>NC_000004.12:77671381-78921381 GCF_000001405.40 Homo sapiens
ATCTGGACATTGTGGAGAGCCCATTAAGTAAAAAATTTTATAGCAACTTTCTTCCTTCTGAACTTTTCATGATGATATTATAAAAGAGGATAAACATCTCTATTCTAACTTTAAATTTTCATAGACATTCTTTTTCATGGGAAAAGTTATGACTGAAGAGACTTGAGACACTTGACCTGACTCCCTAGACTGTATGGTGCTTTTTTCATATTATATCATAAATATTTTCTCATATCATTCATCATTCTTTAAAAATAAAATTGATGTCTGTACTTCTTGAGCACTAATTCAATACTCACATCACATTGCTTCATTGACTGAGGTACTTTAAAAGCTAATTATTTTTATTTTTTCAAGATCAGAAGGCCACAGAGACATTCTGAGTGCTTGAAACATCTGGGTTATATCCACTAAAGTAGCAGTGTGTTGCTACATGGAACTGGAAATTCTGGAATAAAAATAAGATTTTAAAGCACACTGTCAGGCAATATGGCAGCTAGACACTCTTCTTTCCCACTTCCTTTGAATTCCCCATTGAAATGGAAGAAGGACTTACTATAAAATTAGAGGAACATAGCAAAAGCTCTGGAACTACTGTTCACATATGAATCTTTGAGGAATTTTTATTAGATACAATAAGATTAAAATGGATTTTTATAGCATTGATTATCTTTTTAAAATAATTATGCAATAACATTGAAAGTTTACCAGAAAAATACTTACTACCAGAATAATCTTTTAAAGATTTAACATTTTTTTTGGCACAGATTCAGTTTATTTTTTATTTTTGACTACTATTTAATTGAATGTATAAACTACAATTTGTTTATCTAGTCACTCTGTAGATAGACATGTGTTTCTAGTTCTTGGCTATTAGAAATAATGCCGCTATGAACATTAGTATACAAATCATTTTGTGGACATAGTTTTTATTGCTGCTGGATTAATGGAAACCTAGGAATGGATTCCTAGGTGATACGGTAAATGTATACTCAACTTTATAGGACACTGCCAAATTGTTTTTTCAAAGTTTTTATACCATTTACATTTCAACCAGGCATATTTTGAGAGTTCCAATTGTTCCACATGCCAACCCCCTGCCCTCACACTCCTTGCTTTATCAGTCCTCTTAGTTTTAGCCATTCGAGTGAGTTTGAAATAGTATCCCAATGTGGTTTTAACTTGCATTTCTCTGACAAATAATACTAAGTGGTTTTTTTTCACATGAAAATTGGCTATTGTACCTCTTTTTTTTGTGAAGTGTCTTTTTTTGAGAAATTTCTAAATAATGTAAAGACATCAGTACACTTTCTACTAAATACTTCAGCATGCATAAAATTGAGTTCACTATTTTTTAACTTTTTTTGTTTGTTTTGGGTATTGATAGATGATTGATATGTGGTAAGGCAAGTATAGTAAAATATTAATAGTAGCATCTACATGGTGAGTATACACATATATATTCACAGAAAATTTATTTAACTTCTTAGATGTCCAGAGAGAAACAGTCACTGCTTATGTAGCAGCTTAATGTTAATCAAAGATTCAGGCTCCTTCCAGCTGTTTCTTTGCCATTTCTAAGCTGTTGCCCTCATTCTCATATTCAAATATAGGGACAAATCTGCAGCCAATATATCCATGTTCCCAACATGAGGAAGGACAAAGTGGAAAAAAGCATTTGAACACTTTCTGGTGACTTACCAGAAATTCCATACAACATTTGCGCATATATATATATATATATCATAGGCCAGATTTTAGTCATTTCATCATAACTAGCTACAAATGAACGTTTTAGGTAAGTGGCTAGGTGATCAACTAAAAGTTGGGGCTCTATTGAGAAGGAAAGGTGAATGTATATGGGAGGCACTTAGCACTCTCCTCGATGGTACACAACACTGTGCCACTTTTGGAAAAGTGTCTAACCCATCATATCATTTCAATCAGAAATACTTCAATATATGCCACCAACAAATAAGGGTATCTTTAACATAACCACAAGACCCAACAAATCACACCAAATGAAATTAACAACTCCATAATATACATACAGGTCATGTTCAGTTTTCCTAGGTTGTCTCCTAAAATGTTTTCTTACAGCTTATTTGTAAAAATTGATAAACAACAAAAATCCAAATATTGTATTTAGTTGATAGGCCTAGGAGCACTTTCAGTGACAGAGCAGTCAACCCTCACACACTGGAGATTGCCATTCCCAGTATATTTTTTAATACATTAATCAAAATATGCTCCTATTGGAAGAGTAGACTAAGAGAGACAAAGGAGACATAACAACCAAAGTGTGGACATAGTTTAGTTCCGAGTCCCAATAGAGCAGATGTAAAAAGACGTTTTTGAGACAATTATGGAAATTTGACTAGGGTCTAAATACCAAAGATTTGTTCATTTTTTTGGGTGTGATGCTGCTGCTGGGGCATCATCCTGTAAGATGTCCCCACTGTTTAGAACTATAGAGTGAAATAGGGTACAATGACTTGATGACTGGGATTTGTTTAAAAATACTTCAGCGAAGGAAAAATAGATGAAACAAATGTGACAAAATGTTGGTAATTGTTGAATCTGGGTGATAACTTTTGGGAGGTTTGTTTTGGGGAGGTTTAAACCTTTTTTAAAAATGTTTAAATTTTTTTATAATGCAACTTTTGTATTAGAAGAAGTGCCTAACTTCATTTTGTTTTGTTTTTGTTTTTGAGGCAGAGTTTCACTCTTGTTGCCCAGGCTGGAGTGCAATGGCACGATCTTGGTTCACTGCAACCTCCACCTCCTGGGTTCAAGCAATTCTCCTGCCTCAGCCACCTGAGTAGCTAGGATTACAGGTATGTCCTACCACACCTGGCTAATTTTGTATTTTTAGTAGAGATGGGGTTTCTCCATGTTGGTCAGGCTGGTCTCGAACTCCCGACCTCAGGTGATCCACCCGCCTCAGCCTCCCAAAGTGCTGGGATTACAGGTGTGAGCCACCACGCCCGGCCAGAAGTGCCTAACTATAAATGAAACTGCCCATAAACTTTTCTTCCTGGAAAAGAAATCACATTTGTTTTTCTTTAATTTTCAATTAATATTTTCTATGTAAAGTCAATTAGAACAAAAGGTTATTTTCCTTATTTGGGCATTACTTCTGTCTTTCCTCAGCCTATTAGAAGTAGCTTTAGAAAAAGTTTGACAACTAAACAGCCCTGTGTGGAGAGATTCTATTTATTTAACACACAAAAAGAAATGACCCCAGTAAGAACTGAATCTAGGAAAGAAGGCATCTGAGATAATTTCCTATTCTCCATTTTCCCTAAAACAGAGTTTCACAAAATCTTGGAGGGATTAGTACCCTGAAGTTATATCGTACTCTAAAGAACCTTGTGATATACAAATATTCCTTATTTCACTTCATTGGGTTTTTTTTTCTTCTTCTTCTTCTTCTTGGACCCTGCTTTTAGAATCTCAGCTGCTACTTAAATCTGTTGTCAAAAATGATCAAAAAAACAACCTGTGGCAGGCCAGGTGCAGTGGCTCATGCCTGTGATCCCAGCACTTTGGGAGGCCAAGGCGAGTGGATGGCCTGCTTAGGAGTTTGAGACCAGACTCTGAGCAACATGGTGAAACCCTATCTCTACTAAAATACAAAAAACTTAGCCGGGCATGGTGGCGTGCACCTGTAGTCCCAGCTACTTGGAAGGCTGAGGCAGGAGAATCGCTTGAACCTGGGAGGCAGAGGTTGCAATGAGCCAAGATTGCGTCACTGCACTCCAGCCTGGGCAATAAGCAAGACTCTGTCTCCAAAAAGAAACAAAAACAACAACAACAAAACACCTGTGGCAGAGACAGTGATGCTTAATAAATAATGCATTCACTCCTTCCATGCTGAGTTCTCCAGTCCGTGGTTCATTCCATGCTTGGCCCCAGGCCTATTCACTCCCACTATGCTCAGTCCCCTTGCAGTTAGAGAGGGACAAAGCCTAGTCTGGGCAAACAGCCTGTGAAGAAAGTGAATGTGTGTTATTTCTAGGATATGGTGGTGAAAGCGCATGTGAATTTTCTAGCCCTCTTCCCCTACCTCTGTGATTATGGAGGAGATGGCTTATTCCGAGAAAAAAAAAACAACACAGGATCAGAGCAGCCTAGATAGCTGAGCCATTGCGTAGAGTACAGGTGCCCTGCAGAGCAACATAGATCTACAGATGACTTTGCACAAGCAAGAAATAAACCTTTGTCTCCTTAGCAACTTATATTTTGCAATTATTTGTTGCTGCAGCATAACTTAGCCTATCCTAACACATGACCGAATATAACAATATGAATAATAACAGGAGAATGATGAATTATTACAAAAACTATGTAACTGCATAGGAATGATTATGATATACTATCAGTTGAAAACAAGTAGAAAATGAAAATATGATTAGAAAGCTAGATGATAATTAAAGGCAGGGCTTTCCCAGTAAAATTTACATAATGGATACAATTGAATGCAAAAGTCTCCTTAAAATGTCTTCGGAAAAAAAATCAGCCAATCAGAATTTCATATTTACTAGACTCTCAACTGCTAAGATTGAGATGGGGAATAGGGTGGGCTCAGTGGAGCTTAGACCCATGTTCAGGCTTATTCAGATATATGTTGGGTTTTTCTTTCTTTTTAAAAATGTTATTACAAATGAATAGTATCCTGGAGACTCTCAGAAGGCAGGGCAAGAGATTTGCAATATGTCAGAGAGACTCTGCCAAGGAGGGCAAGATATATAAACACTGGGAGCCAAGGAAACATTGTTTATTGCTGTGATGACTCCCATTCTCCCCCCAGACTGTGCAGGTTAGGATATGCATTTTTCCAAAATGATGGATGATTTAACAGAAAAAAAAAGGATCAACCTAGAAACAGACAAATGAAAGTCAGGAGGGTCCAATTCCCAGAGCTTATTCCTCCAACGCTGCCCACAGGAGAGAAACTGAATCTGGGGGAGAGATGGCTTTAGGTCACTGGAGGTGTTAATAAGGCCTATGTGGAACCTGCCTCTATAAAGCTTCCCTTTGCTCTGACTCTGAACTCAACAAGCAACCCTCTGATACCCATTTAGATATCCTATGTTCCCTAATATTTGAAAGATGCTGTTCAAGATAGTAAACATGACTATTTCTATGTCTGTAAACTAATCCACTGATATGAGGAATGAATGGTCAATGATAGTACATAGTACATGGTCTCCTTCACAATCATTAGAAAATAGATAGTCTGGTTATTAGGTCAGTCTCTTGTTTAGAAAGAACCCGTCATTAAGAGGCTGATTGCTCTTGGGTGACACTAATGAGACCATTTTTGGACCTACAAAGCTAAGGATCATACTCTGGACTCTGGTGATGCCAAAGTATTGACACCATGAGAAATCTGATCACAGCTGCTGACTACATTACTGACATCATACTGGCATACCCGCCATCTGCAACAAAAATCGTATAAAGCAGGCAAAATTGTCAAAATATTACAGAGTTATTAAAACTCTTATAATAAAAATTAAAACCACAAATGTATATACAAATATATGACAACAAAGGAAAACAAGGACAAGAAGTATGCTGGATATTCTCTCATCTTCACCCTTCACCACCCTGTTCAATGCCCTTGGTGGATGACTTCCCCTGGCGACATCAACCATGCTCCCTAGTCCCCAGCTGCTGGTTGGGCACAGTCAATAAGGGGCAATCCAGAAGACTGGAGGACAGGAGGAGAGAAAGGTCAAGACATCCTATCCTCTCGTCCTCTCACTCTCCCCATGCTGGCCCATGGTTGGGTTTCAAGTATATTCCCCAACTATGGTAGCAAACCCTGTCAGCCATTTCTCTTCTAGCTACAAGCTTTCACAGGGTTTTCATAATAACTCCACCACTTTCCTAATGTAAGCCCAGAGGAACAACAGCTTGGCTTTCTGCTGTCAATGGTCCCTTTATTACACCTCTTTAATTACATCTTTGAAAATGCCATCTGTTTCCAACCAGAACCCTGTCTTGTACAAGAAGAGAGGATAACAATAAGGTTACTTTGTTCATATTATTTCAAGTATAAGAAATTCAGATATCACACTTACCAGTTTTAGGGGGTACATCTAGGAGACAATGAAAGCAACACAAGATTTGAGCTTTTGAGAGCAAGCCTGTGCCTTGTTTCTTTCCATTCCTGGAGAGTCAGCAGAGAGTAATGTCAATAGCATAGACTCTGGAACCAAGTAGACCAGGTTCAAGTCTTCGCTCTGCCACTGACCTTAGGCATGTTATTTAACCCAGTTTCCATGTCTGTAAAATGGAGATAATAATAGAATTGAAGGGGTTAATACATAATGCACTTTGAATAATGCTGTGGGTATGTTTGCTGTTGTTTTCCCCAGCACCAATACAGTATCTAGTCATAGGTGCTCCACAAATTCTTAGTTATCACTAAATTCTATTGGACATAAGGCACATGAAATAAAGATAATTAATTTCTTTATTATGCTTATCCCCAGAAACTCCTGAAAGTACTAAATATAGGAATAAAAGAAGCAATTGCTCTTTGGTTGGGGCCAGTAGACTTTTGGTTAATGAACTTGCAGAATGCAAGTCACATTGGCATTAGAAGAAAAATTTTTAAAGGAGAAAGTATGTCTTGCCATGAAAGTCTCTGTTTAATAGGAGTCTCTGGAGCATCTTAGCCAATTATGAGTTTTATACTGAAAAAAACAGATGTTTCCTTCCTTCCTGATCTATCATCCATAGCCCTACTGTGTCTTTTAGTTCACAGAAGTTAAAAGGAATTATCGTCTGTTGTCATGGTGTTTTTAAGAACTCGTGAAAATAGACTCCAGTCTTCTCCCCCTCTCTACCCTTTCCCTCTCATTTTTCCCCATCTGTATAGTCTAAGGTAACCCTAATTTCCAGTTTGTCTTTCCCAGGGGATTTGAACATACCACCTTTATAATTCTAATATCAAACAGAAAAAAACCCCTAATATTATCTATATGGACCCCCAATTCCATGTAAATCAAATATTTGGTTCAATTTATACCACAGAAATACTATATGAAAATATTGGGGGAGGAGGGGTTATAAAGCAAGTACAGAATGTCAATTTATTTTTGGAATGGAAAAATATACCTGAAATTCTATTAAAAATGGTCATCAAGTTTTAAAGCTTTACTTTTCTTTATTCAAGTACTCAAAATAATGAGAAAGATAAAGGGGGTTCTTAAGTGGAAATCATATACAAATAAAAATTACATAGAATTTGGCAGTGTAGGATATTTGTGTTGTATATAATCTCTATACACAAACTGTATAATCAAACTATTTAATCTTTTGTATTCCATGAAGCTAATCCTTCTCCAGGTGAAGTGCAGCCATCCAAGTGTGGACAATTTCCAGGCTGTAACTCTGCTAACAACCTTTCATGAAAATTGGCAAGATTTATACCCATCTAGTTCAGTGTCATCATCGACCTAATTCTTGCAGCCAGTAGCAATCATTCTTTAAATTTCATAATCTTATCTTATATATATATATGTATATCCATAGAACAACTTTTATTCAGTTTGCTGTTTGTCTATTAATGCTATTTACATGGTTTTATCAATCATTTCCACTGTAGTTGCTTCTTCTTATAATAACTTTGATCTTTTTTGGATCTGAGTACATAGTTGAGTGATATACTTCCAAGTTCACGGTATGCAATCATTATGATTCCCTGAAAGGACTGTCTCTTGTTTTATTTTATAGATCATTTTTCTCCTTGAAAACAAAAAATTTGTCCCATTCCCAATTTCTTTTCTCATAGGCA
Source organism: Homo sapiens (assembly GCF_000001405.40). NCBI lineage: Eukaryota > Metazoa > Chordata > Mammalia > Primates > Hominidae > Homo > Homo sapiens. The sequence continues at coordinate 77,679,195 of NC_000004.12, forward strand.
CACTCTCTACTTTTAAAATATATTTTATAATGAGACATTTGTAAAAAAGAATATATGCTAATATTCTATATGTTTATGTGTTTTTAAATTCCATAAATGGCATTGGATTATAGGTCTCACTCAGCTCCATTCTTTATTTTTTCCTCCTTTGAGACAGAGTCTTTCTGTGTAGCCCAGACTGTGGTGCAGGGGCATGACCACAGCTCACTGCAGCCTCGACATCCCAAGCTCAAGTGATCCTCCCACTTCAGCCTCCCAAGTAGATGGGACCATAGGTGTGTGCACCATGCCTGATTAATTTTTGAATTTTTTTGTAGAAATAGGGTCCTACTATGTTGTTGGGGCTAGTCTCGAACTCCTGGGCTCAAGCAATCCTCCCACCTCAGCCTCCCAAAGTGCTTGGATTATGGACTTGAGCTACCATACCTGGCCCTTCTGTTCTTTTTTTCACTCAGTTTGGTTTTTAAGATCTACCTATGTAGCTATATATATACTTTATCATTTTTAACTGCTACCTCATATTTTTAGTATGCATCCACCCTATTTTACCTCTCCATTCTTCCTCCATTCTACAAAATGGACATGTACGTTGACTCTAATTCCCTGTATCATGGACAATTCTGTAATAAACATCCTCTATATATCCCCTTATGTATCTATGCAAGAGTTTCTCTTGGGTAGATCCGAGACCAGAATGTAGGATCACTATGCATATTTAATCTCACTAAGAAGTGCCAGAATGTTCTGTACTACTTTATATTCTCACAGGGAGTACCTGAAAGTTTCTGTTTCTCCACATTCTCACCAACGTTTGATGTTATCCTGCTTTCTACTTTTTGCAAATTTAATGAGTATAAAGTGATATCTTATTGTTTAATTTGCATTTCTCTGATCACTACTGAGGTTGTCTCTTTTACTTTTAGGGGACTTCAGAAAAGGAAAAAACCCAAATGGCTATTCAAATCCTTTTCCTGTTTTCTCTTTGGTTTTCTTGTCTTTGTTTTGTTAATTTTCTCTTCTTATATGTTTAGATATTAACTCCTTGAGAGTTTTGGATATTACAAATATCTTCACCCAATCAGTTGTCTATTAACTTTGTGATGTCCTTCATGGAACAGTTGATAAGTTCAATTCTATCAACATTTACCCTACAGTCTGTTTTTGAGCTCTTGTTTTAAAAGACTTGTATTCCAAAAAATACAAAAATATTATCCTATGCTTTCAACTATTAGCTCTGCACCAGGACTCAGCTACGTTTATTATTCTATCTTAATTTCTCAGCTTCATTGACTTCCCTTCTACTTCTGTGGCTTTTCTGGGGTTGGATTTAAGTAAGGAGGCAATTTTTCTGGTTATTTTGCTGTCTTTATTGAAATGGAAAGGGGAAATCTTTTGTAAGTTTAAATGCAGAATAAAACCTATTTTATAGATCTAAATCTGGCAAAAGTTTGTCCATATTCCTTGAGAATGGGCTGGTTATTAAACACAAGTCCAGCCACAAAGAGTCCTGTTAATACTATTTGCAAAAATAAAGCTACCTTCAGGGACATTCAATGTAATTAGGAATGCTCCCATTAATAGATATAGCAAACCCATTACTAAAAATGCCCTACTAAAGTCTCATAAGAAAACCTTTGAGAATGAACATGAGAAGAGGCTCCCCCTATGACCCTCCATGAAAAGCAAGAGAAACAAGGGAACTAGAGCTCCCGGGTTACACGGTTTCCCCACATAGTGTAGTGTAGGTAGCAAGTGGGAGCTGAATTGTGGTTAGTCATTAGCTGGAAGGTGGGTCAAAAAAGAGTGAGAGTGAAGAAGAAATTGAACAGGCCTCACCAGCAAGATGGTGAGCAAAACATGGATATAAAATAGAGCAGGAGAGAGATTTTAGTGGCTAAGCAGATGTAGACTTTCAGAGAATGGAAAGAATATTTAGAGAGACAAACTAGAAGGCCTGTATTTGGTATGCTGCATAAAATCCCACATTAAAGGTCTATATTATTCCTCAAGACACCTGGAGTCATATTTGTGTTTTCATTTCCTATGACTCTGTGCAGAGGCTAGGCCACTGGGCCTTGGCTTTTATTCAGAACATGGGTAAATAAATCCTCCGTCCAGGTGCAAATTAGTTTTATTCTCTCTGCTTTTCTTACTCATTGAGTCCTGAGTATCTCATGTGTATCCTTTAACATAGCATTTGTCAAAGTAGGGTTAGCAATTATAAGGGTGTTCTGTAGTCAAATAAGTTTGGGATATGCAGGATTGTACAGTTTTAACATGAGTTCTCTGCAGGATTTCTTGGAGCCTTTAATATGCAAATGTGTGCTATGATTCCTCAAGAAAGAGACATGGTATTGTCACCAGTGGCAAATCTGTATGGGCTGCAGCAATTGGATCCTTGCCTCCTTGGAGGAAAGAATTTGACCGAGGGGCAGAAGTTGGTTTAAGGCAGAGGGAGAGACTGAGGCAAGTTTTAGAACAGGAGTCAATGTTTATTAAGTTTTAGAACACGAACGAAAGGAAATAAAGTACACTTGGAAGAAGACCAAGTGGGCAACTTGAGAGATCCATGTGCCCTGTTCAGCCCTTGACTTGGGGTTTTTTATACATTGGAATGGTTTCCAGGTTTCCGTTTCTCCTCCCTTGATTTTTCCCTTGGGGAGGGTTGTCTTCATGTGCAGTGGCCTGCCAGCACTTGGGAGGGGCCGCATGCACAGTGTGTTTACCGAAGCTGTGCACATGCTCACTTGAGGCATTCTTCCCTTACCAGCGGGGCATTCCTAGAGGAAGGACGTATACTGGTTAAACTCCGCCATTTTGCCTCTTAGTGCGCATGCTTGAACCTGCTCGACCCTGCTCGCCCAACTCCTGAGATCTGATTATGAAGCTGCTAATCACCACCTTCAGGTATTTTCTATCTATTGGGCGACTGCCTTACCCCTGGAGCTGGCTGCAACCAATTATTATTTTAGAGAGACTGTTAATAACCGCCTGACCGTCACCTGATGGTCGCCTGACATTCCTGATGGGGGCCCTCTTCTGCTTTGCTCATGTGTGCCTAGCTACCTGCTCTAACAATATGCTACACTTCTCAAATTTGACCACAAAATCCTTTTACTTGGGGCATCTCAGGGTACTAATATTCCATGGAGCAAACTCTAGGAAATATCCTGATGGATTGCCTAGCTTTGAGTTAGAATGGGGACTTAACAGATATGGTCAAGGACAATATTTTTTGCAGTTTTTCTGAAACAGCATCTTGCAAGATGCATTCTTTATAATATTACAGCAATTGCTTTATTCATGAATGTATCTGTGTCATTTCTGTCAATATGCATGAGTAAATCCAACTAAGTAGTTTATTCTAAAACCTCTTGTATTGTTCTCCCTTTGTGACACTTCATGTGGTTAGTCTTGTTTTCCTAAGAGCATGTATCCTCCACAGGGTAAGAATCATGCCTATACCTTTCCTGAATAATGCCATGACACATGGTACAGTGCTAGATGCAAAATCAAGATCCAATAGTTGCCACTTGATTGGAAAAACACAGCAGAAGCAGACTTTTATAAACTTCCCTTATATTTGGATTTGATAACATGACGTCTAAGTATTTTTATGCTTTAATTATCACCCTGTGCCCTTTTTTCTCTTTCCTTTTTTAGCACTAATTATTCCCCAAAAGGAAAATGGGGAAAATAAATCCAAGCAAAGCAGCCCTGAAAACTTTTTTGTTTGTTCCAATTTTAAGGATATATCATTGACTAACGACTTAAAACTATGTCAACTAGTCTTTTGCTTGATTTCCACCCAGTTTATTCATTAGTTGACCAACATTTTTGCTCCTACTCTTTCATGGCTGTGTTTTTCTTAAATGCAAAACACAGTATTTTTTAGAACTTTTCTTTGCTTTTCAAGTCAGGAAAAATTTCCCTACCATCTCATTCCAAAAGCACTTGGCAGGTAAACTCTGTTATATCCTTATGTATGCAGGTCCTTAGCTAAGTATAATGGCATTTTGCCAAGTAAACAATTTACAGTCTATTATTTCCACTGGAAAGCCCCCTTTCAAATTGAAGAATTTCACAATAAAAAAAAAAGGCCACTGGTCAGAGAACCCCCAAGTTGTTCTTAGCATTGGTATTTGGGGTTTACAACTTAATGGGGTTGCATTCATATGGTCAGGTTGATACCAACACATCAAATTTACAATAGAAATTTTAGGACAAAGTAGTTCTGTCAACAGTACCATTGTTCCCCCTTCCCTTGTCTTCCCCATCTCCTTCATCTTTAAAATTATTTACCCCTCTGTATGGACCTCTCCAGACTCCACCCTTGCTATCCTCTCGGCTTTATCCACACCCCTGAACTTTTATCATTGCTTCTTCTTATCAACACTGCTTGCTGGCTTCTTTCAAGATTTCTTTCCAAACTCCATTAACTGCTACATACTTCTTCTTTCTTCTCAAATCTCTCCATTAGTGGATTTCCCTTCTCCCAACCTAAAACCAAGCCAAGAGATGTGGTTGGCATACTTTTCACTGAAGCTTCCAGACCTTAGTTCCAATACGTCTTATCAAGAATCCCATTTTCTCTGCCCATACAGAATTCTCTCGACATTTCTACAGTTGCCATCCATTAGCCTCCAGGGCCATTCCTCACCCTCCTAAGTGTCAAGCTTGCTGTTTTCATTTCTATCACATTCCCTTCCACCCTGTTGTTGGAGCACAATATCAAAGTTGGCCATCCATCTAACATCCTGTCGTCCCAACTTCAGACCTTCCCTCTTCTCTGACTTTCTAATCCACTTCCCCTGGATGCCTTCCCAACACACACACACACACACACACACACACACACACAGTCATGCCATACAAGATCTCAGACCTATTCAACACTCAATATAAAGCAGTATGTTTGTGTTTTGATTTGCCTTACCCCCAATGATATTTATGTTGAGCATATTGAATGCTTATCCTATATTGAGTGTTGAATAGGTCTAAGATCTTGTAATGATCAATCAAACAAAGTGGAGTGAGTAGGAGTGACACTATAAACTGGCTTAATGTTTAGTTTCATACAACTGCCTTTGACACCATTGAGCTTGTTCAGTCTTCCCCATCCATGAATAAAATTTCAGGCAGTTCTCATGGTTTTTCTAATTACTCTCAGGTGTTAATAAGTATTTAGCTTTGGTTTTGTAAACAGTTCACTTACATTAAATCAAAACTTCACTATCTCAGTCCATTCAAGCATTCGCTTCCCCCACAGTTTGGGCTACTTCTCCCTACCTCCCCCTCCTGTTACTGGCTAATTAGCCACTCATTCTGGCCCCCAGGGAAGGTGAAGGGCGTGAAAGGAGAAGATTCACAGAAAAGTAGAAGTCTCATAACACTAGTGCCAGTGAAATCTCTCTGTTGGATGCCCAAATTCTGGCTTTTCTTCTCTTTAGTTCTTCTGTGGGTTTGTAGGGGTTCTGTCAACATTCCTTTTGTGATGTCTTCTCCTGATGGCTATGAATGACACAGATCTCAGTCCCTGGCATCTGGTGGTCTCTGTCTGACCTCCTCACCCTTCCCAGCAGGCCTGTTTTGCAAAGTCCCTTTAAGACAACTAAAGAACAGCTACTATAACACAACAATAAAAAGATAACCCAATTTAAAAACAGACAAAGGGATTTGAATAAGTTTCTCCAAAGAATATATACAAATGGCCAATAAGCACATGAAAAGATGTTCAACATAAATATCACTGGGGTAATGCAAATCAAAAACACAGATACCACTTTATATCCACTAGGATGGCTATCATTTAAAAAAGGCAGTAACAAGTGTTGGCAAAGATATGGAGAACTTAGAACTTAGCTGCATTCCCATTGTTGGTGGAAGTGTGTAATAGTATGGTAGCTTTGGAAACCATCTGGCAGTTCCTCAAAAGGATAAAGATAGAGTTAGATATGACTATGTTTCATTCATCCCCAGCAATTTCACTCCCAGGTATATGCCCAAGAGAAATGAAACAGATGTTCAAACAACAATTTGTGACACATATGTTCGTAGCAGCATTATTTATAGTAGTCAGAAAGTAGAAACAACTCAAATGTCCCCTAGCTGGGTAAACAAAATGTGGTATAGCCATACAATTGTATATCCGATACAATGGAATGTTATTCAACTACAAAAAGTAGAGACACTGATTCATAACATGTACAAACTTTGGAAACATTATGCTATCTGAAAGAAGCCAGATCAAAAAAGGCAATATATTTTCAAATTCCATTTCTATGAAATGCTCAGAATAGGCAAATTTGTTGAGATAGAAAGTAGATTAGTGAAAATTTTCTCCCATTTTGTAGGTTGCCTGTTCACTCTGATGGTAGTTTCTTTTGCTGTGCAGAAGCTCCTTAGTTTAATTAGATCCCATTTGTCAATTTTGGCTTTTGTTGCCATTGCTTTTGGTGTTTTAGACATGAAGTCCTTGCCCATGCCTATGTCCTGAATGGTAATGCCTAGGTTTTCTTCTAGGGTTTTTATGGTTTTAGGTCTAACGTTTAAGTCTTTAATCCATCTTGAATTAATTTTTGTATAAGGTGTAAGGAAGGGATCCAGTTTCAGCTTTCTACATATGGCTAGCCAGTTTTCCCAGCACCATTTATTAAATAGGGAATCCTTTCCCCATTGCTTGTTTTTCTCAGGTTTGTCAAAGATCAGATAGTTGTAGATATGCAGCGTTATTTCTGAGGGCTCTGTTCTGTTCCATTGATCCATATCTCTGTTTTGGTACCAGTACTATGCTGTTTTGGTTACTGTAGCCTTGTAGTATAGTTTGAAGTCAGGTAGCGTGATGCCTCCAGCTTTGTTCTTTTGGCTTAGGATTGACTTGGCGATGCAGGCTCTTTTTTGGTTCCATATGAACTTTAAAGTAGTTTTTTCCAATTTGTGAAGAAAGTCATTGGTAGCTTGATGGGGATGGCATTGAATCTATAAATTACCTTGGGCAGTATGGCCATTTTCACGATATTGATTCTTCCTACCCATGAGCATGGAATGTTCTTCCATTTCTTTGTATCCTCTTTTATTTCATTGAGCAGTGGTTGGTAGTTCTCCTTGAAGAGGTCCTTCACGTCCCTTGTAAGTTGGATTCCTAGGTATTTTATTCTCTTTGAAGCAGTTGTGAATGGGAGTTCACTCATGATTTGGCTCTCTGTTTGTCTGTTATTGGTGTATAAGAAAATTTTTGCAACCTACTCATCTGACAAAGGGCTAATATCCAGAATCTACAATGAACTCAAACAAATTTACAAGAAAAAAACAACAACCCCATCAAAAAGTGGGCGAAGGACATGAACAGACACTTCCCAAAAGAAGACATTTATGCAGCCAAAAAACACATGAAAAAATGCTCACCATCACTGGCCATCAGAGAAATGCAAATCAAAACCACAATGAGATACCATCTCACACCAGTTAGAATGACAGTCATTAAAAAGTCAGGAAACAACAGGTGCTGGAGAGGATGTGGAGAAATAGGAACACTTTTACACTGTTGTTGGGACTATAAACTAGTTCAACCATTGTCAAAGTCAGTGTGGTGATTCCTCAGGGATCTAGAACTACAAATACCATTTGACCCAGCCATCCCATTACTGGGTATATACCCAAAGGACTATAAATCATGCTGCTATAAAGACACACGCACACGTATGTTTATTGCGGCACTATTCACAATAGCAAAGACTTGGAACCAACCCAAATGTCCATCAATGATAGACTGGATTAAGAAAATGTGGCACATATATACCATGGAATACTATGCAGCCATAAAAATGATGAGTTCATGGCCTTTGTAGGGACATGGAGGAAACTGGAAATCATCATTCTCAGTAAACTATCACAAGGACAAAAAACCAAACACCGCATGTTCTCACTCATAGGTGGGAATTGAACAATGAGAACACATGGACACAGGAAGGGGAACATCACACTCTGGGGACTGTTGTGGGGTGGGGGGGAGGGGGGAGGGATAGCATTAGGAGATATACCTAATGCTAAATGATGAGTTAATGGGTGCAGCACACCAGCATGGCACATGTATACATATGTAACTAACCTGCACATTGTGCACATGTACCCTAAAACTTAAAGTATAATAATAATAAAATAAAATAAAATAAAAAATAAAGTTTCTAACCAATAAAAAAAAAAAGAAGATTAGTGGTTACAGAGGGCTGATTAGTGAAAGAAGTAGGAAATGACTAATGGATACAGGGTCTCTTTGGGGGAGATGGAAAGCTCTACAATTAGATAATGATGATAGCCACACAACTCTGAGTCTACTAAAATCCACTGAGGTATGCACTTTCAAAGGGTGAATATCATGGTACATAAGTTATATCCCAATAAAGCTGTGAAGAATGAGGAGAGGAAGGAAGGCAAGGAGGAGGAGAACAGTTACTACATCAGGTCCATGTCACTGCCACTGTGGCCCTCTTTCCCTACTCTAACCAGCCACCGCTAAAGAGGCTTTATTTTTTTCAGGAACCAGTCCTTGTGTCATCCAAATTTCAGAAAAGCATGCAATATAAACTCAAAGTGATTCTTTTCAAGTCTTCCTCACTTGTCTTCAGTTTGGGGATGGGGAACACATCTCCCTACATTCCCCCACAGAGATGAACTACACTAATTCTCCAAAGGAATCCTTACTGTGTCTGAGAAATCATTTATTCTTAGCCTTCTCTTAAGCTGATGATGAATTCGTGGGAGAATTGGATTGGAACCACCCTCTTTACAAATCCTTCATAGATAGTGTAAAGCTTGGCTAAACCAGGGCTCAGTAAACTTTTTGTATAAAGAGGCAGATGGTAAAGATTTTAGTCTTTGTGGTCCATATAGTCTCTGCTGCAACTACTCAATTCTGCCATTGTAGTATGAAAGCAATTAGCGAGAAAACAAATGAATAAGCTCAGCTGTGGTCCAATAAAAGTTTAATTACTAAAACAAATGATAACTGAATTGGGTCCATGGGCCTCTTTAGCTTGCTTGCTCTAGAGTCACTTGGAGGAGTTTAGGCAGTGAAGGCGAGGGTACTTGGCACTTTTTGTTTCAACTGGAAGAGCCCCTTTTAACATTCTGTTAGAGTATCAGGTAATGAAAATCCTCTCTCCAACCAAACTCTCCCGTCCAGCACTCCCAAAGTTCTCACCAACCCGGAGCTTCTCCTTACTCTCATACCCTCCTGTTCACCTGATTAGTTAACTGTTTTAATTTCAGTCATTTCCTCACACCCTGGACCACAGCTCAGCTTGGCCATGCCTTTTTCCTAGATTCACTTACCTCCTGACCTTCTCCAGGCTTCCCAACAATCAGAAAATCTAGATATGTGGGACTTTTTCTGCTCCTGGACTGCCAGGAGGTACCAGGGCAATCTCACAATCATAGTAAGTTGTTTGACTGCACAGTTAACCCTCAGCAGGCTTTATTCATCCAGCATTGACTTCTTAGCCAACTTTGGCCAATCGAAAGCTTTTCATATCCAATCAAACCTCTAATTATTTTTCTGTAACTTTCAACCAGTACTCTTAACCTCTGTTTTGCAGAGATGGTAAAGACCACTTTAATAAACTCTCCAACTTAAAAGTGCTCTACATCTTAATCTATACTTGTACAATCTATTACAGTAGCCACCAGCTACATGTAGCTATTAAGAACTTGCAAAATGTCTAGTGTTAACTAAGGAAGTAAATTTTTAAAATTTTACTTAATTCTAGTTCATTTAAACGTAAAAACTTAAGCAGAATAAAACACTTTCTGCTAAACACAACTTTTTTGTTTTCCTTTGACTGCTTCTTCATCTTAATCATTAAAAATTTAGTATCCAAATTAAGATATGCTTTAAATGTAAAATATGCACTGAATTTCAAAGACTTAGAGAAAAAATATTTCATTAATATTTTTATATTGATTACCTGTCAAAATAATATTTTCAATATATTAACCTATATATTTGAAAATTAGTTTCACCTGTTTCCTCTTTTTCATGTGGCTACTAGAAAATTTAAAATTACATATATGGCTCACATTATATTTCTGTTGGACAGTGCTGGTCTATACTCTCCTCAATTCTTCCTGTATCAGAATAAGGAACCTTATTTTTTTTCTTCAGTGCCATCTCATACAGAATTTATGAATCCCGAGTCCATTTATCTTTTAGAATGCCAGATAAAATTTATTTTCCCAATTATCCCAAGCCATTCTCTTTCTAGTTCATTTTTTATTAACCAAATATCAGGGTAGAACAAAGGATGTGTGGTAGCAAGTCCTCCTAAGATTTCCAGGAGGCATGAAGAAAATGATTCAAAGTCACTTTAGGTATCTCAAATCTAAGGGGTGAAACCCCAAAAGGAATTTCTTCCTTACCCAGGAAATTAGAGACCAAGAATAGAATAGCCCATTCCCAGAGAAAAAATAGAGGATACTCAACAGATTTGCATTAGCACCGCTGCTAGTTATATAAGTAATATAAAGAGTTTGATCTGAAATTGGATACAGACTAGGTTCCTAAAAACAGTCTAAGAAAGTCTGCTAAGTCGGAATTTGGGAAATGAGGCTACATGAAATTTCAGTGAAGACAAACAACTATTCATGTTGTGGGGAGGAGGGAATTTTGCTCTTTGTTGTTGTTAATACTATTTTATTGATTCTGCATAATTGCTAACAATAAAAAGGAAAGGAGGAATTATAAGTGCGTCTCCTCCTTTAAAGAGTTAGCGTGAAAGGAAATTATGTTTCTCTCTTCCTGAGCCTCACTGGGAGCTAAACCCAGCTTCCAAGTGGAAGTGGAGGCCAACAGTTCAAATCCCTGGAATTTCCAGGAAAAAAACAAAACAAAAACAAAAAAACGCCAACCATTTCAGAGGCCCAGCTTGGTAATTGCGAGTTCTTTATTCCTTGACAAAGAAAGAATAGGTCTGAGGAATCCATATTTTACAATCATTATCCCCATGTTTTTTGAAAACAAGCACCAGCAACTTATTTCACCTCTGAGTTTCATCTTTTTCATCTTTGAATGTACTTCAGTGGGGAAAAATTCCTGTATTGATCTATGGTTTCAACCTATAGTTACTGATAAACTTTTTGTATGGGGAGAGCTTGTTGATAGCCTGTGTTTCGAATTTGAGATCTCTCTGTGTAGACCTTTTTTGGTATTTCTGAGTAGAGATGAGAGAGAAAGAAAGAGTTTGTGTGTGAACACTTGTGCATGTGTGCATACCTCTGTATGACTGGTGCAGAAAGTAATGCCGGAATAAAATTAAAACAAAACTGGAATTTCAGAGTAATTTGAGTTCCTCCCCAAAATGGATGAATCTGACTTTCTTCCAGTATGGAAAAGGAGGAAAGGGGTAACTTTACATGGGAAAAATCTGATAAGATCTGTTTGAGGCAGGTGGTCAAGGTCAATATCAATAGTGGTAAATAATGTTCAGAGTATGTACCCATGATGTGATGCGATGAAAACTGCCCTTTTCTTCTGTGATCTTCCTTCCAAAAACCCATAATGCCAGGATAATCATGAGAAAAACCCCAAATGAGGCACATTCTAAACATGCCTAACCCTATTCCTCAAAACTGTAAAGATCAAAAACAAAGTTTAATAAATTGTCACAGCCAAAAGGAGCCTAAGCAGATAAGACAACTACATATAACGTGGTGTCATGAATGGGATCCTGGACCAGAAAAACATGGCTTAGGTTTTTTAAAAAAAAAAAAAAACAAACAAAATCTGAATACATTATGGATTTCAGCTAATAATAATGCATGAATTTTGGTTCATTAATGAATATATCATACTAATATAACATATTTATAATAGGGAAACTTGTTATGGGGTATATGGGAACTATATGTACTAACATTGTCCTAAAACTAAAAGTTTATAAAAAATAAGAATATTGCTTGTTGCTCTAGTGCAGGCTCTTAATATTTTATTAAAGAAAATGATGATAAATGACTTGTTATTCACCTTGTAATAATATCCTTGAGTCCATGCCATGGAAGTAACTTATAAGTAAGATCATTTTAGGATAAGTTTCTTTTAGTACATTACATTTCTCTTAGTAAGTAAAGGCCCCAAATAGTATCCCTCTCCCCAGGGTTTCACAGTTGAGTGTGAAACCCTGGGACACACTGAACTGGATGGAACAGATAATAGCTTCATCCTGGCCCACTGTATTGCCTGCCCATTGTGGCACTGGCTGAACTCACTGTTATTTAATGCTGCTAACACTTGGATTTTCTCGGAAAAAAATCTTTCTCAACATAATGAAAATACCACAAAACTTCAAACCCTGAGTAGCAATAGTCAACTCAATAACCCAATCTGGTCCCAGTTGCAAAGTGAACCCATTTGAAGAGAAGCTTGTAGACATATAAAGTGCCTGCTTAATATGCTAACCACATTTTTCTCTTCATTTTTTTTCCTCAATGTGGGTAACAAAGTTATAAGTCAATTAATACTGGTTTCGAATTTGAAAGTAAAATCTCTAACTTGCTTCAATTACTTCTTTGATTTGAAAGCTAGCTGTTTCAAAAGATGTTGCAAATTGAATAATACGTTAATATGCTTTCACAGATGATTGCCTTCAGGGAGAGTTTATCATTAGGAGTGTGTGCAATTTTTTAGTTAGAACACAAAAATGTGGTAACAAGAAAAACAGATCATTCATGCTACCCATTTAATAAATATGGAACTAACATTTGTCATGTCCCAGGCCTTATGCTGAACACTGGGAATATAGTAGGAGACAAAATAGATAAAGGGTCTGTCCTCTTGGTGCAGGATTACATTAATTGAGTGAATTTATGTCAGATTATGTAACCGATTTGACTGAGCAGTCTCAACAACTTGGGAATAAACATAGAACTATTTTATTTTTCCAGTAAATGTTTTCAACTCTGCTCTGTTAATCCTCCATCTCACTGGATAGCAGGATCCCTAATGCGATCTCAGTCCTAGTCTATAACTTGCTGTCCCTTTCAGTTATTAAAACATAATGTCTGTGCTTAAAACTCAGTTCTGTTTATTTTAAAACTTGAATCAGTTGATCAAGGCTCCCCTTTCCTCCCATGCAATTAGACTTAGCTTAGGGGAGTACGAATGGAGTGTGGTGGCTCTTTCACACCACACCCTCCTTTCCTGCAGTTTTCATCCTCCTAATTCCAACTCAGAAGGGTGAGAAAAGAGGTTGTCTGGTTATGGGACAGTCCAGGCAATGCTGATGTTCCCTTTCTCGTGGTAATCGCCACTGATGAAGCCACGATAGACATAGTAATAGACATGGTGTGGGGAGCCAGTGCCCTAACCGGCTCATTAATGAGGTATTTATCCCAAGTAGCTTCCCTAGGATTTGGCAGTCTCTTGAGAGACTCAGCCACATCTTCCAGCTTGGTTCCTCGTACTATATTCCTCTGATGTGCATACCCTTTTTCTCCACACTGGAACAGCAAACCTACGACCCCAAATCTCAACTATGCTCTGTGGTTCCAATTCTGGAGTGTATGTATGAGCATAGGCTAGATCCATCTTCTGTACCTATTTGGAAACACACATTTCCTACCTGGCCTGGCATTGCCACACACTGTCTCAGACCACTTTCCTGATATTTCCCCTCCTCAGGTAAAAGCGAATCATCAAGCCCAGTGGCAGCAAGTATATCCCACTAGGAAAGGAGATAACTAGTCTCCAGACACATTCTTATTTACCAGTACCTATCTTGCTCACCACGCCCCACTTCTTTGGCTTACCCCTTCTCTGTAGAGAAATCAGAAGAGTGAACTATTTCATGATGCTGCCCTCAATGGCCACATGGTGTATTAGCCAATTATGCAGTGGCCCGTTCCCCAGCATGTGAGATGCCTGAAACTAGCAGGCCTCCAGAAAGGAGACCTGAGAAATTACAGGTGAAATGCGTGTGGGAAATAGACCTGGAGCAATCCAGATGCATAGTGTCTGTTTTGTAGGATCGATTAAAGTTGAACATAGGCCTACTCTATGACTCAGCAATTCTTTTTTCTAATTGTAAATTGACAATTTATAATTGTATAAATGTATGTAATTTGTATAATATAACCAATGGGACACAAAATGATGCAAAACAATGTAGAATAATTAATATAGTTAAATATTTATCATCTCAAATTCTTAATATTTTTTGTGGTGAGAACATTTCAAATTTACTCTTAGCAATTTCAAAATGTAAAATACTGTAACTATATTCATCATGCTGTGCAATAGATCTTCAAAAAGTAATTCCTCTTGTCTGAGATTTTGTACCCTTTGACCAACATCTCCCCATTCTCCCCATGCCCCAGCCTTTGTACCACAGAACCATATTATCATATTCTACTCTCTGCTTCTATTAGTTCAATTATTTTAGATTCTACCTATAACTAAGATCATGCAGTATATGTCTTTCTGTGCCTGAATTATTTCACTTAGAATAATGGCCTCCAATTACATTCATGTTGTCACAAATCACAGCATTTCTTTTCTTTTTTAAGACTGAATATTATTCCATTATGTATACAGGCGACAGTTTCTTTTCTATTTTTTTCTGAGATAAGGTCTCACTCTGTTGCCCAGACTGGAGTGCAGTGGCATGATTATAGCTCACTGCAGCCTCAAACTGCTGGGCTCAAGCAATTCTCTTGCCTTGGCTTCCTGAGTAGCTGGGACTTCAGATGCATGCCATGATGCTGAGCTAATTTTTTGTATTTTATATTTTACATAGACTGGGTCTCGCTTTGTTGCCCAGTCTGGTCTCAAACACCTGACTTCAAGTGATTCCCCCACCTTGGCCTCCCAAACTGCTGATTACAGGAATGAGCTGCCATGCCCAGCCTACCATGTTTTCTTTATTCATTCATCTGTTGGTAGACGTTTAGGTTGATTCCAAACTTGGCTATTGTAAATAGTACTGCAATGAACATGAGAGTGCAGATGTCTCTTTGACAAACTGATTTCAAACTTTTGGAGCAAATACTCAGAAGTGGGATTGCTGGATTATATGGTAATTTTGTTTTTAAATTTTTTAGGAACCTCCATACTTTTTTCCAAAATGGCTGTACTAATTTACATTCCCAAGAACAGGGTAAAAGGGTTCCCTTTCTCCAAGTCCTTGACAACACTTATCTTTCATGTTTTTGATGATAGCCATTCTAGCAGAAGTGAGATCATCTTATTGTGGTTTTAATTTGTATTTCTCTAATAATTAATGTTGAGCACTTTTTCATGAACAGTCATTCCTAGATATACTCAGGCTATTGGTTCCAGGACCTCCTTTAATACCAAAATGTGAGCATACTCAAGTCCCACAGTCAGCCCTGTGGAACCCACAAAATTCACATATAAGTAGAACTGCATAGTTCAAACCAGGATTGTTAAGGATCAACTGTATCCTGTTGGCCATTTGTATGTCTTCTTTTGAGAAACATATGACCCAACAATTCCACTTCTAGGCATATACTCAACAAAAATGAGTATATATGCACCCCCCAAATGGTACAACAGTATTCATAATGACATTTTTCATAATAGCCCAGAACTGGAAATAAATAGTAGAAATGTAGTAGAATGGCTACATACATTGTAGCATTCCCACAAAGGAATACTTTATAGCAAAGAAAAGAAATAAACTCCTGCCATATGCAACATGGGTGAATTTCACAAATATAATATTAAGGAAAAGGAGCCAGAAGCAAGAAAAATACATAATGTATGATTCCATTTATATGAAGTTCAAAAGTAGGCAGCACTACAAGATGGTGCCTGGTGCCAGGATAACAATTCCCCTTGGGGAGGGGGTGTATATAACAGTGGGAGAATGGGTGCTATCAATGTTCTATCTTTTGATCCAAGGTTGTTCATTGAGCTCTATACTTATAATTTATGCAGTTTTATGTGAAGTAGGTGAATTACACTTCAATAGGGTGTTTACTAAGAAATAAGACAAGGTACTTCCTTTAATAAAAAGAAAGTTAGTAGTTACTATATAAAGACTACACCCAAAGAAACCAACTTAAGATATGCAGCTTCAGAATTCAGGGCTAACATATCCCCCAGTGAAACATGACTTTTCATTTAGAGCAAACTTCTACATTATTTCGTTCATTTTCAATTCCAAGTGCTCTTTGCATGTACAAAAATGAAGTGAGAACTGTCGATGTGTTGGCTCCATTAGCAGAAGAACTTTTCAAAGTGTTAAATGATGCCAGTTTTATATCTAAGTCTTCAGATGCTTCAAAGAGAAAGTCAGTTAGGTTAAGTCCAATAATAGCTCATTGTTTTCATCTGCTGCAGCAAATTGAGGTTTGAAGTTCACTCTGACAAAAGTGAAATAGTTCTCATCATTGTGAATGCTATTGTAACTTCAGTTTAAAATGTCAATATTAAAGATAAATTTACTTGGTTTTTGTAGCTGTAATATTTTGAACTAATGTACATAAGTATATGATACTTTATTGCAAAGAGTTTTAAAATAGAACTATAAGATAGTTCTATTACAGACCAATGTAACAATGCCAATATGTTACACAGTTAATACATTCAAAAAATTACATAATTTTTATTATTTTAACCTCCCTCTTTCAAAGGTGTCCCAGTTAAGTTACATGTTAAATATAAGTTAAGTTATGTGGTCTCCCTATTCATGACAAATAGCTGAATCACCCTTCCTTTCTCTAGCAAGCCATCCCAACACTCCTCCCTTCCCTACTCCAGACAGAATGAATCACTCAAAGCCCTATGATGTGGTAAATCTGCCTGAGGTGGGGGGTGATGGAAAGAACATTCAAACTTCCACAGCTTTGCTTACGCTTTTTTCAGTTTGAAATGTACACAGCCTATGTGGGGAACTAGTCCATCAGTTGTGCAGGATAATGAAGCGTAAAAGAGTAGGAATGAGGTGAAGTTGGAGAGCAAAATCTTTCAAAATCTGGCCCCAACCAAAAAGTTGGAAGTTTATCCTCTAGTCGATGGAAAAGTCTAAAAAGTTTCCACCAAAGGGAGTGACAAGATCCCATTTACACCTTTAGGAAGATTGTTCTAAGACTGCAAGGGATAAATTGGCAAGGACAAAGACTAGAAGCAAGATCAGTTGGTTTAACTCAGCAAGTGTCATCTGTGTTTCTGCAAAAAATAAAATTCTTAAGGAAAGAGTAAAAGGGAAAAGAAGAGATTTTTCGAGGCAGAATTAAGAGGATTTGGTGACAGATAGGTAATGGGATTAATTAAAAAGCAAATGTAAATCACTTAGCTTAGGGCCCAGCCCATAGTAGACATCCAATAAATATTCATTTCCCTACCTCTTAAAAGTGCATATACTTTACAACGAGTGTGTTTTTCTGTTCTTTGGTTGCTGGAATAACTATGGCCCATATTCTTTTTTTAACTAAATAATATATTTTCATCTGGGAAAAAAAAACTTAAATACAATGAAAATTGGAACAACCACTTTGGAGAATTTTTGGTAATATTTGGCAAAAATTGGCAGTTTGAGTAAAGTCAAAGATACTAATACTCCAAGACCCTGCAAGTCCACTTGTGGCTATAACCCATACTGAAACTCTTACATGTATGAGAGTCTTATGCATAAGGATGCTCATTGCAGCATCGTTCATAATTACAGAAAACTGGAACCAATGAAAACATCTATGAAAAGGAAAATGAGTAAATGAGCTGCAGAATATTCATATAATGTAATAGTATACCACACTTACCAGCATGGATAAATCTCGATAACATATTAAGCAACACGAAAAAAAAGTTGCAGAGGGATATAGTATGACACCATTTAAATTAAGTTTAAAAACCTGTTAAAATATTATCTAATAAGGGAAAAGTCTATACAAGAGGGGTACATAGGAGGTCTTAATTGTATGTGACATTTAATTTCTATTTTTCCTTATTGAAACATTTTTATTGTATTCTCTTGTTGGAAGGGGAAGATAGGGACAGATAAGATGAATAGAATATGACATTGACATTTAATTTCTTTGAAAAAAAAGTATGGAGTAATGTTAGGATTTAATAGGGGTGCATTTTCTGGTGTTCATGACAAGGTTATTTTTATTCATACATAAAACATTTTGCAATAAAATGAAAAGAATAATGCAGTAGAATAGTCAGATGTCTATTCTCCTCTATGCTTCAGAATAATACTGTGCCCAGTATTTGCTAAAGGCTTCAGGATAGACATTGGGTCACATCTTTAACCTTGAATTATCTCCACAGAAACAGCAACCACCTTGGTGCACTAGACAGAGAGATGGGTGTGGGTGCTCTTTTTGGCTCTAACCTTGAGCAATTCAATAATTGTTTCTGTAACCTTGTGCAATTCATTTCACTCTTGCCCTCAACTCCCTCAAATCCAGAGATCCAATCAATACAGCTAAGGTGACAGCCTGAATCTTACAGCAAATCTTAAAAATAATACCAGGGGTAGCAACCATGTATCACTGTCCCAGAGCCTCATGTAAGCATTTTCACTAGGAGGATTAAATGAGACAGTGCATTCATGTTCTGTTGTCCCTAATCTATACATCAGGAAACAGGCTTAAAGAAGTTAACTAACTTGCCAATGACACACAGATAGAGCAGGGTTTTTAACCCAGATGTCACTTTCTGATTCCAAAGCCCATGCACGGTCTTAACCAGACCGACCAGAGGACTCTTGCTACGTCAGATCCTTACTGTTAGTGAGTATCCCTTTTAATGTTCTGACTAGGATGGCCATGTAACTTATCCTGAAAACTGAGATACTTTGAGTGTAAAAGAGGGCACTAATAATTACTCTGGGACCACAGGCATAAACCAGGACTGTCCCAGGCTAACTAGAATACATAGTCACCATAGTAATGAGACTCTGGCAAACACATTCCAGCAGGCTTTTCAGATATATCACACAAGCACAATGGTTTTCTAGTAGTAAACAAGCCGATTGATTTAGATTCCCAGTTTAAGGTTCTGTTAGCACGAGAAGTCCTCTTAACCCAGCTGGCAGAAATAGACGGCACAAGGAGTGCCTTCCAACAGCGTCTGCCCATAGCTGTTGCCCACAGAGGAACACAGCAGCTGCTCCAAAGTCTTTCCAGGGCTTAGCCCTTATCGCCCTATTCACATTCAGGAGCATGGAGTTTCTATTTCCTCCCTTGCTGAAGCATTTAAAAAAATCTGTCTGCAAAGAAGCATTCACTCCTGAAAAACTTTGATATAAGAATGGGACGATGTTGCCCTCTGGTGTTACCAAGGAAGTGGCAAGCAGCTACACAGACTCGGTCAGGGCAAGGGTGAAGGCAAGGGAAAGCAGAACACTAGCTCTTACCAAGCAAGTGTATGAACATGTCTTCCTCCTTAATCCTTACGACAACTTTGCAAAGTCCATCCTTATATTCCTCATTTTTATAGATAAGGAAACCGCTCAGAGAATGAGTACTGTGTTCAAGGTCACACAGCGAGAAAATGTATTGAAATTTGAACCCATATCTATCTAGCATTAAAGTCTATGGTCTTTCCTTATATCATTCTATAGGCCAATATAAAAACTGGGGTCTTCAAATATTCAAAATATATTTATTGAATACCCATTTATGCCAGAAATCGAATATGAGGAAAGACTGACTTATTCCATAAAGAAATTTCAGGTTAGGCTTGGCACGGTGGGTCACACCTGTAATCCCAGCTCTTTGGGAGGCCAAGGCTGGCAGATCACTTGAGGTCAGGAGTTCGAAACCAGCCTGGCCAACATGGCGAAACCCTGTCTCTACTAAAAATACAAAAATTATCCAGGCATGGTGGCGCACACTTGTAATCCCAGCTTCCTGGGAGGCTGAGACATGAGAATCGCTTGAACCCTGGAGGCAGAGGTTGCAGTGAGTGGAGATCGTGCCACCATACTCCAGCCTGGGCAACTCTGTCAAAAAAAAAAAAAAAAAAAGAAGGAAACCTCAGAGTACTTTAAAATGAACATGTATGAGGGATAGACTAGTCACTCAGTGCCTGTGATTATGTGATCACTTTCACGTGTAATGCCCTCCTACATCTTTGTAATATTTGCCTACATCCTTTGGAAACATTCACTGTTTTCTTCACCAGTCCTGGTCTCTCTCTTGTTTTTGACCCTCCTGCCACTTTCTCGGTAGCAGTTTTCTTAGTCACCTTGTATTACAGTCATGGGTTTATCTAATTCCTCTGTTCATCACCCTTGTATTATATAATAAACTACCTGAGAGCTGAGATGGGTGTTTCACATTTTTAAATTTCAAACCTCCGTAATACCCTTTCACAGTGCTTCACTAAGAATAGACCCTCAAGGTGTTTGCAGAATTTGGACTGCATTAGATATCAGCTACTTGATGAGATTTTAATTCCAAGAGGCTAATTTTTTTTTCCAACTTGGTAGCATCCCATTGTGTCCTCTTACAGGGCCAATTAGCCATGTTAAACGTCTAATAGCCTGGCAGGATCAGAGCTCTCCCAACTCACATCCCTATACTGGTGAAAGCATAAGACAACGAACCCTGGAACTGGGAAATGGGCTGGTGGTACGGCCTCTCTCTGCATCTCCAGAGTGGAGGCTGTAGGGGCAGTGTTCTGCTATGCTTGTTTCTGTCTCCTTTCATTCCCCCATTCCCCTCTATATTTGGTAGTTATTCTGTTCTACCCTAGCACTTTCTACCCTCTCATTCAACTGCTCCCTTAAATAGAACCTTTCTGCTTTTTCCTTTCCCTAAATGGCTTTCACTGATTCTGACTCTGGCGAGTCCTCTGTTTTCAGGGAAATGTGGCTAACCTCCTGACCTGTAATTCTGCTACACAACAGCTGTCTTCCCACAGGCCATATATTAACCCTGTTTAAGCAACTCTTTAAATTCCTGACATGCTCAGTCAGCAGCAGCATTAGCAGCAGCACCATCTGCTAGGAGTTTAACCCTCTTGCTCCCTGGACTTGAATGGTGGAGGTAGATTAGAAACTCAAGCTTCCACATGTAGCTTGGTAAGTCACACGTTACCTAAATGCTCCCCTGTAATTCCACTGATTCTAAACATTAGCAAAGTAAGTTTTGATATTAAAAAGGAAAAATTCTAGTACATTTATGTTTCAGTGATATACAATAGGAAAATATTAGAAACAACTTAAATATCCAATAAATACAAAATTAAGCCATATAATAGCACAACCAAATCATTTTGAATGGCTTCATAATATTCTGTGGTTTTGACATATATGTGTTAACCTGGAAAAATACTTAAGTGAGAAAAAAACAGAATATAAGAAATAATTTACAAGTAGTAACCTTCTTGATGTACTTTTATCCAAACATTTTTTTTCCTACGTATATATTTTTTAAAAGATAGGAAAACAACTGCTATTAGTTTAGAAGACATTTCCAGATATTTATAGTAGTAACAAGTCAATGCCAATATAATACTCTGCTCTAGGTACAGCATGTTAACAACATAAACCCACAGCCAACGGGTAGCCTAAACAATTTTATTGCTTCCACCAGCTCCTGTAACTCTTTCTTCTATTAGCAATTCTTCAATGCCACCCCCATAAAAAATCAACCCTTTTATTTCCCTCTCTTCTGCCCTCTCTTTCTTCCCAAAGTCATCTCAGACTCTTTTCTTGGCACCTCTTTGAGTCACAGATAAGGGGAATAGAACAGCAGAATAGAGCAAATACTTCTCCCATTTTATCTTTTCACCAGGGCTCTCCTCCCTATGTCCCTGAAAGTACACAGGTCACTGTCACTAAAGAAAAACTGGTGGCCCCTGAATACACAATTCCATTGGAAGGTGACAGTCCTACCACTGTAGTTTCAGACAGGCAAGATCATAATTTTGTATAATAATTGCCTAATTCCAGAAAATGGGCACAAAAATATTGTTTGCTTCCCAAAACCATAATGGAGGTTACTCTCAGGCCTTTGCCATACATGCTAAAAAAAAATTCTTATTTCTTTTTCTGGCATTTATTTTCAGCATATGGTGATAGTTGCTGAGAGCCCACGTGACCTAACACTTGTCCCACCAGACAGCTGAGTATTTTTACTGATGGACACTGGCATCTACTTGGAGGAGCCTCTTTAATATGTATTTAGGCAGCAGGTGTTCAAAACACAGTTCAGTCCTGTTATACAAAGAGCCATTTCCAGTCATTCCATTTGTATTCAGAACGTAATCAGATCAAGGAATAACTCTAGATAATATTAGAGAAAAAGGGAGGACAATTATAGGTTCATAACTCTGCCCATCCACTGTAGCTTGGAATTTGGGAAGAGTACAGAGGAGAGGTGCAGATTCAATTAATTTCTTGATAAGTTTTCCATTTTATGAGTTCCCACACTTGATTATATAGCAATACCCTATTCCCTTATAGCACAAACACACATGTATACCACCATGTCACCATGGATTAAGTTCCTGAATATCTACAAGATGAAAGAAGTTGAATTTGGGAAACTTAAGAGCCTAACGCATAAACAGGAATGAGAGACTGAGATTAGTGGTGAACTTATGTCAGTTCCATAAAATTAATAAAACTATAAAAGAGCACAGTAAATAGACTGTTGATAGCCTTTTGTGCAACTTAAATTAGTAATAATGGGTCTGTACTGAATAAAATGGAGAGGAGAAAGATAGGAGTTCTCAAGTCCTAGTGGTCTTGACTGATCTTTCTTTCCATGGCTCCTCAAACTTTAAACTAGTCTTGATTGGAATCTTTTACTCACCCCACCTAAGAAACACAAGAGGAGGAACAAGACTAATGATGAACGATTCATTTAGTTTCAAAGATAGTGAAATTAGGTGTGCCCAAGAATTTCCCAAGAGGCAGTTAGAAATAGAGAACTAAAAGAGATTAGGAGTGGAGACAGACATTAGGGAGTCATCTAAATAGGAATAATGGATGGAAAAAATGAAAAGGAAAGAAAGCAAGTAGGGCTGATGCTTGAAATAATTCAAGACCAGTGGACAGAGAAAATGAACAAGATATAAATTATTTTTCCTACATTATCTTCAAATCTTCTGAAGTTTCACAGAAGCCAAGAGAACAGAGACTTTTCAAAAGAAATGGATGCTTATCATGGCTGAGCATTATAGAAAGGTAGAGGAAAAAAAGGACCAAGATCATTAATTTGATATCTGGGAATAGACAGTCCATCTCTGGTTTCTGGATTCATTACTCCACTAAAATGCGTCTCTCCAGGTAAAGAGAGTTTAAAGACTAAGTGTATGATGAGGGAAACAAAGGACAAGGGTAGACTCCTCCCTTTCCTTCAGTATCAAACTATTTCCCTTCTTTCAAGGTGAGAGGGTAATGGAATCAAACTTTCTGCAGAATAAAAGAGGCTCAATTATGTTAAGAGTTGAGCTGTTGTTCAGTTATGCCAAATAAGTAAATTGGTCCAGATAAGAAAATTAGAAGTTACATTTCTTCTAGTCCTAGTTTATTTATATATATCATACACATACTTGATAAAAACATTTTTTAAACATTAAAACTTCAAAATAGAATTTCAGAAACCTTCTGTCCATTACTTTTAAACCATCACTGGCCTAACTTTTTTTTTCCTTAATGCTATATTATGACCATTTTTCTTGGTCCATAAACACATATTATGCCTGCTTAGGTTTTCCAACATACAGGTATACCTTAATTTACTAAAACAGCCCTGGAGACAGGTCTGTCTCCAAATTCCTTCAGTTATAATTTAACTCTTTGAAACTTTGAAGACATTTTTGATTAATGAATACGAACATAAGTATCTGAATGAAAATGAAAACTGAAGATCCTATAATTCTAAACGGCAGAGTTGGGAGGCTAATTAGTGGTCGTCTAGCCTGATCATCAACAGAAAGCATATTTTCTTCTGTGGTTGTCCAGAAGTAATAGCAAAAAAGTCTCTACGTGGTCAATTTTTAAACAATTCCAATAATTTAGAAACTCTCCCATTTATTATTCTGTGTGACTTTAAGGGAATAAAAGTAAGAACAAAAAGTGGCTATTACAGAAAGACTTATTAATGCCTCTCCCATATAACAATATTAAGTATTTGAAGGGCTGTCATATTTGTCTCCTTTAATTAATTCAATAAACTTTTATTGAGGACTCTGTGCAAAGATGAACCAAAAAACTGCTCCACCCTCCAAAAATGGGTAGTTGCAAAAACCTTCAGTATCCTCTCACCTCCCTAACTTACCCTGTGAATTTCCCAATGGCTCTCTGTCTTTTTTTTTTGTACCCCCTTCTCCCCCCAGAAAAAGTATGCCTGGAGACTGGCCTGCATTAGGATAGTAGAGGAAACATTCATCTTTTGCCTTATTCACATTTAATCTAGTATTCAGTGTCATATAGTTTGTAAGGGGTGAGTTTGCAGACTCAAATGTTTGCAGTAATTAACCAAAGACATCCCCTTAGTACTAATTTACATTATCATGTAAAATGGAGAAACTGGTCATGTGGATATCATTCAAGACTCTTCAGAAACAATTGCTTGGTCACTTGTGTTGGGGAGAAACCCAGTCTGGAGGGTTAAAAGTAGCAGCACATTCTCATGCTGTCAGCCCCTCTAGCAAATCTTTCTTCCTTCCACTGGGAAAAAAGTGGAAGATGTTCCAGGGATCATTGGATCAATGCCTGAATCTAACTTCCTGACCACAGGGTAGAGAATTCACATATTCAAAATATGAAGCCCTTTTTTTCCCCTGAAAGCGTGGTATAGGATGTAAAATATCTAAACTCAAGCTTTCTGAATTTACCTGACTTTCCATAGGTACAGCTCAAAACTATTAAGGGAATAAATAAAAAGTTGGGCAAGTGCATTTTTGGTTTAAAATGGGACTCTTAAAGCAGAAGGGAGTTTCCTTCCCCCTCCCCCACAAAGAATATTTTATAGATGTGAAAATACTAAGAGATTAAAGTTTCAGCAGAAATAAATATCTCAAAGGAGGCACCATACTATTTCCTTTCCATATGTTTAGTACCTCATTTTCACACATCGTTTGTAGTCTCCTAAGTTTAGACAAATCATCTTGGCTATGTAGTTGCAAATCACTAAAGAGAGCCAAGCTCATAGAAGGGAAAATGTATGTTGTTCTTTGGGTTTCTGAATAAGGAAAGTACTTAGGTAGAATCTTATTTAAAAGCTTGCTATTTTAAGTAATTTCATGCCTCTCATAAGATGGTATGTATAATAACTTCACCTATATACTGTATAAAAAATAGGTACTAACCCTAATCAGAACTAATGCTAGAACTACACAAGATTTCTCTAGCATTCATGCTGTTACTACTAACAACATACATAATATATATGATATGGCCATATATTTGCAAGCTTCTCTGAAGTACCATATCATCTCTAGGACTCTATCCACAGCACATAGTGTGTACGTAACTGAGAATGGGATATGCTTCTTGTGCTGGTCATTTGCCTGATTGTTCTCAGATTCATTCTCATCCTTCCCTAATTCTCCTGTATCTGAAGGTGTACATTTCTCAGGCTCCTTTAACAACTGGCTTCTGAATAGGTTTGGCAAATGGGAAGCTTTAATGGATTACTTGAAGAAATACCCTGGAGAAGAGAAGCAGCCAGGGTATTTCTCCCTTTCTCTCTCTGCTTAGTGGCACCTCTGGCAGTGACTGTTTGGTGTTGGTTTTTGTTTTGTTTTGTTTTGTTTTTTTTGAGACAGAGTCTCGCTCTGTTGCCCAGGCTGGAGTGCAGTGGCATGATCTTGGCTCACTGCAAGCTCCACCTCCTGGGTTCATGCCATTCTCCTGCCTCAGCCTCCTGAACAGCTGGGACTACAGGTGCCCACCACCACACCCGGCTAATTTTTTGGATTTTTAGTAGAGATGGGGTTTCACCGTTTTAGCCAGGATGGTCTCGGTTTCCTGACCTCGTGATCCGCCTGCCTCGGCCTCCCAAAGTGCTGGGATTACAGGCATGAGCCACCGCGCCTGGCCTAGTGACTTTTTTCCATAACAGCAACTCCTTTGGGATAATTCTATGTATTTCCAGATCTCACAAGACAGCCACTGAGAAGTTCTAGCTCCTACTAGATGGTTCAGTTTCTGAGCTCTGAGAACACTATGTCTTCCCTTCTACCTCATCAGCCAAAATGGTGGTAGCACTTTCCTGCTTTTCCTAATTTCAGGATTCCTCAATATCTTCTCATTTGGCTTCACAACTCTTCTATTACCTGTGCAACAAGTCCCCTGCACTAAATGTCTTCTGTCTGCTATACACAGAGTGATTTCTGGTTTTCTGAGGGGCTTCTTACTGATACTCCACACAGAAGTCTAAGACTGTGTTGTCATTTTTGATCATGAATGCAGTGACGACCTCCTTACAGGCAAGAAATGGGACACTAGCAATTTGTGGTAGGCAGCGATATCATACTTAAACTATAAGCTGCAGTTTCTCAAGGCATGGTACAAGTTGAAGGCAAGACTTTGGTCAAGTAACTATTGCATTTGACTGTTATGATAGTAATAATAATAACAAGAATTATTACATAGGATGGATGTTTCTGACTGCCCTGAAGAGTATGCACAAAGAAAAAGATAAGCCTAAGGCCTTAAATTTTTTAACCCAAAAATCAAGCTATATAGCCACATTCCATACCTCCATCACCATAAGGCAGATGACTGAGTATCAGGCCCAAGGCTTGATAATGCATCATCAGTTACATGTGTAGTCCTATCAGGTATTTTATGCTGAGGTAAAGGACCTGGTTGGGAAGGAGTGGTACCCGAGACTTTGAAAGGGCAGACAGGGATGAGGTTCTGAATGCTGAATTCCCCTGAGCCTTCCTCTCCAGCAAAAGCAGCTTTCCTTTTGTCAGTTTTTCCATTTAACACCCGAACTGAGGCAAATAATCTTCACTTGCATAAAACCATTGCACGACTTCACTAGTGGCAGATGCCCTAGAAGAGGATGCTTATTCTTCCAGAGCCCATTCAAACCACCCATCGTTTCTAATCTCATAACAAGAGTTTGATCCAACATAGCCCAGATGAAAGTGAATGATCTGCTGCCATATGAAATAGCAAATACACCAAAGGAGCTGCAAAATGTTGTTAATTTATGTTAAATGTAGGGGACATGTATGAAAATATATTCTAAAGGACTATTCAAAAGGACGAAACAAAGGTTGGATCAGGCGGAATTTATTGAGATAGACATGTATACCTGGATTCAGGATTTCCTGTGGTGACTCACTCAAGCACCAGCGGTGGTATCAATCACCTGCTAGTTTAGTAGAATAAGGCCAGTAAGATATGAAGTAGAGATGTTGCTTGGCACACTGAAGAACAATGCTTTCAGACAGAAATAAAATACAAACCACAAATGTAATTTTAAATTTTCTAGCACCCACATTTTAATATGTTTTTAACAAATTATCTCAAGTGCTCAATAGCCGCTAACCATGAGGCTAGTGGCTGTAGTATTAGATAGCACAGTACAGGCAAAGGAGTCTGGAGAATTAGAAATCTGGAATGGATTCACAGCGTGCAAACTGCTTAACCACTGCCAACCATACCCTTGCTTTGAAGGATCCAGAGGACTCTCCTTTTACTAAGTTGTTAAGAAATGCACTGGTGAGGGAAGCATGCTCATATAAAGGACAGTTGCATCCTGTTATATAGCAGCATTAGCTTGTGGTTGTATCACAGTTTAAAATGGCTATAAGTGTGAGAATGGATGCTGAGTCGTAAAAACAGCATATGTACTAATCATTTGCTTGCTTTGTCTTGCATGCATTCCCCACTGTTCCTCTGTTCTGAATGTGTCAAGGAAGCAACGTTTTCTAGGCTTCTTTACCCATCACTTACGGTTAGGTTCAGCCAATGGGAGACCTGGAGGGAAACTGGAGGGAAGAGTGGAAGGAAAGCCAGGGAATTTCTTCTTTTCTTACTTCAGGTAGCATTTCCAGCAGAGCCTGAGCCTTCTCTGATCCCAGCCCTCAAAAGACAGCCCCTCCTTCTGTGATACCACCTCCTATGGACAGCCCTTGCCATGATTCTAACTCCTGACAGGCAAACCAGTTTCCTGTATCTGTTTGTTAGTGGCATCTCTTCCCAATATCTAGTGTCTTGAAGCTTACAGTGGCTTTTGGATGTTGCTAATTTCTGGTTTGCATCACCATCTACTATTTGACTTCATCTTTCCCTTGCCCATTTAACTGATTCACTGCATTATATTTATCTTGATTAACATAAGGTAGCTTCTGTTTATTCAATCAAACTCTGTTTAATGCAATCCCTTATTATAGACACCTCTAATCCATGGGAAAGAGATCACAAATCCCCACAAATTGATATACACTGATCTCTTAAATAAAGCCTACCTGTTTTTCCCTGATGTTTTACAGTTTTAAGTATTCAATACATCCTTATGATACACACACAAACATAGAACTTATATGCCAAGTATTACAGTTTTCTGTGGCAAGATTTTCTAAAATCTGGGAGCACTAATATTACCTGCCATGCGAAACCTGTTACTCTTTGCCACAGGATAGACGCTCCAGGAAACAGATTTTGAAGTAGAAACTAGAATTCAAGAAGTCCTTAAGACAGTTGTCAGGATCAAACTTGGGAAGTGAAAAAGCAATGTAGTCACAACAAAGGCCTTAGACATTTGCGTAAGGAGCTCTGGAGCTGGCCTGTCCCTTCAGAATTGCCAAATATTGATGCAAAGGGACTAAGCTTTAAGAACACCACCTTCACCAGTCACTGGCTGCAGACAGGAACCCTCCTCCCTGATGGGGCATGACCTTGGGCAAGACAGGGCTCCCTCCTCAGGGAAGACCTCAGCAGAAAGCCCCCAGCTTCCTGTATTGTTGAAAAAATATGAATGTTGGAGTCCTGAAGAGGACAATCAGAGCAATCACCATAGCTTCACCTTGGGACACTCAGAGCCACTTGTTTTGTATAATAGATTTCTCTCTTTTTTTTTTTTTTTTTTTTGAGACGGAGTCTCACTCTTGTTGCCCAGGCTGGAGTGCAATGGCGTGATCTTGGCTCACTGCAACTTCTGCCTCTCGGGTTCAAGCGAGTCTCCTGCCTCAGCCTCCTGAGTAGCTAGGATTGCAGGCACCCGCCATTATGCCCGGCTAATTTTTGTATTTCTGTAGAGATGGGGTTTCACCATGTTGGCCAGGCTGGTCGTGAACTCCTGACCTCAAGTGATCCGCCTGCCTCGGGCTCCCAAAGTGCTAGGATTACAGGTGTGAGCCACCACACCCCGCCTGTATAATTTCTGAAAGCACCTCCTCCCTCTTCCTGTGCCCCCACATCCCCCAGGGATACGTAGAAGGGAAAGGCTAGTGAGGTAACCTACAGCTTCTTCTGTTGTAGCTGTTCTGGGGCTACAACTGATATTCATCATCTCCTTCCATGACCCATTCACCTACGGCTTCTCTTCATCAATTAGCACCTCTGCTGGTCTTGTTGGTTGACCTAGTGGGCTAACCCAGAACCCAGTTACTGTGCTCTTTTCAAGCCATGATTCTTGTCCTTGTCAATTTAACAGCAAAATGGGACCAAAGAGTACCAAGAGTTGCCCATGCATACTGCTGGGTGCCAGATTTATTCCTCCCTGTCCCCACTGTATAACAGCAGCTCAACCTCTAACACCATAGGTCTGTAAGGTTCGACGGCCCAGTAGGAGGGGCTACTTTTCACTATAGTCTGGACATGCTGCAGAGCCCTTTCCTGTACCAACTCATGCCCAAGATTACATAGCTATTGAGTTACCAATCTTTCTGGGCCTCAGCTTCATCTGGAAAATTAAGAGAATCACAATACATATTTTATTATGTTGTTGTGACGATTAAATGAGTTTATATGAAGCATATAAACAGTGCCTGGCACATAACAAACCCTACAACAGCCAATTCTAAGTTTTATATTAACTTGCCATGATCTACAAATAAGGAATAAAAGTATATACAATGTGCTTAGAAAACACAGAACTATGCGTACATTTTTCTTTTTTTTTGAGACGGAGTCTCGCTCTGTCACCCAGGCTGGAGTGCAATGGTGCAATCTTGGCTCACTGCAACCTCCATCTCCCAGGTTCAAAAGATTCTCCTGCCTCAGCCTCCCAGTTAGCTGGAACTACAGAAATGCACCACCACGCTGGCTAATTTTTGTATTTTTAGTAGACAGGGTTTCGCCATGTTGGCCAGGCTAGTCTTGAACTCCTGACCTCAGGTGATCCAAATGCCTTGGCCTCCCAAAGTACTGGGATTACAGGCTTGAGCCATCATGCCCAGCCATTTAAATTTATTTCCATAAGAACTTTATCATTTGTAGTTAATTTTATGTATATTCCCTGGATTTGCTTCAAATGTTCAGAATCCTTCACTATTGTCATAAGAAAAGCTAAACTTGTATATGGGAGAGAGTTAACACCTAGGTAAGTGACCTTTGGCCAATAGGGTATTGGAGCCACTGGATATTCTCCTCTTTTACTCCTCCAGTGGACATTCTGAGGTGCATTTTATGTAGCTCCTCAGAAGGATCCTGCTAGGATCAAGCCTCAGTTGCCCACAGATGTGATCAGCTCAATAACTCACCACTAAATTGGCTTTCCTTTCCTATTTGACTCCTTGCAATCCCTATTCTTGTTTCTGAAGATCACATCCCAAAATAAATTACCTACAAGGAAGATCTCTCAGGCTCTGTCCTCCGGAGGAACTTAGTCTAGGACAATTAGTACCAGAAATAGCCCAAGGAAGCAAAGGCTTTAGATGGATTCTGGACCTGTATCACACTCTCTAGTCACTTCATTGCTGGTTGGTGAAGTGACTAGACAGTGCACTAGTGCACTTTCCTTAGTAGTGGGTTTGAAGTGCAAGTGGAAAGGAAACAGTGGCACTTAAACTGTTGGGGGCAACGATAAGTCTAAGGACTGTAAGGTTACCCAGTTTTCAAAATGGACTTTAGACACTTTGAAAAAAAGAAAATGACAGGCTCAAATTAGCTAACTATAAGTCAAGGCATACTGTGAAAGTCAGAATGCATCCATGGCAGTGTTTATAGACTATCATTTCAGCAGCCATGGGGCAAACAGTGCCAAAGGTCAGGCTCAGGATTTGCACAATAATAGCAGAGCCACAAAGAATACAGGCATCATCTTTGAGGTTGTGCATTCAAAGTGAGCCCTAAACCCTGGGCTGGGGATATTTGGGTAGAAAAGCTAGAGAAGATTGAATCCCCAGATATTCTTAGCCCTCAGACCCCTCTTCCTTGCTAGAGGAAAGAAACCTCTCTTTGCCTGCATAACTCACAAAGTTCTCACATGTAGCAGGTGCCTCACAAGATGATGCTCAACCTCCATTAGATCCACTCCTGCCTCCTCTCCTTGACTGTGACCAGTAACTATCATCACATTACAGTCTGAGCAAGGAATATAGTATAGTATCTACACCAGAAGAATATAGTGTACACACCCAAAGAATTCTAAGATCTGGGCTAACATGACTAGGAACTGAAGAAACATGTGAAAATAGATATTCAAAGTGTGAACCAGGGCACCAGAATAAGACTGCATTTTATTGACATGGTGGCACTCTCCAGTGGATCAAGCAAGGAGTCCTGGAGGCAGTCCTAATATACTGCTGGCATGCCTCCTTGGAGCTCAGTGTTGCAGGTTGTGTTCCCTGGGAAGAAACTCAGATGGAGATTAGCATGCAGGAAACTTATCAGTGAGTGCTCTCAGAATCAAACCCTGTAAAACAGAAGGAAAGGAATTAGGATTTGACTGAGAAAAGAGTTCAGGGGGACAAAGCAGAAAGGCGCCCTGGGAACTTTGAAGGTGGGAAGGCCCTTCAGAGTTGCTGAGGTGGGCTAAGACCCAGACTTTATACCACCCACACCCAGGCACGGGAAATATATTGGCTGCCCCCAGAAAGGGGTCATTTTGGGCTCACAATGCCGGCATACACAGACTCATCATATTGACGAGAAGGTGGAGTTGCTCCCACAATGGGAGGCAGAAAGAAGCATATCTGAAACCCAAGATTCACTGGGCATCTCTTGGTTCCTTTATGTCCAGGAAAGCAGCCGTCACCCAGCAAGTATAATTATATCTTGTTGGGATGAAGGTCTGGGCACACCACCTCAGAGAAGCAACCTAGACCCACTGACAGGTTGCTGCAAAGCTGTGTAAAATCTGAAATGTGTAATAGAATAGGGAAGATAAATATTAATCACAGCCTCAGAACCAGCTGCAGCAAGGGACCATATTCTTTGTCCCACTACTCCTCATCTATTTTTTTATTGAGATTACAGCCTGCCACAACGTAGGCTACAATGAAATGAACTTGACCCTGGGCCCAAACAGAACTTGGTGGTACAAGTGGTTACACTGTAGTGGACCCCTCTTATGTTCACTTCACACCTCTCAGCTCACTTCCTTATTCTATTACCTTGGCAACCAGATGCACACTGGTGTAACTTGATACACTTTGCCTGAGCCACACCAAATATTTCTTGCTTTTTGCACCACCCACCCCCTCATCCCATTTCTCCATTATCACTATATGGGACACCTGCAGGAATTTGCTAAGTGAATTTGATACAGGCACAAACATGGATGGGAAAAGGAATTAACACCCATGGAGTAAACTTTGCCTCATCCCATTCCTCATGAAGATAATTTTCAGGTGCCTTCTATTCAGCTCCACAGAGGGTCCTTGGCATGTTTATTCCCCAGTTGCCCACAGAAGTGATCAGCTCTGTAACGCATCCCTGACTTGGCTTTCCCTCCTTCCCTATTTCATTCTTCTTTGTCTTCCATTCATTCTTGAGATCAATTACCCAAAGAAACTACCTCCATGCAAACCCTTGTCTTGGTTTCTGCTTTTCGGAGACCGATTTCGTGAGATTTAGTTCATCTCCACTTTACCATTGAGCCTACATTTTGCCCAAGGCCAGATGGTGAAATGAAAGGACACTTGGTGAGTGTCTTCAATGCCTCATCACAAAGGTCTCTTAACAAGGCAGGTGTCTTGAAATCTGGACAACTTCAAGATTCACTTCACATGAGAGTGATTCCACTTTTGGAGGACTTCCTAAAGGCTGGCCAACACAAAGGCTTCTGTGAAGACAAGGTCCTCAGGGTCAGTGACAGCCTTCTCACACTGGATCCTTGGTAAAAACAAGTCAATAGGCACTGAACTGTCAATGTTGACAATCTGTTCCAAAATAATCTACCATTATCTTTTCCAAGCGCTTACTAAGCCGCACAGCTGTTTTCTGTTTCACTAAAAATAATCTGTTCTCTATCACCTTATTTTAAAGTCATTTTTCAGCTGAATATCTGTAAGCACAGTTTGCAGAATTCCTAATTATTTCACTATGTGCCTTCTCTCTCTCTCTTTCCAAGATTCTATGATTTAAGATATCTTTACTTTGACTGAAACACTGGAATATCTTCTGTGTCATAAGGAGTATTTGGAATATGAATTCTTGGAGGATAGGCATTATAAAGATGTCTTTCATCTTAATATGCCCACAGCACCTTGTTCACAGAAGATACCTGAATGTTTGTTGAATGAATTTACTTGAGATCTTAGCAGGTCCAGCTGTTGAGTTTCTTCAATATTGATAACTCAGCAAATCTGTCTGGTGGTTGTCTGTCAGTCAGGATCAACTAAATTAAGCCCTAATAACACAACTTTATTGTATTAACACACTGAGATTTAGCAGTTGTTTATTACGCTACATGCCCAAAGGACAGCAGGGGAGTTCTCTTCAACAAAGTCACTTAAGGATCTGGAATGAGAGGTTTCATCTCAACATATACTTCTATGATCACACAGGCAAGAAAAGGAAATATGGCAAATTAAAGACTGGCCCTTAAAGTTCCACTCAGAAGTGACATATATCCCTTTGCACTGGTTTCTTCGGGCAAAGCAAGTCATATAACTAGCTTCAGAATTTTTTTTAAACAATGTACTTAGTAATGTAGTTTTCACCAGAAAAAAAAATGTAGCATGAATTTGTAATTATGTATTTTGCCCTGAATTATCTTGGCTCCCTACTTCACTTTAGAAGAGACGTATCAACCTAAAAGCAGAGGTTTATACTGCACAAATAAAGAGTCAAAAACCAAGACAAAGGTATGCAGTTGCAAAATGGCCATTTATTGCCTACAGGGGAAGGAAAGGGAGGGAGAGAGGGGAAGTACACAGGTGCAAGGAAACAAGCATATATTTAGCCCTATACATCATGTGTGAGCAGTAACCAATCTCCAAAATGGAAAAAAATATTTTGTTATCTGACATAGTAGTTAAGGTTCTTAAGCACCTCCCTTCTGAGCTGCCACAAGATTTAAAAGGCAGGACTGCTTTTTTTTAGTCAATGTTCACATTAATGAAAAAATACTACCAACCGTGTCCTTTTGCACGCACACTTTGTACAGTGTCTATTGTGAAAAACATCTCAGCTGAGCAGTTTTGGTCAAGATTCAGACCTCATCAACTGTTTAACTGTAATAAATAGAAAAATAAAGCAGCTGGTGATTTTGTCAGAGAGAATGTGTTCAGTAAGAGTAGAACCACTTTCTCCAGGGATGGCAGAGAGTGTTAAATGGTTAAAACACCTACAGAACCAGTCTATTAAACATTAAACACTAGCAAGCTACAATTACATGGCACTTCATTAAATAGTCTAATTTAAAAAAAAATCTTAGATTTTAAACTGATTACTGAAACACAAAAACAAGTTGATTTAGTCCTTGGCTTTTTCTTAGAACAAAAGCAAAGTAAATATACAACCTAAAACAGCAGAATTTGTTTTGGAATAGTATCAATGGAAACTACCAAGTATTCAGGGAAAAAGTTACTAAAACACCTTGCTTGGTTTTACAGTCATGTGCTTTGCTTTGCAACCATTAGAATTAGATAGTTACAAAAACACTTTATAGGTCACAGAATGACTCAAATGTATGCAAAATAATGAATTCTTTAACTTAATGCCAGGTAATGAAAATAAATGAACCTTTCCCTACTCAAAACGATAAATTGAGTGGAAAAGTAGATTGTCCCATGGACAATTAGTTGGCACTTGTTATATAGTTGAAAAAAATCACAACAGAAGATATAAATTAATCGATGGTGAATTTGACCAACACCCTGGCCCTTATAGAGAGAAAAAGTACATACACACTCTCTTTAAAAAAAAAAAAAAAAAAAAAAAAAAAAAAAAAAAAAGCCCTCCATACTTCCCCACTCCAGAGACAACAAAGCCAAAGATGAAACATTCAACCTTCTCAAAATATTCCAAGTAGTTCTATTGAACTCTGTATCTCAGCTTCTCCAAGATGAAAAAGTTGTTTGCATTTGGACAACAACTGTACGAATGCCCATAGTGCACATCTCAGTGCTGCTGGTGTTTAAGAAATTTGTCACTCATAACCCTGAACAATTCCAGATCCAGTGTGCAGTAACACAGCCATCCAAATCCCTCCCCTTGAAAAGTTGGCAGAGCACCGCTCAGGAATTTCACAGGTAAGGGAATATATTTTTAGCAAGTTAAGCACAGAGAAAGGACAGTACAGTTTCTAAGTAAATACAGACCCAGATACTGCATCACTTACTGCATCAAGATTGAAACAAGCAGCAGGATACTAAGTCTGTTTGGTAAGAAGCAAAGCCATTGTTTGACATCAATGCTGAACCAATTTTGTGACTTCAGATAACTACAAACTAAATTAAATTGGTACATATAACAATTGATAGCTTGAAAGACAATACATCAGTGATTTGAAGTTAATACGAAACTGAAATGAGCAAGAAAGGACCACTTCTGAGAGGGTTACCATGATTCTTACGCTTTAGAGTTAAAAGTGACAGACATACAACTGGAAAATTATCTAAATTTTGAGAGATTGTTCTAACAAAAATAACTAGTACTAGGCACCAAACTAGAGCCTCCGAAAGATTCTGAAAGCTGAATGGACCATGCTACCACCATGCCAAAAGAGTCATATCACTTGGCATTTGTATATCCTTTCCATAATGTGATTTGTTTCTGATGACATACTTCTAAAATGCAGTTCAATGCTACTCAGTTTATACAATGTACCATAAAAAAAAATTAACAATTAATAAGCACAAATGTCCTTATGTCATAGGCTTTGAAAGTGAAAACTATTTTACTTAAAAAATATTCTATTACTTCAATGTCATGTCTGTTGAACGAAGAACTCAACATGCTTATTTTCCTTTGGTTCCAGGAAAAACCCAAGTCTAACCAAATGTATGCCACAAGGAACTGCCAACTGGGTTAAAGCTTGGTATTTTCCTGGTTATCACCCTATTTCCTGGTGTAGGACCTGGGGTTTAATAGAGACATTTACATAAAAAAGGTATTTGGTTAAAACAAGAAATATGCATGCTCTTCCTTACCACCTTCCTGGAAAGAACTGCTTTTTTTTCTTTCTTTCTGTGAATCTTGTTCAAGACATCCTGTAGTTTAGATATATGGGCTGCTTCTTTTTTACCCTCAAGCTTTTAGGTGACACTTATAAAGGTGAGCATATCATTCTATAAAATGAAAGATGCTCTTGGCATCCTGTTCTTAAACAGATTAGAACTTTGGTAAATAAGACAGATTAAAGATGTACTAAAATGTTTGAATTAATTTTGGTGATCATGATGCTATTACAAAATTAGAATCGCCCAAAGCAACCATAGTATAAAAGTTCTCATCTGCCTACAAATTTAAAACTTTAGTTCAAGCTTCTGGCTTCCCTAGTTAATTTCTCTACCTACAATTCACACAGTTCTCCAAACATGGTATGACTCAAAGGGAAAGGCGTAAATGAATCTACTACACATTAGAAAAGTGACCTTTTTTAAAGGGTAGGGCAGGTGGGAAAAAGAATATCTCATCAATGTGAGAATTCACATTTCTGTCAAAATGTAAGTATGTATGAGTGCTATTTTGAAAATGTGCCATAAAGTCTTTGCTTGCTATAAAAACCATTATTTTCCAAAAACTGGTCAGCATATTTTGCAAAGCTATTAAAATATCTCAGAAACAGAATAAAAAAGCTTAGAATCAAATAAGCATTGGGACACAGTCAATTTTATCATTAGAAAATCTAGCCATGTATTAGGAATGACATAATGATGTGGTTATATGCCTCTGGTTCTTCAAAGAATGTATTTAGCCTATTCTTCCCTGTGCTTTCTATAGTCTGCTGTTTCATACTAAAAGTATAGATGGCATTAGTGATTTTTAGAAACGCTTGGAAATGCAAATATAAACTTAAATTTTCACCCATTTAACAATATAAACTTAGAATTTTAAAATGGAACACTATATTTGCCCATGTTCCAGTTTTAATGTGCCACATCCTCAATTCTAATATAATCTACCATAGAATCAAGTGATATGAGCCTTAGATATCTTTCAACTTTCTCCCTTGCTTCTCTGTGATTTAATATATAACTTTAAGACACCAAAAAAATAGGGGCAAATAAGAAACAGCTTTTATATTTTTGCCAACTACACTAAAACACAGTGGCTTCTTTAATACATTCACACAGGATGCTAATTAGTAAAATTAAATACCTGCCTATGAATATCAGAAAAGTAATTTGAAAAGAAAGAGCTTGGAACAAGGCAAATGGGAGGGGAGGAAAAGCTGGTCTCAGAACCCATTGTGCCATACCTGACTTCAACATGTGATATTCAAACGAATGTTCACACGCCTTACATCAAAGAAATGAAACAAAAATATTCAGCTATGTTATTATACAAAATTTTTTTTACATAAAACATCATAAATCTGGAACAGATTTACTATATCTGAATTCTAAAAAGTTGCCTATAGAATGGTGCTGGGATTCTGTTCTCTGCTTGCTTTTAGGCAGTGCTGTTGCTTAAAAGTTGACACCAGGCACAATATTTTAAAACAAAATCAACGAGCAAGGAGCAGTAGGTGGATCTGAGCCTTTCCCAGATGTCAGGCCTGAGGATGCTGCAATATTCCCCATCAAAATGTGTAAAGCTATGAGGTGGATACTGATGCCTGAGAGAGTGGGTGACTTGACATGCACTTGTATGACTGTAATAATGGCAAACAGTACAGTTTTCTCTTCCTCAAACAATACTGTTTTAGTAAATTTTAAGAACATTCCGGTTCTTAGACAAATATCGAAATAATATTTAACAGTTTTAAAAAAACATGTATCACATTCTAAAAATGCCCAGATTTTCTTTTATCTTCTGATTAAAATATGCAGCAGCCCAATGGCATAAAGCTTAACTCATTCTGATAACTAGAAAGTATATGAGCATATATATTTTACTTTCATTGAATATATATATATATATGTCATTCACCTCTTCCTTTTGGCTTCTCACTGCCAAAGTTCCAAATGGCATGCGGTTTAACAAGACAATGCTGAGGAAAGCAGCATTTCTGATCATCTGAATTGGCAGCTCAAAACAGATACCACTCCTTTTACAAAGGGAACAAAGGGTGAAGGGTATGTGAAATTTGGGCAGTGGGCTAAAGGGAAACCGTGCACATGAAATTTGGGTTACCATGCCCCAAGTGTGTACCACCCAAAACATAACACAATTACCTACTTCAACAGAGCTACTACCAACATTTACTAAAACCACATTAAAAATACACAGGATAATGAATGGTTTGAAAGAGCGCATTTGAAGCAGAGAGAACCCAATTACACACCTTCCTGCAACAGAGTGCCTCGATCATACACAAAATAAACTTAAGCTGTTTACAATGTTTCCCATTTTTTTTTATTTTTTCCCTCTACATTTAACTATTAAAAAAGTTTTTTATTAATAAATGGGCTCCTCTGTGGTTCATATACAATCATAAGTGAACTTTAAATTCCATTTTATACAAACATCTCAAAAAATATTGGGAGTGAAGTATGGTAGGAAATATTGCTCACATTGCTAATTAACATGCGTATATGAAAGGAGGAAAATGTTTTGTTAGTGCATATACCTCCAGAGCAGAAAACCCACCCAAAACAAAAGATCTAAAATAAAACATACAGTAGCTGATTACAAAAAAAGGTAATGTCCACAAAATTAAGTTTTTCATGCTATTCTACTTTCCAGTACTATGCTTCAGGTAATCAATTTGCATGGCTAGATGTTGGATACTTGAGGTATATAAGAAGGGAAACCTGCATGTTGAGGAAAATCTGTCATCTTAAGGGTTGTTTCTTTTTGTTTGTTTATCCTGGTACTTTAACATTTTTAAAAGATATTTTATTTACATCAAAATTCACTGAACTACAATGACATTCCAATTATAATAGATGACAAACAACGCCTCTATCACTAGGCACTTTTAAAAGGGAGTTCAGGCTTTACAGAACCCTTCTGATGCAATCCCATGTATGATATGACATCATCCCACCACCCTCGTCCCACTAAAATTACCCTCTGGGGAAATATTACCTTATATAGCCTGATTAATTTACTATGGAAGAAATTAGCATAAAATGACCAAAGTAAATGCATCATTTAAGACTAATAAAACAGCCGAAGATGTCAGGTTTGAAAGAGGAGACAAATTGTGTATATTTAAAACTAATTAAATAATTTAAATTTGACCTATACTTTATATATTAGTGAGACACAAATATAGGCTATTGTCTTTTAAAATTTCATTCACATAATGGAAAATTTCTTGTTTATTAAAAATATCACATTTTGAGACTAGAAACAGTAAAGTGCATGAAAAGTTTAAAATATAAATTTCAGAAAACTCTTATAGCAGCAAAAAAGCAGAATAAAGAAAAACTTAAAAACACAGACACAACCTTTTCCTGTTACTGTGCCATAATTAACATCAAGTAGCCAACCAATTTTTCCCCAGAAAACAGTATTCTGTTCACTGCCTCTTGAGTCACAGATTTTCAACTGGCCCCTCCTAGGCAAAAAAAAGATTCCAACATACCTAAAGGCATCAACAATTGGGAATAAACCAGTAGCTTCTTAATTCAACCCTGACAGACAACTGAAACAAAGATTAAAAGCATATGATGGCCATTTGGCAGCTAGAGTCAGGAAAATGACCCAACGTTTTCAACTACTGCCCCAAATTTGTTCTCTCTCCCAAATCCTTTGCACTGTCATCTCAAGAAACCAACAGCCACATAATCTATGTTGGAAACACATAAAATATCTGTATGATTTTCCCCATCTGAAACTTTGATCAAGGCCTTTTTATTCAGCAGACTTTTTTCTTCTTTTAACATTTGACTATAATGGCAAAAATGACATAGGTCATATAACATCTGTTTTCCTGGCACAACCAGACAGAAGGTTGAATTGGAATAAGGAAAAATTCATTCCGTGGGCATCCTAAACATACCACATTCTATTTTCAAGGTATGTGGCAATACAGATTACTTACTTTTTCTCTATAAATAAACTTGAGAGACAGGCTTAGAATTAATACTTCCAATAAGGTTATATATAAAGGACAAAAAAACCAAAGTGATTCCTCAAAAAAACTCCAAACCAGCATTTGGCCAACAAATTGTCATGTGGTGTTACATGCTGGATTATAAAAGTATACTGTGCAACCATCTTTAATTTTTCAAATTTTCTTACCATGTATAGAGGCTATATCATAGTTTATGGACTGAACAAGTAAATTTAAGTACTCTGTTAATGTGCAAATGACTTTGGAATCCAAAAGTCAGTTATAAAGGAAAAATTCAAGGTTTTCCCTGGAAGGCATATCATCATTCAGTTTAAAATACTGTATTTATAGTTTTTAAAAATTGCCTTTTATAAAATGGTTGGCTCACTGAAACCATTCAAAAGAAAGTATTTGTTTTGGAAAAACAAATACACTGTTATTGGGCCTCAAATTGGTAATTTATCAATTTTGAATGCTGGCTGTTAATACAATATAAAGAAGGTCCAATTTAAAAACATGTTAAATTAAAATTTTGTAAAGAGAGTAATACTTTGGTTCCAGCCCTACTGCCAAATGATACCAATATGCACAAAAATGTACAAAGTCTTACAGCAAACACATAATGAAAGAAACCTGAAGAAGCAGCTTAAGGATGGCCATACTTCACTCCTACATACTTTGATTTACAACTGTACAGGTCCATAGCAACAGATCCCCGTCTTGGCGGGGCAGTACTCCACTACCTCCGATTAGGCAAGTGAACACCATTGACAAGAGGCAGGAGTGGAGGGTGGAGTTCAAGTTGTGTTAACAGTGAGAAGTGGTCTGAAGGGATGTGAGGGTGTGGACACCCAGTGATGTTGTTCTCAACCAGCCATTGAGGATCTAAAGGCCCCAGGACACCAAGCACGTTCATATGAGTCTTGGAATAGAAAATGTAGTCAATCACGCCCTGGAAAGAGATTGGGAATAGGAAAAAAAGAAAAATTCAAGATATATAAAGAACAATCCATAATTTATAAAAACCAAAAAACTGACTACCCTTTCTTCTGGTACCTGTTGTCTTGATAGTGGGTCAAATAAGGCTCAAATATTCAATGGGTATTACATGAAATAAAGGTGGCTCAATAGGGAAACACAGCATGCTATTGGAATTATAAATCCTTCCATTTGTGTGTAAGTGATAATTTGAGAAGCTAAACACATTAAATTATGTCTAGTCATCTTTAGAATTGGCCTGCTTGGTTTAGTGAAATCCAACATATCAGTATAAATATAATGGAGCCTGTACTAATCCTATTGGCTATAATAAGTAGAAAATAAGAATATTTATATGAGCACATACATAGTTAACGGTATTATTTTCAATTATTTGCATATCAAGATATCCAAACACACCTGACTGAAGCTATAGTAAACCATGTTTATGGATTTGCTAATCCTAGTCTAGCTTTCCCAGATTTGCTACATACATACAAAACACTACACAGTTAACTATTCTATTCTTAATTTAAAATACTCATTTTCACAAATACTGGAATATGTGTAAATTCTGGATTTCCTTGCTACATAAAGACAACTCAGCAAAAATCATTCAGCAGGAAGCCATACATAGCAGTTTTATCTGTCAGAGCTAGATGACTGGATTTGTCTGATCAGTAAGTCTAAAACCAGGGGGCTTTTATTATCCCAGGTTGTGTATGCAAGACAGCAAAATCAAATTTCTTCCTATCTAGTTCCTATTCATATCAAGATAGCCTGAGCCCAAGTAGGGAGAAATATTTCTACACCTGTAAAAACCTATTTACAAATACTATACATGAGTTCCAGCCAATACTTTAAATGGTATTACAATGAAATGGGCTACTTAAAAAATAAAAACTTTTAATGAAAACAAATTTTTTTATTGTGAGATTTTGGACACAATCATTTCAGTTTGTTGATTTTCATTTGACCAATATCAAAACACCAAAACTGTTCCTCTTCTAAGAGACAAGATTCAGGTGCAGTGTCTCATGCTTGTAATCCCAGCCCTTTGGGAAGTGGGGGCAAGAGGATGGCTTAAGTCCAGGAGTTCAAGACCAGCCTGGTAAACATAATGAGACCCAGGATTTTACGAAAAATTTAAACATTAGCCAGGTGTAGCAGCAGGCACCCATAGTCCCAGCTACTCGGAAGGCTGAGGCAGGAGGCTCACTTGAGGCCAGGAGTTTCAAGCTACTTATAATTGTCCCACTGCTTTCCAGCCTGGCTGACAGCAAGACTCTGTCTCTTAAAAAATAATAATAAAAGAAAAGAAAAAAAAAAAGAAGCCCTTATCCAACCTTACTTTACCACAAATTAAGGAACTTACATGAGTCCAGGGGACTCCAAGTTTAAACAGTCAAAAAATGATAGGATCATAAGGTATTATCCCTTCATTTTGGTTATAATGCCTAGTTTTACAGTGATATTTTAGAAAATGAGTTACAAGGATCACGGTAGTTTTACTTCTCCTTATGAGACAACTTTTTGCTTCAATTCTAAAATAAAACACATGAAATAATCTCAATTACTTATGTTGAACAGAATCTCCTATAGGGCTGGGCACAGTGGCTCATGCCTGATGCCTGTAATCCCAGCACTTTCAGAGGCCAAGGCGG
Source organism: Homo sapiens (assembly GCF_000001405.40). Lineage (NCBI taxonomy): Eukaryota > Metazoa > Chordata > Mammalia > Primates > Hominidae > Homo > Homo sapiens. The sequence goes on from NC_000004.12 coordinate 77,722,334, forward strand.
GCAGATCACTTGAGGCCAGGAGTTAATTACCAGCCTGGCCAACATGGTGAAACCTCCTCTCTACTAAAAATACAAAAAAAATGGCTGGGTCTGGGGGCGTGCACCTGTAGTCCCAGCTCCTAGGGAGGTCAAGGCCCAAGAATTGCTTTAACCTGGGAGGCAGAGGTTGCAGTGTACTTAGAACACGCCACTGTACTCCAGCCTGGGCGACAAACCCTCCTATATCTTACAACCTTATTAGAGTGCCGTCATGCACATCAACTGCTAGAGTTCTTTGCAAACGTAGGCCCCAAGAAAAAGTTAAACACTCCAGGAAGTAAGACGCTTTTAATTGAATGCATCACTTGTAACTATTTTCATGGTTTGAAATATCCAGAGTAAAAACTCTTATCAAAACTCTCAGCCAGGTTATGTCTGTGAATTCACCCAACATATTTGTACATATGCATCTATGAGGAGGATCCCTAACTTTGATCATATGCACAAAAAAGGTTATAGACTAATGATTTTTAACCCTTTTGAGTCAGTTTCTTTCTTAAAATATTTAATATTAATAATGTGGGAAAATGCACTCTTTATATTAGTAAAGACTATTATTGTATAAGTCTATAGAACTGTATTTCAACAAAAAGTCAAAACACAACGAAAATATTAATAGTCTGTTACCACTATGCTAAGCTTTTTTAAAAGAATGCCAGAAAATTACAATTTCATAATGTAACAGAAAAGTTTACTATTTGCTATAAAATAAAAGCTGCCCTTCCTTTTTTTTATTAAATGATTTGGGCACACCCTCAGATTAGAGGATAAACGTGGGGTGAGGAGCAGCAGTAGTAGGTTTGAATTAAGCTGTTTATTAAACTTACCTGGTCTGAAAGTAATGTTGAAAAAGGAGTAATCCTTCTAATTGTTTACCCTTCAGTTCATTCCAAATCAGTTTGCAATTAAATGAATCTGAGCTCTAAATAACTCTTTTCTACATTTCTAGCTTGTTCAAGGACGAAGAAAGTAAACAAATACTAAGCTAAGCAAACAAAATTTAACACCTCACTGATACAATGGCCCCTCACTAATACAATTGGATCTGCATTTGATGCTGATCACATGGCATTTTATATTTGATGTTACCTACCCTTTTTTACTGATTGCTTTCAATACTGGGATAGCATTAACTATGTAAAATATATGTATAAAACTGAAAAGTTCATTTTCTGTTACTTGGACTAAGAGCTCAATTCTCTCTACTCAGGTGTGCCCTTAGTCTCTAGCCATCCTTCCTTGAAATACTATTCTATTGTCTCATCCCATCTATCTATCCAGCCAGCCTATTTATCTTCCCATATATTACTCTCTCCCACCAACTTATACCTTTATCCTTCTCTCTGATCCTATCTTATACATCCAAACATCAAACACTCTCTGAGCCAGGCATTTCTAGTTCTTTAGCCATACTTATTTGAACAATGTAAATGGCTCAATAGGATTTTTGATTCAATTACTAACACATGTAAGAGCTTTTGAAGGACTGTCAGTAAATAATTTTAAACCAATTCAGATGACTGAGGAAGGTGGATTAATGTCCCAAATTGTGTTTCTCTGATTTTTATTTATGGACAAGGAAGAAGTAAGCTTTAAAAAAGTCTAGGCTGGGTACAGTGGCTCACACCTGTAATCCTAGTACTTTGGGAAGCTGAGGTGGACGGATTGCTTGAGCCCAGGAGTTCAAGACCAGCCTGGGCAACATGGTGAAACCCTGTCTCTACCAAAAGAAAAAACCCTCAAATATACAAAAATTAGCCCAAGACCAGCCTGCGCAACATGGTGAAACCCTGTCTCTACCAAAAAAAACCCCTCAAAAATACAAAAATTAGCCAGGCATGGTGGCACACACCTGTAGTCCCAGCTACTCAACAGGCTGAGGTGGGAGGATTGCTTGAGCCCAGGAGGGTGAAGCTGCAGTGAGTCATGATTGTGCCACTCTAGGTGACAGAGTGAGACCCTGTCTCAAAAAAAAAAAAATCTAGGCTGGGTAGGGTGGCTCACACCTGTAATCCCAGCACTTTGGGAGGCTGAGGCAGGCAGATGGCCTGAACCCAGGAGTTTGAGACCAGCATGGGCAACATGGCAAAACCCTGTCTGTACTAAAAATACAAAAAATTAGCTGGTCATGGTGGTGTGTGCCTGTAGTCCTCGCTACCTGGGAGGCAGAGGTAGGAGGATGTCTTGAGCACAGGAGTTTCAGGCTGCAGTGAGCAAAAATCTTGCCACTGCACTCCAGCCTGGGTGACAAACTGAGACCCTATCTCAAAAAAAAAAAAAAAAAAGGGCTATGTGAAATAGAATAAAATTTTTTCTTTTTACCTACACACATACCTGAACAATAATAATAGTTGCAGAATTACTAAACACTTATTTTCGGGAACTTTATCACAGGTTTTCTGGGTTACGCTGGCAGATATATATCACTATAGTTACAAGGATAGGATTTAAGCTGTGGTAAACTGTATCATTAAAAGGTATTCCTTTAAGCTTACATAAAAGCAATGATGTGCTAGAGTCAGCTAGTGCTAGCTTTCTTAGCACCTCTTCCCAACTCTATGTTCAATGGTATCATGTTGGAAGATAGGATTCTGCTACAGAAGTACTTAAACCACAGAAATCGGCAAACACCACAAATCAGAGCTTTTTCCCAAAAAGCTCATTATTAAATATTTACCAGCACATCACTACATACAAGTGGCTGGAACAAAATGAACTATCGCTGGATTGAATTATCTTTTCTAATAGCAAAAATACTAAATTAGATTCAATTTCTAAGCAATTTTTTTTCTCTTCATGATTATGAAAGCTGATTAGTAACAACACACGAATTTCTTTTCTTCCTCCTATTTGTTTCTTGGACAGGAGCTAACCCACACAAAAATAGAAAAAGGTTATTGGAAATATAAGGGAGGCCATTTGTAAATTTCCTTTGGTATTTTATTAAATTTCCTCTAGGCTTCTTATACCAAACCACTTTCTAACACTTGGATTTTTCCAGATAGTATAAGATTCTACTATAGATGCCTGAAATGCCAGAAAGTCAAAGAGAGGTATAATAGCAGAGCTACAGGTACACAGAGTGATCAGAAAACTAGCACTGGGAAAGAGATTACATAAAGCCACCACAATCTGTCTTTCTAAAGAATAGCTGGTCCTGTACAATCAGCCTTTCCATTTTTTTTCATATTTGTCAAAAAATGTCTTTCTTTTCCTTTTAGAGTGTCCCACTGCCTAGGAATATATTAGTATAAATACACAGATATAAAGTAGAACCAAAGTACAACCTGCTCTAACCCCATACCCAAAAATAACCTGAAAAACTTAAAGATACTAAGATATCAATGGAAAGTAGAAAGAAAATCTTGAGAAAATACTATATAAATTCATTCAAAGTGAGTTTTGCTATATTCGGTGCTTTTCTGTGGGGGGCGGGAGGTTAGGGGAGGGAGGTTACTGCTGAAAGTTAGGGATGGTTTGAGCAGGTGAGGGTTAACTATATTGATATATACAAAGTGCTTTGACCAGTGCCTGGTACCTAGTGAGCATTTTAGAAGTTTTTGTTATTATATTATTTGAAATCTAAACAAGCAAGAGAGCAAGAAGAATTTAAGACAACAATAGCCACAAAACCCAATAAACCTACTTATATTTAGGTGCATACTTAGCCTAGACATTTTAAGAATCTAAAAATTCCTGAAGATTATACAATTAATCATAAAGAATTTACACCTTTTTTGTTACATGCTTGTATCTGAAATAATTTCTACACCTGCCCAAAGGCTGCCACTCACTTTGAAATCAAAGGTGTAATTGGTGTAAGGCATCAAGTTATTTTCATAGGCGCTCTTAAGTTGGAAGCCATGTGTGATTCTCCCTTCTGAGCTTCCATTCTTTCCATTGCAGCTGAAGTTCATAAGACACTCATTGTACCTTAGTTCCTTGAAGTCTTTATGGTTGTCAGCTACTCCTCCATTGCTTAAGTATTCCACAACACCTGGTAGAATAAAGAAGAGACACTTCCATTTAGCATTTAGACCTTACACAAGGCTTCACAGCCAAGACTTGTTACCAGGTTAATCCACCAGGCTCAGAGTGGTCTTCTTAGGTTGAGCCATATAAAACTGCCTTTTGTTGTTGTTTAAAAATAAAAAATCAAATACCAGCCATTTCATATGAGTCAAGCAAATGAATCAAAGGATGTTTGCCTATTTCAGAACAAAATATATCAGGAACACTCAAAGATATCCTTAGTTTTCTTAGTGGTTTTTCAGGCTAAAGATGATTTCCAGGACCTAGGATGGCATTCACCAGGAAGGTATTAACCCTAAATGTTTTTGGAAAATTATTCCAAACCACTATCTCTTTAGTATTTCCCCATTCTAAGCAATCAACAACTTTGCGAATATATAAGTAGAGCATATTAATAAAAATAGTTTACAACAAAAACAGATTTTGCATCTTCAACATTTCAATGTCTAATGTCAGCTAGACAATATCATTCTTTATTTTGAGCTAGAGTGAGTTTTCTCAGTCTGACACTATAAAGCATATTATATGCCAGAAGTATACCACTTGGCTAAAAATACAAGGCTGAAGAGAAGAATAGCATTCAGAAAAGTGCACTGCTTCCACTGAATTAGCAAACATGAAAACAGTATCAAAACCCTTATGATGATTAGTGCACTGTTAGAGTCATCTTTCTATTTGTAATAAGGATTGATAGTAAGATATAATGAATGTGTGATAAGCACAATATCAGTATTGTAAATAGCTCAGAAGGCACTATCATTTGTCTAGTATTTGCTACATGCCAGGCACTGTTCTAAGTGCTTTATTCATGTAAATCTCACAATTCTATGAAGTAGATAACATGATTCCCCCCTTGTTAAAAATGAAGAACTAGGCTGGGTGCGGTGGCTCACACCTGTAAAACTCCCAACACTTTGAGAGGCCGAGGTGGGCGGATCCAGCACCTGAGGTCAGGAGTTCGAGACCAGCCTGGCCAACATGGTGAAAGCCTGTCTCTACTAAAAATACAAAAATTAGCTGGGCGTGGTGGCATGCACCTGTAATTCCAGCTACTGGGAGGCTAAGGCAGGAGAATTGCTTGAACCCGGGAGGCAGAGGTTGCAGTCAAGACTGCACCACTGCACTCCAACCTTGGCAACAAGAGCACAACTCTGTCTCAAAAAAAAAAAAAAAAAAAAAAAAAAAAAAAAAGGAAAAATGAGGAACTTAGTCACAGATTGCATAGTTCATAAGTAGCAAAATCAGGATCCAACCATGACAGTCTGGTACCAAAGTCATTTCACTATGTTGTGTTGCCAAATGACAACTAACTGGTTTTAACAAATCAAATACAATGGGAGAAAAACTTGCACTTGAGAGTAATTCAACTTAAGAAAGGATTAAGAAAGGAGCATGTGGTTAAAGTGCCAATTAGGCTAGGGGTTAAAGACAAACACTTATAAACAATGATTTCAGCATTATTTGCTAAGAAGAAAAAGATGTTTTCAAGTTCAGTGACTTTTTTTTAATATTCCAAGTGTAGGCATTTAGGTTATCTTATAGTAACCTTATTGTTACTTACTTTAAATAACTTAAAATAGCCTAGCAGTGATAATATACAAAATTTAGCATATGCTTTGGTATTGGCAAAAGAGTAATAGTCTAATGTTTTCCATTTGATACCTAAAATGCAGAAATTATTTTTATAAAAAGTAAAATGATAAAAGTTCAGACATAAAGTAGTTTAGTGGAGCTCAAGAAGTAATATGAAGCCCTAGGATAATTTTGATCATTCTTCTGTAACTACTAACATTATCCAAATATCATTTAATGAATTCACTTAAAAGTTGCTAACATTATTAAACTAGAGAGCTACACGTAATGAATATTTTCTGGCTGCCCCTTCAGATCACCCTTCTGCAGTACACTCTGTGCCTCAGGCAGCTGATCTTTATTGCATCAACTGCAAATCCCTCCCCGCTCTAGCTTTTGGTTGGATTTGATCAATGGGCAGCCTAGCAGGAGATGAAAGGACAGAAGCAGAGTGAGGTAAGAATATATATTTCCCTGGCTCCCTTCTTTTTGGTTTGCCAGGGATTGACCGCTTCATGCAATTCAAAGCCATCACTCCTATTATGTGGCCCTTTCCTACAACTGTATTTTTTCCAAGTTCTAATGACAGACAGCTCCCACCACTTTCCCTTTTAGGTAGAGGAGTGGTAAAGAGATCTATTACTAAATCCCCTAGTGGCAGAGTACTGCATCATTTATTGCTTTGTTTCCCTTAAACCAGGCAACACCTTTGGTAATAGCTTCTTTATTAAACTCTCTTCTATTACCTTGTGTCCCATCCATGGAATTCTTATGATACATTCCTTAATTTATCTACTCAAAATTTAGGAGCTAGCTGGCCTTTGAACCAAGAGTAAAAGTGAAATTGAAAGCAGTGAGGAAATGATATTATAAATACCTGAATCTGGCAATGAGTTAAGATCTGCACATAGCACCAGCGGGATGGAATTAGGATCTGCAGTTGGGCTTCCAGGCCTACTAGAGGCTTTCTCCAGAATGTTTTTAACCTCTGAGACAAACATCATGGTCTGGATGAGCTTCACATCAGAATACTCTGGGTCCCAATGCATGTGGGCATTTGCCACTATAAGCAGCTGTTTGTCTGCAGCATGAATAGGCTTCATACCTAAATTTAAACATTACAAAAAGAAGACAAAGTTATGCTTTATGTTTGAAGAAATGTGGCATCCTCAGGTTTTCTCAATATGATCCACAGCTACTTCTTTACTCTTTTCCATGAATTTATAACTTCCCTTTTATCTCATAAAGTAATTCTTAGAAGCTAAAGGGCTGAGATTCTGGTAATCCTACTATGGGAATTACTCTCCTAGATCAAGTTGGCAAACTGTAGCCCATGGGCTAAATCTGGCCCACAAATTTGGTATAGCCCTTTAAATATCTGTCATTTAAATAGCACAATAATGTAGTAAGGCAGGTTTTCAGTTGAGTTACCTAAACCTCAATTTAAATTCTTACTACTGTCTAGTACTCATTCACCTTGCATTTCCCAAGCACAACACAGCACAACTGTGATAGGTCAGCAGTAAAGGCAGTAAATTATATTAACCTATATAAGATAAAATAAGAAAGTCATCTGCTACCTGAACAAATTCACACCATATACCGAAATAACATTATTTTTAAAATCAGAATTAGAGAGTAGTGTGCTATAAAAGTCTGGACACGTGGGTTTTAGACTTGGCTTTCTTACTAATTATTTTATGTAGTTTTGGGTCAGTAATTTAACCAGATTCTTTTGGGAAGTGAAATATTCAACTAGAATATCTCTAAGGTTTTTTTTTTATTCCTATAATTCTATGTTTTTTAATTCTGTTAAAATAAACATTAACATAGTACTTTCCAAATGGTAGATGGAATACATTAAGATTTTTGAAAATTAAACATAGTTAACATTTACTGACAGATGTCCATAAAATATTCAAGATATAAAACTATTAATACATATACTCACATTCTGTATGTTAGTAACTCTATAGAGAAATCAACAAGAGCTATAATCTAGAGTATGAATGACATGAGGGATCTCTCACTTTTTACTTTACATACCTTTAAACCATTGGACTATCCGTAAACATACAAATTTAATTTTTCTTTTATAATTTCTATAGAAGCGTCTCAAATTTTTCTATTGGAATATAAGCTTTGGGGGAAAAGACCTAATTTTCTAAGTCTACTAGTTTGTTAAAGTTTCTTTCCAGTCTCACCAAGCTATAATTATCTTCAATGTTGAGAAAATAAGAAACTGAAGTATCTGTTATATCTGACATAGTCACCTTAAAAGCAATTTGATCATAAATGTCTGTAGCCAAATCTTCTAAGCGATCTTCTTTTCCCAGTTTTACAGTGTCACTTTTAGCTATAGATTAAGTATTCACAATATTAAAAATTTTCCCCTTCAAAGAGCCATAAGCACTATATTACTAAATTCCCCTTCTATGAGTACAAGAGATATGTATTTCAGAACGTAAAAGTCTCTACTATTTAGAATTACTCTTCCGCAAATTAAAAGAGGAGTAAAACTCCAAAAGATATTCTCCACAATATCAGAAAAAAAAGTACCAAACTTTGGGAAGAATAAGATTGTAAAGGACATAAAGGTAAATAAAAACGGAGGGGCTAAGAAAAGTAAAAAGTCCAAAATTTCATATCAAAGATTACCTTTGATAAGGAATAAATTGAAGTATGGTGAGAAAAGAAGGTTTGACACATATGCATGGTCTGAATAATTCAAATCAATACTCTAGTCCAAAATAATCTTTTCCTCTACAAAAAGTACAGGGGAAAAAAAGCCCTGATGTAGTCTCACTCCTTTCTTGCTTAAAATGTACTAGTAAACAGTGAGATGCTCAAAGGCAGGCAGTAAGAAGGATAAAAAAGGTCTGTGTATGAAGTACATAATGAGTTTCTGACTCTGAAGGAAGCTATAAATAATCTAAAATGCTAAAGTAAGTACCATGTAGATAAAAGATCCTGCTCTTACCCTGACAATGACTGAGATATAACAAAGAAACTAGAGGAAATGTGCCAAGTCCTTAACCTTAAAGACAAAAGAATCACACTCAAGCTAAAAATATAATTCAAAAAGAGGGCCAAGTCATCATAATTTCTAAATTCAGCCTAACCAAAATATTCCCTATTTAAAAGAACTGTTTGGGATTAATGGCATATTAAAAAAGACTTTACATAGATTATCTGGTAAGTAAAAAAGACTGTGATAGAGAGCACAAAATATCCCAACAAATATATGATGCTTTACACAATGGTGCTATTTTCCTGCCCATCTCCCTTAACTTTCCTCAAAAGAAAATAACTTTGCAATAAATAACGGCAAAATTCTCTTCACTTGTTTTGAGATGGAAAAACTTGGGATGGTGTTTATTTTTAGTAAGAATATTTTACATTGCACTCACCTGCTCCAAATAGTTCTTTGTGGACCTCTAATACCACAGCGACACCAATGTTATCTTTTGTCATCACTCTGTTCAGCATAGCTTCGGATCCATCTGAATTAGCCATCGCCACTTGGTTAAATTCCACTGTATGCTTCTGCACCAATGTAAATCTAAAAGGTACATTATTATAATTTTAGGTACCTAGACTATCATGCTGAAAGATATTAAATGAAAGAAACATGACATGCATTGTCTCCCTTGTCATTTTCTAGCTGCAAGTGACCATGTGATACAGTTCTGGCCACTAAGACACAAGAAGTCTGATTATTGTAAAAAGTTTCTCAGAGGCCCCACCTAACAAAGACAGCATATATATCCCTTCATGCTTTTATACCTTGCCCCTTACAGCTAGTGCTCGGAGAAATAATAACCATCTTGTGACCATGAAATAAGAAGCAGGAAGGCAAAAGCCAACCTTCTAAAAATGGGGAAGCAGCTGAACCAGTTCTGGACTGCCTATTTCTGGACTTCTTGTGTGAGAAAATCACCCTTCCCTCATTTGTTTAAGCTACTGCTAGAATTTTCTGGTATTTAAAGGTGCACACAATCTCAACTAAGTTAATGAGAAAAAGATAAAAAGAATACAATCCACCTACCCTGTTTGTAGTTTTATTTCTACCACATCAAGATATTTGTCAACAAAATACAGGGGCACACCTTTATCTCAGCTAAAGAGTAACTGATTTTTCCATCTGACTTTTACTAGAAAGTTGCAATGGGGTATAAGTATTCTGAGAAACAGATTCTGCAAGATGAAGAAATGACTCTCTCTGTGATTATAGCTTCTGCACTAATAATTTTTTCTTTCCTTCATTAATGCCAAATTATTAAGCATTGTAGAGTTGTAGGATTTAATAGAATTGGTTTAGTGCTGACATTTAATTGCAGTGGGATGTTGGTGAAGTCATTTAACCTTTTTCAGTCTAATTTTATTAATTTGTGAAATATTTATAAGTAATCAAAACCTACTAAATACATTACTTGCACTAGGTGTTCAGTGGAGAGAAGACATAGTCTTGTAACAGATCCCCTCCTCACTTTCCTTCAAGCTTTGAAAACAGAAGCTAGTTTCTGTTTCTTCAAAAATATTGACTTACTATGCCACAGGATGCTGCACTAAATGAAGCAATATTCCCTTCCCTCCTCCAATTCTGAACGTGTCAGCTGGACTGACAAGTGTAAAGGGTCAGTTTATGTGCCTATTTCTAACCCAGAGTGCTTAAAGTGACTATAGTTTCTACCCTCTAAAGAGGTAATCTATAAGCTTAAATATGACAGATGAAAGTTACTAAGGTGAAGAATGGGGTTAAGAGCATCCCAGGTAGAAAATGTGAAAGGTCCTGAGACAGCAAAAAGCACTGCAAGTTTATGTGTTAGAAAAGAATGGAAGGGTATGAAATGATGCTGAAGAGGAGAGATAAAAGTTCTAAGCCAGGACATGGTATCATTTGATTTATGTTTTTTAAGATCACTTAGCTGCTCAATTAAAGAACTGATAACTGGGAAGCAGATTAGAAAGTTTGTGAGGTTATCTGAAAGAGAAATGATGGTGGCTTGAACAAAGGCAAGAGAAATCAAGAGGAGTGAGCAGTTTCAAAATGTGTCCTATAGACAGGATTGACCATTGTCCATATCAGACTTCTTCAAACAATTTTAAGCTGTGGAATACCTTTTACAGTTTCTGGTGAGATTCCCACAGATAAAACAGATAAAAGCAGCATTATGTTAGAATAAATCAACCACTGAAAACAAGCAACCTATTTTGATGAATATAAAAATTTGAAATCAGAGGACAGAGATGATATAGTTTTATATCAGTCTCAGTGTCCAATTTTTGTATTTTGTTTTGGTTACAGAGTATTATTAAAAATCCTGATTCACACAGCTATAAATGGTAAATAACTGGCCCTATACTCAGAAAAAAGAAGCAGACATGAAGAAATTTGATTCAGAGGTCTGCACCAAAAACAAGTTAACTAAGCAGTACTTTATGAACACGTTAATGATTTCCAAAATGTTAAAACTTGTATTTGAAACATGTGAGTGAACATGTTATTTTCAAATTACAGTTCAATTATTCACATTTAATTTTTGAGATATCTTCTAAATATTCACAGAACTTCTATGGTATACTTACAGGAACCTAGGATTCTGTACAAAAGTCTTAAAAATCCTGTTAATTATAATATTTTTATAACTGGAATAATTTTACTTCTACCAAAGCTAGGTCATTCTTTGGGGCGTAGGGGCAGGGGAGCATAGGACTCTAATTAAAAGAAATAACTAAAATTTGCTTTCCTGTATTCTTCTCCCATTTTTTCCATTAAAACTAGATCTAGATCTTTTCAAGAATATACATTAAATCTAATTTCTCTTCCAAATGACACCACTTTAAATATCTGACAATAGATGTCAATGCTCTCCCACCCTCCATGTCTTCTCCGGAAAAGAAACGATCAGTTACACTTACATGATGTGTGATGTTGTTCATCTGAACAATTTGTTTAAATTTGCTCAACAAATTTAAATTGAACTGACAACTGGGTCTGTCTTTTTGAAAAGTTCATTTGAACAACTCAAGTTTACCCAAAGGTGCAGTACCTATAACTGGGCATAAATGAACTACAGCCTTCTTCATTTTTTAACTGTATTTTCATTAATAAAGACTAAAACTTCACTTTGGGGAAAGTCATATTGTAAGCCAAACAGGAACTAACATATATCTGAAATGTTTTGATCTTTTTGCTCTTAAACCAGGTCTTGTCAGTCCTGCATTTATAGGTACTTCAAAACAAAAACGTGGAAAAAATGATACATTAAATATGTTTATTGTAGAGATATGAGAACAAAGAAAACTAAGTCACTTATAACCCAATACCTCCATTTAAAAGTTAATATATTTCCCCAGACTTTTCTCTACACACATACACACACATATTTTTACGCATTTAGAACAATACTATTCTATCAGGGACATTTCCTATAACATTTAATATTCTTCCAAATCAATTTTGATGACTGGATTATAGTCCACTCTACAGATTCACCATAATTTATTTAACCTGTGTTGGACATTTAAGTTACTTACGTATTTTAACTAATGCCGTAATGAACATTGCTACATATATTTTTCTGTGGTCTCAGCTGATTCTTGTCCCTCCCTCTTTTTATTCCTTCCATTAATAATCTAAGAGCGGCAATCTTTACCTCAGTTAAGTATCACTTCATGAACATCTGCTCATTAGTTCACCTATTCGGATATTAAGTGCTCTGAAACTTCATTCTATTTAATTTTTAATTTTTTACAGATATGTAAGATAGATGCACAAATTTACAGGATATAATTCTATTTTTCTATTGGATCTAATTCTATTTTTCTAATAGATTAAATATCCCTGCCAGCTTTTGGACATTTATAAATGTTATGAGCATGCATTCTCTTCTCTCAAAATAATTAAATTTCTCAATAGGACAGAATAATAAAAAAAAAATGAAAGCTACCATTATTGAGGATCTATCCAGTCTCAAGATTTGTGTTAAGTACTTCATATATGTTAGTCCTAAAATTTGCACATGGAGATATACTGCTCAGATTCCTCATCAGGGATTGCTTCAGTTGCAGAAAGCTGCCTACTCATGGTCACATACTTCTAGGAGCACCACCATCCAATTAGAAATCGAAAGCAAAAGTTAAAAGTCCAGGGATGTGGGCCCCTTGTGGTTTAACTCTCACAGGCCATATAAGCTCTAAAGCTCCCTGTTGAGTCACCTGAGGCAGTCAGGCCTGCAACACTTCACTTTTCTCCGTATGTCCAATTCTGCTTCCTCCCCTTTCCACAGGTGTTGATTTCTAATAAACTCCTGAACACCAAACTATCTCCGAGTCTTCTTTCGGTTATCTCTGAGAACCCACATTGCAGCAGGAGGTATTACTACTGCCATTACAAAGATGAAGAAAACTGAGGCTGGGCAAGTCTGTCTTTTTGAAAAGTTTGATAGTTCATCCATCCCCCAAATCCTAGAATTTTTTTCTCTACTCCAATATTTATAACAGATTACCTTTGCCAGTTCTCTAACCACACTTCCGTAAGATCTTTAATACCATAAGATATAATTATCTTCATCTGAAAACCTAACTAGTTAGTGCAGTTTAGTGACTCTCTTGGCTTACCAATCTCACCGTCTTGGTTTGCCATTCTCCTCTTTACCTGGTCTTAGTGTTTCTACTTTGAGGAAAATTCTTCTCAATAGAAATCATGAAAGCAAAACATAAATTGTATAGAGCTGTTTTTTGTTGATCGTCAATTACTGATTATACAGTCTGCAGCGGGTCCATTCCTTCCTTGTTATTTACAGTGCATAATGTTAGTTAAAATATCCTCCTCACTGCCTTAGCACTTTCACCCAGCCTTTTCTTTTTCTTAAGTTTCTTAGTAATGATCATAGGTTCATTAAACTTTTTTAAAAATACATGATTAGTTATTGATCTTTCTTCATTTAAATAACAATTCTTTAAACATAAATCTTGAGCAACCACTGGGTTATCAGATGCTTGCAACTATCCTTCCAACTTTATTTCTCATTGGTATATACTGCCATACTTTTGACTTTTAAAACTTCTCAATCTTTTAAAGGTACCTTCTTTTTACTGTCATGGTTTCAAAAGTCCAGAAAAGCAAAACTAGTCTTCCTAAACAGGATGCATATGTCATTATAACTAACACTCCCTTCCACTGCCACTGAGAAACTCTAGAGCACACATTCTCACTCAAGTTTTATCACTTCAGCTTCACCAAGGGTTGAAAAACCAAAGAGAGAGTTGAAAACTAGTTGAACCAAATAAAGTTCCTTCTTTCTAGTAAATAAGAGTGTTGATATGTTTCTTGAACTTTAAGACTTTCTCAGATATTCTGTTTTTAAAAGAATGAGATTTCTAGCATTAGTGCTGATGGCTGTAATCTACAATTTATCTTATTTCCTTGTTTATAACTGTAATAAATTTACAATATAGTAAGATATAATTACCCATATTCTATCCCTACTACCTTAACAATGCTACTTCTTGCATTCCCTTCCCATACAAACCAAATGCACTCTATTCTGCATCTACTTTGTTTCACAGATTTCCATACAGGTAACATTTTGAAATATAGAGGTTTTCTGCCATTCTTTCTATTATTAGATGTTTCTTCTCAATTAGACATATTAGTTTATAGTTACTTTCCAATCATTGTTCCAAGCCATACAGCCTTGGTAATACGGAAAATCTTAAACTTGTCTCTTTCGATACATTAGTTTACCATTCATACTCTGTGACTGGTATACAGATGCTAAAAGCATTATTCCTGATGATATTTTATTCTAAGAATTCTTCTGTATATTCACATTTTTGAAAAAAAAACTAGACGAAAGGTCAAATGGATAAAAGAACATATATTAATATAATAAAGACTGCTATGACCAAAAAATCCCCTTATATGATTTGAGAATTATTATTAGGTTGGATGTTTCATGTGCAAAAAGAACACGTCCAGAGCAGTCCTTCAAATAAAGACATAACTCAATTTCTTACCAACTTGTAGTCTAAAAATAACTTTGTGGGCTCTGATGTAATTAATTAATGCTAGAGAGAGGACAGTGACTGCCAACTATGAGAAACTAAAGCAATCTATAGGATTTAAGTAATATTCCATCCCTGAATTCATTTACAAGTAAAAAGGGGCAATGTAATACACAGTCAAGACAATAGTATAATCACACAAAGTTAACTCTGACCCTTTCTGGATCACATCCCAACACTGTTAAAACCAAACCAAATAGAAGTTCTTACTATATTCAGTATAAAATGATATAAAATGTGTTCTTGGTCCCTTTAAGTAATCATGGGAGTGCCAGAAGGTAACTAATTGGAAAAGGTAAGCTGAGAGACCAGGTTAAATAAGGAAGTAGATAAATAACATCCTATATTTGTACCGTTCTTTTTTTTTTTTTTTTTTTTTTTTTTTTTTTTTGAGATGGAATCTTGCTCTGTCACCCAGGCTGGAGTGCAACGGCACGATCTTGGCTCACTGCAACCTCTGCCTCCCGGGTTCAAGCAATTCTCTGCCTCAGCCTCCCGAGTAGCTGGGATTACAGGCGCCCACCACCAAGCCCAGCTAATTTTTCTATTTTTAGTAGAGACAGGTTTTCACCATCTTGGCCAGGCTGGACTTAACTCCTGACCTTGTGATCTACCCGCCTCAGACTCCCAAAGTGCTGCCATTATAGGGGTGAAACACCACGCCCAGACTGTACAGCTCTTTTAACCACTGAAAGTGCATCCACATTCATTATTTTAACCCCATAAGAAACCTCTAAAGTGGAACAGTTATTATCTATATTCGAAAGGTACAGAAACTGTAGTACAAAGTCGTAATGTTATGATCCAGGTTGAATAGAAATTACCAGAAGAGTACAGATCAAAATCTCATTTTCAAAAAAAATCCTACGTACAAATTCTAAATGCAACAACCACCTATGACACAGGAAATTAATAACTGAGAGACCAGTGAGATGGGAGTATCACAACAGTAATGATACTGTACCATTTTGGAATGATACTATGACCTCTGAAAACCCTCCTTCCAAGCACAAAACTACCTGTGATAATAGAAGAAAAAAAAGCAAGGACTTGGCCTTACCTGGTACCTCTGAGAATGGAAGCAGGTTAGGAAGTACAGCAAGAACTAAGTGCCATGACAACCTAAGTTCCCAATCCTATGATAAGAGATTGCCTCTTCACAGTGCAATGATCACACTGTTCTAAATTGCTGTTTTCATCTTTCCCTTTCTCATTGACTTGAAATAAAGCATGATAAGGAGGTCAGAACTGCTAACCTCAGGAACAGCAAGTCTAGCATATAGGTCTGCTTTCATCTTCATATTTTCCCCCACTATTAAGTTGTGTATCTGGCTCCAAGACCCAATTCTACTTAATGGTTAAGTCTATAGGACAAAACATGGCAAAAAGAAATTTAAATTATGAGTCTAAAGCATGTATCTACGGCCAGGCGCGGTTGCTCACGCCTGTAATCCCAGCATTTTGGGCGGCCAAGGAGGGCAGATCACCTGAGGTCGGGAGTTTGAGACCAGCCTGACCAACATGGAGAAACCCTGTCTCTACTAAAAACACAAAATTAGTCAGGCATGGTGGCGCATGCCTGTAATCCCAGCTACTCAGGAGGCTAAGGCAGGAGAATTGCTTGAACCTGGGAGGCGGAGGTTGCAGTGGGCCAAGATCACGCCACTGCACTCCAGCCTGGGCAACAAGAGTGAAACTCCGTCTCAAAAAAAAAAAAAAAAAATGTATTTACAACTCAGTTTCTACATATACATTATATACATATAAGAAACATATGCATATGTATGAATGTATTTTATAAAATGCTTTGGAACGTAAATAATACTTGTTAAAAGACAAAGCAAAAGCTGAGATCTGGTATTTTATCACTCAAAGTTCTATTTTCTAGTATCTCTATGCATCTAACTCCCAAAAAATGATGTTCATAATGATGACCAAACAGGTGCTGCCAAATCCTGAAGTAGATTCTGAATCCCCCAAAACTAAACTAGAATAATGTGATTTAAAGAACAGTGTATTATATTCTAATTATCTGAATATTGGTAACTTGTGTCCTAGCCTTTACTAAACAATACTCTATCCTTTCATCATGATGGATTAGAGATTTTTATTATAGTATTTTGCTATAAATGGCAATTATGATAGTTTCCATTTATTGTTGCGTATTCTGTACCAGTTTTTCATGTATGATTAAACAGTCATCAGTGAAGATGAGGAATTATCAGATACTCTGATTACAGAAGAAAGAGACTGAGAGTAAGTACAGTGTTGACTACTCTTCCACAGTTATCTTTGTTAGTTTTGTAACCTCTACAAAAATGATCTTACAAGATAAGAATATACAAATGAAGAAACAGGTCCAGAAATGCTAAGTCTTTCAACATTATATAGCTAAATAAATAGAAGAAGCACCTGGCTTCAAAACTCACAGTCTTTTTTTGCCCTATATTTCCAGTCTGAAGAAAGAATAAAGGCAGGGTATAATACTTTAAATTCCAAATAGTTGGCACTGAATAGTCAGCTAAGACATGGATAAATATCTGGTACTGGGACAGAAGGTGGTTTTGTTCTACCTATAGGAGGTATATAGTCCTGTCATTCCAGGAAAGAAGTTGAAAAGAGGTACAATATACTGATGTATCACATTCAATCTGTTGCCAGATCCATGTTACTATTCAGGAAAAAAGAGTTGAGGAAGAAAAGAAAAACAGGTGACACATCTAAGTACTTCCTATGTGCTCATTACTTAACTAGTTCACAGCATTTTTAATAATTCAAGAATCAATTTGCAAATACCCAGATAACAGTTCTAACTGTTATTTCAAAGCCTTAACTACTTCTAGTAAATTGTTAAGGAATTTTAGATTTTTCCTCTCAAAACTGTGAGAGTAATAATAAAAATCTTCCATATTATCTTGAAAGAAACTATAGCAAATAGAAAAAGAGCCTGATGTTAGATGTCTCAAGTTTACTGGTGCATTTTTTTTTTAAGCTATGGTGTTTCAAGGGGATTTGTGTATGAACATAGGTAACAAATATCGTCAGGCACGGTGGCTTACGTCTGTAATCCCAGCACTGTGGGAGGCTGAGGCGGGTGGATTGCTTGGACCCAGGAGTTCAAAACCAGCCTAGGGCAACACAGCAAGACCCCATCTCTACAAAAAATACAAAAATTAGTTAGGTGTGGTGGCATGCACGTGTAGTCTCAGCTACTCAGGGTGCTGAGGTGACAGAATCACCTGAGCCTGGGGAGGTTGAGGCTGCAGTGAGCCATGATCGCCACTGCACTCCAGCCTGGGTGACAGAGTAAGACTCTGAGACCCTGTCTAAAAACAAAAACAAATGTCAAATTCAGGGCAATTTTTCTAAATGAGGTAATCTTATAAGAGGTATTAGTGATATCAAAAGCTCAAACAAGAAGGCTAAAGATTCAGTTTATTACAGTAGTTAAAAGCATGGACTATGAAATCAGACTGTGTAACTGGAACTAGTTATTGAACTTGTCTGTACCTTGGTTTCCTCATCTTTAAAAACAAGGAAATAGCTGTATAGCTGCCTGTAAGAGTTGCTTTAAAATTTGAACAAGACAACTAATATAAACAATTCGAAAAGGCTGACAGATGGCAAACACTCTGGAAGTACGGTCATATACCATATAACAAGATTTCAGTCAACAAGGGACTACATGCCGATGGTAGTCCCACAAGACTATAATGGAGCTGAAAAATTCCTATCACCCAGTGATGATGTAGGTGTCTTAACATCACAGCACAATACATTACCTTTTTTACGTCTAGATATGTTTAGACTCAAATGCCATTGTATTACAATTGTCTATTTACTACAGTAACATGCTGTACAGGTTTCTAGCCTGGGAACAACAGGCTATACCTTATAGCCTAGGTGTATAGTGCTGTACCATCTAGGTTTGTGTAAGTGCACTTCATGATGTTCCCACAACAACAAAATCACCTAATGATGCATTTCTCAGAACATATTCCCGTAGTTAAGAGATACGTAGTTTTAATAGAATTATTCTAAAATGCATAAAAAATTACCAAACCATTAGAAGAATTTAGTATATTCTGACCTCAAATACTACAAGGCTTTGTACTAATTATTAACCAAAATAAGAATATCTCTACTACAAATTCATGGAAAAGACAGGAAAGTAGGCATAGATAAATGGGAAGTGGACCAAATATCTTTCAAATTCATTGAATTTGTTTACTTAAAATAGCATGTCATGCTGGTAATATGCTTGGATCAATAAAAACAGATTGGCTTTGGTAAAATAGATGTAAAATGGGGAAATACTGGAAAACAGCTGTAAGCATGTATATGCTTATCCTGTAAGATGATTTCCTAACGTATGAAATCCAAACTATTAACCATGGGATTCAACCTCTATCAGATGTCACGTTTCATTTTCCATTGCCCTGTCTCAGTCAACCCTTTTAACTCTCTACCTCCATATGCTCTGTGCCTGCCTCTCTTATCTACCCAGGCAGACCTCTATCTTATATTACACCATATGATATTGCAATTGTCTTATATGCCTAGTTTTTCCTACTGGATTTGAGCTTTCAGTGAGATTAGGAACTATGTCTTGACTATCTTTGTGTCTGTTGTGTCTAGCACAGGACTTATCACAAAGCAAATGCTCAGTATACATTTAGTGAATAAATGATTTTAAAATGAATGATTCTCAAAAATCAATTATTAAAAAAAAATCACAGAAAAGAAACCCAGATCACTTATGGCCAACCTTAAAAGGTATCACTTTCTTTTTTTACACAAAAACTAATACTTTACTTCATGAAAATATGTTCTGAAATATGAGACCATTCAAGTCTGTATCTCTTAAAATGTTCAGTGTTATTTGGTAATAAAAGCATAAGGAATAATACAATAAATATCCTTATTTCGAATACACAGCCTGAGAAATGAAACATTAACAACAGTTTTAAGTTGCATAATACTTGTTTTCTAGCTTTCTGTTGATTTTATAGGGCAAAACCAAAGACAATTTTAAAGTGTAAGCATTTAAATAAATAAAAGTACACCATTGTGCTTTGTTTCCTTAACTTACTTTTCTGTTTTGAAGAATATTGCACAACCATCTACATGCTTTCTCTCCTGCTCAGACATGATTTTGGCACGTGACTTTGGAGAAAAAAATCCATCATATCCACGCTCCTTCAATGCTGGCAGAAAGAGAGTGAAGTATTGCTCTGTTTCCACTTCCTGAGATGAAAGAAAAGTTATCATCTATATGACAGAGGGAAAATGCTGATTAAGATATAAAAATGTTCAGCATTATGAGTAAGATGTAACTTAGTAAAAATAATTCACATAGCAAATATTATCTTACTATCTTACCTGATTGCTAGCAGCTGCTACTTGACAATGGCAGCTTTTTAAACATGAAAGAACCAGAAAGGTGACATGATTTTCTCATGCTCACACAGATAGTAACAGGAGTAGGACTACATCCCAAGGTCTCTTGATTCCCAATTTACAGTTCACTCCATTATACTTTACTTCCTCAAGACTGGCAACTAAACAAAGCAAGTTGGGTATATGATAGATTCTGTGATAGGGAATAGTAATTTATATATAAAAAGGTAATTTAAAAACTTGCATATCCTTCTGAACTATGGTGGAAAGAAATGATACCCAAGAGTGAGAAACGTAAAATCTATCCACAAAAAATTCTACTTTAAGAAATTTTTAAGTACCTAAATCGCAATCATCCAATGGCCTCTATTAATTTAATAATTATTAGTCTATTTTATTCTTTGACTCATAAAATATTTTAACAGGTCTTTCTAAATGAAATAAATATGAAGATAATTTATGTATGCAGATGTTTCTAACAGCATGAGTTTATGACAGCAAAAACCCATAAACAACTAAATGTGTCCAATGGTATGGGAAAAGCTACATCAATATACGTTCATATAATTAATGAGTTTTGAAGAATTTTAGTAACATGGAAAATCCATTAAGTACAATAAATAAGAATCAAAATGTATCTGTAAATATATTTTACTTAATGTATAGAAGAAAAATACTCCAGAAGTTTTAACACAACTATCTTATGACATGAAATTAGGTATTTCCCTCCATCATGCTTTATATTTTTTCAAAATTTTCAACTTCTCTAGAATGATCTCTTTTTAATACAGTATAGTATTATAGCATTGCTTTTATAATAAGACAATTTTCTTAAATTATGTTCTATCCTTCAAACTGCTATATTTAGGAGGGTGTGAGGCTGTTATCACTACAAATACTAAACCAAGAAGTAGACAAGAAACTACAATAGCCTGATTTTGTTTGCCGCCTCCTCTCCCCAATTCTCTGTTAGTCTCAGTATTTAGAAGAAATTTTATTTTAATTTTAAAAGATTTTTACTTTTTTCCCAAGCAACCTAAAAATAAATTATCAAGCTACTCTGTTACATAAAAAAATTTTTAATAATTTTTCCTCTCAGGCTATGATGAAAAGAATGTGTGAAATTGTAACACACAACTTTTTTTTTTTTTTTTTTTTTTTTTTTTTTTTTGAGACAGAATCTCGCTCTGCCATCCAGGCTGGAGTGCAGTGGTGCAATCTCTGATCACTGCAACCTCTGCTTCCTGGGTTCAAGCAATTCTCATGCCTCAGGCTCCCAAGTAGTTGGGATGACAGGTGCACGCCACCTTGCCTGGCTAATTTTTGCATTTTTAGTAGATATGGGGTTTCACCACGCTGGCCAGGCTGGTCTCAAACTCTTGACCCCAAGGGATCCACCCGCCTCGGCCTCCCAGAGTACTGGGACTATAGGCGTGAGCCACCATGCCCGGCCTGTAACACACAACATTTTTAAACACCTTTAAGAAATAGTAAGTTTCTGAGTTGATGAATATGTTAATTAGCCTCATTTGATCATTTAAAAAAATATATATGTATCAAAACATCACAATGTACCCCATAAACATATACAATTATTTGTCAATTAAAAATTTTTAAACCTTTAAGCACTTAATATGTTTTGAAAGTTGCTAAGAAAAAAGTTACTAAAAACTATTCAAACATCTTTTTGGCTAATCATTAGCTAAATTTTGAAGCAACAGAACACATTTCATGAAAAGATGCTGCTTCTTCAGTAAAGTTCAATTTATAAAGTGCTATAAAACAGAAGAATCTAAATTTCAGAGATGGTTTATAAAGTAAGGTAAGGCAAATATGCATGATTTATAGTACAATATATTAAAATATGTCTGTTTAAGGAATAACTGTGGGCAAGCTTTTTTTTTTAAAAAAAAACAGACTCCAATACAAGGTAAATTTATATTCCTAAAAGACTGGCAATCTTCTGTGGTTTTCTCTTTCAGCAATACCAATGATCATGAGGTGAATATTAACATGAACGGGTAAGATTATTTCCACTTAAGAAAACAGTAAATAAATATAAGTAGGTGGTTGTATTCAGTCAGCAAAATAGTTTCACTATGGAAATGTCTTAAATGCTTATTTAAATTGTCCATTATTTTTAAGAGGAGAGAAAACAATTCTTTTTGAGCTTTGGCTCTAAACACAGGATCTCTCCCAGTGGTCAGATCTTCTCTTATGTTTAAGTTCACCTTTTAAGTTAAAGACAGTTTAATTTCTATGGTGTTACCTGAAGACTAATGATATCTGCGTCACAGTTAACAATTTCTTCCATAATTCCCTTTTTCCTGTATTCCCAGTTTAATGCCCAGGATGGGCAATAGCCATATAGCTGCCGGGTAGCGTATTTATCACATAACACATTGTAACACATAACCGTGAATGATGCTAAGAAGTGGGAGAAAAAACAACAGACAAACGGGAGAAAATTAGGCAACTTTTTCTAAAGCAATATCATGTGTACACCTGCACAAGCACACACACATACGCCACATATCATCATTGTAAAATGCCTAGGCAAGATAAAGATTGCTAATCTACTAAAACATCATTGGAGTCTATCATACAAAATTTATTTTATTAAGTCTAGAATTAGACTAACAGCTTATATTTGAGAGTTTTAAGGAAATTTATTTTAATAAAAAATTTAAATTTTAAATCTGCTAATTTTTTGCTTATAACTTTGAGAAAAGCTTCTTTAAATGAGTGGAACAAAAGTAAACTGTAGTTGCATTTTAATTAAAGAACTCTAATCTCATTACCTCTTATTAACAAAATATCTAAGTATTTTTTGTGCCTCCTACTGCTATCATTACTTTGAAGCAGAAGAGTATGGACTAACAAAATTTAGTTGTAAGAGAATCGTTTTTGTCAATCAAATGTTCATTTCTGAAATAAAATGCTCATTTTTAAATGTCCTTTAACTATAAAAAGACTGTGAGCAAACTAATAGTAGAAGATGGTTTGCATCCTTGCTACTCAAAACTGTGCTGTGAAGACCAGCAGCATCAGTAATCAATCACCTGGGAATTTAGAAATGCAGAATCTGTGGCCCCATAAACACCTCTTTTGGACAGGATGTGCAATTTAACAAAATCTCCAGGTGATTCATATGCACTTGCATGTTAAAGTCTGAAAAGCCCTGATTTTTATCAGTAATTCTCCATCTTGGCTGCCTAGTAGAATCACTTTGTAGACCTTATAAAGAAAAATGCTGAAGTAAGGGTCTGACTCCAGACTAATTAAGTTGAAATATTAAGAGTCTAGCTATTCGTATTTTTAAAAAGGATCCCAGCATCCCAGGTGATTATAATGAACAGACATGGTTGAGAATCACTTATTTAAATAAGACGTGAGGAATTCAAAGTGAAGTGACACTTGATTGAAGTTGGTTCTGTTTCAGATGATGGAAAAGGTATTAAGAGAAACTCAGTTCAGTCCCCTGGGGGGTCTGACTGGTGACCATTTTGTACACTGGGAGCTAAATTTCAATTTGAGTTGACTTTTGTACTTTCTGAGTATTTATCTTGGAAATGACCCAGCATCATTTCCAAGCCACTACACTGTGAAGTAAGCACCCTGAATTTACCTTACTATGCTTCTCAGTATTTGAAATGTCATTTGGAAGTAAGGCGAAAGAGGCAGACTGCCATTTGCTTCATTCAGTTTTTTCCTAAGACTTTGTAAACTGAGATTTCATTAAAAAGATCAGAGATTGCAATTTTTATAATATAGCCAAAACTCTTTATATCCCTGCCAGTGCCTGAGAATGAACCAGCAATTTTTAAACAGAAGTAAAAACTACCTAAGTGTTATTACCACTCATCTCTTATACTCTGTTTCTATCTGGGACCTTTTTCATTATCTAGGCTTGATTTCCATATAGTTTATCATGTTTTTAAGCAATAAATCACCCTTAGCCACCACAAAGTATTATACACATCCCTCTATGCATCAGAAGTAAAATGCATTTTTAACAGTAACTTTTTTTCAGCACTCAGATCCTACTCAGAGAAGCACCATACCTCACAAGAAAAGTCCACACTAGTTTTTCAATAAAGAAAACCCAAGAACAGATTACTTTGAGAATTCAGCAATTAATGAAAATTTGTTTCTATTGTTCCTTTTCTTAATAGAAATGTAGCTGTGCAATATTAGAAAATCTTTTCTTCAAGATTATGTTCACTCATATTCAAAAGGGATTACTATGAAGAATTAGAAAATGGTGTTTTTAACATCAGAAGGGAATAATTAATTATACACTAGGAAAGGCCAAGTATAAAATAAATCTATCTAGCTTTAAGTTTTGTAGAAAACCTTAGGTACTCCTTTCACTTAAACACCAACATGCAACCTGATAGTAAAAATGTTATTCATAACACTGACACAATGCCTCTTAAAACAAGCTGATATTGCAGCTCTAGAGTGGGTTGGTTTTAAAATTATTACCTCTGAAAGACACAAAAATGTACTGCATATTATAATATTTTGTAGTGTTATTAAAATGCAAATAGAACCATGAAGAGGCTATATATCCCACATTTCCAAATACTAAAAAAAAAAAAGACTTGTTCTGAATCCTCTTAACTTAAAAAAAGCCCAAAACTCACAAACAAAAGGCCTTTATATTGCTCAAAATATATATAAAGTCTAATTGTGATTTACCCTTTAAAAATTAACTATCTCTTTTTTTGAGACAGGGTCTTGCTCTGTCTCCTAGGCTGGAGTGCAATGGCAAA
This sequence comes from Homo sapiens, assembly GCF_000001405.40. Classification (NCBI taxonomy): domain Eukaryota; kingdom Metazoa; phylum Chordata; class Mammalia; order Primates; family Hominidae; genus Homo; species Homo sapiens. Next base: position 77,747,227 of record NC_000004.12, read on the forward strand.
ATCTTGGCTCACTGTATGTAAACTCCGCATCCCAGGTTCAAGCGATTCTCGTGCCTCAGCCTCCTAAGTAGCTGGGATTACAGGAGTGCGCTACCACGACCTGGCTAATTTTTGTGTTTTTAGTAGAGATGGGGTTTCACCATGCTGGCCAAGCTAATCTTGAACTCCTGGCCTCAACAGATCTGCCCGCCTTGGCCTCCCAATGTGCTGGGATTACAGGCATGAGCCACAGTGCCCAGCCAAAATCTATTAATGTAGTACTATTCTGTGACTGGTTTAATCTTCATATCCAAACACTTAGAATTTTCATTTAATTTTAAAATGAAATTAGATATCATGAAAATTATTACTCTTGTGATTAAAAAAAAGACATTTCGAAAAACGGTAATTCATAACTTATTTTAAGTAGAATTCCCAAGCCTAAAATGTCAAATATGAAGAAGCTTTATAAATGTCAAACCATTATTGGTCCCTGCAAACAGATAAAGGCTTATGTTTTCTACATTACTTCAGTTCTAGAAATGCTAGATTATATCCTTATATTGCTCAAATACTATGTACTACTTCTACACCCCTGGGCTGGTATTATACTTTGTTGCCAGTATAGTAAATATATGTCTAGTCTACATTATTCTTCCATAAATGTTATCTATCTCTCAAGAAAGATCAAGTACTTCTCAGTAGTTTAAAATTTTTCACAAGAAATATCATTGTTCTCATTTTTCTTAAATCACCCAATACTCTCTATGAAGATGCCATTTGGAAAGCTGTATTATAGAAATAATTTTAAAACCAAGGGCTGCATTACTTAAATCTTAAATCACCCAATACTCTCTATGAAGATGCTATTTGGAAAGCTGTATTACAGAAATAATTTTAAAACCAAGGGCTGCATTACTGTGAAAGATATAAGACACCTATTGACAGGTCTATCTTAATGTGGACTTTTTAAAAGTCTATCCATCAGTATTTTTAAATGCATCTACCCATGAAAGGTAAAAATGAAGTCTTATTTATTACAGATCATGAAGCCCAAATAACATTTTAAGAATTTCTGAAAAAAAAGGAAGAATAAGAAAAACTATTTACCTGACGGCAGAATTTGGTCTCGTTCTTTTAATGTAATCCATGGCCTCGGAGGAAGCTGCTCTGGATGAACTGAAAAAAATTTTGTAAATATAGGTTAATTTCATGTGTTTCTGAAATCTGAAATGTGTTTATAATGTCAAAAACACTTCTGTTTTCTATTCTGCTGTAACGGCCTGCAAACTGACTTAATCTAATGCTGAAATTTAATGAAGATTAAGGAGCCAAAGGAAATTTCAGAAAAGCTATGCAGAGAACACAGAACTAATACAAGAAAATAACATTAGGAAATTCATTAATGGCATTTTCACTTACATGGTATTTACGAAAAGTACCTATTTAAAACCCTATGTAAAATCTTAAGTTTCTAATTATATATGTAAATTGTATTGACTTAGCCTTGTGGGAAATCAAAGCCATCTGAAATTCCAACCCTGATGAATTAAAATACTCAAACATCTTTAAAACAGAAAAAAGTACATATGGATGTATTAAAGTTAGTGAATTTTCTAGTGGGGCCTTCATTTTCTGATTTTACTCTTTTATAATGTCAGCACAAAACAAGAGATAAGGATAGAACCACATTATGCAGAAAAAAGGTAGGCACTTGTTAGACATTAATTGCTCAGATATGGTTATCAATACTATGGAACTAAATGCTACCTAACTACCAGATGAGTTAAGATTTAACTACCCCCTTTTCTTTTCCTTTCAAAATCTTTGAAATTACAGTACAACTTGATTCAAGTTTGCAGATTTGCCCATGGCATTAATGGCTGAGAAATGTATTCCCTTAAAACAACACTCCATCTTTATCTAGCCACAGAAATTTTGACCAAAGTAGCCCAGATCTTTAAAACTGTCACTTTATTAACAGTTTTGGTGTTCTGAAAGTCTACCTATATGATACTCTGTTTTAGCAGCCATACTTTTCACAGAGTAGAATGAACTCTATTTCATATATTCCATATCTTGCCAGGAAAGAAAAGAAGGTTATAAGATGACAGACAAATCATCCAGCTTGTTCAACATACTGAATCCCAGAAAACAATCTTCTGGCTATGTGAGTGCCATGGCAGAGTCACAGCAAGTGTCTCAAAAATGAAAAATCTAATATAGAAACAGAAAGAGTAAACAAAAAAATTTCTAGCTATTGGGATCCTTAATTAGCAAAATCTACCTAAGCTGGCTTGCTTAAAAATTCAGAAATCCAGAAACTTCTAAAATAAAACAGGTAATATAATATCAACATTTTGGTGCTTCCAAATCTTAACTAGTGTATCACAATGTAGCAGTTTAAGTATAACGCAATCAACAATATCCAAAGAGCCAAAAACATAATATGAGCGAATACTCTATCTCACTACTAACCAGCAAAATTAAAAAAGATGAGATGGCATATTTGTTACCCAAGTTCACGCAAAATTTTTAAGTTCAATAACATCCAGGACTGGTGATGGCGATAAACAGCATGTACAGCTGGTAGGAATATAAATTAGTACAGCTATCTTGAGAACAAACTGGCATCTTTTAAAATTTAAAACACCCATGTCCCTATGACTGAGTAAAATTCTATTTCCTGGGATCAGCCCTATCTTCTTTAAGCAGGATTCAAAAAGATATCCATTACAGCATTGTTTATATTAACGAAAGCAATAGTAAATGGCTAAATAATATCCATTTTAAGAAAGTCTATGCTATAGTTTAAAAAGATAAATATGTATTCAAGTGGAAATATATCCATGGAATACTGTTGAGTAAAAAGAAGTAGAAAAAAATAGAATAACAAAATGTGATATATTTTATTTAAAAATGTTTAAACCATACACTAAAAGTTATAGTATAAAATTTCTGCTGGTATAATTTTTGTATGTAAATGCCTACCAGAAAGTAAAAGGATATACACCCAACTCACAAGTATGATTACCTGCATGGAAGGGACTGTGATTAAAAGTAATGATTAAAAGAAATTTTAATCATAACAGGAATTTTAACTTTTTTTACAAAAGGATAATATATTCATGTGAGACATGCATTTAAAGTCAGTTTGTTTTTTTTTGAGACAGTCTTGCTCTGTCACCCAGGCTGGAGTGCAGTGGCGCCATCTCAGCTCACTGCAAGTTCCGCCTCCCGGGTTCACGCCATTCTCCTGCCTCAGCCTCCCGAGTAGCTGGGACTACTGGCGCCCACCACCACACCCAGCTAATTTTTTTTGTATTTTCAGTAGAGACGTGGTTTCACCATGTTAGCCAGGATGGTCTCGATCTCCTGATCTTGTGATCCGCCTGCCTCAGCCTCCCAAAGTGCTGGGATTACAGGCGTGAGCCACTGCACCTGGCCTAAAGTCAGGTTTTTTAAAGATGAAACTACATGGCCAAATGATATCACCAATGATATGACAAAACAAAGAAATAAAGAGTTATATGGGCTACTATCACATACAATAAATAAATATATTGGTGACCCAATCTTCAACAGAGCTCAAGAGAGCCAACCTTCCTCCCCACACCTAACACTGACTGGCAGCACTAGGCCTGATCTGCCTACAGTGCAGGTGTCAGCTGAACCTGAAGAGACAAACCAAATCTACATGCTAAACCTAAACAGGGTAACTGTCTGCTGAAATCACAGATTTAAAAAGCATCAGAAGTCTCCTAACATAATATCCAAAATGTCCAGGGTACAAATAAAAAGCACTGGTCATACCAAGAACCAGGAAAATCACAACTTAAGTGTTAAAAGACCAACAGACACCAACACTGAGCTGAATCAGATGTTGAAATATCTGACAGATTTTAGAACAGCCATCATAAAACTGCTTGAACAAGTAATTACAAATATCCCTGAAAAGAATAGAAAAATCCAGCAAATACAGAGAAATTATTATTTTAAAAGTATCAAATAGATATTATCCAACTGAAAAATACAATAACTTAAATTTTAAAAGTCATTGGAAAGGCACAATAATAAAGATGCCAAAAGATAAAAATCAGTGAACTTGAGAACGAATCAGGAGAACTTAGTCTGAAAAACAAAAAGAAAACAGACTGAAACAAATGAACAGAGCCTGAAAAAACCTGTGGAACTATAATTTTTTAAAAATATCTAGATTAGTATTATCAGAGTTCCAGAAGGACAGGAGAAAGGATGTGGAGCTAAAAAAGTATTCTATGAGAGAACAGGTGAACATTTCCAAATTTATGTGAAAGACTTACACCTAACAAATTTAAGAAGGTGAGTAAACTTCAAATATCAAGAGCCCAAAGAAATCCATGCTAAGACAGATCGTAACTAAACTTCTGAAAACTAAAGAACGAACCTTAAAAACATCAGACAGAAATAGCATATTACCTATAGGACATCAACTCAAATGACACTAGATTTCTTTTAAGAAACCATGAAAGCCTAAGGAAGTGGTACAATATTTTTCAAGGACTGAAAGAAAAGAACTGTCAACTGGAAATTCTGTATCCAGAAAAACTATCCTTCAGAAATCAAGGGGAAATAAAGATGTTAACAGACAAAGGAAAACACTTCCATTGCTAGCAGACCTGCCCTTAAAAAATAGCTAAAAGAGGGCCAGATGCAGTGGATTACACCTATAATCCCAGCACCTTGGAAGGCTGAGATGGGAAGATCACTTGAGGCCAGGAGTTTAAGACCAGCCTGGCCAACATAGTGAGATCCCATCTCTACAAAAATATTAAAAAATTAGCCAGACGTGGTGACGGGAGCCTGTAGTCCCTAGCCACTTGGGAGGCTAAGATAGGAGGATCACTTCAGCCCAGGAGTTGGAGGCTGCAGTGAGCTAAGGAAACTCTCTAAATATCAAGGAAAACAGAAATGGAACACCAAAAAAGGAAAGAACAAGGAATCAGTAAAGTAAATGTGCAGCAAGATAGAAAGTTTGAATAACCATGAATATAAAACACATGAAAATACACCCTAAGTATATGTAATTGAAAAGCTGAAATAACTACAAGAAGAAAGACAAACCTACCATTTTGACATAGCTTTATTGGTAATGAATAAAACCAAAGTAATCATTAAGTACATCTAACACATTCAAACAATATAATGAACAAACAAACTAACATATAGGATACTGCATCTAATGAGAAGAGACATTCTTCTCAAGTGCATACTTAATTACAAAAATTAATCATCTGCAGAGGTAATAAATATTTTTAACATTTAAATTAATCAAGATATGTTCTCTAACCACCATGGAATTAAGCTAGGAACCTATGACAAAGAAAACTGGAAGAACTCCTCTGAAAATAAAGAAACAAGTTTCTAAATGACTCACAGGCCAAGGAAGAAATAAGGGCTATTAGAAAATATGCTGAACTGAATGATAATGAAAATAATACAAACTAAAGCTTGTGAGATACAGCTAAAAGCCACTTTAGAGAAATATTTATACATAAATATATACATAAATATATTTGAGGAAAAAAAAGCAAGACTGGAAATTAAGGCATGTTCACCTTAAGCTAGAAAAAGAATACCAAATGAAACCAGAAGGAAGAAATAAAGAAATTAATAATATTGAAAACAAACATACAATAAAGAAGACCAATGAAGCTAAAAGTTGGTTCTTCTTTTCAAAGAAAATATTAATAAATGCCTGCATAATTTATCATCTGCATAAATTAATATCTGAAATGGAAAAAAGACATCACTACACAACCTATGGATATTAAGACATCATAAAATATTCTGAACAACTTTCGGCCCGTAAATTTGAAGATTTACATAAAATGGGCAAATTTCCAGAAAACACAACTTTCAGAAACTCATAGAAAGAGAAATGGAAATCAGAATAGTACTATAATTATTAAAGAAATTAAATCAGTAATTTAAAACTTCCTACCAGAAAAAAAAAAAAAACCCAGAAAGAAAAAAAAAATTCAACCTTAAATAAATTCTTCCAAACAACAGAAAATAAGGAAATACTTAAATAAATTTTACAAAACCAGTGTAACTTTAATATCACAACTTGACAAGGACACTGAAGAAAAAGAAGTACTGGCCAATTTCAGTCATAAACACAGATGCAAAAAATCCTATATAGGCTGGGCGCACTGGCTCAAACCTGTAATCCCAACATTTTGAGAAGCCAAGGTGAGCTGATTGCTTGAGGTCAGGAGTTCGAGACCAGCCTGGCCAACATGACGAAACCCTGTTTCTACTAAAAACATAAAAATTAGCTAGGCGTGGTGGTGTGTGCCTCTAATCCCAGCTACTCAGGAGGCTGAAGCAGGAGAATCGCTTGAACCTGGGAAGTGGAGGTTGCAGTGAGTCGAGATCATGCCACTGTACTCCAGCCTGGGTGACAGAGCATAACTCCATCTCATAAAAATAAATAAATAAATAAATAAATCCTAAATAAAATATTAGCAAACTGAATCTAGGGTATAAAAAGATAATAATTTATCATAATCTTGTTGGCTTTATTCTAGGAATACCAAAGGTGGTATAACATACAAAAAAACCATCAATATAATTACCATATTAAAGGATAAAAATAATCTACTCATCTTAATAAAGAAAAGCATCTGATAAATTTCAAAATCTACTCATGTTAAAAAAAAAAAAAAAAAACTTGCCTAGCAAACCAGGAATAGAAAAAACTTCCTTCATCTGATGAAGTTTATCTATACAAAAACTACAGTGAATATGATACTTAATCAAAAATTATGAAATTAGACAAGGATGCCCATTATCACCACTTTTAGCTAGTTAGTGCAGTAAGAGCAGGTTGGCAAGAAAATTAAAAGGATTAGAAATGGAGTAATACAACTCTCATTACTTGCAGATGACATAATTGTATACATTAAAATAAAAAATGCATTAGCATTAAAAACTATTTAGCAAAGTGGTTGAATATGTTCTTTAGCAAGGCATTTAGTGTTTAGGAAGATGACTGAATACCAAAAAATATACAAAACTCAATTGTATTCCATTAATCAGTAACAACCATTAAGTTAGATAAATCTTTAAAATGACTATTTTTAAGCGAATTAAGAAGTTAGTATTTAGAATAAATGTAATACAATATGGGCAAGCCCACTACATAGAAACTTAAAACTACTGAGAGAAATTATAAAAAGCGTAACAAATAGAATAGGATCCACTGTTGTAAACATATCAATTATTTCCAAAGCCATCTATAGATTCAATATAATCCCAAATAAAATCTCTACATTTTAGAGAGGGGAGAGATTTAAAAACCTCGTTCTAAAAATTTTAATAAAAATACAAGGTAAAAGAACACAGATGCCAGAACTAGCCAAAATTCTTTAGAATAGGTCAAGGGGGAAGACTTACTCTACTGGATCTCAAGACTTTTTATAAAGCTGTCCATAATTAAACACTGTTACATTGCTATAAAGACTCATGGAAGAGAATAAAGAATCCAGAAATAGACCTACACATACATTGACACCTGATTTATGACAAAGATGACATTAAAAAACAATAGTGAAAGGACAACCTAATCAATAAATGGCTCAGAGTCAATATAAAATACATATGGAAAAGTCATAAAACCTAATTCTAAACATTAGAAGTAAAAAAAAAAAAAAAAAAAAAAAAACCGGTTTCTAGATAATGACATAGGAGAATATATTCATGATCTTGTGGTATCAAAAAATTCTTAAAAAGGATAAAAGCGGTACCATAACAAAAAAGATCAACAAATTGGACTGGAGTACATTAAAATTTTTCTGTTTGTCAAAAGACAAATTAAGAGAACGAAAAATTTAATAATAGCATGGGAGCACATATTTGCAACATATTACCAAAAAAAAGCTTACATCTAAAACATACAAGAACTCCTTACAAATGACACACACACAGCACACACATATGGCTGGATTGACTGGCTACATCTATAGAGACAAGAGTTTTTTTTTTTTTTTTTTTTTTTTTTTTTTTTTTTGAGACGGAGTCTCGCTCTGTCGCCCAGGCTGGAGTGCAGTGGCGCAATCTCGGGTTCAAGCGATTCTCCTGCCTCAACCTCCCAAGTAGCTGGGACTACAGGCACGTGCCACCACACCTGGCTGATTTTTTGTATTTTTAGTAGAGATGAGGTTTCACCGTGTTAGCCAGATTGTCTCGATCTCTTGACCTCGTGATCTCCCCACTTGGCCTCCCAAAGTGCTGGGATTACAGGCGTGAGCCACCATGCCCGGCCGAGATATTTAATTTTAAAGTAAGTTAGAAACAGCATACACATGCTATGTATACAGCTTCATTAAATTGCCACATATTCCTAATTCTTTACTAAGAACGCCTCTATAATAAATTTGCTGATTTCTATTGATCAACTTTTAGTCTTTTTAGCCATAAACTTTTCAGATAATATTAATTTAGTTTTACCTTATTATAAACCTTACTTTATGTGAAGGAGTGGGGAAGAAGGGCGTCTTACGATAAAGAGAATTTTAAAAGAATATAGCCAAAATGTCATCATGGCCACTATGCTGGAACTTATGATTTTTCTAGCTGTTTCAGAATTCTGTTATTTCAGAAAGACATCATGCTAAGAAAAATATTTGTATGCAGTAGTATCTCCATACTTTTACTCATATTTTCAGAGCTTAGGCAAAAAAAAAAAAAAGTTTTAAATCAAATACCTAATAGTCTTCTTTTTTTGTTTTTGTTTTTAATATATATTTTTTTGAGACAGAGTCACGCTCTGTCACCCAGGCTGGAGTGCAGCGGCACGATCTCAGCTGACTGCAGCCTCTGCTTCCCAGGTTCAAGGGATTCTCCTGTCTCAGCCTCCAGAGAAGCTTGGATTACAGGCACGCACCACCACGCCTGGCTAATTTTTGTATGTTTAGTAGAGACGTTTCACCATGGTTTCACCATGTTGGCCAGGCTGGTCTCAGAACTCCTGACCTCAGGTGATCCGCCTTCCTCGGCCACACAAAGTGCTAGGATTACAAGTGTGAGCCACCACATCCAGCCTGGTATTCTTATAGAAGAAAACTTCCATTTGGAATACAATGATTTTAAATTGTATTTAAATAAATCTGGTGTTCTTAATTTAAAACCTAGCTGCAAAATTTCCACAAACGTGTAATGAATCAAACTAGTCATTTCATTCATTAAAAATGTGTAAAATGTGTGGGTTCCAAGTCATTTGCATCAAATGCAAACAACTAATAACTGTGTATTTTTGTGATTAAGAGCAAGATAATCTTAGATTCACAGCTCTGGCACTGATTAGCTATGTATAAATAAATTACTTTAGTCTCTGAATCTCAGAATTTGCATCTCTAAACTGTGAGTTAAAGTTCCTATGTCCTAGGTTCTTAAACAAAATAATGCAACTAATCTCCTAACATATTGCTTGGTAAATAGAAAACATTCAGTATATGAAAAGAAGAATGTTCCACTAACGTAGGATATACAATGGAAGGAACTCCAAACCCATAGGCAATTATAAAAAACAGTCAGATGCTCTTGAGGAACATATATTAGCTAGTTCATAATATCTGTAGAATTTATTTTACAGCTTTGTCACTAACAGTTACCTGCGAGATTGTCAAGCATGAAGTTCAGTAGCTTTCGGGTTCCATCTGGGTCCTGGTATAAGTTGAGAATATCCTGTGATAAAGGATTGCCTAAAGCAGAAGACAAAAATAAAACCTTTAAAACTTATAACTGCAAGGCAAGACAGAAATGTATACTATAAAATAAAATACTAATTTCTTAAATTCAATTTCTTAAATTGAATTCTACTATATTTAATCTATTATATACATTTAAAAATGTATGTGTAAATAAATATTTTCTTTAAGAACTCTAAAATTTGGGCTTGTCCAAAACATATATACACATATACATAAAAGCATATATATTAATCATAGTCAATTCTGAAGTAATATCACAACCTGGCACCTTGAAGTAATCCTATAGGTTCTACATTAATCTTTGAAAACCTGCATTTATCTTTTAAGACCACAGACAAACTCAAATAGCCATATAGGAGAAAGAATGAGTGATATCTTAAAAAAGAAGGGTCTTCGTAGAATATTTATATTACATATAGGGAAAACAAACGTATTTCAAGTAAGAAGAAAATGTGTTACCAAGATATGTGAGTGAAATGTGAGAAGAAAAGAATTTTGTTATAACAGTAATTAGGAATGTGTGAGTACTAAGAGTACAGATTTATCATACATCAAAGAACACACTATTGGTAACAGACTATATAGTCCCTTAAGAAATAAAGGAGGTATTCATTAAGACAAGCATGCAACAACAGTCTAGCATCCAAATTTGAAAAAATAAAAACCAAAGAACTTCCAAAATTGAAGGTTCTGTTAAATAACAAATCAACCAAACCTTCAATGCAACACATACCCACCAGCACAGCTACAAATTTTTTTGAGACAGTCTCACTCTGTTGCCTGGGCTGGAGTGCACTGGCACAATCTGGGCTCACTGTAACCTCCAGCTTCCGGGTTCAAGTGATTCTCGTGCCTCAGCCTCCCAAGCAGATGGGGACTACAAGTGCCCGCCACCACGCCCACTAATTTTTGTATTTTTAGTAGAGACAAGGTTTTATCATGTTGGCCAGGCTGCTCTTGAACTTCTGGCCTCAAGTGATCCGCCCGCCTTGGCCTCCCAAAATGCTGGGATTACAGGCATGAGCCACTCTGCTTGGCCTAAACAAATTTTTTTAATGACCAACCAAATGTTACAAAGAATGCAGAATACCTTGAACTCTTCTACTTCAATTCAATTACTGGTAAATGGTATGAATACTTTGGAAGTCTGGTTGGTAGTTTCTAATTGACTTGCAAGTGAGAAGAGGAAACTTCCTAGGGTGACGGAAATATTCTATCTTGATTTAGGTGCTGGCTATTAAGGTGTATACCTTTGTCAAAATTAGTGAAACTGGATTTTAAATATTTGGATATTTTACTGAATGTAATTATAACTCCAAGTACTAGGGGGAAAAAACTCTTGATGAATGAGTTAGGCAGCAGATTAGACACAGCTGAAAAGAAAATCAGTCATCAAGAAAAACAGATTCAAAGAAAATTATCCAAAATGCGTCACTGAGAGTCACAAAGATGGAAAACATAAGACAGTAAAAGATACAGAAGTTAGAATACTATATGAAATTGGAGTTCTAGAAAGAAGAACAAGACTTAAGTTCTGATCCAACATGTAAAGATTTTAAAAGCTGTCACTCCTGTCCTCACAATTGAGGTTATAGGACAAACTGCTGTCCCAAACACAAACAAGCAGATACAGAGAATCACAACTTACTGGCAGCAGAAGTCCACAGCTAGAACTAGAACTAGAACACTTTAAAGTGTAACTGACAAATTACTGGAGGCTCCATGTAGATTAGCTTGAGAGTTAAAAACTCCAAGAGGGCCTAGTCTTAGGGCATTCCCACACTTTCCTAAGTTTTACTTCCACGAGTCTTACTATAAAGACTGGAGAAAAATCTCCTCATTCTTCCAAAAGGGGGCAAGAGAAAGTAATGTTCTCCTTAGTAAGTACTATCTTCAAAGGAAACTATTTTACCAGAATCTAAGTTTTCCCAAAGCTTAACAGACCTAGAGTAAGATAAATGCCCTCTCTAGACTTTGACATCAAGTAGGGAAATAGTCAACTCTGGCTCACTAAGGCAGACCTAATTACAGGACTATAGGGCACTTCCTCCCCCTCCGCACCTTACCACTACATCAACACCTACAGCAAACAGTAAACATATTTAACTCCTAGCCAGAAAGAGAGATTAGAGAGAGAAGTGAGAAAAGGCAATATCTGAAGAGGAAAGGCTGCAAATTTTCAAAAACCAGTTTTTTAAATAAATAAACTGATACAAGATGCACAATATATACAAAGAAGTTTATGAAAGGATTTCATTTAAAAACAGATTATAGTGCAAACTAGAAAATGACAAACAGAAGACTTTAAAACGAGATGGGTTGTGGCTGGGCACGGTGGCTCACGCCTGTAATCCCAGCAGTTTGGGAGGCCGAGGCGGGTGGATCATGAGGTCAGGAGAGCGAAACCATCCTGGCTAACACAGTGAAACCCCGTCTCTACTAAAAATACAAAAAATTAGCCAGGCGTGGTTGCGGGCGCTTGTAGTCCCAGCTACTTGGGAAGCTGAGGCAGGAGAATGGTATGAACCCGGGAGGCAGAGCTTGCAGTGAGCCGAGATTGCGCCACTGCACTCCAGCCTGGGCGACACAGCGTGACTCCGTCTCCAAAAAAGAAGAAAAAAAAAAACAACCAAGATGGGTTGAAAGAACAACCATATCAAAAGAATAAACAGGAGAATGACAAGTGTCAGCAGCGACAACAGGAGCTAGAATACAATAAAATAGTATCCCCAAAGAGTTACACGAATTGTAATTGAGACTTCAAACACTCCTATGGTTACTGACAGAAAAAAGCACACAAAAAATTAGTAAGGTTGAAAAACAGAACACTATCAACCAACTTGGCCTATTATTTACATAATACTCCACTCGGAAACCAAAAAATATGCATTCGTTCCAAGTGCACATGAACATTCACCAGTGAGACCATATTCTGGGCCAGAAAACAAACTGTAACAGATTAAAAAGGAAATAAAATCATACAAAACATACAGTTATGGCCTAATAAAACTAGATACCAACAGACAAATACCCAGAAAGTTCCCAAATATTCTGAAATTAAACATCACACTTCCCAATAATCCATGAGCCAAAAAGGATGTCACCAGGAGATTTTTTAATGTTTTAATTGGTCCGGGCATGGTGGTTCACACCTGTAATCCCAGTGCTTTGGGAGGCCAAAGTGGGAGAACTCCATGAGGCCAGGAGTTCAAGACCAGCCTGGGCAACATGGTGAGACCCCCATCTCTACAAACAAAAAAAATTATTTAACTGGGCATGGTGGTGTGCACCTATAGTCTCAGCTACTCACGAGGCTGAACAGGAGGATTGCTTGGGTGCTGGAGTTAGAGGCTACAGTGAGCTATGATAAGACCACTGCACTCTAGCCTGGGTGACAGACTGAGACCCTGTCTCAAAAAATAAAAGTATAATTAAATGCTTTGAGTTAAAATGGAAACATGACACTATCAAAATTTGTAGGATATGGAAAAACCAGTTTTTAGAGGGAAACTTACAGCTTTAAATGCTGATATTAGAAACAAAAAGATCTAAACTCGATAAGAACAAATGAAACCCAAAGCAAGCAGAAGAAATAAGAGCAGAAATCAATAAAATTAAAAAAAAAAATACCGAATTCAAAGCGTGGCACAGTTTGAAAAAGAGGCAATAAAACTGATACATTTCTCTTTGACCAGAACGAAAAGACACAAATTATAAATATCAACAATGAAGGGACAGCCAAAAAGACAGTAAAAGGAAAGGAAATTTTTTTTTTTTTCAGACTGGAGTGCAGTGGTGCAATCTGGACTTACTGCAAGCTCCGCCTCCCAGGTTCACGCCATTCTCCTGCCTCGGCCTCCTGAGTAGCTAGGACTACAGGTGCACACCACCATGCCTGGCTTTTTTTTTTTTTTTTTTTTTTTTTTTTTTTTTTTAAGGAAGAGACAGGGTTTCACTGTGTTAGCCAGGATGGTCTTGATCTCCTGACCTCGTCATCTGCCCACCTCGGCCTCCCAAAGTGCTGGGATTACAGGCATGAGCCACTCTGCCCAGCCAGGGAAAGGAAATATTAAGAAAACTATATGTGTGTAAATTTAACAACTTAGAAGAAATGGACAAATTCCTTGAAAGACAGAAACTACCAAAGCTCACTCAAAATGAAATGGATAGAAAACATCAGCAAAAATGGCAGAGTAAAAACCTCCAAAAATGTGCTGCTCTGTACAAGCAACGATGACCAAAAAATCCAAACAAACAAACAAAACAAAACAAAAAAGTTGTCAGAATCAACTATTTGAGAACACTGAGAATTAACCAAATTAGTGCAGGAGAATCAACCAAATGACTGCAGGAGAAAGCTGACATGGCTATAGGGGAAAAAAAGAAAAAGGTGGGAGGATAACCTTAATGACCTGTATCTACAAAAGAAATTGATGTAGAAGTTAAAAATGTTTCCATAAAGAAAATTCCAAGCTCATATGGTTTTATTGGAAAATGCTACCAATCATTTAAGAAAGCAGTAACAGAAACGTTTTGAGTTCTAAAGCATTCTGAAAACTCTTCCTGAAAATAAAAGTAATAGCAACAACTTCCAGAGAGTATTTGTCCATATTCAACTTGCATTAATGACAAAAACCATTCAGCAAATGTGGGGAAGAAGGAAAAATTATTTAACCTGAAAGGATATCTACCAGAAATCTACAGTTAACATTAATGGTGAAAGATAATGCTTTCCCCCTAAAATCAAGAACAAGGTAAGGATGTGCACCATTGTCACTTCTATTCAATATAGTACTAGAGGTCCTAGCCAATGTGATAAAGCAAGAAAAAGGAAATTAAAAATACATATCAGAAAGGAAGAAATGAAACTGTGTTCACAGATCAAGAGTTCGTAAAAAGCTCCAAGAAAAAGTAAATTTACAAACATCACAAGAGACAAGCCCAATACAATTAAATATCAATTGTATTTAATTCTATACAATGAATAACTGAAAATTTAAAAAGCAGTACCATTTGCAATAGCATAAAAAATCAAGTAAGTAGATATACATCTAGCAAAATATTTACAAGATCTATACCCTGAAAACTACAAAACTTTATTTGAAAATAAAGCAAAGAAGATCTGTGTAAATGAAGAGCTATACTGGAGTGAAAGACTCAGTATTAAGTCTCAAGATTAAGGTATTGATTATCCACAAACTGATCTGTATATTCAACATAATCCCATGACAAATTTCAGCAGGATATTTTGCATAAATCATAAGTTCATTCTAAAATGTATATGAAAATGCAAAGTATCTAGAAATGTCAATGCAACTTGGAAAACTATGAACAAAGTTTGGAAACTTATAATCCCTGTATCATAGCTGATCATAAAACTACAACAATCAAACATTTTGATATTAGCATAGAACAATGGGACAGAATAGTGTGTTTAGCAGTAGATCCACACATATTTGGGCAACTGAATTTTGACAAAGTTGCAAGGAAAATCCCATGTAGAAAGTATAATCTTTTCAACAAATAGTGCTAGAATAACTAGACATGCATATGCAAAATAATAAACCTTGTGCCGTATATAAAAATTAACTCAAAACAAACCATCAACCTAAAGGTAAAATCTAAAACTATAAAATTTCAAAAAAACAAATTTGCCTTCATTTCTATTGTTAAGTAATATTCCATTATATGGATGTGCCACAGGTTTTATACACACAACATGAATGAACCTCAAACACATTATGCTAAACCAAAGAATCCAGACTCAAAAGGTGACATACTGTATGTTCCAATATATGACATTCTGGAAAAGTAGTTGTCAAGGGCTGAGAGAAGAAGGTATTGACTTCAGCAGGCATAAATGAATTTTGGAGAGTGATGGAACTGTTCTATTTCTTGACTGTGGTGCTGGTTATGCAACTACATGTCTGTCAACATTCACTGAACTATACACCAAAGAGGTAAGAATTTCACTATGTATAAATAGCAGGTCAATTTTTAAAGTTACTTTAAAAGTAATCTTTAAAAAAATATATTCAAGGCACCATTTCAAGAATAAACACAAGGAGTCTAGAAACAGAATAGAGCAATTTCAAACGAAGAGAAAGTAAATAGAATGAAAAATATGGGAAAAACCTACTTTTAGAAAAGCGAGGAAGCAGAAAAAAATTACCCACAGTGGAATCAAAAGGTAGGACAGCAATAACAAAAATACCAATAATTATATGTAAGGCAACTGGTCTGAACCCACATTAAAAACAAAGAGTAGAATGGATTAAAAACAAAGTCCAGCTATATACTATTTATAAGAGCTATACCTAAATGTAAGCACACAAAAGGTTGAAAGTAAATGGATGAGAGAATATATACTAGACAAACATTAACCAAAAGAAAATTGGCATAGCTATATTAGAAATACAGACTATAAGAAAAAATCCTAATAAGAAGCTCAGTACCTAGTATTGGGTTCAATTCACCAAAAGACACTAGCATCATAAGATTATAACAATATTAAGTGGGAACTACCTAATAAAATAAACCCAAGATATGTAGAGCAAAAACTGACTGAACTACATAAGAAAATAAACAATTCCATTTTAATGGAAATTTTAACAAAAATACAGAAAAAGCCAACAGTCAAAAATTTCTAAAGACATAGGAAATCTGAGAAATACAACTTACAAATTGAACTAATGGACAAATATATAAATCCTGTGCCCAACAATTAGAGAAAAGAAATTCTTTTCAGATACAGGTTGAACATTTACAAAAACCAATCATATACTATGCCATAGGGCAAGAATCAACAAATGTCACAGAACTGGTTCATTAGTCTATAATGCAATTAGGTTTAAAGCTAACAATAAAAATAAATTTAAAATCACATGCATGGAAATTTTAAATAATATTTTAAATAACCGACAAGTCAAGGAAGATATAATAACCCATATTAAAAATACTTAGACCGAAACAGTAATGAAATACTTCCTATCAAAATAGTGTATGCAACAAAAAAGTAGCCAAACAGGCAAAGCTGTAGCCTTAAATGCTTATATTTGAAAGTATGTAAATCTATAATCCAGTATAGGTACACATTTATCTCAACTTCCAGAACCAAACAATGCATAGTTGCCACCAACATATACTGATGCCTTTAGCATAGTTGAGTTCTGCTGTCTTGTTAGAACCAGAAGAAGCTCCACGGTAATATGGAATTAAAGGCATAATAATCTCCACATTTTAAGTATCACAGTCTAATACCAGCTAAACAATAGCTGGAAACGGACTATGAATATATAGATAATTATATAGTAACTATATATGAATCACTTTACTAATATATTGCATGTATTGGATGTCATATTCCAGAAAAAGATAATAAAATTAGATAAAACATGTAAATCTAAATATGAATAAATCGTATGTCCCATTTAAAAAGAGAAAAGGGAAAATATCAGAGATGATCCAACAAAATTGACTCATTAACAGAAATTTCTTGGCTCTCTGCCTATGGAGTAGTCATTTTATTTTATTCCTTTACTTTCCTAATAAACTTGCTTTCACTTTACCGTATGGATTTGCCCCAAACTCTTTCTTGCAGGAGATCCAAGAACTGGAATTGGGACCCCTTTCCAGTAACATCTTTCTGGCAAACCATGGAAGCAGTAATACTGAAAAGACCCCTGACCCAAAGGAAAATCATCTGCGCACAACAGCAATCGGCCAACTTTAGGTATCACCTTTTGTCAGAACTCGGAATTATGAATGGCTCTCAACATACTGACGCTTTCTGACTGAGCTCCTCTCTACCCCAAATACAAGAGACCCTAAAAGTTAGAAAGGAATATCATCGCCCCTGTTCAGCATGAAGAAGTTACAGAAGATGCACTCTTGTCCCTCTGCAACCCTTAGGATTAAAGGTTCTCTTATAAAAGGGAGCAGAGAAATGTCAGAGTTCTCTGAACCAGAGCAACTCTATCTTGAGTAGGGGCTGGGTAAAATAAGACTGAGACCTACTGGGCTGCATTTCAAGATGGTTAAGCATTCTAAGTCACAGGATGAGACAGGAGGTCAGGACAAGATACAGGTCATAAAGACTTCGCTGGTAAAACAGGTTGCATAAAGAAGCCGGCTGAAACCCACCAAAATCAGGATGGCAGTAAGAGTGACCTCCAATCGTCCTCACTGCTACACTCCCACCAGCTCCATGACAGTTTACAAAGGCCATGGCAATGTCAGACAGTTACCCTATATGGTCGAAAAAGGGGAGGCATGAAAAAATCACCCCTTGTTTAGCATATAATCAAGAAATAACCATAAAAATGGGCAACCAGTGCCCTAAGGGCTGCTCTGCCTATGGAGTAGCCATTCTTTTATTCTTTTACTTTCCTAATAAACTTGCTTTCACTTAAAAAAAAAAATTTCTCAAAAGTTCTCATAACTAAAATACATTGAAATAGTAGTTAACATCTTCTCAATGAAAACAGAAAACACCAGGCAATGACAGTTTTACAGGACTGTTTTACCAAGATTTCAAGGAATACATTAATTCAATTTTACATAAACTCTTTCAGAGAACTGAATAATACAGAATTTTCCCCACTGCTTCTACGGTCATTATAAACCTTAGATACACATGCATGAAAGACACAGGTCTACTTTATTCATGAACATACACAGAAAAATCCTTTAAAAAATTGTTAGGAGAATCAGTCTACTATGGGCCTTGTGCCTCCCTCTGCATTCTTGGTTAGTGTGACTGATTCCAAGGGTTATCTGTCTCTTGATACTGAGTAATTTCTATAATTACTTATATAGGCAACTAAACAGGTCAAGGCAACCCATCATTACTATCATGTAACTGTTACCCTGGGGAAGCAAGACTAGTAGCTTTTCGCTATTTTGCTACAATATTTGCTGCTTACTTAAAAAGTGCTGGACCCCAGACCTGGATTACTCAATTGCATGCAATACAAACTGACTGTGTACACAGCCTGCATCTGGGCCCATTTTGTAGCTTGAGTAATAATGTTCTTTTTCTCTGACCCAGGAATCTTATGTCTTCTGCCACCATCCATGAACCAGTAACTGCCTAACTTATGAGCTTTTAAGTAGGGTAAAATCTCAAAGCCTTTACAGTTCTAGACAGATATTTATCAAATTAAATCCAAAGTATGTAACAACATGACTAAGTTGAGTTTATCTCAGCAATGCAAATTTGTTTAAAATTGGAAAAAAAAGTGTGTGTATGTATATGTATATATATATTTTACCATACATTTACCTTATTAACTTTTGATGAGAAAAATAATATAATCATCTCTACAGGAGAAAAGTACTTGATAAAATATCTGAAAATGAACTAGCAAAGTAGGAATTGAAGGAAACTTCTAAAATCTAAAAAACTTTTTTAACAAAAACATACAGCAAGTATCATTCTTAATAAAAACTATTAGAAGCAGTCCCTTTAAAACTGGAAACAACAGAAGTACGCCCAGTATTAATGCTTCCACTCAACATCATATGAATTATCCTAGAGTCAGTGCATTAAAATAAGAAAATTAAATATGTAAGAACTGGAAAAGAAAAAAAAAAGCCATAATTTTCAGCAGATGAAATGATTACTGCATGTAAAACTCCAAAAAATTTGCAGACAAGTTTTTAGAAGAATGAGAGTTTAGCCAAGAAGGCTCACTATAAGATTAATTTTAAAACAAACAAAAAACAAAACCAATTGTATTTCTATATCCAATAGCAAATAGGAAATAACCAAGAAAAGAGAAAAAAAAAAAGAAGAAAAAACCTTAAAAAATAAAACAGTTGGCCAGGCACGGTGGCTCATACCTGTAATCCCAGCACTTTGAGAGGCAAAGGAGGGTGGATCACCAGACGTCAGGAATTTGAGACCAGCCTGGCTAAATGGTGAAACCCTGTCTCTACCAAAAACACAAAAATTACCTAGGTGTAGTGGCAGGAGCCTGTAATCCCAGCTACTCAGGAAGCTGAGGCAGGAGAATCGTTTGAACCCGGGAGGCAGTGGTTGCAGTGAGCCAAGATCGCGCCACTGCACTCCAGCCTGGGCAACAGAGCGAAACTCCGTCTCAAAAAAAAAAAAAAAAAAAAAAAAGGGAAAAAAGACAGTTGTGGTTTACAATAAAAAAAAAAAAAGTATAAAGTACCTAGAAATAAGTCTAACAGATGTACTTGATTGGTGTAGAAAGCTATAAAATTTTATTAGAAGACATTAAATAAATGGACAAAGAGCCCAAATTCATGAATAGGATGATTGAATACAATTAAGATGTCAATTCTTCCTAAATTGATCCAGACAGTCAATGAAATTCCAGAGTTCAAACAGAGTTTTTCATGAAACTTAACAAGCTGTTTCTTATGTATGAGGAAGAGCCACGGTGCCCAAATTGTCAAAACACTGCTAAAGAAAAATGTGAGGAGACTTTCAAAACCAGGTATCAAGTTTTAATATAAAGCCATAATAATTAAGACAATATGCTAATTGGTACAAGGTTAGACAAATTTACTACTGGAAAGGAAAAGAAATTCCCAAAATAGACCTAGACATGGTTAATACACAAGAGAAGTGACTTTACTGATCACTGAGAAAAGGAAAAACTATTCACTAATGATGTTGAGACAACTGGTTACTCATAGGGAAAAAACAAAATTAAATTCCTCACCAAATTAGACCCCTCATACTATATTTAAAAATCAGTTACAAGGGCCAGGTGCAGTGGCTCACACCTGTAATCCCAACACTTTGGGAGGCTGAGGCAGGTAGATCACCTAAGGTCAGGAGTTCGAGACCAGCCTGACCAAGATGGTGAAAACCCGTCTCTACTAAAAATACAAAAACTAGCTGGGCATGGTGGCGGGAGCCTGTAATCCCAGCTACTCAGGAAGCTGAGGCAGGAAAATTGCTTGAACCCAGGAGGCAGAGGTTGCAGCAAGCTGAGATTTGCACCATTGTACTCCAGCATGGGCGACAGAGCGAGACTTTGTCCCCAAAAAAAAAAAAAAAAAAAAATCAGTTACAAATGAATTAAAGAATTAACTGCGAAGAGCAAAACCTCAAAACCTTTAAGATGATACAAGAGAATATATTTCTGATCCGGGAAGGGCAAGATTTCTGTTATTAACAACACACAAATGTACTAACTACAAGAGAAAAGATTTTAAAACTCAACTACATTAAAAATATCAAATCTGGCAGGGCGTGGTGGCTCACACCTGTAATCCCAGCACTTTGGGAGGCTGAGGTGGGAGGATCACCTGAGGTCAGGAGTTCGAGACTAGCCTGGCCAGCATGGTGAAACCCCGTCTCTATTAAAAATACAAAAATTAGCCAGGCATAGTGATGCACGCCTGTAAATCCCAACTACTTGGGAAGCTGAGGCAGGAGAATCACTTGAACCCGTGGGGTAGAGGTTGCAGTGGCCGAGATCGCGCCACTGCACTCCAGCCTGGGTAACAGAGTGAGACTCTGTCTAAAATAAATAAATATATATATATATATATATATATATATATATATATATATATTCTACTCATTAAAAAGATACCAGAAAGAAAAACAAAAGGAAAAGCCATAGAGTGGGAGAAGACACTTATAACGCAAAATAGAAAAAAGAACTCCTCCAATTCAATAAGAAATCATCAAATAGAAAATAGGCTAAAAACATCAACAGTAATTTCAAATAAATATAATAGCCAACAGACACATGAAAAGATGCAAAATCTTACCAGCAATTAGGAAAATGTAAATTAAGAGTACAGTTAGAAACTCATACTCAATAACTGACAAAACTTAAAAATCTGACAATATCAAGTGTTGGAGAAAAGACTGAAAATGAAAACTGTATTATTTTGAGTAGAATCTTTTAGTACAACCACTTTGTAAAACATTATGGTATTGCCTAAAAAAAACCTAAGGATGTACAGACCTCTACATCCCCATTCCACTCCTATGAAGTATATCAGGAGACATGTATGAGTCTGTTCATGGCTGTACTGCTTATAGTAGCCAAAAACAAAAATGGAACCAACCTAAATATCTACAGCAGAATGAGTGAATTATAGCATATTCACATATCAGAATACAATACAGCAGTAAAACAAAGAACTGTCATTAGATGTATGCATCAACATGGCTGAATCATAAAAACATAAGGCTGAATAAAAACCAAGTCATAAAAATTACATTCAGTAGGATTCCATTCATAAAAAGGTTAGAACACCTTTAACAGATGCATACATAACCCCAATATCTAAATTCAGGGTAGTAGTAACATCTGGGAGAAAGACATAATCGTGAAAGAAAACGCAGGAAACATAAAAGGTATAGGGGATCTATAATGACAAGGTGTGTTTGTGCCTATTTCCCCATAATCTCACCAACAGGGCTATTTTGTCATATTTTTTAAATTCTCCCAATCTGATAGGTGAAAAATGTAATTGAATATAATTTCAATTTGTACTATTATTATGCATAAGGCTGATCAGGTCCAATTTTAGACCTCTTTGTACATCATCTGGTACGAACTATTAATATGTTCTCTACTAGACTGTTCTTTTTCTTATTGATTTTTAGAAGCTCACATACAACACAAAAATAAGTATTTTGCCTCCTATATAAATGAAAATTATATTTCCCAGTGCATTTTTTTAAAACAGGTATTTAAAATATTGGCTAATAGGAGAATGACTATTCATTTAATTATTTTCTTTAAAATGCATGTTAATTATTCTTTTATATTATATTTCAAGAATAAAACAAATTTACAAAGTAAAAGAAAGTCTTCCACTGACATGGTCCATAAACAGACCAAGTAATCCTTGGAAGAAAGCTAGAAATTTTCAAAATTAGTGAGGTCCTACATATTTTTATGACCTGGGACATCAATTTTTATTGCTCAAGGACAACTTGTTGGCCCATATGTCGGATAAAGTATTGCCTTACACCTTAGGACATGAATTCTAAATTCTTTTAAAATAACTGTATGAGAATTGCTTCTACTTATGCCTTTTCTTCATAAAATTAATACATTTTTATTTTTCTAAGTGACTTCACAGAACACTTCCAACTTACTAGACTGGCGGTGTCTGTGTCTATAGTTTTAAAATTGGCCTTCTTATCCTAATTCCTCAAATAACTTACTCTCCACGCTCTCCTCAAATCTCAAAATAAAATTTCTAAAAATTAGCTTGTTGAGCCAGCATGACCCAAATCATTACTAAAATTTCAGTATCTGAGTTTCAAAGGAGGAAAAGGATATAGAGAAAAAAAATCTTCCAGTTTCAAGACAAAATGTCTCAGAAGCAGTTCATTCTCATTGTTTAACTATATCACAGTGCTATTTCAAATGTTCCATTCCATTTTTTTGACATAAAGTACCATAATATGGCTAATAAAACTGACTTTGAAATTATTTCAAATTTTACCTTCCTAAGAATATAAAACTACCATTCATTAGCAACACTGTATCCCTTCAATTGCTTCAAAAGCCACTCCTGCTATTACCATCTTAAACTTTTTTAAAAGGAAGAGATCTGGTTTTCTGGATCACCTTGGAAAGTGACACTGACAAAAAACTAAATAGACTCTCAAAGAAGTTTAGAAAAGGGCTACATATAGGTACTTACAACAAATTGAAATTTAATAAAAAAGAATTTAACCACAGGCATAAACAAAGCTAAGTTACAGTTCGTGAAGCAGAGCTGGTGTCTGACTTGATAGATTTTAATGAATGTAAATCAGTGGCGTCTGACTTGATAGATTTTAAAGAACGTAAATCAGTAGACAAAATGCCACTAGAATCGAAGGCCAGCCAAAGACAATCGTTTGGAAAACTACCATTTTAACTAGAAAAACTGAATGAAGGACTAAGGAGATAATATTCAAAATTACTCATTCAGTTGATACTTAGTACAAATTTTCTGGAAACATGCTTGTACTTGAGATAATATGAAACAGTTATGAAAGAGTAAGAAATACTAACAGTTGCTTTTTCAGGAATGTTTCTAATACAAAGGGTAAGTCCACTGGATTCAACAGTAAATTATTCGCCCTGCACAGTGGCTCACGCCTGTAATCCCAGCACTTTGAGAGGCTGAGGTGGGCGGATCACCTGAGGTCGGGAGTTCAAGATCAGCCTGACCAACATAGAGAAGCCCCGACTCTACTAAAAATACAAAAAATTAGCCGGACGTGGTGGTGCACGCCCAGCTACTTGGGAGGCTGAGGCAGGAGAATCACTTGAACCTGGGAGGCGGAGGTTGCCGGGAGGCGGTGGTTGCAGTGAGCCAAGATCATGCCATTGCACTCCAGCCTGGGCAACAAAAGTGAAACTCCATCTCAAAAAAAAAAAGTAAATTATTCATTTGTCATTGATATGCTTTCTATCAATATCGGGAAGAAGAAAACAGCTGTTAGTGAGGAATAGACTTGCACCTACTCCAACTCTAGCTGAATGGCTATTTCAGCTACATAAGAATAAGACTGAGCATAAAGAAAATGAGGTGAAATGTCTCAACAGTACAATTTCAAATGCCTTGGGTTAATCCTCAATCCTTAGGAAAATATTTTAGATATAAGTACTTTCCCTCTCTACTTCATATGTGATTTAAAAAATCAATAAAATCCTACAAAGAAACTATAACACAAGATTCAAACCATTCATATAATTGTCTAATTTATGAAACTGAATAAGGAAACCTAATTATCATGTGTTATTTCAACCAATAAAATCAGCATTCTTTCTATTCTTATTCAAATTTCATTCTTAATGATCCATTATATAACAAAAGCAAATGCAGGCAGAACATTATCATGGAAACTAAAATAGTCTTTGAAGAAGGAAAATAAAATCTATGAAAGTGTATACTTTACAAGGCTTTGACTGATGTTTATTCCTCATGAGCACAGAAGAAAATGTTTAACTAATACAGAACATTTGTATTTGGTCCTATTAATTCATAAATAAACTCTTGTATGCTATGCCATAAGAGAAAATTACACAAATTTCAGTGTTTCTATGAATTGAGTATGCCTTTCATCCCAAATTAACTGAGAAAGATGGTCAGAGAAGCATGCATTTTGGACTAACACGTTACCTAGAATAATTTACTTAATAGGTACAGCTAATTTTACTATTATAATGTTTTCTCTCCTGTAATCACATCAATGCTATTTTATCTACCATGTCAAAAGCTAAACATGAGGCATTCTGGCTGAGGTTTAGACTATTATTAGGTAAAGTAATCCCTTTTTTTTCTTGAGACGGAGTTTCGCTCTTGTTGCCCAGGCTGGAACACAGTGGCGCGATCTCGGCTCCCCGCAACCTCTGCCTCCTGGGTTCAAGCGATTTTCCAGACCCCCAAGTAGCTGGGATTACAGGCATGCACCACCACACACGGCTAATTTTGTATTTTTAGTAGAGACAGGGTTTCTCCATGTTGGTCAGGCTGGTCTCAAACCAGCCTAGTATTCCCTTTTTTTTTTTAAGTGTTAATTTAAATTATCTCTTCTGAGAAAGTTCAGTTTTATAGAAAAATTAAAGGTAAGATACAAAAACAACCAAAAAATTTTCCCCTTACAAGTTTGTTAATATGATGGCACATATTGAAATCTTCAAGTTCAATTTGATACTTAAAGAACTACTTTCTTAGGCAGGGCACGGTGGCTCACATCTGTAATACCAGCACTTTGGGAGGCCGAGGCCGGCGGATCACGAGGTCAGGAGATCGAGACCATCCTGGCTAACATGGTGAAACCCCGTCTCTACTAAAAATACAAAAAAATTAGCCGGGCATGGTGGCGAGCGCCTGTAGCCCCAGCTACTCAGGAGGCTGAGGCAAGAGAATGGCATGAAGCCAGGAGGCAGAGCTTGCAGTGAGCCAAGATTGCGCCACTGCACTCCAGCCTGGGCGACAGACCAAGACTCCGTCTCAAACAAACAAACAAACAAACAAACAAAAACTACTTTTCTTTCAAGAGAAAGTACACGTAGTCACATTCTAAAACTCATACTAAAACTTGACCTTTTTAAAGGCCAAAATGCTCTTTAAAAGGCTCAGAATACCTCAAAACTGTTTAAAAATCACTTACCTTTCAAACCTAGAGTTTGTAGCTGGAAGAGCCGACCAAGTTCATAAGGCAAAACCCGTAACAGATTGTTATTTAAAAGCAATTCCCTGTTTTAAAAAAAAAAAAAAAATTAGTTTAATATACTAAGTTTTATTAACATCTGTATTTGCCATTCTTAAGGCTCCTTCTAACATACTATGAGTGATTGTTTATATTCAAGGCACATTTCTATGTGCTCATCCAAAAACATTGCACAATATAAAAGTACTACAAAATGTGCAATTGCCACAACTATTAACAATGGTTCTATTTCTAGGATTTACTCATTTGCTAGCTCACATTAAAGTTGGAGGTGTAGGAACTGCATATCATTCTCAGGCTAAATCTACCCCCTTTTTTCTCACCCAAAATGCCTATCAAATGCAAATGCGACAGATATCCTTAGCAGCTAAACAACAGATATCCTTGAAACTCGTCTAATTAATAGAAAAAAGTACAAATTTTTACACAAACTTCAGGAATAAACTGTAATTAGTAGCCAATCACCGGTATCTCTTTTTAAGTAACTGAATACTACTCTAATCACATCAAAATACTAAGAAAACAAACCAAAAATTTAATAAAAATAAAAAGAATAAGAAACAACAGGTGAAGTATATTAAAGAAGACAAAAGAAAATGTGAAAAGATGAAAAAATATACTATGATCAACAATCACTGACATGAAACATAAATATTAAAATAAAGCATAGATAGTACAGACAAGAATAGGATAGCATAAATAAGATCTAACTTTATGATTGTGAAATTTTGAGCAGCCTATAGGAAAAAAATAGCATCCTCATTAGTGGATGACCAAAAGTAAAAAAAGCAAGTAAAGGATAGTGAAGAACAAGATTTTAAAACAATATGTTTAAACACGTGATAGCAATTTTTAAAAATTATTACTCAACAGATAATCATTGGAAACATTTAGATAAGATCTTAAGATTCCTGCAAAATTTTTTTAGAATTTCTTTAGGGAATTTTTAAAGAATCCCTAAAAATTAGAAATAAATCCATTTCATCAGGTTTTAAGGTTTCCTTAAGGAGCTGTATTATGAAATATAAATATTCTTTGACTCATATAATAGAGATATGTTCTTGTAAGTTTTATTCATCAGCAAATCTTCATTTTTCAAGTACTTCTAATCAGTCTTATCATATTGGATAATGAGACTTACTATTTTAGCCCCACCCCACCTCAAGTTTGTCAAGGAAACTGGTAATACAAGCACACTCTAATTCAGGAACCTCCAAATTTAAAGGAAAAGAAATGTTCAACGGAGGCCAACTCAAGCACTATGCTTAGACAGTTTATATAATTTGATAGTTACAACACACAGAAATCCTACTGTAATAAAGTAACATCCCCTCATTTTCTTAAATTTAGAATTTTATATAGTGAGTCATGTCTGTTTTATTTCCTCACCTGAGAGACACCATGTTTCCTAGTTCTGCTGGTAAACTTCTGAGTTTATTGGATGACAGATCCAGGTAAACCAGATTATGAAGCTTGGCAATATCAGGTGGAATGCGACTAAGGTAATTGTCATTTAGGTGCAGCGCTGTCAAGTGTGTCAATGACCAAAGTGATGTACTTAGGCTCCGCACTCTACCTAAAAGGCAAAATACTGAAGTGTAAAAAAAAACCCCAGGCCCAAGATGACACCTAAACTACAACGACTGAAAAGTGGTAAGAGAGGCTGCAAATACACATGGATATTGTATCTCTGACATTTTAATTTTTTATTTAATGCCATTTGATTGCTTCCAAACACACCTGGCCCTCCTTTACGTTCAT
The DNA here is from genome assembly GCF_000001405.40 of Homo sapiens. Classification (NCBI taxonomy): domain Eukaryota; kingdom Metazoa; phylum Chordata; class Mammalia; order Primates; family Hominidae; genus Homo; species Homo sapiens. Next base: position 77,774,902 of record NC_000004.12, read on the forward strand.
GCCACTTTCACCTGACAACCACTCTTTCTCAAGAACCTTCTATGTATTAAATGAGAAGTGGCAAAATGTGGAAACCCTTGGAGTTTAACTGAGTAGTTCTCAACCAGAGGCAATTTTGTTTCCTCAAAGGATTTTGGAATGCCTGGAGACATTTTTGGTTGCCACAACTGAAGGGGTACTACTGCTATCTAGTGAGTAGAGGCCAGAAATGCTACTAAATATCCTACAATGCACACAACAGGCCTCCACTATTATCCAGCTCAAAGTGTCAGTAGTGCCAAGGCTAAGAAACCCTAGATTAACTTAGTAAGATCTGCTCATATTCATTCTTTTGACTACCAATCATCCATCCACCCAGTTACCTTTTAGCTAAATGTGCAAGTAATTCTTGCTATTGACATTACAATGTGGGGTTTAACTCTTCCAAATGAATGCCTACTGGGGAAAAAATGGCATTTTATATATAATCTGTATTATACCAATTCATAAAAGAAAAATACTTATATTCTATTTTTAATAACTTTAAATTTTGTAATAATTTTAGATTTACAGAAAAGTTACCAAGATAACACAGAGAGTTCCTATATACCCCTCCTTCAGCTTCCCTAACATTAGAATCTACATCATCACCATGGTACATTTGTCAAAACTAGGAAACCAACACTGGTGCATTACTACTAATTAAACTCTAGACTTTACTTGGATTTCACCAGTTTTTATACCTTTTTGTTCCAGATTCAACGCAGGCTACCATTTTGCATTTAGTTACCTCTCCTCAGTCTCCTCTGGTCTGTGACAGTTTCAGCCTTTGTTTTACATGACCATGACAATTTTGAGTATTAATCAAGTTAGGTATTTTGCACAAGGTCCTTTAGCTTGAGTTTGTCTGATGTTTTTCTCATTATTAGACTGGAATTATGAGTTTTTAGGAATCACATTCTATTTTACCAAATCCTAAACAGGTATTAAGGTCCTGTAACACAGTTATTATATATTTATTAGAATAAATAGCTTCCAGGTTTCCTTCTTTGCCGACACTGAGATAGGAGGATGGCAAAGATTTCAATTTGCAAAAATAATTACTCTGAAATAGCCTAAACAAAATCTATTATATCAAAGAAACTGGTTTTACTTAGAAACTAAACTCCCCATATCCTCAATTCCAGATGCTTGCTCAATGTAATTAATCTCAAAAAATGGAAACAAAGATATTCAGTCACACATAAAACAGAAAACACTAGTATCTTACCATCTTGTAGTTTTTCAATGAGTCCATCTAATTAAAAATGTACAACAAAAAATATAGCAATACTCAACTTTTGTATTATCACTATTACATTCCAGATTAAATGCTTCAGATTCCACTCACCCGAGATTTCTAATTCTGCCCAGTGAGATTTTTTCCCATTGGCTACCTCCTCTGCTGACATGATGGTATAAATTCTGCGAGGATCTGGAGGATCATATTTTTCCTTTGGCATCCCTATTAGTCTGTTTAAAAAAAAAAAGGAGGAGATCAATAATTATTATAGTCTTACTTTAAAAAAAGAGAAAATAGGATGGTAAACTCCTTTTCTCTCCCATTACCAGTCTAGTAAGTCATTTTATACTACAAATTCTCACTTGCAGAAAAAGAAAACACACACATTATCTGCAGTATGCTAGGATCTTGCAGGAACTCATTATCAGATGCCTAAGGGAAAATGCAAATAAGCAACAGCACTGGACTTTGCAATGAACATTATGGTTGCTTCCTAACTCCTTCCCTTCATTTAGCTGCACTGCTTTCCCACACAGCAGTTTCGTGAATGGACTCTGACTAGTCTAAGAGAATAAGGTAATTCTATCCTCCTTTCCTCAGTGATATTCAGATATCCCATGCCTAAGACAATCAGCACATGACATTCCCCTTGCAGAGATTTAGTTCAGGAGTATCTAATAATCACAAAACCGCAGAACTCATTCTATGTTTATAGGAGAAGCAGGCTTCTCTCTCCTGCTGGTCATAAACAAAGAAGAATACAGCCCAAATTGCTGCTGGCAGCCACGCAACAACGATAAGGAAAGTCAGCCATGGAAGGCAGAGTCTGGAAAACAGAAAAACAAAGGCAGGGTCCTCACTGAATGACACCTGTAGCACACCCAAATACTGGCCTTTTCTGATACACAAGCCAATATAGTTCTCTTACTGTTTAAGCTACTTTGAATTGTGTTTTCTGTTACTAGTAATCAAAAGTGTCCTAATTAGTATGAGTACATATCTTAGTTTGCCTGGGTCAGTCTTGGTTTATATCTGTTGTTCTGAAGCAATTATTATTATCATCCCTTTTCATGCTCAAAAGAGTCCAATTTGGATGAGTTACATGGCCACCCTAATCAAAACTAGCACAGTCATGTGTGGTTTAACAAAGACATGTTCTGAGAAATGCATTGTTAGGCAATCCAAACGTTGTTATGCAGCACATAACTATACTGTGCCATCTTCCTGCTATAACTGCCAAAATAATCACTGAACAATCATCAATGATGACCAGCTAGACATAAAACTCATCAAATGTGCTATGTATGAAGTAGGTGACAAATGGCTCTAAAGGTAACCTTATTCAAGGGGTCCAATATAAGAAGTACTGCTTGGTACTAGACAAAAAATAAAATCCAGTTCATATCTAACAAGAATAGCAAATGACACAATGTCCTGAGCCTAAATTAAACTCCTGCATGCTTTCAATAAATTGCCACATAGTATTTATATTGGGTTCTTTGCTCATATATTAACATATATACACACACCCCAAAACCAAGTGTCTGAATCTGGAACTGTTTCCAAGTAAAGTTTAGAACTTATATCCCAAATTGAAGAGTTGCTTTCAGGTCATCTGAAATTTGTAACATATAGAGATTAAAGAAAAAAGAGATATTCTATCATGTAATAAGAAATCAAAAAGCTAGTTTATAAGAATGCAATCAAAGTTTCCCATACTATCACTTTCTCTCACATTTCTAAAGGGAAAATAGTCATTCCTTTCCACTTACTTAAAGGAGCAAAGAGAAAGTTTTCCATATCTGTTCATATGTTAACAGTAATTAGTTTCCAACTTTCCAGGTTAAGCTCTTCAACTCTAATCTTACACAATTTGGGCGATGCTAAACCGTATTTTATTTTCCATAAATGTCTTAGAACTTCATATAGCACAAAGAATATGATCATTTTCCGCAGGAGAAAAATTTGATTTCTACCATATTCAGCCTATATATAATACTTCTGAAAATAAAGTTTTTAGGTAACAAGGTTTTCAGAATTTCTGCTGGACACCATAAGGCACACATGTCTCTTTGGGTACTTTTGGGTAATAATAAAAGAGTCTACAAAAAAATACAAGATTAAGCAAAGCCAAATCAAATAGATCTAGATCCAAAGACACACTACATAATTCATTACCTACAATGAGAATGGGTAAAACACCCTAAATTTTCAAAAACATAGGTTTCACTAATTTTAGATCTTTTTTTTTTTGAGACGGAGTTTTGCTCTGTCGCCCAGGCTGGAGGGCAGTGGCGTGATCTCGAGATCTCGACTCACTGCAACCTCTGCCTCCCAGGTTCAAGTGATTCTCCTGCCTCAGCCTCCTGAGTAGCTGAGGTTACGGGCGCGTGTCACCACGCCTGGCTAATGTTTGTATTTTTAGTAGAGATGGGGGTTTCACCACGTTGGTCAAGCTGGTCTCGAACTCCTGACCTTGTGATCCGCCCGCCTTGGCCTCCCAAAGTGCTGGGATTACAGGCATCCCAAAGTGCTGGGATTACAGGCGTGAGCCACGGCACCCAGCCCAATTTTAGATCATTTTTATAAAACACAGGGCAGGCCGGGCACGGTGGCTCACGCATGTAATCCTAGCACTTTGGGAGGCCGAGGCGGGCTGATTACAAGGTCAGGAGATCGAGACCATCCTGGCTAACACGGTGAAACCCCGTCTCTACTAAAAAAAATACAAAAAATTAGCGGGGCGTGGTGGCGGGCGCCTGTAGTCCCAGCTACTCGGGAGGCTGAGGTAGGAGAATGGCGTGAACCCGGAAGGCGGAGCCTGCAGTGGGCCGAGATCGCGCCACTACACTCCAGCCTAGGTGACAGAGCGAGACTCTGTCTCAAAAAAAAAAAAAAAACAAAAAAAAAACACAAAAAACACACAGGCATAGGATTAGAAGGCAATTTAATCTGTTTTAATCACGGCTCCCACTAGATGGTATGTTCCTTAAGGGGACTATGTTTCTGTGTGGAGGCATATTCTTTTTATATCTCCATACAGTTCCCGCCACATAGGAAGCACATAACATGTATTTGTGGAATGATCAATGATCATATGCTTTATAATCCTAAAATCTGCCACCTTCCTCCCTTCCTACTCATCTCACAGCCAATTAACACCCAATGCTTTTCTAAAAATTGATACAAAGAAATGGTAATTTATCCACATGTTCAATTTTCCCAGATATTTTTAAAATCTAAATAGAAAATTAATAATTACCATCTTTTCTGGTGCTCCAATTCTAATCTCTAAAACAGATATTATATAGAACTAGATTTCTATTTTTTAATTCTTCATGTTTCAATCTTTGTAAGTCCATTAAAATTATGAAATCTCTTCCTTAAAAAAAAAAGCTCCATAAAATGTTTACCAATATCTATAATATGTAAAAACCAAAGTAAGATCAATACTGCCATATTAGGGGTCAGAGGTCTCTTTTGGATTTGATTAGGATGCCAATAAAAATGACCAAAGGCTGGGCGCAGTGGCTCACGCCTTGTAATCCCAGCACTTTGGGAGGCCGAGGCGGGCAGATCACGAGGTCAGGAGATCGAGACCATCCTGGCTAACATGGTGAAACCCCGTCTCTACCAAAAAAAATACAAAAAATTAGCCGGGTGTGGTCGCGGGCGCCTGTAGTCCCAGCTACTTGAGAGGCTGAGGCAGGAGAATGGCATGAACCCGGGAGGCGGAGCTTGCAGTGAGACGAGACTACCCCACTGCACTCCAGCCTGGGCAACAGAGTGAGACCCTGTCTCAATCAATCAATCAATAACAGAGAACTCAATTTCAGGAAATTAACATTATTAAACCTTTCCATTCAGCTTTATTTTCCCCTCTCAGGTCTCGGCATCAACTTTCCACCTTGTAGGCATACCACAAAAATCTATTTCAAAATAACTTAAAATTATGAAATAAATTATTCAAATGTAATTTAAATCTCTAAATGTGACACTGCTCATGTGGCTTCAAACAGTCTCATATACAGCTCAGTTCAAGACTTAAATACTGAGTGATTAACATTTTTCATCCAAGAAAGAGAAATGTTTTATTTGGGAAAACACAGCACAGTTAATTTCTTATCTTTAATTTCAAACTAATGAAGAGGCAGGTTTTTGAATTAGTTTTTCCAAGAGTTTCTAATTTCTACAACAACTTACATAGATTCTCAAAAGATCCTCCCATTACATCAACCAAATTTATACTGGGAATCCTGATTACATAACAAAGCCTGTTAGCAACACCTTTCCAACTTTGCCATCTAACTCCATTTCAACAGTACGAAAAACACTCCACTTAGTTTCCCAAATACTACACAAGCTGCTTTGAGTCTGCCATCCATTCACTCTTTATTTCTTAGCGTGTCTCCTACAAAGGCCTCAGAGACTCTGAGTAAAATTTCTGAGAGTAACCATCAGTCCTAGATAAGGAACCCGATTTTCTCCTACTTCTTATATACTCCTTACATTAAAAAGTTTTAATCTCCATCACCAAAGGCTGATTAAACACTACCACAGGGTGAAGACTTTAATAAATTTGTCTTTGGTTCTATTAAACAAAAGCTTCAGATAAATCTGTAAAATACTGACTTCATAGGAAACGTATTTCAAAGCTGGGCACAGCAGTATACTCCTGTGGTCCCACCTAGTTGGGTGGCTGAGGTGGAGGGATCGCTTGCAGCTAGGAGTTCAAGGCCATTGTGCACTATAATCACACCTCTGAATAGCCACTGCACTCTAGCCTGGGCAACACAGCAAGACCCTGCCTCTAAAAAACATAAAAAAACATGCAGCCATAAAAAAGAGTGAGTTCATGTTCTTTGCAGGGACATGGATGAAGCTGGAAGCCATCATTCCCAGCAAACTAACACAGGAACAGAAAACCAAACACTGCATGTTCTCACTCCTAAGTGGGAGATGAACAATGAGAACACATGGACACAGGGAGGGGAATATCACACACCAGGGCCTGTCAGGGGGTAGGGGGCAAGGGGAGGGAGAGCATTAGGACACACACCTAATGGATGCAGGGGTTAAAACCTAGATGACGGGTTGATAGGTGCAACAAACCACTATGGGACATACATACCTATGTAACAAACCTGCATGTTCTGTACATGTATCCCAGAACTTAAAGTAAAATTTTAAAAAACATTAAAAATAAAAAATATTTAATGTATTTTAGGGGGTTTTTGTATTTTAGTTTTTTAATTTATAAGCAATATTATATGTAACGCTAGGTCTGCTTTGCACAGAAAAATTTAAATTTAGAGTTTCCAAAACTGCAAATAAATCTACGTAACATGCTATTTCAATGAAAGGTATATTTTAAAACTACATATGAAATACATACAAATATACTATTGTTAACCCCAAATCTCAAGTTTTATATGTAGCACTAGGAAAATAAAGTAGCATAACTCCCCCTGAAAAAACAAGCTGGCCAAATCAGGGCAAACTGGTAAAAGCTAGAACTAAGCTTCTGTAAATACTGGTCATCTAAAGTAGCTTACAAAAAACGATGCCTCTATAGCGTATGTAAAGATGTAAGTCCTATAGTGTTAAATTACAGTTTCTCTCTTATCACCCTAAGTGTAAGGTCATTTTATCTCAGTCTGTAGTTTGGCACAATTAATGTTATTTCATTTAGGATTCAGACTAAAAATCCTACAAGCACCAGAGTGCTTCATAATGAATCAGACTGCTAACTCAATGAAATCTCACCCAAAATACAAATCACTAATCATCTCAACAATAGTTTGCAAAATCAATCACAGGCAGAGACACAGATGCTGGCAGAGTTCCTAAAATTGAAAAAACACAAAATTAAGCCTATATGAGGCTTAATTTAGAGTTCAGAGTAAATATCAATAACTTATTCCATTTTACACATTCTCATATAAATCTGTCTTATATTGGCATTTATTCCCAAAAGTTACGGAAGGGAAAACATGTTTTTTTGTGTCTTACTACATACTCATCTTAATAAATAACTATCCTTCCCATCTGGTCTTAACCATTATGAGCTCCCTTCCTGAGAAAATGTGTCTGTGTTTATCTTGCTTAACAAAGCAAATAACTCTTGCACTGTGCCATTTTTGAAGTTTCTATTTCCTTATCAATATCTTTTTTGTTGTTGTTGTTTTTAGACAAGGTCTCACTCTGTCACCTAGGCTGGAGGACAGTGGTACAATCATAGCTCATTGCAAGCTTGAAATCCTAGGATGAAGTGGTCCTCCCTCCTCAGACTCCCCAGTAGCTGGGACTACAGGCACATGTTATCACACCCAGCTAATTTTATTTTATTTTTTTTTTTAGTAGAGACAAGGTTTCACTATGTTGCCCAAGCTGGTCTTGAACTCCTGCCCTCAAGACATCCTCCTGCCTTGGCCTCCCAGTGCTACTAGGATTACAGGCATGAGCCACAGTGCCTAGCCTTTTTTTTTTTTTTTTTTTAAAGAGACAGTGTCTACCTATGTTGCCCAGCCTGGCCTCAAACTCCTGGGCTCAAGCAATCCTCCTGCCTCAGCCTCCCAAGTAGCTAGGACTACAGGTGTCACCACTACAACCAACTATAGTATTTATTTTTAACTATACACAACTATTAATCATTACAACTGTCATACTAAATTTGTACTTCACCTGAATGGGATAAGCAGCTGATACTACAAAAACTGCCCCTAGCAAACTATACTGCATATAGTAAGATCATATTGACAAAATTAAAGATTGATGGCAATCACAAGAGCTTAAATGATGCCCTGGGATAAAGAACAATTTCATTAGCAACCCCATTCCATTTCCATACCAAAGGCCTGTGGATGGCATTTGTCTTTCTTTAATTATACATTCAACTAAAGTCCATAGATTATAAAATAATGCAAACATTTTTTTAAAAAAGACTTAATTCCAAGTGTTCATGACATCTCCAGCTCTGTGACCACTCAAAAAAAAAAAAAAAAAAAACACATGTTTTATAATGGCAAAGTCACTCATCATTATTGAAAAAAATAACCTTCAGACTTTTGAAGTCTAATGTTTCTGACCAGTTTAACATTTATTCAAGAAATATTTATTGCATGCCTATTCCTTACGACATTTACTGTACCAAGCACTAGGGTGCTTCAATAGTGAACAAGTTGGACATTGTCCTTACCCGCATGGAGCATATACTGTTTTCACAGCACTACTTGAAAAAGAAAAGCTATACAGTATTTTGCTTTTCAATAATTCTGCAAGGAATTTGGCATTTCTTGTTACTACTTCCTTTTTCTCCCTCATCAGGTAGTTGCATTGTTCTCTACTGTCACTACTCTAAAATAAGTAGAACAACTAAAGGGAAAATAAAACATCCTTATCACAAAGGATGAGGGTGATGAATAACCGATAACCTCTGGCATGGTCAAGAATAGGTGGAGAGAACAGAGTTCCCAGGACAAGAATGAGAAGTTTTAAATGGCCTAATATTGGGGAATGGGACTGAAGATAATAAGTTAAACACATACTAGTACATTTAACTTAAGATGATAGCAACTGGTTTCCTAAATCAGTGATAATATTCTTTTCTACAATCCTTGCTAGCAAACCAAATAATTAGATAACCCAAGGAACAAGGAAATACTTGGATTCAATATGTTTTATTTCTAGTCAGTTTATTCTTGGGGCTCTATTTATTAAATATATTAAATTTATTAAATATATTAATATTTAATATATTAAATATATCTCAAGTCAAACACTAGTTATCTGTGCAAATAAAATGCATAGGCATATGTGGCAATAAAGTCCCTAGATGAATATGAGAAAACGTTATTGGTTGTTATACATCTTTCCAAAGGTAATCCGAAGATAACTTTACGGCAATCCAGAGATAACTTACAGGAAGCTTCTGGCTCTGGAAAGCGATGAGGGCATAGTCTAATCGTCAGTTACAGTACTACCAGGAGGAAATAAAGGAGAAAGAAATCGAATACAATTCCTTTTCTGCATATTTAAAACTTTTTCCCATATCTGAGATACAAGACAACAGCAGCAGCAACAACATGAAACATACATAAATACTAAAATAAAAAACAGAGACCAGACCTGGGGTTATAAATCAATCACTTCAAAATTTCAAAAATAATGCTACTATAGACATGTTTCATTTTATTTCATTATCAATATGGACAACTTAAGCTTATGATTTTCCTCCCAGAATTCCAAATTAAGTCTTAGTCTCCACCTAACAATTACAATGCTTTAATGCCTTGCATTTAATGCCTCCTACTCATCTAAAGATACTGAATATAATCTATTTTTTTTTTTTTTTGAGACTAGGTCTCACTTTATCACCCAGGCTGGAGTGCAGTGTGGTGCAGCCTCAACCTCCTGGGTTCAAGTGATCCTCTCACCTCAGTCGTCTGAGTACCGAGGACTACAGGTGCACGCCACCACCATCCAGCTAATCTTTGTATTTTTTTGTAGAGATGGGTTTCACCATGTTGCCCAGGCTGGTCTTGAACTCCTGGCCCAAGTGATCTGCCCACCTCAGCCTCCCAAAGTGCTGGAATTACAGGTATGAGCCACTGCACCCAGCCTTCTTTCCACTTTTTTGATTTAGTTTCTGTTTTCTTTCTCCTCTGATACGTACATTTTCATCTTTTTTAATGGGTATCAACTTCCTTTTCATCATTCTTGGCTTAAGTCATCTTTTACCTCTTCTTCTGTATATTTCCCCATGCAGAAATCAAGTTAATTCTAAAATTTATACGGAAAGACAATCTAAAATAGCCAGTACACTTCTGAAAAAGGTATAAACATAGATGTGCACGCTATCTGATTTCAAGACTTACTAAAACTACAGTAATCCAGAGAGTTTGGTATTAATGAAAGAAGACACACATAGTTCAATGGAACAGAACTGAGAAGCTGGAAATAGACCCACATACATGGTCAATAGATTTACAACAAAAAGGTAACCATAGAGAAAGCACAGATTTTTCAACAAATGGTGCTAGAACAATGGTATATCCATATGGAAAAATAAATAAACAAACATCAATCCATACCTTGCATCACAAAGTAAACTTACAAGGACCATGAGCTTAAATATAAAACCAATAACTATAAAACATCAGAAGAAAACATCAGAGAAAAGTTTTGTGGCCTTGAATTAGGCAAAGATTACTTAGATATAACATAAAAAGCATGATCCATAAAAGAAAAAACACTAATAAACTAAATTTCAAGAAAAGTTAAGACTTCTGCTCTTTGAAATTTGAAGGAAAAGACATGTCAGGGTTTAAGAATAAATATTTGCAAAACACGTATCTGAAAAAAAAACACTCCAGAATATATAAAGAACTCTCAAAACAAAATAATAAAGCAATCTTATTTTTTAAATTACCAAAATATTTGAACAGATACTTCAAAGAAGATACACGGATAGCAAATAAGCACATGAAAAGATGCACAACATTAGGCATCAGTGAAATACTAAAAACCACAATGAGATATCGCTACACATTAGAAGGATTAAATTTAATAAATGACAATATCTAGTGCTGACGAAGATTTGGTCTGCATGCACACGCACAAAACAAGGGGGATTAAAAGAAAACTTGTCTCAAAGTGCCACAGTGCTGAAGTAGAAGAGATGATGCAAGACTTCCATGAAGAGGTGACACTAAGCTGAATCTTAAAGAATGAACAGGAATCAGTATTTCCCTCAAGGAAGGGGGTTGTAGGTGTGGTAGGGACAGACAAAGCGAAAATAAAAGCATAAGCAAAGACACATAAATAAGAAATAACATGGCCGGGTGCGGTGGCTCATGCCTGTAATCCCAGCACTTAGGGAGGCCAAGGAGAGTGGATCACCTGAGGTCAGGCGTTCAAGACCAGCCTGCCCAACATGGTGAAACCCCGTCTCTACTAAAAATGCAAAAATTAGCTGGGCATGGTGGCGGACACCTGTAATTCCAGCTACTGGGGAAGCTAACGCAGGGGAATCACTTAAACCCGGGAGGCAGAGGTTTCAGTGAGCCAGTATTGCACCACTGCACTCCAGCTGGGGCAACAGAGTGAGACTCCCTCTAAAAAAAAAGAAAGAAAGAGAGACAGAGAGAGAGAGGAAATAACATGAGGATGCTGAGCATAGTGGCTCACACCTGTAATCCCAGCACTTTGGGAGGCTGAGGTGGAAGGATCGTGCTTAAGTCCAAGAGTTCAAGACCAGCCTGGTGGCACAGTGAGACCCTGTCTGTATTGCTAAAGAAAATAAAAGTAAATTAAAAAAAAATTTTTTTTGAGACAGGGTCTTACTCTGTCACTCAGGCTGGAGTACAGTGGGATTGTCATGGTTCAATGGAGTCTTGACCTCCTGGGTGTTAAGTGATTCTCCCACTTTAGCCTCCCAAGTAGCTGGGACTATATGTGCATACCACCCCACGCCTGGCTAATTTTTGTATTTTTTGTAGAAGCAGGATTTCACCACATTCCCCAGGCTGGTCTTGAACTCCTGAGCTCAAGTGATCTGCCCACCTTGGCCTCCCAAAGTGCTGTGATTACAGGTGTGAGCCAAGGCCTGGCCTAAAAATATTTTTAAAAAAGGAAACAATATGAGGAGAGAGGCTGTTCACAGGGGTTGCTGAAAAATATCACCAGAGTCATGGAGAGATGATGTTCTATATGTAAAGATAGAAAGCTTCAAAAATCTGCTTCTATTTTACTGAGTCTTTCCTATAAATCATTTTCCTCATGTAAAGAATTTGCCATCCATAAGAGTCTAATAATAAATGAGGCCGGGCGCAGTGGCTCACGCCTGTAATCCCAGCACTTTGGGAGGCCAAGGTGGGCGGATCACCTGAGGTCAGGAGTTCAAGACCGGCCTGGCCAACATGGCGAAACCCCGTCTCTATTAAAAATACAAAAAAACAGCCGGGTGTGGTGGCGGGCACCTATAATCCAGCTACTCGGGAGGCTGAGGCAGGAGAATCGCTTGAACCTGGGAGGTGGAGACTGCAGTGAGCCAAGAAAGTGCCACTGCACTCCAGCCTGGGCAACAAAGTGAGACTCTGTCTCAAAAAATAATAACAATAATAATAATAATAGATGACACTACTAATCCTAGTTGCCTCCTTCCTTCATTCGCTTTTATTTTCCTCTACTCAACAACATTGCTTCTAGTTACACATCTGAGTGGGCCTATATCCTCTAATGATTTAGCTATCACATTATTAAAGACATTACAAATGCCTTAAAATCCCTGTACTTATATTAAATATAAAATACTCTTGTCACTTGCCATCATAAAAGCAAACTATAGCATGGCGTTTCAATGTCATTACACTTACCCCCAGTTTCTCAGCATACACAATTATAATCACTAGTGTAGTGAAGAGATTCATTCAGTTAGCACAAGACTCAAATCTAAAATGTGTACTCAAACTCTTCCTTGAAACTCAGAGAATCCACTTAAAGGAGACTACACTATCTATTTCTAAATTTGGGATTCTTTAGGTGCAGCAAATGATGATGACAATGATCACCATCACTGCAACTACCAACTACTAGCTACTACATATAAGTTATTTACCTAACTTTATTTCACTTAATTAATTTCTCCCAACAATCTTGTAAGCAGGTATTACTATTCCAATTCTAGCATTCAGAAAACTGTAATATAAAGAGGTTTAGAAGCTTGCTGGCAAGCAGCAGAACTGGAATTCTAATCCAATTCCACTACATTGATCTGCCTCAGATATATGCCTTCAATAAATCCTTTGTCTTTAAAGTTTGAAAACCCTCAAAATGATCTCCAATACTAGTATCATAAATCTGAAAATCTACTTTCTTTGACCAAACTTCTTTTTTGTTCCAATATTAGTGGGAAATCTACATTCCACAATTTGGCAAAAAGTAAGTTAAAATAGCTCGATCACATTCCAAGATTTAATGAATATATTCAAGATTTAATTTTTTTGCATACTAAGGTAAAATGTAAGCGAACAGTTTTTTAAAAACTTGGATGGGAAAAGATCTCTTCAGGCAGGAATCCAAAAATAGAAACATAAAAAGACATATTTATATGATTATCTAAAAATTCAAACCTCCTGTACATTATACAAGACAAAATGAAAAGCAAGTAAAATACGGAAGATATGTATGACATGCATGATAAGGTTAACAGTTTTAAACATGCTAAGAGATTACATAATACCTTTTTAAATGAGAAAGAACATATTATAATAATAGGCAATTCGGCCAGGCACCATGGCTCACGCCTGTAATCCCAGCACTTTGGGAAGCCAAGGCAGGCAGATTGCCTGAGCTCAGGAGTTCAAGACCAGCCTGGGCAATACGGCGAAACCCCATCTCCACTAAAATACAAAAAATTAGCCGGACGTGGTGGCATGTGCCTGTAGTCCCAGCTACTCAGGAGGCTGAGGCAAAAGAATTGCTTGAACCTGGGAGGCAGACGCTGCAGTGAGCCAAGATTATGCCACTGCACTCCAGCATGGGCGACAGAGCAAGACTCTGTCTCAAAAAAGTAATAATAAATAATAATAATAATATGCAATTGATGAAAGAAGTGCAAATGTGTAATACATATATAAAAAATTAACCTCATTCTAAACGGAAAAAAAAAACACAAGGCAATAAAATATAATGCCACTTTCAGGAATTTAACCTAAGCCTAAAGACAAGAGTTTATTCTCAACAATAAGGTAGTTAAATAAAATACAGCCATATCTATATGGCAGTACAAGTCTCCTTTCTCTCTTTTCATAAGTAAATAAATTGATTTAAATTTTCCACCAACTCCCCTTCCACACATCACTAGTATTTCACTACAATGAAGATAATGTTTTCAATTTTTTAATTTTAAGCAGCTAAAACTGGTATGCTTGAATGGGATGGACTTTAGGCCAAAACAGAATAAGGTAAACACAGAATGATTCAATGCAGAGCTGTCTCCCAAACTGTTAAATTATTTAGCTAATCATACAGCTCTTAGTCAAACCCAAAGTGATAGTAAACCCTCTAACTGCTTGTTTTCAAGGAAAAACTTAAGATATCCTACAAACTGACTATGCTGAGTACACAGCTCCCCCCACGCTCCCCCCAACCCCGCCCCAATGCAATCATTTAGTCAACTCAATTTTCTCATTAACAAAATGTTCAAATACAATGCAAGGACCTTTTAGCCAAAGGGGAAAAAAAAGTCAGTCTTTTTTTGTTTAGCACATTGGGAGGCTGAGGTGGGAGGGCTGTTTGAGGCCAGTAGTTCAAGACCACCCTGGGCAACATGGCAAGACCCTGTCTCTACAAAAAATAAAATTAGCTGGGGTGGTGGTGCATGCCTGTAGTCCCGGCTACTCAGGAAGATTCCTTGAGCCCAGGAGGTTAAGGCTGCAGTGAGCCATGATCATGCCACTGCACTCCAGCCTGGGCGACAGAGGGAAACCCCGCCTCAAAAAAAAAAGCCAAGCATGATGGATTATGCCTGTAATCCCAGAACTTTGGGAGGCAGAGGTGGGCAGATGGCATGAGCTCAGGAGTTTGAGACCAGCCTGGGCAACATGGCAAAACCCTGTCTCTACAAAAAATACAAAAATTAGCTGGGCATTGTGACATGTGCCTATGTTCTCAGCTACTTGGGAAGCTGAGGTGAGGGGATTGCTTGAGCCCAAGAAGTGGATGCTGCAGTGACCGGTGATTGTGCCACTGCAGCCTAAGCGACAAAGCAAGACACTGTCTCAAAAAAAAAAAAAAAAAAAAAAAAAAAAAAAAAAATTCATTCCCATCTGCTTAATACAACATACAAATTTTTAAATATAAAGCATGCCCTAAAAATCCTCTGTGCTCTGCCTATTTATCATTCCCTCTCCCCCTCCCCCTGGCAATCACTCATCTTTTTGCTGCCTCCATAGTTTTGCCTTTTCCCGAGTGTCATTTAGTTGGACTCATACGGTGTGTAGTCTTTTCAGATTGGGTTCTTTCATTTAGTATTATGCATTTTAAGTTTCCTCCATGTCTTTTCATAGCTTGATAGCTCATTTCTTTTTAGCACTGAATAACACATCACTGTCTGGATGTACCACAGTTTATTTATCCACTCACCTACTGAAGGACATCTGGGTTGCTTCCAAGTTTGGACAATTATGAATAAAGCTGCTATAAACATTCATGTGCAGGTTTTTGTGTAGACATAAGTTTTTTATTCATTTGGGTAAATACCAAAAAGCATGATGGCTGGATCATATGGTAAGAGTATGCTTATTAGTTTTGTAAGAAACTGCCAAACTGTCTTCCAGATTAGCTATATTATTTTGCATTCTCACCAGCAATGAATTCCCATTGCTCCGCATCCTCCTTGGCATTTGGTGTTGTCAGTGTTTTGGATCTGGCCATTCTAAAAGGTACACTGGTATCTCATTGTTGTTTACAAAGGATTTTTTAATTAAAAAATAAAAAGGCATTTGACTATATTTGAAGATATGCAAAAAACTTTCCCCACTTTTTTTTTAATTTTGAGACGGATTCTTGCTCTGTCGCCCAGGCTAGAGTTCTCCTGCCTCAGCTTCCCAAGTAGCCAGAATTACAGGTGCCCACCACTGCGCCTGGCTGATTTTTTTTTTTTTTTTTCATTTTTAGTAAAGATGAGGTTTCACCATCTTGGCCAGGCTGGTCTCGAACACTCCTGACCTCGTGATCCACCCGCCTCGGCTTTCCAAAGTGCTGGGATTACAGGCATGATGAGCCACTGTGCCCAGCCAAAACTTTCACATTTTTAAAAACAATCTTTGTTAGCCAGGTGCGGTGGCTCATACCTGTAATCCCAGCACTTCGGGAGGCTGAGGCGGGCAGATCACTTGAGGTCAGGAGTTCCAGACCAGACTGACCAACATCATGAAACACCGTCTATACTGAAAATAAAAAAATTAGCCAGGCATGATGGTGCACACTTGTAATCCCAGCTACTCGGGAAGCTGAGGCAGGAAAATCACAAACCCGGGAAGTGGGAGCTGCAGTGCGCCAAGATCGCGCCACTGCACTCCAGCCTGAGCAACAAAGCCAGGCTCCGTCTCCAAATAATCATCATCATCATCATCTTCAGCATCATCTTTGTCATATTTCTGATAGCCTAGCATGTTATCAACATTGAGAAAGCTATATATTACCTAAAGATATCTGCAAACTATCAAGATAAGTAACAAATGTGTACGGTTAAAAAAAAAAGCAAAGATTAATAAAATGAGAAAATACTGCCAAGTAGAGGAAGTAGTTTAAGAATACTTACAGATTCACAAAATAAATGGGTATGTAAAAAGTTCAGTGTCCATTTAAACATCCATATTTTCTTTGATCAAAAGCAGAACATTTATGGTTTTTTGTAAAATGTTTTGTTATTATAAGCCTAATACTAATGCATATAATTTCTCTAAGGCTCATTCTTCTGTTGTACTCATGATATTTTTCTAAGTTTTTTTTCATATTCTGATTGAGAAAAATTAATCTGATTTTGCTTGGGTATTATTTAAACAACAAATGGTAGGTATTTTTGACTGTAAATCACTCACATACCCATAATATTTTAAAAATCATTTGGTATTGTGAAAAATATTCCGATAAGGAAAACCTTGCATCTAAAGGAAACACTGCATGTTCTTAATTTATAGATTCAAGACCATATTCCTCCCAGAGAATATATATGTACATATATATATACTTGAAGCATAAATATATTCAAAAGCATGTTTAAAAACAAGGATACTTTACACTGTATTTACTCATCAGCTGTTCAATAATTTTAAATTCAAATAAAATTACCCAGAGTTACTTTACTTTGTTTAGAAGTGCCTAAAGGTCATTTATAAATGCCCATGGATAACAGATTATCCCCAAGCAGTAACATCCTGTCTTGAGATACAAAATACTTGTTTTCCCAACAACCTCTAGGCATAAGATAAATAGAATCATTAGTAAGTAAGCTATGTCTCTTCTTTTTGAAACCAAAGTGCAATGACATATAAAAAAGTATAGATTTGGGTGCTGTTAACCACCGATAACCTCCCTAGGTGCCTACATCCATGGCAACTATAGAGGCAAAAATTCTATACTTTAAGCCATCAGTTTGAACAATCAGCAAATTAAAAAAAATACAGACGCCCTTATTGACCAATCCCAGTGGCAGCAACTAAATCAAGTAGCTATGCTAAACTGAAAATATGAGAAAAATATATTAAGTAAAATTAATAGGCCAGGCAGTGGTTCACACCTGTAATCCCAGTACTTTGGGAGGCTGAGGTGGGCAGATGACCTGAGGTCAGGAGTTCAAGACCAGCCTGGCCAACATGGTGAAACCCCGTCTCTACTAAAAATACAAAAATTAGCTGGGCATGGCGGCATGCTCCTGTAATTCCAGCTAACTGAGGGGCTGAGACAGGAGAATCGCTTGAACCCAGGAGGCAGAGGTTGCAGTAAGCCAAGATCGTGCCATTGCACTCCAGCCTGGGTGACAGAGTAAGACTCTGCCTTAAAAAAAAAAAAAAAAAAAGACAAGTCTAGAAAGTATTGATTAGTAACTGTCATGGCTCTCTCCAAGAAATACTAACATAACAAATCACAGTTTTCTATGGCAGCACATACTGAAGTCCCCTCTAAAAAAGTGACTCTCGACCAGATGTGATTCTGCCCCTCAGGAGACATTTGGCAATGTTTAGAGATGGTTTTGGTTAACACAACTTGGGTGGCTTGGCAGGGGTGCTACTGGAATCTAGTAGGCAGAGGTCACAGATGCTGTTAAACACCTACAGAACTCAGGACAGCCCCCACAACAAGAAATATCTTGTCCCAAATGCCAATGGTGCTAAGGTTAAAAATCCCTGCACAAATATGACCTAAGCATGAGTCCAGAGTATAGTATCCATTGAAAAAAGCATTTAGAAAATCAAGTACCATGCAAAGAAATCATTGTCAGAGAGAAATGAAAAAGCCAGAGGTTATGAATTGTATTTATTTCCAAATTCTTCGTAAGAGATGATGATATTCTAGCCATCAAAAGTATCTCTGGATGCTGAGAAGCAGACAGCTATTCCACCAAAGGCTGAGCATCCCAGCAATTTCCAACTGGAGACAAATAATAGGATATAACTATCATTCAATGAGCACCAACCATGTGACAAACATTATCCATAGTGTTTTACGCGTCAGTAATCACAACTTTTAAGTTGGAGGTGCTTTAATTATCTTTATTTTAGAGTGGCATAAGCGCATTCTGAAATTTGCCTCTGGTCACATGGTTAGTGGGTGGCACAGTGGGATTTAACCCAAGCAGTCTGGCTCTACAGTCCCAGCAGCAGAGACTACATCATGCTGCCCCCGTCTCTTATGATGGACTTGGAAAACTCTGAGGACAGAGCAGGAGAACAGAGAAAAACTTGACAGGAATTCTGGGCATTTCCCTGAGTACTAAGCAGCAGCCACTGATTTCTGAGTGTTGGGTAGGGGAGCTGAGAAAGACATGGCCAACATGATTACTACAGAAACTGCTCAAGATTAGAAGACAGATAAGCTTTCTATGCAGTAAGAGTGTACAGGTATATGCGTTATAAATTTTACTAAAATGTCTCCCATGAAACTTAAAAATTGTAAAACAATTTTTGTTAATTTTATATAGCCAGCTGGGCGCAGTGGCTAACACCTGTAATCCCAGCACTATGGGAAGCTGCGGCGGGTAGATCAACTGAGGTCAGGGGTTCGAGACCAGCCTGGCCAACATAGTAAAACCCCACCTCTACTAAAAATACAAAAAATTAGCCGGGCATGGTAGTGGGCACCTGTAATCCCAGTTACTTGGGAGGGTGAGGCAGGAGAATTGCTTGAACCCAGAAGGCGGAGGTTGCAGTGAGCCCAGATCGCACCACTGCACTCAAGCCTGGCAACAGAGTAAGACTCTGTCTCAAAAAAAAAAAAAAAAAAAAAAAAAAGATTTTAGAAATAGAAGGAAAGAGAGATTATAGTCTTATAGTCTGGTAGTTCTCAACCTTGGTTGGCCTTTATGGAAGAAACAATACCAATTCCACATAAACTCTTCCATAAAGTTGAGGCAAACATTACCCTAATATCAAATGAAACAAGAGTGCAAGAAAACTATGGACTTCATGAACATAAATGCAAATAAAGTCTTTTTTGAAGTTTAGCAAATTAAATCCAGCAATATAAAAAAAAGAGTGATCCATCATTATACCAAGTGGTGACTACCCCAGTAATGCAAGCAAGGTTGATTTAACGTTCAAAATAATAAAAACCACCTATTAAGAAACTTAAAAGAATACACATGATCATCTCAATAGATACATAAAAAGCATCTGAAAAATCCAATGGCCATTCCTATTTAAAAAGAAAACCTTCATTTAAAAAATAAAAGTGAATTTACTTAGCCTGATAAATGGCATCAATGAAAAATCTATAGCTAACATTAATGGTGAAATTCTGAATGCTTTTCTCCTAAGATCAGAAACAGGGCAAGGATGTTAGCTCTCACTTCTATTGAAGTTTACACCAGACACCAGAAGTTCTAGCCCATGCAATCAAGCAAGAGAGAAGATATAAAAGTCATGGAGACTGGAAGGAAGAATTAAACTCATGTTTATTCACAAACAATAAATTATATATATGTAAAAAATCCTATAGAATCTACAAAAAATCTAACAGAATTAATGAATAGATTTAACAGGTAACAGAATACAAGATTAATATGTCCCCTGCAAAAAAATCAAGTGTATTTATTTCTACATACAGGTAACAAGCAAAAGTAAAAAAGAAATTTTTCTTTTTTTTTTTTTTTTTGAGACACTTTCCCTCTTGTTGCCTAGGCTGGAGTGCAATGGCACCATCTCGGCTCACTGCAACCTCTGCCTCCCAGGTTCAAGTGATTCTTCTGCCTCAGCCTCCTGAGTAGCTGAGATTACAGACATGCGCCACCACGGCTGGCTAATTTTGTATTTTTAGTAGAGACGGGGTTTCTCCATGGTGGTCAGGCTGGTCTCGAGCTCCTGACCTCAGGTGATCCACCCACCTCGGCCTCCCAAAGTGCTGAGATTACAGGTGTGAGCCACTGCACCCGGCCAGTAAAATTTTTTAAAGTATCATTTACAATGACATAAAAAAATAGAGATTAATATGAAAACAGATGTGCAAACCAGTTGACATGGTTTAGCTCTGTGTCCACACCCAAGTCTCATGTCCAGTTGTGGTTCCTAGTGTTGGAGGAGGGGCCTGGTGGGAGGTGACTGAATCATGGGGACAGACTTCTCCCTTGCTGTTCTCATGACAGAGTTCTTAAGACAGCTGGTTATTTGAAAAGTGTGTGGCACTTCCCCCTTCACTCCTGTTCTTTCTGTCTCTCTCCTGCTGGCCTTGTGAGGATGTGCCTGCTTCCCCTTCACCTTCCACCATGATTGTTAAGTCTTCTGAGGCCTCCCCAGAAGCAGAAGTCTGTACGGGGCCCACAGAACCATGAGCTGATTAAGCCTCTTCTCTTTATAAATTACCCAGTCTCAGGTATGTTTTTACAGCAGTGTGAGACTGGACTAATACACCAGTACACTGGAAACTATAACACATTACTGAGAAAAATTAAAGAACTAAATAAATGAAGACATACCTTATATTCATGGGTCAGAAGAATCAATATTAAGATGTTATTCTTCCCCAAATGATCTACAAATTTAACACAATCCCAGTGAAATACCTAAGGTGGTTTTTTTTTATTCATTGAAAGTGATCTTTTTTCTTTCCTTTTATCTTTAATAATTTCAGCTTTTATTTTAGATTCAGGGAGTACACATGCAGGCTTGTTACATGGGTATATTGCATGATGCTGGGGTTTAGGGTATGAATGATGGCATCACCCAGGTAGTAAGCATAATATCTAATAGGTAGTTGTTCAGCCCTGTTCCCCTCATGACATTTTTTTTTTATAGAAATTAACATGCTTATTCTAAAATATATATGGAAATTCCAAGGGCCTAGAAAAGCTAACGCTGAAACAACTTTGAAAAAGAAAAATAAAATTGGAGGATTTACACTATTGATATGGTCTGGCTCTGGGTCCCCACTCAAATATCATCTCAAATTGCAATCCCTATGTGTTGGGGGAGGTGCTTGGTGGGAAGTGATTGAATCATGGGGGAGGACTTCTCCCTTGCTTTTTCTTGTGATAGTGAGTTCTCATTAGAGATTGTTGCTTGAAGGGGATGTGTGGCACTTCCCCCTACACTCTCTCTCCTGCTCTGCCATGCTAAGACATGCTTGCTTCCCCTTCACCTTCTGCCATGATTCTACGTTTCCTGAGGCCTCCCAGTCATGCTTCTTGCCTGCGAACCAGGAGTCAATTAAACTTCTTTTCTTCATAAATTACCCAGTCTCAGGTATTTTTTACAGCAGTGTGAGAACAGACTAACAGAACTACGTAATTTCAAGAGTTATTACAAAGCTTCAGTAATCATGGCAATAAGGTACTGACAAAGATTAACATCAAGAGAACAGAGTCTAGAAACAAACACAAACATACATGGTCAATTAATTTTCAACAAAACTGCCAAGGACGCCAGGTGTGGTGGCTCATGCCTGTAATCCCACCACTTTGGGAGGGCAAGGAAGGCAGACTGCCTGACCTCAGGAGTTCGAGACCAGCCTGGACAACATGGCAAAACCCCATGTCTAACAGAGAAATACAAAAAAATTAGCTGGGCATGGTGGTGTCCCTGTGGTCTTAACTACTTGGGAGGCTGGGATGAGAGGATCACTTGAGCCTGGGAGGTCCAGGCTGCAGTGAGCCATGATGGTGCCGCTGCAGTGAGCCGTGATGGTGCCACTGCACTCCAGCCTGACAGAGGAAGACCTTGTCTCAAAAAAAAAAAAAAAAAAAAAAAACTGCCAAGGATATTCACTGGGGAGGATAATCTCTAACTAATAGTGGTAGAGCAATTAGATTACCATATTTTAAACAAACGAACCTCAAACTTTACCTCATACTATATAAAAAAAAAACAAAAACACAGTAGCCCCCCATCTCTGTCCCTTATCTACAGTTTCACTGCAGTTTGTAACCTGTAGCCAACAGGGTCAAAAGATATTAAATGGAAAATTCCAGAAATAAACAATTCACAAGTTTTAAATTGTGTGCCAGTCTGAGTAGTGTGATGAAATCTCCTGCTGTCTCTTTCAGTCCTGCTTGGACATGATTCATCCCTTTGTCCAGCATATTCACACTGTTTAGTATACCTGCCTATTAGTCAATCAGTATCTATCTCAGTTATCAGACTGTCAGTCTCACAGTGTGTTTAAGAAACCCTTATTTTACTTAATAATGGCCCCAAAGCACAAGAGTAGTGATGCTGGAAATTCAGGTATGCCAAAAAGAAACCATAAGGGGCTTCCTTTTTAAGTGAAATGGTGAAAATTCTCAATTTAATAAGGGAAGAAAAAAATCGTATAGTGAGGTTGCCAAAATCAATGGTAAGAATTAATCTTCCACCTATGACATTGTGAAGAAGGAAACAGAAATTCATGTGGTAACTGCAGTTTTAGGCATCCACTGAGGGTCTTGGAATATATATCCTCCACAAATAAGGGTGGGACTACTCTATGTTCAACATGGATCACAGGCCTAAATTTAAGAGCCAAAATTATAAAATATCTAGAAGAAAACACAGGAGAAAACCTTGGTGACTATGAGTTTCGCAAGGATATCTTCAACACCAAAACAAAAGCATGATCCATAAAACAAAAAATTGATAAATTAGACTTTCAAGAACTTTTGCTCCTTGAAAAACATTATTAGGAAAATAGGCTAGGCATGGTGGCTCCTGTCTGTAATCCCAACATTTTGGGAGGCCAAGGAAGGAGAAGCACTTGAGACCAGGAGTTCAAGACCAGCCTGGGCAAATATAGCAAGACCCCGTCTTTACAAAGTAATACAAAATCAGCCAGGAGCCTATAGTCCTAGTTACTCAGGAGGCTGAGGCAGGAGGACTGCTTGAGCCCAGAGGCTGCAGTGAGCTATGATCGTACCATTGCACTCCTGCCTTGACAACAGATTGAGATCTTGTCTCTAAAACAAATAAATAATTTTTTTAAAAAAAGAAAATAACCCACACACTGGGAAAAAATATTTACAAATCATGTATATGATAAAGAATGTATATCCAACATAAAGAACTGTCAAAATTCAGTAATAAAAAAAATTTCTAATGGGCAAAACATTTTAATAGACACTTCACCAAAGAAGATATATTGATGGTAAAAAAGTACATAAGATGCTTTAGTCATTAGAGAAGTGAAAATTAAACCACAATGAGATTCTACTCTATACTTTGGCCTATTAGAATGGCTAAGTTTTTAAAAAACCGAGCCAAGAAAACAACCGGAACTTTCATACACTAAAGATGAGAATGCAAAATGCTACAACTTTGGGAGAAAGTTTGAAGGTTTCTTAAAAAGGTAAACAGGCCAGGCACGGTGGCTCACACGTATAATTGCAACACTTTGGGAGGCCGAGGTGGGAGGATTGCTTGAGCCAGGAGTTCAACATGAGCCTGGGCAACATAGTTAGACCCCATTTCAATTAAAAAAAAAAAATAGCCAGGCATGGTGGTGTGCACCTGTGATCCCAGCTACTAAGGCAGCCGAGGTAGGATTGCTTGAGCCTGGGAGGTCAAGGCTAGAGTGTGCCATGATCACACAACTGCATTCCAGCCTGAGTGAAGGAGCAAGACCCTATCTCAAAAAAAGAAAAAAAGTTAAATATGCAGCTACCATATGACCCAGACATTCCACTCCTAGATATTTACCCAAGATAAATGAAAACATTTGTTCACCCAAAGATTAAACTGAACTCAAATGTTCTTAGAGCTTTATTTATAACAGCCCAAAACTGGAAACTGTTGAACAGGCCAGGCACAGTGGCTCATGACTGTAATCCCAACACTTTCGGAGGCCAAGGTGAGAGGATTGTTTCAGGCCAGTAGTTCAAGACCAGCCTGGGCAACACATCAAGTCCCTGTTTCTACAAAAAACAAACTTTGCTGGGAATGGTGGCACGCACCTGTAGTCCCAACTGCTCAGGAAGATCACTTGAGCCCAGGAGGTTGAGGCTGCAGTGAACCACGCTAATGCCACTGCACTCCAGCCTAGGCTAGTATAAACAAGGTCAAAAGTAATATGTTCAGGATGGGTGTGGTGGTTCACGCCTGTAATCCCAGCACTTTCGGAGACCGAGGCAGGTGGATCACCTGAGGTCAAGAGTTCGAGACTAGCCTGGCCAACATGGTGAAACCCCGTTTCTACTAAAAATACAAAAATTAGCTGGGCGTGGTGGTGGGCGCCTGTAATCCCAGCTATTCAGGAGGTGAGACAGGAGAATTGCCTGAACTCAGGAGGCAGAGGTTGCAGTGAGCTGAGATTGTGCCATTGCACTCCAGCCTAGGTGAGGGGAGTGAAACTCCATCTCAAAAAAAAAAAAAAAAAAAGGAACATGTTCAGACCCAAACTAAGAAGTTGCAAGGGTACCTGTAAAAGGATCACATATCATCTATTATAAGCCAAGTGTATGAGAGCTCTTTCATTCAAAGTAACAAATCCTCTAGAAAAAGTAGATTTAGTCCATGTTTTAATGTGGAAAAAAACTGAAGTAACATTCTAACACTTCATATGAAATCCTTCATCTTTTTCCTTTTCCTACCTTCCAATTTCGGGCTCTGCCTCTCTGGTAGTACATGGCAAATCCAAGAATTGAGTATTTTTTCACAAATTTAATATCTGTTTATATAAACAATCACCTGTACATAAAACTAAGCATGTTATACTCCATCAAAAAAAAAAACTAATTCAAGAAATTGGTTTTAATTACCAGAAAACTGAACTTGATAGTATCAAAAACTGAACTAATGAATCCTTTTCATAAAGCTAATTACTTTAGCTTTTCTATTTCTTCAGGAAAATATTTTAAATTAAGTCTTACACAAAGGCCAGGTATTATGGCTCACACCTATAATCCCAGCACTTTCGGAGGCCAAGGTGGGAGGACTGCTTGAGCCCAGGCGTTCAAGGCCAGCCTGGGCAACATAGTGAGACCCTAACTCTACCAAAAAAAATTTTTTTTTTTAAAGTAGCCAGGCACAGTAGCATGTGACTGTGAGTGAGCACCAGCTTCTTGGGAGGCTTAGATAGGAGGATTACTTGAGCCCAGGAGGTCAATGAGCTTATAATTACACCACTGCACTCCAGCCTGTGAGCGACAAAGCAAGACCCTGTCTCTTAAAAAAAAAATTAAAAAAAATAAAGTCTTGTATACAAAGTTTTGAACAATATGAAAGTCTGAATAGCTGTAACAGCCATCCCATACTTTTGAACTGAACCAAATTATACAATATTTTAATGTTAGATAAACATAAAAGTTGTGTAAAGAGGTGTTAAAACTAGTATGACTATTCTGAGAAGCAGGGTTTAGAATGTGTATAAGCCATATCTGAAATCTACAAGTCTCCATTAAAAACAGTAGAGTAAAACAGAAAAATCTTAGTAGCCCAACTGTCTGAAATAAAACTTGATAAAGTATAAAGAAAAGCTCCATCCAGGAGAGGGTTCCAAGGTACCAACATCTTAATTACAAAAGGATGTAAAAGAAAGTTAAGGCCAATGCTGACTCACACTGATCCAAAACAACTAGCATTAAACAAAGAGCTAACCCTTAACTTTTTGGCATGAATAAAATGCCTACAAAAGTATCCACTCTACTCATATAAATGACTGCCAAGAAGGTGGTGCTTTGTATTGAGCAGAAAGGTTAGAAGGGAAAGGGTGTCAACTTTAAAATTGCTCCTAAAATAGTTGATTAGAAGGATAAAGAACAAGAGAACTTACAATGGCTTTGAGTCAAGCTTGGTTCCAGGAAAAGGATACTCTGACCCTACGTGAAAGCAAAAACCAGCCACTGAAAAGTAGACACCCAGATTTTGCCAGCAGAAGGAAGAGTATTGTTCATTTCCCACAAAGGTAGCAGAGTCTTTAACTTCAATTCCTAGGTTTTCCTGGCAAATAGATACTCTGCAAAAGCAACAAAGCAAACTAAATATAATGCTCTTCACAATTTCAATCCTGCACTCACAACGCCAGCTTCACAAACTCATCAAAGGTCACAGAGGAGCTAATTTCCTGTTTTGTTACTTAAAACTCATTACCTTCCTCCTGAGCTAACCAATACAGAATAATTTCCTTCTTGTTTTGAAGCTGACAAAATAATGACAGTATACATGTAACATACCAAAAAAAATTTTTAGACAGTTACTAAGAGTCAAGGAATACAGTTTGATATAATTTTCTGAAAACAAATTGCACAGAATCCATGTCTATTATTACTCCACTTGAGGAATATTTATTTTTCTTAACAAATTTTAAAACCTTTATTTTGAAGTTATTTTACCAGAAGATAAAAATTGGGGGGGGGGGAGAATGAAACATTTTATAAATATTTATCAAAAACCCATTATAAGCCATGCACCTTGCATGTGCCTGTAGTCCCAGCTACTCAGAAGCTGAGGCAGGAGGACTGCTTGAAGTCAGGAGCCCGAGGCTATAGCAAACTATGGTCACATCTGTGAATAGCCACTGTATTCCAGCCTGGGCAATATAGCAAAAACTATGTCCCCCTGTCCTAAAATCCTCATAGTCCAGGAAACAAGATGAGAAAAATGTAAACAATGACTACCATGTTGTAAACATTTATTTCCCATTTCTTTCTAAAATGTATTTAAAGTTGCTTTCCCCAAAAGAAATATAACAGTTTATACATA
Organism: Homo sapiens; assembly: GCF_000001405.40. Classification (NCBI taxonomy): domain Eukaryota; kingdom Metazoa; phylum Chordata; class Mammalia; order Primates; family Hominidae; genus Homo; species Homo sapiens. The sequence goes on from NC_000004.12 coordinate 77,802,046, forward strand.
ATTTTAATTTAGTGAAGAATATGTGTAAATTCCATTAAAGTCCATTATAATGCTACTAAGAAGATTCCAATGGAGCAGTAGTTCTAATACAGGTTGATGATTGTGAGGTGTGTTACAAATACAGTAATTTGTAACTATTAATAGTAAAAATTACCTAAATTTATGTACACCTTATACATACAATATAAATATACTGTATGTCAGCATTGATTCTCTATCCTCTTACCAGTATTCCAACAATAAGAAGAGTAGAGTTACAACTATTTCTCCCAAATATTACAAATCATGATGGATACATGTTGCATATGCACATATCCTTTAGGTATGTTATATAGGTTTTAGTCTTCTTTGTATTAAAATATGCCTCTTATCATGCTACTAAAAAATGTTTTCATTAAACATAAATTACTTCCTAATTACTAAATGAATTTTCAATCTCCTTTTCAGACAGTACTCATCCCACATGGCTTCTCTGACTTTGAAAACTAAGGGCAACATTATTTCTTGAAACTTTCCCCTCCCTTATCTTCTGGACCAGATTTTAACTAGACTGATAGAAGATGGAGTTTATGGGTGAGAGAGAAAAGAAAACATGCACTGAACACCCAGTATGTGGCCAGATGGTATGCTAGAGAATTTGAATTATTGCATTTAACTTAACCAAAAGCATAGACCCTAATTATCAACTATCATTTTACAGATGAGGAAGGTGAGATACAGAGAAGTTGTGCAGACATCTAACACCTCACAGCTAGTAAGTGGCTAGACGGGAATCTGAACATAGTTAAGACCAACTACAAAAACCAAGCTTCTACTAAATCATGCCAAATTTTAGACATTCCCAGAAGAAAATGCGGAGAAAATATTTTATAATCTTGGGGTGCAGAAAACTTATTCTAAGCAAGGCAAAGACCTTTTATAAGGAATGATAAACAGTATTTTAAAAATTTAATGTCTATAAGGCAAAGAGCAAAGTCATAAACAAAGTCAAAAAACAAACAAGAAACTGGAACAAAGTCTCTGCAATATTGATAATGAGCAATAAGGTAATGTTTCTAAAATGTAAACAGCTATTAACAAAGTAATAAGAAAAACAGAGACACCCAATAGAAAAATTTAGGGTAAAGGTCATGATCAGGCAAATCACAAAAGAATGCAGTGGCCAAAAAAAATGTGAAAAAAAAAATTATCTCCACTATAATTAACAAATTCCAAAATTTAAAATATGTATGACTTTTTGTTATTAAAATGACAAAAATTAATTATGTGAATATGAGTTTGAGAAAATAAGCATACATCACACAATTGTTGGGAGTAAAATTTTATAAAACATTTCTAAAGGGCAATCTGACAAGATGTATCAAATATTAAATGTGTAATTACTTTGATCCAGCAATTCCTTTCCTAAAAATTTATACTTTAAAAAAGTGTGCAAAAGGTGTTTATACAAGTTTTTTCACTGCATTAGTGTTGATAATCATCAAAAATACAGAAATAAATTGTCAATCAACAGGGGACTGAATGACAGGACATCAATAAAATGGATTACAATGAAGCCATTAAAAAGCAGGAGGTAGGGCAGGTGCGGTTGCTCATGCCTATAATCCCATCACTTTGAGAGGCCGAGGCAGGTAGATAACCTGAGAACGGCAGTTCAAGACCAGCCTGACCAACATGGAGAAACCCCATCTCCACCAAAAATACAAAATTAGCCGGGTGTGGTGGCACATGCCAGTAATCCCAGCTACTCGGGAGGCTGAGGCAGGAGAATCGCTTGAACCCGGGAGGCCAAGGCTGCAGTGAGCCGAGATCATGCTATTGCACTCCAGCCTGTCAACAAGAGCGAAATTCCGTCTCAAAAAAAAAAGAAAAAAGCGTGAGGTGTGGAAATGTAAAACAGCGCTGCTACTGTGGAAAAGTTTGTCAATTCCTCAAAAAGTTAAAACACAGAAATACGTATGACCCAGCAATTCCACTCTTAGGTATACACCCAAGAGAAATGAAAACATACGTCTTCACAAAACCATATACATGAATTATTTATAATAACCAAGTATGTATAATAATATATTGTTCACTCATAAAAAGGAATGAAATATTGGCCGGGCACAGTGGTTCATGCCTGTAATCCCAGCACTTTGGGAGGCCAAGGTGGGCAGATCACCTGAAGTCAGGAGTTTGAGACCAGCCTGGCCAACATGGTGAAACACCGTCTCTACTAAAAATACAAAAAATGAGCCAGGCGTGGTGGTGGGCTCCTGTAATCCCAGCTACTCAGGAGGCTTAGGCAGGAGAACTGCTTGAACCTGGGAGGCGGAGGCTGTGGTGAACCGGTATCGTGCCACTGCACTCCAGCCTGGGTGATGCAGCAAGACCCCATCTCAAAAAAAAAAAAAAAGGAATGAAATACTGTTATATGCTACAACATGAATCTTGAAAATATTATGCTAAGTGAAAAAAGCAGACACAGTCACATATTATATGATTCTACTTATATTAAATGACTAGAAGAAGCAAATCCATAGAGACAGAAAGTAGACCAGAAATTGTCAATGGATGGGGTAACTGGAACTAACTGACATAAAATATGAGGTTTCTTTTGTGGGTGATGGAAATGTTCTGGAATTTGCTTGTAGTGGTGGTTGGCAACATACTGAATGTACTAAAACCACTAAAATATACACTTTAAAATGGTGAATGTTTGTGTTATGTAATACATATCTCAACTTTCATCCTACAATTTTTTAAAGCATGAGGTGTATTTATTAATGAAAAAAGATGTTTTCAAATGAAAAAAAAGCAAATTTTTAAAAAAGTATACACAGTATGAACCTATTTTAGTTATGTTTTTGTGGTTATGTAAGTATATATTGACCAGAAACAGGTAACAGTACTACCACTTAGCCTTGAACAACATGGGTTTGAACTGCACAGGTTCACTCGTGGAGATTTTTTTTAACCAAACACAGATGGAAAATATAGCACTTGTGAGATGAGAAACCCATGTATATAGAGGGCCAATTTTTCATATACATGGCAGGACCTGAGTATGTATGCATGGATTTAGGCATACACAAGGGTCATGGAGCCAATCCTCTCTATACCAAGAAACTACTGTATATATTATACTGCTAACAAGCTTGATCGCCATGAAGCAGGATAACCAGAAAATTATGCGTTTTATTACCATTTGAATTTTTTTTTACAAAGAGTACATATTATTTCCCAAAACAGACATGATGCAATAAAAATACTACCATCTGCAAAGAAAAGTACATTACTATGACAAAAATACACAGAAGAAGAGTAAAACAGGAGCTAGTACAAGCAAAGGTAATTAACCTAGGTTCCATAAATCTCAGGAAACCTGTGAATTTATATAGAAAAAAAATTACATCACCATTTTCACTAATCTCTAAAATTTTCACACAAACCTAAACAATCAACCATAATAGTATTAGCAGTACCTGTGATTTCTGTCACTAACAGAAGTACATTTTCATTTCATATTATAGTTGTTACAGAAATCTCAAAATATCTATATGTACCAGTATTACAAAATTATGGTAGCTATTAGACTCATTGCAAGACGTTACTTAACAGTATTAGTAGAGAAGCATATATATTACTATATCATATTTTGGCATTTCAATATAACAAGTTCCTTTCAAGTCCTATTTACTTTATTTCACTCATTTAAAATTGTCATTCTACATTGGATTCACAGCCTTCTCCAGACTGAAGAAAGGTCCACAGCACCAAAGATTAAGAATCCATGAATTAGCAACAGGAAGGGAAACCAATCATAAGAGTATTCTAATTATTCAAGCATAAAGTAAGCAGAGCCCAAATTCAGGCAACGATAGAAATCACTCCAATAGAATTCACAGTAATCAATTTAACCAACATAAAATACACAATTTCCTTCCTTGACCTGCCTCTTCCGTTTTTCTCATTCGTCTCTGACTTCCTCATAGTCAATCATTGACTTATCACTTTATATTTTAACTTTTTTTAAAAGGCCTCCTTCTTCCCAGTCCCATCTCCTCAACTGATGGTGAATACCTCAACTAGATTAATCTTAAAAAATTAACTTCAGGCCGGGCACAGTGACTCACGCCTATAATCCCAGCACTTTGGGAGGCTGAGGCCGGCGGATCACCTGAGATTGGGAGTTCGAGACCAGCCTGACCAACATGGAGAAACCCCATCTCTACTAAAAATACAAAATTAGCCGGGCGTGGTGGCGCATGCCTGTAATCCCAGGTACTCAGGAGGCTGAGACAGGAGAATCGCTTGAACCTGGGAGGCGGAGGTTGCAGTGAACCAAGATCGTGCCACTGCACTCCAGCCTAGGCAACAAGAGCAAAACTCTGTCTCAAAAAAAAAAAAAGATTAATTTCAAACTGCCACCAACCTGTTCAAAATCATTCCATGGTTCCCAATGTCTTTAATAGTAGTACTGATAATTATGATATTCTAGAGCTACATCTTGCAGTATCTATTAATCAAAACAATTGTTTAGGTAATGAATGTTCTATAAAATACCTAAAGCAATATTACAACATACAATTTGTGTATTAAGAGAACCCAAGTTATGGATTTAAAAAACACCTGCTGCTCTAGAGTTGAAAGCTTTGTATCAATGACTCCAGAACAAAATTAAAATTCCTTACCAAGATATTCAAGCCCCTCCACGATCATTCTCCAATTTGCCTTATTAACCTCATGTTCCCACTCGAGCCCTAGAAGTTAACCAGAAATTTACTTACTTTCCCACTCACCACCACCCCTGAACCTGGACTCATTTTTCTGCAACTATAGATCTGCTGATATGATTTCCATGTCTGTAATGCCATTTAATTATTCATTCATTTAATAAACACTTTCAAATTCCCAACTATATGCCAAACTCTGTATTAAGCCCCTACTATGTATCAAACACTTGAGCTACAAAGGTAAGGCATATATCATCTATGCCCTTAAAAACCTCACAATCTTTTGTATTTTTAATAGAGAGGGGATTTCACCATGTTGGCCAGGATGGTCTCGATCTCCTGACCTGGTGATCCGCCTGCCTTGGTTAGCTGGGCATGGTGGTGTGTGCCTGTAATCCCAGCTACTCGGGAGGCTGAGGCAGGAGAATCGCTTGAACCAGGGAGTCAGAGGTTGCAGTGAGCCGAGATCGCGCCACTGCATTCCAGCATGGCGACAGAGTGAGACTCCATCTCAAAAAAAAAAAAAAAAATCCTACAATCTAAGGCTACAGGGAGAGGATCTGTTGAGCTCAGGAATGCAAGGTCAGCCCGGGCAACATAGCAAAATCTCCATCTCTTAAAAAAAAAACTCACAGTCTAACGCAAAACGGAGACATAAACCCAAGTTAAACACAAGGCAATGTAGTAAGTGTTATGAATGAAGAATGCACAGAATGCTAGAGGAGCACAGAAAAAGTTCATAAAGCAAGGACTACAAGTACCAAGTAAGGTTTCCCAAAGTAGGAAGTACCAGAGGCAGATTATTAAAGAAATCAATGAGGTCATAAAGTATAAGGTATTGTAGGCATATATAAAGCACAGACCACGCTGTAAGTCACTCACTACAGCTAGGCTAGGGAATATGTGAGAGAGAGTAGTAACAAATACGAAAACTAGAAAAGTAAGCAAAGACAAGATCATCAAGGGCCTTACACATAATGCTAAGAAATTTGCATCTTATTTAAAAGTAATAGGAAGCAGCAAGATATCTTAGGAAGTACACAGGTTTAGGTATTCCAATGGCCTCAATCTGTCACTTACTTGACCTTCATCAAATCTGCCTCTCTAAGCTTCAATTTCCTCAACTGTGAAGTAGAAATAATATCAACTTTACCAGGATTGTTACAAGAAGAAATGAGTTAGTTCACGTAAATCTCCTTGCATAGGGGTCAGTCAATAAGCTGCATCCAGACTGATTTGGCAGCAAAGAATGGTTTTTACATTTTTAAAGGATTGTGAAAAAAGAATTACAACAAAAATTAAAGGATTGTTAAAAAACAAAAAAATTACAGCAAAAAAGAATATGCAACAGAGATCTTGCATGACCCAAAAAGCCAAAATATTTACATCTGTCCCTTCATAGAAAAAAGCTTGCTAGGCCTGGCGAGGTGGCTCATTCCTGTAATCCCAACACTTTGGGAGGCTGAGGCAGGTGGATCATTTGAGGTCAGGAGTTCGAGACCAGCCTGGCCAACGTGGTGAAACCCCATCTCCACTAAAAATACAAAAATTAGCCGGGTGTGGTGGTGTGCGCCTGTAATCCCAGCTTCTCGGGAGGCTGAGGCAGGAGAATCGCTTGAACCTGGGAGGTGGAGGTTGCAGTGAGCTGAGATCGTGCCACTGCACTCCAGCCTGGGTGAGAGTGGGACTCTGCCATCTCAAAAAAAAAAAAAAAAAAAGAGAAGAGAAAAGAAGAGAAGCTTGCTGTCTCCTATCCTAGCCCACAGTAGGTAACCAGAAAACAGTAACTATTATTATTAAAGGACTGTAAGCAGAGAATTTAAGCAATGTGGGATGAATTTTACAAGGATTTCTCTGGTGACAATGTGTACAAAGGAAAAGATGTTAAAGGAGATATAATGGAAGTTGTAGACTAGCAAGGAAGATATTACAGTAGTCTATTAATTTTTTCCCTGCCTTTTTTCTCATCATAAAGGCAAGAGCAACATCTATCTCCTCTCTTACTTATCCCTGTAGTTTAAAATCCATATGTACTCTGTATGTCATAGCACTTAATGTTAGTCACTTAGCATATTCTGCCTTCACCTGTTTACTAGATCCAGACTTAAACATCCTATAAATGTAAGCATTATAGTATAAGAGTGTTTTAAATTCAAATAGATCTGGTTGTAATCTTGGGCACGTTAATTAACTTCTTTCCTAATAAGAAACAGTAATAGTGTACGTGTATTGTTTTTTAGTTTGGTTTTTTACTACAGATGTGCCAGGTAGTGTCCTAAATACTTTACAGGACTACATCATTTAATCCTCACAAAACTCTACGAGATAAGGAATATTATCTCCCTATTACAGATGAGAAAACTGAAGCATAGAGAAGTTAAATGAGTTTCCGTAGAGCTGGAAAGTGGAGGACCCAAGGCTCACTTTCTTAACCAGCTTCAGAATGAGAATCATACTGCCTCTCTCATAGGATTTTCATGAAGAATAATTTAGATTACACATTTAAAGGGAAGGAGGGGAGTGGCTTTTCACATTCCTTGGTACTCAGTAGTCAAAAAAATATTAGCTCCATTCCCTGGTAGAAAGATTATTCTACATTTCTTTTTATTCCCCAGAACCCTGAATACAATAGTCTATAACAAATAGAAGCTTAATAAATATTAATTAACAGGTTATATTTTGGTGATTCAAATTCTGACAGTGTTTCAAGGCTACCATTCTGTATATAACTCACATTATGTTGTTTCATAAAATTATATGTAGATATTGCAGAAGATTGTACTAAATATGAACCTATAGAAGAATATACCCTGTTAAGTAATTTCTGAGTTTTGCTTTGTTAAATATGATAAACATTATGATCAGAAAGCAATGGATATATGAGATTCCAACAAAGTCTTTGTATAGAGAGACATTAAGGTTGGGATATACTAAATTTAGTTCTATTCTTTTAGCAGTATTTGTAGCTGGTATTATGTAACTCTAATTTATGTTACTCATTTAGGAAATCTATTTAAGTAATATGGGAAAGAGAAAAATAGAGTTTAAACTTTAAGATTAGAGAGGGAGGTTCTCTCTGCAAAAGATGAATATAAGGAACATAAAGTGTTTTAATCTCTATTTTGTGTCACCAATTTCAATTGTTAATAAATGAAAACAATATTTGAAAGCCCCAAATTACCAGGCATCTATTCAGTACAAATGACGAGTTTCTCATTTGTCTTATTTATTAGACTACTTATTTCTTTAAAAATAATAATAAATTGTATCTGTATCAAAATTTTAAAGCGGACTAAAAATAATGAAAACTAATAAACCTGTTACAAAACAAAAATTCTATTACCACTTTCCAATTTCACCTGTTAACAGGAATATTCTTAGCTAAACTCAAAGTTATCTTAACTTCTGAGAACTATACATGAAAGACAAAAATAAAAATTTTTAAAAATATTTATCTGATCAGAATGTGGATGCATGGGAACACAATTAAAATTTCAAAAAGTAAACAAAGGGTAATCACCACATCAAAGTGAAACACAACTTTACCTTACTGAGCAAAGTTTCATATGAAATTTGTTAAATTTTTTAGAAAATTATAAAGAAAACTTGTAAAAACAAAGCCATTGATGCTGAAATGTTTAGGGTGGGAGAATGTCAGCTGACAGCTAGATTCAAAGTACATTAAACTAAACATAAAATTTTTTATTAACCATACCCCCAATATGGCAAAGGTTTGCTTACTTTTTAAATTTTTTAATTGGCACATAATTGTATATATATATGGGATACACAGTGATGTTTCCATACATACAATGTGTAGCGATCAGATCAAGGTAATCAGCATATCCATCATCTCAAACATGTATCATTTCTTTGCATTTGGAACATTCAATATTTTCCTCCTAGCTATTTGAAACTACATAATAATATTGTTAACTATAGTCATCCTACAGTGCTACAGAACACTAGAACTTACTCCCCCATCTAGCTATAATTTTGTACCCTTTAACAATCTCTCTCCCTAGCCCTCTTCCCCCTACCCTTTCCAGCCTCTAGAATCCTCTTTTCTACTTTTTACTTCTAAGAGATCGACTTTTTTTGGCTTCCACCTAGAAGTGAGAATACGTGGTGTTTTACCTTTCTGTTCCTGGCTTATTCCACTTAACACAGTGTCCTCTAGTTCCATCCAAGTTGCCAAGAATGACAGGATTCCATTCTTTTTGAAGACGGATTTCATTCTTTATGGCTGAAGTATTCCACTGTGTTCACTTCTTTGTAAGTCCATGGTTGGCACTTCATTTATGATTTAGTATCTTCTCTGATGCCCTCCAAACCTAGCTATCAAGCTATTCAGTAAGAAATTCTCCACACAATTTTTAGTATTTTTCAAAAGAAAGGATACTTCCACTGCTCAAAAAATCTTAATTATACAGATCAGTAAAAGATTAAGTGCTCTCCAAATGTGCATGTGGACTGATGGGAAGATGATTAAAGATCAAGAAAGGGTCGGGCGCGGTGGCTCACACCTGTAATCCCAGCACTTTGGGCAGCTGAGGCGGGCAGATCACAAGGTCAGGAGTTCGAGACCAGCCTGGCCAACATAGTGATCTCTACTAAAAGTACAAAATCCCGTCTCTACTAAAAGTACAAAAATTAGCCTGTAGTCCCAGCTTCTCAAGAGGCTGAGGCAGGAGAATCACTTGAACCTGGGAGGCGGAGGTTGCAGTGAGCTGAGATCAGGCCACTGCACTCCAGACTGGGCGATAGAGCAAGACTCCGTCTCAAAACAAAAACAAGAAAGGAATGGGGAAGAAAGGGAGAGGGAAAAAGAGGAAAATCTAGCCCCTCTTCCTCCAGCAAGATAAGCATTATTATCTGCCCCTTATTACCTGACATAGCATCTTTATTTTTCTAATCCACATTTCACAATTCTCTCAAAACTCAATCCTAACACTCTCTCACAAACACACACACTCACACAAACAAACACTCAACAATCTAGGAAATGAACTTCCTCAACCTGATAAAGGCTATTAATGAAAAACTTATAGCTCACTACTTTCCGCACACTGCCTGCCTATGGGCTAGCCTTTCTCCGCAAGGAGCAGTTTAAAAAAAAAAAAAAAAAAAATCACAGCTAACATCTACTTAATGGCAGAAGATGGAATGTTTTCCCCCTAAGACTGGGAACAAGACAAGGATTGCTGCAACTCAAGTGACTTCTCTTGACATTTCTTTTCAGTAATGTTCTGGAGGTTCTATCCAGGGCAATTAAGCAAGAAAAGGAACTAAAATGCATCCATATTGGAAAAGCAGAATTGAAACTTCATTTGTTTGCAGGTGACATGATATTTGTATGTAGAAAATCTTATGGAATCCACTTAAAAACTATTAGAACTGGCCGGGTGCAGTGACTCACACCTGTAATCCCTGCACTTTGGGAGGCTGAGGCAGGTGGATCACGAGGTCGGCAAGACCAGCCTGGCCAACACAGTGAAACCCCATCTCTACTAAAAATACAGAAATTAGCCAGGCATGGTGGCAGGCACCTGTAATCCCAGCTGCTCAGGAAGCTGAGGCTGGAGAATCACTTGAACCCAGGAGGCAGAGGTTGTAGTGAGCCAAGACAGTGCCATTGCACTCCAGCCTGGGCGACAGAGTGAGACTCCATCTCAAAAAAAAAAGAAAAAAAAAACTATTAGAACTAAGAAATTCAGCAAGGTTGGAGGATACGAGATCAACAAACATAAATCAAGTGTATTTTTATGCACTTGTCATGCAAAAACCCCCCAAATTTTTTTTAATTCCATTTACAATATCATCTGGAAGAATAAAATACTTGGGAAGAAATGCAGCAACAGAAGTATGAAACTTATATTCTGAAAACTATGAAACACTGTTGACACTTAAAGACGATCTAAATAAATAGAAAAACATCCCATGTTCATGGACAGGAAGCCCTAATATTCAGATGGCAATGGTCCCAAAATTGATGTACAGATTTAACACAATCCCCATCAAAATTCCAGCTGACTTCTTTGCAGAAACTGACAAGCTGATCCTAAAATTGATATGGAAACACAAGAGATTCAAATAGCCAAAACAATCTTGAAAAAGAAAAAAAGAGTTTTTCATTTTTTCTTCTCAAAAGGAAAAACTTTGAGAGGTTTGAGGACTCAGACCTCTCAATTACAAAGCTACAGTAGTCAAGACCATACTAGTATAAGGATAAACATATAAATCAATGAAATAGAATTAAAAGTCCAGAAATAAATCCTCCACACTTACAGTTAATTAATTTTGGACAGGGGTGATGATACAATTCAATGGAGAAAGAACAGTCTTTTCAATAAATGGTACTGGGGCAACTAAGTACCCACAGGCAAAGAGATATTAGACTTCTACAACAGACCATGTACAGAAATTAATTCAAAATGGATCAAAGATCTAAATGTAAGAGTTAAGGCTATAAAACTCTCAGGACAAAACAGGGAAGTAAATATCTGTGGCCTTAGATTAGATATATTAGATAGATTAGAAATAGATTAGATATAGATTAGAAATAGATATATTAGATAGATTAGCTAGATTAGAAACAAGAAGTCATTATTTCTTAGATACGACACCAAAAGCACAGCAAAAATAATAACAAGAATTTCACTTCATCAAGCTAAAAACGTTTGTGCCTCAAATGACACCATCAGGAAAATGAAAAGACAACTCACAAAATGGAGGAAAATATTTGCAAATCATATATAAGGGACACATCTAGAGTATAAAAAAGACTCTTACAACTCAATAATTAAAAAACTCATTATAAAAATGGGCAAAGAATTTGAGTCTTTTCACACACTTCTCTCCAAAGAGGATATACAAATGTCCAACAGCACATAAAAAGCATCATTAGCCATCAGGGAAATGCAAATCAAAACCAGGATCAAATCACACCTGCTAGAAGAACTATGATGAAAAAAGGAGATAATAACAATTGTTGGCATGAAGTGGATAAATTAGAGCTCTCATACACTGCTGATGGAAATGTAAAATACTGCGACTGCTTTGGAAAGCAGTCTAGAAGTTCCTCAAAAGTTTAAACACAAAGTGGTATATGTTCCAGCAATTCCACTCTTAGGTACACACCCAAAAGAATTCAAAACATACATACATAAGAACTTGTACATGAATGTTCACAGCGGCATGATTTATAATGATAGCCAAAAAGTCTATGTCCATCAGCTCATGAATAAGATAAATGTGGTGTATTCTTATGCTGACATACTATTCAGCCATTACAAGAATGAAATACTTGCTATGACACGGATGAACCGTGAAAACACGGTAAGTGAAATATGCTTATCATAAACGACCATATATTAAGATTGCATTTGTACAAAATGTCCAAAATTGGCCAAATCTATAGAGAAAGGAAGTAGTAATTGCCTAGAACTAGGGGCATAAGAGAATGAAGGGTGACTCTTGAAAGATACAGGATTTATATTTTAGGTAATGAAAATGTTCTAAAATTAACTATGGTGATGGTTGCACAATTGTTAATATACTAAAAACTACTGAGTTGTACAATTTAAATGGATACTTCTAAGGTATCTAAATTATACCTCATAAAAGTTGTCCAAAAAAAAGCAACCCTTTAAGTAATTCCTGACCCAATTGACATTCCATTTTATGTCTCAGAATGTCTATAAACAGTTTATATCATATTGACTTGCACTAGTTCATTTGTTTTGAAATAACTAAATTACATGCTTTATTTCCCTTACTCACAAACTATAAGCCTCTACATCTTTCATACTTCTCTTTAGAACTGGGTACAATAATAGGTGCACAGTGGGTCCTCAGATTAGGTTTTCAATTTTCAAGATGCAAGATGTTAGAGAAGTATTTACCATGGAGAAGTTAACCAGACTATTCCAAAATCTTCCCTTTGGGAAATAAAGAGATTATATATAACTCCCCAGAGATCCCTAACCAAACTCTTAGAATAAAAAATAAGTAAAGGTGACACAGAGCTGAAGTTTCACATTATAATAAACCTGCACAATCATAGAATAAATTGTGATTCAATTAAAGTTGTCCAGTGATAAAATACCATTTACTGTATTAGAGGTCCAGTGTCAGTGCAGTTAGTAAAAGAAAGTTGTAGTATTTTCATCACAAAGCATGAGCACAAATTAATAATTAAGCCTCTGTTGTTTACTTGATGATTTTATTGGTCTTTCTGGGTTAAGGCTCACATGTATTAATTTTAATAACTTTAGAATTATAAAAACTGCAGCAACAAACAAGAGAATATGGTAAGGTCCACCTAAATGAGATTTCCCTCAAAGTATAAAGTAATCTTCATCACCTATCCCAATAACAGAGGAAGAAAATTCAAAAAATGTGTTTCCTATGAAACTATACCCAGAAACTGAAATTCAGAGTTTTGTCCTACTGATCTGAACTGATTTCAAAATACAAAGAGAAATAACTCAAACTGCCAGAACTCATTAAAGCACAATGACAATCAATAACTGGATACTACAGGAGAGACCCACTAAAGGTTACAGAATCCAACTGTAATGTTCTCTGAAAAATTTATATCTTTAAATAGTTACAGAAACTCACTTGTCATTTAAGCCCCTCAGTGATGAGAGCTTCCCCCTCCCACTCCTGTGACTCTTCCCTCCTTTCTCCTCTCCCCACCACTCTCCACTCACACCCAATTTTACTCTTTGAAGATGGAAAGCAATTCCTAACTATCATAATTCACCTTTTGGATGTAATTTCATAAATATATGCTAACATCTAAAATAACACCATGAAATGCCCCTTGTAGCAGAGATGGCCAAGCTTTCCACCTGCCAGGGACATTTCCCACTCCCCTTGCATTCAAATAAGACTCTGTGACAAATCTTGCCAATAAAATTTGGAGGAATGTTTGTCATTTAAGTCTGGAGTTTCTTAAGAAATGGTCTTCAGGCAATAGGGAGGACTCCAAGGCCCTAAGAAATGGTGGAGTCACAAGATCTAAGTTGTATGAGTCCCTAAACAACATAAGAGGAAAGCCACAAGAAACCTGCTAACCAGGAGCACCTGCACTGGAACTGTCATGAAAGCAAGTAAACTGTCATGAAAGCAAGTAAACATCTGCACTGGAACTGTCATGAAAGCAAGTAAACTTCTTTGAAATTTTGGAATGTATTTATTACTCTGATTAGCATTACCCAAAGTAATACATACAGAAATTCCTAAGTATTCCAATTCTCCCAAATTAAAGACATTAATAACAGATATTTTGGAAAGATTGCTTAAAAGCCCATTTAAGTAACATTAACTTTTAAAATCTAAACAAGTTTCCACCTTGATTTTGTTGTAACATAATTCCTTTAGTCTAAATAATAACCTTAGTACTTCCACTTCATATCCAAATATCTTTATAGTTCAATATCATCTGTTTTCATGATTACTACAGGGAAATGTTCTTCCCAATTCTCCCAAATTAAAAAATATATATATAAAGTCTTTTAAAATAATTCATAAAGTCCAATGAAAATTACTTTACCAAATACTAAATAAGAGCAGATTCATTTCTATTTCTTTGTTTCTAAGGTATTAAAAAGTATCATTTATAGTTTTAAGGTAAGAATTATTCCTTTAAATATAACCACATGGCAGAAGATTCTGTTCAATGTAAATACACACTCCCACAACACACACTTTAAGAAAATCACAATTTGCATTCTAATAGTTGCCCCTAGTTATTTATAAAAATTCAAGCCCCTCAATGATGAGAGCTTCCCCCTCCCCATCCTGTGACTCTTACCTTCACAGAAATTTTTATATAAAAATATGCATAAAAGCTATACTGAATGTGTTGAAATTTTAGTTTGAATTTTAGAAAATAATATTTTTTAAAGCTTATCATTATTGATACAAATAAATTACGTAAGCCCTACTGGGAAACCCGGCATTTGTAAATAGGGCCATGACAAACTTAAACCAATCAAACTCCCACATTCTCTGTCCTGTCTTTTCCCAAAACAAAAAGAAAACAATCTTTATGTTAACTTTTCTGTTATCTTTACCTTAAATTCCATACCTCTCCATGACATTATTTTTTCCACACAGCAGTTAAAATTTAATGAACACATTTCCTACTCCAGAGAAAATACTAAAAATGGAAAGTTATTGAAAATTAAGTGGACAGAGGATTTTACCTTATATTCAGAGAAATATTCTAAGAAGTTTTATTTACCAAATCAGTCAACATGAGCTAGCATTTTTCGTAGCATTTAAACTTTGGGGATCTATCTAAATTTTGGTTCCTTGATCCTTTTTAATGTTTAACTGTATTGAAACATACATGTGCTATATAGAGGTTGAAAATTTTTTTCCAGGGCTACAAAACGAAAATCATAAAGAATAATGAAACTGAGAGATGGTCTATTTGAAAATATGAAAAAAAAATTAAGTATGACTATTTTTATAAATAACTAGGCTATTTTAATGACTATTTTTATTATTAGAAAAAAACTTCTTATATACATTAAAGTTTATATATATACCTTTTGTATACTGAAGGGCTCTGAAAGATTCCATTGTCTTTTTTACGTTATAGTTACTTAATATTGCTCTAAATAATTAATCATATTTGTGTTTGCAAAGGTTCTTCAATGCCCATAGTCAGGGCTGCAGGAGGCAGAACTAAAATTTAACTAAGCATCTACTACATGCCAAACATATGTTTTCTCATTCTATTCTCAAAACGACCTTACTATAAAGGTATTAGCTCTCTGTGACTGATAAAACTGTGGCTTATAGATATGTTACCTAAGGTCAAACAGCTAAGGAAAAATCACACAGCTGGGAGGCTAACTGAAGTCTGTAAAACAAGTCCTTTTCCCACTAACTACGTATGTTAAATTGTTTTTCCAGTAGTGGTAATAGAGAACAGCTCTTCGCCCCTCCTTCTCTTCCCTCCACTTCCCCGTGAACAGCATACACTATTTCTTTGTGAGACCAGGTGCAAAGAGCAATCTCTGGCCATGACACAGAGTACGGCCTACAAGGATCGAAACTGTATTATGCTTTTATCCACAGCACGGTTCTAGCTAAATGATCTAACTACATACAAATGTAATGAGGTTGGAGTAGAAAAGCACATTAGCAAATAATTATCCAAATGCCATTTGTATTTGGTTCTGAAATGTACTGTAGACCTATTGGCAGCAGGTTTATCTTTACAACTGGGTTTTGCTTAGGCTATTCTCAAAATAGCTTTCCAGCAGCACATACTGAGTAGACAACAGAGGTTGCTTGATCTAGTTTTTGGAGACTGAGGAAAACATGTTTGTTGAGCCTATCTTGATTGACAAGATAACTAGAGGCAATACGGTAAAATGTAACACTGTGCTTCCAATGTGTACAAACGGCTCAGCTAAACTCCCTGAACACAATCCACCTAAACAGTCTAAGCTCAATAGCCGACCGAGTTAAGCAGGATGACAGCTCCAGTAACTTCCTCTTCCTCACCCAGCTCCTCAGCTCGGCGGCGCGTACACGCCTCTCCCCCTAGGAGGCAGGATAAAACAATTTCAAATGCACAAAATCCATCCAATCCCACAGGCCAGGAAAGCCAGTTTCCCTTTCTTCCTCAGCCCTTCCAAGAAAATGTTTGTCTAATTAAAAAAAAAAAAATCTTACCAACGGCAAAGTATTTGCAACAAAAATCCAAAATATTTACTCAGTCCCTCCACACAGCCTTAGGGGAAGGATGAAAAGAAGGGAACACGACACCGCGTATTCCCAAGACTGACTGTTCTGATTCACTTTCCTCCCTCGGGTCCCACAGCCGGCCGGGCGAAGGCTTGCAGTTGGAACGCCAAAATAAGCCTTCGCCTCTCAGGAGACGCGGAGGCGGCCACGGCGACGGCAATCGGCGAGTCCCGCCTCCGACCCTCACCTGCCCAGGCCCGAGGCAGCGCCGTGGGCTCGCGCGGGCTCGCCGTCCCGGGAGGCGTCCGGGGAGGTGGGCGGGCGCCCAGGCAGTTAGGCCGCGCTGCAGGCCGGCGCGCTTCCTGCCGCGGCCGGGGAACGGCGGCCCCGGGATCAGCGGCGCGGCACCGACCAGCAGCTCTCCCAGCCCCGCTGCCGCGCGTGTGCCGCACTCACTCAGCCCTCCCCGGCCGGCCCCCTAGGAGCAGCTCTCACCTGCGAGGCTCGGGAGCCGCAGCCACAAAGCGGGAGGGACACGCCACTCTGGGGTCCCGGCCCCGGGCCACCCCCGACACACACACACACACACACACACACCCCGGAACCTTCGCCCGCCTCTGAAGAGACGCGGGTCAGCCCCGCCGCCCCCTCCAGTCACCCGACACACACCCACTCGCCGTGGGTCCTCGGGCCGCCTCCCCGCCCGCCAAAGTCCCAACTCGCACACCCACACGCACATTTGTCCCTCTCCCACCTCATTTCCCCGGGGACGCGCTCCTCTTCCCAACACTCTCGGTCCTACTCGGAGGCAAAAGAACACTCTACCTCATTCTCTTCCTCTGGCCCAGAAGCAACAGCAGCCATTTCCCCGCGGCAGGGGAAACACACACACAAACACGCGCGCGCGCGCGCACCAGGCCCCCACAGATGCTTCCCCTCCAGAGCCGCGGCCGCAGACGCAGACGCAAACACAAACACCCACGGCGGGCCTCGCTCCCGCCCGCCCCGAGGGGAAGCCGCGGCGGCACACAGGGCCCGTAACCGGGGCTCGCGGGCGGGCGCGCAGGGAACCCGGGCCCGGGGTCTCGGGGGGCCCGCGCCCCCTCCTCACCTGCATTCAGCGCGCCGGGGTCCGGGCGGCGGCGGCGGCGGCGGCGACGGGGCGGCTGGTGCTGGTGCTGCGGCGGCGGGGGAGGCGGCGGCGGCGGTGGCGGCGGGGCTGAGGGCAGCAAAGACATGCAGGCAGCCCGCCGGAGGGGAGAGGCACCGGCCGGAGGGGATGCGGGGCGGGCGGGCCGGGCCGGGCCGCCTGACGAACGGCAGAGGCGGCGGCGCGGAAGGCGGCTGAAGGGAGCGAGGAGACAGACCGGGGGTCGGGAAGGGGGACGAGGGCCGCGCCGCCGGGCTTCGAGGACAGTGACCCCAGGCGCGCAAGAGAGGCCCCGCGGCCGCGGCCGCCGGCGCGAAGGCCCCAGCCGAAGGAAGCTGCGCCCCCGCAGGGCCGGAGCCGCGGCTACTGCTCCGAGAGCCACGCAGAGCCTGGCCTTGGCCTTGGCCTCCTGGTGCTGGGGCTGCCGCCGCTGCGGGGGTTGCCGCTGCGCCGGGTGCTGCTGGGGCCGAGGTTGAACAGAGACGCCAGCTTTCGGTGCCTTCGCTCCCGCTCACACACGTTCACACCCCCGAGGGCCGGGGGAGAGGCGTCCGGGCGATATCGGTATTGAGATTAATAACAAGGTGCAGAGAGTGCGAGAACGAGGAGGGTTGATTGACGTGGAGGGGCTGGCGGGAGTCAGTCACTCCCCGGCGCGGAGGGTTGGGGTGAGGGGAAGGAGGCGGGGCGGTGACGGGGCGGAGCTCCTACGCAGCGCCTTGGCCCCGCCCCCCGTGCGCCGCGTTTTGTCGCGGTGAGCGCGCGGAGGCCCGGGCTTCTTAATGGTTTTCTGTTTTGCTCTGGCTGTTTTCTCACTCTTTTTTCCTGGCCTGAGCGAGGAGCGGGGCTGAGAAGAGTGGTAGAGTTTCAGAAACCCACATCCACAGAGCCTTGGCGAAGAGACGGGAAACCGCCTCACCCCGGGTTCTTGTGTGGGCGCTGTTTACTGCACCCTCCTCGCCCGAGGCGACCTGACAGCGAAGCAGAGCGTAGGTCTAGGTGGCTGAGACGCCAGGGGAGGTGAAGTGACCGAAGGAAATGTTTCCTGACATATTCGGTGGATTTTTTTTAAAAACATATAGCATCTGTAAGTTGTATCGTCAAAGGTAAATAAAAGAACCTGTGACGCTCAGCGATAACCCGGTCCTATTTTCTAATTCTCCCTTCTCGTTGTAGACTTTAGTTTGTTGTTTGTAGCTTATCCATGCCATCTACAGAATGAAAACATCCAAATGCAAACTAGAAATAGTAGTGTTTACTTGGTGAACCTGGCTGTGATACTTTAAGTTTCTGGGGTTTGTTTTTGTTTTTGTGGGCCAGCTTCAGCTTTTTTGGGCCAGCAGTCCAAAAAGCAAATTACACCGGCTGTGGAGGCAGAGTACTGCTGTTGCAGTTTTGCACAATTTTAATCTCTTTCTCAATGCATGCCCGGGCTCGTGTATTTACCAGTGTTGGTCAAGGGTATATTAGCAATGTTCAGTATTTTTTCCCCCACAGGAGTGTTTAGCACACTAAGCACGTTGCGTTGGTTGCAATTCATCTTAGGCCTTATTACTGAATGTAAAATGCCTTCATCTCTTGGGGGAAAAGGTGCGGTGAAAATGCAAATCATCATTTAGCTAAAACTGAACAGCTGTTACAAGAGTCCATAATTGCAGAACTATTGCACCACTTTCATCTTGGCACCAGGATGGGTGAATGAGTGAGTAAAAAAGCCCCTCAGTTCACAAGACGACAGACTATTTTCTTTTCTACCTATGTTAATTTTCCATTTCCCTCCCTAGCAACACCAGCCCCACACCATCTTCTGTGAAACATGTCAAAATGGCCTTAAGCCTGGAAGAAGTCTCACTCTTTCCCAACTATCTAAGAGTCTAGGCTGACATAAAATGAATAATTATCTTTGGCTTTGTAAGCAGCAAAGCCAAGCAAGTCACTTCAGGAGTCCAAATAGTGGACCTGCCTCAATGGCATCTTGCCACAGTATTTCTCCGTAGCACACAAACACTCTCCCAGGGAGAAATACCACCAATTATAGAAGGAAAGAGGAAAATAAATACCTGAAAAAATGTAAATCAGATAATGTGATAGCCTCACAGATTTAAGCATCTTTAAATAACAATAAATTTATATGAATTTTCTGTGAGTATTCAATGAATTTTCATTCATATACAATAAACACATATGGAGGGCATATTATGTTCCAGATGCTATGTTTAGCATTGGAGACACACAGCCAAGCATATATAGTCCCTTTTCTTAAGTAACTCACTATCATTGTAGGGGAAGCTGACACATAAACAGGAAATTCTCACAGAACAAACCAGAAATGAAAGTATGAGAGGTGACACAAAATTAATAGTCACAACAATGTCTAGGAGGATGGGCTGACAGCACTGGCATTTACACGTGAGCCATTTGACATCTGCCCACTCTCACAGGCTGCCTAGCAGTAGTGACAGGTGGGGAAAAATGACAGGGCCATTGTGGATGTTAAAGAAGCACTAATAAATGGTGGACTTTGGTGGTCCTGAAGGTCAACTTTATATATGGGATGTTCTTTGTTGGCCTCTAAATTTTAAGTAGTAAATGCATCACAATCCATGGTGGGGAGGGGTAATTGTAACTTTCAGAGTTAATAGTGGACAGTGGATGTTGTCATAGGATCATTTATTTTAATGCAGGTTAAGTTTAGAATTTACTCTCAAAGATGTCCTCTTTATACCATATCAAATTGATTGACTCACTAAAAACAAAAGGAAAGCAATACTTTTATATGTTAACTATATTATCCAAAAAATAGATTGCTGTTTTTCTCATTTGCAATTAGAATGACATTGGAGAAATAATAGTTTTCAGATAGTTGGCACTATACAAATGCCAAGAAATTGTCTTCAGTGAGATTAAAAAACAAACAGGCCAGGCGCAGTGGCTCAGGCCTGTAATCCCAGCACTTTGAGAGGCCCAGGCGGGTGGTGGATCACCTGAGGTCGGGAGTTTGAGACCAGCCTGACCAACATGGTGAAACCCCATCTCTGCTAAAAATACAAAATCAGTTGGGTGTGGTGGCACACGCCTGTAATCCTAGCTACTCAGGAGCCTGAGGCAGGAGAATCACTTGAACCTGGGAGGCAGAGTTTGCAGTGAGCCGAGATCTAGCCATTGCACTCCAGCCTGGGCAACAAGAGGGAAACTCTGTCTCAAAAAAAAAAAATAGTTCCTCATAAGATTCCGCTTCAAAAGACACCCCAGAAACGACAACAAATGAGTAGCACTTTAGCCATTGTTAAGAAGCAGTTTACGGGAGGCTGAGGCAGGAGAATTGCATGAACCCGGGAGGCAGAGCTTGCAGTGTGCCAAGATTGTGCCACTGCACTCCAGCCTGGGTGACAGAGTGAGACTCTGTCTCAAAAAAAAAAAAAAAAAAAAAAGAAATTTTATAGTGGATCAAAGTTTGCTACAGAGAGTAACCTGCTTTCGATATCTCATTTCTGAGGATTTTTCACGTTTGTCAGTTATTGCAGTTTTTAAGATTAGAAATAATGCAATAGGAAAATAGGTGGGTGTGGTGTCTCACTCCTGTAATCCAACATTTTGGGAGGCCGAGGCAGGCTAATCACTTGAGGTCAGGGGTTCGAGACCAGCCTGAAAACTCATCTCTACTAAAAATACAAAAATTAGCCCGGTGTGGTGGCAGGCACCTGTAATCCCAGGTACTCAGGAGGCTGCGGCAGGAGCATTGCTTGAATCCTGGAGGAGGAGGTTGCAGTGAGCCGAGGTGGTGCCACTGCACTCCAGCCTGGGTGACAGAGTGAGACTCCATCTCAAAAAAAAAAAAAAAATCTCTTTAAAGAAATGATTTATCCAATTGAAGCTTCTGGCTTAAGTGTGGCCTTTTTGACCAAATTGGTTTAGTAGCAGCAGTATATAGGTACAATTTGTTCTGAAACAACAATTATGTTTATTTGTATTATTAGAGAATTGGTTTATTCCTACTCAATGAAAGAAAAAGGTGCTTCATGTTCTAGAGACCACCTGTGTCTTTTCCAAATTCGCAATTAATGTTTGAGCTGAATAAATATTCCTATCTCTCCGTGTTTTGTTGGTAACACAGGTAGCGGGTCCTATAAGGTCCCTTATAACTGTTCTTTTGTCTCTTTTCTGAAATTCTGTTGAGCAGCTTATTCAAAAGACAAAGATTTCAATTTTTTTATTTAAGAAATTAGTACTATTTGGCCAGGTGTGGTGGGGCTCATGCCTGTAATCCCAGCACTTTGGGAGGCTGAGGCAGGCGGATCACTTGAGGTCTGGAGTTTGAGACCAGCCTGGCCAACATGGTGAAACCTCATCTCTACTAAAATATAAAAATTAGTCTGGCGTGGTGGTGTGTGCCTATAGTCTCAGCCACTCGGGAGGCTGAGGCAGGAGAATCACTTGAACCTGGGAGGCAGAGGTTGCAGTGAGCCGAGATCACGCCACTGCACTCCAGCCTGGGCAACAGAGTGAGACTCCATCTCAAAAAAAAGAAAAAGAAAATTAGTACTATTTGATAATCTATTAAATTTGATTTTTGGGGGGGGTGGGGGACAGAGTTTTGCTCTTGTTGCCCAGACTAAAGTGCAATGGCACTATCTCAGCGCACCTCAACCTCTGCCTCCCAAGTTCAAGCAATTCTCCTGCCACAGCCTCCCAAGTAGCTGGCATTAGAGGCATGCACCACCACACCTGGCTAATTTTGTATTTTTAGTAGAGATGAGGTTTCTTCATATTGGTCAGGCTGGTCTCAAAACCTCAAGTGATCTGCCTGTCTTGGCCTCCCAAAGTGCTGGGATTATAGGTGTGAGCCACTGCGCCTGGCAAATTTGATTTTATTTAATACATACTTTCATACTAATAGCCACATAACAATAAAAATGTCACATTTAAGTGTATTCAGTAAGGTATAATTAGTAACAAATATATTTTACATCATATTTATTAATAAAAAATAACTTTAAAGCAAGTATTAATCAAGATAATCATGAATTTTTACTTCCTGGACCTCCTGACAGGGCCTTCAAACTATATTTCAGTGACATAGTCTTACTTTTACTGAACTACAATCTTCCCCATCTTCCTATCTTGTACATATTTATTCCCCTTTCTCCCTCCCTCCCTCCCTCCTCTGTCTCTCCCATCTCCCACTTATTCTTATATTTCTTACCATCTACTGTGGGCATACTCGTCCAAGACACGTGGCTTTTCTCATTGCCTCTGCCCCTTTCTGGGGTCTTCAACTCTCTTTCCATCAATCTCCTACTTGTTCCTTTCTCTGGAGTGGCTGTGGATGGATGACACCAAGGATCATTCCCACTATCTTAGCCAAAGATGAACATTTTTCACCATTATTAATAGTGTGCCATGTGATCCATCAGTTCTCCATAAAATGATAAAGTAAGCCGAGTTCATCTTTGAACTTTGAAGGCAGATGTCCTACCTCCCCTTTCTACACTTCCCAGCTCAAGTCCCTTGATCCTGAATACATTAGAATCTCCACCTCAACCCCACCAGTTAACACCACACTCCTATATTCCCAAAATTGTTTTACTAGGCGAGCACCACCACCACCAATAAATATCCAGTGCTTCATTTTGTCTACGCCTTGGAGGTGACTGGCATGCTTTCCAATTAATAAAATCTATTACAATCAGCCCTCTATAGCTGTGGTTTCCACATTCCATGGATTCCATACCCTTGGTTTCAACCAACCTAGGATCAAAAATACTCAGAAAAACAAGTGGATGGTTATGTCTCTACTGAACATGTATAGATACTTATTTCTTGTCATTACCCCATAAACAAAGTATAACAACTATTCACATAACATTTACATTATATTAGGTGTTACAAGTAATCTAGAGACGATTTAAAGTATGTGGAAGGATATGCTTAGGTTATATGCAAATATATGCCATTTTATATAAGGGACTTATGGATCCATGGATTTTGGTATGAGGGGGTCCAGAAACTATCCACCAAGGATACTGAGGGATAACTATTTTAAAGCTGTACTCCAAGCATCTTCTTGAGGTTTTCAAAGGTATGTTTCAGAAGCTACATAGAGTACACAAAAGGAACCAGGTAGATGGGTCCTGAACAAGAAAGCCTGTGTTTTATCTCTTAATATATTGACCATCTATTTGTCTGCCCAGTAACCTTTTTCTTTGAACAATGCTCTCTGTCTTTGGGGAAACTATTTCTACCTGCACCATGATCGGTAATTCTAGTGCAGCTACAGCTCAAAGAATCCCCCAACTTCTTGGCTACAATGGTGGACATAGGACTCAAGTCAAAGCAAGCAGAGTTCTTCCCCAGGATGTTTTCAGGTGGAACTAAGGGGAGAAGGGCTATTCCACCATAGCAGTAGAGCCCAGAAGGAAGTCAGAACGGTCAATGGCCTTGTGTAGAATGAAGCCACCACTCAAATGAGAAATGTAAAGAACAATTCCTGCCGGTGCACCAGTCTCAGGTTCTGGTGATCCCTGAGGTCCCAGCTGCACCTTTTCACATAATATAGCTAAATTAACTGGTAAATTCTCTTCTACATCCAAACTAACTTGAGTTAGACCTCTGCAACCAAAACATCTGAATACATTGTGTTTCTGCATGAGAGTTCTTTCAAAGAAAGAACTCTTGAACTTTCAATAAGTTCTTTCAAAGAAAGAACTCTCGAACGTTCAATAAGTTCTTTCAAACTTATTGCTGCCCAATAAGTTTGAAAATCACTGAACTAAACTAAGTCGTTATGATTGGTGGAATCGTAGTCTACCAAACGTTGAAGATCACTTGGTCCTACTTCTGCATTTTCCACATGAGGAATCTGAGGCAAAATGACTTGCTGAATGAACATCACCCAGGCAGTCAGTGTTAGAAACTGGTCTCTGGATACCTAGTTCATTTGTTCTCTTTATTAAGCTTCTCTGTTTAATTCCTCCCAAAGGTATTTTTATGAGGTAATTATTTAGAAATAAACCTTAACCTAAAAGAATAAATCAAAACAACGGCAATTTCAGACACTGACTACATAGTGGGAAGATACTTGGTGGCATGGAGGCCATAATGGATCCCTTTTCCTCTTTGAGCCCCTCAAACTTTGAGCCCCTTTTTCATATTGGACCCAAACAAACTTTAAATCTTAGATGATCACATCTACAGGTCTTAACTACCATCTTTATGCTTACAACTCCCAAATATACATCTTCAATCCAGAGTTCTCATCACACATTTAGATCTATACTGTCAATTTCCTCCTGGATATCTCCACCTAGACAGGCTATACACATTGCAAGATATATATGTCTAAAACTGAGCTCATTGTCTTTTCCCCAAAATTGATTCTTGGTCTTGCATGACCCTCTGTTATTAAAAATGGTACTATCACGCTAAAAATCATGTAATCATATGAATAGTCACCTAATGCAGAATCCTAGGAGTAATCCTTAACTTTTCTCTCCCAGCCTCACCAAGATCTACCAATTCTGCCTACTAAATATTTTCATTAATCTAGCCCCTTCATCCTAATGCACTCCAGAGTTATAAGTCAGCCTGTCAGCTCTTGCCTGAGCTTTTTGCATTTTGTCTATTGTTTTAGTATCCTAAGTATAATCCTAACATCCTCCTAAAACATACCCTGTTCATATTAATTACTCTGCTCTTTAAATGACTTTACATAATTTATAAAATAAAGCCTAACTTCACAAGCATATATGTTCCTTAATGATTTGCCCTTCTCTTACCACCACCACCTGCAGCCATTTAACCACCAGCTTTTCTCTCTCTCACCCTTGCCTTTAATGAACCACCTGTCACTTCTTAAACAGGATGTGCTCTTTTAGATATCTTTGCACATGCAAAGTATAGTATCTTTCCTCAGCATAGTATGCTGTTTCCCATTTTGTCCTTTTCTTAAAATCATCCTTCAAGATTCACCTCAAGCATCACTTCCTCTGTGAAGCTTTTTCTAAAAACCCTGCTATGTACTCCCTTAACAGGCTGTGCCCAACTCTCTTACAGTAAGTGTGGTTAAATTAACCAGCAAATTCTCTTTTAGATCTAATCTGAGTTAGATCTCTCCAAAACATCTGAACTAATAAGTTGTGTTTCTGTATTATTATTCTTTCAAAGAAGGCTAATGGCTGCTAAAATAAGTTTGGTAATCACTGAACTAAATGATAATAAAGCATTATTATTGGTTGAAGCATTTTTAAAAAGAGGTACCCCGTTTGTGGAGATGAATTAGGATATGTTTCCCTCTGGGTGCATGCAGTCTATCAAAGCACAGTCCCCACTAACCTTTTGCCTAGATGTCTCTATCCAGCATGCAAACTGAACAAGCATATGACATTATGCTATAATTACCTGTATGTGTACACATCTGTCTTTCACATCCTAGATTGCAAATTCTGTCTTTATCTCTAGTACATCATAGAATTTCTGATACAGAATTCACAAGGAACAATTGCTTAATTAATTAATGATAGCAATTCTCAAATCATATCATGTAGTCTTAACTTTACAAGCAATTAGCTGCTAGTAAAATAAATCAGAAATAACAGTAACAAAATAAATGTTATTTTTCTCTCACATAAAGGAAGTCTGGAAGTAGTCAATGCAGGGCTGATATGGCACATCCATGGTCAGCAAGGACCAGGCTGCTTTTCTCCTTGGGTTTGCTATCTTTAGAGCATGGCTTCCTTTCCTGCTTCATAGTCCAATATGGCTGTCCAGGCCACCCCATACAGTTGTGTAGTTTATTTACTGTGAAGACACCTGACCAAGAAGTGAGTGGGGGCTGTGTATTCTGAGGGATTCCTTCTACCCAGAGGAGGAAATTTTCTAACTCATCTGCAAAGATGGGGGATTCTTCCTATTCTGTTCAAAGGCACCAAAAACATTAACAGAGATGCCATGACTATCATGATTCCAGCTATCCCACTCATTTTCCTGGCAGAACAAAAATTAACCACACCCCTAAACACTTTCCTGGAAGACTCACCCAAAAAATACTTGCTTAGATTTCACTGACCAGAAGCAATGAAAGAACATGGGTCGCTGAAAGGGAAGCTGGAAAGCATAGTGTTTTGGTGAGATACACTGCCACCATAAATAAGCTACTGGATAGCCTCGGTCTAAGTGCAGCACGGATAACGATTCATCACTTCAATGTCTAATGGTTGATGAGTCCAAAGAAATAAAGCATTCTGCTGAGTTTCGTAACTAAGAGTTTTAACTCTAGCAAAGCAATCTTACAATTATGTTTATCTGAATTAAAGCAAGACACTTTGAACAAAACATTCATGGTCTGTTTTTAGAAACTGATGATAATTTCTCTCTCTCTTTCTCTCTGTTTCTCTATCTGAAAGTTTGTTTTTGATATTCCAAAGAACATCAGTATTTAAATTGAGTTATCAAGTAGAAGGATTCCCTTACATTTTATAATTTTTTTAAAAGTCTCCTCTTAACAGGAGTTCTTTTTCCTATCCAAGATAGCATTGAAAGTTTAGTATTGTGTTCATTATGCTTGTACCTGTGTTTCTAAGCACATGATATCTAACAAAGCCTCCCCACTGCCTTTCTTTCAAGGATGTTTATAATCTGGACTCAAACATTCACACTAGGTCTTATCCAAACTTGTTCACAATGCACGCCCTGAGTTTCCAACTCTGTATCTTTGTTCACATTGTTCATGGCTTCCACTTCTCAACTTTCCTTTTCCACACCATCAAGCACATCCTTCAAGCGCTTACTCCCATCCTTTTTCATGAAGCGCTCTGTCACCTAGGCTGGAGTGCAGTGGCACAATCTCGGCTCACTGCAACCTCCTCCTCCCAGGTTCTAGCGATTCTCCAGTCTCAGCCTCCCCAGTAGCTAGGATTACAGGTGCACACCATTGTGCCCAACTAATTTTTGTATTTTTAGTAGAGACGAGGTTTCACCGTGTTGGCCAGGCTGGTCTCACACTCCTGACCTCAAGTGATCCGCCCACCTTGGCCTCCCAAAGTGCTGGGATTATAGGCGTGAGCCACCGTGCCTGGCCTAAAATTAGTTTTCATACACCATCTTGTGCTGAAAACTGTGGCACAGAAATATACTGTATGGCAGGGAAAATAAACTAGATGTTAAAATTTTACAACAGATATTCCACCCACTAAATAATTTATATTTTGAAATTTGAGATTTATATAATATGGAATAACTCTTTAAATGTCAAGCATTAAACCTTGTTTTTGTTTTAAACTAATACCAACGGCTGATACACCTACACAAAACAAATTCGGTAAACTTCCACCAGCTGACCTTTAAAATAATCATTAGTAAAAAGAATTATGCTTTTCTGCAACAGGAATAATCTCGTTATTTGCATTATTTCCAGAATTATATTCTACTTTTTTATTTAGCTTTTCTATATTGGTGTTCCAATCCCAAAAATAGCTAGGAAAGAACAATATTTTTAACATCTCAAATCTTCTAACTTCTTCCTATTTATCTTCCATATATAATAGTATATTCTTTTTATAACTTGTGTTTTTTTTTTTTGTAAGCAACTTTTAGATTTAACTGTTTTAACTGAATGGGCCAACCAAACTTTATTTTTTTTTTTTACAGAATTTATGAAATAGAGCAAATCTTTTGATGTGAAGATAGAGCCTGTATTTCACCCTTTGGTTCTAAAATGACTCACGCTCATCATACATTTTAATTTGTGTTCTCTAGTTAACCTTTTCAGTTCCTTCTTTATGCCAAACAGAACTAACAAGGATTAGTTAAGATTCCAACATATGATGTGATTTAAGAGAAATCACTACATGAAACTGTTTTCACCATTGCATGTTATAATGCCTGAAAATTCAGCATGGAGATTGACTCCTTTGAAAATAAAAACTTCTAAAATACCATACATCATCTTAAATTAGTGTGTCACAACACCTACTATGCAGAACACAATTTCCCATGAGATTCTTAGGGTATGTGGAGAGGGGAGATTCTATGCTGAAATAAATGTAGGAAATGCTACACACTGCATTTTTTCTCTTAAAAACTCATGATACTCTTAAACAATTAAGAAATCTTACCTAAAGAAATATGATTAATAGTATTTTCTCAAATATATTGACCATAGAGCTCTACTTAATACCCATAAATGTCCTATCATACCAGTGTTCTTTGGAACATGCTTTGTGAAACGCTACCTAAACCTACAATCAGGAAAACTTGCTTTAGAATTATAGAAACATAAAGCTGGAAATCTTTTATAGTGATAATGTAGCTTAAGTCTCAAGCTTTTCAGATTTAAAAAATAGACCTATAAAAGTTAAATTATGTGGCTTAAGTAATAAAGCCAGGATGAGAACTTACCTTTCATTTCCCATCTTATTCCTGAGATCAAAATGCTACAGAATTATAGTGTACATAAGAGGCCTCTTCAGTTGGGTTACTGGCTCTGTTATTTCTCTAATTCTGTAAAATGTTTTGAGGGAAAAAACAGTGAGTTCTTGTGGGTTTTGTTTGTTTATGAAAATGGAGCCAGGCGCGGTGGCTCATGCCTGTAATCCCAGCACTTTGAGAGGCCGAGGTGGGTGGATCACTGGAGGTCAGGAGTTCAACACCAGCCTGGGCAACATGGCAAAACCCTGTCTCTACTAAAAATATAAAAATTAGCAGAGCATGGTGGCACATGCCTGTAATCCCAGCTACTCGGGAGGCTGAGGCAGGAGAATTGCTTGACCCCAGGAGGCGGAGGTTGCAGTGAGCCGAGATCACGCCACTGTACTCCAACCTGAGTGACAGAGTCTCTGTCTCAAAAAAAGAAAAAAAAAAAGTGGGGGTCAAATCATAAATAATACTGTTGATATATTTTCTTGTCATTACATATAATCCTAGAGCATAGTTCTCAATCCCATCAGACCCCACCCTCCCTTTTAATAGCAAATATTTTGTAATGCCTTCGTTATTACCCTCATCTGGAATCCATAGATAATATATTTTACGTACATAAACAATTTATTTTGAAAAGCAATATAATGCCTTATCTATAATATTTAGGATAATTAAAAGCAAAATATTAATAATGAAATAATATGAAATTATCAGGCTTGACTACATTAGAAGGCATAGTGAAGAAGTTAGATGTTTATATCTATATGTAGCTTTAATGTAAATTTTATGGCTACAAGAGCCAACTGATACACAGATGTGTTAATTTGTCAAAGGAGTGACATGATTCTTCTAAAATGGTGAACTATGCTTGGTAAATTCCAAGCAAAACAAAGCGCATACATTGTTTTCTCCATGTGCATAATAGCTACATTCCTAGAAAATCCATATTACGGTTATTTCAAACACTCTCAAAACTCTTTATATTGGCCAGGTGCAGTGGCTCACGCCTGTAATCCCAGCACTTTGGGAGGCCTAGGCGGGCGGATCACCTGAGGTCGGGAGTTGGAGACCATCCTGACCAACATGGAGAAACCCTGTCTCTACTAAAAATACAAAATTAGCCAGGCCTGGTGGTGCGTGTCTATAATCCCAGCTACTTGGGAGGCTGAGGCAGGAGAATCACTTGAACCCGGGAGGCAGAGGTTGCGGTGAGCTGAGATTGCGCCATTGCACTCCAGCCTGAGCAACAAGACTGGAACTCCGTCTAAAAAAAAAAAAAAACAAAAAAAACCTATTTTTATTATCAGTAAAATGGAGTTGGTTCTAGATCATCATCAACAGGTTTTTCCTTTTGTCTAGAGGGACATTTGAAAATCATGTAGAATGCATCCTTCTATATGTAGGACTTTCCTGAGAAGTCTAGGACGGCTAGCATCCCTACTCATTCCAAATGTCACTTCCTCACTCCCACCTCTGTGATTGGGATGTCCAAAAACCTCTCCTACCAACTCTCAAAATGCCCTTATCCATGAGTTAAGAACCGCTATTGTAGAATATATCTTAAAAATTGCCTAGCGTTCTGTTGAATATGACAGTAGTGAATTACCAACTATTCACTAAATTCAAGGGCACAACTCCTTAACTCACTGAATAATCTCAATAGGGACAATTTACTGAGAGTTCACAATGCCCCAGAAACTTTATTTACATTTTCCTGTTTAACCTTTATAACCACCATATAAAGTATTATTATTTTTCCCCATGATGCAAAAAATTGTAGGTACACAGGTTCAAATTTTTTATCTTGTATCTACATGTAGCTTTAATGTGAATCTCATGGCTGCAAGAACAGACTGATACACAGATGTGTTGATTTGTCATAGGAGTGAAAAATGAGAAACCTGAGGCTCAAAGATGCCAAATAACTTTCTTCAGGAGAGCATGGATCCAAACAGGTCTTTTTGATGTTTAAATCCATGTGCTTAGCCACTACAATATATTGCCAAATGTAGTTTTTATTACTGAAAGCAGCTGTTCTCTTTCTATTCATACTTTTCTTACCTTCTGATGTAGCTTCCCTTTGTAAATGGCTTTCCTTTTTTGTCTTTCTGGAACAATTTTTTTTTCTGGAAACAGATAAGGCTGTTCCCCACTTCCTCCCCACCCCCCACCCCAGCCCCTTTTAAAGTAGAGATCTGTGCTAGATTTGGATCTGCTACAATTGATTCTAATTAATGTCCCTACCCTAAGGCTGTCTCTAAAAGAATGACTCAATATAACTGAGCACATTTCATTTTTAAAGGAACTTGAGAGTGTTTAACTTGAACCAACATGTCCAGGGAGTATACTCTTACCTGTTCATTGCCTTTTATTCCTCACCAGCCATTCACTTTTTAAATTACTAGATGGTTGCTTCCACTCCCACTGTTGTCATCTAAAAATATTATTTCAGTGATTATGAACAATCTCCTCATTAGTGGAGTGTTTTTCTTCTCCATTACTAGAGTGGAAGTAATTTGAGGTCAGAGAATGTATGCCACTTTGTTTACTCTATGATACTTCGTAATACTTACACATAGTAAATTCACAGTAACTGTCCATTGAGTTCATGAAGCTGAGTGCAGTCTAATTTAGCACAATCCATCGAGTTCATGAAGCTGAGTTCAGTCTAATTTAGCACAATAATTATAGGTAAATATGAAGACTTCTTCACTTAGATCGTTTGTGTTTTGTTTTCTACACCCATAAAATGAGCATAATTGTTCCTAAATCAGAGTTCTTGTGAAGATTCCAGGAGATGATATTTGTGAGTGTTGTTAGATTATATCAACACATGGCAGACATTTAAAAAGAATGGCTTTGGCCAGGCGCAGTGGCTCATGCCTGTAATCCCAGCACTTTGGGAGGCCAAGGCAGGTGGATCACGAGGTCAGGAGTTCGAGACCAGCCTGACCAACATGGTGAAACCCCACCTCTACTAAAAATACAAAAATTAGCTGGGCTTGGTGGTGGGCACCTGTAATCCCAGCTACTCGGGAGGCTGAGGCAGGAGAATTGCTTGAACCTGGGAGGTGGAGGTTGCAGTGAGCCGAGATCACGTCATTGCACTCCAGCCTGAGCGACAGAGCAAGACTCCATCTCAAAAAACAAAACAAAACAAAAAAGAGTGGCTTCTCTTCCTCT
Organism: Homo sapiens; assembly: GCF_000001405.40. Classification (NCBI taxonomy): domain Eukaryota; kingdom Metazoa; phylum Chordata; class Mammalia; order Primates; family Hominidae; genus Homo; species Homo sapiens. Next base: position 77,834,227 of record NC_000004.12, read on the forward strand.
CTCTATCATTTCCATACACAACCCCTTCTCTTCATGGAGTACTTTGAGCTGACATGTGGGTTCAAATTTTGGACCTGTGTACATAAATGTTTTTGCCTTTCTGTGTGATATGCATATGGAATTCAGTGGGATATGTAGACATAATCAACAACTTTTAAGTCTTTAAAATATATATAAAGAAGAAACTAGGGAATAGTGCGTTCATGGTAGGGAACTAACTTTTCCACCTATACTATCACTGTATGTGTGTATCTTTTGGAGGGATGTTCATCTTATTGTGTTGTGAAGCAATTATTCTGAAGGGTTCATAAAAGTAAAGCCTCAGATCTGAGAGTACAGTCTTGTCTGAACGACTAGGTCTTTCTTGTTGACAATTGCCAAGGAAAGAGGCTAGCCCTCAGATAGGAACATTTTACTAAGTGAGTGGGCTCAAAATTGATGTGAGATGAGATTTGATCTCCAAAGGTCAAGGATTCAGAACGTTTAGACGTGTACTGTTAGGTAATTGCTATTAACAAGGGCTCTCCTGATCCATCACATAGTACCAAACAGAGAGCTAAGAAGGAAGGGCACAGATCAGATCTGTTTTTTGTTTTTTGTTTTTTTTTTCCTCTTCCAGGGTAGCACATGAGTTTTGGAGAGCAAGAAATAGTTTTAACCCAGGTTATCCAAATTCATGCAATTATTCAGGTTTGTTTCCATTTTTTAAATCCCCTAATCTATAATAAACTATTTTAGTTGTAGTGCAGGAAGTAAGAAGAGGGTCATTTGTCTATGCATGGGCCAGAATGCCAAAAGGGCTAGCCATAACCCTCCTGCCCCTAGTATGTTTGTCTTAAGGGCAGTCAGTTCAAAGATCCCAATACCAAGGGAAAGCCAGGGAAAATAGGCAGGACCAAGTGGTCTGTCTCCTGATCATCTGAAAATTCTCCTTATAATGCTAAATTTGAAGATCAGGGTTATATTTCTGTAAAGAAAAACAGAATCCTAACACATATGATTCATTGCTTTATCCACAGAGCCTTCCTAGGACATGGTGCTTCCTAAGAATTTGTAGAATAAATAAATGAGCCATTACATATTTATTGAGATTTGTTTTGCTTTGTTCCTTTCACTTTGTTTTATAGCTAGCCTGTAAGCTACGGTCCAGGTGACTTTTATTCATGTTCAACTCAACATCCATTGAGCACCTTCCATGAGCAAGGAACTGAGCTAGCTGCTGCGGATACGTAAGAATGAATAAGACATGGCACCTTGCTTTAAGGAGCTAAAGTCTAGTGGCTGAGATAGATATGGACATAAAGAACTCTCTTTTTAGTGTGTAACCACAGGGATATCTGAAGTTTCCTACCTTATTGCCTTTCTTTTTGTACACATTTTTCAGTTTCTCTCTCCCTTAAGAACACTTGTGCATTTGTGCTTCATCTTCCTTGCCTGACTCACTCCCTTGACACCATTCTTATATTCTTTCGTATCAACTATTCTTATTACTCTAACAGCTCGTTCCTCTGTTTTAAAAAGCTTTGAGTACATCCTTCTTGACTGGAGAAAAGACTCCCCTAGATACTTTTCTTTGATTATCTTTCAAGTCTGGTTTCTTTTCATTTTCCTTCAAGTTCTTCTGTACTTCAAGTTGACTGTTATTAACTTTTGGTAGAATGACATTCTCCAGATTTTCCCCAGAAGAAAATCTAGTGTATGTTTTAGTATATGTTTTATTTATTTATTTATGTATATGTTTTATTAGTAAAGTGGAAAGTCTGAGCCTAATGTGTTGTTGTTGTTGTTGTTTTTAACCTTGAACACATAACATATTACAGAAGCTGGTTAAAATTCTTAATGGTGGACATAGGCACACTGTTTATTTTTTGAGACAAGATCTCACTCTGTTACCTAGGCTGGAGTGCAGCGGCACAAATATGGCTCACTATAACCTCAACCTCCTGGGCTCAAGAGATTCTCCCACCTCAGCCTCCTAAGTAGCTGGGGACTACAGGTGTAGGCCACCATGCCTGTTTTGTTTTGTTTTTTTGTGTTGTTTTGTTTTGTTTTGTTTTTAGTAGAGGGGGTCTCACCATGTTGCTCAGGCTGGTATTCAGCTCCTAGGCTCAAGCCATCTTCCTGCCTCAGCCTCCCAAAGTGCTGGGATTATAGGCATGAGACACTGTGTCCAGCCTACACACGGTCTCCTAGACAATGTAAACAATACTGTTTCATTAAAATCAGATCACACAATAAGTATAGTTACCTGAAATCTGAGTTGTATAGCAAAGATCCAATAAAATGAATTAAGACCCCCCCAAAAATGCCATTCTATACCTCTTCAGCTGTAAAAAAAAAAGAAAAGAAATATTACTTTTTTTTACAAATATTTTATTACAGTATTTCTGATTTTGTATAGCACTTTACTATTTAAAAAGCTTTTTGATGTACAACAGCTCATTTGATCTTCACAATAATGTTGTGAAGAAATCAAAGTCCTATCATAACTGTCATTTTTATCAGTTAAGAAATCACAGAGAGGCCAATGAGATCTCCAAACTTACAAGATCTATTTGTATTTGGCAGATCTAGGTCTCAGATCCAGGCATTCTTCCCTTTAAGATATGATCCTTCTGCTTCCTCATGCTATACATTATTCCATCAGCCTATTTATAATTACATTTAAATGTAGTTTTACTTATTTGAACTACAATTTGTATTGTAGAAATACTTTTCACTAAACCCTTATATGGAAAATTAGTATAGATTATTACTATGGTGATCCAGTAGGACTAAACTTTTCAGCATATAAAATCCAAACCAGTGCTGGGTGCAGTGGCTCATGCCTGTAATCCCAGCTACTAGGGAGGTTGAGGCAGGAGGATCGCTGGAGCCCAAGAGTTAAAGGCTACAATGAGCCATGATTGTGCCACTGTACTCTAGCCTGGGCAACAGAGCAAGACCTTGTCTCTGAAAGAAAAAAAAAAAAGAATCCAAATCTTAGCAACTACTAATGCAGATAGTAAGTGGACTCTGTAGATCCAAATAATTGCACTAGAATCAAAGAACTCTCTTTGAGTCTATTTCAAAGACTGAGGCTGGGCACAGTGGCTCACGCCTATAATCCCAGCACTTTGGGAGGCCGAGGCAGGCGGATCACCTGAGGTCAGGTGTTCGAGACCAGCCCGGCCAACGCAGTGAAACCTTGTCTCTACTAAAAATACAAAAATTAGCTGGGCGTTGCGGTGCATGCCTGTAGTCCCAGCTACTCAGGAGACTAAGCCAGGAGAATCGCTTGAACCCAGGAGGCGGAGGTTGCAGTGAGCCTAGATTGTACCACTCCACTCCAGCCTGGGTAACAACAGAGTGAGGCTCCATCTCAAAAACAAAAACAAAAAACAAAGACTTTATTACAGTGAGCATTTATCCAATTGTCTATGCCAATGACTTAACAGCAGATATCAAAATACTGGAGAGTTAAGGGGGCTATTATATTATTAAATGAATATAACAGTTATCTCACTCTTCAATCAAATAAAGTTTTGTGGAATATTTGTCTCAGTGTAGCAACATACGGCAGTTTGACAATTTCTTGAATTCAAGGTAAATGAATATAAATCATCAGAGAGTGTTCTAGTAGAAGGATTAGATGGAAAAGACAAGGTAAAAATGAAGTAAAAATAAAAGACTATAATGCATTACCTCCAAAAGTCTTCCCTAATTTCATTTATGTCTAAGTTACATGAGACTAAGTCTCATAATGCACTTAGCTGAAGCCATATTGATTGGTAAACTGCAAATCAGCCAATAAAAAAAATTTATATATATATATATTTTTTAAATAGGGTCTCGCTCTGTCACCCAGGCTGGAGTGCAGTGGCACAATCTCGCCTCACCGCAACCTCTACCTCCTGGTCTCAAGTGATCCTCCCACCTCATCCTCACAAGTAGCTGGAACTACAGGCACGCACCATCACACCTGGCTAATTTTTTTTTTTTTTAATTTTTCTAGAGACAAAGTTTCATCATGTTGCCCAGACTGGTCTCAAACTCCTGGGCTCAAACAATCCACCTACCTTGGCCTCCTAATGTGCATTAGACATGAACAATCACGCCTAGCCATAAACAAAAAAAAAAAATTTTTTTTTTGAGATGAAGTCTCACTCTGTCACCAAGGCTGGAATACAGTGGCATGATCTCGGCTCACTGCAACCTCCACCTCCCGGGTTCAAGCTATTCTCCTGCCTCAGCCTCCCAAGTAACTGGGATTACAGGCGCCTGCCACCATGCCTGGCTAATTTTTGTATTTTTAGTAGAGATGGGGTTTCACCATGTTGGCCAGGCTGGTCTTGAACTCCTCACCTCGTGATCCACCCGCCTCGGCCTCCCAAAGTGCTGAGATTACAGGCATGAGCCACCGTGCCTGGCCCCATAAACAAATTTTTAAAAAACCTTTTCTTTCCCATGCCTTTGACACAAGACTAGACTCCAACTATCAAAAAAGTTTCTTTCTACAACAGTGTAAGATAAAAATATAAAATATAGTGCCTCAAACAGAAATATATCAGCATCCTTTCACAGAATAGGGCCTGATCCAAGATGATTAATAAATGCAACAGGCTCTTCATGTACTTCTAGAATTTAGCACTGGGTTTTGTTCTGGCTATTGGAAAGTCTTCTGATCTAAAACATCTTATGAGCAGTTCACATGGAGGATATAGCATGTTTTACTCAGAAATGAAGCTAAATTGTTAATCCTGCCTTTGATGTTTCTTGTACATTGTTCTTCTATTTTTCTGTTCTCAGTAGTAATTTCTTGGAAGCCATAAAGGATTGTTAAGCACCTAATCATGCTATATTTTATATATTTATCTTAAAAACATTGTCCTTTTTTTTCAAATTTTGTTTATTTCCTTAGGATGCTTACATTTTCTAGAAGCCTCTTCCCCTGCTATAGAGCCCTAACCTGAATATAGACCCAGGTCCTTAGTTAACTCTGCTTAGTCAGCGAGCTATGCGATTCTGGGAGAGTCTCTTCATTTCCTGGGCCTCAATTTTCTTATTGATAAAATGGGAAGTTTGGCCTTCATGGCCTCTCAGGGCATTCATTCTTAAATATTCATTGACATAAAGCAAGTGTTCAAAAGTACTTATTGAGTGAATAAATATTAACATGTTTTTTACTCGCATGTCTGGCCAGAATTATGAGCATCTCTCTGACATCAGTAGAATGAGAGAGCTGGGCACAGTGGCTCACACCTGTAATCCTAGCACCTTGGGAGGCCAAGGTGGGCAGATCGCTTGTGAGCCTAGGAGTTTAAGATGAGCCTGGGCAATATGGCAAAACCCCATCTCTACAAAAAATTTAAAAATTAGTCAGTCGTGGTGGCATAGGCCTGTAGTCCCAGCCTCCTGAGTAGCTGGGATTATAGGCATATGCCACCACACCCGGCTAATTTTGTATTTTTAGTACAGCCAGGGGTTCTGGGGTTCCTACTCGGGAGGCTGAGGTGGGAGGATCACCTGAGCCCAGGGAGGTCAAGGCCTTGAGGCTACTGCGCTCCAGCCTGGGCAACAGAGTGAGAAAAACTCTGTATCAAAAACAACAACAACAACAACAAAGCATCAAAATAAACAAAATAGAATGAAAGAACTGGCTGGGAAAGGGATCATGTTAAACACTTGCCTGCTGGAAATATCCAACACGCAGTGTCATAACATCTGAGTTTGGGAATTATTAACAGGATTACACAAAGCCCCATGAAGAGTGGTGACAAGGCTTTGACAATGAAGTTACCTTGAAGTCTTCAACTTTTACTTTTAAGGATCTCACCAAGACTAGAGAGGGAATTAACAGATATACTCTGTACCCAGCTTCTCATACAGCAGTGTGGCACAGAAGCACAACAGACAACTGACCAACTGGGAGAGGCATATACTGTTGGCAGTCTTTGGGTAACTTAAGATTCTTTTAAGCTTTCATCAATTATAGCAGAGGTTTGACTGTCAAATTTGCCAGTACTTTGGAAATTTCTACTTTCTCAGATCACATAACAGGGCATAGAGAAAAAAATGTGTAGATGAATAAACATGTTAACAGTGGTTACTACTGGGGAGTGGGATTATGGGGTATTTCAGAAGAGACTTCCATTTTTACTTTACATTCTGCAATTATTCATATTACTTTTATTTTTAAAAAATTTTGGCCGGGAGTGGTGGCTCATGCCTGTAATCCCAGCACTTTGGGTGGCCAAGACGGGCGGATCACCTGATGAGGTCGGGAGTTCAAGATCAGCCTGACCAACATGGAGAAACCCCACCTCTACTAAAAATACAAAATTAGCCGGGTGTGGTGGCACATGCCTGTAATCCCAGCTACTCGGGAGGCTGAGGCAGGAGGCGGAGGTTGCGGTGAGCCGAGATTGCGCCATTGCACTCCAGCATGGGCAACGAGAGTGAAATTCCACTTCAAAAAAAAAAAAGAAAAGAAAAAAAGTATAATGTGGTATATTAAAAATCCAAAACTGAAAGCAGGCTTCTTATCCGGACATTTCAGGTAATAGGTATAATTGTCAGACTGATCAAAAACAATTATTCTCTACTTTTTTTTTTTTTTTTTGAGACGGAGTTTCGCTATGTTGCCCAGGCTGGAGTGTAGTGGCATGATCTCAGCTCACTGCAGCCTCCGGCTCCCGGGTTCAAGTGATTATCCTGCCTCAACCTCACGAGTAGCTGGGACTACAGGCACCCACCACCACACCCAGCTAATTTTTGTATTTTTAGTAGAGACGGGGTTTCACCATATTGGCCAGCCTGATCTCGAACTCCTGACCTTGTGATCTGCCTACCTCGGCTTCCCAAAGTGCTGGGATTACAGGAGTGAGCCACCGCACCCGGCCAATTATTCTTTATTTTCTAAAGTAGATTTTATGAATATGGCATAAATTTATAGGCATTTGGAAGAAAATTATTTTCATTTGCTTCTATCCTTTCACAAATATTTTATTATTGTGTCCACAGATTTTGGAGTTCCTAGTTTTTTTTCAAAGGGTACACTATATTCTTGATACATAGCAGATGATCAATATGTGTTTGTTGAATGAATGCATTAAATAAATCTTCATCTTCTATTCTGAAGCCACAGTAACTTTTAGGAGAGAAAGATACTAGTTTGGTCACTGAAACAGGATTTTTTACTGCTGTTACCTAAAAGGAGGTAACCTAAATGATTTTACAATGTCTTTAAAATTACCTATTTATTTTCTGGAATTAGTTTATATAATAAAAAAAATCAATCTAACAAATAAGTTGCATATGATATTTCAGTTTCTAAAGAATTTATTAAATAAAGCATTTTATGTTAACAAACATCTTTCATATTATTTCATTAACTATTCCTTACAACTACTCCTCTGGTGCTGTTATCTGAGTTAGAAGGGAATGATTAAATGAATGAATGGATGCATGATTAAGTTCTTTGCTTAAGATTCCAAAGGCAAGGAATGGCAAGGACAGATTTAGTATTTATTGACCCTGTCTCCCCCACACTGCTTCTTGGCCCCCTGAGCCCTGTTGTCTCCTCAAAACAAAGAGGTGGCAGTGCAATACTTTTTTCCCCCATGGCAGTAAATAAGTGGATCATTTGTTCTAGTAAATGCTTGGCAGGAAGACATGAAAGACTAAGCCAGTTAAGAAATGTCTGCTTACTACAGGTATGGTTGAGTATCTTGGTTTACAACCTATTTATAGTAAATTTTATGATTACCATCAACGAGGCTTTGCAGTCTTTAAATGTACAAACTTACATTTCTTCTCCAATGCCAAAAATAATCTCTCCCTATTCTGTGCCTGGAAAGAGAGAGACAGACTTAGAGGAAAAAAAGGAAGATTGAGAGACTGAAATAGATTGAGAGAGAAAAAGCCATTGGGAAAGTGAGAGAAAGAGAGAGGCTATAAGCAAAGTTTAAATGGATCTGAAATACTGAAATGTCTTGACTGTATTTTTTTGAGTTTTATATTTTAAAATTGATAGAATGGTCTTTACTAAAAGATACTGGTATTGATAGATACACTTTGAAGAAAGAAAGGGAAAATTAACTTTTTGGAAATAGATCAGCTTTTACTAAATTTATTTTCCTTTCTTTTCCTTCTCTTTTTTTAATTGAGTCTTTTCCTCTAGTGTTTTAGAATTAAGCTAGTTGCTGTAGGGGAAAAGCTGTTTGTATGCAGAAATGAGTGTCCTGTCTCCCCACTGGTCCTCACCCCTCCCTCCCCCTCCCGCCAATTCACTGGATGTTCACATGAATTTTTAGGAATTTTTTTTGGCTTTGAATATTTACCTCTTGTGTTCTGAACAGCATTTTTCCTTCCACCTATTGTACATGTGAATTAGGTGCTCACAGCTACATTTACAAGCTGTTCTGGAAACTACAAGTTTCCTTTGGGCACGCAACTCTTAGAACACAAATCATCCTTAGCGGATTGTGCTTGGTACCTCTTCTAAGTCTAAGCACCCAGTGCAGGTGGTTGGCTGATATCAGTGTTGAATTACAACTTTTAACTAATAGACACAAAATCCCTGTTATTTCATAGTTCTTTTTAGAACATGAATGTTCTTTATTTCTGGATTTTTTTTTTAATTCCAAACTCTTGTTCTTAGCTTTATATGATTATTTGTGCCCAAGCATTTACCAGCATTATGTCTCAGTGTAATCACTGATAATGTACATAATTATTGTGCTGGCTTTAATTCTCTACTAAAATTTAAATATATTTGAGGTGTTATTAATAATCATTTACAATGTTCTTTTGATTCTTAATATGGAACAAATTCTGCTGGATAACCTTATATAAACCAGCGATTTGATTTACTGAAAGTAAACCTAAGTAATGAAAATTCCTACCCCTTGGGCCTATGCATTATTTTAAATGTCAAAATCTGCCTAGGCAAATTAACTATATTCCCTTCCCAGGTAGTTAGTTACAACTAGAAATGAAGAAAAAATTGAAGTACTCTTATTTAAATACTGTTATGGAATTAAATAAATTTGTCTTGAGTTTCTAATATAAAATGTCTAATAGAAGTCCCTCTGTACCAAAGATGCAGCCTACTTACACACTTTTGTCTGGGAAAAGATAATTTAGAAATAATTGCTTTCAGTATTGTTGTACTATAAAGTTCTAGTTTTCTCTTCTTTTAAAGAACGCAGCAGGTATCACTAACTTTTATGGGTGTCAAACGAGCATTGTAGTGAAACTATTATTGTTTCTCCCTTGTTTTGATTAAAATCCTTCAATCCCCAAGGACTGCTGTGATAAGTCAAGGTCCTTAGCCTAGCAGGCAAGGGCTGCTTTTCCTGCTGGGTCTCCCACGAATCCTCTTCGGTTTTCAAACATCCAAAAACACTTGCTTTTCCAGAACTCTCTTAGACAGTCCCTGCTTTTGTAAATGTTAACCTTCACCCGGAATCCCCTTCCCCCTTGGCCTTCCATTACAAATTCTTTCCATTACAAACTCAGCTGTGAAGGCCTCCCAAATACCAACTTCCTTTCCACTAACTTTTGATTCCACTAGGGCAGTGGTTCTCTAAGTGTGGTTCCTTACAGGCAGCATCAGTCACCTGGGAACTTGTTAGAACTAGAAATTCTCTGATCACACCTCAGACCTACTGAATTAGAAAGTCTAGGAGTGGGTCTATTAATATGTTTCTTTTAACAGGCCCTTTCAGTGATTCTGACTCACAGCTCTAGGGCAGAGAGGACTTATATTCATCTCAATATCCTCAGACTCTCACTTGTTTTCATAGTAGGTGCTCAATAAGGCTTCCATCTGAACAAACAAAACAAAAAGTTGCCTAAAATTGGTTAACTACAATATAAACCACCCTGAAGTCAATTTGTCCAAAGCTTATTTACTTAATGGTCCTGCTGTTAATGACCAATTTACCTAAAATGCAGTCTCCTTTGAGTGTTTTTTACGTCCTTATCAGTTTTCACACCTACACCTTCCATACGCCACTAATGAAATCTCAACTCTCATTTGAAACCTGAGATTCTCCTGATCTGGGCTAGGTCATTTTGTCTTCTTTGTTCCCATAGTGAGTTAGCTATAGGCTTCTCCCATAACTGTGAGTTTTTGTGGGCAAACTACTCTTATTTTTATTGTTATGTCTTATACAATATCTTTTGTTGCAAAGTAGATATTTCAAAAATGCCTGTTGATGTCATTAACAGTATAATATAATAGTTCACAGTATGGACTGGAGCCAAAACATGTTTAAATGCCACCTCCTTTGCTTGCTAGTGTTGTGATTTTGGGAAAGTTTTTTTTTTTTTTTTAAATCATCTATGCCTCAATCTCCTTATCTGTAAAATGGACATAATATAATAGTACTCACCTCATAGCATTATCATAGGATAAAATGAATATATATGTGAAGTTCCTAGAGCAGTTTCAGGCATATAGTAAATACCATATAAGAGTTCATTATTATTTTCTTTAGTTTCCAAATCCTGTTTTGTTTGTTGAGACAGGGTCTTACTTTGTCGCCAAGCTGGAGTGCAGTGGTTCGATCACAGCTCACTGCAGCCTCAATCTCCTGGGCTCAGGTGATCCTCCCACCTCAGCCTCCCAAGTAGCTAGGACTACAATGTGCGTTACCATGCTTAGCTAATTTTCATATTTTTTGTAGAGACGAGGTTTCGCCATGTTGCCCAAGTTCGTCTCAAACTCCTGGACTCAAGCCATCTTCCTACCTTGGCCTCCCAAAGTCCTAGGATTACAGGTGCGAGCCACCACACCTGGCCTGTCTTGTTTTTTTAATGGTCAAAAACCTAGCAAAATTTTATGTGCAAAAATACTCATTTTAGTATTATTAACAATAGTGGAGTTGTTTACATATTCTGAATACAAGTCTCTTATAGGGTATTTGGCTTGCCAATGTTTTCCCCCAAGAGGTGGCTTGTCTTCTCATTCTCTTTACATAGAGCATTTTTTTTTTACTTTAATAAAGTCCAGTTTATCCATTTTTTCTTTTGTAGGTTTCATGACTTTGGTGTTATATCTAAAATCTCATTGCCAAACCCAAGGTCACCTAGATTTTCTTCCATGTTTTCTTCTAGAAGTTTTACAGTTCTGTGTTTTACATTTAGGTCTACAATTCATTTTGAATTAATTTTGTGTAAGATGTGAAGTGTGTGTCAAGGTTCATTTTTGTGCATATAGATGGTCAATTGGCCTGGCACCATTTGTTGAAAACACTATTCTTCTGTTTTTAATGTTAAATTGCATCCTTCCTCTCATGAGAAAACACTCTTTTCTATGACTCAGTATTGTACTTCTCTTGAATAGAGGAAAGCTCTTTATTTAACTCAGAATCAGTGGTTAGTCATATAAAACGACAACTACATAACTTAAACATTCTTTTCACTTAAAATGTATAAAACTTGTTCATTTGCCTAACCCTTCTTTGAATATGGGTCTGCTGATTGGTGTTCTGAATTGTCTTTTTGTTTTTTTCATACAACACAACCATAATGCATTGCCTATGGTATCCAGTGTTTTCAGCTAGAATTCAGATTTCTCAGGTTTAAAATGGGGCTCTACCACATAATTATCTGGAGGCTATTACCTAACCTCACTGAGCTTTAATTTCCTCATCTGTAAAATGAGAATAGTTATAGTATCTACCTCATAAGATAATAAAATGAGTAGGCTAAGTACTTCAGATATTCGTCTGGCACATAATAAGGGCAATAGAAGTATTTGCATTAAAAGCGGAGTAAGGACATGTGGGGCAGTCTGAAGGAAGAATCTTTATAGATATTTGTTCTTTTTTCCATATACTTTATATTTATGTATCTATTTTTAGAGACAGTCTCATACTGTTGCCCAGGCTGGCATGCAGCTCACCATAACCTGCAATTCCTGGGCTCAAGCAATCCTCCCCCTCAGCTACCCAAGTAGCTAGGACTACAGACACATGCCACCACACTGGGCTATTACTTATTTATTCATTTGTTTATTTATTTTTACGACAGGGTCTCACTCTGTCACCAAGGCTGGAGTGCAGTGGTATGATTATGGCTCACTGGAGCCTTCATCTCCCAGGCTCAAGCAATTCGCCTGCCTCAGCCTCCTTAGTAGCTGGGACCATGACCAGGTAAATTTTTTTAAATTGTTTTTTGGCAGAGATGGGGTCTCAGTATGTTACCTAGACTGGTCTTGAATTCTTGGGCTCAAGTGATCCTCCTGCCTCCTCTTCCAAAATGCCGGGATTATAGGCATGAGCCACTGTGCCCAATCTAATTTTTAATTTTTTTGTTTGTTTGTTTGTTTTGAGACAGAGTCTCGCTCTGTCACCCAGGCTGGAGTGCAGTGGCATGATCTCAGTTCACTACAATCTCCACCAGCCAGGTTCAAGCGATTCTCCTGCCTCTGCCTCCCGAGTAGCTGGGATTACAGGCATGCACTGCCATGCCCTGCTAGTTTTTGTATTTTTAGTAGAAATAGGGTTTCACCATGTTAGCCAGGGTGGTCTTGAATTCCTGACCTAAGGTGATCTACCTGCTTCGGCCTCTGAAAGTGCTGAGATTACAGGTTAGTGAGCCACTGCCCCTGACCTAATTTTTTTTTGTAGAGACAGGATCTTACTACATTGTCCAGGTAGGTCTCAAACTCCTGGCCTCAAAAGATCCTCACACTTTGGTCTTCCAAAATGCTAGGATTACAGGTGTGAGCCACCATACATGACCCCTTTTTCCATATTTTTATAGTTGTCTTGTTACCCCAAATTTGGCAGCAGCGTTTTTTGGCACTTTGCCTTTATCAAGTCTTTTCAAAGCATTCACATTAGTTTTCACATTAAAAAAAACTTCACATTCAAAAAATACTTTTTCTTTCTTGTATACACATTTCATCAGGAAGCATAAACAGATTTTTAAAATAATGGACTTTTTCATTTTTATTCTATTTATTTATTTTGAGACAGGTTCTCCCTCTGGTTGCCCAGGTTAGAGTGCAGTGGCATGATCTTGGCTCTCTACAGCCTCTACTTCCCAGGCACAGGTGATTCTCCCACTTCAGCCTCCCCAGTAGCTGGGACTACAGGCACACGCCACCACACCCAGTTAATTTTTTGTATTTTTAGTAGAGACAAGGTCTCATCATGTTGCCCAGGCTGGGCTCAAGTGATCTGCCTGCCTCGGCCTCCTTAAGTGCTGAGATTACAGGCATGAGCCACCACACCCAGCCGAACTCTTAAGTATAAAACTCTACTAGTGGGAGAAATGGTGGGTAGACTGGAGAACAGATTACTAGATGAATTTTCAGGGTACTGTGTATCAGTATGTTTATTGAAATGAAATTTCCCCTCAGGGTTGACAAGAATTGCATGTCGGTTCTGGACAGAAATATAGTTATATTTAAGTATTAATCGGGCTGCACATTAACCCACTTCCTTGTTGCTCAAAGTCACTAGATACTGATCATTTGCATCCCCATTGTTCCTGCAGATAGCATCTCTGGCATTAGAATTATACTGCTTTTGCTTAAGGATTTCTTAAGATGTTTTTCAGATCCCGAATTCCAGAGAAACAGCTGACGCCAACCAGTTTGAAGACCCTCACAGAGGAATGGAATCAGCATGAGAATACAGCTTCTTCATTTCCCTGTCCTGTGACTTCACCCTGCACTCTTTAACCAATCAATGATCTCCATACTTCGGCCCACTCCAAAACCGTTAAAATCCCTAGCCCCAAACTTTTCAGTGAGATGGCTTTCAGGTCACCTCCTGTTTCTTTATTTGGTGGCCTTACACTTAAACCACTTTCTCTGCTGCAACCCAGTGTCTCGGCATATTGAGTTGCCTTGTGCACTGGCCACGGACCTATTAAGATTGTACAAAGGCACTGGAAAGGGTCAGTGAATTTGGTTAGTTTGTTACTAGAAAGGGATCCCGATCCAGACCCCAAGGGAGGGTTCTTGGACCTCACACAAGAAAGAATGCAGGGCGAGTCTATAGAGTAAAGTGAAAACAAGTTTATTAGAGAAGTAAAGAAAGTTAAGAATGGCTACTGGGCCGGGCACAGTTGCTCACGCCTGTAATCCCAGCACTTTGGGAGGCCGAGGCGGGCGGATCACCTGAGGTCGGGAGTTAGAGACCAGCATGGCCAACATGGAGAAACCCCGTCTCTACTAAAAATACAAAATTAGCTGGGCGTGGTGGGGCATGCCTGTAATCCCAGCTACTCAGGAGGATGAGGCGGGAGAATCGCTCGAACCTAGGAGGCAACGGTTGTGGTGAACCGAGATCGCACCATTGCACTCCAGCCTGGGCAATGGGAGTGAAACTCCGTCTCAAAAAAGAAAAGAAAATGGCTACTCCATAGAACAGTGGCATGGACTGCCCAATTGAGTAAACTTACAGTTATTTCTTGATTATATGCGAAACAATGGTTGGATTATTCATGAGTTTTCCAGGAAAGGGGCGGATATTTCCCAGACCTGAGGTTTCTTCCCCTTTATAGACTACATAGTGTAACTTCCAGACATTGCCACAGCATTTGTAAACTGTCATGGCACTGGTGGGAGTGTCTTTTAGCATGCTAATACATTATAATTTGCTTATAATGAGGAGTGAGCACTACCATAGGTCACTTTTATTGCCATCTTCGTTTTGGTGGGTTTTGGCTGGCTTTTTTTTTTTTTTGAGACGGAGTCTCACTCTGTCACCCAGGCTGGAGTGCAGTGGTGCCATCTCCACTCACTGTAACCGCTGCCTCCTGGGTTCAAGCAATTCTCCTGCCTCAGCCTCCTGAGTAGCTGGGATTACAGGCACTCACCACCACGCCCACACCCGGCTAATTTTTTGTATTTTTAGTAGAGATAGGGTTTCACCATGCTGGCCAGGCTGGTCTCCAACTCCTGACCTCAGGTGATCCAACCCCCTCCCCAGCCCCCAGCCTCCCAAAGTGCTGGGATTACAGGCATGAGCCACCGTGCCCAGCTTCTTTACAGCATCCTGTTTTGTTTTGTTTGAGACCAGGTCTCATTGTCACCCAGGCTGGAGTACAATGGCACAGTCTTGGCTCACTGCAGCCTCAACTGCCTGAGTTCAAGCAATCCTCCTGCCTCAGCCCCCCAAGAAGCTGGGACTGCAGGGCCACACCAGCAGACTGTGCTAATTTTTTTTTTTTTTTTTGAGATTAGGACGGGGTTTTGCCATGTTGGTCAGGTTGGTCTTTTTTTTTTTTTTTTGAGACAAGGTCTCACCCTGTCACCCAGGCTTGAGTGCAATGGCACGATCTCGGCTCACCGCAACCGCCCCTTCCTGGGTTCAAGCGATTCTGCCACCTCAGCCTCCTGAGTAGCTGGGATTAGAGGCACGTGCCACCACGCCTGGCTAATTTTTGTATTTTTTGGTAGAGACAGAGTTTTGCCATGTTGGGCAGGCTGGTCTCATCTCCTGAGCTCAAGTGATCCACCTGCTTCAGCCTCTCAAAGTGCTGGGATTACAGGCATGAGCCATCATGCCCAGCAGCTGCATCCTGTTTTATCAGCAGGGTTTTATGACCTGTATCTTACGTGGACCTCCTATCTCAGCCTGTAAGGAAGAATGCCTAACCAACTGGGAATACAGCCTAGTAGGTCTTAGCCTTATTTTACTCATGCCCTATTAAAGATGGAGTTGCGGCCCTGCGCAGTGGCTCACGTCTGTAATCTCCACACTTTGGGAGGCCAACACAGGTGAATCACTTGCGGTCAGGAGTTCAAGACCAGCTTGACCAACATAGTGAAAACCCATCTCTACTAAAAATACAAAAATTAGCCAGGCATGGTGGCACATGCCTGTAATCCCAGCTACTCCGGAGGCTGAGGCAGGAAACTTGCTTGAACTCGGGAGGCAGAAGTTGCAGTGAGCCGAGATGGCTACTGCACTCCATCCTGGGGGACAGAGCGAAACTCTGTCTCAGTAAATAGCCGGGTACGGTGGCTCTCAACTGTAATCCCAACACTTTGGGAGGCCGAGGCAGGTGGATCACCTGAGGTCAGGAGTTCAAGACCAGCCTGACCAACAAGGTGAAACCCCGTCTCTACTGAAAATACAAAAACAGCTGGGTGTGGTGGCATGTGCCTGTAATCCCAGCTACTGGGGAGGCTGAGGCAGGAGAATTGCTTGAACCCAGGAGGTGGAGGTTGCAGTGACCTGAGATCACTCCACTGCACTCCAGCCTGGGAGATGGAGCAAGACTCCCTCTCTAAATAAATAAATAAATATAGAGTTGGGATTGCTCTGGTTCAAATGCCTGTGACAAATTGATTACATCAAAGTTGATTAATAGGGTGCATACTACAATTGCAATAAAACCATGTTTTTCTTTATCATTTTTAAATCAGTAGTGACTATAACATGGCTAAGTTTGAGTGAGTACTGCCTTTTTTGTTTGTTTGTTTTTTGAGATGGAGTCTGGCTCTGTCGCTCAGGCTGGAATGCAGTGGCACGCTCTCGGCTCACTGCAAACTCCGCCACCCAAGTTCAAGCAATTCTTCTGCCTCAGCCTCCCGAGTAGCTGGGACTGCAGGCGCGTGCCACCAACCTGGCTAATTTTTGTATTTTTAGTAGAGATGGAGTTTCACCATATTAGCCAGGCTGGTCTTGAACTCCTGACCTTGTGATCTGCCTGCCTCAGCTTCTCAAAGTACTGGGATTACAGGCATGAGCCACCACACCTGGCTGAATGAGCAATGTCTTAAAAGTTTCTGAATTTTCTAAATAAGATTTTTTAGGCAATGGAGATTCCATTTGGAAAATTACAATTTCAGTACAATATCAATTTAATAAATTAAATACAGTGTTCCGTTATATTTCCAAATGTAGGCAATCAAGTTTAAATAATGGGTTGGAATGGTAGTAGACAGACTTCAAACAAGAATTCTAGACTAGGGACAAGAAATGTCTGAACTATGACTATATTATATTCTGTAGCATATAAAGCTAAAACTGGACAAAACACCACAAGGTTCAAATGGGAAAACTTTCACTAATTAATTCAATTAAAAATCATGAATTAAGTAGGATCAGACTAATTTACTGAGAGCTAGTTTACCTAACCCAGTTTGACTAAGGGTTTCTAATGTATTCAAATGAATGTATATAAAATAGAAAAAGACACCATCTGAACATAAAACACACCACCAGTGACAAAAAGGAGCAAAAACAATTATTAAACATACAAGGTTCAGATGGAAAAAAAACTTACATGAATTGCTTAAAATATGAAAGACAAATGGATCTTTTTTTCTTTTTTTATTTTGAGACGGAGTCTCACTCCGTTGCCCAGGCTGGAGTGCAGTGGCACGATCTCGGCTCACTGCAAGCTCCGCCTCCCAGGTTCACGCCATTCTCCTGCCTCAGCCTCCCGAGTAGCTGGGACTACAGGCGCCCGCACGCCCAGCTCATTTTTTATATTTTTAGTAGAGACAGGGTTTCACCATGTTAGACAGGATGGTCTCGATCTCCTGACCTCGTGCTCTGCCCGCCTCGGCCTCCCAAAGTGCTGGGATTACAGGTGTGAGCCACAGCGCCCAGCTGACAAATGGATCTTTACCTAAGAATTTAGTCAAACCCTTACAAGTGGTAATTTCAAAGGTTTGGCCTGGTGTTTTTGGCTAATAGAGCAACTATTAAGAGGTTTATTCTTCAACTGTAGATCTATTTCTTACTGAACATAATTTAAAAAGGAGTGGGACTCTGCAAACTCAAGTGTCTGCAGAGTCTAGGCAGATATTGTGAATGAGTAAAATGCCTAGAGAGGCAATGCAGTGTGATGAGGACTGTGTATCTGGGAAGTTGATCGCCCATCTAAAAATTGCAATGTCTATTCAGCTCCAGTGGATCATAGCTATGTAGAAATATGGCTTAATCTGACTATTTTCAAAATAAGACAGAAATCTAGATCTTAAGGTTAATCATCAGCTCCATTAAAAAATATTTGTAGGCCAATACTGTATTAACAAAGTATTGTTAAGTAACTGTCTCTGAGAATTCATATTTTTCCTTAGGAGATTGTGTGTGTGTGTGTGTGTGTGTGTGTGTGTGTGTGTGTGTGTGTACAATCTAATAGTTATCCACTAGACAACTGAAATAACAAAGAGGCATTTTCTGCAACTCACACTAGAGGGAAAAGTTAAAGAGTATCAGACTGTAGTGTCTATGGTCCTCTGGGATTGTTCTGTGGGTCTTGGAGAATGCTAATGAACATAAAGAACTGTCTTGTTGGGAGTTCCCAAGGCATTCGTCTTGACTGAACAACTCTAGATATTGAATATGTACTGTGTTGGAAGCGGTGTAAATCATAGGGTAAGGCCATTCTTTCTATGTAGAGAAAAAGATTTTGGCAAAGACTGCCGTAGCATTGCACATTGTGAGTAAGTTGAAGGTAGTATTCTTATTGTAAGACACAGACCTCGGCATAGATTTAAGAACTAAAATTAACCATAAGAGGACGTGCTGAAAATGGTTTGACTTCTTGCCTGCATTTCCTTTGGAATTTGGAAATTGTTATTATTAGCATAGTGTTAACTTTTTTTTTTTTTTTGGCCAATGTAAGTAATTATCTTTGTTTATCCCACCTCTTCAGTTAAAATCTGATTTAGCAATATATTGACTAGGTGTCTGTAATAGCCAGAGACAGAGCAGGAAACAGGTGGTAAACTCAAATAATTTAACTGAAGAGAGTTTAAAAGGGGTACTATTTACTGAGGTGTGGGCAGGGTTAAGGGCACCAATAAGGGATTGAAATAAATGTGGACAGGCAAGCGTGGGAGCTACAACTGCACCTAGGCCACAAGGAACAAAGGGAGACACAGTGTTATTGGAACACTCACAGAATTGCCTTCCCTTTCATACTGGTCCTGTGCCCTTCAAACATTCTCACTGTCCTTAGGATGAACCACTCCTCAGAGCCACGCAAAGACCCCCTGAAGAAGTCAGGACATTCTCTGTATGTCCAGCTTGTATGTGAATCTCAGGGTGCACACCGCTTGCATTTAATGAAGCCCTCCTATTATACAGTTGCTACTTCCTGAATCCTTTCAGTGTGCAGTATACATGGTGAGTTGTGGTAATGCTACAAAACTCCCCACCCTCACCGTAAACCACGGAAGGCGTCTGGCCTCTTCCTATAGCAGAGCTTTGAGAACTTGGGCATCTTACTCTCCCTAGCCTTCTGTAGCTTTCCCTCTGGGTAGGTTCAGAAGAGCGATGCATTCTTGTGTTTTCATGAAGAATTACATGTCATATACCATTTATGATGGTACGAACTAAGAAAAGATAGGAAGTTACCAGCACATATTTTAGAGCCTAGATTATTACAGTTTAAAGATATTTTATTTACTCTTTTACTCATATACCTATGCCCAGTTGATATTTTTTTCCTTTGACCTTTGGAGAAATCTTTTTTTTTGTTGTTTTTTATTCTCTAAATACAATCTATTTTTCCTAATGGCTCAGGATGCTAATTACTTTTCTTCCTCACCTTGGACCCCTGTGTAGTTCTTTGATCTGTTTTGTTTTGTTTTGTTTTTGTTTGTTTGTTTGCTAAGGCCTAGAGCTCTTTCATTTCTCCCAGAGGAGCCAGAAAAGCAGCTTTTATTTTCTATTAAATATTAACCCTTAACAATTATCCACAGTTGTTTAGAATAAATTGTCAAGATGTCATTGAAGCTGGGGAACAGCAATGGAGAATTGTGTGCCATAAAAATACTGTCACCCCTATTTTCAGATAGAGAAACTGAGGCACATAACTTGCTGGGGTTGACCATGCCAAGAAAGCCTGACCAGAACCTCTGGCCTCCTGATTATTAAAGGCCCCTCTACTCTGAGTCTCTTTTCTCTCCATTCCCCTCCCATCCTACCTTACCTTATTTCCTCCAAGACCACTACTACCCTACATCTACCACTTAATAACTACAAGAAGAAGAAAAATGCTAACCTGGAAGGAACAACAGAAACATCAGTAGATGGAATAAAATAGTTTAGGCAAGATGCAGTGCTACTGTGCACAGGCGAATATTGGAGTATTTGAACTCAATATTGTCCAGATAAAAATGACTAAGAAATAATTCCCAAGTTTCTCTGAAAACCCTGGGCTCATTTCCTGAAGCAGTAGAAAAGAGATACCTAGAGATAGAGAAAAAAACCCTGAGGCTGGAACTTGGCAAGGAACTCAGGCTCAGTTTGACCTAATCTAAAAGAAAGACAGGACCTGAAAGGAGAGTAAAAACAAAATGTCAAGTTCACTTCGAAGTGAACAAAACAATAAAGCCACACAGTACATAAGGGAGGAAGAGTGTCATATCCTTTCAATTGCTTACTGCCTCCTCTTGTGAGTTACGCACACTCTCTACAAAAATAAGATGTCCTCGTGAGAATTGCTTTGTCAGTATTGTTACTTTTCTCAGGTCTACAAAGTTTTAAAAATATGTCTATCCATATTTTAGATAAATGTTTCAAACAAGTTTTACCTCCTCATGCATTAGAAATAAAAAAAAATAACTCTAGTGTTTTGTTGGCACTTGTGATTTATATGCGTGGCTTTGACGATCAAAAAATAGTGTAATGTACTTACATGTTACTTACTTTCTCCTATACACTCTGATGTTATCTGGCCATTCTCTAATTTAATACATCAGCACCGAAATATTGAGTCACGGCTGAATATATGTGGAAATACCAGAGTTTCTGGGTAGCAGTGAAGCAGGAAGAGGGTGTGGTGGTCAGATGCATTGGCTTTGGTGTCAGAATCTAACACTAGCTTGTGGACTTTGGCAGGTCACTAATTTCTTAGGGCCTCAGATTTTTCATCCATGAAATGGGGATTAAGCACAATACCATACACAAAGTTACTAGCACCGTGTCCAGCATGCAATATGTGTGTGATACATGTAAAATAGCTGTTAAGATCCCAGACTCTGTAGGCAGGCATCCTGGGTTCAGATCCCAACCAACTACTTACTAACTGGGTAAGTTACTTAACTTCTCCATGACTCTGTTCTTTCTTTCTTTATTTTATTATTATTTTTTTTGAGACAGAGTTTCACTCTTGTTGCCCAGGCTGGAGTACAATGGCACGATCTTGGCTCACTGCAACCTCCGCCTCCCGGGTTCAAGCAATTCTCCTGCCTCAGCCTCCCAAGTAGCTGGGATTACAGGCATGCACCACCACGCCTGGCTAATTTTGTATTTTAAGTAGAGATGGGGTTTCTCCATGTTGGCCAGGCTGGTCTCGAACTCCCAACCTCAGGTGATCCACCCGTCTCAGCCTCCCAAAGTGCTGGGATTACAGGCCTGAGCCACTGCACCAGGCCTGACTCTGTTCTTTCATCTGTAAACTGTGAATAATTATAGTACCTATCTCATAGGTTTGATGTGAAGATTTAAATAGTTAAAATAATAAAGCCCTGGCACACAGTAAGTGTTCAATAAGCATTAGCTATTATTATTCTAAAATTGTGCTGTCCAATGTGGTAGCCATATGTGGCTACTGAGCTTTTGAAATGTAGTTAGTCCTAACTTTGATGTGCTCCAAGTGTAGAATACACATCAAATTTAAATACTTAATATAAAAAAGAATGTAAAATATTTTAATAATTTTTATATCAATTATAGTTAAACATACTGAGTTAAATTACTATAATTAATTTTACTTGTTCCATTTTAATATAGCTACTAGAAAATTAAAAAGTACATGTGTGGCTTGCATTATATTTATATTGGACAGTGCTGTTTTTTAGAATTTAGAAATCTTAAAGCAAAAAGTTCATCAAAAAGAACCTTAGCTTTTGGTTTAGTTCAAAATGTAGGATATTCGTGGTACACTTTTTGTCATAAAATATTGAGGACAAGCAAGGGAATTACAAAGTAGTAAGTGAAGCCATTAGAACTGCCAAAGAAGTTAATACAATTTTAGGTTGCATTAATTTTTCCAGAACCCAGTGTTCTTTTCTCCTCTGGAGTGTTTTGTTCAGCTGTGGGATTACATTTTAAGAGAGACATAGGCATCTAGAGTATATCCTTCATAAATCTCCTAGTAAGATGAGAGGTTCTCATCACCACACCATGAAAGGGAGGAACTGTGAGTGGTTAAAAATAGGGACATATTCAGCCAAGTGAGGAGAAGACTTAAAGGGAGACATGATAGCTATTCTCAAACACCAGAAAAGTTGCCATGTGGAAATGGAATTGACGTGAATGGTTCATTTAGTCCAGGTTACAAGGACTATTTAAGCTTTCAATACATATAACAACTTTTTAACAATTAGAGTTGCCCCCAAATGGAATGAACTACCTTACAGAATATTCCAGACTGTATCACCAGAAATTTAAACAGAGAATTATAGGGAGGTAGGTAGATGAAGACTTCCAAAAGCTTTTCAAACTCTGAGATTCCATGATTAAGGTTTTGCCACTAATTCTGGAATAGAGCTGCCAATACAGCATTAAAATCAGAATAACTAGAGTCCCACAGTTTTAATTAGTTTTTTTTAAAGAAGATATAGAAATTCACTGGTGCTAGCTCAAGAAAACAGGGATATTGTAGACATATATATGGTAGATAGGGATCTCACAAGAATGCAGGGAAAGGGATAGAGATACAGCAGGCTTGTTGGAAACTTTAACAGGAACTGAGGCAGCATTTGCTATCTTTCTCTCATAGGCTGCTTGATTTCTTTCTTTCTTGCGGTATCTCTGCTTTTCTTGCCATCCTTATTCCCTTATATTATTGCAACTCACTGGCTTCCTGTAACTTCACTCACTCGTCATTTCTGTTCCCTAATAGTTTCAGATTGCCTTTCAAGGCCGTTCTAGCATGGAATTTATTCTATGACCCTGGAGCTTGAATTTTCCCACCTGAGTGTTTCAGTCTTTCATTTTCCCAACTTTGGTTTTGTGAGAGGAATAATTGATCTAGTTTTTCTTTTCAAGGCAGGTCACTGGCCATGTATGGGTGGGCTTTCCTTGGGTCAGATGGCTTCCACTGATCCAAATATCCTGGGCTGGGGAATTTTATTTATGTGAGAGGAGGCAGTTTCTACCAGAAGCAGATGTGGGTGGGGCAGGAAGCTAATGGTATTTTTAGTATCTCTATTGAAAGACGCTGAAAGATGGAGGCAATGGAGTTTACTCCCAGAAATTTGTGAATCTACTTAAACTTATTCTATTCCCTGTATTAGAAGGAGCCTATTTAAAAGGTTCTGGTTTGGGATTAATGATAGGTATGTGAGTTTTGCTCTCAAATATGCTCTAGGACCTTGCTACTCAAAGGGTGGTCTGCGAACCAGCAGCATCAACATCACTGTTAGGAGCCTGTTAGAAATCAGAGGCCGGGCGTGGTGGCTCATGCCTGTAATCCCAGCACTTTGGGAGGCCGAGGCGGGTGGATTGCCTGAGGTCAGGAGTTCGAGACCAGCCTGGCCAACATTGTGAAACCCCATCTCTACTAACAATACAAAAATTAGCCGGGCGTAGTGGCAGGCGCCTGTAATCCCAGCTCCTTGGGCGGCTGAGGCAGGAGAATCACTTGAACCCGGGAGGTGGAGGTTACAGTGAGCCAAGATCACGCCACTGCACTCCAGCCTGGGGGACAAGAGAGAGACTTCGTCTCAAAAAAAGAAAAAAAAGAAATCAGAATCTCAAGCCCCATCCTAGGCCTACCAAATCAGAATCTACATTTTAATAAGATTTCCAGGTGATTTGAATTCACATTAAAGTTTAATTATGGCTCTAGGATGAATTGGTTTGGTTTAGGCCTCCTAAAAATTACTGAAGACTTGCACTTGAAATCTTCTAGTAGTATGTTGTAGCTATGCAAGAACCAATTGATAAATTGTCAGAAATTTTGAGTTGGTTGATTTTATGTTTGGTGGCTTGAAGTCACCTACTTGTGGGAGTATTTACACCATGGAAATTGACAAATGGTACAAATTCATTTCTTTTATACTGGAGAACCAGTTGTTAAACTTTTACCAACACACCACTGGACAGTTCTAAATCTCCTAAATCAATCTACTATTAAACAAATCTCCTGGGGGCTTTTGGACATAAAAACTGTCACGTGTGGGGGACAAGACAAAATGAGTTCCAGTCTGCCACTTACTGAACTTTCAGCCTTGTGACTAAAAAAACATTTTCCTAGATAGACATTTCTTCATGGGAAAAAAAGATCTGATTCCGAAGTAAGCACAAGGGGGAAAGGGAATCTAGGAGTTGGTAATACTTAAGACCCAGATAGGCAGACAGACAGGCATTGGAAATTTTCTCAGCTGGCAGGTGGACAGTTTGGAGTTGAAACCCAGGCATAGAATAGCAGTTTGTATGTAGAGAGGAAGAAAATAAGACTGGGTAGATTCTGGTTCTGGAGACATATCCCATGAGGAACGTTTATAGTCTATATTATATTGACCATAAAAATTTTAAACAAAACAACAGCTCCTCCCCAAGTTAACATTGGGTATAAATGCAAATATTTCATGGTATTACATAGGGAGTAGTTTTGAAAGTACGGTCACTGGGCCAGTAAATCAGTATCTCCTGAGAATTTATTATACTCACAGGCCCCATCTCAGACCTACTGGATCAGAAGCTCTGGGGGTGGGGCCCAGCAACCTGAGTTTAACAAGCCTTCTGAGTGATTCTGATGCACATTACTGAAATAGGAAATGTCTTGGAGTTCCTTATTTTTGTCTAATAAGAGAATCCATTTTCTTTTTTCTTTTTATTTTGAGATGGAGTTTCACTCTTGTTGCCCAGGCTGGAGTGCAATGGCGCGATCTTGGCTCACGGCAACCTCTGCCCCCTGGGTTCAAGCGATTCTCCTGCCTCAGCCTCCCATGTAGCTGGGATTACAGTCATGCACCACCACGCCTGGCTAATTTTGTATTTTTTTAGTAGAGACAGGGTTTCTCCATGTCGGTCAGGCTAGTCCCGAACTCCTGACGTCAGGTGATCCACCCGCCTCGGCCTACCAAATGCTGGGATTACAGGCGTGAGCCACCACGCCCGGCCGAGAATCCATTTTCAACTTGAACCCCAAAGGGAAGTGACACTTCTTGCAAAGAAGTTTCCAACTCAACTGGAAGATGGCTGAAGAAGGCAGAGAACACAGATCAAGTAAGTTACAGGGCTAGACAAATATTTATTAGCTTTTCCCAGGGAAATTAGCCAAGCAGGCTGGCAGCTGGCATTTTGCCAAGACTCCTGGAAAGTATAAATCTTCCTAGAAATCAAAAGTTGCATTTTAAAGTGAATTTTAAGTCCATAATACAGTCTAAAGACCTTCTGCAAATACATATAAAAGTTCTAATATAAAGAAAGTGACATCCTTATACATGTGGGAATAACAACAGCATGGATCATGTTAAGAAATAAGCAGATATTGGAAGAAGGAGTACTAGAACAGCTTATTCATTTTGCCTTTCTGGTTCAGAGCTCTCACTGGTTCTTTAATAATGACACTTAATATTTTTTGAGTGCTTACTCTGTGCCAAGTACTTCAGTAAGCACCTCAGTAAATTATTTTATTATTAGCCCCATATCAGGGAAACCAAGGCCCAGAGAGGTATATAAATTTGCCCCAGGTCACACAACTACTAAGTGATAATACTGGAATTCAAACCTAGGCAGTTTGGCTCCAGGGCACAGCTGCTTAACCAAAATGCTCTATTACAAGCTTATCCAACCCACAGCCTGCCAGCCACATGCAGCCCAGTATGACTTTGAATGCGGCCCAACACAAATTTGTAAACTTTCTTAAAACATTATGAGATTTTTTGATGATTTTTTTTTTAAGTTCATCAGCTATCATTAGTGTATTTTATGTGTGGTCTAAAAGATTGGATATTCCTGCTCTATTACCTCTTTTTAGTGAGAAGAAACTCATTATGTACTAAATATTTACAGTCTTGGAGTTCCCATTTCAGAGTATGGATTTTTGTAGTTTTTATAAAGTCCTTTTGTTGTTTTTATAAAGTCTCAGGCTAAGGCCGGGAGCGGTGGCTCACGCCTGTAATCCCGGCACTCTGGGAGGCCGAGGCGGGTGGATCACGAGGTCAGGAGACTGAGACCATCCTGGCTAACACGGTGAAACCCCGTCTCTACTAAAAATATAAAAAATTAGCCGTGCATGGTGGTGGGCGCCTGTAGTCCCAGCTACTCGGGAGGCTGAAGCAGGAGAATGGCGTGAACCTGGGAGGCGGAGCTTGCAGTGAGCCCGAGATCACACCACTGCACCCCAGCCTGGGCGAAAGAGTGAGACTTCGTCTCAAAAAAATAAAAATAAAGTCTCAGGCTAAGGAATCTCTTTATGTATTGTTATATACAAAACTGGAATCTGGATCCTACCTAATGCCATCGAGTTCTGGTGACCAGAGTGGGCAACAGGTAAGCTGTACCTGTACAGGACATTACTTTAATTAGGCTACCACTATAAGCATACTATATGGTATGTAAGCATACTATATGGTAATAGTTTCAATATAGGATGTTTAAACTCTCTTGTTAGAACAGTAGACATAAAAAAGTCCATAAATGGGGCCTGCCGTGTTGGTTCACACCTGTAATCCCAGCACTTTGGGATTGCTTGAAGCCAGGAGTTTGAGACCAGCCTGGGCAAAAAAGAAAGACACCCCACACTCCCCGCTGTCTATAAAGAAAAATAAAAATAAGTTAGCCAGGTGTGGTGGTGTGTGCCTGTAGTCCCAGCCCCTTGGGAGGCTGAGACATGAGGATCACTTGAGCCCAGCAGGTGAAGGCTGCAATGAGCTATGATCTTGTCACTGCACTCCAGCTTGGGTGTCAGAGTGAGATCCTGTCTTGAGAGGGGGAAAAAAAAGTCCACAGATGGGGGCCAACTGACCCCAGCTGTGGACTGTGGAAAGGAAACAGATATAGGGTCTAAGGACCAGCACCTCTAATCTGAGTGTTTGTTTTTCTCTGAAATTGACTGGGTAAACTTGCTCCAATTCTGGTACTTACTCTCAAATTGAATTAGTTTTTTTCATTTATGCATAGCCAAGTACACTGCTTGACACATGGCAGGCACTCATATATTTGTGAAAAGAAGGGAGGATGAGAGGGAGCGAGGGAGAGAAGGAAAAGTTTACAAAGATAGATTTAAGTTCTTCGATTTTTTTGCATAAGTCACAAATTGTTATAGAATCTTTGAAGTAACTGCTTAGGTGTTAACAAGACAAGGCAATACATTAGAAATCTTATTTTTTCATGTAGATGAGTACTATGTATAAATATGAATAAAGCATCTGGGAAATGCCTTTGATCCAGTTCATCTGCCTGTGGGCAGCTTCATTGAAGCAAGTTAATTTTGCAGGCTTGCCATTCTAATTGAGTCACTAATTCATGTATGCATATATTCATTTATTCAGCAAACATTTACTGAGAGCCTCCTATGGGCCTGGCACTGAAGTATGTGCTGAGGTTACAAAAATGAGTAAGATGGTTTCTACCCATAAAAAGCTCAGACTGGTGACAAGAACTGATATATTGTGGTGATGGCTGCACAACTCTTTGAGTACACTAAAAACCATTTAATTGTACAATTTAAATTGGTAGATTGTATGCTATGTAAATTATATCTCAAAACTGTTTAAAAGAAACACAGCCTGAGGCGAAATCTTTAAAAAGTTACCTAGGTGATGTAGGGTACGGTACACACGAAGCAGAGAAGATAGAATGAACCAAGTTATGGAGGTGAGAAACGTGTGTGTGTGTGTGTGTGTGTGTGTGTGTGTGTGTGTGTTGTGGGGGAGGTAAGCTGGGAAGTGATAAAATCCGTAATCAGATTTGTTTTAGATAAACCACACCGACAGCTGTGACGTAATGGAAAGTACACTCATTCTGTTTTGTTTTTGTTTTTTTTTCCTATCAGAATAACTTGTGCGTGGGTCTTGGAGCTGCCATTTTAAAACTAGAAATGTTTTATAAATGTCAAGTATTATTATTCAATTGATCCTAATGGTAAGTCTACTCGCTTGCCAGCAGGGGGTAAATGTAGAGATTAATTTAAGATTTTAAAGCTAAGGTTGATCTTGCGCTGACAGAAAGTTTGACAATTAGCAAAAAAAGTTTGTCAGTGAGTTGGACACCTCCCTCGGGTAGCGGCGAAAACGCCTAGAGAATTTTTAAAATAAGTCTTTCCAAGGCCGGAAAAGTGGCGGAGGAAGCTAGTGGGTTTCAGGGTTCCTGTTTTTCAAGATTTTACGTTGGGTATTAAGTACTCTCACAGCCTGTTAAAATTGTCGCTCTGAGTACACTTGCAGGATCAAAAAAGAAAAAGAATAAGAAGGAAGGATTAAAATAATCACAGCATCGCCAACAGGATCGTATTTTCCCGAAGGTGGTTAACCAGCCATACCGGAACCACGAAACACACAGGGTCCTGGGCAACACGGAGGACTAACAGTAACACCGCCACGCCGGCAGCAAAGCTCATTTTGGTCCCCGCCCCGTTCCTCTTTCTCTTTTTAACTCCTTCCCTCTTTGCGGATTCTAGAACGGAACCTTTTTTTAATTCTTCCCAGTAGAAACGTAGGAACAATTTCGTGAACGCAATCCGGAGTGCCCAACATGGCGGCGGCCGTAAGGTGCATGGGTAGAGGTAAGGCGAGGGGTTGTCTTGCAGGGGAAATGGCTCTGGCACCGAGTCTCTGGTTGCAGCAGAGTGCAAGGCGGATTCTGCTCTGGGTGCTGAAAATGCCTCGTGCTGTTTCTGGTCTCTAGGTTTTTCAGAGGGTGGGTCATTACTACTTAAAAGTGACCTTATGAAGGGTTTCACTCCATTCTGGAGACGTCCACCCTGAGGGAGGGAGTGGGAGCGGGACGTACATCGAGCGCCCTCCAGCCACCTATGGGCATGGCAAGGACTGGGTCGTCTCTGATACTGGGGTGTGGGCTGCGGGTAGTGGAGTGTGATAAGTGAGGTGAGTTCTGATAAGGGAAAGATGATGTATTTGAGTGGCTTAAGTCTGTAAATTAGAGCAATTTTCAAAGTGCTTTTTGGTGCTTTCGGAATTACTTCGTTATAGGCGATTCCAGTTCTTAAACTTCCATAGGTGGTCTAATTTGGATCAACGTTTATCATTTGAGGGGGCTAATTCTGTAGTACCTCTTGGTAGCGCCTCTTTTCATCTTAATAATTTCAACTTTTTGTCTACGATGACAGCCCTTTCTTGTGCAACAATTTTTTTTTTTTTTTTTTTTTGAGACGGCAGTCTCGCTCTGCCACCCAGGCTGGGAGTGCTGTGGTGCGATCTCAGCTCACTGCAACCTCCGTCTCCCAGGTTCAAGCGATTCTCCTGCCTCGGCCTCCCGAGTAGCAGAGACTACAGGCGTGTGCCACCATGCCTGGCTAATTTTTGTATTTGTAGTAGAGACAGGGTTTCACCATGTTGACCAGGCTAGTCTTGCACTCCTAATCGCAGGTGATCCGCCCTCCTCGGCCTCTCAAAGTGCTGGGATTACAGGCGTGAGGCACTGCGCCCGGCCTGTGCAACGCTTTTTGCTTTTATTTTGTGTTTTTGAAGTCCAGTGATATATATTGTTTAATTTAGGTAGGTCTTTAGGTAGAAGCAGTAGCCAGCATTACCCCCATTTTACAGAGGAAGAAACTGAACTTATTAGATATGTGGCCAAGTTCATATAACTAGTAAATGGCAGAGGAAGTACTGAAGCTTGCAATCCTAGGTCAGTGATACATGTATATTTAACACTGCATCACAGTTTTTTTTTTTTTTTTTTTGAGTTTCTTTTTAGGAAAACTGTGTCAAGAGAGTTATTGCTCAAAAATTAGGGGTGACAAGAGATAACAACAGACCCTGATGCCTACTTTGTGAGCAAACCAAAATGTATATTATTTCTGAAAGGAGGTTGAAGGCATCTTCATGTATGACAGAAATCGTTATGTTACACAAATCCAAAGAAACCAAAAATACCTGAATATTATAATTTTCTTGTCACATTTTCTTCTCTTGGCTTCTAGGATATCTCTCTGTTAATTGTCTTCCTATTTCATGTGTCATTTTTTCTCACATTACTTGGCTGGTTCCTCTTCCTCTCCCCAGCCTCTTTACTTTGGAGTGTTCTGGAAGCCAGGGTTCCATCCTTCATTCTCATCTCTTCTGTATCTAAATTCACTCCTTGGTTAGCTCATCCAAAGTTTGTGGCTTTGATTATTGTCTATCTTTTTTATTTTTTTAATTGTTTACTTATCAGGAGAAACTTTCACATTTCATAGTTCAAGAACACAGGTCAGTGACAAACTTTTAGGTAATTCAACCCAAAGAAATTCTTTATATTGCAAAATCACTTTGTGCTCTGAAATATACGTTTTCCTCATCTCCTCAAAATCTTTTATGGAATCATCATTTCTGTAGGAGTCGACACATGCCTTCTTTCTTGGCTCAGCCACCGCGAACATAGCGAAAACCCCCAGGGATACAATGAATGCTTCAACAATATGAAATTGCAAATGTTTTGCCAGAAGGCCCCACATCGGAGGTTCATTAAAGCACTGGAAGCCACGGTAGCTACTGTTCTTTTTAGGTATTAGCCTCAATACCAGCATTCTTCCTGGCTGTTGGAGAAATGGATGGCCAATTATTGTGTATATCTTTTTTTTTTTTTTTTTTGAGAAGGAATCTTGCTCTGTCACCCAGGCTGGAGTGCAGTGGCACGATCTTGGCTCATGCAACCTCTGCCTCCCGGGTTCAAGCAATTCTTGTGCCTCAGCCTCCCAAGTAGCTGGGATTACAGGCGCGTGCCACCATGCCCGGCTAATTTTTGTATTTTTAGTAGAGGTGGGGTTTCACCATGTTGGCCAGGCTGGTCTCGAACTCCTGATCTCAAGTGATCCACTCACCTCTGCCTCCCAAAGTGCTGGGATTACAGGCATGAGCCACCATGCCCAGCCGATTATTGTCTATACCTTAATGGTTATCAAATTTATATCTACAGTTGGGATCACTCTTCTGAACTTTAGATTCTTATACTCATCTGAGTATTCTACATCTCCACTTTGATAGCATATCAGCACCTTGCAGTTGTTTAAAATCAAATTCATTGTCATAGCCTGCAGTCTTTTTCTTCTCATTTGAAGGCAATTCCATCCTTCATTTGTCCAGGCCAAAACCTCAGAATATCCTTGACTCTTTTTTTTTTTTGAGACAGGATCTCACTGTGTTGGCCAGGCTAGAGTGCAGTGGCCCGGTCACGGCTCACTGCAGCCTTGACCTCTGGGGCCCACTATGACCAGCTAATTTTTTTTTTGGTAGAGATGAGATCTCACTGTGTTGCCCAGGCTGCTCTCGAGCTCCTGGGCTCAAGTGATCCTTCCACTTCAGTCTCCTGAAGTGCTGGCAGTACAGGCTCTGAGCCACTGCACCTGGCTGACTCCTCTCTGTATCTCACACTTTACATTAAATAGTTTGCAAATCCTGTTGGCTTTACGCTTAAAATAAATCCAGACTCTGACTTCTCACTGCCCCACTGCAGCTACCTTGTTCCCACCTGCTACCATCTCTCACTTGGATTTCTCTACAGTCTACTGTCAATGAGTAGTGAAATTCATCCTTTAAGGACCTCAGTCATGTTACTCCTGTGCTCAGAACTCTGCAAAGCCTTTCCATTTTTCTAAATCCAAAGCCCTTAGAATGGCCTACAGTTGTGCTATTCATTTTGTTAGCCACTATTTATTGAGCACTTCAAATTGGTTAATCTGAATTGAATTTGTCAAATATACATTAGATTTTGAGGGCTTAGCATAAAAAAAAACATGTAAAATACTTTTTTCTGAGATGGAGTCTTGCTCTGTTGTCCAGGCTAGAGTGCAGTGGCATGATCTCGGCTCACTGTAACCTGTGCCTCCCAGGTTCAAGTGATTCTGTAGTCTCAGCCTCCCGAGGAGCTGGGATTACAGGCACATGCCACTGGGTCCGGGTAATGTTTGTATTTTCAGTAGAGACGAGGTTTTGCCCTGTTGACCAGGTTGGTCTTGAACTCCTGACCTCAGGTGATCCACCCGCCTCAGCATCCCATACTGCTGGGATTACAGGCGTGAGCCACCACACCCAGCCCAATTTTTTTACATTGATAATTTAATAATACTTTGGGGTATTAGTGATAAAATATTAACTTACTGTTTCTTTTTACCTTATATATTGTAGTTATTAGAAAATTTTAAATTGTACATGTGGCTTACATTATTCTTCTGTTGAGTAGCACTGGTGTACAAGTCTTCGATATCACCTTGTGCCTACCTTCTCCTACCCCCGCCTCACCCAGCTGACCTCTCTGACCTCTTCTCCATCTATCCTCCCTCACACTCACTCTGCTGTAACCAGCTGGCCTTCTAGTTTCTTAAACACATTAAGAACACTCTTGCCTTAGAATCTTTGCCCTAGAACAGTTTCTTGGTGTTTGCGTGGCTAACTTTCCCATATCTTTTCAACTCTTTGCTGAAATATCACCCCCCTTTTTTTTTTTTTTTGAGACAGAGTTTCGCTCTTGTTGCCCAGGCTGGAGTGCAATGGCGCGATCTCGGCTCACTGCAACCTCCGCCTCCTGGGTTCAGACGATTCTCCTGCCTCAGCCTCCTGAATAGCTGGGATTACAGGCGCCTGTCACAACGGCCAGCTAATTTTTGTATTTTTAGTAGAGATGGGGTTTCAACATGTTGGCCAGGCTGGTCTCGACCTCCTGACCTCGTGATCCTCCCACCTCGGCCTCCCAAAGTGCTGGGATTACAGGCATGAGCCACCATGCCTGGCCTCAAATGTCACCCTTTTAATGAGGCTTGTCTTAACCACTATACTTAAAATTGCAAACCACTTTCCACTGATACAATCCCTTTTATCCTGCAGTGCCTCCATCCCCCAATTATTTTTATTGGTATTGTCTTCCCCCTCTAGACATAAGCCCTATGAGGATAGGGATTTTTATGTTTTATTCACTGATGTACCTAAATGCTTCCAGCAGTGCTAGCACATGTTTCATTGGCGTATTTGTTGAATGAATGAATGAATAAATGGATCATCAGAAAAATGGCCCCTTTCATGTGCTGTAATGCATAATATTTGAGTCCAATTTTTGCTCTCATTTGTTCAAATTTTCTTCATTCAACAAATGTTTATTTAGAGTCTTCACTTGACAAACACTGTGCTAGGTGCTAGGTATACAATGCTGAACAAGCTATATACATTTCCTGCCCATGATGCTTACCATCTATTGAGGAGCAGGAATTAATTGGATAATTCTTTTCTTTTTCTTTTTCTTTTTCTTTTCTTTTCTTTCAAGAGACGGGGTCTCACTATGTTGCCCAAGCTGGTCTTGAACTCCTGGGCTCAAATTATCCTCCCACCTCAGTCTTCTGAAGTGCTGGCATTATAGGCATGAGCGATCAACCCGCCTTGGCTTCCCAGTGTT
The DNA here is from genome assembly GCF_000001405.40 of Homo sapiens. NCBI lineage: Eukaryota > Metazoa > Chordata > Mammalia > Primates > Hominidae > Homo > Homo sapiens. Next base: position 77,867,700 of record NC_000004.12, read on the forward strand.
GGGATTACATGCGTGAACCACTACACCCAGCCTTGGATAGTTATTTCTTTTTTTTTTTTTTTTTTTTTTTTTTTTTAGACGGAGTCTTGCTCTGTCGACCAGGCTAGAGGGCAGTGGCACGATCTCGGCTCACTGCCAGCTCTGCCTTCCGGGTTCACGCCGTTCTCCTGCTTCAGCCTCCCGAGTAGCTGAGACTATAGGCGCCCGCCACCATGCCTGGCTAATTTTTTGTATTTTTAGTAGAGACGGGGTTTCACCGTGTTAGCCAGGATGGTCTTGATCTCCTGACCTCGTGATCCGCCCACCTCAGCCCCCCAAAGTGCTGGGATTACAGACATGAGCCACCGCGCCTGGCCAGTTATTTCTTTTTTTTTTCCTTTTGAGATGGAGTCTCACTCTGTTGCCTAGGCTGGAGTGCAGTGGCACGATCTTGGCCCACTGCAACCTCTGCTTCCCAGCTTCAAGTGATTTTCCTGCTTCAGCCTCCTGAGTAGCTGGGACTACAGGCACGTGTCACCATGCCCAGCTAACTTTTGTGTGTATATTTTGTTTTTTTTTCTGTGATGGACTCTTCCTCTGTTGCCTAGGCTGGAGTGCAGTGGCTCAATCTTGGCTCACTGCAACCTCTGACTCTGGGGTTCAAGCAGTTCCTGCCTCAGCCTCCCGAGTAGCTGGGATTACAGGAGCATGCCACCACACCCGGCTAATTTTTTTTGTATTTTTAGTAGAGACGGGGTTTTACCATGTTGGCCAGGCTGGTCTTGAACTCCTTATCTTGTGATCCACCCTCCTCAACCTCCCAAAGTGCTGGGATTACCGGCATGAGCCACCACGCCCGACCTGGATAATTATTTCTTTAGTTAAAATTGTCCTAAGTGCTGTGAAGGAAAAGTGTAAGATGTTATACAAATGTATATGAGAGACCTAATCTATTCAGGGGAGACTCTTCTGAAGAAATAATGTTAAGTAGAGTCCTTGAAAGATAACTGTATTACTATGAACTAGTGGAGTGGAAAGCAATAGGGGAAAATGTCATAGATGGAAGATTATGAAAATTCTTAGGTGGTAAAGAACAGAGTCAAGTAACTGAAAGAAGATGAGTGTATTTGTAGCATGGTGAACATGAGGGAGAGTGGGGCTAGAGGATGCTCACTGGATAGTTTAGTAGTAGCTCGTGGAGTACCTTGGTAAAAATTTCCTTTGTTCAAAGAGCCAAGTTTAGCCATCCAAGTATTTTAAGGACATGGTGAAATTTTCATTTTAAAATGATCCCTCTTACTAATATAGGTGGAAAAGAAATGGAGAGGGCCAAGTGTAGAAGACAGAACAGTTTAGAGGCTGTGGCAGTAATCCAGGTGGTAGGTGATGGTAGCCTGGACTGTGATGGTTGTAGCAGAAAGGCAAGAATAGATGGATACGATTCCCTAGGGAGAGTGAGGATTATAGAGTCAGGTGAGAAGGCAGTATAGGACTGACCTCAAGGGAACTCTAACCTTTCACTATCAATTAAAAGAGATAAGAAAGGAGAGGGAGTTGTTTCTATCTCATTGCCACGGGGTGGGAGAGATTTTGAGAATGAGTGCTGGATCAGGGAGACTCAGTAGTTCAGGAAGTTCTGAGGGCTATTTTCTCTGAAGTAGCAAGTGAGGTTATATGCTAAGAATAAGGGGAAGAGAAATGTATTAATAAAGGAGATAAAATAATACAGCTAGACAAATTGACTACAAAAGGATTGAAAACATAGATATCATGATCTAACAGTGCTACTTAAATAGTGGTATTTGGTTTCTTTTGGTCTGTAGTGTTTGATTTCTGTTGAAAATTGTAGTTTCTGGTTGTCATGACTGATAGTAGTGGTTTTGCTTGCTTGCTTGCTTTTTGTTGTTTGTTTGTTTGTTTGTTTGTTTGTTTTTGAGACAGAGTTTCGCTCTTGTTGCCCAGGCTGGAGTGCAGTGGCGCGGCTCACTGCAACCTCTGCCATCCAGGTTCAAGCGATTCTTGTGCCTCAGCCTCTCAGGTAGCTGGGATTACAGGCATGCACCAACACACTCAGCTAATTTTTTTTGCGTTTTTAGTAGAGACAGTTTCATCATCTTGGTCAGGCTGGTCTCAAACTCCTGACCTCAGGTGATCCACCCACCTCAGCTTCCCAAAGTGCTGGGATTACAGGTGTGAGCCACCGCACCCAGCCTGTTTTGTTTTTTTGAGACAGGGTTCCTGTCACCCAGTCTGGAGTGGAATAGTGAGATCAGAACTCACTGCAGCCTCAACTTTCCTGGCTCAAGTGATCCTGCCACCTCAAGCAATCCTCCCACCTCAGCTTCCTGAGTAGCTGGGACTACAGCTGTGCACCGTCGCTAATTTTTAAATTTTTTGTAGAGATGGGGTTCCACTCTATTGCCCAGGCTGGGCTCGAGCTCCTGGGCTCAAGGGTTCCTCCTGCCTTGGCCTCCCAAAGTGCTGGGATTACAGACATGAGCCACTGTGACTGGCCTTGATTTTTTAAAATAGCAGATTGCAATTGATATGTTCAAGAGATTTTTTTGTTTGTTTCCCCAAGAGAATTATTATTTTGGGATCTTCCAAGGTTGTTAGGTTCTTGTATAGTACAACTAGAATTGTTTGGAAGTGTTTGCCAAGCTTCGAATGGATAATTGCTTGTTCCTTCATTTATCATACGTGATTTTTCAAAGTGCTGGGATTCCATGCATGAGCCACCACACTCAGCAATAAAATCTTTATAAACTGATATGAAGTGATCTCTCAAATGTATGCATGTACACACACCTTTATGAAAGGCACACATAAAATCTCATCTGCATCTCATGTATATGTGTGTGTATGTTTGTGAAAATAGGCTCTAATACCTTTAGGTGAAAAAGCAAGATGGAGTAGTGATTAGAGTATGCTACCATTTTATAAAAGAGGAGGGAAATATATTGGTACCTATATGTTTATATATGTATATAGTGTTTCTAAAAAGATGCATAAGGTATTGCTAACATGGGAGAGAAGCTGGGGGCCAGGTGTAGGAGGAAGACTTTACTTTTGTAATCTTTAAATAAAAACATATTTCTAATATTTACACACGCAAAAGAATATAGTTAAGATGAAAAGAATAATAATAGCTTGAAATTCTAAATATTCACTATTAAGCTTAAAAAAATAGAACATTAACAATACCTTCAAAGACCTGTGTACCTTTTTCTTATTTCTCACAGATCCAGTACCCCACTTTGTTCTTATCTTCAGAAGTACTTGGGCAACTGTGTTAATGTCTTATTTATTGTAAAAATGAACAAATAAATTAAGAAATTTTGGGATACATATACATATTCCCTAATAATAGAACTAACATACTCTGATGAATATGAAATAGTTTAAGTTAAAAATAGATGAAAACCCCAGAGCCTTGAGAGGCTGAGGAGGGAGGCCCACTTGAACCCAGGAGTTCAAGGTTATAGTGAGCTGTGTTCATGCCACTGTACTCCAGCCTGGGTGACAGAGTGAAAGCCTGTCTTTAAAAGAAAAAAAAAAGATAAGATAGTTCAAATATTAGATGTATTTACCTGCTTTTAGTTTCAAGAACTGTGGTTTCTATTATTACACTTTTTTTTTTTTTTGAGATGGAGTATCACTCTGTCGCCCAGGCTGGAGTGCGGTGGCGCTATATCGGCTCACTGCAACCTCCGCCTCCTGGGTTCAAACGATTCTCCTGCCTCAGCCTCCCAAGTAGCTGGGACTACAGGTTCGTGCCACCATGCCTGGCTAATCTTTTGTATTTTTAGTAGAGACGGGGTTTCACCGTGTTAGCAAGGATGGTCTTGATCTCCTAACCTCGTGATTCACCCGCCTCAGCCTCCTAAAGTACTGGGATTACAGGCATGAGACACTGTGCCTGGCTATTATTACACTTTTAAAAGAAGGATTAAAAATCACAAAATATTGAATGTTTTCATTTTGAAAGTACTGACTTTTAAAATTAAAAAATTATGAATATAATGATTATTTAATGTTAATATTTTACATGTTTTTCCTTTCAAGCCTTGATACATCATCAAAGGCATAGCCTTTCCAAGATGGTTTATCAGACATCACTTTGTTCTTGTTCTGTAAACATCCGAGTGCCCAACAGACATTTTGCTGCTGCTACAAAGTAAGTATTTTTTTTTAGTTATTATTTCATTTGTTGTCATTTTAATTTTTTTTAAAAAGCATGTTTAGTTCCATAAAGATTTACCAGGACATATAGTTGTAAAAGTTTATTATTTCTGCTTCATCGACCTTATAGTCCTGAAGGAAAGATAAGACATAATAATACTTAACGTTTATTGAACACTGATGTTCAATAACTAACTTATTCCCAACAGCAACCTTATGAGGAAGCTATTGTTATTATGCACAATTTACAGAGAAGAAAATCGAGGCACTGGTAGGTTATATAACTAGCCCAAGGTCAGAGAGCTACTAAATTTTAGAGCTAGGGTTTGAATCCATGGAGTTTATTCCAGAACCAAAGCTTTTTCCAGTATGCTTTCGCTGCCTTTTTAGAACAGAACCCACTGTTGCAATTAATGAATTTTAATTTAATTAAGAAATTAATTTAATTTCTTTCTGTCCTTTAAATTATATTTTTTCCTTTTAGGCACTTTTTATACATCATGTATTAGAGGATTATCCGTACTATGATTACATAGTAAGATTTCAGATTTGCATAGTATATATATTGGGTATAAATTTGTATTATTTTGGCTGGGTATGGTGGCTTACATCTATAATCCCAGCACTTTGGTAGGCCAAGGCAGGCAAATCACTTGAGGTCAGGAGTTCGAGACCAGCCTAGCCAACGTGGTGAAACCCCGTGTCTACTAAAAATACAAAATTAGCGGGCACCGTGGCTCACACCTGTGATCCCGGCACTTTGGGAGGCCGAGGCGGGTGGATCACGAAGTCGGCAGTTCAAGACCAGCCTGGCCAAGATGGTGAAACCCTATCTCTGCTGAAACTACAAAAATTGGCCGGGTGTGGGGGCAGGCACCTGTAATCCCAGCCACTCGGGAGGCTGAGGTGGGAGAATCGCTTGAACCTGGGCAGCAGAGGTTGCAGCAAGCCGAGATCGCACCACTGTGCTCCAGCCTGGGCGACAGAGTGAGACTCCATCTCAAAACAAAAAACAAAACAAAATTAGCTGGACATAGTGGTGTGTACCTGTAATCCCTGCTACTTGGGAGGCTGAGATAGGAGAATCACTTGAACCTGGGAGGCAGAGGTTGCAGTGAGCTGAGATTGCGCCACTACACTCTAGCCTGGGCAACAGAGGAGACTCTGTCTCAAAAATAAAATAAGATAAGATATATGTAAAGGAATGAAATCTGTTCTCTCAACTTTGTATTTCCAAGAGCAGGATCTGGTTTCTTGCCAAAAAGCTCTAGGATAATAATAGTTAAAATTTATAGAATGCTTCCTTTGTGCTAGGCAGTATACAAAGCACATAGCATATGTTAGTTCTTTTAAATTTCACAACACTCTGTGAAGCATAGATACTATTGTAAGTGTTTTACAGATGAAGGAATGGAAGTCCAGAGGTTAAGTAATACGTTCAAAGTTACACAACTAGAATGTGTTGGAGGAAGGATTTCAGCCTAAATTTTCTGACTTTAGAACTGTCACACTCTTCATGGTTAGTATATAATAATAGAATCATTGGCTCTGGAGGATAGGGTCTGCAAAGCAAATAGAGTCCCAGCTACAAAAATCTTACTTTATGATGAAATTTGCTAGAATACAGTCCTCAGGTTATGGGATACCCAAAATGAAAACTAAAGGGTAGAAAGTTTTTGCTGACTGTAAATTTTCACTTAATATATTCTTATTTCCATAAACTTAATTTAATATCAGACAACTGTGCCTCAGTTGCCTCTTACTTAGCATACTTTGTTGAGCATCTGCTGTAGGCCTGGCACTGTGCAAAATGATGATATGAAGATGAACAAGGCACACATTCCGTTCCTCTGTCTTTGAGATTTTCACAGTGAACTGACAGCAACATAAACAATTGCTTTTTGTTTTAAATGAATTAATTAAAATGAGTTAGTTAACTCTGTGAGTAGATAAAAGATAATTCATGGTAAAAGATAAAAGATATTCATGGTAAGCATAGTATTTAGTGAAAAGTTGGTCTTCTTCCCACCCCATCCTTTAGCCCTTTGTAATCGTCTGTGCATATGTAAGTACATGAGTATATTATTTGTTTTTTACATAAATGGTAGTGTACTATGTACCCTGTTTTGCATATTGCCTGCTTTTTTTTTTTTTTTGAGATGGATTCTTGCACTGTCACCTGGGCTGGAGCGCGGTGCTGCGATCTTGGCTGACTGCAACTTCCACCTCCCGGGTTCAAATGATTCTCCTGCCTCAGCCTCCTAAGTAGGCGCCTGCCACCACGCCCAGCTAATTTTTTGTATTTTTAGTAGAGACGGGGTTTCACTATGTTGGCCAGGCTGGTCTCAAACTCCTGACCTTGTGATCTGCCCGCCTTGGCCTCCCAAAGTGCTGGGATTACAGGTGTGAGCTACCGCACCCGGACCGCCTGCATTTAAGTTAACAATATATCTTGGAAATAGTTTCATATGGAGCTGTCTAGTCATTTTAACTGCATTTCATTGTGTGAAATGTAGTAGTGCATAATTTATGTAACTATTCCCCTATTGAGGCACATTTTTCTTTCCATTCTTTTTCTATTACAAGTGATCCTGCAAGTGAATAATCATGCATATAGATCCTGTCAAATATAATGAATATGTTTGTAGCATAAACTCTGAGAAATAGAATTGTTGGGTCAAAAGATGTGTGCATTTATAATTTTGATAAGTAATACCAAATTGCCTTCATAGAAATCTTGCCAGTATTTTTACCAGCAAGTATTATTACAATGCCAATTTTCCCATGTATAGTATAGTCAAATTTTTTCATCTTTGACAATTTGATAGGTAATAAATAGCATTATTATATTTATATTTCTTTTATTATTAATGAGGTTGTATACCTCTTCATATGTTTAAGAGCCACTTATATTTTCTTTTCTTTTTTTTTTTTTTTTGAGGTGAAGTTTTGCTCTTGTCGCCCAGGCTGGAGTGCAATGGTGCAATCTCAGCTCACTGCAACCTCCGCCTCCCAGGTTCAAGCGATTCTCCTGCCTCAGCCTCCCGAGTAGCTGGGATTACAGGCACACGCCACAACGCCCGGCTAATTTTTTTTTTTGTATTTTTAGTAGAGATGGGGTTTCACCATGTTGGTCAGGCTGGTCTTGAACTCCTGACCTCAGGTGATCCACCTGCCTTGGCCTCCCAAAGTGCTGGGATTACAGGCGTGAGCCACCATGCCTGGCCCGTTTATGTTTTCTTTACTGTGAATTTTCTGTTCATGTCCTATTCTAATTTTTTGTTGTTATTGATATGTAGAAGCTTCTCTATATATTGTTATATACAAATATGATATTCGTATATTATGAATTAACACGTCTGTGATACAACTTCTGATTAGTATGACTGTTTTAACTGTCATATTAGAGGATTGGATCAAGTGCTATGCGATCACAGATGAAATGTCAATTCTGTCTGGGGAAGAGTAGGGCAAGAAGTATTTGAGCTAGGTCTTGAAAGATAGAATTTTGCAGGGGGCTGGGTGTGGTGGCCCATGCTTGTAATCCCAGCACTTTGGGAGGCCAAGGTGGGTGGACCACTTGAGGTCAGGAGTTTGAGACCAGCTTGGTGAAACCCTATCTCTACTAAAAATACCAAAAAATTAGCTGGGCTTGGTGGTGCATGCCTGTAATCCTGGCTACTCAGGAGACTGAGGCACAAGCATTGCTTGAACCTGGGAGGTGGAGGTTGCAGTGAGCCAAGATCGCGCCACTGCCCTCCAGCCTGGGCAACAGATTGAGACTCTGCCAAAAACAAAAAAAAAAAGAATTTTGCAGGGGAATTGGTTGAAAGGTATTTCGGTAGTGCAGAGACATGAAAGTGAATGATACATATACAAACATAACTAATTTGGTTTGAATATAAGATGAATACGGAGGTGGCAGAAATCTAACAAGAAAGGAGGCTTCCTTTGAGTGTGAATAGTGCCTGGATTCTTTTTATTGTTAAGTTGCTGGAGTACCGCTTGTACCAGTTTATATCCCCACTTAGTAATTAGTGAGTAGTGCCAGTTTTCCACATGCCTAACAACCTTGGATACCATCAATCTTCATTTGTGTTTCTTCACTGTATTTATTTATTTATTTTTTTGAGATGGAGTCTTGCTCTGTTGACCAGGTTGGAGTGCAGTGGCATGATCTCAGCTCATTGTAGCCTCCACCTCCCAGGTTCAGGCGATTCTCTTGCCTCAGCCTCCCAAGTAGCTAGGATTACAGGCGTGCACCACCACACCTTGCTAATTTTTGTAGTTTTGGCAGAGATGGGGTTTCACCATGTTGGCCAGGCTGGTCTCAGACTGCTGACCTCAAGTGATCTGCCCGCCTCAGCCTCCCAGAGTGCTGGGATTACAGGTGTGAGCCACCATGCCCAGCCTCTTTACTGTATTTCTGGCTTATGCCTTTTGCCTGTTTTTCTGTTGGGCTTCGTCTTTTTCTCTCTGCTCTGTAAACATAGTTATTTATTAGGGATACTAATTATTTCAAGAATATTTTATCTTTAAATGTTGTTTTCCTTTATACCCTAGAAATGTTTCATTTGTGTCTACCCCAAGTTCTATTCCAGTATGGTTTTAAATGTGCTTTTCAAAAACCTAGAGAGCATAGAACAAGAAATATGCCTACTCTTAAAAAACCATGAAAATTTATAAGCAGATGGTTTTTTTCATGTCTGACAATGAGAGTTACTTAGTAGTTTGATGAGAATCATAGTATTCATAATTTTAGTTGTAGTTTTTATTGTTTAATGTATTGACTTTATAATACACTAAAAAATATTTTTTTCATGGCTAGATTTTGTTTTTTATCAGAATCTGAATGGAGTAGAGGGGCACCTGCTAGCTTCTCTTGTCTGTCCTTTTGGCTCTCCCCTCTACCCTGTGTTGTGCAAGCATATATCCTCTATTTGCCAGTAGCAGATCCTGATTTTTAAAAAGGCCATTAGGTTGAGTCTGGTTTTGTTTCTCTCTTGACTGTGGGTTTTTTCTTTTTCTTTACTCTTCTTTATTTATTTATTTATTTTTGAGTGGAGTTTTGCTCTTTTTGCCCAGGCTGGAATGCAATGGCGTGATCTTGGCTTACTGCAACTTCCGCTTCCCAGGTTCAAGTGATTCTCCTGCCTCAGCCTCCTGAGTAACAGGGATTACAGGCGCGCACCACCACGCCCAGCTAATTTTGTATTTTTAGTAGAGACGGGGTTTCACCCTGTTGGCCAGTCTGGTCTCGAACTCCTGACCTCAGGTGATCCGCCTGCCTTGGCCTCCCAAAGTGCTGGGATTACAGGCGTTAGCCACCACACCTGGCCTGACAATGGGTTTTTTTCTTGCTTATGTCAGATATCTGAATGCGAGATATGTTGTGTAGGGACTGAAGTAAATAATATTTACGCCTGCAAACAGGCATGCCCCTTCATCTGTCAGAGCATTGAGTCAATCTTGTCAGGAGTTGAGCTAGGTTTTGGTTTTGTTGTTGCCATGGTTACCATCAGCTTCAAATTTCTGTAGTTACCTTGTTCTTAGGGTGGGGGCTGGGTTGCTGGAGGGTTTTTCTCAGCGTTCCTGTTCATGCTCAATTTTCTGCATTCCCTGTGCAGCTGTGTTTCAGTGGCAGTGATGGGGTGGGGTGGGGTGGGTCACTCTTTTGCACCCTTCCCTAGCAGTAGACTTCTATTCCTGGTGATGGGTGTTGGGAGGGATTTTTTTTTTTTTTTTTTTTAAATAAATGCAGCCCTAGTCTTAAGTAGGCCCAGTGCAGCTGGACCTTGGGGTTGGGGTTTTCTCAGCATTTCTGTTCCTTCTCTTCATGGCACCACTTATCTGTTGCATGTCTTATGGGGAAGTTTCCTAGCCCTTCCCTAGCTGGATTGGTACAGGATACTGGGCTCTGGACTATTTCCTGCCCTGCTCTCAGTGGGTAGAAGTGTTGTAGGTTTTTATCTTCTTTCTCCCTTCCATCGTTAGACACAGTGCGTGTTTACCTGTGCCTTTTCCTGTGTGCCTGCAACTGGCTGGGGGGTGGGGGGACGGCGCGCTTCTAATCTTCTGCTTTGCTCCAGTCTTTCCTGGGAGCACCTGGTGGGAGGTATGTGGAAAATGGCCTGTGAATTGAGTGTGAACTCCCCGTATGCCTGGGTCTCCCAAGAGGTTTATACTGTCACACTAGCCCTAAAATTGTAGCTGGTTGTTTCTTACCTGCTTGCCTTTCTCTCGTGCTCTGGCGCAAGGGAGACTGTGGTGGGAACTGGAGTGTGGGACTGACTGTCCTTGGATTTCAGGTTATTTGCGTTCAGTCTCGCTCCGTCATGGGTTCAAGAAAAGTTGTGATTTTTATCGAGCTCTTTCTCGTTGTTAATGGTCTTTCCAGCTTTTACATTTTAAGTGGAAACAGAACTTCTGCATTTAGTTTAAAAGGTAATGAGTAAACCAGCATCAGAGATGTTAGTGAATTTCTTTATGTGATTACACTAAGAAATAAGAATTCCAAATATTTCCATTCCATTAATATGCCCTAGGCATTTTCTCTTTAGTTCTGTTTAGTTCGTTTTAGTTTTACAGAGGTTGTACGAATTTCCCCCCACTAATGTCCCAATGTAAAGGATTCTTCAGCCTTGGAAAGACTTGGATTGGTCTCTTGGGGGTCACAGATTTTCAAAGGCCTTGAAGTGAACTTTATTATATCTCTGATTTTTAAAAATCTTATTTTAGGCCAGGTGCAGTGGCTCATGTCTGTAATCCTAGCACTTTGGGAGGCCGAGGCGGGCAGATCACAAGGTCTGGAGTTCGAGACCATCCTGGCCAACATGGTGAAACCTTGTCTCTACTAAAAATAGAAAAAATGAGCTGGTCATGGTGGCAGGCACCTGTAGTCCCAGCTACTCGGGAGGCTGAGGCAGGAGAACCGCTTGAACCTGGGAGGCGGACGTTGCAGTGAGCCCAGATCGCACCACTGCACTCCAGTCTGGCAACAGAGCGAGACTCCGTCTTAAAAACAAAAAAAATCATATTTTATTGGGTATGACCATGGAAATCATGTTTTTGGAGTTGGGAGACAGATGAGACAGGGGAAAAGTTATTGCTTTTGTACAGTCTCTTATTACTCGTTTAATCTGTGTGGTTTAGTTACCCAGGTAACTGCAGCTAAGTTCTGTTCTCTTTGATTCAGACTGCCAGGTGTTTGTCCTCTACCTTCCCAAAAATCTTTCTAGTATGATTTATTGTATTCTCTGAGAATCACAGTATTTAAGGGTTCCTGATAGAGCTTTATATAATTGCATGAACAACAAAGTTCTTCTGAATGTGATTCTTATGAATAAAGGTAGCTATTTTTTGGAAGGCCATGGAAAACAGGTGGCAGGTCTGTTAGATTAATTATTTGGAAGAAATTTGTTAAATTGCAGTTCTTTTTTTAAGAATGCATTTTCCTGAGAGTCCTATTTGATCAGTATTATAATGTTGTTATACTTTTTTTGTGTTTATAAATATTTTCACTCAACCACTTTAAATATGTTGTGAAACAAGGTCCAAAGTATAAATAAATTGCAATATACCCAACTCAGACTCTTTATGTATCAGACTTTCATTGAATTTTGAAAATATTTATTAATTTAAAAAGTCATATTTCAGCCTTGGGGAATATCAGATTAATTGCAAATTAATTGCATAGGTTCCACTATGATTGAAAATTTAGTGGCGAATTCTGCATTTATGTAAAGTAAGCCTGGAGGCTACAGCTAGAACATTTTGTTATTTTAAATAGGAGAATTTATTCCTAAAACAGGCTCTCCAAAATCCTTCTGTTGGCTTCTCTGCTGCTTTGCTAAATATAAAGTAAAAATATGGTTGCTCCAGTTTGGAAGGTTTCAGGATTTTGTGGAGTACTTCCACGGTAGCTGTTGAGATGTGTTGTATGCATCCACTTGGGCACTTGCTTAGACTTGTCATCAGTCCAGAAGGACACCTGTGCCCCATTGAAAATGAGCATTGTCATTATCTAATATTCTGTTGAATTGCTCATTAGCTGGGAGGGTACTATTATTAGTGGTGGTAGTAAGGATTTACTGAGTACTAAAAGTGAGAATGGAATTATACGTTGAATTGGTTTTTGAGGTCTTTTTTAAAAAACTGTTTTATTATCATCCATTTCTTTCACATCAGTTTTATAGGACTTCATATTCATTTTCTTCCATAACAAATTGCCATCTCTGCCATAACAAATTACCACAAACTTTGAGGCTTAAAACTATACAAGTTTTTCATTTCACAGTTCAGTAGGCGAGTAGTCTGACATGGATCTCACTGGGCTAAAATCAAGGTATTGGCAGTTTATTTTCTGGAGGCTCTAGGGGATAATCCATTTCCTTGCAATCCCCAGCTTCAAGAGGCCACCCACATTCTTTAGCTCATGGCCCTCATCCTTCATCTTCAAAGCAATGGCTGGTTGCTTGAATTTCTTCAGTGTCATTTTCCCATATCTGTGTGATGCAGTTGGGAAGGGGAAAAGACTCTCACTTTTAAGGATGCATGTGATTAGATTGGGCCCACGTAGATAATCTAGGATAACTCTCCATCTCAAGGTCTTTAACCTTATCTCGTCTGCAAGGTCTTTTTTTTTTTTTTTTTGCCATGTAAGGTAATATATTCACAAGATTTGGGAATTAGGATATGGGTCTCTTTGAGGCATTATTATTCTGACTACCACAGAACCGGAACATCTTTCCAGAATACTATTACACTAATTTAAAACTTTTATGGTTAGAAGAGTACAGACATGATCTGAATTAATGCTGAGAAAATTACATCACCTCTAGTTCTTTTTATCTTCAAATTCTTATCTGCCATTACCTGGTAAATATATTTTCTTAGATATTTTGTAAGCACCTTGTTAGCTTTTGCTATGTAACAAACCACTCCACAATTATTTATCATTGCCCACATATCTATGGGTCAGCTGACATAGGCTGGGTTTGATGGATATCTCTGATGACCTTGGCTGGACTTGTAGTGCATCTGTAAGTTTGCAGGTAAGCTGAGAATCATCTCATGTAGCCTGGGGCTCTGTGGAGGCAGCTCTGTTCCACATGTTTCTCATCCTTCTACCTTTGAGCTAGCCTAGGCATGTTCTTCTAATGAAAAGGCAGAAATGCAAACATGAAAGTAGAAACATGTGAAACTTCTTTTGGCCTAAGCATAGAGCAGGGAAACTGTCATCTTTGCTTTATTCTGTCAGCCAAAAGTAGTCACATGGACAAATAAAGGGGCTGGGAAATATACTCCTCTTTAGTGGGAGGAACAGCAAAGTCATTTAGCAAAGGGCTTGAATGGAAAGGAGGTAAAGAATTGGGACCAATGATACAATTGACCCATACTCAAACTTCATATCCCCCAAACTTGAACTAATCTCTGTGACTGCCTCCCTCACCAGAAACCTGTTTTGCCCTCTTTATTTCTGATCTTAGTTAATGATTCTATTCTATGCCTAGTCACCCAAGCTAGATACCTAGGAAGTATTTTGGAGTCTTTATTCTCTCCTTTTCCCATCTTCAATATTTACTTTTTTTTTTTTTTTTTTTGAGACAGGGTCTCACTCTGTCACCTACCTGGAGTGCACTGACATAATCAGCTCACTGCAGTCTCAGACTCCTGAGCTCAGGTGATCCTTCCAAATCAGCCTCCTAAGTAGCTGGGACCACAGGTGTGTACCACTATGCCCAGCTAATTTTTTTGATTTGGTAGAGGCAGGGTCTTGCTATATTGCCCAGGCTGGTCTTGAACTCCTGGCCTCAAACAGTCCTCCTGCCTTGGCCTCCCAAAGTGCTGGAATTGCAGGCGTGAGCCCTCGTGCTTGGCCCAGTATTTAGCTTGACAAGTATTCTCTAATCTGCCATCTTTTCCAGTCTTATTACTGTTGCTACTCTGGTTCAGGTTCTCATATCTCTGAGAAGAAAGGGCGGGAACAGACTCTTAATTGTTTTCAATCCTACTTCCTTCAGGTCTCTCTCTTATATTGCAGCCAGAATACCTTGCCTAAAATACAGATGTTACTCCTGTTTACTGACTTCTTATTGCCTCTAGAGGATGCCCCCCTATGCTCTGTCTTTTCTAACCTCATCTTCCACTCTTGCCTGCCTTCTCTTTTACCGTTTTAGTTCAGAAGTCAGCAAACTTTGGCGAGTCAGCCAATCTTGTTTACCGACTATATTTGCACTACAGTGGCAGCGTTGAGTCATTGCAGCAGAGAACATATGGCTCACAAAGCTAAAACATTTACTATCTGGTCCTTTACAGAAAAAGTTTGCCAACTCTGCTCTAGTCATGTAGAACTTATAATAGCTTCCTTCTTATACCATTTTATTTTGTGCCTCAGTACTTTTTATTACGTTGTTTCTTTACCTGGCTAACTCTATTATTTTTTAAATAATGGCTTTATTAAGGTATCATATAATTACATATCACACAATTCACCCATTTAAAGTGTACAGTTCATTGGTTGTTAGTATACTCACAGTTGTGCAGCCATCACTGTAATCAGTTTTAGAGCATTTTCATTGCTTTCCCAGAGAACCCCATGCCCATGAGCATTCACTTCTTGTTCCCCTAACCTCCTCTTCTAGCACTAGACAACCACCAGATCTACTTTTTAGTCTCTTAGGTTTGCTCATTCTTGATATTTGGTATAAATGGAATAATATGTGGGCTTTTGTGACTGGCTTCTTTCACTTAGCTTAATGTTTTTAGGGTTCATGCGTGTTGTAGCATTGATCAATATTTCATTCTTTTATTAATTGTTGATTAATATTCCATTATATGGACATACCACATTTTATGTATCCATTCATCAGTTGATAGACATTTGGGTTGTTTCTACTTTTTGGCTGTTATGAATAATGCTGCTAAGAACATTTGTGTACTAGATTTTGTGTCATATGTTTTCACTTCTTTGGGGTGCTAACACTTCCTTATCCATTAAGAATTGACTTTGAGGTCATTTCCTCTATAACTTTTCCCTAGCCTCCTAGGCTGGATTGAATGTCTTTTCTGTCAGGCTCTGATGATGCTCTTGTATTACTACATTATATTGAAATGACCTGTTAGTATGTCTTTCTGATCTACTCCTCTGTAAGTTTCTGGAGAGCAGCATCAGTGCGGTAATTCAACTTATTCATGACTTCAGACATTGGAAAAGTTCACTTCATGTTTGTTGAATTAGAAAAACTGTAAAGCAGTCTATGCTTTTGAATTAAAATATAATTCATCCTTTGTTTTTTTTTCTCTTATGTACACTGGCTTTTTTTTTAAAAAAAATCTCTTAGGATATATATTGATATAACTCAACTTTATTTTCTTTTAAGGTCTGCAAAGAAAACAAAAAAAGGTGCTAAAGAAAAAACACCAGATGAGAAAAAAGATGAAATAGAAAAAATAAAAGCATATCCCTATATGGAAGGCGAACCTGAGGATGATGTCTATTTAAAACGCTTATACCCGAGACAGATATATGAGGTGGAGAAAGCTGTTCACTTACTTAAGAAATTTCAAATTCTTGACTTTACTAGTCCAAAGCAAAGTGTTTATCTTGATTTGACACTGGATATGGCACTGGGAAAGAAGGTATGTAGAGTCCATTAAAATAAGTTTACCTGTGAACAGTGGCTGTATGAATTGGTGTTTCTTTATTTTATTTTATTGTTATTATTATTTTTGAGACAGGGTCTTCTTGCCGTGTTGCCCAGGCTGGAGTGCGGTGGTATGATCTCAGCTCACTGCAGACTCCACCTCCCGGGCTCAGGTGATCCTGCCACCTCAGCTTCCTGAGTAGCTGGGACTACAGGTGTGTTCTACCACGCCCAGCTAATTTTTGTACTTTTAGTACAGATGAGGTTTCCCCATTTTGCCCAGGCTGGTTTTGAACTCTGGGGCTCAAGCACTCTGCGCTCCTTGGCCTCCCAAAGTGCTGGGATTACATGCATGAGCCACTGTGCCTGGCCTCTTAATTTTAAAAATTATTGCCTCTCATAATTTTTAGAAAACTTCATGCTCTTTCTGTACTTTAGCATGAAAAATATGTTTGTTCATTTAAAAATTTTCCAAATATAAAATTTGTTGAAAACACTCTAGAGAGTTAACATAGATTTCCTATTTCCTCTAAGAGAGTCACTAGTATAAATTTCAACAAAAGTAGTGTTAAAATTAACGGAGGTATCACTGTAACTTTGAAAAGTGATTTAAACTGCCTAGGTGGCATGTTTCTTCTCTGTAAATGAGGGCTCTGGATTAGCTCAGTGTCCTTCAGATGTGTTCCTTGGGGTCGCACCACTGCACTCCAGCCTGGGCGACAGAGCAAGACTCCATCTCAAAAAAAAAAAAAAAAGAGAATTTGTCTCTCCTTGTCTATAAAGAAATCCCGAGGAGGATGTTTCTACTCAAAATAAGGTTTTTCTAAAAATATTGATCCTTCAATCAGTTTTATTAGGGGAACAACCACCTTTTCTTCCAAACCTTAAGGCTGCAACAAAACTTTGGAGGGCCTAGAACTTGTTTCTCTGTAAAATCTCCCTGAGAGATCTAGGCCTCAGGCCTCAATAGTTCCTGGTCAAAATGACTAGACAGATTAGTTTAGTGGTCCTGTAAAATCTCCACCTGTATTAGCGTGCCTCAAATGCATGCCATTGTTTATTTAGGATTTTCCAATTGACTTTCTAAATAAATCTGAAAGTGATGATGGTCTAGGTTGTTTCAAAAATAGAGTCACTCAGAAGATCCCTTTAGGCTCGACATTTTGTCTTGGGTTTAGGGTTTACAATTCCTGATAGTTTAGAGCCAATGATGGCAATTGGGGGTGACCTACTGGGCAGATCAGCTGGATATTGTCTATTGTTCAGCATGTACAGCTGTAGTCATGTCTCCCTGATGGTGTCAGAAGATTACATGGGTTTAAAACAAATTTAATTGAAGATAGCAAACATTTATTATACATCAGATGGAAAGCATTGTACTAGTGCTGGGGAAGATGTTGATATGCAAACACATTTCATAATATTTGAGAGACTGTGATGAATGATGTAGAGATAGAAGCCAAGTGGCATGGGATTATGAAGCTGGAAAAAGAGATTTTAGTTTTTTATTCTCAAAAAAATATAATCTTGAAAAAGTTTCTTGAAAAAAAAATAATCTGTTGTGCTTTAAATTGTAATCGATGAATAGTAATTCATGAATAGTAATCAATGAATAGTTCTGAATTAATGGAAGAACATAGAGTAGAATCAGAACACTGAAAACAAAACATGTCCGTTCTTGTTTTATATAGAGTGTGTGAAATAGAAAAGATTAACTTTACGTAATTATTTTTCCTTGTCATGTGTTTAGAAAAACGTGGAGCCATTTACCAGTGTTCTTAGTTTGCCATACCCATTTGCTTCCGAAATCAATAAAGTTGCTGTATTTACAGAGGTGAGTAACTTCCGTCAACTATTTATATCATTTAATTTTTTTTTTTGAGACGGAGTCTCACTCTGTCACCAGTCTGGAGTGCAGTGGGGCAACCTCGGCTCACTGCAACCTCCGCCTCCCAGGTTCAAGCGATTCTCCTGCCTCAGCCTCCCAAGTAGCTGGGACTACAGGTGTGCACCACCACGCCCAGCTAATTTTTGTATTTTTAGTAGAGACAGGTTTTCACCATGTTGGCCGGGGTAGTCTTGATCTCTTGACCTTGTGATCCGCCCGCCTCGGCCTCCCAAAGTGCTGGGATTACAGGTGTGAGCCACCATGTCCAGCCTCATCATTTAATTTTTTTTAGAGATCACAAATTAATCATTAATTATTAACCAATCATTAGCACCCTGAATAAATGGAGTTAGAGAAAATCCTAGCATTCACCTAGTCTTATTTTCCCCATTTGGAGCTCAAAACATTTAGATGATTTATTTGAGGTTATATTATTAGCTTGAGAAAGAGCTAAATTAGAACATTAGTTTCATCATTACTAGAATGCTACATTGTGTTTCTCACAAGAAACTGAAAAGTGGAATTTATCAATTTATCCTATTAACTGCTGCTTTCTGTTCAAACTTCTCTCCCCAGACAACAAGATTATTTTAAAGCAATGGAACCATTTAGTACTGTGGTGCCTTAGAAACCACAACTTTCAAAAGTATCTAGTCTTTATAAAACTGTCCTAAATAAATGTTTGTTTATAATGTGTTTATGATTTTTTTTTAATCATCCACAAACTATAATGGTTCTGAATGTAATATCCCTGATGCATTTAATTGAAAATTCATGCATTCAGTTCTTTTTTGAGACAGGGTCTTGGTCTGTTGTCCAGGCTGGAGTACAGTGGTGCAGTCATACTCACTATAGCCTCGGACTCCTGGGCTGAAGCGATTCTCCTGCCTCAGCCTACTGAGTAGCTGGAACTGCGGGTGCTAGCCACTATATGGCAGGCTAATTTTTTTTTTTCTTTGAGATGGAGTCTTGCTCTTGTTGCCCAGGCTGGAATGCAATGGCGTGATCTTGGCTTACCGCAACCTCTGCCTCCTGGGTTCAAGTGATTCTCTTGCCTCAGCCTCCCGAGTAGCTGCGATTACAGGCATGCACCACCACACCTGGCTAATTTTGTATTTTTAGTAGAGACGGGGTTTCTCCACGTTGGTCAGGCTGGTCTCGAGCTCCTGACCTTAGGTGACTGCCTGCCTTGGCCTCTCAAAGTGCTGAGATTACAGGCGTGAGCCACCATACCCAGCCTGGCAGGCTAATTTTTAATATTTTTTTGTAGAGATCGGGGATCTCACTTTGTTGCCCAGGCTGGTCTAGAACTCCTGGCTTCAAGTGATCCTCTTGACTCAGCCTGCCAAAATGTTGGGATTACAGGTGTGGCTCACTGCACCTGGTTTGCATTTTCTTTTTTTTTTTTTTTTTTTTTGAGATGGAGTCTCACTCTGCCACCCAGGCTGGAGTGCAGTGGTGTGATCTCAGCTTACTGCATCCTCCCCCTCCTGGGTTCAAGGATTCTTCTGCCTCAGCCTCCTGAGTAGCTGGGACTTACAGGTGTGTGCCACCACGTCCGGCCAATTTTTATATTTTTAGTAGAGACAGTTTTGCCATGTTGGCCAGGCTAGTCTTGAACTCCTGACCTCGGGAACTATCCGCCTCAGCCTCCCAAACTTCTGGGATTACCAGTGAGAGCCACTGCATCCAGCCACATTTTCAATTAAAAATAAAAGCTACAATTTGTACTTTGAACTGTGATATTATTTCTGACAACATACTTCAAAGCAGACTGAATATATTTAAAATTAATGATTGATTTTCAAATTATTGTGTTTTGGTAGAATGCATCAGAGGTCAAAATAGCGGAAGAAAATGGAGCTGCATTTGCAGGAGGCACTAGTCTGATACAGAAGGTACAGTGTTGTTTTCATGTTCATTAAGTATAGAGATGATTCTGTTATCTTTACCATTCATTGATCTGTTATATGTGGAACACTAGTCTCATATCTTATGATAAATAGTTAATAGGTCTTTATAAGAGCAGGAAAAAAATTTCCAACTTTCTTCAGTTTCAAAATCAAGCTAGGAGAAAACTATCCAGACAGTCTGATTTTGTGTGTTTGTGTTTATTTGGGGTGTGTGTGTGTGTGTGTTTGTCTGTGTTTGAGACAAGGTCTCTCTCTGTTGTCCAGACTAGAAGATGGTGGTGCAATTATGGCTCACTGCAGCCTTGAACTCCTGAGCTCAAGCAATCCTCCTGCCTCAGCCTTCTGAGTAGCTGGGACTAAAGGTGCATGCCACTGCACTCGGCTAATTTTTTTGTAGAGATAGGGTTCTTGTTTGTTGCCCAGGCTGGTCTTGAACTCTTGGCATCAAGCAATCCTCCTGCCTTGGCCTCCCAAAGTACTGGGGTTACAGGTGTGAGCCACCACACCCAACCTCAGACAGTCTGATATTGATTATACTTGAATTATTATTGTGATTATTATTATTATTACTATTTTTCGCTTCTTTTTTGTCTGAGAGTTTTGTGGATAGATAGGAAAGGGCAGTGTGACTCTGGTTTTGAATGTAAGGTTTAAAATGAAATCCACAAGGTCGCATGGATTTCATTGATACCCATGGACACCTCTATTCATGTTTTGAAGATCAAATATTTGTTTTTTTTCTTGGAGTGAAGGTGTAATTCACTTAGTAGATTATAAAGTATGGTATCTGCCCTCTATAATGTTGGTGCTTTTGGTTCCTCTTAACTTTTAGCTTCTAATCCTTTCAGAATGGCATAGACTCAGTATGGTAGCAACAAGTGATTATGTAGCCTGCCTTTAGAAGGTAACAGAGCTTCGCTGGACGCAGTGGCTCATGCCTGTAATCTCAGCACTTTGGGAGGCTGAGGTGGGCAGATCACTTGAGGCCAGGAGTTTGGGACCAGCCTGGCCAACACGGTGAATCCCCACCTCTACTAAAAATACAAAAATTAGCCAGGCGTGGTGGCACATGCCTGTAATCCTAGCTACTTGGGAGGCTGAGGCACAAGAATCTCTTGAACCCAGGAGGCGGAGTTTGCAGTGAGCCGAGATTGCGCCTACACTCCAGCCTAGGCAACAGAGCGAGACTCTGTCTCCAAAAAAATAAATAAATAAAATAAATAAACAAACAAATAAATAAGAAAATAACAGAGCTTGGAGAGCCTCTTTGAAAATGAGAACTTTTTTTTTCCTTTTTAGGAAGTAGGAAGAAGAGGCATGGAGTTATTTCTGAAAATATAAAAGATTTTTCTTAGGGTTCTCTCTAAAAGTTCCTCCTCTAGATAAAATCCTTTATTATAAAGTTATGGAATTTTTTTTATTATACTTTAAGTTCTAGGGTAGATGTGCACAGCATGCAGGTTTGTTACGTATGTATATATGTACCATGTTGGTGTGCTGCACCCATTAACTCGTCATTTACATTAGGTATATCTCCTAATGCTATCCCTCCCCCGTCCCCTACTCCAAGACAGGGCCCGGTGTGTGATGTTCCCCACCCTGTCAATTCAACAAGAAGAGCTAACTATCCTAAATATATATGCACCCAATACAGGGGCACCCAGATTCATAAAGCAAGTCCTTAGAGACCTAGAAAGAGACTTAGACTCCCACACAATAATAATGAGAGACTTTAACACCACACTGTCAACATTAGACACATCAACGAGACAGAAAGTTAACAAGGATATCCAGGAATTGAACTCAGCTCTGCACCAAGCAGACCTAATAGACATCTACAGAACTCTCCACCCCAAATCAACAGAATATGCGTTCTTCTCAGCACCACATTGCACTTATTCCAAAATTGACCACATAGTTGGAAGTAAAGCACTCCTCAGCAAATGTAAAAGAACAGAAATTATAACAAACTGTCTCTCAGACCACAGTGCAGTGAGACTAGAACTCAGGATTAAGACACTCACTCAAAACCGCTCAACTACATGGAAACTGAACAACCTGCTCCTGAATGACTACTGGGTACATAACGAAATGAAGGCAGAAATAAAGATGTTCTTTGAAACCAATGAGAAAAAAGACACAACATACCAGAATCTCTGGGACACATTTGAAGCAGTGTGTAGAGAGAAATTTATAGCACTAAATGCCCACAAGAGAAAGCAGGAAAGATCTAAAATTGGCACCCTAACATCACAATTAAAAGAACTAGAGAAGCAAGAGCAAACTAATTCAAAAGCTAGCAGAAAGCAAGAAATAACTAAGATCAGAACAGAACTGAAGGAGATAGAGATACAAAAAACCCTTCAAAAAATCAATGAATCCATTAGCTGGTTTTTTGAAGAGATCAACAAAATTGATAGATCGCTAACAAGACTAATACACAAGAAAAGAGAAGAATCAAATAGACACAATAAAAAATGATAAAGGGGATATCACCACCGATCCCACAGAAATACAAACTACCATCAGAGAATACTATAAATACCTCTACGCAAATAAACTAGAAAATCTAGAAGAAATGGATAAATTCCTGGACATATACACCCTCCCAAGACTAAACCAGGAAGAAGTTGAATCCCTGAATAGACCAATAACAGGCTCTGAAATTGAGGCAATAATTAATAGCCTATCAACCAAAAAAAGTCCAGGACCAGATGGATTCACAGCCAGATTCTACCAGAGGTACAAAGAGGAGCTGGTACCATTCCTTCTGAAACTATTCCAATCAATAGAAAAAGAGGGAATCCTCCCTAATTCATTTTATGAGGCCAGCATCATCCTGATACCAAAGCCTGGCAGAGACACGACAAAAAAAGAGAATTTTAGACCAATATCCCTGATGAACATCGATGCAAAAATCCTCAGTAAAATACTGGCAACCCAAATCCAGCAGCACATCAAAAAGCTAAAGCTTATCCACCACGATCAAGTGGGCTTCATCCCTGGGATGCAAGGCTGGTTCAACATATGCAAATCAATAAATGTAATCCATCATATAAACAGAACCAAAGACAAAAACCACATGATTATCTCAATAGATGCAGAAAAGACCTTCGACAAAATTCAACAGCCCTTCATGCTAAAAACTCTCAATAAACTAGGTATTGATGGGACATATCTCAAAACAATAAGAGCTATTTATGACAAACCCACAGCCAATATCATACTGAATGGGCAAAAACTGGAAGCATTCCCTTTGAAAACTGGCACAAGACAGGGATGCCCTCTCTCACTCCTATTCAACATAGTGTTGGAAGTTCTGGCCAGGGCAATCAGGCAAGAGAAAGAAATAAAGGATATTCAATTAGGAAAAGAGGAAGTCAAATTGTCTCTGTTTGCAGATGACACGATTGTATATTTAGAAAACCCCATCGTCTCAGCCCCAAATCTCCTTAAGCTGATAAGCAACTTCAGCAAAGTCTCAGGATACAAAATCAATGTGCAAAAATCACAAGCATTTCTATATGTTATGGAATTTTTGCCGGGGAGGAGAAAGTAGACAGGAAATAGTGATTTGAAAATTTATCCTTTGTCCCATATTCAAATTTTCATTTGGGGAACTTTTAACTGGGCTCATCCTTTGAGGTAAACAGCAGTGCTCATAGTTTGTTTTTTTCCCACCCCTAAAAGTACTCTAAATTTGGTGAGGATTCTGGATTTTAAATAAAGAGGGTCTTCAGAATGATTTTTGGTTGCAGAACTAGTGGAAAGTAGGAAGAGTATGCTTTAATACAGGTTCTAGGCCAGAGTCAGTGGGACTCAGTTCTTTCTGTTGTATTATTAATTTTAATTAAAAAATTATTAAAACTTTTAATTATTAAAAAATAATCATCACAAATGTTTGGTAATTTGAGAATAGAGCTGGGTCTCTAGAATCAGAGAACTAATCTTGAGTTTGTATACAGCTTTCTATTTTCTTCTTGCAACCACTAAAGTTACCTTGTAGAACTGTCATAGCCACTCCTTTGGTTCAGTTTTTTTTGTTTTTTTTTTTTTTCATTTTTTTTGAGACAGTGTGTCGTTGCATCACCCAGGCTGGAGTGCAGTGACGTGATCTCGGCTCACTGCAACCTCTGCCTCCTGAGTTCAAGTGATTCTCCTGCCTCAGCCTCCCTAGTAGCTGGGATTACAGGCGCCTGCCACTGTGCCCAGCTAATTTTTGTATTTTTAGTAGAGATGGGGTTTTGCCACATTGGCCAGACTGGTCTCGAACTCCTGGCTTCAAGTGATCTGCCCGCCTTGGCCTCCCAAAATGTTGGGATTATAGGCGTGAGCCACTGCTCCCAGCCAAGACACCACACCTGGCCTTTGGTTCTTAAATGTTAAGCAAGAAGTTACCTCTCAAGAAAGAAATGGTAATAGAGCAGAAAGTGTTATGAAGCTGTAAGTTCACTAAATGAAACACATTTTTTAAAGTAACCCAAATAAGGAAGCCAAAGACATTTTAAAATTCTGTAGTATAGAAAATATTAACAGGTACAGAATTTCTCTTTAGGGCCCCAGTAGAGGATCTGTTATTAGAGGGAGCATGCCATCTGTGTAAGGCATCATAGGATAAGTTTGCAAGTTACCCCGTGGTGTCTTTTTAAAGCTAGTCCATGTTATTTTTAGAAGGTATTCAGGTTATGAGGTAAATTCAATACAGTTTAGTAAATAATATTATGGCTGCAATTTTTTATACATTCCTGTGTTTTTAAATTAGTTTATCATTTTGCTTAGCTCTATAAAATGCCAAGTAGGATAAATTTATGTAGTCATTTCTTTTTTTTTTTTTCTCTTTTTGAGATGGAGTTTCGCTCTTGTTGCCCAGTGGGGAGTGCAATGGCGCAATCTCGGCTCACTGCAACCTCCACCTCCCGGGTTCAAGCAATTCTCCTGAATCTGCCTCCCGAGTAGCTGGGATTACAGGCACCTGCCACCACGCCCAGCTAATTTTTTTTATTTTTAGTAGAGATGGGGTTTCACCGTGTTGGCCAGGCTGGTCTTGAACTCCTGACCTCAGGCGATCCAACCTTCCTCGGCCTCCCAAAGTGCTGAGATTACAGGTGTGAGCCACCGCACCACGTAGTAATTTCTTAGATAACACATTCATTTATTAAATTTATTTTACTTTATTTTGAAACATCACAGATATGCCTGGTTCTGAGTGATTTTAAAGTAACTTCATATTTTTACTTGTCTCTAAGAGCTTGATTTCCATCCACAGTTTTTTATTATTCCAAGATACAGTCCTACTTATAGCATAACTTCCAAACATAATTTTAATTTAAAGGAACATGTCATAGAATTAGGATTGGAAAATCTTGAAATAGAAATCTCACATACAGTTCTTTGACATTTAGAAATTGCCTCTGCTTTCCTATTTCCAGTGATGAGACCCCTGGTTCTGGACCCACACTGCCTGTTTTTCAATTCTAGCTCTGCCTCTTAGGTGTGTACAGACTGACTCATCCTCCCTGATCCCTCAGTTTTTTTTATCTGGAATGTGTGGTCAATACTGGTACCTGTCTCAAGGTTTGTTATGAAGACTGGATGTTCTAAATTATATTAAATATTTAGCAGAATGCTTGGCACATGAGAAGTGCCCATTTAATGTAAGTTGTTGTTAAGGAGAGGTATGTTATTTAAGGACTAAAAATTTGTGCAAAGAATAGTAACAGAAGGATAAAATTCCATAGTCATTGCTTAATTTTGTCAGAATTCAAGTTTTTAATTCACCGTGTACCCCTAAATCAAGGCTTTGAATGGCATATTGTAAGATTTCATACAAAGGGAATCATTGGTAAAATATTTCTTGCTTGGGCAGTGGCACGATCTTGGCTTACTGCAACCTCTGCCTTCCTGGCTTCAAGCAATCCTCCCACCTCAGCCTCCCGGTTACCTGGGACTACAGATGTGTGCCACCACGCCCGGCTAGTTTTTATATTTTTTGTAGAGACAGGATTTTGCCTTGTTGCCCAGGCTAATTTCAAACTCCTGAGCTCAATTGATTTGCCTGCCTTGGCCTCCCAAAGTGCTGGGATTACAGGTGTGGAGTTTAAGTGGAGTATATTGTATGTTTTAAGTAGAGTATATTAAGTAGAGTTTAAGTGGAGTATATTGTAGTAGTATAATAGTTATTTTAGGTGCTTGCCTGAATTAATAAAAATGTTTTCTAAAAATTGAATATTAATTCCTTTGTTCTGAGAATGGATATAGAGTATGGATAATAAACTATAAGTGAACTTGTCTTTGATCACCACGTCTTCTTTTATTCTTAGTTATCGGTGGTAAGGAAAATTTCAGTTTCAGTTCTTTGTGAAAGTAATTATAAATTCAATTCTCTGATGCTCTAAATTTAGGAAGCTAGTGGTTGCTAGTGAGTTTGGCAGTTAGTGGTTATTAATTTTACATGTGATCTGTTGCAAAAGTTTCAGCTTTTGTAGGTTCCTTCAGTTTTAATAAATATATGAATTTAACTTTGTGGGATTCTGTAAGCCATGCACACATTCATTGCTGTGTTGTGACTTGTAACACTTTTGCCTAACACAACCCAAAGGAAGAAACCATTAATTTTTTTTTTTAAGGATGTGGCTGTTTTTAAAGGAAAATGTTTTACTTCTGATGGTTTTTATAATTGACAGGTGTATTTGTATGATCTTTGTGTTTGAAGAAAAGAATTGTGCTTAATGTCTGTTTTCTGAATTATAAAGGAAATGACTACATTGTACTTTTTCAGAACGATAAAGCTTTTCATCTCATCTGAGGTCACCTTTTTTTTTTTAATTTTCAGATTTGGGATGATGAAATTGTTGCAGACTTTTACGTAGCTGTTCCAGAAATAATGCCTGAACTTAATCGATTAAGGAAGAAACTGAATAAAAAATATCCAAAGCTTTCTCGAAGTAAGAGAATTCCTATTATTTCAATATCCTGTCAACAACTTTCTTGTGAACTTTGCTTAGTTAGGAAACAAAGTTGTTCATGTATGCGTAGAATAAATAGTATGTCCTGGTATTTGAGTTTGAGTTACGAGAACCTACGGGTTTGATTTTTTTCCCCCGCTTTGGCATTAATACTGGTAATCTAATATGATTTGAAAACCTAGTTACTTTATAATACCAGTTTTTAAAATGTAGATCAAAGTCTAGCTCCCAATTAGTGGAATGTATTATTTACTCAGTATATTATCATCATACTGTTTTATTGGCTTTTATCCCTGTTTATCAATATAATATGTATGCCCATTTATTTAAAAGTGTTCAACATATGTATGAATGTTGACCATATGCATGGCTCTGAAGGTAATTTCTCTTAAGAAATTTTCCCCTTATGGATATTTTCTCCTTAAGAAATCTAATAAGAAAGTTAAGGTCACTAAATAAGGAACTGTGTTATAAAGTGTGAGGTATTATATAATAAATTAAAAAAGTGCTAGGGGTGTTCAGTGGAGGTGGAGTTTACACATAGGTGAGGAATCAGGGAAGGCATCATAAAAGAGGTAACATTTAAACATAAAGGAGGTAACATTAGTTGGATGAATTGATTGAGGAGAATATTTTAAGTAGAAGGAATGTATTAATCATAGACACCAAAGTAAGTCAGAAATCATAGGCCAGGTACAAGAAATATTAATTAGCTCTCTTTGACTGTGGGGAGTGGTACCCCTACATTGAAATAGAAGAGAATAATGGGAAATGATGTTGGAAAGGTAGATTGATGCCGTATTGAGAAGAACTTTGAATGATGGGCTAATGAGCATGAACATCTGCATTCTATATTCAGCAGGACTCAGAAGTTTTTGAGATGGGAGTGACATAATCTGTTCTTTAGAGCTTTAATCTGGCAAGAGGTTTTTAAGATAATTGAAACTAGAGACAGGGAAACCAGTTCAGGTACAATGGCAAGAGACTAATAAATGTAATGTTTAAGCTAAGGTCTTCATAACGAGACTGGAGTGAAATGTATAAATGTCAAGGATATTAGGACTTAGCAATTAATTGGGAATGGAGAGGTTGAGGGGGAGAAAAGGAAGAGTCAAATGATACTGAGGTTTTTTAAGTCTAGAGAACTCTCCTAATAAGTGTTATCATTAATGGAAACAGGGAGTACAATTGGGAGGAAAAACAAGTTCACTTGCTGACACAGTTTGTTTTAGATAGTGCTGGATGTCTGGTATATTATTATTTCAAATAAAATTTTGTAGTGTAAACAGAACAAATATTTTAAAATTGTGTTAGTAGATTTGTCTTCAAATTTTAACTCTAGTTGAGCTAAAAAAATTCTGCTAAAATTTTTATATATCCTAGCCACTAACAACTTGTCTGAATTCTAGATCATGACCTGTAAATTAAATTCAAATGGACTTTCCAGTTCTTTTGTTGTGTTAGAGTTTTGTTTATTTTTGATAGCATGCATTAAGTCATAAATATTTATTAGATTTTGAACTGGTGTCTGGCACTTTTTATTAGGGATTTCCCTTACAGCAGTGTTCATTATGGAGTCCAGTTTATATTCTTTCTTAAGTAAGACCTAAAACTGAACATATTTTAAAAATTAAACCAGAATTGCAGTTGAATTTGATGAAAATATTTCTCATAACTTTTTTGTTCTTAATTAAATTCAAGCTCAAATCAGAGCAAAACAAACAGTACTAAATACAGTAAAAACCAAAAATGAATACTAATATGTTTGTATTCTAGATATCTAGCTCCTTGCTTTGCATGGTGATCTGATTTTTAAAAGACATTAATTTTGTCACCTTTGCTACTTTATCCATTCTCTCTGTAACCCTTTTAGCTTCCTTTTTTTTTTTTTTTAGCCTTGAGGGTTTTTTTTTTCTCATTGGCATCTCAATATTTGGAACCTTTTTTAGTTTTCAAATACCTTATTTCTTTATTCCAAATAATAATTTTCCTAATAAAATGTTTATTAGTGAGCTTTACTTTATTTCTCCTTTCATAATGAATTGCAACTTCACATATCATGGTCAAGTACCTAAGTATGTTTTTCCCCCCTATTTGCGTAGGCACCTTGAGTGAAGAGATGGACCTTTTCCCTTCTCTGACACCTTCTTTTCACCCCAACATGATCTATTTAATGGCACTGGTAAAACATTTGTGTTCTTTAAACATGAAAACAAACAACCTGTCAAAAATGTTAAATGGAATACATCAGATGTGCATTAGAACAAATGAAGCTTCTATTATGCATTTTCAAAGCTCATTCAGATTCTTGTTTAAGAACATTTGATTCCCCCTATATCCAACAAAAGTCTTTAGTGTAAAATAGAAATTACATTTTGAGCAAGTGGAGAAAATTAAAAAACAAGCTCCTGCAGCTGAGCTCATTAGTTTCCCATTTCCAGTTTTACTAATGGGAGTGGGCGTGTGTACATTTTGCAGCTTGTTTAATGCTGCAGTTTTATTCGTTTTATTTTAATTGCTTACATAACTGTAGGCAAGTTCTTTGTTTTTCAAATGCACATTTGGCTTGTTTTCTCAATATTTTTTGTTTTATTAAAAAAAATTAAAACCTGTTTTTTTAAATTCCTTCTAAGAAATTTGGTTTTATTTTGCTTATCGTCTGGCTTCCTCCCCAATATAAGTACCCTCTGTAATTCTTTCATCTCTAATATAGATATGTTTTGTTAATTAAAACTTTTTTATTTCTAATCCTATTTATAAATTAGCATTTAGAAACTAAAAACACTAGCGTGAAATATATCTTTTTTTTTTATGAGTCAGAGTTTCCCTCTGTCGCCCAGGCTGGAGTGCAGGGGTGCAGTCTCGGCTCACTGCAACCTCCGCCTCCTGGGTTCAAGTGAATCTGCCTCAGCCTCCCAAGTAGCTGCGATTACAGGAGCATGCCACCACACCCAGCTAGTATTTTGTATTTTTAGTAGACACATGTTGGCCAGGCTGGTCTCGAACTTCTGACCTCAGGTAATCTGCCTGCTTCAGCCTCCTAAAGTGCTTGGCCTCCCAAAGTGCTGGGATTACAGGCGTGAACCACTGTGCCCAGCCAAAAAAAAATCTTGACTTAATGGTATCAGATGTTTATTATGCATATTAACCTGTGATAGGTACTGTGGCATATATGGGAACAGTTGAATTCTTTTATACCATACTAAGTTATTGTCAGGTAAGAAAGGGACATGATTAGAAAATTAGAATTACACTAATGTGTATTCCTCTTAACTTCTAACTCTTAGAATTGAACACTAGTGCTCCACTCGATGTCTTGTCCAAACGATATCCCAGCAGACTTGTCCAAAAGATATCCACATATGAGCAGGACACTGCTTTCCGTGAGGAATTTGGTGTTGTATCATACGTGAGACTCATGGATATTAAAGTTCTTGTAATGTGTAGCATTTTTAACTCATAGAATAGTACCTTGTACTTCAGGGTTTTGTTTGCATTATTGGAACAATCAGAAGTTTTGGTTATATAAGGGAAAATAACCAAAACGGAGAATTTTTGCAAGGTAATGAATTTGAAATTTTTCTAAATTTCTGCCCCTTCACATATTAGTTTAAAAACTATCCATGTATGAAAGACTCCATTAATGATTAGGTACTGTTACAATTGTTGTAGATGAAATATGGATCTATTATAGCTGGTTCTGTTATGCTTTCCTTTGCTTCCTTTACTTCAGCCTTGGCAGCCTCCTTGATCTTCCTCATACACACTAAGCACTCTCCCTCCTCAGGTCTTTGGATTTACTGTTGCATAGGTCTGTAGTAGTACTGTTTGCTTACTTGCCTTGCTCACTTTCTCATTCGAACATCATCTAAACAGAGAGACCTTCCATGACCATCCTATATAAAATATTACTACCACTTCCTATTATCACTAAATATCATTATTATGCTTTTGTATTCATTTTAGGACATATCACTCTTAGCATCTTTTTTTTGTGTGTGTGTGTGTGATGTGTGTTCAGTGCCTCTCATTAGAGCAAAGATGGTTTTGTTTTGTCCATTGCTACATTCCCATTGCCTAGAGTATAGTACCTGGAAAATAGTACGTACTCTACAAATATTTGAATGAATGAATGAATGAATGAATGAATGAATGTTTAATCCAGCACTCATTCAGTTGGTAGAAGATATAAAATTAAACTGTAACTTAAAAATGGAGTATACAATTTTTTTTTTTTTGAGACGGAGTTTTGCTCTGTTGCCCAGGCTGGAGCGCAGTGGCACATCTCGGCTCACTGCAACCTCCCCTTCCCGGGTTCATACAATTCTCCTGCCTCAGCCTCCTGAGTAGCTGAGATTACAGGTGTGCGCCACCATGCCCAGGTAATTTTTTTTGTATTTTTAGTAGAGATGGGGTTTCACCATGTTGGCCAGGCTGGTCTCAAACTCCTGACCTCAAATGATCCACATCCCTCAGCTTCCCAAAGTGCTGGGATTACATGCGTGAGCCACCGCACCCAGCTTGGACTATATACAATTTATAGTTTTTTTTTTATCAGAATAATTGTATTTATAGTAGTTGAGTATCTACTATGTGCCAAGCCTTGGGTGTGATAGCAGTGAACAAGACAGACAAAGTTCTTGCGGTCATAGAACTAACAGTTTTGTTTTCTGCAGTAGAGAAACTAGTTTAACTTTTTACAGTTACTTATGCACAGATTTTTTTTTTTTTTTTTTTTTTGAGACAGAGTCTCGTTCTGTCACCCAGGCTGGAGTGCAGAGACATGATCTTGTCTCACTGCAACCTCTGCCTCCTGGGTTCAGGTGATTCTCTTGCCTCAGCCACCAGAATAGCTGGGACTACAGGCATGTGCTGCCACGCCTGGCTCATTTTTTTTTTTTTTTTTTGTATTTTCAGTAGAGACGGGGTTTTGCCATGTTGGCCAGGCTGGTCTTGAACTCATGAGCTCAAGTGATCTACCTGCTGCAGTCTCCCAAAGTGCTGGGATTACAGGCATGTGCAACCATGCCTGGCCATTTATGCTCAGATTTCTTTAAACAAACAAAAAGCAAATCACGAGCCCCCCCGCACCTTCATTTGATTCAACTATCCTTTCCAGCTGCGATCTTAGTTTTTTATGTGTTTTATGTTAAGTTTTTCAAATAATGGTCTTCAGCAATTGGCTTCATTTTCTTACTAAGCATTAGTATTCCTTACAGCTTTTTCTTCCATAATTTAGCTAAAATATTGCTCTCTCAGTTATCACAGGTTTTTCTTTTGCCATATTCAAAGGTCTGTTCTTAGTTTTCTCTGTTTCTTGCAACTTCTTTCAGGAGGTAATGTATGCAGTCCTAACTCACCTCTTTTCTAACTATTTCTTCTTTGTTTTCCTTGATTAAAAAAAGAAAAGAGAAGGTATTTTAGGAGGAAATACTTGATCGTATAGTATAGGTTATGTTCATTATGGAAATTGAATAGAGAATTAAAGGAAAAGAAAGTGAAAGGAAGAAAGAAAATGAAGAAAGAAGAGCCTAAAAACACAGAGAAAAGTGAAAGTGGAGAAAGAGGAAAGCAGTTAAATAGCAGTAAGGGATAGCAAAGCCCTAGAAATAGCAGTGATGATTTAACATTTGCCTGTATTGAAAAGCAGAGTAGAATAGTGGTTAGTATAGATCTCTCTTTGTCTTGTCTTTGTCAGTTACTGTGACCTTGAGCAAACTTTTTAACATTTTGTGCCTTATTTATTCATCTACAAAATGAGTTTCATTATAACATCCATCCCATACTGTTTTTGTGATAATGTATGAAGCACAAGCTGGGTACATAACATATGATGTGTGGGCCACTATGATTATCATTAGCTCCCTATCATTCCTAAAGTAGCTATTCATTCTCCACAATTACTTTAGGAGAAGCTATTCTTTTTCATGTATTTATATATCACCTTCATAACTTATTTGTTGAAAAAGCAGATAATTATTGGCATGCCTACCTATGTGCCAGCTGACTACACTTAGTACTGAGGATTGAAAAATAAACTGAAAAGACATTTTCTGTCTTTAAGAAGATAAACACTGAGGAGAGAGAGATGAGAGCAAACTGCTGCACTAAAATGCAATAAGTTTATTGGTAGAAAATGTACAAAGTATTGTAGAGGAATGAGGGACTGCTTTGTAGAATGAGATTATATAAAGAAGACTGCAGTTGAGAGGTTAAGCATGAATAGGCATTTGCTTTCCTTACATGAATCAGGCAGAGGAAATGGCCATTTTACATATACAAAAGTATGAGAGAGCCAGTAGTGTTCAAGAAATTATAAGCAGCTTTCTATCATTTGGTATATAAAATGTTATCAGATACTGGTGGTCAATGGGATTGGACAGTGATAGACAGTGGGCTAGGTCACAGCAGGCTTTGTGTGCTATACCATGGAGATTAGATTTTATCCTCTTTGCAAATAGGAGCCATTGAAAACTTTAGCTCAGAAGAATGATGTAAGATTTGCTTATCAGAATGAGTATTGTGAGAACTGTATAAGTGGTAGGGTAGCCATATGAGGATGGTGAAACTTTAAGAACAGAGACCAGCGAGGAGGCGATTACAGTAATCCAGGTAAAAGATGAAGAAGGAAAGAGTCTGGTAGTGGCAGTGAAGACAGATGAGGAAAGATGTTGTTGGATATTAAGAATTAGAATTAACAGGAGTTATTGATTAAATGTAGGGGGTAAGGGAGGGGGAAGGATCTAGAATGATTTCCTAATTTTGGTCTTGAGTAGCCTAGTAAATACTATTTTAACTATAAATGCACAGGAAGTAAAGCAGATTTGGGTATGACAATAATATCACAAGGTGAAGGGGTCAAGGAGGTAGATAAGCTGGCGCAACTTTATTTTGTATTAACATGAAGCATTAACAGTATTAATATGAAGTAGGTTGTGGTTAGTATGCACATTGTGCTCCCTAGAGCAAGTAAAACATACTCACACAAATAAATATAGCTTAAAACTATAAATAGAGGAATAAAAATGATATGCTAAAATTTTTTTATTTAATAAGCCTGTAAAGGAGGAACAGAAGAACAAATAAGATGAAACAAATAGAAAACACATATCAAAATAAAGACCTAAATTCAGCCATATAAATAGTTATGATAATTGGAAATGGACCACACACTCCAAGAAGCAGAGATTATAAGATTAAAAAAAAAAAACCCAACTATATGCTGTCTACAAGAGACACGTTATAGTCAAACACAAATAGGCTGAAAGTAAAATGGTGGATAAAAATATACCATAAAAACTATAAGCATTAGAGAGTTGGATTCTATATTAATATCAGACAAAATAGACTTTTAAGACAATGATTATTATTAGAGAAAAAGATGGATATTCTATAATAATAATAAGACTCATCTTAAAGCTTCAAAATACTTGAGGCAAAACCTGACAGAATTGAAAGGAGAAATAGACTAATCATCAAGTACAGTTGGAGATTTTAATATTCGTCTCAGTAACTGATAGAACATATAGACAGAAAATTAGTAAGGATATAAAATATTTGAACAACACTCTTAGTCATCTTGGCCTAGCTGATGTCTATAAAACACCCAACAACAGCAAATGTTGTTTGGTGTTGAACATTCACCATGGTAGACCATTTGCTGAGTTACAAGGCAGGTCTGAATATATTAAGTCTTAAATTTATGAATGTAAAAGAATTGAAGTGACACACGTATGTGTTCTGATTTGCAACTGAGTTAAATTAGAAATCAGTAACCATGAAAAATCTCTAAATAAATTAAAATGAAAAAGCCCACTAGTAAATAACTCATTGATCAAAGAAGAAATGAAAGACTGTCTTAAACTGAATGATACTGAAAACTCAACATGTCAGAACTTGTGGGATGCAGCTGAAGCAGTACTTAGAAGGAAATTTATAGTTTTAAAGGCTAAATTAGCTGGGCACAGTGGCATATGCCTGTCATTCCAGCCACTTGGGAGACTGAGATGGGAGGATCCCTGGTGGCTAGGAGTTCAGGGTGGCAGTGCTCTATGATTGTGCCTGTGCATAGCCACTGTACTCTAGCCAGGGCAACATAGTGAGACCGGCTTTCTAAAAAAAAAAAAAAAAAAAACCGAGTTAGAAAAGAATGGGTTAAAATCATTGTTCTAAGATTTTTATCTTATAAACCTAGAAAAAAAGAAGCAAATTAAACCCAAATTAAGTACAAGGAAGAAAAAATAATAAAGAACATAGTGGAAGTCACTGATATAGAAAAAGAACAAACAATAGCAATGAAAGCAAAACTGGTTCTTTAAAAAGTTCAATAAAGCTGATAAAACTTTAGCTGGACTGATTTTTTTTTTAAAAAGGGAAGACAGATTATTAATATCAGGAATGAAAGCGGTGACATGAATACATATCCCATAAATTTAAATGATAATAAGGAAATATGAATACATTTATGCAAATAAATGTGACAATTTACATAAAATGACACATTCCTTGAAAGACAAATTATCAAAAGTTTCTGGAAGAAATGGAAAACCTGAATAGATCTGTATAAAGGAAAGAAATTGAATTAGTCATGTATAAGTTCTCCCATGAAAAGTCCAGGCCCACCTGATTCCCACTGGTGAATTCTATCCAACGTTTTAAGGAAGAAATAATACCAATTCTTCACAACCTCTTTTAGAAAATAGTGAGTAAAGAACATTGACCAGCTTGTTTTATGAGCTCTGCATTACCCTGATAACAAAGGTAGACAAGGACATTACGAGAAAACTACAGGATTTTTCCTTCATGAGAATAGACGCAAAAAATACTGTTAACAAAATATTAGCAAGTTGAATCCAGCAATATATATGTACATAAAAATAAAGGTTAATACACCTTAACCAGTGACATTTATTCCAGTTATTCAAAATTGGCTTAATATCTGAACATCAATATAATACACCATGTTAGTAGAATAAAAGATGAAAACGTTGATATCATCTCAGATGCAGAGAAAGCATTTTGGCAATAATAACTCTCAGAATACTGGAAATGTAAGTGAAATTCCTCAACTTGACACAGCACATCTATGAAAAAGCAATATTCTTAATGGTGAGATCATTGAGAAGGAATGCTTTCTACCTAAGATCAGGAACAAGGCAAAGATCTCTGCTGTCAGTGCTTATGTTCAACATTGTACTGGATGGAGGTCAGTGAAATAAAGGGCATACATAAGGGAAAGGAAGAAATAAATCTTTTTTTATTCCCAGATGATACTAAGCTATTTTAGTGAGTGAATTCTAATTAGTGAATTTAATGAGGTTATAGGATACAAGGTCCATGCATGAAAATCAGTGGTATTTCTATATGTAACCAACCTACAATCAAACTGAAATTTCTAAAACAGTTCCATTTATGTGAGCATAAAGAAATAAAAATATTTAAGAGGAAATTTAACGGAAGCTGTGCAAGACCTTTTCATAGAAAACTGGTAAATGTTGCTGAAAGTTAATAGAGGGATATACCATAGTAGTGGATTTGAAAGCATATTATTAAGATAAACTTATTTTTTTCTATAGATTGAATGTAATCCCAACCAAACTCCCAGAAAGCTTTAAAAAAAAAAGTTGGCAAGCATATTCTCATGTTTAAATGGAAATAAAGAGAACCTAGAATGGAAAAAATGATTTTAGGCTGAGCGCAGTGGCACACTCACACCTGTAATACCAGTACTTTGGGAGGCCGAGGCAGGACGGTTTCGTGAGTTCAGGAATTCAAGACCAGCCTGGGCAAAATAGCAAGACCAAATCTCTACTTAAAAAAAAAAAAATCTACTGGGTGTGGTGGCATGTGCCTGGAGTCCCAGCTACTTGGGAGGCCGAGGTGGGAGGACTGCTCAAGCCCAGGAGATTGAGGCTGCAGTGAGCTGAGATCGTGCCACTGCAGTCCAACCTGTGACAAAGCAAGACTGTGTCTTAAAAAAAAAAAAAAGGAGAAAAAGTTTGTCCGGGCATGCTGGTTCATACCTGTAATCCCAGCACTATGGGAGGCTGAGGCAGGTGAATCACTTGAGGCTGGGAGTTTGAGACCAGCATGACCAACATGGTGAAACCCCATCTCTACTAAAAATACAAAAATTAGCTCAATTTGGTGACACATGCTTGTAATCCCAGCTACTTGGGAGGCTGAGGCAGGAGAATCACTTGAACCTGGGAGGTGGCAGTTACAGTGAGCCAGGATTGCACCACTGCACTCTAGCCTGGGTGATGGAGTAAGACTGTGTCTCAAAAAAAAGAAAAAAAGAAATTAAAAGAGAGAATGATTTTTAAAAGGAAGAACACAGTTTGAGATGTGAGACTTTATCATAGAGCTACAGTAATCAAGACAGTGTGGTATGGTATAAAGGATAAATGAAGATAGATCAGACACTGAGGTTCAGAAATGGACCTAAACTTATATGATCAACTGATTTTCAGCAAAGGTGTCAAGGTTATATGGAAAAAGAATAATTTTTTCAATGAATTGTGCTGAAATAACTGGATAATTGTTTCCTCACATCAAACACAGAAATTAATCCAAAATGGATCATAGACCTAAATATAAAAGATAAAGTCATGAAATTCTAGAAGAAAATTTTTCTAGGAGAAAATCTTCATGGCCTTAGATTAAATAAATATTTCTTAGGACACAAAAAGCATGAGCTATAGAAGAAAAAATTGCTAATTTGGACTTAATCAAAATTAAACATTTTTGCTCATGGGTGAATACCCCTAAGAAAATGAAAAGGCAAAGTCATAGATTAGGGGAAAATATTTGCCACACATAGCTCTGAACAAGAACCTGTATCCATAATATATAAAGAACTCATAACTCAGTAAGACTGTCAACCTAATTTTTTAAAAAAGGGGCAAAATAGTTGAGTAGGTATTGTACAAAAGAATATACGTGGCTGGGCGCAGTGACTCATGCCTGTAATCTCAACACTTTGGGAGGCCGAGGCAGGAGGATCACCTGAGGTCAGGAGTTCGAGACCAGCCTGGCCAACCTGGTGAAACCCTGTTTCTACTAAAAATACAAAAATTAGCTGGATATGGTGGCGCACACCTGTAATCCCAGCTACTTGGGAGGCTGAGGCAGGAGAATTGCCTGAACCTGGGAGGCAGAGGTTGCAGTGAGCCGAGATCGCACCACTGTACTCCAGCCTGGGCAACAGAGCGAGACTCCGTCTCAAAAAAAAAAAAAAAAAAAAAAAAGAATATATGTAATTGGTCATTAAACAGATGAAATAATACTAAACATCTTGATCATTGGGGAAATGCAAATTAGACAAAGAAGAAGGAATATACAAGGTCAAAGGAAGGAAGTTTTGTTTGTGTTTTAGGATGGAACTACCTTAAAAACTAAAATCTACATCATCAATCTATCACCTTTTTTCTAGTTCCTTTTTTCTAACTATACAGATATATACATTTTTTGATATTCCATCAGACCTTCACTTTAGTATGTTTTAATGCAGAACTATTTCTCTTTTCTTCTTGAGTCCTGTTCTTTCTGTCTTCATTACCATTACATCATCAGTATGATATCAGGCTCAAAATTATGAAGTCCTTTATGTGTTTATTCTTCCAGGAGACATTTATCATATTTACTCCTTACTAATAACTTGCCTGCATCTAGGTAGAGATATCAAATTGGTGGTTGGAAATCATGAGAGAGATTGGGGCTGGAGATAAGCATTTAGAAGTTATCAGTGGATAGATGGTATTTAAAGCCATGTGTCTGCATGAGATCAGTCAGGGAGGTGTGCATGGATAGGATAAGAGAAGTAACATGACTGATCCCTGAGGTAGTTCAACCTTTGGAAGGCAGCTAAGTGAGGGTGGGTGGCTCAGCCCTTGAAATGAAATGAAATAGCCAGTGAGAATCATGTTTCAGAGGACAAGTCAAGATACTGTAGGAAGAGGACAGATTACATTGTGAACTCCTGCTGATAGGTCAAGTCAGAGGAACACTGAGAAGTGACTACTGGATTTGCCAATGTGAAGGTTACTGAAGTAGGTATAAGAGAAAATAGAAGGACACGAAATAGAGATGGCTTTTTTTTTTTGAGAACTTACATTAAGAGGAATGTTGGGTGGTAACTGGAAGGCAACATAGGAGACTTGTTTATTTTATTTTGAAAAGGAAGATTTTATAGCAAGTTTGTAAGCTAATGAAGATTGTCTAGGGAAGCAGGGAAAATTGACAATGTAGAGGAAAGAAGGGAGGAGCAGCGTCCTTTTATGGGTGAGTAGAAGTGGGGCTGAGCACAGAAATGAAGAGGAATGGCCTTTGTTAGGGGCATAGACAGTTCACCCATAGTGACAGGAAGGCAGGCAGTGTTGTGGGCTTAGATTTAGGTCAGTCACTAAATAATTCTTGAGCTTTTAGTATGTACAAGGCACTGTTCTTATGAAAACAAACGTAAAAAAATATATTTAAGTAAAGAAATTTAAATAGAGATGTAGATGGTTTAACCAGGTATCTGTTTTTTGTATACCACTATTAGCATCTTAACTGTTTACTAGTATACAATTTTATCATATTGTTTAGTATTCAGTTACATCAGACTGTGATACTGAAAAAACTTAGTATTTTTTAGTAATTATTCATTTGTATATCCATTATCTCCCAATTAGATTTTAAACTGCCTATGGGTAGTTGCTTTCACTTATAGCTGTAGTGCTCCTGAGCCAACTGAACAACTGCTGAGATAATCCTAGGAATAATGTATGCTGAGGGTATGCCGTGCTCTCTATGTAATGAGTTCCTCACATTGATTCATCTATGGAAGACTTGCTTGAGCATGGTGGGAGTGATGTCTCTTCAGTGGCACAGTCTTCATTCTATTTCTTACCCTTTAAATAATTCACATTTTTCAGTGCATGGAATTAAATTTTCAAGGTAAGTTATGGTATAGTGGAATATACCATATTTTTGTTTATTAAATTTGTGTTAAAATGATAATGACTAAATCTTAGGAGAGAAATAGTTTATTTTGTAGTCTCCTGTATGATCCTTTGAAGATTCTTAATTTTTATCCTGATTCCATTTTTCTCCTTACTATATTTAGTTGCATCCCTTTCTCTACCTAATGGAGGACAAAGTGACATTAGAATCCAATAAATTGTTTCAGTTTTTAATTATTTTCTCATGGGTCTTTCTCTCTCTCTCTCCCTCCCTCCCTCCCTCCGTCTCTCTCTCTCCCCCTTCCTCCTTCCCTCTCTCTCTCTCTCTCAGCCTCCCTCCCTTTCTTTCTCCCCTCCCCTCCTGTTCTTGATGGAGTCTTCCTTTGTTGCCCAGGCTGCAGTGCAGTGGCATGATCTCAGCTCACTGCAACCTCCGCCTCCTGGGTTCAAGTGATCCTCCTGCCTCAACCTCCCAAGTAGCTGGGTTTACAGGCATGCGCCACCACCTCAGCTGATTTTTGTATTTTTAGTAGAGACGGGGTTTCGCCGTGTTGGCCAGGCTGGTCTCGAACTCCCAACCTCAAGTAATCTGCCCACCACGGCCTCCCAAAGTGCTAGGATTACAGGCATGAGCCACCATGCCCAGCCTCTCATGCCAGTTTCTTTCTTTTCTTTTCTTTTTTTTTTTTTTTGAGACAGAGTCTTGCTCTGTTGCCCAGGCTGCCAGGCTGGAGTGCAGTGGCTCATTCTCGGCTCACTACAATCTCTGCCTCCCAGGTTCAAGTGATTCTCCTGTCTCAGCCTCCTGAGTAGCTGGGATTACAGGTGCCTGCCACCATGCCCGACTATAGAAACTCATGCCAGTTTCTGTAACCATTTGTGTAATAATGAGCTACCTCTATACTGTATCATTCACTATGATATTGTTTCCACTGCTAAATGTTTCTGCTTTTTAGTTTTTTTTTTCTTTCACTTCTTTATGGTAGGTAAAATGTTCTTAAAAGATTCCAAGACCGTACTGTTATTATTTTTTTTTTTTGACAGTCTCACTCTGCTGCCCAGGCTGGAGTGCAGTGGCACAATCTCAGCTCACTGCAACCTCTTCCTCCCGAGTTCAAGCAATTCTCCTGCCTCAGCCTCCCAAGTAGCTGGGATTACAGGTGTGCACCACCACACCCAGCTAATTTTTGTATTTTTAGTAGAAACAGGGTTTCACCATGTTGGCCAGGCTGGTCTTGAACTCCTGACCTCAGGTGATCTGCCTGCCTCGGCCTTCCAAAGTGCTGGGATTACAG
Organism: Homo sapiens; assembly: GCF_000001405.40. Classification (NCBI taxonomy): domain Eukaryota; kingdom Metazoa; phylum Chordata; class Mammalia; order Primates; family Hominidae; genus Homo; species Homo sapiens. Next base: position 77,908,511 of record NC_000004.12, read on the forward strand.
GCGTGAGCCACCATGCCTGGCCAGTGTTATCTTTTGCCATAGGTTATTTTATAGATTTTATTTTAATATGTCATCTGTGTTTTTAATGTATGCTGTATATTATTATTGCATATACTTAGGTATTAGTTATCCATAATGGTGCAACAATATTACCACAAACAGTTGCTTGAAACAACACGCATTTATTATCTCACCATTTCTGTGTGTCAGGAATGTATGTGTAGCAGAGTTGGGTTCTCTGCTTAAGGGTCTCACAAAGCTCCACTCAAGGTATTGGCCAGAGAGGTGGTTTCATCTTAGACTCAATGGGCGATGGATCTGCTTGCAGACTTACACAGTTGGCAGAATTCAGTTCCTGTAGGCTGCTGGACACAGGGCTTCAGTTTCTTGCTGGCTGTTAGCTTGAGTCTGCTCTCAGCTTATTGCCCTGTGGCCCTCTCCATATGGCAGCTCACAGCATTGCAGCTTGTTTCTTCAAAGCCAGTAAGGAAGATAGTCTTCTTCAAGACAGGCATTATAGCTTTATGTAATGTAATTATGTACACATGATTATTCTGTCTCTTGGTTTGAAGCAAGTTGCAAGTTTCATTCACACTCAATGAATGTGAACACCAGGAAACAGAGCTCTTTGGAACTAAAGTTTATCTGCCACAATTTATTTGCTATATCTTTACATGAGATATGTGTTTCTTTTATTCAGTAATTTTTACTACTTATTTGGAGTGATAATTGTGGATTTTACTTTTTCTAACTAGATTCCATTGGCCGTGACATCCCCAAAATGCTTGAATTATTTAAAAATGGACATGAAATTAAGGTAGATGAAGAAAGGGAGAACTTTCTCCAGACCAAAATAGCAACAGTAAGTTACAATGAAAATTATCAAATAATCCTCTTTTTTTGTTGTTCAAGTATTCTTCAGTAATTTATAATATTATAAAATGCCAGTCATTTGAACTTGTTTTTGGCACTAGCATTAAGAATGGCATTAAACATACGCATAGATACTTTTTTTATTCTATAAATTAAACTCATAAATTTTAATGGTACTTGAGAATTTCTTCCAGAGTTATGTGCTACTCTCACATTTACTTGTACTTTGCCTTATTTATCTGTTGTATGTATACACTTTTGTATTTATGTATTATATTTTAAGCTTATTGAGAATAGGGTTTAGATTTTGTATGTCCCCCTAATCAAGATTGCATAATGCTGAGCACATAGTAGGTGTTCAATACTACTTTAGTGGAATTGAGTAATTTGCTTTATTTTAATGAATTATGTCCAATTTTCTCTGCTAGTGTTTTTAAAATTGTTTGCCTGCTTTTAGAAGATGCTGGAAATCAGTTTCCAAAGCCATTTTTAGGATACTAATGTAGATATGCCACATTTCTAGGACTGTGTTTTAAAATATATTGTCATTACAAACATTAAAGTTATTTATACTAAAGAATCTCTAAAGTGCCTATCCAACATATGTAATTTTTTTCTTGTTCATTTACTATAGGAATAACAGTAATTGATAAATTGATAGCAAAATTTAAACAGGACCTACCAAGTGTCAGTTGCTATTCTAAACAATTTTTGTATATTCTGTCTTTTAATTGTTAGCCATATGAGAGGTAAAATGATCACCCCTGTCTTATAGATGAAGGCATGCAAGCCCAGAGAAGTTAAGTAACTTTTCCAAGGTCTCACAGCTACTATGAGGCAGAATAAGCATTTGAACTTTGGCAGTTTCCTCAAGTCCAGGCTCTTTATCCCTATACCATCTTGCCTCATGACTGGAATTATTTGAATAGCTATTATTCTTTCTCTTTGCCTTCCCATCTTACTCTTAAGGGGAATTCTGCATTATAGCTAGTAGTCCAAGCTCATTGAGCTGTGCCCACTGCAGGTCATCAGAAATATAGAAAAAGCTGAGTGACACAGCCTAGGCAACGTGGTGAAACCCCATCTCTATAAAAAATACAAAAAAATTAGTTGAGTGTGGTGGCATGCACCTGTAGTCTAGCTACTTGGGAGGCTGAGGCGATCCCTGGGATCACCAAGGTTGCAGAGTGAGACCCTGTCTCAAAGAAAACAAACCAAACCAGAAAGTAAAGAAAAAGCTGGGTGCTATGTTGCCCAGGCTGGCCTCAAACTCCTATGCTGAAATAATCCTCCCTTAGCCTTCTGGGTAGATGGGACTACAGATGTATGCCACCATGCTAGGCTTCTCAGCTAGTTTTATGGTCAAAAAACAAAAAAACTTGCTTTAGAAATGGAGCAAAGCAGGTTTAATCTAGTTGGGGAAACCCCAGCTTGCCATCATTATCATCAAAGCTCAGCTCCAATTTATTTGGCACTGAGCTCTGCTCCAGTCTAATGTTGGAATTTCCTTGTTCCCCAAAAGGCCTTTGACAGTACTTCTTGTTTCTTAGGGTTGACAACATTGTAATTGAAAAACCAAACAAATGAAACATAAAATACAAATTTTAAGAGTCTATTCTGAAGTTGTAGAGACTTGAGTTTGAATACCTACCTTTTCAGCTACTTCAGAGATGGCAGATTTTAAGGAAGTTTCTTAATGTTGTTGTGTCTCAAATTTCCTCATCTATAAAATGTGTATAATAGTACTTCTTTCACTATGTGGTTTTGAAGATTACATAAAATTTTAAAATGGTAACATCTATTGTTATTGTTTTGGTTGGCCTTTTGGGACTGTGGAATATCCTTATAAGGCTCTTTTTAGCTGGATTAAATCTGTCTTAAGTAATGTTTTCAGTATATTTAGTAGTTAATAGTTTATGTAGATCCTGACTCAGAATATAAGAAACCATGACATCGCATTCATTTCTTTCAACAAATACCATAGTGATTAAGACATAGGTCTTAATCACTAAGTAGTAGATCACTAAGTAGTAGATCAGAGGAGATATAATTTCTTAATGAAAAAGAAATTATGTGTTTAAAGAGTTTTTTTTTGAACACTTAGTATTGCAGTATAGAAGGATGTTGAGAGTGGGTTTTAGATTCCTGTTGTCTTGATTCAAACCCTTGTTCCAGCTAGAAAGAGCTGTACCCCCTTGCTCTCTGAGCCTCAATTTTTCCCCATTTCCCATTTCTCCTGTATATAAAATCATGGTAATAATATGTACCTTCTAAGCTAGGAAGGAATAGATGAGATAATAACATAATAACCATTTAGCAGAGTACTTCTGGATAAGGGGGAGTAACAGGGACCTAATTTATCCTCCTACCTAAAACAGTCAGCATTATTTGATACCAAAACCAGACAAAGAAAACCACAATGCAGTATCATTCGTGAACATAGATGTAACAATTGCAAACTAAATTTTAGCAAATAGAATCCAGCAATATATAAAAAGGGTAACATATCATGCTCAAGTAGGGTTTATTCTAGGAATGCAAGGTTAGTTTAACATTCAACAATTAATCATTACAGTTCACCATATTAAGAAAGTAAAAAACAAAAGCCATATGAGCATTGCAGTGGATGCAGAGAAAGCATCTGACAGAATCCAACATCTGTTTCTGATTAAAAAGTCTCAGCAAACTAGGAATAGAAGTCCATGTCCTTAACCTGAAAAGAGTGTCTAAGAAAAGTCAAAGCTGACATCATATTTAGTGGTGAAACACTGAATGTTGCATTTCTCCTAAGATCAGGAACAAGACAAGGACATCCGTCTCACCACTGCTTCTTTTCAACATTGATCTGGGGCTTCTAGTTAGCGCAATCAGGCAAGAAACAGAAATAAAAAGTCAACTAGATTAGAAAGGAAGAAGTGAAACTGTCATTATTCACAGATTACATGTTCTAGCTACTAGAACAACGAAGTGAGTTAACTAAGGTTGAAGGTAGAAGCTCAATGTACAAAAATGTTTCTGTATAACAGCAAGGAACAATTAGAAATTGAAATGAAAAAGCAACAAATGCCATTTGTAGTAATAGCAAATATATTAAATACTTAGGGGTAAATCTGACAAAGATGTGGAAGATCCATACACCGAAAACTTTAAAACATGGTTAAGAAAAATAAAAAATCTAAATAAATGGTGACTATATACCTTGTTTATGGATCAGTAGACTCAATATTGTTAAAAATATCAATTTTCCCCAAGGTAATCTATAGATTCATAGCATTCTCAAAGTACCAGTCAACAGTTTTGTAGAAACTGACTAGCTGATTCTAAAATTCATAGAAAAATGCAAAGTATCTAGAATAGCTAAGACAACTTTTTTGAAAAAGAACAAAGTTGGAAGTCTACCTGATTTCAAGATTTATAAAGCTGCAGTAATTAAGACAATGTGGTATTGACATCAAAAGAAAACAGTTAATGGAATAGAATAGAGAGTCCAGAAAGAAAGACAAAACATGCATATATGGACAACTGATTTTCCACAAGGTACAATGGCATTTTTTCTGGAGAAAGGATAGTTCTTTCAACAAACAGTACTGGAACAGTTGGATGTCTATATGTCATAAAATGAAATTCAACCAATACTTCAAGACATATATAATAATTAAGTAAAAATGAATCAAAGACCTAAATGTAAAGCCTAAAATTATAAAACTTTGAGAAGAAAAAGTTGGGTTAGGGGATGTTTCTTAGATAAGACATGAAAAGCATGATCCATAAAAGAAGAAATTGATAAATCACCCTATAAAAATTAAAAGCTTCTACTCTTTAAAAGACACTGTTAAGAGAAAGAAAAGACAAATTACAGACTGGGAAAAATATTTGAAAATCATGTATCTGATAAATTCAAAATATATAAAGAACTGTCAAAAACTCAATAATAAAACTACCCAATTTTAAAAATCAGAAAACATGAACACACCTCACTATGGAGATATATAGATGACAAACACATGGAAAGATGCTCAGCATCTTTAATCTTTAGGAAATGTAAATGAAAACCACAATGGGATAACACACATCTATTTGGAATGAATAAAGTTAAAAAGACTGGCCATACCAACTGCTGTAAGGATGCGGTGGGACTTGAGCACTCTTACAGCGTTTGTGGGTATGTTAAATGATGCAACCTCTTTGGCAAACAATTTGGCAGTTTCTTAAAGTTGCACATCCGCCTACTATATGATCCTGCTATTCCACTTTTAGATACTTAGGAGAAATGAAAACATGTGTCCATACAAAGACCTGTAAGCAAGGGTTCATATCAGATTTATCTGTGATAGCCCCAAACTGGAAAATTTCCAAATGTTCACTGCAGGTGAATATAAAAAAAATTCTTCAGTAATAAAAAGAAATAAAGTTGATACATTCTACCATACTGATGGATTTCAAAATAATTTTGCTGAGTGAAAGAAGTTAGAAAAAAGGGAGCACATCCTGTATGATTCTTTTTGTATAAAATTCTGGCAAATGCAAACTAATGTATGATGACAGAAAGCAGACCAGTGGTTGCCTTGGGGTCAGAGGTGGGTGAAGAGGGGCAGGAAGGAAGAATTACAAAGGCACACAGTAAATTTTGGAAGTGATTGTTATGTTATTCTGACTGGTGATTGTTGCATGTGTGTATACATAAGTCAAAGCTTAGTGAATTGTAGGCATTAAGAATGTGGAGGATATCCAATGGAATACTATGTAGCAATAAAAAAGAATAAACTAAGGATACATGGTACAACATGGATAAACCTCAAGAATATTATGCTCAGGGAAAGAAGCCAGACACAGAAACTACTTGCTGTATGATACCATTTATATGCAATATTCAGAAAAAGCAAAAGTATAAAGACAAAAAGTAGATTAGTAGTTGCATAGGAGGGGTGGGAGGAAACAGGTATTAATGCTAAGTGTGCATGGTCATATTGGGGTGATAATGTTTTCAAACTGATTTATGGTGATGGTTGCACAACTCGATCAACCTACTAAGAAACATTGAATTTTACATCAGAAAATGGTAAATAATATATGCAAAGTATGCCTCTATAACATTAATTAAAAACGTGCAGTATGTCAAGTTTTAGAAAAGTAAAACAAGGTTTTAGTTTTACAAAGTAGTAAAAAACTGTACCATTGTATTATGCAAAATAATTGTTTCGTAAATTTTATTATTAGAATTATCTTATAGTTAAAAATTTAGAAATGATTTTACAGCAATTTAATGAGGTTTCCTTGAGTGAAATTATTCTTATTATGCAGTTGAAAATATTGAAGATGTGGTATTTGTGTGTGTGTGTGTGTGTGTCTGTAGCCAATATGTTATGACAAATTGATATAGAATGAGTGCAGCAGATAAAAGGGCACTGACGGTATGACGGTATCACATGCCTATTAAGCGTCCTTATTTTGGATAAAAGGAAGATATCTAGAACAGGGGTCAATAAATGACAACCAGGGGCCAAATCTGGTTGTGGCTGTGGCCTGTTTTTGTATAGCCTGTGAGCTAACAATGGTCTTTACAGTTTTAAAGGTTGTAAAAAATAAAGGATAGCTACAGAGACTGGATATGGCCTGCAAAGCCTAAATAATTCACTATCTGGCTCTTGATTTGCTGACTTCTGATCTAGAAAGATGTTTTTTGGGAGAGTGAAATGGATTAGTTTTGTGTGTCTACTTACCTGTACAGGAGAGACTCTCACTGTAGTTAAATCATCTTGATGTTCTGTGTTACGATTCTGCATTTCAAGATCCATTTCTAGTATTGATGTAATACGGAATTGATCTTGAGTAGTTTATAGTTTTCCTTCTGTATCAATGTGCTAAATATGGTCAGTTGAATGATCTTTCTTAATTATTTAACTTGAGGATTAGTATCTTGGATATTAGAACTCAGCCACTACTGCCTTTGTATATCCAAACTGTGTATACTAATGCTCTTACAGTCAGCCAGTATCTAACATTTGTCAGCAGTACTTGCAGGTAAATTAGTTTTTTTCGCTTCTCTTTGCTTGTTTTTTAGATAGGGTCTTACTGTATCACCCAAGCTGGAGTACAGTGGCTTGATCTCAGCTCCCTGCCAGGCTCAAGTGATCCTCCCATCTCAGCTCCTTAACCCAGTAGCTGGGACTACAGGTGTGCGCCACCATGCCCAGCTAATTTTTGTATTTTTTGTAGAGACGGGTTTTGCCATGTTGCCTAGGCTGGTCTCCAACTCCTGGGCCCAAGTGATCTGCCCACCTCAGCCTTGCAAAGTTATGGGATTACAGGCACAAGCCACTGCCCCGGCCTTAGTTTTGTTCTTAATATTTCCTACCATTTGTATCTGTAACTTACATAGTCATGAAATTGGTTATGTCTTATGCTATCAAATCAAATGCTCATATCAGTGAAAATGTCATAAGATGATACGTTGAACATCATGAAGACAAAACAAGTTATTGGAATATGTTATTTTTTAATCAGTTATATTGCTATCACATAGACACCATTTATTTTCTCTCATAGCATGAAGCATAATTGGTTGGGATAAAAGCAAGCTGCCAAGAGATCAGATAAAAGGGAAAAGTCTTAGAGCATAAAACTGAAAATAAAGAGCTACAGAGGAGAAAAAGTACATTTCTTCAACCTTTTTCCCCCAATGGCTCTTTCCATGACATAGAAATGAAACTAAGGCAGATTCTCAAAAAATGAATTTGAGACATATGTACCTGGCCAATGTTTATATTCTAAATAGCAGTTTAATTTCAGATAGTAATTAAATAATTTTAAAAGGATTTATCTGAGTTTGCTATATAGAAAATAATATAGTCATAATTCTGCTATCCAGATAACTTTTGACATTTAAAAAATTTCAAATTAATATACATACATGGTTAAATTCAAATAATTCACAAAAGCATATTAAGAAACACTAGAACCCATTTCCCTGCAATAGTTTTCTTGTGGAACTTAAAAAACTTTTAATTAATATATGTACATGGTTAAGTTAATTTACAAATGCATATAAAGAAACACCAGAGCCCCTTTCCCTGCAATTGTTTTCTTGTGGAATTTCTATTTACAGTTTTATTTTTGTTCTTCCAGAAATATTAAGGCATAAACCTAGGCACCCTTATAAAATTCATTTAATTATATTATGCCACACATACTATTCTGTAGCTTTCTTTTCTGTGGATAAAAGTGTAGCATGGATGTCTTCAAATATATAGTATGAATGTCATCAAAGATGCAAAGAGATCTGCCACATTCTTTTTAAGGCCTGCATAGAGTTGTATTCTATCATATACCATAATCAGTTCCTTATTGATGGGCCTTTAGTTTGTGTCCCGATTTTTGCTATTGCAAATGATACTTAATGAAAATTTCACAAAGAAATATTGCCAAAATTCTCTAAGTATATCCATAAGGTAAATTTATAGAAATAGAGTATATGTTGAAAATTTTATTATATGAATTCCCAAATTACTTTCTAAAATGTTTATACTAATTTATCATTATCCAACAGTGTGTTAAAGTACTTGTATCTTTATACCCTCACTAGCATTGGGTATTATCACACTTAAACATTTTGTCAGTTTGAAAGTTGATATAGGTGTGAGTGTGAGCACATGTGTACTTTTAACAGCTTAAAAATTTCAGTGTGAACATTATCATTGTTTCTTTGGTTACAGTGTTATTCTCTTTTACCCCTTAAGATTCTGAATTTCCTCATCTGTCCACCATTCTTATTTCCTTTATTTTCATATTCCTAGCCCCACTCTTATTCTCCACAACTCTCTTTTTTGTGTATGCAGTCTCCTATTGACTCCTTTTACCATAGACCGTTTCTGACTCACCCCTACCATCACCTGCTCTGTTTACAAGTGCCTGGTAAATAAAATTGACAAGAGCCATGATCATTAAAAGTTGATTGTAAAATTGAAGTGTTCACAAACACTGAGATTGCCTGGCATTTGCTAACTACTGAAAAGAAAGCCTTTTCTATCCAGTAGAAAAGGGGACCGGTTTTTCTGACCCATGATACAGTAGGGATTTTTAATGTATCCTATGTATTTAAAAAATTATCCTTATTTTTTGACTTTTCTTAAGCTTTATTTTCTGATCAGGTAAAATTATCGTTAGCTCATTTAGAATCTAAGCATAAAAAAAAACAGAAAACAACCAACTTAATATGTAAATTCTCTTTAACAAATATGTAAAAATACTGGCTCTGATCCAGACACAATGCTGGTGATACAAAAAGATTATGACCTTTTTTCCTCAAGAAAAATACTTCTCGTAGGCGAGATAGATATGTAAATAAAGTACAGGAAAATGTGGTGAGTATAATAATAGAAATGTGTATATTGGGCTGGGTGCAGTGGCTCACACCTGTGATCCCAGCACTTTCGGAAGCTGAGGTGGGCAGATCACCTGAGGTCAGGAGTTTGAAACCAGCCCGGCCAACAAGGTGAAATCCCTTCTCTACTAAAAATACAAAAATTAGCCAGGCATGGTGGTGCATGCTGTAGTCCCAGCTACCTGGGAGGCTGAGGCAGGTGAACTGCTTTAACCTGGGAGGCGGAGGTTGCAGTGAGCCGAGATGCGCCACTGCACTCCAGCCTGGGCAACAGAGCGAGACTTCATCTCAAAAAAAAAAAAAAAAGGTATGTGTTTATATATATACATGATATAGAAGTTACAGAAAAGTAGCAATGATTGTTTGGAGTAGCAATGGAACAAGTAGGTCAAGGATGGGTTCTAGGAGGAGTTCGAAAATATATACCAGGTAGATAAAGGGTCGTTCGTATTTCAAAATAACATGCATGATGATCAGTGGACCACACATTATTGATTCAACTGTTTTAAAGAAACCAAATAACAGTGATTTAACTTTGATAGAAAGTTAATTTTCTCCCAAGTTTAAATTGGTTTTCAGCTCAGGGCTTCTTCGCTCCACAGGATTATCCAGGGATCAAGGTTTCCACCCCACCTCTTTTTTGTTGTTGCAGTCTTCTAGGGTTTTTTTTTCTATGTGGTTGAAGCTTGCTGACTACTATGTCTGAATTGTAGCCTGTGTGAAAGAGGCAAGAGGAGATACAGAATAAGCAATTTCTTACAAGCATGTGAGCTATTGCTCTCATCACTTTTGCCCCATCCCATGGTCCATAGCTTAGTCATACGGCTTAGCTCAAGGTCTGTGTTTTGTAGCATCTAGGTGGGTGATCATGTGATCATATACCTGGCTAAACTTTATTAAAAGAAGAGGGGAGAGATTTGGGGAGAAATTAAGGTTTTGCCATACCTGAGGAAGAACCAGGAAACCTAAAGGAATAAGAAAATAGAAGGCAAGAATTTTTTTGTTGTTGTTATATCCCCAACTCCTAGAAGAGTGCCTGACATATAGCAGGTACTCAATAAATAATTGTTGGATGAATATATATATATGTATGAATAAACAAAATTTTCTAATTTAAGATCAATTAGAAATTATTAAACAACATTTCAAATTATATAGTGAATCAGTGGGAGAGCTTTTGTCTACAAAATTTAACCAATGTGAAACTAAACTTTTAAAAGTGGAGTAATATCGCTGGAATTGTTGGAATTTCACAAAATGACAGAATTAACTGTCTTGTCCTCTATTTATTATAAAAATATTTAGGCAGGTGTATAGTTTGATGTTACTCAAGAAAGTTAAAACGTGTCCAAATACTGTAGCATTAACCTGTCAGAATAGAGACTTTGAAGTAATTTTCAAAGGGTGACTGTTAGTATTTTATAACATACCACAAATCCATTTTATATTAGCTGTGAGGCTCTCAGAACTTGCTTTGTTTTTTTTTCACTGTTAGATTTCTTGCATGATTTAAAATACTTGGCCTTCAGCCTGCTTCTCCAGAACACTTCTAAGTGTAATCGAAGGCCACTTACATTGTTGCTGGGTTTTCTTCACTTGTTCTTCATTATAAGATAAGAGTTCTTTCTAATTTTCTATAAATGTTGACTATCCCATTTTACAGAGGTATATATAATACCTTTCTGTTTGTCAAAAACTAAAATGTTCTTTCCTTTCACTTTTGTTAATATTGACTACCTCACATATTTCAAAAACAAAGAAAAGTGATAGCATTGTAGTTGAGGTTTCTTTCATTTGCTGAGAGTGGTAATCAAAGAATGGAACTTTCCACTAGGAAAAAATTACTTAAGCTATAAAATACGGTATATTAGGACTTGTCATAAGAAGTATTTATCAACAAAATAGGGCATGGCTATAGTTTAAAGAAAAATTTAAAATGTGTTTATTTGCTTTTTTTAGCCTTTCATAACATTTAATACCATAATAAATTACATAACTCTCATGACCTATTATATATATTCAAGAACCTATAAAATATATATATTCAAGAACCTGTAAAATCAGATCCATGTTATATATATATATATGTGTGTGTGTGTGTGTGTTTTCTAGTAGCAATTAGCAGACTTTTATGGCTGAATCCAGTTGGGTAGAGTTTCATAAATATAGAAGCACTTACTGTAGTTTTCATAGGTTTTAGATTTTACAGTCAATTCTAACTAAAAAATCTTTGGGGATTAATAAAGTTAGGTAAAAGTTGGAAATAAAAACAGATTTGCATAGGTAATGCACACTGGAACTTTAAAGAAGTGCAATGTACTATGAAAGTGACTTAGTTTTTTATCTTTTTAAGAATAATTTTGGTGTCTTTATAAGTGCTTTGCTATCATTGTAGCAACTTGGTAGAATTTGCCACATTTTGTAAAACATGTTTGGTCTTCAAAAGTATGTTTAGTTAAAGATTGCTATATTTTCAATCAACTTCTGCTTTTTTTCATTTCAAAGTAATTCCTTTCAAGTGTACCTGTATATACAAATGAAGCCTTTTAAAATGACTTACTCTAATATTTTTTGACAAATCATAAAATAAGGAATTTTGATATTTTATCTTAGAACATTGGAGACTCCTTGGGTTCATAGCGTTTTTCAAAAGAAAATCTAAAGAGAAATTAATCCATATTCATACATTTCAGGTAAGAAAGTAAGGAAATGAAACATCACACATTGTCTTGAGATCTGTTGCTTCATACAGCCGTAGCTCTAGTAAGCTCTTTCCCAAAAAAGGGAAAACTGCTGAGCAGAGAGACTATAGGAACCTGCATGTGGGATCACCTGAGGTTTGCTTCTTGAGTGGCAAAAGTTGAAATACAAACACAGGAAGTCTGGCTTCTGCTAATTAGCACATACTTTTATGTCCCGAACAAATTCTCTTCTTCTTCTAAAGGAAGAAGGGTGATTTTGCTTTTATTCCCTCTATAGTACCCTTCTCCCTTCCATTCATCCTTTTTTTTTGAGACAGTGTCTTATTTACTCTGTCCCCCACAATGGAGTGCAAGTGGCACGAACTTGACTCACTGCAACCTTCACCTCTTTGTTTCAACTGATTCTTGTGTCTCAGCCTCCTGAGTAGGTGGGGATTACAGGCGCCTGGCACCACATCCAGCTAATTTTTTGTATTTTTAGTAGAGATGGGGTTTCACCAGGTTGGCCATGCTAGTCTCCTGGCTTCAAGTGATCTGCCCACGGTCGCCTCCCAAAGTGTTAGGATTACAGGCATGAGCCACTGCGCCCGGCCCCATTCATTCCTTGATTTAGGACTTCAGCATATCACACCAAATCTAGTAAAAGTTAAAAAACTTTTCAGTGGTTCTACATGTGCTGGCATCTCCTTTAATAACTCTCTGTCCCTTTATTACTATTTTCTATGACAAAGTACACATGTACACACATTCTGAATGCCTGCCGAGTGGCAAAAACTGTTCCTAACTATGGGGATATATTGTTGTCCAGAAGTTCTTGCCCTCAACTAGATCACTTTCTAGTTAGGGTATAGATAATATACAAATAAATATATATGTACTTATGATGGTGGAGTGTGTGTATGTGTGGCTATTATAGAAAGGTTGGTCAGGGAAGGCCTGCCTCTCTAAATTGGAGGTAACATTTGAATAGAGACTGAATGAAATAAGAGAACAAGTTATGAAGATATCTGAGAGAAAAGTATTCTTGAGACAGGAGGCAGCAAGTACAAAGGCTCTGAGAAAAAAAGGGGATTGAGCTTTTATAGGAACAAGAGGTATTTCTTCTGGGTGTTAGAAAAGGCTAAAATATCTTTGAAGAAAAACATGCTCAAAAAGTTCTGAGAAAAGTATTAAATACACAAAGGAAACTACTTTGATACAGGAGGACATAGAATTACATATTTTACTGACAATACATTCCTGAATATCTTTACATAATAGCAATCTTAACTTGCTTTTATTTGAATAGAAAAGCCTTTCGTGCAGAGTTTTTTTTTTTTTTTAACATCAGGAAACCCTTATGAGGCTAACAATAGACTTCAAGATTCTGTGAACTTCCTGAAATTTTATGCAGAGTACTGTGTGTACGTGCATGTGTACATTTTTCTTGGGTGAGTGGTTGTGTTTTCCATCAGGAATTCATGACTCATTCGTTGAGCAAATAGTTATTGGGTACCTACTATATGCCAGGCGTTACTCTAGATAATGGGGTTATATACATCAACAAAGTAGACAACAATCCTTGCCTTCATGGGATAGACGTGTAGATGGTATAAAGGTAGATATCTGTTGATAGAAGATGAATGGTAGAAAATAAGTAAAAAAAAGAAAGTATTTTAGATGGAAGTGCTAAGGAGGAAAAAACAAGTTGGAAGAAGGAAGTGTATGTAAGTAGTAGAGTTAGGATATTGAAATTTTAGATAGGATATCTCATGTGAACTTCTCTAAAAACATGACTTTTGAATCATGATCCAAAGAAAGTGACCGAAGGAAGGCGTTACATGCAGAAGAAACAGCAAATGCAAGGCCTTGACAGTATATCTGGTATGGTTGAGGACTAGCATAGCTAGCGTGGCTAGAGCAGAGAGCAGGGGTTGTAGGTGATTAGGTCATAGTAAGGCTACTGTCTTTTAGTTAGAGTGAGATGGAGACCCTTTGAAGGGATTGAGCAGACTAACATGATCTGGCTTCTAAAAGGCTCAGTCTCACTGCTGTATTGGCAGTAGACTGAAGGGAACCTGGATGGAAGCAGAGTCCAGTTAAGGGTCTTTTGCAATAACCTTGGCTAGAGATGAGAGTAGCTTGGACCTATTCATTAACAGTGAAAGTGATGACACTGACTGGAGTCAGGATATACTTTAAAGATATAGTTTATGGAATTTACTGATTGAATGGATATGAGGTGTGATAGAAAGTGAAGAGAGCCAAGAATGGTTGCAAGATTTTTTGCTGACAAAACTGGAATAATGAAGTTGCTTCTAATTGATAGGAAAGATTACAAAGCAGAGTAAATGAATAGGCGGAAGGGTTATTATCAGAAGCTCAGATTTGGACCTGTTAAGTTTGAGATGCCTTTTAGATGTCCAAATGGAACTGTGTAATAGGTCATTGGATATTCAAGTCTGAATCAGAGAAAAGGGCTGGGATAGGGATCAAATTTGTGAGTCATCTGCATATAGATAGTTCTTAAACTTTGATTTTCCTCAGTAAGTATGATGTTTGCTGTTTGTTTAAATATTCTTTATTATGTAAATGAATAGTTTTTAAAAGAGGTTTGATATTTAGCAGAGGAGCTGATATTTTTGTTATTTATCTATTTATTTATTTTTGAGATGGAGTCTCGCTCTGTCTCCCAGGCTGGAGTGCAGTGGCGTGATCTTGGCTCACTGCAACCTCTGCCTCCTGAGTTCAAGCGATTCTCCTGCCTCAGCCTCCTGGGTAGCTGGGATTATAGGTGCGCACCACCATACCTGACTAATTTTTGTAGTTTTAGTAGAGACAGGGTTTCACCATGTTGGCCAGGCTGGACTTGAACTCCTAACCTCAGGTGATCTGCCCGCCTCAGCCTCCCAAAGTGCTGGGATTACAGATGTGAGCCACTGTGCCCGACCCTGGTTTGTCCTTTTAATTGTGGATATACATTGGAATTTACTGAATAGTTTTTAAAACAATCTGTTGAGATAATTATTTTCTATAATCTATTGACATAACATACTAACTTATATCCAACTATTCTTATATTCCAAGGATAAACCCTATTGTATATTATTGTTTTCCAAATATTTCTGGCCACTATCATAGTAAAAAATAATTTTTGTATCATGACTCAATCAAACTTATGTGTGTATGTGAGAAAAAAGTTTCATGAGGGCCGGGTGTGGTGGCTCACACCTGTAATCCCAGCACTTTGGGAGGCTGAGGCAGATGGATTACTTGAGGCCAGGAGTTCAAGACCAGCCTGGCCAACATGGTGAAATCCCGTCTCTACCAAAAAATAAAAAAATTAGCCAGACGTGGTGGTATGCACTTGTAGTCCCAGCTACTTGGAAGGCTGAGGCAGGAGAACTGCTTGAACCTGGGAGATGGAAGCAGGAGAATCGGTTGAACCTCAGGGGCGGAAGCAAGAGAATCGCTTGAACCTGGGAGGCGGAGGTTGCAGTGAGCCGAGATTGCATCACTGTGCTCTAGCCTGGGAGACAGGGTAGGACTCTGTCTCAAAAAAAAAAAAAATAGTTTAATGATACTATACTTATTATATGCAATGCAGTGAGTTTTTTTTCCCTATTCTTTCTGTCCTTCATGTTGATTGCAGACCACCACTGGTTTCTCTCAGCTGGAAATTATAAACCTTGGAAAATATAGTTATACAAGAATCTTTTAAATGCCTTTGAATTTAGTTTGATGATTGTTAGATTTTTGCATCTATAGTTATTGGTACTATTAATCAGTGTGTTTCGTGCCATTTTTATCTGGATTTGATGTCAGGATTATGAACTTCAAAGCTTCCCATCTTTTTCTGTGCTCAAGAGCAGTTTATATTACATGGGAATTATCTTTGTCTTTCAAGTTTGAAAAAATTAATAAAAGCAGCTTGTCCAAGAGCTTATTTTTGGAGGAGGGTCATAATTCTTTGATAATTACTGTTTCTTATGACTGGACCCATCTTTCACTAGATAGTTCTGAATCTTGCCTCCTCCCTTCATTCACGGCTCCGCTCAAATACCACATTTTAGAGAAGCCCCCACCTTGAGACCCCTTCTCACAAAGCAGTCCTCATGCCTTTCATTCCTTTGATTACATTTTTTTTCATAGTGCTTATTGCTACTTGGCATGCTATATATGTGTATGTTTGTCATGTTTGTCATGTTCTCTCCTTCCTACTAGAGTGTTAGCTTCATGATGGTAAGAACGTGGCCTATCATTTTTACTCATAGTCTATTCATTTTACTTTGTACATCAAGAAAAATTTATGGTACATATCGGTACTCAGTATTTGTAGAATAAATTAATAACCTTTTTCATCTTTCATGGCTCATAGTCTGTTTTTTCTCTTAATTTCTTAAGTGAATTTTGGTAGTTATATACCTAAGAAAGCCATCCAAATTTACTAGCATAACTTTGTACTTAGAATCTTATTTGTAAATGCCCTCAGTATCTGCATATGTTTTCTCCCACTTTTTTATTTCAAAAAATTTCAAATGAGTAGAAAAGTTGAAAGAACAGTACAAAGAACACCCATATACTACTCATCACCTAGATTTACCAATTTTGTCACATTTGCTTACAAAAACTAATACAACTAGATTACTTACAGAAACTAGTAGGTATTCTTTTGTGAATTTTCTAAACCACTTGAAAGTAAGTAACAGGCATTGTAGTACTTCACCCGTAAACATTTTAGCATGCATAGCCTGAGGCTAGGGATATTTTCATATATGTATGAAAAATAATGAAATATATATGTTTAATATGTATTAAACTATATAATTAGATATATATGTGTGTGTGTATTTAACTGTGAATAGATTTATAGAGATATAATTAAGTACTTTTTTTTTTTTGTTTTTTGTTTTTTTTTCTTTTTTGAGACCTAGTCTCGCTCTGTCACCCAGTCTGGAGTGCAGTGGTGTGATCTCGGCTCACTGCAAGCTCCACCTCCCGGGTTCACACCGTTCTCCTGCCTCAGCCTCCTGAGTACAGGTGCCCGCCACTATGCCCGGCTAAGTACTTTTCTTTTTAAGAACAGTTTTTAAAATTTAATTATTGGTACTTTTTAAATTTGTAGTTTATTGCTGCTTTTTTTCCTTATCCTGTTTTTCTGAGATGTGTTGTTGGTTTTCTGATTATCTAAGTTATATATGAGATTTGTGAGGTTTTTTTTTTTTAAATGATGAAAGAGTTTCAGTGTGTGAATTTGCCTCTAATTACAATTTTGGCTGCATCACCATGTTTTGATTCTTAGTTTTCTTGTTATTATTTTCTAAGTAGTCTGCAATGGCACTTTTTATTTCTTATTTGGGAGAGTATTTTATACTTTGCAACCTTTTTTGGCTTAAGTTTTTTAATATTTTTGTTTTATGGCTGAAGAATGCATCCTTTGTAGTTTCTATTTTTTAAAATATCTTGAGACTTTCATTCTGGCATATATGGACACTTGAAAATAACATGTGTTCTGAGAATTCTAGGTAAAGATAGTGGTTTGAACACCACAGTGGTAACTTATTAGAAAATTCCAACTCTTAAATCAGCAATGGCAAAAGCCAAACACAATCTAAACCTTAGTATCTTTAAAAGACTTAAAATGGGGCTCTAGATACCTCTGGAACTGCATGTTAGTGGTGAGCTTGGGGATGGGACAGGAGGAATCTGAAAAAGGGAATTTTTTTATCCTTACTTTATCATGCTGGGTAACTGCCCTTTCCTTGCCAGCACATGACTGGAGAGATTAAAATATAGGGTCTCTACACTGGGGGAGATCAGGAGTTGAAACTGAAAATAAGGAGATTAAGTGAATATATCAATATTGAATGCTGAGAAACTCCCCTTACCCTCCACCACCATTTCTCTTCCTTGATTTAGCTCCCAGAACTCTGGCAGCCAGGCCTCACCCTCTAGGCAGGAGATAAGAAGAGGTTTAGTTCAAGGATCTAATGATAGTAAGGCTTTTGACCCAGCTTTACAATTTTTTCCTTCCCATTTTGAACATTCATGGTGGCTTTCCTCTCTCTTTCCATTTCTGGATAAAGAGATACTTGGTCATTTCTGGTACTTTGTGAGAACTATTTGACATGATTTAAGAATCATTCTTATAGTTTTTTTCTTTTTTACTTTTTTTTTTTTTTGAGACAGAGTCTCACTCTGTTGCTCAAGCTGGAGTGCAGTGGTGCGATCTTGGCTCACCGCAACCTCTGCCTCCTGGGTTCAGGTGATTCTCTTGCCTCAGTCTCCTGTTTAGCTGGGACCACAGGCGCATGCCACCGTGCCCAGCTAATTTTTGTATTTTTAGTAGAGACGGGGCTTCGTCATGTTGGCCAGTCTGGTCTTGAACTCCTGGCCTCAAGTGATCCACCTGCCTTGGCCTCCTAAAGTGCTGGGATTTCGGGCGTGAGCTGCCTCATCTGGCCTATAACTTGTTTTTGATGCTTGTTTTCAGGTTTCTCTTCTGTCTTCCTCTCTCCCATGTTCTCTTTACCTTTTTTTTCTTTTAATAGCTCTTTGAAGTTTTTCATTTCTATTTTCTTCTTCCCTTTCTCTCATTACTTTTTTATCCCACTCTTTTATACTTTTCCCTCCCTCCTTGGTCATCTACTTACATGTCAGAAAGACATGAAAGATAGAATGAAACCTATCAGAAAATTAATGTGAATTAGTGGGAAGTGTGTCTCACAGAATAGTTTTTCAATGACATGCAACCTAATTAATTTTAGTTACAGAGTGTCTAATAAAAAATATTGCCTGGTAGATGTTGCCTGAATTAATGCTATATAATTAACAAATTGTTGTTTTAAAAGGTTGTTTTCTAAAGATGTTTAAATGTTTTCTTATAATCTTATTTACATTATTTATGTTTTTAAAACATATTTGGCACAGTTTCTGAATTATTAATTCCAAGTTAGTGACATCAGTAAGTTTATTGTGAAGCATCAATTCCTCCTGTGAGTAGAGCCCTACTCTGTTTTTTTATATCACAGGACAGATTCCTGTTAGTATACTATAAATCAAGTTAAGTCAATAAAAGCAAATAAAGTATTGTAAATAAACTACATACTTTAAAAATATGGATGTTACTTGTTCTGTTTCAGTTTAAAAACTATTACTATAGTATTTTAATAATATTTAATTCAAATATAAAATCTTGATTATTTGGAATGAGGAAAAATGATAAAAATTTCACTAAGTACAATTGAAATGATGAAAAACCTCTTTAAAGTACAATATATAAATGCATTTATATGATAGCCTAGGAGATTAGGCATTAAGTTAAAACATTAAAGAAAAAAACTATAGCCATATTACAATCATGTAAATATCCAGATCTTGAGAACATGTAAATAATAATGCTATTGGCAAATCCAATCTAAGCTTGTTTTCTAGAGAGAAGAAAAGAGTAAGACAACTCAGAGTTATATTTATACCAAATCATGTCAAGGCCTGATTTAACAAGTATTTCTTGTCTGGATTTCAAATATATTTGGAGCTTTGACATACTTAATATAAAAGCAAAGCCTTTGATATGTTCTTTGTTTTTCTTCTTTTTAAAGTGTAGACATGGTCCAATTATAGGTGAGTATCATTTTGTGTGCTTGTGTAACAGTGAATGGTTTTGTGGCAAGCGTATTGTCAACCTGGCAGCTGATAAAAGCTGAAGCATATTGTAACAAAAATAAACAAGTTCAGGACAAGGGACTATAAACAATAGTAAAATCTTATGTTGAAATTAGAGAGCCTTTGGTTTTAGTGAACATGTTAGAACAGGAAAAGTGAATGTTCTGGAGTTCAGCCAAACAGCAAGATGTGGATAGTATAAGACATGGAAATTAAATGCTTATTTTGAAGCAACTGGGTCCATAGGTTGAAATAGTAGCTAGCCAGGAATATTGCTTACATCTACAAACAATAACTGGATAAAAGGAAGCAGCCCATTGGTTCATGGCTCACTGCCACTTCCCTTCCTCCTTTTCCCTTATTCCTTCTAGTTAATAATTAACTTTTCTTTTGTTGCATTATTTTTGGTGTACTATAGTGTACTGTGTCATAAATAAGGGAATTATAAAGAGAGGAAAATAAACTTTAGAATGTAAAGTAGAGGAAGTAGGCTGGCAATAGATCTTAGATCTCCAAGGATATGGAGCTAAGAAAGAGGAAAAACTAATATTTATCCAGAATCCTCCATTCTGTGTCAGCTCTGTCTTTGTTGCTTTATTATAAGAGAAGTATATTTAGTTGGGGTGAGTCATCCTTGCAGTATTTTATGTTACATCATTTGAATTATTTTTGATCAAAAACTATTTTTGATCAAAAATAATTTATTATCATTTCTAGTGTTCTTACCTATATTATCACAAAATCAGATTTTAATTTCCCAGAAGTTTTGGAAATTCAAAGTGTGACTCTCCCCTACTAACAGATTTGAATAATAGCATAAGAAAAACCATACCGTTTGAGAGAAATAGCTAACTTTTCTCATTAATCCATTGTATTTACAATGTAGTGATCATAGATAATAGAATGACACATGATGAAAAATATAAATGTTGCATAATGTGTAAAAAGGGAGTAAACTGATCTCCTTTCCCTTGCCAGCCACTTTGCTGCATAGGCAGCTTTCTTTTGTTGGCTTTATTTAAAAAGCAGTGGTAAGCTGGGCATGGTGGCTTATGCCTGTAGTCTCAGCTACTCAGGAGGCTGAGCAAGAGGATCTCTTGAGCCTGTGAGTTCAAGATCATTCTGGGCAACATAGCAAGATCCCACATCTCTAAATAAAAATAAAAATAAAAACAAAAACAAATTTAAAACCAGTGGATAAATATGATAGCATTTACTGAATTCTGTCTTTATCCAAATGCCTGGAGAAGAAATTAAGTGGATCTGAAAGATAATTCCTTATGAGTGTCATTAGTATTACATCTAAAAAAAATAACATTTATTAATATAGTATTTACAGAAACAATAAAAACATCTATAAGGCCATGTTATGAATTATTAAATATAAATACAAAGTTAAGCATTTTCCAAACAGCTTTATCATAAATAATGATAAAAGCTGCTTTTGCCTCAGAGCACCCTTCTCCCATTACAGATTTTGGCAAATATTCATTTGTTAAAGTGATGTAAAGCATAGCTTATACCACAGCTTGTCTTTATATGAATTTTCATGTATTTGTAGATAAATAATGTTTTCTAAAACAGAGGCTGGCAAACAATGGCTCCGTGGCCTGTTTTTGTATGGCCTGTGAGCTTAGAACCCCTTTAAAGGGTTTTATTTAAAAAAAAAAATAGAAGAATAATATGGAACAGAAAGCATAAGTTGCCCTTAAAGTCTAAAATGTTTACCATCTATCTCTTTACAAAAAATATTTACCAAGTTTAAAATATAAATACATAATGTATAAACCTGGGAGGTTTCAGTTCCAGGTGAGACAGCATAATCACAAGACACCCTCTCTCTCCCACTGAATGCAGCTGTTATAAATGGACAGAATACATGGAATAGCTACTTGAGGATTCTGAAAAGTAAATAATAGCAGGTTGGGAGAGAAGACCAGATTTCGAAGTACCATCAAACTAGTGGCAAGTTTGCCATTTGTCCCCTTCTGTCGTCACCTGGCCTGGTCTCAACACTGCCTGAAATTAGGCAGCAGACCTAAGTGTAGGCAGAGAGAGCTCCAGGAGAAACCGTCCAGTTATAGGCTTGAGAAGTGGAAATCATGTCTCCTTGTAGTAATAGTAGGTATAGGGCAGGGGTCCCCAATCCCTGGGCTATGGACTGATAATGGTCCGTGTCCTATTATGAACTGGGCCTCACAGCAGGAGGTGAGTGGTGGGGGAGCAAGCAAAGCTCCATCTGTATTTACAGCCGCTCCCCATGGCTCGCATTACTGTCCAAGCTCTGTCTTGTGTCATCATCAGTGGCAGCATTAGATTTTCAAAGGAATGCAAACCCTATTGTGAACTGTGCATACAAGGGATCTAGGTTGCATGCTCCTTCTGGGAATCTAATGCCTGATGATCTGAGGCGGAGCCGAGTTAGTGATACTAGTGCCGGGGAGCCACTGCAAATACAGATTAACATTAGCAGAGAAATTTGACTACACAGAGGCCATAATAAATCAATTGCTGCAGTCTCATATCAGAACCCTGTCAGTGAGTGGCAGGTGACAATAAAGCTGCATCTGGTGGCAGGCTTTATAATGGCAGGTAAGCTGATGTACTTCAATTGTGCAGCTGCATTTGGTGGCAGGCTTTAAGTCAGAATCCAACCCTTATTTTAGTCCGTGTATGTCCTGCCTATTATTTGATTTACCACTTCCCTCTGCACCTCTTTCCCGCACTGCGCACTTGTCTCAGTCACAGTTTTGGTAAGCCCACAGGCTAACCCTAGCCAAAATGAGTACAAAACAAATGCCACTGGAGAGCTTTTTTGAAAAGGGGGAAAGACTCAATGACGAGACAGCAGAAGACTCTAAGACTGCCAGCCAAAAGAAAGCTGCATTTAAAAGAAATACCAAGAGCAAGATTCCTTCTTAAATTAACGGGTTTGTTGCAATGGGTGATTCACATTCTCCAAGCCCACTTTGTATAATATGTGGTGACTGGCTGTCCAGTGAAGCCATGAAATCCTCAAAACTGCTTTGTCACATGGAGACCACTTACCCTTCATTAAAAGGCAAGCCTTTGGAGTTTTTCAAAAGAAAAGAACGTGAACACGAAGAACAGAAGCAATTATTGAAGGCCACCACTTCATCAAATGTGTCTGCACTGAGAGCATCATTCTTAGTGGCTAACCACATTGCTAAAGCTAAAAAGCCCTTTACTATTGGTAAGGGGTTGATCCTGCCTGCTGCTAAGGACATTTGTTGTGAACTTTTAGGAGAAGCTGCATTCGAAAGGTGGCACATGTTCCTCTTTTGGCTAGCACTGTAACTAGATGAACTGATGAAATAACAGAGGATATTGAAGCACAATTGTTAGAGAGGATTAATGAATCACTGTGACACACAATCCAGGTTGACAATTCTACTGACGTTAGCAAGGCAACAGTGCTTGTTTTTGTGTGATATATTTTTCAGGAGGATGTATATGAGGATATATTATGTGTACTTTTGTTGCCAACCATTACCACAGCTGCAGAACTATTCAAGTCTTTGAATGATTACACATCAGGAAAACTGAATTAGTCATCTTGTGTTGGTATATACATGGACAGAGTGGCTACCGTGACTGGACAGCTTTCTGGTTTCACTACTTAGGTAAAAGAGGTCACTTCTGAATGTGAGTCTGCGCACTGTGTCATCCATAAACAGATGTTGGCTAGCTGAAAAATGTCACCCGAACTTCAAAATGTTTTGCAGGACGTCATTAAAATTATCAGTTATGTTAAAGTACATGCCCTTAACTCTCATCTGTTCACGCAGCGCTGTGAGGAGATGGACGCAGAGCACAGACGTCTTATACACAGAAGTGAGATGACTTTCTAAAGATAGGTCACTGGCCAGAGTTTTTGAGTTACAAGAGCTGCTCCAGAGATTTCTTTTAGAAAAACAGTTACCATTGGCAGCACATTCAGTGATACAGAATGGGACACAAAACTTGCTTACTTGTTTGACATATTCAGCCTGCTCAAGAAACTCAATCTGCCACTTCTGGGAGCAACAACAACTGTGTTCAAGTTGGCAGATAAAGGGGCTGCATTCAAAGTCAAACTGGAATTACGGGGGTGACTAGTGAACATTGGGATTTCTAACACATTTTAAACAATAGCAGAGATTTTTAAAGAGACTTAGCCAGGGCCTCCTTTCTCCCAGCTGGTGCATGATCACCTCTCTCAGCTTCCGAAGAGTTTGGGCATTACTTCCCAACCACAAAAGGCTCCTGAATTGGGAAGGAATAGATCCTTGGCCCATTTGTGAGATCACAAATGACAGTGACCTTGAAAGTAGGTTTGAGATAGCTTCAAATCTCCATATGTTCTGGATTAAAGTCACTGTGGAATATCCTGAGATTGCCACAAAAGCACTGGAAAGCCTGCTTCCATTTCCAACATCCTCTTTGTGAAGGAGGGTTTTCCACAGTGACAGCAACCAAAACGAGATTACAGAGTAGATTGGACATAAGCAACACACTTCAGGTGTGACTGTCTCCCATCCTCCCCAGATGGGACATCTAGTTGCAGGAAAACAAGCTCAGGGCCCCCACTGATTCTACAGCATGGTGAGTTATATAATTATTTTGTTATATATTACAGTGTAATAATAATAGAAATAGAGTGCACAATAAATATAATGTGCTTAAATCATCCTGAACCTCCCACCCCCACCGCACTGGAAAAACTGTCTTCTACAAAACTGGTCCCTGGTACTAAAAAGGTTGGGACCACTTGTGTAGGGTAAGGCACAGGTATCTAAAACTTTGAGAGAAGGGAACTTTCCTTTTTTAAAAAAAAAGAAAAAAAAAAGGAATTTTGTTTGCGACAGGTCTTGCTGTGTTGCCAAGGTTGGAGTGCAGTGATGTAAGCATAGCTCACTGTAACTTCAAACTTGGAGTCAAGGGATCCTCCTTTTTCAGCCTCTCAAGTAGTTAGGACTACATGCGCTCCACACGTGGCTAATTTTTAATTTTCTTTTTAGAGATGGAGTCTTGCTATGTTGCTCAGGCTGGCCTCGAACTCCTGTTCTCAAGTGATCCTCCAGCCTCAGCACCCAGCATGCTGGGATGAGAGGTGTGAGCCACCACACCCAGCTAGAACCTGTCTTTATGTTTAGAGGAGCTGTAGTCACAAGAGGGTGGGGCATACCACCCTTGCTTTTTTTCTCTGTCTTTGTCCTCTGAGGGCTAGTTGGCCCTCAGTGGAGAAACATTTGGTTGCAAAAAGTGTCAGAACTGGGTAAATAAAGCCCCAGCTTTCTTGGCAGAGCTGAAAAGGTGAGCCTCAGGGAACCCAGAAGTACGGGGGAGATCAAGCAGAGTGTGGAACTTGGAAAAGTGATCTCATAAAACTATAAACTCCTGGAGATGAAATAAATGGAGATGACAGAAGAGAGTCAGGGAACTCTAAGATCATAGAAATTTTCCAATCTGAAAAGCAGAGAGGCAAAAGACTGGAAAAAAATGAAGAGAGCCTGAGGGTCCTGTGGGATAGTAACAAAAGATCTAACTTTCACATCAGTGGAATTCCAGAAGGAAAGAAGAAGCGTGGTACAGAAAATTACTTAAAGAAATAATGGCAGGATTACAGAGAAACTGCAACTCTCATACATTTCAAGTAGGAATGCAAAGTAGTACAGCCACTGTGGAAAACAGTTGTATCTTGTAAAGCTCATCATACAATTACCGTATGTCCCAGCAGTTCTACTGTGGGTTTTTAACTCCACACAATGAAAAATTTAAAGTGAAATGAAAACCTACATTCACACAGATATCTGAACACAAATGTTTACAGTAACTCTATTGATAATTATTAAAAGCTGGAAAAACCCAGTTTTGTTCATAGATGTTTTCCTACATGTGAAAAAATCTCTGGTGCATCATACAGTGGAATTTTACTCAGCAATAAAAAAAGGTATGAGCTGTTGTATAGACACAGCAACTTAGAATCTCAAAAGGTTTTGTACTGTAACTTAAGTGAAAGAAGCCAGTCTGAAATTGTTACTTACTGACACCAAAAGCACAGACAACAAAAGAAGTAGAAGATAAATTGGACTTCATCCAAATTTAAAACTTTTGTGCGTTAAATGACATTATCAATAGAGCACAAAGGCAACCCACTGAATGGGAGAAAATATCTGGAAATCATATATATGATATGAGACTTGAATCTACAGTACATAAATAACTTTTACAATTCAATAATAGAAAGATAAATAACTCAATTTTGAAAGGAGCACAGAGCCTAAATACATATCTCTCCAAAGATGATATACAAATGGACAATAAACACATAACATTATTAGCTGTCAGGAAAATGCAAATTAAAATCACAATGAGATACCCCTTCATACTCTGTAGGATGGCTATTATTTAAAAAAATAAAATAACAAGTGTTGACGAGGATATAGGGAAACTGGAACTCTTATTTATTGCTAATGGGAATGTAAAATACTATAGCCGCTATGAAAAACAATATGGCAATTCTCAAAAAATTAAACATAGAATTATATGATCCACCAAATCCACTTCTAGATACATACTGAAAAGAATTCAAAGCAGGGACTTGAACAGATGATGGCATACCCATGTTCACAGTAGCATTCACAGGAGCCAGAAGGTACAAGCAGCCCATATGACAATTAACAGATGAATGGATAAAGTGCAGCACACACATGGAATGCAATAGTATCAGCCTTTACAAATGAAGGAAATTGACGCATCCTACAACATGCATGAACCTTGAGAACATTTTGTTATGTGAAATAAGCCGGTCACAAAAGGACAAATATTGTATCATTCCACTTGTATAAGGTACCTATAACAGTGAAATTCGTAGAGATAGAAAGTAGAATGGTGGTTGCCAGGGGCTGGAGGAAGGGGGCAATGGGGAGTTATTGTTTAATGGGTTATATACTGTTATTTTGTTTATATGACATTTTCAAAAAGAACACTAGTAAATAAGTGGTTACCAGGAGTCAGGAGTGGATGGTGTTTGTGCCTGAGAGAAATCACATGAGGGAATTTTTTGGATTCTGTATCCTGTATTGGAGTGGTCATTACCTGAATGTATGCATGAGTTTCAAAAGATACACCCCCCAAAATGTTAATTTTACTATCTTTCGATTTTAAAAATGTAACTTAAAAAATATATAAACATATAACAACATAATTAGCTTGTTAGGAGCTGTAGTGGTGGTCAGGCAGGGGTTTGGGTTTATGCCTCTAGATCAACAGTGAAAATAATTCTTTTTTTTTTCTTTTTGAGACGGAGTCTCGCTCTCTCGCCCAGGCTGGAGTGCAGTGGCGCATCTTGGCTCACTGCAGCCTCTGCCTCCCGGATTCAAGCAATTCTCCTGCCCTCGGCCTCATGAGTAGCTGGGATTACAGGTGCCCGCCATCATACCTGGTTAATTTTTTGTATTTTTAGTAGAGATAGGGTTTCGCCATGTTGGGCAGGCTGGTCTCGAACTCCTGACCTCAGTTGATCCACCTGCCTTGGCCTGCCAAAGTGCTGGGATTACAGGTATGAGCCACTGTGCCCGGCTGAGAATAATTCTTATATTGCTTTATATCTTCATTAAGAAGTAAACTGTGGGCCAGGTGCACCCTGTCTCTAGTAAAAATACAAAAAATTAGCCGGACATGGTGGTGCACACCTGTAGTCCCAGCTACTCGGGAGGCTAAGGCAGGAGAATCACTTGAACCTGCGAGGCAGAGGTTGCAGTGAGCCAAGATTGCGCCACTGCCCTCCAGCCTGGGCGACAGAGCAAGACTATGTCTCAAAAAAAAAAAAAAAAGTAAACTCTGTCTTGCATTTTATAGCATCTTAAAGGGCTAGTTTAAATAATTTTAAATGCTAAACTAAAACTAATTTTTTTATTAAGAGGTAATAAATGCACATAGTGAAATATTTAGAAAATACTGAATCGTCTAGGTAAGAATACAAAAATCATTCAGAATTCCTGTAATCATTCACCATTTTAGTACTTTTTATTACTGCTCTTTCTGTATGGACGTATTTTTTTTTTATGTAATTGCTATTATATATTGACTTTCGTATTCTTTTCCCTTTAACACTGTATCTTGAACACTTTCCCATGTCATTAAAATCCTTGCAAAGTATTTTAATAGCTGTTTCATAACCTATTATGTAGATATATAATTATTTATTCAACTTTATTTCTTTTGTTGGGCATAATAGATACATAGGAAACCAGAAGTCTATCAGGATCCTACAAAGCTTTCTTTAAAAACAAAACAAAACAAAACAAAAAATGCTTCTGCTATAGCAAAGACTTACAAAACAAAAATGGTGACTTTTACTCATTCATTTCCTCAGACATCCTTCAGTCTGTCTTCTGTCCCAGGAGTCAGCAAACCAAATCCAGCTCTCCACCTGTTTTTGTAGAGAAAGTTTTGTTAGAATACAACTGTGCTCATTTATGTATTGTCTATGATTTCTTTTGCACCAGAACAGCAGAAGTGGAAGAATTGTGACAGAGGCCATTTGGCCTGCAAAACCTAAAATATTTACTGCCTTACCATTTACTAAGAAAGTATGCCAAGTCCTGTTTCTAATATCTCATTATTATAAATATTCTAATGAACATAAATTCAAGGCTCTCATACACACAGAATGCATTCTGTGTCTATGTACGAATGTGGCATTGTTTATTAAAAAATCTGAATTTAGACAAGGTACGATGGCTCATGCCTGTAATCCCAGCACTTTGGGAAGCCGAGATGGGAGAATCGCCTGAGCCAAGGAGTTCAAGAGTAGCCTGGGCAGCAAGATGAGACCCCATCTCTATAAAAATTTTAAAAATTAGCCCAGCGTGGTGGCGCATGCCTGTGGTCCTGGCTACTTGAGAGGCTGAGATAGGAAGATTGCTTGAGGCCAGGAGGCCGAGGCTGTAATGAGGTGTGTTAGTGTCATTGCACTCCAGTCTGGGTGACAGAGTAAAATGCTGTCTCAAAAAAAAAAAGAAGAAAGGTGAATTTAGTGGGTATAAACATGACATCATTTTCTTCATTCTCTTTCAACTGTGCCCGGTACTACTTCCCTTCTGCGTTAGACGCACGCATACTAGACAGATCTCATAGTTCCAGTGCCTGTGTTCCAGTTCAAAACTCTAATCTCATATCCAAAGATTTCCCTTGACTAATTTGGAGCCAGGCTTTGATGGCTTGTGTGTCCTGAAGTGGGGAGCACTTATTGCGATTTCAGCCTCCCAGGTTTGATCTTAGAATACTCAGTTCTAAGTACCTGGCCCCCAGTGCCTTTTCCAGGCCTAACTGCTCTGGGGTAGATGCCTGAAGAGGAGATTAAGGGGGAAAACCCAAATGCCTCTACTTCCCCGCCCATATTTGTGGTCCCCATTTTGGGTGGTTTGATTTCCTTCATATAGCACATGTTCAGTCATTCAGTCTCTCCTTCCTGCAGGTACCACCCAGTCTTTACAGATGAACCTCTTGGAGACTTTCCTCCTCACTTGGCTTCTGCTGCCTCTTGGGTTGGGTGTTGATTATGGTAGGACCTTTTTGGTGGCCTTAATTGTTGGCATCTTTCTTTAGAATATAGGGTACTGAATGCCTTTTTTCCTTTCAGATTTGAGTCTTCATTGTGAATCTTGAAGAAACTTGTTTCAAATGCATATATAAAGTTTATATCAGCTACTGAAACCACTGCTAAGCATTTTAAAACATTTTAAATGACAATGCATTTCTTAGCCAGACAACTGCATAGTAGATACATAGTAGGAAACCCTAAGTCTCAACTGCATAATAGATACATAGTAGGAAACCAGAAGTCTATCAGGATCCAACAAAGCTTTCTTTAAAAAAACAAAACAAAAAATACTTCTGCTATAGCAAAAACTTACAAAACAAAAATGGTGGCTTTTACTCATTCATTTCCTCAGACATCCTTCAGTCTGTCTTCTGTCCCAGGAGTCAGCAAACCAAATCCAGCTCTCCACCTGTTTTTGTAAAGAAAGTTTTGTTAGAATATAACTGTGCTCATTTATGTATTGTCTATGATTTCTTTTACACCAGAACAGCAGAAATGGAAGAATTGTGACAGAGGCCATTTGGCCTGCAAAGCCTAAAATATTTACTGCCTTACCATTTACAAAGAAAGTATGCCAACTCCTGTTTCATACTCTTCTAGAATTCTTTCTAAAACATAGATCAGATATACCATTTATCTGCTTAGAAACATCAAATGGCTTTTCACTGCTGACGGGGTATTTTCTAAGACCTTTACCTTTAAATCCCTTTGCAACCTAGTTTCAGATCACTCCCTCTGGTTCAAATTCAGTATTTCCTGCTGTTTTCAGTTGTGCAACTGGAAGACCAGACTTACAAATGGCAGCTTGCAGGCTGAATTTGGCCACTGGTCTTACTTTTTTGGGCCCAAATAGTGGTGGTGGTTTGTTTTGTCTTATTGAATCAGGATTTAAATACTGGACAGTATCCCATAAAAATCCAGATTTTTAGCTGTTCTTGACAAATCAGGAGTTCTGAGGACATTGGCCCCACAGCCCTCAGTCTGTTAACCCTTAGTTGTAGCAACTCTGCTGTCTCCACCCCTAGTGGTTGCTCTCCACCTCAGCACAACCTGTATCACACACATGGTATAAGCATATGCACCTAAACCCAGTCCTCCTCACTTGTACATGTTTCCCACTTTGGCCACTGTAGGCATTTGAGTTCGTAACCCTGGACCTAGATACAATGAGCTACCTCATGGTCCCCTGATCCACCTTTTATTTTTTTATTTCAATCAGTTTTTGGGGAACAGGTGGTGTTTGGTTACAGGAGTAAGTTCTTTAGTGGTGATTTCTGAGATTTTGGTACACTCATCACCCGAGCAGTGTACACTGTACCCAAAGTGTAGTCTTTTATCCCTCACTCCCCTCCCACCCTTTCCCTTGATTCCCCAAAGTCCACTATATCATTCTTATGCCTTTGCATCCTATAGCTTAGCTCCCTCTTATGAGTGAGAACATACGATGTTTGGTTTTCCATTCCTGAGTTACTTCACTTAGAAAAATGGTCCCCAATTCCATCCAGGTTGCTGTTCTTGCAGGGGTAAGGTGGTATCGCATTGTGGTTTTGATGTGCATTTCCCTGATCATTAGTGATGTTGAGCATTTTTCATGTTTGTTGGGATTTGTGTGTCTTCTTTTGAGAATTGTCTCCCCATGTCCTTAGCCTTCTTTTTGATGGGATTGCTTGTTTTTTTTCTTCCCGATTTCTTTGAGTTTCTTCTAGATTCTGGATATTAGTCCTTTGTCTGATGTATAGATTGCAAAGATTTTCTCCCACTCTTTGGGTTGTCTGTTTACTCTGCTGATTGTTTCTTTTGCTGCGCAGAAGCTTTTTAGTTTAATGAAGTTCCATCTATTTATCTTTGTTTTTGTTGCATTTGCTTTTGGGTTTTTTGGACATGAAGTCATTGCCTAAGCCAGTGTCTAAAAGGGTTTTTCCGATGTTATCTTCTAGAATTTTTATAGTTTCAGGTCTTAGATTTTAAGTCCTTGATCCATCTTGAGTTGATTTTTGTATAAGGTGAGAGATGAGGATCCAGTTTTATTCTTCTACATGTGGCTTGCCAGTTATCCCAGCACTATTTGTTGAATAGGGTGTCCTTTCTCCACTTTATGTTTTTGTTTGCTTTGTCAAAGATGAATTGGCTGTAAGTATTTGGTTTTATTTCTGGGTTCTCTATTCTGTTCCATTGGTCTATGTGCCTATTTTTTATACCAGTACCATGCTGTTTTGGTGACTATGGCCTTATAGTATAGTTTGAAGTCAGGTAATATGATGCCTCCAGATTTGTTCTTTTTGCTTAGTCTTGCTTTGGCTATGTGGGCTCATTCTGGTTCCATATAAATTTTAGGATTTTTTTTTCTAGTTCTGTGAAGAATGATGTCGGTATTTTGATAGGAGTTGCACTTAATTTGTATATTGCTTTTGACAGTATGGTCATTTTCACAATATTGATTCTTCCCATCCATGAGCATGGGATATGTTTCCATTTGTGGGTGTTGTCTATGATTTCTTTCAGCAGTGTTTTGTAGTTTTCCTTGTAGAGGTCTTTTACCTCTTTGGTTAGGTATACTCCTAAGTATTTTATTTTATTTTTTGGAGCTATTGTAAAGAGGGTTGAGTTCTTGACTTGATTCTCAGCTTGGTTGCTGTTGGTGTATAGCAGACCTACTGATTTGTTTACATTAATGTTGTATCTTGAAACTTTGCTGAATTCATTTATCAGTTATAGGAGCTTTTTGAAGGAGTCTTTAGAGTTTTCTAGGTATATGATCATATCATCAGCAAACAGTGACAATTTGACTTCCTCTTTATTGATTTGGATGCCTTTTCTTTCTCTTGTCTAATTGCTCTGGCTAGGACTTCCAGTGCAATGTCAAATAGAAGTGGTGAGAGTGGGCATCCTCCTTGTCTTGTTCCAGTTCTCAGGGTTCAAGTTTTCAACTTTTCCCCATTCAGTATTTTGTTGGCTGTGGGTTTGTCATCGTGGCTTTTATTACATTAAGGTGTGTCCCATCTATGCTGATTTTGCTGAGGGTTTCAATCATTAAGGGATGCTGACTTATGTTAAATGCTTTTTTCTGCATCTATTGAAATGATCATGTGATTTTTGTTTTTAATTCTGTTTATGTGGTGTATCACATTTATTAACTTGCATATGTTAAACTATGCCTGCATCCTGATATGAACCCCAGGTCATAGTGGATTATCTTTTTGATATACTGTTGGATTTGGTCAGCTAGTATTTTGTTAAGGATTTTTGCATCTATAGGCTGGGTGCAGTGGCTCAATCCTAGCGGTGCCTGTAATCCTAGCACTTTGGGAGACTGAGGTGGGTGGATCACCTGATGTCAGGAGTTCAAGACCACCCTGGCCACCATAGTGAAACCACATGTCTACTAAAAATACAAAATTAGCCGGGCGTGGTGGCACATGCCTGTAATCCCAGCTACTTGGGAGGTTGAGGCAGGAGAATCACTTGAACCCGGGAGGCAGTGGTTGCCATGATCCAGGATCACGCAATTGCACTCCAGTCTTGGTAAAAAGAGCAAAACTCTGCCTCAGAAAAAAAAAAAAAAGAGGATTTTTGCATCTATATTCGTCAGAGATATTGATCTGTAGTTTTCTTTTTTTGTTATGTTCTTTCCTGGTTTTGGTATTAGGGTGATATTGGCTTCATAGAACAATTTAGGGAAGATTCCCTATTTCTCTATCTTGTGGAATAGTGTCAGTAGGATCAGTACCAGTTCTTCTTTGAATGTCTGATATCATTCAGCTGTGAATTCATCTGGTCCTGGAATTTTTTGTTGGCAGTTTTGTTGTTGTTGTTTTTAACCATTTCAACCTCACTGCTTATTATTGGTCTGTTCAGAGTTTCTATTTCTTCCTGGTTTAATCTAGGAGGGTTGTCTATTTCCAGGAATTTATCCATCTCTTCTAGGTTTTCTATGTGCGTAAAAGTATCAGAGTAGCCTTTAATGATCTTTTGTATTTCTGTGGTATCAGTTTTAATATCTCCTGTTTCATTTCTAATTGAGCATATTTGGATTTTCTCTTTTTCTTCATTAATCTTGGTAATCATCTATCGATTTTATTTATCTTTTCAAAGAACCATCCATTTGTTTCATTTATCTTTTGTATTGTTTTTTGTTTGTTTGTTTCCATTGCATTTAGTTCTGCTCTGATCTTGGTTATTTCTTTTCTTCTGCTGGGTTTGGGTTTGGTTTATTCTTGTTTCTCTAGTTCTTTGAGGTGTGACTTTAGATTGTCTGTTTTTGCTCTTTCAGATTTTTTGATGTGGCATTGAAGGCTATGAACTTTCCTCTTAGTACTCCGTTTACTGAATCCCAAAGATTTTGATAGGTTGTGTCACTATTATCATTCAGTTCAAATAATTTTTTAATTTCCATCTTGATTTTATTGTTAACCCTATCATCATTCAGGAGCAGGCTGTTTAATTTCTACGGTTTTGAGGGTTCCTTTTGGAGTTGATTTCTACTTTTATTCCACTGTGGTCTGAGACAGTACTTGATATAATTTCAGTTTCTTAAATTTATTGAGACTTGTTTTATGGCCTATCCTATGATCTATCTTGGAGACTGTTCCATGTGCTGATGAATGGAATGTATATTCTGCAGTTGTTGGGTAGAATGTTGTGTAAATATCTGTTAAGCTCATTTGATCTAGGGTATATTTTAAATCCATTGTTTCTTTGTTGACTTTCTGTCTTGATGGCCTGTCTAGTGCTGTCAGTGGAGTTTTGAAATCTGCCACTATTATTGTGTTGCTGTCTATCTCATTTCTTAGGTCTAGTAGTAGTTGTTTTATAAATTTGGGAGCTCCAGTGTTAATGCATATATATTTAGGATTGTGATATTTTCCTGTTGGACAAGTTCTTTTGTCTTTATATAATGTCAAAATATAATGTCTTTGTCTTTTCTAACTGCTGTTGCTTTAAAGTTTGTTTTGTCTGATATAAGAATAGCTACTCCTGCTCACTTTTGGTGTCCATTTGTATGGATTAATTTTTTTCCCACCTCTTTACCTTAAGTTGATTTGAGTCCTTATGTGTTAGGTGAGTCTCTTGAAGACAGCAGATACTTGGTTGGTTAATTCTTATCCATTCTGCTATTCTGTATCTTTTAAGTAGAGCATTTAGGCCACTTACATTCAACATTAGTATTGAGATGTGAGGTACTATTCTATTCATTGCGTTATTTGTTGCCTGATACCCTTTTTTAAAATTTATTATGTCCTTGTTTTATAGGTCCTGTGAGATTTATGTTTTAAGGAGGTTCATTTTGGTGTGTATTTCAAGGATTTGTTTCAAGATTTAGAGCTCCTTTTAGCAGTTCTTGTAGTGCTGGGTTGGTAGTGGCAAATTCTCTCAGCATTTGTTTGTCTGAAAAAGATTGTGTATTTCCTTCATTTATGAAGCTTAGTTTCACTGGATGCAAAATTATTGGCCAATAATTTTTTTTTTAAGGAGGCTGAAGATGGGGCCCTAATCCCTTCTAGCTTGTAGGGTTTCTGTGGAGAAATCTGCTGTTAATCTGATGGGTTTTCCTTTTTAGGTTACCTGGTGCTTTTCCTCACAGCTTTTAAGATCCTTTCCTTCATCTTGGCTTTGGATAACCTGATGACTACGTGTCTAGGCAATGATCTTTTTGTGATAAATTTCCCAGGTGTTCTTTGAGCTGCTATGTATTTAGATCTCTAGCCACGCTGGGAAGTTTTCCTTGATTATTCCCTCAAATATGTTTTTCAAACTTTTAGATTTCTTTTCTTCCTCAGGAACACCAATTATTCTTAGTTTTGGTCATTTAACATAATCCCAACTTTTTGGAGGCTTTGTTTATTTATTTATTTTGATTCTCTTTTCTTTCTCTGTAGATTGAGTTAATTCAAAAATCTTGTCTTCAAGCTCTGAAATTCTTTATTCTGCTTGTTCGATTCTATTACTGAGACTTTACAGTGCATTTTGCATTTCTTTTAAGTGTGTCCTTCATTTCCGGAAGTTTTGATTATTTTTTATTTATGCTATCTGGTTCACTGAACATTTTTCCCTTCATATCTTGTATCACATTTTTTATTTCATTAAGTTGGACTTCACCTTTCTCTGGTGCCTCCTTGATTAGCTTAATAATCGACCTTCTGAATTCTTTTCCTGGCAATTCAGGGATTTCTTCTTGGTTTGGATCCATTGCGATCCATTGCTGATAAGCTAGTGTGATCTTTTAGGGGGATGTTTAAGAACTTTGGTTTTGTTATATTATCACAATTGTTTTTCTGATTTCTTATTTGGGCAGACTACATCAGAGGGAAGTTCTGAGGCTCAAGGGCTGCTGTTCAGATTCTTTTGTCCCACCAGGTGTTCCACTGATGTAGTGCTCCCCTCCTTCCCCTAGGGATGGGGATTCCTGAGAGCCAAACTGTAGTGATTGTTATTTCTCTTCTGGATCTGGCCACCCAGCAGTTACCAGGCTCCAGGCTGGTACTGGGGCATGTCTGCACAGAGTACTATGATGTGAACTGTCTTCAGGTCTCACAGCCATAGATAGCAGCACAGTTTTTCAGCTGTCTCTGGGGCCTGTCGCAGCAATCCACTTCCTTCAAAGGGTCTGTGGGCTCTCCTGATCCACCTTTGTCTCACATTACCTTATGCTGGTCCCTCTGCCTAGAAGATCCTCTTTGTCCTTCAAAATTCTCCATCCTTTAAGACTCAGCTTAGATACTACCTTTTTTCGTGATGAGTAAAGCCTTCCGTGTCAATTACTTCTTCCTCTGTGCCCTTGTAGCACTTCGTTCATATAAAGTGGTATTTCTTATGTTGTGTTTTAGTGTCTAGATTGTAATCTCAAGGGCGAGGTTTGTATCTTATTCGTCTTCCTGTTCCTGGTTCCATGTGTTGCTTGACAGAGTGAGGGTTAAGTAAATGTTGCTAAGTTGTATGGTATTAACATCTAAAAATTAGGAAGGCACTAAAGGATTCATTAGGCAGAGAGAAAAATTCTTATTTTTCCATCTTAAATGTATATTCTTTTAGTGTTTCACTTAGTTTCCCTTTTTCTCCCCTTAGTATACAACACGCTCACTTGTGTTTCTCAGACAACTGATACTTCATTTTCCTTATATAAAGATCACGAACTTGTAATAGCTGTGTCCAGAGTCATAAGCTAGTAAGGTGGTGGAAGTGGGGTTTGTCTGCCTTAAGTGCTCAGACACGTAGCTACTTGGCCACTCCTTACCATGTGTGTGCTCATGAATAAGTTACAGAGTTTTCTGAGTCTCAGTTTATAAGTGTAAATAAAGGATAATAATAGCACCTACCTCATAAGGTTCTTGGGAGAAATGAATAAGAATATCTATGTGAACACTCAGAGTTTGGCCCAAAGTAAGTACCCAATAAACAGAGCTGCACCATCAATTATTATTATTATTATTATTATTATTATTATTATTATTATTACTACTACTACTACTTTATGTTATGTAGGAGACATACAGATAACCTTTCTTTTCTTGGTTTAGACTGTTAGGAGTCATGGAAATTAAGAGTTTTGGCTCATCTTCAAAAGCTGTCTGCCAGGCCACACTTTATATAGTCTTAGAATATTACATTTGGAAGAGATTTTGGAGGACAACTGGTCTAACAAGTGCTTATCCAAAGCAGCAGTCCTCTCTTCAGTTTTCAGTCAAAGGTGATTAGTCATCTAGAGACTATCAGAACAGTTATAGTTAATAGAAGCTGCCACTTTAGAAGGAACATGTGATTGTTTAAAAATCATGTATGTGTACTTTGCTTTTTTTTTTTAAGTTCTGTCTTCTGTAAGATTGTAAAAATCCTTTATTCACATTGTAATCCTTTATCGGGGGAACCTGCCCCCAATATTTCATCGTAAGTTCTTTCTATTTTCCATAAGTGTCGGCCGGCTGAGAAATAAAGAGTATAAAGAGAGGAATTTTACAGCTGGGTCTCTGGGGGTGATATCACATATCGCTAGGACCGTGATGCCCACCTGAGCCACAAAACCAGCAGGTTTTTATTGAGGACTTCAAAAGGGGAGGGGGTGTACGAACAGGGAGTAGGTCACAAAGATCACATGCTTCAAAGGGCAAAAAGGAGAACAAAGATCACATGCTTCTGAGGCCAATAAAGATCACAAGGCAAAGGGCAAAGCAAAGATCACAAGGCAAAGGGGAAAATCAAAAACTCCTGATAAGGGTCCATGTTCAGCTGTGCACGTATTGTCTTGATAAACATCTTAAACAACATAAAACAGGTTTCGAGAGCAGAGAACTAGTCTGACCTCAAATTCACCAGGGTGGGGTTTTTTCCCCCACCCTAATAAGACTGAGGGTGCTGCAGGAGACCAGGGCGTATTTCAGTCCTTATCTCAACCGCGTAAGACAGACACTCCCAGAGCGGCCGTTTATAGACCTCCCCCCAGGAATGCAATTCTTTTCCTAGGGTCTTAATATTTAAAAGAATTGAGCGATATTGTTCCTACTTGCACGTCCATTTATAGGCTCTCTGCAAGAAGAAAAATATGGCTCTATTCTGCCTGACCCCACAGGCAGTCAGACCTCATGGCTCTCTTCCCTTGTTCCCTAAAATCGCTGTTATTCTGTTCTTTTTGAAAGTGCACTGATGTCATATTGTTTAAGCACACGTTTTACAATCAATTTGTACAGTTAATGCAGTCATCACAGTGGTCCTGAGGTGACTGACGTACATCCTCAGCTTATGAAGATAACAGGATTAAGAGATTAAAGTAAGACAGGCGTAAGAAATTATAAGAGTATTATTTGGGAACTGATAAATGTCCATGAAATCTTCACAATTTATGTTCAGAGATTGCAGTAAAGACAGGTATAAGAAATTATAAAACTATTAATTTTGGGAACTGATATATGTCCATATTAAAATGAAATATTCACAATTTATGTTCCTCTGCCATGGCTCCAGCCAGTCCCTCCCCTCCATTCAGGGTCCCTGACTTCCCACAACAATCCTTAGTCCTCCAAAATATTTGGACAGACTAACCTCTGTAGTAGTGGTTCTCAGAGTGTGGTCCAGGGATCCTTTTTAACTCAGACACTTTCCCCAGGAGTCTTTCTTCTTTTATCCCCTTTCTTTTAAATCAGAGAATCTATGAAGACCCTGGTATTGTAGACTAAGTTCTTTGTGTGCATTTTTCTGTAGCAAGACTCAGTGACCTAAAAATGTTTAAGAATCACTGGTTTGGACATGCTTGTGATTATATTTTGCCCTGAGATGAATTATGACATGTGCATCTCAATGGGACAAAAAAAAAAAAAAAGTTAAGAACCACTGATTTTTAGTTTTCTCATAATGATAAGAAAGTTATTGAATAAAAAGGTTAGGAATTACACAAAAAAGGAAAATCTGAGTGTTAAAACAGAGATAGAGACATAAAGTTCACCTGTGTCCACTGAGCCACTACCCTGACATCTTTTGTAGAAGTCTTCCCATCTAGTCTGCTTAGGGAATGGTTTCCGACATAGTAAGGGTTGCTAAGCAGACAGTAAGATTCAGTAAAGTGGTCTTTTTGTTTGAAAACATGTATGCTTCAGAATAAGGAATAACTGTTTTGTCTTGCAGTGGATAATCACTTTAGTTAAACATATATAGTTTTGTGACTGTTAAATATTCAAATACACACATATGCACAGGCACAAATATGGTGCTTAACATAGTCCTATATCCCCTTCAAGATCAACCCTGTCCCTGTTTGTTTTTCCCTTGCTGTACCAAATCATATAATGTGCTATTGGTAATATAATGGATAATATTATCTCCTCAAAGTAGTCATCCTGCCTCCGTAAGACCACAAAATGTTATTACATGGGAAAGCACTATTGGAAGTGCAGACTAACTGAGAAGTAGGCAGAAAACCTTGCAAGTTTGCTTTCCTGAGTTCTCTCTAGAACATTGTCATCCCAAATGAATTTCGTTTGCAAGTTTTGATAAAACTCATGCACATATACATTTTGTTTGCCTACACAGCTATCTTGTCATTAGCCAATTAAATAATCACAGTAATGCCTATGAGATATGTAACATTTCCATAATTTTGCACAATATCTAAAATAAAAAGTATTATAGCTGTACATATATTTTAAAATTCAGTAGAGGGCACAGTACTATATATTAAAGTTGCTAAAATTTGAATAAAAGTATAAACTGTGTTTTAAAACATTTTTGTGGTTTTTTTAAACTTAAATTGATAAAATCATTGAAACCATCCTAATCATGAAAGTTGCAGGGAACATAATTGTTTTATATTTCTGAAACATTTATTGTCATTTTAGCTTGCTAGAGGAATGGCAATATAAAGCTGCAGAAAGTATAGTTACAAAAATCTGAGAAGTTTAATGTATATAATATACCAATATAGATTATAACTGTTTAAAAAGATAGGTTGGAAACCTTGCTTTTTCTTTATCTCTTTTCCAAATTTTAAGTAGGTATAGGTCTTTAGCGGGGGGTGTAGAATTGATTAGAGCTGTGATGGTTACTTCAGTTGATGATAGAAAGAAGGACAATTTGAGGTAAAGTAGAGAATTAAGAGGGGAATTGAAGGCAGGGACACATGCTGATGCCTTTAGCCTTTTCTTTTTTATTTTTCAACATAAAATATGTAAGGTGCCTTCCCTGCCAGTGAACTACTTGCTTCAATGTAAATTAAAGTCTGTACGGTGTATGGACTTAATAAGGTGAACTAAGCATTGCTTTTATTTTTTTTCCTCTCAGAACTTCTAGTTAAGGATTGGCATAAAGTGAGAATTCCTGCAGTAATGTCCAACCTTTCTCATTTAGGATTTGGTACTGCATCATGCCCAAGTGGGTGTTGAATAAATGCTGTTGGATGATGATAAAAGGATTTTTTAAGGAGGAATTCTCTTTATGCTTATGCGGGGCACATTTCTCACAGTGCTCTCAGAGTCTTTGGAAAACAGAAATCTTGTTTGAACTTCAACTGTTGTACTGTATAAATTTTGCCTGTTAAGCTACTATAATTTTATATGAATCTTCTTCTTCTTCTTTTTTTTTTTTTTTTGAGACAGAGTTTTGCTCTTGTCGCCCAGGCTGGAGTGCAGTGGCACAATCTCAGCTCACTGCAACCTCCGCCTCCTGGGACCAAGCGATTCTCCTGCCTCAGCCTCCCGAGTAGCTGGGATTACCGGCATCTGCCACCACACTTGGCTAATTTTTGTATTTTTAGTAGAGACAGGGTTTCACCGTGTTGGCCAGGCAGGTCTCAAACTCCTGACCTCAGGTGATTCGCCTGCCTTGGCCTCCCAAAGTGCTGGGATTACAGGCGTGAGCCACCGTGCCCAGCCGTGAACTTTTAAAAATTGATTTATTTGGCACAGTGCAAAATCCTGTAAACATTTGAATGTAATATAACGGATTTTAACTGGAATATTTAGGAAGAATAAGAGTAATTGAATTTGAATAATAAACAGAAAGACTTTTCAAGGGTGTAATTTGGGTTTAGGAGTTTTATGAATAGAACTCATTCACTGTATATTTACTTACTGCTAAATGACAAGATAATTGTTATTGCATAGTGTTTGAAAAATTAGAATGTTAGCACAACATCCTGAAATTGTCTCTGTGTGAGATATGTATTATCTGAATGCATGTAGCAAGCAGTTTTATTTTGGACTCAAGAAAACATTAATTTCTAGACATTTTCTTAGTTTCCTTTAAATCAACAAACTTCATGAGAAAATGTCACTGTTTTCTTGGGGGGTGCGTGTAGGGAATGATGTATTCTGCTCCAAGATATGCTTTAGGGAAATTACTTGGAAGTCAAGGATTCTCAAGTGGAAAAACTTCAACTTCAGTTTGCTATAATATGTTCTATAAATCTATTAAATCTTGACATGTGAAGACATGTAAATGTGGCATTCGAAACAAAGAGCTATAGAGGTTTTCCCCTTTCACAGTAGGGTCATTTACTAGATAATTTGCATTGGTTGACTATTTGAAAAATAGTCTAGAATAATTTATTATCTTCTTGCTTTCTCATCATTAATGTTATGTATATTATTTTCTTTCAGTTGGATATGTCAAGTGACCAGATAGCTGCCAATCTGCAAGCAGTTATTAATGAAGTTTGTAGGCACAGACCGCTGAATTTGGGTAAGTGGTTTGCTGAGGGTAGACTTCCCTATGACCCTGTGAAACTTTAAAATGTAAAATATGAAGAAAAAAGTCAAATTAACATGCAAGTATAATAGCAAAATGTAAAATATTAAATAAAAAATCAAGTTAACATGCAAGTTTTATATTTCCAGGGATTAAATAAATAAAATTTAATTCTCCAAAGGATTTCTCTAGCATTAATAAGGAATGCATCCTGAAACCTTTGTAGATTCCCACATTATTACTAATAATAGATGTAGCAAAGTTTGAAAGAAAACTGTAACTGATTGCTTTAAACTTACAATGATGTTAGGGACTAAAATTATTTCTAAAATGATATTTTGAAACCAGATCATTCACTTTGTCATTGGCACTAGCAATTAGTTTTCTTAATCTTATTTATTTATTACAGGACAGAAAGAAGATCATTTTATTATGTCATGAGAGTCATTTATAAATGAGGTGACTCATAGAGAATCACTCAACTCAATTGAGATGTGGAAGCTGTGTAGTAGGCTAGAACACAGGCATCCAGTTTCTTTATCATTGCGTTGTGTGCTGTTCAAATTCCTTCCTCAGACAAATTTCACTTGTGGCTGCTTGAAGCCAAGCAAGGGTCCATTATACTCAATTGACTACTCATTTGTAGGCTTACCATGATAAGAATTTGTCAGGTTTAGTTTTATAACCAAGTTTATAATTAAAACACAATCTTAAGCTATTTTTTACCTTCTTTGGGAGTTAACCATACTGGTGAATAAATACCACCCTTGTTAATTTTCTTGCCCTAAATATGGCCATACTACTAAGTAATTGGATGTGTATGGATTCTTAGAGTCCACAGATAACTTTGATTTCAGTACAGGATCCTCTTGAGACAATAGTAGGAGTAGATGATGGACAGTAAATCCTCAAAATGTTGTTATTCTCTTTTTGCTATTTCATATGAAGCCCCTTAGCATGTTTAAATGTTGTGATTCTCTTTTTGCCATTTTATTTTAGTTTTTGAGACGGAGTCTCACTCTGTCACCCAGGCTGGAGTGCAGTGGTTTGATGTCAGCTCACTGCAACCTCCGCCTCCCGGGTTCAAGCAATTCTTCTGCCTCAGCCTCCCAAGTAGCTGGGATTACAGGCACCTGCCACCATGCCAGCTAATTTTTGTATTTTTAGTAGCGGTGGGGTTTCACCATGTTGGCCAGGCTGGTCTCGAACTCCTGACCTCAGGTGATCCACCTACCTTGGCCTCCCAAAGTACTGGGATTACAGGTGTGAGCCACGGTGTCCGGCTGTCTTTTTGCTATTTTAAATGAAGCCACTTAACGTTGTTCTTATGAAAAGCATTTTAGTTTTTAGGGAATTTTACCAACTGTGTGGTAACACAAAGGTAGCATCTGTGCTGACTGTTTTAAATAAATATTTATAACATTTCCATCAAATGTAAATATCACCACCTGCTCCCTTCACTGTTGCCTTTGCAATAAAATAAATTCTAGGTGATCATCTTCTGGAAGAGAGAAATGAATTATTAGTGAGTGTGTGTAGTTTGAAGGATAAATCTCTAATATTCTAGAGTACAACTAGTTTGTCTTCTATTCTAGAAATGAAACTATCTTCCCCTTCTTATAATTCAAAATATTAGTTCAGTAATACAGTACTTTTCACTGAAAATATGACATGAGTTCTATAAGTTTTCCTGTTGTATATTTGTACAGCAGGTCCTTGAATAACATCCTTTTGTTCAATGTTATTTTATTATAACATTGATAAGAAAAAAATAGATTCCTGGCCAGAGCCACTGTCTGTGTGGAATTTGCATGTTCTCCTCATGTCTGCATGGATTCTCTGGGTACTTCGGTTTCCTC
Source organism: Homo sapiens (assembly GCF_000001405.40). Classification (NCBI taxonomy): domain Eukaryota; kingdom Metazoa; phylum Chordata; class Mammalia; order Primates; family Hominidae; genus Homo; species Homo sapiens. The sequence goes on from NC_000004.12 coordinate 77,951,744, forward strand.
CCGCATCCCAAAGGTGGCATGTTAGGTTAATTGGTATGTCTGCATGATCCCGGTGTGAGTTAGTGTGTGGGTTGTGTACGTGTGCCCTGCAATGAGATGCTGCTTATCCGGAGATCATTCCCACCTATGCTCTGACCTGCCAGGATAGGCTTTGGCCTCCCACAACCCTGGACTGGAATAAGGGAGTTGGAAGATGAATTAATGAATACAAACTATTGTAAAATAAAAATGGGCAAAGTATATGATAATCATACAAATGCAGGACAATAAATGATGTGGTATGAAAGCACTCAGTGAGGCAACCATATTTGTTAGTTTGTTTTTGAACTGCACGGTGGCAGAAGGCGCTTCTTACAGTTTTCACTTTGCAAACACTTAGTCTTTGATTTAAGTCACCACCACTATGACTCCTGTCACTCTGATTCACCCACAGTTGGGTAAATAATTATTGCTTTTATTAATCTTAAATGTATTTATAGTTCAAATTTATTTCAATGGTTAATATTAGAAGTGTTTGAGCTCTTTATTTAGAAGCTTGGTGATATTTTTGTGACTAGAAATATGCCTGAGAAACTTAACTCTTATTAATTAGCCTACGGTACAATTGGTTTCTTTATAAGTTGTTTTGCTTAAAGTTGCAGTTTCCAAGAACCTAGTGACAATATTAAGTGAGGACCTACTTTATTTGCTCATGAGGTGGTATTGCGATATAAAAATCAAAGTTGATTCTCGTTTTTGTTTCCAGGTCCCTTTGTGGTACGTGCTTTCCTTCGTAGTTCAACAAGTGAAGGTTTATTACTGAAGATTGATCCATTGTTGCCTAAAGAAGTAAAAAATGAAGAAAGTGAAAAAGAAGATGCCTAAATGTGGTGAATTGTGAAATTACTTTCAGTGGTTTAAGAAGCAATGGAGAAAATGATAATACAGCATAATTTTTACATTTGATGTCTTGTTATTGATCATACTTGAAAGTGAACTTTAACATTGAAAAATCGTACAGTCATTTCAAGAATAAGAAAATAAAATTTTCTCTTTGTCTGAACCTGCCTTTTAGACCCTGTGACATTTTCTTTTTTAGAATCCAGAGTCTACGTACTGGTAATTATAGCAGCAGTTTCTGGCTTAATAACTTTCCCTTGGGAGTCATAACCATCTGAGGGAATAGTAACATCCTCAGTTCCCATAAAGCAGAAAATGGCAGAATCATGAGCTACATCACAAATATAGCTATTTTCTTTTAAAAAAAAAAAGAAAATAAGCATTCTAAAGTATTCTGAATACTATTTGTGATAGCATGAATATAGAAAATTACTAAGTCACTAAACCGTATGTTGGGTAATCTCTTTTTAGGAATCAGTTTGTAATTATATATATAATATGTATATGTAATATATATTATTATATAATTATATATGTAATATATACATTTGTAATAATACCACATATTTTTATGATGCTTTGTAGTCTACAAGGCACTGTATGCAGTGTTTTCATATACGTGACCTCATTTGCTCCTGAATTTCTCTGCTTAATAGTATAACAAGTGTTTGGTTAGTGTTTATCGAATGAACATTCCCATGAAGTAGCTAGAACAACTTCATTCATGGATTAAAAATCAGGCCAAGAAGTAAAGCACCTTGCATCAAGTACCAGTTTGCAGACCGATGTTAATCCTTAAGTGCTTACTGATATATGACAAAGTGAAAAAAATAAGGATAATTTTTGGCATGCAGTTGCCAGCTGTCCTTTCTTGGGAATGATTACTTGAAGTATCTTCCACTTTTTTAGGGATTATTCGAATGAGTTTTCTTTTATGAAATAATAGTGATGGTGACTTTGTTGGTGGGGTTTAAATACCTACTTTGTTTTTTGTTTTGTTTCATTAATGCACCTCATTTTATTTTAGTTTTGGTGTTGACTTGCCAGCTCTAGCTTTTCAAGGTAAAATCTTTTTTGAAGAAGAGCTGGGTAACACAATTCTCACAATCCAAAATGTATGATTTTAAAACAATTGGATTTCTAATAACACGAATTATTTTGATTCATTTTGCATTGATCTATTTGGGAACCATAAATCTGCCTAGAGCACACAGAATCTGCACACTCAACTTGGCCAAGGAATAGACATGTTTCAAGATGAAGTTCATCACTACCAATGAAGTATTTATTCTTCCCAAGGCTGTTCTGCTTAAATCTAATCAAGCTTATAGACCTACATCTCAGTTTACAGAAGATATAGGAGATGGCGGGACAAATCAACTGACCTCAAGTGGGAATAATTAGGCCAGTTCAGAATGTGGGATGTTATACAGTTCAACCCTCCCAGCCTCATAGAAACAAGCAGAAGGAGAAACCATTAAAGAGAATTCAGACATAACAATTAACTCTAGTGTGGGTTAGTGATAAATGCATAGTTTGAAAACATCAGCTGTACAAGACATTTGAGGGAAAATTGATTAATACCTACTTTGTAAAGGAAATTTTGACAGCTCCATATAGGTCTCCCAAATTCTTTTTGAAATGTTAGTGATCTGAGAAGTCCAAATGACTGAATAGCCACAGTACCCCACTAAGCTTTTTTATCCCCCCACAGAAAAATTAAAACTTAGGGGTTGCTTACCCAAAACAGCAATAACATTACTAGAAAACAATAACAGCAGTTACCTTTTACTGAGTGCTGCTATGGTTTGAATGTGCCCCTCAAAAAGTATGTGTTGGAAACTTAATCCTCAATGCAACAGTGTTGGGAGATGAGGCCTCATGGGAGGTACAAGTCATGAGGGCTCTGCCCTCATGAATGGATTAATGCTTAGTATAGTCATCGGAGACTCAGAAGAGAGGGAGGGTGGGAGGAGGATGGTGAGGGTTGAGAAATTAACAAGTACAGTATACACTATTTGGGTAATGGTTACATTAAAAGGCCCAGGCCACCACTAAGCGATGTATCCGTGTAACACAACTATACTTGTACCTCTTAAATTTATACAAATCGTAAAAAAATAAAAGGGCTTAAGACTGCAAGGAACTCTTGGGCACACCTTGCATGCTTGCTTGCTCTCTCTTCCTCCCCGACTTACCTCCTCTTGCCCTCTCTTGCCCTTCTGCCTTCTGCAATGGGATGACCACAGCAAGAAGGTTATCACTAGAAGCCAGCTGCTCACCATGGTCTTCCAGCCTACAGACTGCAAGGAATTAATCTCTGTGCTTCATAAATTACCTTCTCAGGTATTCTGCTATAACAACACAAAACAGACTAACAAATGCATACTACCATCTTATACTTTAGATGCATCCTCTCATTTCATCCTCACAGCAATTCACTGAGCAGAGTGGTACTCCCATTTCACAGATAAGGAAAGTGAAACTTGCAGGAGGTCTCCTAAGTGGCAAAGATTTAAACCCAGGTCTATCTAATTTTAAAGCCCTTAGGCTCTTTTAACCATTGGGCTATTTTACCTCTTTTTTAAAATATATATTCTAAGATCAACCATTTAATTGAACAGTTTTAAAATTTTAAAATATTGAATAATCACCTTCAGTTTCTTGGTATTTCTAGTTAATGAATTACGGCAGGGCTGATGTGAAGGAAGTAGAAGTAGAAGAGTTAGAGTGGGATGAGGAAAGAGTAATGTAGGATGGAGAGGAAAAGATACCTACCCATTTCCCACAGTTGTTTTTTGAAAGCTTACAGATTAATCATTATTTGAAGATCTCAGTTCACAAAGTAGAAGCTCTGCTATTTGTAGATTTTATTTTAATTAATGGATAAGTCATTATTGAAAAATTTATTGAAAAATACTGATTAAATATTTTTAAAATCACTCATAATCTATTACTCAAGGATAACCAGCATTAATATTTTAGTACTTTGTTGTCTTCAGTTGTGAGTGTGTATGTATCTGTGTGTGTACATGTTATAAAGTAAGCATTTCCTATATTTAAAATGCCATATGAAAAGCATCATTTTAATGGTTGAACAATATTCCATCCTGTTGATGTTCTATTTTATGGACTCATTCCTCAATTGTTGTACATTTAACTAACTCCAGGATCCCCTTCCCCCCATTATTTACAGTGCTTTGGAGAAATCCTTGGAGCGTAATTTATTTTCTAATTTTTAGAAGTGGCATTCCTGGGTCAAAAGGTCTGATGTGACTAAAAGACCTTATTATGTCTTAGAAAGGTAACTTACTGAGCAGAACAAGCCAGAATAAGGAAATATGGTTGGAAAATTTGCTCTAGGCAGGAACATTCCAGGGTCTTATTAACTGGCCTATGAATAAATTACTCTCCACTCTTCCATTAGAGCATTTTTCCTATTGGCTAACTAGAGCTTTGTTCAGTGTATGCTTCTGGAAAAAGAGTAAAATCACACTATATTACTAAATTTAAATCTCTTTTTTTCTTAGAGAACAGTAAATCAAATCTTTTTTCTTCATTTTGTTTTTATTATAGCAAAATGAAGAAAAATTTTCCTTCATAAAATAAAGTTTTTTATTTCTGTTTGCTTAATTTACAACAAGCAGAAAATAAGCTGGGTCTTGCTTTGATCCAAATATTGATGTTTTAAAAGCTGTACACAATATTTGTTAAAGAGAACTATAAAATGCCTTTTTAGAAGCTTCTACAAGAAAAAAAGTAGAAAGTTTAGCCCTACAACTTTCCTCTCCGCTAGAACTGCAAACTACTGCTACAGTTTTAAATACACTTTTTGTTGTTTATACATCCAGGAAAATCTTTAAAAAATAAAAAAACATGCATATAAATGATTGCGTAGCAGAACAGAACATTAACTGCAAACACTAAAGAAATGGAAGAAATACTATCAAATATACAAAGGTCCTACAATCAACCCCTTAAGCACTTAGCATGTAGTATTTAAAAATCATCGTTTTGTTCTCAGTCTAATACTCTCCCAATTGAGCTATCTCAGCTTACTGCCATCGTTTTGTTCTCTACAGACAAAGCCTAGATTACTAAAAACAACTGAAATAAGTAATCCTCTTAAAGGAATTGCTTCTCCATAATTCTTACTTATATCTTTAAGCAAGCAATCTGAGATTTTAAAAGGTGCTAGCTTTTTATGCAATATGAGATTAGACATGTCAAGTCACTTTTGTCCCCAAAACAATCTTTCAGAGGAGTACTAGAAATTATAAATGGTAAAGGGTATTATTTCTTTATTTTTAGTCAGGTACTACACTGGTAGTCAAAAATTCAAAAGATGTGACTCATGCTTAAAACTGACTAATCTTTTTTTCCAAAATCATTTTAAATTTCATGGCACCACAGAATCACCTAGAATGAATGTGTTGTTTTTGAACTTGCCTCACATTAAATAAACTGAGGTGCGAAAAGCAAGCCTCCCACATAAAGAAGCAGGCAAATTTTGATACGAATGTATAGACCAAGTGCTGTAAGCATCAACATTTCAGTTATTTTACACTATACACCCGCCCCCGACACATAGCCTACTTTGAAACAATTCACTCGTTTCTAAGGGCAGTAAGAAAACTAAGCAATGTTATGGTCAACAGTACTTCTTAAATTTTAGAATAACCACATAAGAACATTCTTTTCCCCTTAAAATTGTTTCTGCCATCATTGACCCCCTCAAATTTTAAGGTGAGTCTTTCTGATGTTTTTTTGTTCCAAGTCTATAGAAATCAGAAAAAAAGCAAAGGCTCCATGTTTCAGTCAAAAACTTAATCTCCTTGAAAATACTACATAACTCAGTTGGCATTATTCCCCAAGACGGTGGAGTTAACAAAAGAACTAATCCACATTGCATCATAAACTATTATCAAGGGCCTAGACATCTTGATAAGACATAAAGGTCCACACTGAACCTAAATGTGTCTGAGCAGTCAGTGTTGTACTGTGGCCACAACTTCACTTTTGTAACACTCTATCTTACTCCTTCCTAGGTTAACAGTTCTACCAAATATTAATATGAAAGTTTAGTAAGACAATGTTGCAAATTATGGTTAACCAACATCTTTTCACCAAATACTTCAAGCATAAAAACGAGAATCTTTACAAAAATATACACAGACACAACAAATTGGTAGCTGCCCATAGCACTAAACAAACTGGACTCAAGAGTGGCTTCTCAACAGCATGTCATTTTAATATAACCATTGCCTGGTACAGGGAAAACTAACAAGTGTTTGTTAAACATTGTATTCCTGATAATTTAAGCCAATCTATGAGCGAATGAACGATACGTGCCTAAAAATGATCATGGTTTATACTATCAGTAGCCACTGGATTTAGGACTAGTCCAAGATCTTGATCTAGATTTTGACCTAGGCCTAGACTGTGACCTTGACTGGGATTTGGAACAAGGCGGTTCTTTTTTCCTTGATTCCTTTTTATGTCTTGAGCAAGACTTGTAATATGTTTTGGAATCTGTTTTAGAGGTGCCTCTAGTTTTGGCATGCGATGCAGACCTAGAACACGATTTAGCCTTCATTTCTTTCTTGGGCTGGGACTTGGACCTTGATCTTGAATTGGATTTAGATCTTGAAAAAGACTGATTTCAGTGTTTGACTCTATCATTGCTGGAATGGCTTCTGCTACACCATGGTCTTCCAGTCCATCCACTCTTTCTAGGACTACAAGATCTTCTATAGATGTAAGCAAAAGACCGACTTCTTGATCTTCTTTCATAACTTTGGCTTCTAGAACATCTATATCTGTCATAATCATAGCGTGAAGAACTGTACACACTCCTACCTTCCTTTGCTTTCATCTGATTTGGGGTCTTCCAATCCCCCTGTGCAAACTGTTTCCATTTGACATCCACAAATCCACTTTCTGTCCAAATTATGTAAAGCATCTTCAGCATCACGAACATCTTCCAATTGAACATAAGCAACTCCTCTTGGACAGTGAGTGTAGAAATCAAGTGGAACATACACATCAACTATAGGATCATAATGACCAAATTCATGCCATAAATCTTTGAACCTGCTGTTACTGGCTCCATTCCTGATGAACAGAGGCACCTTGGAGGACGCAGGTAGCTGGACGTGACCGCTGTGTGAGTCTTAGCGCCAGGGGACACTAAGGGGCTCAGCAAACTGTCCAGCCCCCGGAGGCTGATCCTCAGACACGCACAGCCAGAGGGCTCTACTACAGTTAAATTAATTCTTGTATGTAAAAGAGTAGAAATTTACCGGTTTTGTAGTAAATAATAGTGATTCTCAAACTTTAGCTTGTATCCAAATTACTTGGAGGCTTGCAAAACACAAATTACAGCCCCCCACCCAGTACTCTGGGGTGGACTGTGAACATTTGCATTTCTAACCAGGTGATGGCGAGATGATGATGATGATGATGATGATGATGATGATGATGATGATGATGGTGATGCTTGTCCAGGGACCACACTTTGAGAACCACTGGTATCTACTAATAGTTCTTTTAACCCTGGCTGGATATAAAAATCTCTGGCTTTGGTGCCAGCTTTATTTTAAAACTTTCACAAGTCATTCTGATGCACCAGAGTGGAGAATCACTGGTGTGTGCAATTAGCCAAGTTATAAAAGATATAAAATTTGCAATATAGGTCTAGATTTTAAAAGACAAATGAAAAAAAAATAATGCACTGAACTTAAGAGCCAGGACTAGTTTATAACTTTCTGGACTATCCCTATGTGTAAATAATTTAAATTCTGGGTTCTTACCCTATGGGAAAACAATTCAAGTTCTGTGATCTTCTGTAAAACAAGAACATCATAGGATGATCATCAATGTACTTTCAAACCCAAATTTTATGATATATACCTTTTTAGCAGGGGGCATTTCACACTAAGAAGTGATGTAACATAACATTAATTAGCATTACTAATATAAAAACAAGAACATAAATTTGATGGTTTTATTTATACTGTTTTGTTAACTAGATGCTTAAGATGGGATGGGGGGACCTGTTAAATAATGATTGTTGGTTTTAAAAAAATCTTAATTTTTTACAGCAAGTAGTCAATAACAGAGTCCAGTAGGTGGCGATAACAGCCTTTCATACAACTTAAAAACAGTTGCGTACTTACTGGTCAATAATTGTTTTCTCACTTGCCTGTACAAATAGAAAACACAAAACACTTTATAGGCCACCTGGAGCTTTATTTCAGAGTGAATTTTTTGTTTGTTTATTTCATTCTATTTTGGGAATATAACAGAGGTTGCTTTCTGTTTCTGTGATCATGCGTATTTAGAGGTTTGTAAAAATTCTTTTTAAAACTTTTAGTATAGAATTTTTCAAATATGAAGAAAATACAATAATGAATACCCATTCAGCTTCAGCAATGATCAATGTTCTGCTATTATTCCCATTTTACCTGTCCCTTCCATGTACCCAGCCCCCAGCTTGTCGTCATCCCTTCTGCAGAACTTACAAGCAAATCCCACATATCATGTTACTGAACCTATAGAGCTTTAAAAATTGTCAAGCTATAATTACAAGAAGATTTTAGGTGCATTATTTCAGAACCCATTGTTTTTGTGTTTTACTCTAGCCATTGAGTACCGTTAGTTTTTGTTTGTTTTGTTTGGATTATATTTTTCACATAATAACGAGCCAAACACCTTTTCTAGTGCTTTGAGAACTGTAGTTCTCAAAACGAGGCAGCAGCATAATTAGTCACAAAAGGTTGCATGTAAATATCAATATTTTTAAAATAAAAATTGATATCTTCAATTAAATTTTTGTTTTTTACTTTAAAAATGTTACTATTTTTTTGAGACAAGGTTTTGCTGTGTCATCCAGCACCAGCTGGAGTGCAGTGGTGCGATCACGCTCCCTGCAGCCTTGGCCTCCTGGGCTCAAGTGATCCTCTCACCTCAGCCTTCTGAGTAGCTGGGACCACAGGTACATGCCATGGTGCTCACCATGCTTGGCTGTTTTATTTTTTGTAGAGATGGGGGTCTCACTATGTTGCCCAGGCTGGTCTCGAATTCCTAGGCTCAAGCTATCTGCCCGCATCAGCCACCCAAAGTGCTGGAATTACAGGCACAAGCTCCGGGGCTTGGCTGAATTTTTATTTTTGAATAAAAATATACAATTAGAAATGTATTCTTATCAACAATGGAAGGTATATTTGTATATCTTTTTATCCAAGGTATCCAAAAGAACAAAAAGTTTTACTGTATGGTTTTTATCTAAAACAAATGGAAGCATATTACATTTTGGCAAGTAGAGAAATCAACATAATTAAGAATTTAAAGAAAGAACTCAATGACCCAGAATTCCTAAAACAACCACTTAACATTTTGTTATATTTCCTTTTTCTCCTTCCTATGTGGAGGTCTCCCTCTTCCCTGAAATTGCATGTTTATGTCGGACATAGAGTAGAAGGGAGACATCCCGGTTCTGGAGGTTTTCCACATCTCTGACTCTTCAGTCACTTCCCATTGATAAAAAGCCAACCAAAAAAAAAAAAAAACTCGAAGTATTTGCTAAATGAATAAAAGGCCTAACACTTTCTATATCTCATTATATGCTACCTAAAACTTTATTTTTTCCTTTCTTCTTTTTTTTTGGGTGGGGATAGGGTCTTGCTCTGTTGCCTAGGCGGGAGTGTGGTAGTACGATCACAGCTTACTGCAGCTCAAACTCCTGGGCTCTAGCAATCATTCCACCTCAGCCTCCTGAGTAGCTGGGACTACGGGAGCATGCCACCATGATTGGCTAATTAATTTTTTTTGTAGAGGTAGGGTCTCGCTATGTTGTCCAGGCTGGTCTAAAATTCCTGGCTTCAGGTAATCCTCCTGCCTCGGCCTCCCAAAGTACTGGGATTGCAGATGTAAGACACCGTACTTGGCCTGTAAAACTTTTTTTTTTTAATTATACTTTTAGTTTTAGAGTACATGTGCACAACGTGCAGGTTGTTACATATGTATACACGTGCTATGTCGGTGTGCTGCACCCATTAACTCGTCATTTACATTAGGTATATCTCCTAATGCTATCCCTCCCCCCTCCCCCCACCCCACAACAGGCCCCAGTGTGTGATGTTCCCCAACCTGTGTCCAAGTGTTCTCATTGTTCAGTTCCCACCTATGAGTGAGAACATGTGGTGTTTGGTTTTCTGTCCTTGAGATAGTTTGCTGAGAATGATGGTTTCCAACTTCATACATGTCCCTACAAAGGACATGAACTCATCATTTTTTATGGCTGCATAGTATTCCATGGTGTATATGTGCCACATTTTCTTAATCCAGTCTACCACTGATGGACATTTGGGTTGGTTCCAAGTCTTTGCTATTGTGAATAGTGCCGCAATAAATATATGTGTGCATGTGTCTTTATAGCAGCATGATTTATAATCCTTTGGGTATATACCCAGTAATGGGATGGCTGGGTCAAATGGTATTTCTAGTTCTAGATCCTTGAGGAATCGCCACACTGTCTTCCACAATGGTTGAAGTAGTTTACAGTCCCACCGACAGTGTAAAAGTGTTCCTATTTTCTCCAGCACCTGTTGTTTCCTGACTTTTTAATGATTGTCATTCTAACTGGTGTGAGATGGTATCTTGTTGTGGTTTTGATTTGCATTTCTCTGATGGGTTGGCTTGTAAAACTTTATAATACTGCTTTCAAAGTTGGTTATTGCTTTAATGAAAATTATTTTATTCAAAATTTTAATTTAAAGACAAAAACCTGGTGTTTCCCAAAGGGCAATCAATATATGTATTCAGAAAACTCTGAGGAGTTGTACCATTCGTGGTACAAGGAATTAATTTAGATTATAAGTAAATCACATTTTAAATTAATAATTAAGTATATCTTTAATGCATTGTAGGATAAGATAACTAACATAAAGGCCATGATTTCATGAAATTGTTTCCTAAGATGACATTACAATAGGTAATTACATTTATTTTTAAAACCCATTGAAAATATTAAGTACGTTTATAAATTATATAAATTGCCAAACTATTTTCCAAAGTGGCTATGCCATTTACATTCCCTCCAGCAATGCATGAGTGTTCCAGATTCTCCACATCCTTGTTGACGCTTGGAACTGTCTGTTCTTTCAGCTATTTTAGTGGGTGTGTAGTAGTCATATATGTTTTAAATGAGAAAATGAGTTATTTTGCTGAGAAAGCATATGGGGAAAAATGATAGTAGTTTTCAAACATGTGCCATTTAAAGGATAGAATATATGTACACTATGAAGCTCTGGAAGTAGAGCTAGGCAGGACTAACATAGACTTTATAAAGAAGCAAATTCTGGCACAAAGTAAGGCAAAACTTAAATGCTATGGACTCTCTTGCATAATAGTGACCTTTTTATTGAGTGTATTTATATCCAGCTGTATCAGTGTTCGTCAACTACAGTCAACAGAAATTGACTGACTTAATGAGAGTCATGTATTTTAAGGATATAGAGTGGGTCACAGAATCAAAGGAAAAGCCACACAACTGTAACTTGAAAAGGACAGGAAGCAGCAGGGCAGCGTAAGAGATCTATGTCACAGAAACCAATGAACAGCCTCCTCAGAGAGCTACTGTCAAGGTGAATTATTTCTGTTTTCTGACCTTGTGTCACTCAAGATTTAAATTCTAAGGGGAGAGAATCTGCTTGGCCTAGTTTGGTTTACATGCCCACTTCTTGGTCAGAAGAAGGCAGAATTGATAATCTCACCAAAGTGCATGTGGTAGGGTAGAAGAAATTCCCCAAAGAAATATTGAAGTGACTTTACCAAAAAAAGGGGCTACTGGGTGTTGGGCAGGCAAAACCAACAGATGCCACTATACTAGGTCACTACCTTTGATGACTATTTGGGAGGAATTAGTAGCAGTGATAGGAGGAGGCAACAAAACTTAGACCCATTAATTACTTGAATTTTTATTAAATGTCTTCTCCTACAGTTCTATGAAATCACTAACTACATTGTATTGAATTCATAATACTAACTTCATCACCCTCCAAGTGTTTTTACATACATAGCAAATATTCTTTGGATGCAAAAAAAATTACTAATTGGTTTTTTAGAGGGGAGAGATGCCAATTTCATTTTATTAAACATAAATACAAACATATGTAATTACACATGAACAGATTTCTATGGTAAAAATATTCAATTGATTGCAGTACACTGAGCTCCATAGAGAGAGTGCTGGGGCAAGTGAGAGCCAGATGGGCACTGGGCAACTCTGTGCCTTGTTGAAGAAAGATAACTAAACATGGGTAAAGTAGATCCTAAGAAACCAAGAGGCAAAATGTCATCATATGTGTTCTTTGTGCCATCTTGTCAGGAGGAGCACAAGAAGGAGCACCCAGATGCCTCAGTCAGCTCCTCAGAGTTTTCTGAGAAGTGCTGAGAGGTGAAAGACTACTTCTGCTAAAGCAAAAGGAAAATTGGAAGACATGACAAAGGTAGGTAAAGCCCATTATGAAAGAGAAATGAAAACTTATATCCCTCCTAAAGGGGAGACAAAAAAGAAGTTCAAGGATCCCAATACACTCAAGAGGCCTTCTTCAGCCTTTTTTCTTGTTCTGTTCTGAGTATCACCCAAAAATCAAAGAACATCCTGGCCTAAACATTGGTGATGTTGCAAAGATGCTGGGAGAGATGTGGAATGGCACTGCTGCAGATGACTAGCAGCCTTATACAAAGAACGCTGCGAAGCTCAAGGAAAAATGTGAAAAAGATACTGCTGCATACTGAGCTAAAGGAAAGCCAGATGCAGCAAAAAGGGAGTTGTCAAGGCTGAAAAAAGCAAGAAAGAGAAGAAAGAAGAGGACAAGAAGATGATGAAGAAGATGTTGATGAATAAGTTAATGTTAGCACATTTTTTTCTTGTCTATAAAGAATTTAACCTCCCTGTACACAATTCACTCCTTTCAAACAAAAAAATTGAAATGTAAGTTTGTGTAAGATTTGTTTTTAAACTGTACAGTGTCTTTTTTTATATAGTTAACACACTACCAAATGTGTCTTTAGATAGCCCTGTCCTGGTGGTAATTTCAGTAGGCACTAACCTTGCTTGGTACAGTATGGTGGTATAGCTTGATGAATTTTCCCAAAATAAACATGTACCTAGCACACAGATCAAGAAACAGGATAATTTCAGCACCCTAGAAACCCCTTAGAAACCACTCTCATTCAAGGTAATCACTATTACCACTTCCAAGGCTATATATTTGTTTTGCCTGATTTTGAAAATTACCTTAAATTGAATAATTATCATATGTGATTTGGGGGAGGTCTGGGTTCAGTCATTCAACATTATATTTATGACATTCATCCAGTGTGTAGTTGTAGTTTGTTCGTTCTCATTGTTGTATAATATTCCATTGCTTAAATGTATCACAAATATCCATTCTACTGTTGGTGGACATGTGGATTTTTACAGTTTGGGGTATTACAAATAACGTTGATATGAACATTTTTGTATATTTCTTCTTGTGAAGTTTTAGGGCTATTACAATGATGCTACTTATTAACATTCTTGTCCACTTCTGGTGAAAAGAATATATATGTATTCATAGGTATATATACAACAGAAATGCTTATATATACACATTAGTGTGTGTACACAAATATATGTATTTGTATGTATGTATGAGGTTGGTACAAAAGTAATTGCTGTTTTTGCCATTAAAAACAGCAATTACTTTTGTACCAAGTTTATACGCACATATTTATATCTTGTCCACGTTTGGTGAACATATATATATATATATGAGGGCGATGAACATATGTATAGATAAGATGAACATATATACATGAGGAAAATGAGTATATATATAGTTTGGTGAACATATATATATATTCACCAACAGAAGTGCACAAGATATATACATAAACATTCCTGTTGTATATATACCTAAGCGTGAACTTGCTGGATAGTAACATGCTCCATTACAATGCTCAACACTTTTCCTAAGTAGTTGTACCAATATACATTCCCAAAAGTGTGGAAGATTTCCAACTTCTCCATATTCTTGCCAATACTTGGTTCATTATTTTTTCACTTTAATCATTTTGCTAAATGTGACATTGTCCAGTAATTTTTGAGGGATTTAAAAATCCTGTGAGTGGAGGAGACAGAAGTTAGAATATCACTCTACATTGATTAAAGTTGTAGTATGGTGATCTAGAGTTTTATGGGATTCATAAAATAACTTCTTAAAAATAAAAAGACTTAGAGATGGAAGAAATCTGTTATTTTCTGACTCCCAACAAGTTACTGCCTTCCTGGGAGAGGGGTTAATTCTGTTTGTATTATGCAGTGTAATGAAGAATCCTGTCAGGTTGGTTAGGATACCCAGCTGATTTGAACCCTACCTCCTCTTTATATTTAAATCCCAGTATTTGGTAAAGTCAAGTCTATAAGGTTTTAAGATGTTATTTCTGATACATTATGCAATTTAAATATTACTGCTCTTACCTAGAATAGAGTCTGCAAATTTATGGCACAGATTCTTACCATTCCCCATCCCCATCAGGCACATGACAGATGATGTGAATCACAGAAGACTTTCCCACTGATTTCTATGAGGTCTCAGGGTTGTTTTTTTCCTCACTATACTGCTCCACACAATCACACTGTTGGTTAGAAGTGTCATGGAAGATTCAAACACTTTTGCCTCCTGTACCTCAAGGTACAAGGTAATTTGCTGAATCTTACAATCTTCCCAAGTATTATTGTTGGTTGTCCCTGTAGGAGACTGATTGAAATTTAGGAGGCCGAGGTGGGTGGATCACCTGAGGTTGGAAGTTTAAGACCAGCCTGACCAACATGGAGAAACCCCATCTCTACTAAAAATACAAAATTAGCCAGGCATGGTGGCACATGCCTGTAATCCCAGCTACTTGGGAGGCTGAGGCAAGAGGCAAGAGAACTGCTTGAACCTGGGAGGCAAGAGAATTGCTTGAACCTGGGAGGCAGAGCCGAGATCTCACCATTGTACTCCAGCCTGGACAATAAGAGCAAAACTCCATCTCAAGAAAAAAAAAAAAAGCTATAATTTAAATCTATTATGTTGTCATACTAACTGAGGAGCTGGTTTACTTGTAGTTTAAGTTTAATTCTGTTTAGTTTTAAAATTTTCTTCTTCCTTTATATTTTAATTTTTTAATCTTTTATTTTCATTTGGACTAGGGAAAATTCTGAGAAGATTGCTATAGCTTCATAGGTCAAAGTAATTTAGGGGAAGTGGGTGACAGAGGAGGAAAGATGATACAAATGGATTAAGCATGAATAGGCCAGGCGCAGTGGCTCACGCCTGTAATCCCTGCACTTTGGGAGGCCAAGGCGGGCGGATCATTTGAGGTCAGGAGTTCGAGACCAGCCTGGCCAACATGGTGAAACCCCGTCTTTACTAAAAATACAAAAAATAGCTGGGCCTGGTGGCAGACACCTGTAATCCCAGCTACTCTGGAGGCTGAGGCAAGAGAATCGTTTGAACACAGAAGGTGGAGGTTGTAGTGAGCCAAGATCGCACCATTACGCTCCAGCCTGGGCAACAGGGCGAGACTCCGTTTCAAAAAAAAAGCATGAATTCTGACAATTTAGGGGCTCGCTGGAGAGTATGTAGCTTTAAAGGTCTGTAAGGTTCTGGAATGTGTTGGATGTGTTGATTATGGTATGATATAGATTGATAATAGCATGTTGCTTGAAATTCAAATTTAAAAAATATGGCAATGAATTAAAGATAGGGGTTTTCAAAGAAGAAAGTTAAAGAAAGAGTTATGTCTTTAAAAATGTTTGGCCATGCTGAGAAAACAAAGGTGATAATTAAAATCTAAGGTAAAAGATAATTAAAACATGAGGCAGAAACAGAAAGGAAGGAAGGATGGATAGATAGATAAGAGTTTGGCAGTAGTGGATGAAACCAGAGATCTAAGGAAAAGGAAGTCAGGAAATAAGCTTTAGCATTAGTAGTTTATGCTGAATGTCATACTCCTAACTCCAAGCCTTACAAGATGTGTAAGGCATTCACTTGCCTCTGTAAGCCTCAATCTTTTTTACTATAAAATGATCATAAGAATGGTCACCTGTGGCTCACTGTATTTTAAGGACTAAATCAGGTAATGTAAATGAAATAGCTTTATACTAATTAAATGAATGTAGTATCATAAATACTATGGCAATTATGTGAGCCTCAACACATAATAAGCTCAAATTCGATTTTTAAAAATATTCTGGCTTCTACTTCTGTCTGTAATGGAGTAACTTATACCAAACTTGTCCTTTACTGGTAAACAACTAGAAAACTGGACAATATATATGAAACAACTATTTTTTAATATTGGAAAACATGCAGTGCAGGAGTGCAGTCTCAATGAATGGAAACAAATGAGGTGAGTTCCACAAAATCCCTAGTATTCTGCCTGGAGTCACTTTCCAGAACAGCACAGGAATGAGAAACCAAGGAAAGCATGGCAGTCTCTCTGTGAAAGAGACTGAGACCAGACTTTGGGAAAGCTGTGGCAGCTTCAGTTTGCAGGGCACAGCTCCAGGGTTGTAGGAGCCATTCAGAGAAGCTCTAGGAATCTGCAGAGGGGTTTCATCGAGTCTTTTGCTGTATACTAAGGTGCACATGCATACAGTGAAATGCCACAAGGCCAGACAAATGGCAAGTACTAGAGGACTATAAGTTGAACAATTCCTACAGCTTAAATGTGGCTAAGAGACATTTGAGTTTCAATCGCCAGAGTGACAGGACCTCACTGAAAATCCTGGGAATTCAGTATGTATCCCAGGGTTGTGCCTTAAAATAAGCTTAACAAGCTGTAGAGTAAAACACCATAGACTACTACTAACGAAGTTCAAAAACAACCCCAAAAGGATCAAGATGATTGGCAAAAAACTTACCTGCTAGCCAAATTCACCAATCTAAGTGAAGAAAACAAAATTCAAAAATCTTAAGAACATGGTATTTATAGTGTATGGCATCCAATAAAAGTAAGACATGAGAAGAAGCAGGAAAATGCAAAGAAGAAAATCCGTCAGCAGAAACTGACTCAAATTACAGAGATGAATGAAATAGATGCATCAGAACAATTATAAATGTGTCCAAATATTTAAAGGAAAACATGAGCATAATGAGGACAGAAATCGATGGTATTAAAAACAAACAAGGAAACTTCTAGAGCTGAAAGATGTCATATCTGAATGAAAATTCACCTGATAAAATTATCAACTGATTAGGTATGGCAGATGAAAAGAACAGCGAACTTGTAGATATTGTAATAGAAACTATCCAAACTGAGTTACAGAAAGAAAATAATAATAATAAGAACAGATCCTCAGTAACCTGAGGAGCATTCCAAGTGATCTAACATATGTGTAATTGGAGTTCCTGAAAAGGTCAGAAGAGAGGAGCTGGAATATGTATTTGAAGGAATAATTACTTATATTTTCCAAACAAGATGAAAACTGATTCCTAAATCAAAGAAACTCAACAAACTCCAAGCAGAATAACTGAAAGGAAATGCACTCTAAGGCACATCATATTGAAATCATTGAGAACCAGTGACAAAGTGAAATTCTTAAAAGCAGCCAGAGAAGGCTGGCTGCGGGGGCTCGCACCTGTAATCCCCGCACTTTGAGAGGCCGAGGTGGGCGGATCATGAGGTCAGGAGTTCAAGACCACCCTGGCTAACACGGTGAAATCCTGTCTCTACCAAAAATACAAAAAATTAGGCTGGCGTGGTGGCTGGAGCCTGTAGTCCCAGCTACTCGGGAGGCTGAGGCAGGAGAATGGCATGAACCCGGGAGGCAGAGAGCTTGCAGTGAGCCGAGATGGCACCACTGCACTCCAACCTGGGTGACAGAGCGAGACTCCGTCTTAAAAAAAAAAAAAAAAAAAAAAATCAGCCAGAGAAAACAAACATTAAATACAAGGGTACCAACATAAGAATTGCTACTGATTTTGTGTTAGAAATAATGCAAGCCACAACGCAAGAACTTTGTGTTAGAAATAATGCAAGCCTAAGCCTAAAGAAAGCAATAGGACAAAAACTTTAACATGCTTTTAAAAAAGTTAATTTAGGATTCTTTGTTGAGTGAAAGTATCCTTTAAAAATGAGAGCAAAATAAAGCCTTTTGGACAAACAAAAACAAGGAGTATATGTTTTAAGCAGACCTGAAGTACAAGAAATGTTAAAGTTATTCTAGAAGAAGCAAAATGATACCAGGTACAAACTCATTTCTATGCACATGAATGAAGAGTGCCAGAAATGGTAATATGTGGGAAAACACAAAATGTGTTTTTCTCATTTTTACCATTTCTTAAAAAAAAAAACCTTTGAAGAGCAAATGTACTAACAGTGTATGGTGGGGTTTATAAGAGTTTGAATTAAAATGTATGACAACAGCAGCACAAAGAATGGCAGGGTATGTATTTATGGCTTGGTTCAGGTGAGTGCAATTTTCTGCATTCATCTAGTGTTTTTAGTGGACAAAATCACACATAAACAAGATTAAAATTCAGGCTATGTTAAAATTGTTACCTATCATGTTGTAACAAATTTGCATTCTCAAAAACAAATGTTATAGTAGAACTGACTGTGTAGTTCAGAGTATGGCAAAAGGTTATGTCCACGTGAACCATGAAATCAAGATGCAGAACATTTCCATCACCCCGAGAAGTTCACTTGTGCACTTTGCAGTGATACTTGCCCTCAGCCCAAGGCAACAATAGATTTTCTTCCTGTTACTATACTTCTTCCTGCTCTATAATTTCATATAAATGGGTCATATATAGTGTAATGCATATATTTTATGTCTGGCTTCTTTTGTTTAGAGTAATGTTTTTGAAATTCATCTATGTTGTTGTATGTTTCAATCAGTCATTTGTTCTTTATTGCTGAGAAATATTTCATTGTATGTATATACCAAACATATTTATCCATTCACCTGTTGACAGACATTTGTGTTATTTCCAGCTTTCAGCTATTATAAATAAAACTTCTGTGAACATGTACTAACCTTTTTGTGGACATTTGCTTTCATTTTTCTTAAATATGAGTGGAACTACTGGGTCATATGGTAGGTATATGTTCAATTTCGTAAGAAACAACCAAATAGGTTTCAAAAGTGGCCATACCGTTTTATACTCCTACCAACAATATATAAACGTTGAAATTGCTCCAGATGTTCAGGAATAGCTGGAATTTTTCATCTTTTTTATTTTAGCTATTCTGGTGGGTATATAGTGGTATATCATTATGGTTTTAATTTGCATTTTCCTGATGACTAATGATGTTGAACATTTTTTCAGGCATAACTAGCTATTCTTTTATCTCCTTTTGTAAAGTGTCTATTCAAATCCTTCTCCCTTATTAAAAACTGGGTTTTCCTAACGCAAGAACAGATGGCCAAATACCACATGTTCTCACTCATAGTGGGAGCTGAACAATGAGAACATGTGGACACAGAGAGGGAAACAACACACAACTGGGGCCTGTCTGGGGGTGGGGGGAAAGGGGGAGGGACAGCATCAGGAAAAATAGTTAATACATGCTGGGTTTAATACTTAGGTGATGGGTTGATAGGTGCAGCAAACCACCATGACACACAAACCTGCTCATCCTGCGCATGTACCCCGGAACTTAAAAATAAAATTAAAAAAAGAAAGAATGACTGAAAAAATAAAAAACCATTCAGAGAATACTATAAACACCTCTATGAAAATAAACTAGAAAATCTAGAAGAAATGGATAAATTCCTGGAAACATACACCCTCCCAAGACTAAACCAGGAAGAAGTTGAATCCCTAAATAGATCAATAACAAGTTCTGAAATTGAGGCAGTAATTAATAGCCTACCAACCAAAAAAAAGCCCAGGACCAGACAGATTCACAGCCAAATTCTACCAGAGGTACAAAGAGGAGCTGGTACCATTCCTTCTGAAACTATTCCAAAGAATAGAAAAAGAGGGACTCCTCCCTAACTTATTTGATGAGGGCAGCATCATCCTGATACCAAAACCTGGCAGAGACACAACAAAAAAAGAAAATTGCAGTCCAATATCCCCGATGAACATTGATGTGAAAATCCTCAATAAAATACCGGCAAACCAAATCCAGCAGCACATCAAAAAGCTTATACACCAAAATCAAGTCGGCTTCGTCCCTGGGATGCAAGGCTGGTTCAACGTACACAAATCAATAAACATAATCCATCAAATAAACAGAACCAATGACAAAAACTACATGATTATCTCAATACATGAAGAAAAGGCCTTTGATAACATTCAACACCCCTTCATGCTAAAAACTCTCAATAAACTAGGAATTGATGGAATGTATCTTAAAATAATAAGAGCTGTTTATGACAAACCCACAGCCAATATCATACTGAATGGGAAAAAGCTGGAAGCATTCCCTTTGAAAACCAGCACAAGACAAGGATGCCCCCTCTCACCATTCCTATTCAATATAATATTGTAAGTTCTGGCGAGGTCAATCAGACAAGAGAAAGAAATAAAGGGTATTTAAATAGAAAGAGAGGAAGTCAAATTGTCTCTGTTTGCAGATGACATGATTGTATATTTAGAAAACCCCATCGTCTCAGCCCAAAATCTCCTTAAGCTGATAAGCAACTTCAGCAAAGTCTCAGGATACAAAATCAATGTGCAAAAATCACAAGCATTCCTATACACCAATAATAGGCAAACAGAGAGCCAAATCATGAGTGAACTCCCCTTCACAATTGCTACAAAGAGAATAAAATACCTAGGAATCCAACTTACAAGGGATGTGAAGGACCTCTTCAAGGAGAACTACAAACCACTGCTCAAGGATATAAGAGAGGATACAAACAAATGGAAAAAATTCCATGCTCATGGATAAGAAGAATCAATATCGTAAAAATGGCCATACTGCCCAAAGTAATTCATAGATTCAATGCTATCCCCATCAAGCTACCACTGACTTTCTTCACTGGATTAGAAAAAACTACTTTAAATTTCATATGGCACCAAAAAAGAGCCCGCATAGTCAAGATAATCTTAAGCAAAAAGAACAAAGCTGGAGACATCATGCTACCTGACTCCAAACTGTACTACAAGGCTACAGTATCCAAAACAGCATGGTACTGGTACCCAGACAGTTGTATAGACCAGTGGAACAGAACAGAGGCCTCAGATATAATGCCACACATCTGCAACCATATGATCTTTGACAAACCTGACACACACAAGCAATGGAAAGGATTCCCTATTTAATAAATGGTGTTGGGAAAACTAGCTAGCCATATGCAGAAAACTGAAACTGGATCCCTTCCTTACACCTTATACAAAAATTAACTCAAGATGGATTAAAGGCTTAAATGTAAGACCTAAAATTATAAAAGCCTGAGAAGAAAACCTAGGCAATACCATTCAGGACATAGGCGTGGGCAAACACTTCATGACTAAAACGTCAAAAGCAATGGCAACAAAAGCCAAAATTGACAAATGAGATGTAATCAAACTAAAGGGCTTCTGCACAGGAAAAGAAACTATCATCAGAGTGAACAGGCAACCTACAGAATGGGAGAACATTTTTGCAATCTATCCATCTGATAAAGGACTAATATCCAGAATCTACAAGAAACCTAAACAAATTTACAAGAAAAAAACAATCCCATCAAAAAGTGGGTGAAGGATATGAACAGACACTTCCCCAGACAAGACATTTATGTGGCCAACAAAGAGATGAAAAAATGCTCATCATTACTGGTCATTAGAGAAATGCAAATCAAAACCACAATGAGATATCATCTCATGCCAGTTAGACTGGTGATCATTAAAAAGTGGGGAAACAACAGATGCTGAAGAGGAAGTGGAGAAATAGGAACACTTTTACACTGTTGGTGGGAGTGTAAATTGGTTCAACCATTGTGAAAGACAGTGTGTCAATTCCTCAAGGATCTAGAACCAGAAATACCATTTGACCCAGCAATCCCATTACTGGATATATACTCAGAGGATTATAAATCATTCTACTATAAAGACACATGCACACATATGTTTATTGCAGCACTGTTCACAATAGCAAAGACTTGGAACCAACCCAAATGCCCATCATATAGACTGGATAAAGAAAATTTGGCACATACACACCATGGAATACTATGCAGCCATAAAAAAGGATGAGTTAATGTCCTTTGCAGCCACATGGATAAAGCTGGAAACCATCATTCTTAGCAAACTAACACAGGAACAGAAAACCAAACACTGCATGTTCTGACTCATAAGTGGGAGTTGAACAATGAGAGCACATGGACGCAGGGAGGGAAACATCATACACCAGAGCCTCTTGGGGGTGGGTAGGGGGCTGGGGGAGGGATAGCATTAGGAGAAATACCTAATGTAGCTGACGGGTTGATGGGTGCAGCAAACCATCATGGCACATGTATACCTATGTAACAAACCTGCACATCCCGCACATGTATCCCAGAACTTAAAGTATAATAAAAAAAAATTGTGTGAAAAAATAAAAAACCCAAAACATTAACAGCCTTTACTGTAGCAAAGACAAAAGCAAATTTAACAAAACGTAAAAAACTGGTCCATGAAGGTAAAGGGTTTTCGGATGTTCACTGTACTATTCTTTTTCAAAATTTTTCAAATTTTGAATAAGATTTCAAATTTTTCAAAATAAAATTCAACACATTCAGCACAAAAAATAAAATAAAAAATTAGGTTTTCTTCTTATTGAGTTGTAAGAATACTTTCTGTAATCTCGTTTCAAGTCCTTTGTCAATATATACATGTTACAAACATTTTCTTCCATTTGTGGATTTACTTTTCACTTTCTTTCTTTCTTTCTTTCTTTTTGAGATGGAGTCTGGCTCTGGAGTGCAGTGGCGCAATCCCATCTCACTGCAACCTCCCACTCCCAGGTTCAAGAGATTCTCCTGCCTCAGTCTCCTGAGTAGCTGGGATTACAGGCACCCGCCACCATGCCCGGCTCATTTTTGTATTTTTAGTAGAGACAGGGTTTCACCATGTTGGACCAGGCTGGTCTTAAACTCCTGGCCTCAGATTATCTGCCCACCTCAGCCTCCCAAAGTGCTGGGATTACAGGCATGAGCCACCGAGCCTGGGCCACTTTTCACTTTCTTAGCTGTATCTTTCAATGAGCAGAATTTTGTAATTTTCATAAAGTCCATTAAAAAATTTCATGCACAATTAGTGTTTTCTGTGTTCTAAGGTATCTTTTCCTTCCCCATAGTTACAAAAATTTTCTTCTGTGTTTTCCTCTATTATATTTCTTCTAAAAGGTATATAAGTTGTAATATTTACTTTTAGGTATAAGATACATTTCAAGTAAAATTTTAGCATGGTGTAATGATCAAAGTATAGTTTTTCTATTTATTGAACAAATATTCAATTGTCCCAGCATCATTTGTTGAGAAGACTATTTCTCTATCTTTGGAACCTTGATTAAAATAAATTAAATGTAAATGTATTGTTCTATTTTTTAACTCTCTACTTTGTTCCACTGATCTGATTATTGTGACTTATGGTAAGTCTTAAAATCACATAATATAAGCACTCCAACTTTGTTCTCCTTTTAAAACTTTATTCCAGTTATGTTAGGTCACCTAACATGTATTTCTATATAAGTTGTAGAATCAGCTTGTGAATTTCTACAAAAAATATTGCTGGAGATTAGATTTATATCCAACTGACACCTTAACAATATTGATTTTTCTAATCCATGAAATGGTGTATTTCTCAATTTATTTGCATCTTCTTGGATGGTTTTCAGAGAGAAAAATTTTGAGGAAGTTTGTTTCTATCCTAATTTGCTGAGAGTTTTTTTTTTCATGAATAGGTGTTAAAATTTTATCAAATGATTTTTCTAAATCTATTTATAGGAACATATGGAGTTTTGTCTTTTTTTTTTTTTTAGTTTGTTAACATGGTGAATTACATTGATTGGTTTTCAAAGTTTAAACCAACCTTTTGTTTCTGGGATGAATTCCGCTTGGTCATAATGCATTATCCTTTTTATATGGTTCTAATTCAAATTTGATAATTTTATTAGAAACTTTTTCATCTAGGTTCAGAAGAGATACTGATCTTCAATTCTCTTTTCTTATAATAGTTTGACTCTCAGCATCAAGGTAGTGCTGGACTTATAAAATGAGCTGGGAAGTACTGGTTCTATTTTCTGAAACTTTCTGGTAAGGGAACTATTATGTTTTCCTCAAATTTGGCTAAAATTCAACAGTAAATCCATCTGGAGCTAGAGTGCTTTTTGTGGGAAGATTTTATTTTACCGTTTAAATTTATGTAATTAATACAGAGCTATTTAGATTTTTACAAAAATATTTCTTCTTTTACCGGTTTGGTTGTGTAATTTTTGACTGTCAAGGGATTGATCTATTTCATCTAAGTTGTCAAAATTATTGGAATAAATGTTTAAAATATTCCTTTATTATACCTATACTTTTAATATCTGTAATATTTACGGTGATGCTTCTCTTCCTTTTCTATACCTGAAATCTGTCTTCTCTCTTTTTTCATTGGTTTAAGCTGGCAGTTTATTATTTTATCAATCATTTGTTAAAAGCAGCTTAGATTTTTTGACTTTTCTTTATTCTTTGTATATTTTCTATTTAATTGCAAATTTTATAGGAGCCTTATTAAGATGTAATTCACATATCATACAATGTGGTCATTTAAAGTGTACACTCTGTTTTTTAGTATATTCAAAATTGTGCAACCACCACCATAATCAACTTGAGAATAATTTCATAACTCCCCCCCAAAAAAATCTTTTATCTAGTCAGTCTTTTTTTTTTTTTAGCACAAGCATCCCCAGCTGTAGGCAACCACCAAACTACTTTCTAACTCTATAAATATCCTTTTTCTGGATGTTTCATATAAATGGAATAAAATAATATGTAACCTTTTGTTTCTGGCTTCTTTCACTTAGTATAACGCTCTTAAAGGTTCATCCATATTGCAGGATGTATCAGCACTTCATCTATTTATTTTTTTAACTCAAATTTTTTTAGCCATTAATTTATTTTTATTGTTGAATGATATTCCATTGTGTAGATACATCACATTTCATTTATCCATTCTTTTTTTTTTTTTTTTTTTTTTTTGAGACGGAGTCTCGCTTTGTCGCCCAGGCTGGGCATCTTTGTTCACTGCAAGCTCCGCCTCCCGGGTTCACGCCATTCTCCTGCCTCAGCCTCCCGTGTAGCTGGGACTACAGGCGCCCGCCACTACGCCCGGCTAATTTTTTGTATTTTTAGTAGAGACGGGGTTTCACCGTGTTAGCCAGGATGGTCTCTATCTCCTGACCTCAAGATCCGCCCGCCTTGGCCTTCCAAAGTGCTGGGATTACAGGCGTGAGCCACCGAGCCCGGCCTCATGTATCCATTCTTCAGCTGATGGACATTTGGGTTGTTTCCATTGTTTGGCTGTTATGAAAATGCTGCTATAATGTTGATTGTTTCCTTTGCTTCAGTTTCTAAATTTGAAATGATTCCATTTTTAAAATTTTTGCTTTTGCCGTCTATGCATTTGGGGTCATATCTGAAAAACCATTGTCCAGATTAACATCAAGCTTTCTCCCATATTATCTTCTAGTGGTTTTACAGTTTCAGGTCTTACATTTATGTGTTTTGAGTTGATTTTTGTATATGGTGTGAGATGAGGGTCCATTTATTCTTTTGCATGTGGATATCCACTTTTTCCAATACCTTTATTGAAGAAACTGTCCTTTCCCCATTGGATGCTCTTGGCACCTTTGTCAAAGGACAATTGACCATAAATGCATGGGCTTATTTCTGGGCTCTCTATTCTGTTCTATTGGTCTATGTGTCCGTGTTTATGCCACCACCATACTGTTTTGAAGACTGTAGCTTGTAATTTTTTAAAATAAATCAGGTATTGCTATACCTCCAGCTTTGTTCTTTTTGTGCAGCTATTTGGGGGTGTTTTGTGCTTCCATGGGAATTTTAGATTTTATTTTTCTATTTCTGTGAAAAATGCCACTGGGACCTTGATAGGGATTGCACTGAATTTGTCTAGGCTACTTTGGGTTTTGAAATTTCTAACAAAGAATTTTATAGTGCTAAACATCTCCATTTAAAAAAAGGATCTTAAATAAACATCGTAACTTTACATCTCAAGAAACTAGAAAAAAAAGAGAATAAACTCAGCCCAAATTTGGCAGAAGAAGGAAATATTGAAGATCAGAGCAGAGATAAATGAAATAGAGATGAGAAAAATAATAGAAAAGATCAATGAAGCTAAGACTTGGTTTTTGGAGAAACTAAATTGACAAACTGTTAAGAAGCCTAAGTAAAAAATAAAAGAGAGAAGACTCAAATAAATAAAATTATAAATGAAAGAAGAAACAATACAACTGTTACTACAGAAGTACAATAAGAGACTACTATGAGCAATTATATGCCAACAAATTGAATACCTAGAAGAAACAGGTTGATAAGATCCTAGAAACATATAACCTACCACCACTGAATCATGAAGAAATAGAAAATCTGGACAAACCAATAAAGAGTAAGGAGATTGAAACAGTAATAAAAAGTCTCTCATCAAAGATAAACCCAGGACCTGACAGATTTAACTGCTGAATTCTACCAAACATTTAAAGGGCAATTAATGCCAATCCTTCTCAAACTCTTAAAAAAATTGAAGAGGAAGGAGCAATTCCAAATGCATTCTTATGAGATCAGCATTATTCTGATATCAATGTCAAACAAGAACACTACAAGAAAATTATAGGACAATTAATCCAATTAATTTTGTATCCAATTAATGTGGATACAAAAATCCTCAGCTTTGTGTGCAACTGTGTGTATCTTTCTCTTTCTTTTTACATTAATCTGTTACTCTCTAAAGAACGCAAGATCCCCAGAAGCAGCCACCACTTCCACTTTTTACTCAACTTTATATTTTTTACAGCCTGGCACACAAAGGTTTGTTTACCAGACTGACTGGCTGATTGGAAGTACTAAAAAATAGGAGTGTTCCTGCAACTAAGGGAAGTTTAGAGAAATGACAGGCATAGAAGGTTTATATTTAAGCAAGAATAAAAACAATATGGTTTCCTTATATCAATTTGGACTCTCAGTTCCTGTCAGGCAAAGACTGTGTATTAATTTCTGTAGTTACTAAGGCACCTAATATAAGTGCGTTATATAAATCAATTCATTGCCATGTCTATAGTCTTCATGAAACCTAGCATAATACCTTTCATTTAGAAATGACTGTTTTTTTGAATAAATAAATTTTAGGTCAACATAAAAAAAGTCCTCAACAAAATACTAGCAACCTGAATTGAACAGCATATTAAAAAATCATATACCTCATCAAAATACTAATAATACACATTTAAAAGGAGCCTACACCTTACTTTAATGACCAAGTGGGATTTACTTTGGGGATGCAAGGAAGGTTCAACATATGCAAATTAACAAATGTTGTACAACACATTAATAGAATGAAGGATAAAAATAATATGATCTTCTCAATACGTGCAGAAAAAGAATCTGACAAAATAAAACATCCTTTCATGATAAAAACTCTCAACAAATTAGGTATAGAAAGAATGTTTCTCAACATAATAGAAACCATATATGTCAATCTATAACAAGCATCTTACTCGATAATGAAAATTAGATGCTTTTTCTTTAAAATCAGGAACAAAACAAGGTGCCAATTCTTGCCACCTCTATTGAACATAGTAGTGGAAGTCCTAGCCAGGGCAAATAAATAAGAAAAAGAAATAAAAGACATCTAAATCATAAAGGAAGTAAAATTGTCTCTGTTTGCAGATGACATGATCTTAAATATAGAAAGCCCTAAAGACACCACCAAAAAACTGTTAGAAGTAAGAAATAAATTCAGTAAAGTTGCAGATACAAAATCAACATTAAAAAATTAGTAGCATTTTTGTATACTCACAACTATGTGAAAAAAATCAAGAAAACATTCTCATTCACAATAGCATAAAAATATTACTTAGAGATAAATTTAACTGAGTAACCAAATATCACCTGTTCCCCAAAAACCTATGGAAATAAATAAATAAAGCCACCAATGATACACATAAAAAAGAGGTTAAATTAATGACACTGCAAAGAAAAACTCAATGAGACAACAGGACTAGTATTTCCAGAAAGTGAGAATCTTGATTGAATCCTGCTTGGGGGATGACACAGTAGCTATTTAAAAAAAGAGACAAGTGGAAAAATCTGAAATAAGGACTTCATGTTAAATTAGGGAAGTATTTTAAGTGGGACAATGGTATTAAGGTTATATAGAATCACATTCTTAGGAGATGCATGGTTAAGTATTGTCATGTCTATAAATTTCTTTGAAATAGTTCATATAAAGCAAATATTGCAAAATATTAAAAAAGGAAGAAATTTAACTGAGGAGGCAAAAGATCTGTATACTGAAAACTATGAAACATTCATGAAAGAAACTGAAGATACAAATAAATGGAAAAATATCCCCTGTTCATGGATTAGAAGAGTTAATATGGCTTTTCACTTTCTTGATGGTGTCTTTGAAACACAAAATTTTGTACTTTAGGTGATGTCTGTTTTATCTGTTTTTTTCTTCTGTTGCCTGTGTTTTCAGTGTCTTATCTAAGAAACTCTTGCTTACTCCAAAGTCATGAAAATTAAAGGCTATGTTTTCTTCTAAGTGTGTTATAGCTTTGGCTCTTACATTTAGATATTTGATCTAATTTTAGTTAATTATTTATATGATGTGGGGTCCAACTTCATTCTTTTGTGTGTGGATATCCAGTTGTCCTTGCACTATTTGTTGAAAAAAACAGATAATGGTGGAAAGCTCCACTGAATTGTCTTAGCAATTTTGTTTTTGTTTGTTTTTGAACTCCTATCTGTAGCAGACTTAGCAACTTTGTTGAAAATCAAGTGACTGTAAATGTGAGGGTTTTTACCAAACTGTCCTGATTACTGTAGCTTTATAGTAAGTTTTGAAATCAGAAAGTGTGATTCCTCTTTGTTCATCTTAAGATTGTTTTGGCTATTTTGTATCTTTTACATTTCCATAGGAATTGTAGAATTAGTTTATCAACATCTGCAAAGAGCCAGCTGGGGTTTTAATAAGAGTTGAATTGGATTTTTAGGTCAATTTGTGGAGTATTGCCATCTTAGCAATATTAAATCTTTCTATTCATGAGCATGGATAGCTTTCCATTGACTTAGGCCTTCTTTACTTTCTTCAATGATGTGTAATAGTTTTCAGTATATAAGTCTTGTACTTTTGTTAAGTTTATTCATAGTTTCTTCTTTTTGATGATATTGTAAATAAAATTGTTGCCTCAATTTCATTTTTGGGTTGTTCATTGGTAGCGTATAGGACTAGAGTTGATTTTGTTTATTGAGCTTATATCCAGCACCTTGTTGAACTTGATTATTATTTTAAATAGTTTTTTTTGTGTGTAGATATCATAAGATTTTCTGTATGCAAGATCATGTGATTAGACATAGTTTTACATCTTCCTTTGCAAACTGGATGCTTTTTATTTCATTTTCTTTCTTAATTACCCTGGCCAGAACATCCAGAACAATATTGAATAGAAGTACCAAGTGTTAACATTCTCATTTTGTTTCTGGTCTTATAAGTAAAGCATTCACATTTTTTACCATTAAGTATGATGTTAGCTGGGTGTTTTTGTAGACACCTTTTATAAAAGTGTTGAGGAACTGTCCTTGTATTCTTAGTTTGTTAAGTGTTTTTTACCAGGAAGTGGTAAAAAAAACTTTGCTTTTTCTAGTGTCTTAAGGTGGGAGGTTAGTTTACTGATTTGATATATGTTTTCTTTTTTAATGTAGGCATTTAAAACTGTAAGTTTTTCTTCAAGCACTGCTTTATCTGCATCCCATAAGGTTTGGTAGGTTGTATATTCATTTCCACTCATCTCAAAGTATTTTCCAATTTTCCTTGTAATTTCTTATTTGACACATTATTTATTAATATTAGTGTGCTATTTAGTTTCTGCATATTTGTTAACTTCCTAAATTTACTTGTTATTGATTTATAATTTCATTCAATTGTGGTAGGTGGAGAACATACTTTGTATAATTTTAATCCTTTTGAATTGATTGAGGCTTGTGCTATAGTCTAGCATATGGTCCATCCAAAAGAATGTTCTCTATGCACTTGAGAAGAATAGATATTCTGCTGTTGTTGAGTAGAGTGTTCTACAGAGGTTTGTTAGAGTTGGTTTAAGGTTGTTCAAGTATGCTACCATTTTATTAGATAATATTAGGCAATATCTTTGTGTGTGTGTGTGTGTGTGTGTGTGTGTGTGTGTGTGTGTGAATGGCATAGTATCTGACTATTGTTTTTCTAAACCCATTTTCTCCCAGGTCCATTTTTTTTTAATTGTGGGGATTTGAATAGCACTGTAAGTTCTAGAAATACTAGCTAAGTTATAGAAGAGCTGGCTGTATGTATGAAGTGAATACATTTTATTTTAGGTAAACTATACCTCAGTAAAGTTGATTTAAAAATAAATTCATAATTCTAGGGAAAAGTTAAGTCGATAAGCTACCCTTCCTTAGGATAACAAATTAATTTATAAACAGAAAGCTTTTGAAGGCTTACCACTTTAAAAGAGATTAAAAGAAAATCCATCACACTTTTTTCTAAATAGTATTTAAATTCATTTTTTTATCTCCAGTAGTCTTGTTATATAAATTTATCTTTTCTTTTTAAATTCTTGAGCAAAATGCATCTGACTTTATTATTATTTGTTAAAGTTTAAAAAAGTTATCAATTGGCAATACCTGACCTTAAAATTCTAGCTGTCAGTCATCTCAGGCTAGAAAAGCATATTTACCAAAGGTTGTTCCTTAATTTAAAATACAGTGTTCTCACTCTTTGTGTTAATTTAAAAAGAAAGGGTTGATTTCAACTCTTGCTCTTCTCCTGATATTGCCTTTCAAGGTAAAAAGCAATTTTGGATAGATTAAAAGCCTAAATTAACCATTAAAAGCAGGTAGACTTGTCAAGTCATCTTAATGGATTCATTGAGAATTCAAAAAAATAATAAATCATAGCCTTCATTATGTGTCTTTAGCTGGCAAGAAATCTTTTTTCAATGAGAAAGCTAATCATTAACAAATACGTGTTACCATGGGAAGATAATGTTTAGGTATACCATAGTTTTAACCCTCAACATCCTAAAGAAGAAAATTTAGCACAACAAAACCCTTTCACTGCCTACTAAAAGTAAAGCACAGTGTAAACCTGACTTAACTACAGTAGATAATTTTGAAGGTATGTTTTGAAATTGATGGCCCAATTTTATTTTATTTTTTTTATTATTTTTTTAAAATAGTAAATATTTTAATTTATTAAATTTATATTTATATTTAAAAGATAAAGGAGGAAAATAAAAGCATTTTATTATTATTATTTTTTTTAAATAAAACTATATATATATTTTTTTTAATTGATCATTCTTGGGTGTTTCTCGCAGAGGGGGATTTGGCAGGGTCATAGGACAATAGTGGAGGGAAGGTCAGCAGATAAACAAGTGAACAAAGGTCTCTGGTTTTCCTAGGCAGAGGACCCTGCGGCGGCCTTCCGCAGTGTTTGTGTCCCTGGGTACTTGAGATTAGGGAGTGGTGATGACTCTTAACGAGAATGCTGCCTTCAAGCATCTGTTTAACAAAGCACATCTTGCACCGCCCTTAATCCATTTAACCCTGAGTTGACACAGCACATGTTTCAGAGAGCACAGGGTTGGGGGTAAGGTCACAGATCAACAGGATCCCAAGGCAGAAGAATTTTTCTTATTACAGAACAAAATGAAAAGTCTCCCATGTCTACTTCTTTCTACACAGACACGGCAATCATCCGATTTCTCAATCTTTTCCCCACCTTTCCCCCCTTTCTATTCCACAAAACTGCCCTTGTCATCATGGCCCGTTCTCAATGAGCTGTTGGGTACAACTACCGGACGGGGTGGTGGCCGGGCAGAGGGGCTCCTCACTTCCCAGTAGGGGCGGCCGGGCAGAGGCGCCCCTCTCCTCCCGGACGGGGCGGCTGGCCGGGCAGGGGGCTGACCCTCCACCTCCCTCCCGGACGGGGCAGCTGGCCAGGCAGGGGGCTGATCCCCCCACCTCCCTCCCGGACGGGTTGGCTGGCCGGGCGGGGGGCTGACCCCCTCACCTCCCTCCTGGACGGGGCGGCTGGCCTGGCGGGGGCTGACCCCCACCTCCCTCCCGGACGGGGTGGCTGCCGGGCGGAGACGCTCCTCACTTCCCAGACGGGGTGGCTGCCGGGTGGAGGGGCTCCTCACTTCTCAGACGGGGTGGCTGCCGGGCGGAGGGGCTCCTCACTTCTTAGACGGGGTGGTTGCCAGGCAGAGGGTCTCCTCACTACTCAGACGGGGCGGCCGGGCAGAGGCACTCCCCACATCTCAGACGATGGGCCGCCGGGCAGAGACGCTCCTCACTTCCTAGATGGGATGGCGGCCCGGAAGAGGCGCTCCTCACTTCCTAGATGGGATGGCGGCCGGGCAGAGACGCTCCTCACTTTCCAGACTGGACAGCCAGGCAGAGGGGATCCTCACATCCCAGACGATGGGCGGCCAGGCAGAGACGCTCCTCACTTCCCAGACGGGGTGGTGGCCGGGCAGAGGCTGCAATCTCAGCACTTTGGGAGGCCAAAGCAGGCGGCTGGGAGGTGGAGGTTGTAGCGAGCCGAGATCACGCCACTCCACTCCAGCCTGGGCACCATTGAGCACTGAGTGAACGAGACTCCGTCTGCAATCCTGGCACCTCGGGAGGCCGAGGCTGGCAGATCACACGCGGTTAGGAGCTGGAGACCAGCCCAGCCAACACAGCGAAACCCCGTCTCCACCAAAAAAATATGAAAACCAGTCAGGTGTGGCGGCGCGCGCCTGCAATCGCAGGCACTTGGCAGGCTGAGGCAGGAGAATCAGGCAGGGAGGTTGCAGTGAGCCGAGATGGCAGCAGTACAGTCCAGCTTCGGCTCGGCATCAGAGGGAGACCGTGGAAAGAGAGGGAGAGGGAGACCGTGGGGAGGGGGAGAGGCAGAGGCAGAGGCAGAGGGGCAGAGGGGCAGAGGGGCAGAGGGGCAGAGGCAGAGGCAGAGGCAGAGGCAGAGGCCAATTTTAATATTAAGGTCAGCAAACACCATTAAGCGTCTAGCTGTAAGAACTAAAATAACAAGGGTGAGTGATTAATGCTGTCATTGTTTTTCTAATTTTTATTTTAATAGATCTGTCTTGGATGGTTAATTCTAGATGATAATGTTAAGTTTCTCATAATTTGGTGGAAATACTGACATGAAATAGCTGGAAATACTGATATGTATAAAAACAAATGAACACTCTCTAAAAATACACGTCTTATCAAAAGAGTGAACAGTTTTTTTGGGTAAATTTTAGCTTAAAGATTTAGTCTAGATGTAAGTTAAGGAAACTTTATCCTGTTGTTTTTGCCTCAGAGGTTCTTCTTCCTTTCTTCTTTCTTCCTTCCTTTCTTATTACAATTTATTTGTGTGCATTCATTTTCATGTTTATTTGTTTAATGTCTATATCCCATGTTTGACTCTTATGTATATGTATTTTACCACTGTATATCCAGCATCTGTACCATGCCTGGCATATAGTATGCTCTATGGCACATGCTGTCAAAATTTTGTTGAATGACCAAATTGATAAAATGTCAAGAGATCTGCTCTGAAATCCAGTCTTAAATTCTTTCTGATTTAGTAAATAACTTGAGCGAGTCACTCTCTACTTTGTTTGTCTTCCTTGGTTTAGCGAATAATAATAATACCTCACATACAATATGTTACATATTTATAATATTCATTTTTATAGCATCCACTGAGTGATTATTATGTGCCAGGTACTTTTCTAGGTTTTAGGGGCACAGCAGTGAACCAAAAAAGACAAAAATATCTGCCTTCATGGAGCTTACATTCTAGTAAAATCTGTTGTTTGCTTTTGGTCTTGACAACAACCCTGTGAAGTGGGTAGAGCTGCTAATTCTATTGATTTACTAATGTGGAAGTAGAGGCTATGTGAAATTAAGTATCTAGTAAAGATCAATCAGCTAGTGAGTTCGAGAAGCAGATATTTGTTGTCCAGTGCTTTTCCCATTATGTCATCCTTTCTCCCATAACTCCTCATCTAGCATGTGGAAATTTTCTGAGGAAAAGTAAGATCCAATTTATTTAACCTCTTCTGTAAAATAGACTGTGTAAGTACAAACTGATAACGTGACTCAGGTTCTAAAGTGGCTTTAAGAACTATGGCATTTCAAGATACCTTAAATCTAAAGAAATCTTAAAATTTTAGTCTGAATCATTTTGTTTAGATATGGCCCATTACTATTTTGTAACACCTGCCTCTTATACCTGGTCTCTTGACTGTAGGATTTGGGGCTTACTATTGTTAAATGCTCTAGTACTCTACATTAGCATAGAAATCTAGACATTGCCCATAGCGGATAACGTATTAGTTGCTAAGCAAGGGAAATTATTATGCCATCTGCTGCGTCTTATAAGGTGTGTTATCACCTAACTCACTTTTTGAATCAACACACCAAAGACACCATAAGTAATGTAAATTATGGTAGCTTGTACATTTTTCAACTGAATAAGCAGTTTATAAAAAACAAAAAACCCACCTAACTTTGTGACTCTTCTAAATTTTAATAGATGCCTAGGAAAAATTATTTTTGGCCTTCAAACTTTGTTTCCATGAGATAATCTTTTCTTAGACCATTAGATACCCTGTATTCAAACTTAAAACAAGAATTATTTATTGTTATGAACTTACAATAGTTCTTTGGCATTCTTAGTAAGTTATTCATAGAAAATCAGCTATTTATTTTAATCCAATCATTTAAAATTCTAGAAAGCACTGAAATGCCCCAAAATATGCTTAAGCTTGCATAGAGGAAACTAGACATGGAAAATATATCTATTTGACAGAAATAACAAAGTCATTTCTTTATAAATCTGCCCTAAAGGCCATATATTTAATATAATTCTATTTGATTTTTGCCCCACTAACGAATTGGATTACCATAGAAAAAACACTTCTCAAAGTGTGTTCCTTGAGTATATTTCCTAAGAAATTAACCAGTATTATTGGAGGAGAAGAAAGATTTCTGTAGTTATATATGATTTTTTAAATGCTTGGTTAAAGAGGTTTCTTCACTATAGGACTTCTCAGAACTGTAACTATGTGAATATGTTAGTGTGTATTGTAATCTCTAGTGGGCAATATTCTTCTCAGTCACAGAAAGATTTCTTCTTAGGAATATCTTGTAAGACTAGTGTTCTGGAAAACACAATATGGAAAACACTACCTTAGAGTAAATGTTGGTATTTGCTTAATAGCTATGAAGTCTATATATTTATTATGGTTGTTCTTCAGTCCTCTTCCACTACAGCATACTCTCTCTGGGTACTCTCAATTGTACTAAAGGCTTTAAATACCACTTGCAGTCTGATGATGTCTGTATATGTAAATTCACCAACTCTGTCTCCTGAGCTTTAGATACATATGCATACCTGCTTATCCAATTTTTTAATATGAGTATTGAGGACTTCAAACTCAATTATCCAAAACTGAGCTCAATAGCTTCCTCTCAAACCCGCTCCTCCTGCTGCTTTCTTGTTTTATTATTGGAGATCACCGATATCCTCCACTCAACTGCCCAACCCAGACACCTGGGAGCCATCCTTACTCTTTTTACTCACTCTCTCTTCTCATGCAACCATCAACATAACCTAACTATACTCATTCTTTTTTTTAAAAGACATTTATTCAGTGTCACGATCAGACTATTACATTTAGCAATCAACAGCATGGGTGAAAAACAAATTTACATTAAAACCTTTTGTTGGAATGCTTTATACTTTCCACAGAACAGAAACTAAAATAACCCATTATACAATTAGTCACAAATACAATCCCTGAGTCTTTTGCCCACACACATGAGTATTTGTCTAAAACATGTCTTCTTTGTAGCAGCTAGGCCCTGCCACCACCGTGCTTGGCTGAGTTCACAAATCTGTTGTAACCTGTAGCTTCCCTATCACTTCTCTGGCTCTCCTCTCCTGCTAAGCTTTGTTTCCCAATTAAAATCTTCTGCCACTGCCATAGCTACTGCTGCTACTGGAACTTCCATAGCCACCTTGGTTTCCTGGTTGGGCAAAGTATTGGCCTCCACCACCACAGTGGCCAGAGCTTCTGCCTCCAAAGTTTCCTCCCTTCATGGGTCCAAAATTTGAAGACTGATTGTTGTAATTGCCAAAATCATCATAGCTTCCACCACCTCCAAAATTGCTTCCATCATTGCCAAATCCATTATAGCCATAGCCACTGCCACCATATCCACCACCACCATGGCTGCCACCAAAGCCACCATGACCACTGAACTTTCCTCCATGACCAAAGTTGTCATTCCCACCAAAACCACCTCCACGACCACCACCAAAGTTTCCAGATCCACTTCAACCTCTGGCTGGAGGAAGCACTAGCCATCTCTTGCTTTGACAGGGCTTTCCTAGCTTCACAGTTGTGGTCATTCACAGTGTGGTATTTCTGAATGACAATCTTATCCACGGAGTCATGGTTGTCAAAGGTTACAAAGGCAAAGCCCCTTTTCTTGCCACTGCCTCAGTCAGTCATGATTTCAATCACTTCAATTTTCCCATACTATTCAAAATAATCTCTTAGGTGATATTCTTCAGTGTCTTCTTTAATGCCACCAACAAATATCTTTTTAAGTGGGCACCTGGTCTTTGAGAATCTTCTCTTGAGACAGCTCTGTTTGGTTCCACAAGTCTTCCATCCACATTGCGTGGCTTTGCATTCTTGGCCACATCCACCTCCTCCACAGTGGCATATGTGATGAACCCAAAGCCCCCGGAGTGCTTGGTGTTTGAATCTCTCATTACCACACAGTCCGTGGGTGTTCCCCATTGCTCAAAATGGCTCCTCAGGCTCTTATCGGTTGTTTCAAAGCTCAGCCCTTCAAAGAAGAGCTTCCCTAGCTCTTTGGGTTCTTTAGGAGACTCTGACTTAGACATAACAGCAGGGAGAAGAGAGAATTTAACGATGCTTCTTCAGTGGCATCTATGGGCAGAAAGGCACTATCCTCATTCTTTATAGCCCTCAAGTAAGTCCACTTCACTCAAATTGCATTTAACTTAACTAAAGCCTTTATCATCTTACATAGATTGCCAAAGTAACCCATCATTCAATAGAAATATAATGTCAGTCACAACACAAACCATGTATGTAATTTGAAATTTTCTAATAGCCACATTAAAAAACATAAATATAAGAGATAAAATTAGTTTTTAAAATATATTTTATTTAACCCAATATATGCAAAATAACCCAATATATGCAATATATGCAAAACCCAATATATGCAAAATACATTGCAACATGTAATCACTGTACAATTATGGATATATATAAATGAATGATATATTTTACATTGTTATTTTTACACTAAGTCTTTGACATCCAATGTGCATTTTCCACTTTAAATCATCTCAATTCATACCAGCCACACTTGAAGAGCTCAGTAGCCACATGTGGCTGGTGGCTATGATATTGGACAGCACAGCTCTGACTGGTTTCCTTGCCTGCAGACTCTCCCCTTCCACTTCATTCTCCCCAGCTGCAGCCAGTGTGGCATGTTTGATTCTATCACTTCACTGTTGAAGGTCCTTGAATGATTTTGCATTGTATAAGCTTTCAAGACCCATGATAATAAGCTGTACTTACCTCTTGAACTTTATCTCATTCAACTCCATTCTAAGCTCCATACATACTGATATCTTTATGGTTGTTTCCCAAAGATATCATGCCTTCTCTCTTCTAGGCCTTTGTACATGTTGCTTTCTGCTTAGAATTATCTTCCCCAAATATTTTGCCAAGTGAACTCCTATTTAGGTCTCAATTCTTCCAGGAAATCTTCCCTCAATGCAAAAGTCTGAATAAGCTGCTACTCCTATGAACTCTCATTGTATCATCTGCTTACCTAATATTAGAATTTATTGCAGTGTGTCTTATTGTATCCACTGAGGTAAACTTTGTTACAGTTTATCTCTCCTGCTAGACTGTGAGCTCCATGAAGGTAGGTAGCAAATTGTGGTTCATTTTTTTCTCATAGACCATAGATAGTCCATGGCTGGTGCAGGGACTCAAGAATGTTATTAAAAGATCAAACTTCTCCCACTCAGCCATTCTTCAGTGTCAGTTTGTCACTGCATGCTCACAAAAAGGCTACTGCAGCTCCAGGTACTAGACTCAAGTGCAAGGCAGGAAGAAGAGGAAAGGGAGCTATGACAGCCATGTCTGTCCATTTTATGAGGAAATCAAAAGCCTCCCCAGAAACCCCCAGTACACTTCCCTTTAGAGCTCATTGGCTGCTGCTGTGTCACATGGCCACATCTGGCTTCAAGGAGGCTGAACAAGGTAAATACTGACTGCACAGTAGAAAGTGGCATGGAGAAAGGAAATAGGAACACCTAGTGAGCCAGCTAAACATAAATGTTTGCTGTAAGTACTTCTTTTGAAGTCTTTCTCTCTCCTCAACCCCCAAGATTTGGGGAGTGTTTGTGCTTTGTGTGTTTGAGATATTTGAAGTTATATGACAAGGTTGTAGGTGTATGTTTGAGATATATGAAGTTATGTTCCAAGGCTGTAGGTCTATTCTAAAGCCAGAGCTCAACAATGTAGGGGAAAAGGAAATGCATTTCCTTCCTTTTTACTAAGATTGCAAAGTAAATGAAGTGGGAACTGGAAGAATACACTCCAAATTTTACTTAACAAAATGATAGTGAAGCAATAATTTAGTTTTCTTGGATGGACCTCCAATCAGCATGAAGTCAATGACTCAATGGGGCAGAGATGAACACTTGAGTCACAGTGCATTAAGTCCTGGCAATTAATGCATAAACAGAGTCACTCACTCTTTGATAAAGCACAATAGGAATCATTCCTTTGAAGGAGTAGAGTGTCAGCTTATATATGAAACTCTCCTACTAGTATAGTGACAGCTGATTCTGCTGGCTAGGTGATCCTAAATTGCTGAGCCTTGTTTCTATAACCAGAGATAAGATCAGAAATGAATATGAATAAAAGTTGATCTAGAATGTAAAATAGTTGATCCAGCCAGAGCAGACTGCTTCTCAGTGGCAGGAGTGCTGTTCTGGCCATGGTTCTGCTTTATAAGGCAGCCTCTCTGGCAGCAAGCATCAAGTGAGAGTATGATGCAAAAGTATCTATTGATCCTGCCAGCATCTATTGAACTAACATGATTCATTCTTCAACACTCACTTCCTGATAAATAGAAACAAAGTCAGAATGATTGAGTGCCTTGAAAGGGTCAGTGTTTCTGGCTCTGGAAATACACTCTGCTTTGCTTCCCCATTTGTTTCTCATCAGTGGATTTGCTTCAGATGTTATCTAGCAGCAGGGAGACCATTACTGCATGGACATGTCCTGTTACAGTGACATTCATTCAATTTTCTAAAGTGAAGCATGGGCCGTGGACTGTCTGAATGTCTCTAAAAATATAAGACAAGCAGCTTATGTTTAAACGGTGATTAGACACTTAAAAATTTGGAAAGCTTGAACTTATGCATATTTAATAACAGTGATAGCTCATTTTTCATTCTTTGAGTTAAAAGGCTTGGAAGTATCAAAGACCATTAGAATTCCTCGAAAATTTCCAGACATTATTTATACTATTATATGTTATTCAATATTGTTTCCTACCAAACTCTTTCATCAGAACTGCTATGGAGTTGCAAAACTGATGTTGGACCTCAACTTTCTGCCTCTCTACAGGTCCGAGAGAGTACTAGTAAGTAGCAAATGGGGAAAGCCCATCCATTAGAGGGAGAGGAGAAAAATAAAAGTGTCTAAATAATCCCCAAACTCTGTAGTCTATCACTGAATTATCTAGGGTTGACTATTTCCCTTAATTAGCATTTGTAATTGTAAACAGATCTGCTTATTTGAATCTTTCTTGAGCCAGCATCGTGTATAACGTGGCATTCTACAGTTATGCAAACAAAGGCACTGATTTTTAATTGATATGGAAATTGCTTACAGTGAGCTTTTATGAAGAGCAATTATTGCATTGGAAAAAGATCTAAAGAGTAGTTATTAATCTTTACAAATTTTGATTTGGGTGTAAATGCATCTGATCTCTAGGGTTCTATAGTGGAGAATGAATTTATGTGTTAGCCACATTTATGTCATTTTTCCAGATATCAGATTCCTGGTGCATTTGTAGTTTTTGCCTAAACAAATGTTAACTTCAGGCTTGGTTTAGTTTACTTCCTTCTCAATATATTGCATCTTTTATTCTTCCCTAAGTATACTCAAACACATTATCAGAATTTTTGCTTCCATGATTATGCTTCGCCTTCCTCAAGGTCAGAGATCCTGTCTTCATGATCTTTGTAAGTCTGTAACACAGCACAATGCCTGGCTCATAGGAGGCATTCAAATAAAAGTTGAAGGAAATGAATTTAGCCTAAATAAGTGATTTGAGACAAATAAAATAATCTGTTTGTCTGCCTTGCCTTATCTGCAAAAGAGGCAAGTATTTTGATTTATACCACAAGTATATTTTGCGAATCAATATACAGTAGTAGGAGAGTAATTGTTCAGAGGCTGATTGTTGCACAAAATTCAAGAAAAAAAATTACCCTGTGGTTCTCTGCTGTTATGAGTCTACATAAAATCCTACTCTCCTTGATTTGCTAATATTGCAAGTACCTGAGCAATTTGCTGTTCCCACCTATTCCCAATCTAAATAGTACTAATGTTTTGCAGGTTTCTCATTTCCATTGAGTAGCTGCTCTTCAGACTTAGTATAATCTCAGAATTTAATTAGCAATCAGAGCAAAGGTCAATTGGTGTCTCACTGCATGGACTGAGAGAAAGAGTGAAGATGATTACATTTTCGCCTGATGCCCATTGCTCATTTGAAAGAACTCAAGTTCTTAACAACTGAAGGCAGCAGTGGTGTGAAGCCAGATGTCTTTACCCATCTGCTGTTCCTGATAGCTGAAGCTACTTCATCAACACTGGTTAATATGCTCTGGCAGGTGCAGGTCTTTAGAAATCAGTTTAAATTATTAAACCCCTTGCTTACACATAGGCTTCTAGAATCCACCCCAACTTTATATCTTGCCCATGGTCAGGCATCATGAGGGGACTGGACCATGCTCTTGTGACTCTTTTC
The DNA here is from genome assembly GCF_000001405.40 of Homo sapiens. NCBI lineage: Eukaryota > Metazoa > Chordata > Mammalia > Primates > Hominidae > Homo > Homo sapiens. The sequence continues at coordinate 77,993,001 of NC_000004.12, forward strand.
ACTGCCATCAGGATTTGAAGTCTTTATTTAGAGAGTCTCAGGCTGCCTTTAATATGTTTTTACCCTCTGACCCAATAATTCTTTTTTTTTTTTGAGACAGAGTCTTGCTCTGTTGCTCAGGCTGGAGTGCAGTGGCGTGATCCCAGCTCATTGCAACCTCCACCTCCCAGGTTCAAGCGATTCTCCTGCGTCAGCCTCCTGAGTAGCTGGAACTACAAGTGCCCGCCACTGCACCTGGGTAACTTTTGTATTTTTAGTAGAGATGGGGTTTCACCATATTGGCCAGGCTGGTCTTGAACTCTTGACCTCAAGTGATCCACCCACCTCGGTCTCCCAAAGTGCTAGGATTACAGGTGTAAGCCACCGCACCTGGCCTGACCCAATAATTCTACTTCTGGGAATTTAATTGAATAAAATTGTCAGAGAGCTATTCAGAAATTCACATATACAACGTTTGCAATAACATGGTTATAATATCAAAAACCTGGAAACAGTCAAATTAGTTAAGTAGGAGATTACATAATGATACAGCCACACTGTACTATGCAGCTACTAAAAATCATTTAGCAAGATTGGAAAATGCTCATTATATACTATAAGGTGAAAAGAGTAGAATGCAACTATAGGTATATAGTGTAATTTTGTAAAACAAACTATACATATATATGCATATAATTTTAGAAAATATATTTGTATTAGTAGGGTTATAGATATTTGCAAGTATTTTTCCTATTTAAGCCAATCTGTATTGTCCAGGTTCTCCATAATTTTATCAAAAACAGTTAATTTTCAATTATAAATTAGCTCAGCTTTTTGTTTTAAATAAGTGATAATGAAAAGGCAGTGGTTCACATACAGAAAAGTGCGGGAACATCCTTACGAAGCAACAAATTTAAAGGTGAGAAGGAGAGACAACAAGATCAGCAGGGATCAAGGTGCCAGTGTGGGAGAGGGAGCACTTACAGATTTGGGTCATCCCGACCTGGGGATCTCTAAGAAAAAGGTGAAAATTCCATGCCAAGTTCAATAAATACAGAGCTCAATACTGATTTCAGATGATAAAGTATTAACACATTGTTGATGATAAGGAATCAGCTACATTGGTTCTGTTCACTGCAGCAGCATGGCCAGAAGAGTGATGCTTGGGTCAGGAGGTAGAGCTGCCTCCCTGACTAAGGTCGAGTCTAGAAGCAGAGATAGAAGAGCAGAGCCTGTTGTAGGTTGTGAGGGAGAGGAAGTGAACCCAGCAGGCAGAGCAAGCATAAAGTTTATTGCCAGGAACACAGCAATGGAAAATGCAGGGTTGAGTAATATTCAGAGATCCAAATCCAGCAGCCAGAGGGAGCCTTTAAAAGTTAAGTCTAATCTGTCATTCCTCTGCTCAAAATCCTCCAGTAGCAACTCATTTCACCCAGAGTAAAAGCCATAGTCATAAAATCTAAATCTAAAAAATGTGCCCTTGGAAATCAGCTTGAGGTATCATGTTGTTCTTGGACTGCACAAGGATGGCAGAATCTCCCCAGTAGCTGTCAGCCACACTGGCCTTTGCTTTTTTTTTCAGTTCCCTAGGACCTCTAAAGAGCTATAACAACTAAACCTGCAAGCTTGGAACCTATAGCAGATTTCATCCACAAGGGGTCCCAGGAGAGGAAGCCTTGATACACAGATGCAAGTTGGAATCTAGGTATGAGGGACTGTGGGGAGTGCAGTGAAACTGACTATTTGGGTCTGGAACATAAAGTGTCATTGTGCTCTTGGGGCAACTGCAGTTGTGCAGGGATCAAATCCTCTGCTTCGAACAAACAAACAAACAAACCAACCCACCAATGTGCTCAACTGCTTCAAGCAGGTTTAAGTAATAAGAGTATATATGAGGCTCACCTGCCTGCATTTATCTGTGACCCCAAGATCTAAAATGATGCCACAGTCATCATGGAAAAGTAGCGTGGGGAGAGAGAGGAATGTGGAAGAGAAGAAAGGGGAAGGTAGTCCCTGGAAAGCCTGGGGAACTGGTCAAGATGGTGTATGGCTGTACCCTGACCCGTTCCATCAAAGCAGAATCTAAAGTGCTGCTGTGAGTTTCCAGAAAAGGAGCAAAACCCACAGGATGCACACATTCCAACTGTGCTCTGTGGAGCCTTTGGTCTAAATCTAACCCAGCTTTTCTGAGGTCAAAGGCTGAGTCAGTGAGAGAGCTGAGAATAGAACCCCTGAGCACCTGACGCCCGCCTGTGACCTATCTGTTAAACCATACAGAACAAGGTGTGTGCACATAAAGCATTTTTTATTTTAGTGATGGGAAGCAGGGCTTACCAAGTTTAGAAACTTCTTTGAAACCAGAGGTTCAGTCTTTGCAACCTGCACACTGACAATTACATAAAACATATATTTCTTTTTCTTCCTAGTGAAAGGGACTTTTTCAAATAATAAATTAGAGGATTCAAAGATGTTTTCCTAGACATGAATGGTTGTTTAAAAGCAGCACTTTTTTTCTTATTTAAATGTAGATGAATCTGAATGGGCTGGATTTAAACTGTGACATGCATTTCTAAGTTACGTTCTCCTCTACCTGTCTGCGCCAACACAGAGAAACACAGCAGTGAAAGTCTGTGCTCAAACCTCATCATAAACACAAGCCAAGGAGTTCCATACAAGGAACAACTTTTTGATTCCACCTGCCTGTTTTTGCTAGACCTTGACTTTGAGAAGAAAAAAAGGCTTGCAGTATAATTTTGGGGCTGCTCCAAGCCATGCGGGTTTCCCAGGTAGGCTAATAATTTTGTGCACCCACAAACCGTTACTAAATAAATACTTTTTAGGCTAAGTGTGGCAAGGAGTAAGAGGACTTTTGTGACAGCAGTTGGCATGTCCTATCCTATGCTATCTAAAATGGTAGCCATTAGACACACTTGGCTCTTTAACTACAAATTGATTAAAACAAAATTCAATTTAAAAATTGGTTATTTACCAGCTACTCATACCAGCTACATTTCAAGTGCTAAATAGCCACCTGTGGGTAGTGGTTATTGTATTACACAGCACTGATATGCAGAAAGCTCTACTGGACAGTACTGTTATGTCCCAAGTAATTCAGGTTCCAAATATATGTGCTCCTTGCTGTGCTCATCTACTGACAAGGCAGTTTAATGGTAATCTGTTATATTCTACCATTCAATCATTCAGCATGTATTGATCGAACACCTACTACACTTCCTGGCTTTGTTTGCCTATGGGCCAAGTGGTACCTGTGGCTTCAGATTTCAAAGAAGGCCCCGGGGCAGAAAATGAAAAGACCCATGGTAATGTTTGATGTGAGACTGTCTGTGTAGAAAAAACTCACTGTTTTTCTCTTTATTTGCACTCTCAATACTTCACTTCTGATACTGTGTGTGTGTGTGTGTGTGTGTGTGCCTGTGTGTAAAGTTTCCCACGCCAAGTAGTTCTCCAATTCTCTGCAGACACCAACCAGGTATCCTAGCATTCAATTCAATTCGGACACTCATCAGACTTAGCATCAGCTCCTACAGTTCGGACACTAACCAGAGTTAGCATCAGATTTCACAGGTCAAGGATTTAATCCCACAAAATTGCTCCCAATTCAGATGCCAATCCCAAGTCCAGGTTGTCACTCATGGTTCTGACCAGCCAACTATAAATCAGGCTCTCCACAACCCCTCCCTAGGTGAATCGTTTGCTAGACTAGCACACAAAACACAGGAAAAAAGTTTACTTCCTAGATTACTGGTTGATTATAGAAGACACAACTCAGGAACAATCAGATGGAAGGGATGCATAGGGCAAGGGATGGAGAAGGAGTACGGAGCTTCTATGCCCGCTGCGGGCACACCACCCTCCCAGGACCTCCACATGGTCACCTACCCTGAAGCTCCCCAAATCCTGTAGTTTAGAGATTTTTATGCAGGCTTTAATATGTAGGGATGATTGGTTATTAACTCAGTTTCTAGCGCCTGTTTCCTGCCCAGAGGATGGGGGTTGAGGTTGAAAGATTCAAGCTTCTAATTCTGGTTTGGTCTTTCTGATGACCAGCCTCCACCCAGGAGCCCACCAACGTTTGCCTCATTAGAACAAAACACATTCCCACCACCCAGAAAATTCCAAGGTATTAAGAGCTCTGTGTTAGAAAGCAGGGTCAAGGACCAAATATTAGAGAAAAGATATTCACTTAACAAAACTATTGTTCAGGAAATTACTTTCAGGAGCTCTGTGATAGGAACCGGAGGCAGAGATCAGATGTGTATTTTTTTATTATGTCATACTGTCCACTGCCACTGGAGATGAGAAATGGGCTTAGGGTAAATGACCCAGGGCACCAAAATTGTGCACTTTGTAACTGTAACTATTTTTGCCTTCATTTAAAAAATCACTGCTATTACAATTTAAAGTATTTTTAGTATCCAGTAGTAACACCATGTGAGCATTCGTTTGAAGGTGGTCCAAATGATGCTGCTGAGAAAATGGTCCTGAAAATCAGTATCTTTGGAATAGAAGCTAGACATGCTAAAATAAGACCAAACACCCTGACACACTGGGTTGTACATTTTGAAGAAAGCATGCTATGAAATATTAGAAATAATCTTGGAAAAAACATAAAACAACTATTAAAGTGAAAATAGACAAAAATTACAGTAGATGTATGTGCTATGAGAATCCATCCTTCCCTAGTTTCCATTTAGGAAAATTTTCCATGTGGGAAAATTAGGCTGGAATTATGCAACGCTTAAGGAACACAACCCTCACATGAGCCATCCCTGAATAACTTTCTTCATCAAGGTACTTTTCCAGCGAAAACTGTATAGATTGGCAGCCAAGGAGACTGCTCAGTGAATCCATCCTGTTGTTTAGCTTCAGTCTGGCACATAAGAGTAAAAAATACTGTGGTTGCACACACAACATCCATTTTACCCTCTTACTTTGGGTAGAAACCATGTGGCTGTTCTCCCCTAACTCTAGAGGTGGATTCTCACTAGTCTAGGCCTGGCTGTTATTGGTTTAGATGGGCTCATTTCCCAGGTCTAAAATTACTGTGACTTCCTTAGCCATACTAATTTTTTTCAGAGGTGAGAAAGTCCAGTCAGTGGGAAGCTTAAGAATTTGGTTTTATGGTTGGAAGGAAAGGAACCCCTTCTTGCCCCCAGTGCAAATGAGAAAGCATTTAGCCCTAGGAGCTGCGGGTAGCCACCTTGCTACCATATGGAAAACCAGCCTAAATAAAAAGCCAGTGCAAGAAGGAGAGCACAACCACGGGAACTGAACATTTTTAAAAAAGGAGCAATGACCCTGATGATAATATTATAAACCTTTGGCCCAAACTAACCCTAAAGTTTGCTCTCTAGTCTTTCTAGTTATGTGATTCAGTAAACTCCCTTATTCTCTGAGCCAGGTTTTTTTTTTTTTTTTTTTCCCAAGCTGGAGCTTTGCTTTTGTTGCCCAGGTCGGAGTGCAGTGGCGCAATCTCGGCTCACTGCAACCTCCGCCTCTCAGGTTCAAGCAATTCTCCTGCTGCAGCCTCCTGAGTAGCTGGGATTACAGGTGCCCACCGCCACGCCTGGCTAATTTTTGTTGTTGCTGTTGTTGTTGTTTTTTAGTAGAAAGGGGGTTTCACCATGTTGGCCAGGTGGGTCTCGAACTCCTGACCTCAAGTGATCCACCCGCCTCGGCCTCCCAAAGTGCTGGGATTATAGGCATGAGCCACCGGCCCGGCCCGGCCCTCTGAGCCAGTTTTAGTTGTGTTTATGCTGCAGAAAGCTTCCTAACTGATAACAGACACTTAGAAATAAATATTCATTTCCCTTCCCATCCATCAGTAGTGCCATTAAAACGATCAAGACTTAAAACAGAAAGTCAAATATAAAGACAATAGAAGACTATGTTTTTTTCATGACCTAAATCAAATGCCATTTTTTTTCCACTCAAACTTTTTTTAGCATAACTTTATTATTTTATTGTTAGTCCCTAATCTCTGGCAATTCACTTCTAAATTGATTTATATTGCTTATAAAGTGAAACATCATCTACTACTCAGTTTAATTACTAAATTCTGATTGCTTACATAAATAAACAGCTCTCTGCATGTGACAAGTCTGGACATTGCTGATCTCAGATTGGTTGAATTCACTTGTGGTCCTAATGGTGGTCAATCATGTGTCTATGAAGGAGTTCTGATTGTAATAATGCTCTGGTGCAACAAAATAATGTTTCATAGTTTCATATTTTACAAAGTACATTATTACTTCCATTTGTCCTAGATATATATCTAACAATGTCTAGTTCAACAGATTCTGCAAGTTATCTCCCAATAGAAATGATTGAAAATATGAAAACATTACACAAAGGCATTTGTGTAAATGAAACGTATATCAGTTTGGACTCTTTCTATTGCCAGTGATGGAAGACCCAACTTAAATTGGTTTCATTAAAGAAGGGGAATTCATTGACCCATGAACTGAAAAATCCAGGGACTCATTTAGGGCAGGATTTGAGGCTCAAACAATGCTATCAGAACTTACCTTCTGTTTGTCTTCATCTCTGAGCTCTATTCTAATGCATTGGCTCCATTCATAGTTCCTGGTTACCCCATGTCTCTTAGTCCAACAGAAGGGACGGTACTCTTCCTTGAAAAACTCAAAGAGAGGTCCTAGATCTTAGGATTATTGGTACTGATTGGCCTAACTAATTATTGTGATCAAGGGATGGAACACATAGATTGGCTTAGACTAGGTCCTATCCTAAACCCCTGTATTCAGCAGCAGACATAGTTCACTGGGACCACAGCCAAACCTACTGAAGGTAAGAGAAATCCTAAATATGTATATATTGTACAGTTGACCCTTGAACAATGAAAGGTTAGGGGAGCTGACTCCATGCACAGTCAAAAATCCACATATAACTTTTGACTCCACCAAAACCTAACTACTAATAGCCTACTATTGACCTGAAGCCTTACCAATAACATAACCAGTCATTTAGAACACATTTTCTGTTATAGGCATTATATACTGTATTTTAACAATAAAGTAAGCTAGAGAAAAGAAAATCATAAGGAAGAGAAAATATATTTACTATTTGTTTAGTGAAAGTGGATCATCATAAAGGTCTTCATCCTCATCATCTTCATGTTGAGTAGGCTGAGAAGAAGAATGAAGAGGAGGGATTGGTCTTGCTGTCTCAGGGGTAGCAGCAGAGGCAGAAGATCTGCCTATAAGTGGACGCACACAGTTCAAACCTGTGTTGTTCAAGGGTCAACTGTACATTCTTATCTAAAAAAATGGATGTGTGGGTGGTGGGAGGTGAAATGGCAATGAACCATCAGAAAGTGAGGCCATATATCATTCTTGCCTTTGGTCCCAGGAACCTGTGGTGGTCTGGCTGAGGCCTTTCCCACTTACTCTGACTTTTCACATTCGGGTTCATATGCAGTCGCCAAGTTTGACTTTTAGTGGGCTTCTTTGCCTTTCTTTCTCACCCTATTCAGGTCCCATCTAAGCATTAATTTCTCTGTGAGCTCAATTCTTGTCTTGACAGTCAAAGTTAATGTACAAGGCATTGTTAAAACTACATGAGTGGCGGCTCATGTCTGTAATCCCAGCATTTTGGGAGGCCGAGGTGGGGGGTGGATCACTTGAGTTCAGGAGTTCGAGACCACCCTGGCCAATGTGGCGAAACCCCATCTCTATTTAAAATAACAAAGTTAGCCAGGTGTGGTGGTGCACACCAGTAGTCCCAGCTACTTGGGAGGCTGAGGCAGGAGAATTGCTTGAACCTGGGAGGTGGAGGTTGCAGTGAGCTGAGATCTCACTTCTGTACTCCAGCCTGGGCAACAGAGTGAGACTCTGTCTCAAAACACAAACAACAACAACAGCAACAACAGCAAACCCACTGGCTGGGCCAGGTGCAGTGGCTGATGCCTGCAATCCCAGCACTTTGGAAGACCGAGGCAGGAAGATTGCTTGAGCCCAGGAGTTCAAGATCATCCTGGGCAACACAGTAAGACCCCATCTCTACAAAAAAATTAAAATATTGCCAGGTGGTGTGGTTCATGCCTCTAATCCCAGCACTGAGGTGGGCAGATCACTTGAAGTCAGGAGTTTGAGACCAGCTTGGCCAACTTAGAGAAATCCCATCTCTCCTAAAACCCTATTTCCCATTTTTTCCCTCCTAATTCATTCTTGTTAGCTTCACAATATGATTTATGAACACAAACAATGTCTAGGAAAAGAAGGAATATTCTGGGTGATAGGTTCCGAGGTAGCTGGTTAACTAATTTTGATGGATAGAAAATAACTAACTTAGCTGACTAATTTTGATAAATAGAAAGTAAGTAATCTAGAAGAGCAGGGAGAATATATTGCGGGCATCCAATATGAAGCACAGACTTTGTTTTTTTTCTAGAAATAGTTGAATTAGTTCTGATCTACTTGGAGGTATTTGGGTATTTCTAGATGATCTGTCTTGGGACCAGTGTCCTGAAGAGGGATAGGTTTCATTTTTAAAGAGGGTAGCAGAAATACAAGGACATTTTTGGAAAGTTAAAATTGTCCACTAAGAAATTTGCTGAGCTTCTAATTTGTCTGTTAATCAACAATCTAAAAATAAGGGCTGCTTTAAATAAAAGACCAAAATAAATAACTCATGGAAAAGTCCCGTATTTGTTCCTGTCCAGCAGTCCAATTATATCATGTAATCACTTCTTCCCCTTTCAAGCTAACATGATTGCACTTGTTCTTTTCACTTAATAAATATGGACTTCCCTTTTTAAGCTATTTGAAGAAATATACATCTCCTGCTTTGCCTATTAAGAAAGCACATTTTAACTTTTTTTTTTCTTTTGCCAAGGGAGATGCTACATAGGGTGAATTCAAGGAGTCCCAAAGAAGAATCTGAAATAATGTGAGGCAACTGGGAGGTGTTGAGAAAAAGTATTAAACATGGATTTAAAAAGCTGGAGTTTAAATATAGTACAGCCATTACTGTGTTACCTTGGCCAATTTACCTAACCTCTGTGAGCATCATTTTCTGAAGAAAACAGAGAATAAGAGGGTCAAAAGTAACATAGTAATGAGACCCTATGTAAAGCTGGAAGGAGTCTTAGATGGACGTCAAGTCTACTCTCTAATACTTAAAGCATTGGGGGTAGATGGATTTTTATTTAAAATTATAACAGGAATACCTTTTATTTATGTAAATTTTACTCTTAAAGATTTTCTCTAAAAAAGAAATAATTTATTCTAAGAGATTCAATATGACTAAAATAAATGACATGTCTTTATATCTGCCAGTGTTTTATTATCATAATGTTACAATGGTAAGCATTAAGTTCTGAGAATTGGATGTAAGCCACGTACTGCTAAGATCATTGGTTCTCATAGGTACAAATCTAAGTCTATTTTGGATCATACCCAGGAATTGATGAACCTTCCACCCAGCCTTAACATGAAGATAGAGAAAGGAATGCGACGGGCTTGGGAGGAGAAAGTGTTCAAAGTGCTAAGTTGAGATGTTTCGCATTCCAGGTCCCAAACTCAACATTTTAAAATTAGCCTCTCTATTTTAAAGAAGAGCAGGGTTTTTCTGACTCCATTCTATGGCCCTTGCTCTCTCCTATTTCTTCAAATTTCATATCAATTCATTGGGGTTTACATGAAAAAAGAGAATATTTGATAAACATTAATTCCCCCAAAGATAGTATTTTTTTGCCCACCTGAATTTAAGGCAAGCCAATCTAAACTTCAAACCTGAACCAAACAAAAAGGAGAAAAACAAAAGGAAACCTCAAAAACGTTTCTTTCAAGCTAGCTTTCGCCTGTAATCCCAGCACTTTGGGAGGCCGAGGCGGGCGGATCACGAGGTCAGGAGATCGAGACCATCCCAGCTAACACGGTGAAACCCCGTCTCTACTAAAAAATACAAAAAATTAGCTGGGCGTGGTGGCGGGCCCCTGTAGTCCCAGCTACTCCGGAGGCTGAGGCAGGAGAATGGCGTGAACCCGGGAGGCGGAGCTTGCAGTGAGCCGAGATCGGGCCACTGCACTCCAAGCTGGGTGACAGAACGAGACACTGTCTCAAAAAAAAAAAGAAAAAAAAAGTAAGTTCTCCAAATCCACGAAACCGTTCCAGGTACTCATTACAGCTGCTGCCTTTACTGCTTCAGGAATTTGCGTCAACATTGCTTTAGGGCATGCGTGGTCATTCTTCACTCCGTTGTTGTTGTTTACAACAACATATATGGGGATTGTATATGTTTATATAGTATATGGGGATTGTAGTGTTTATCTCACTCCTTGGATGATTTCTGGAGACACAGGGTTTTGCTATGTTGCCCAGGCTGGCTTTGAACTCCTGGGATCAAGTGACCCTCCTGCCTCAGCCTCTGAAGTAGATGGGACTACAGGTCCACGCCACCATGCCGAGCTGGACATGTAAATTTGAAGTGAATGATTAAACATGCAGCTAGTTGAAAACATGACAGACCAGTAACAGAAAAGCTACAATGTGTTTTTGAAACTATAAAGTGAATGGTTTCTTGGGAAAAATTGTGGATTTGTATATCTGTTGTTGAAATCAGAATAAACTATATTTCACTTGTATATTCTTAAATGAATTATTAAATTTTTCAGAAGTCAGTATTATATAGAAATACCATTTTGCAATGTTTAATCTGTTTGAATCTTTGGAGAAGGTGGTTTCATTATAGGTGCATAATGCACTCTCAATATTTTAAACAAATTGTTCACTCTTCCATTTAAGGTATAACAGTTTCTTGTATAAAATGGCTGGATGTGTATAAAGGAATTACGCTGTCTTGTGCCTTTAACACAACTTCAGTAATTACTATAATCTCATGTTTATAATAGTTTTGTTGGGTGAGAGGATCAAATGAAAGTATTTTATGTTTTCTCATCTCTTTAGATTTTATCATTGTGTAAATTATTGGGCTTTTAGCATTTGATGACATGAATTTTTAATCATTTTTAAGTACACATAATTTCTTCTGCACCATTTAAATAAAATATTATTATAACTTTAAAAAAAGTAAGTTCTGATTTTGTTGGAAATCTTTCCATGCCACTTATCAATATAATCCTAGCTTCTCCCCATGATCCAAATTAAAACAATAATTTCTAAGCCTTTTGGAGTTGTAACAAGTAATAATGATTAATTCTGCAGTCCTTCCTTTCTCCTTGTTTCCTTCCTTAATCATATCTGTTTTTCATCATACCTCACATACATAATATTATATAACTTATTTTATTTTTAGAGTTAAATGTATGTTATAACAGCTTTATTGAGTTGTAATTCACATGTCATACAATTCACTCTTTTAAAGTACACAATTCAGTGGTTTTTAATAGAGTCACAGTTGTTCAGTCATCACCACTACCTCATTCCAGAGCATTTATATCACCCTAAAAAGAACTATGTATCCATTAGCAGTCACTCACCATTTCCTTTTTTTCCCAGCACCTGACAACCACCAATCTACTTTCTGTCTCTATGGATTTGCCTATCATGAACATTTCACAGAAACGAAATCAGACGATACATGACCTTTTGTGTCTGGCTTCTTTGATTCAGTAGAAAGCTTTTAAGATCCATCCATGTTGTAACACGCATCAGTACTTTGTTCCTTTTTATTGCCTAATAATATTCCATTGTGTGTGTTTACTACATTTATTTTATTTGTTCATTCATCAGTTGATGGAACTCAGGTTATATCCAGTCCCAGGCTATTATAAATAATGTTGCTATGAATATTTATGTATCAGTTCTTGTGTGAGCCTGTGTTTTCATTTCTCTTTGGTATACACCAGGAGTGGAGTTACTAGGTCATATGGTAGCTCTATGTTTAACTTTTTGAGGAACTGCCATCCTGTTTTCCAAAGTGGCTGCTCCATTTTATATTCTCATGAGTATTAAATGAGGGGTTTCAATTTCTCCACATCCTTGCCCAAACTTGATATGGTCTTTTTGATTATAGCCATCCCAGCAGGTATAAAGTGGTATCTCATGGTAATTTTTTATTTAAATGTGTATTTTAATTTGTAATCATTTTTTTTCAGAATTTTATGATGTACTTTGTGATTAACAGCCACAGTAGCAATTTATCAAACACTTTTCTAAGCAATATCTAATTTTGTGGGTATAATGATTCCCATTCTACAAAGAAACCAAAGTTAGGAAGGTCGAATGCTATTCGTGGTTCTAGTGGTGGAGCCAGTGTTTGCATCCAGGCCTGTCTGACATTCAGCTCCTTGTTGTTGTACGAATTCATTATATTGCCATGGAAACACACTCCAAACTTGCTAGTCCACAAACTCATAGCCTATAATTTATAATTTGAGACACAAAGCCCAATGACCTATTCATTTCACTAGAAAGATTAAGGTCTTTGGGAACACCCCACAGCATCCTGGCCCTGAATCCTGGAGGAGGACCAAAAAGGGCCTCAGTTGAGGGGCAGTCATCTCAATTCTTTTCTCCATTCCCGACCCAATCAGATTTATTCTGATGTTTTGAATATTCAGCTGCATGATGTAGCCCTGACTTCATCATGGATACTAAAAGTTGTTGTGTGCTACTACACACCTATTAGAATGGCCACAATCCAGAACACTGACAACACCAAATACTAGCAAGAATGTGGAGCAACAAGAACTCTCTCTCATTGCTGGTAAGAGTGCAAAGTGGTACAGTCACTTTGTAAAACAGGTTGGTGGTTTCTTACAAAACTAAACATATTTTACTGTATGATCTAGCAATCACACTCTTTGGTATTTACCCAAAGGAGCTGAAAACTTATGTCCACACAACAACCTGCACACAGGTGTTTATAGTAGATTTATTTGTTGCCAAAACTTGGAAGCAATCAAGATGTCCTCCAGTAGCTGAATGGACAAATAAACATGGTACATCCAAACAATGGAATATTATTCCACACTAAAAAGTAATGAACTATCGTGCCATGAAAACACATGGAGAAAACATAAAATGCACATTTCTAAGTGAAACAGTAGGCTGCGTACTGAAAGGCTATATACTGTGTGATTTTAACTATACAACACTTTGGAAAAGGCAAAACTATGGAGACAGGAAAAAGATCAGTGGTTTCTAGGGCTTGGGGGAAAGAAGGGATGAATATGTGGAACACAAAGAATTTTTAGGGCAGTGAAACCACTCTGTATGATACTATAGTGATGTATACATATCATCATAAATTTGTCCAAACTCACAGAATGTGTAACACCCAGAGTGAACCCTAATGTAAATTATGGAGTTTGGATGATAAAGATGTAACAATGTAGGTTCATCAATTGTAACAAATACACCACTCTGGAGTGGGGTGTTGATAATGGGAAGACTATGCATTTGTGGGAACAAGGAGTATATGGGAAATCTCTATAACTTTTGGTGTGAACTTAAAACTCAATTTTGGTGTGAACTTAAAACTGCTATTAAAAAAGTCTATTTTTTCAAAAAAGTTCTTATACTGATGTAAATAATTTAGATAATTGATTACATTATCTGGTTGATCTTTTTTTAATTTTTTAATTTTTTTATTTTTAGTATTTATTGATCATTCTTGGGTGTTTCTCAGAGAGGGGGATTTGGCAGGGTCATAGGACAATAGCGGAGAGAAGGTCAGCAGATAAACATGTGAACAAAGGTCTCTGGTTTTCCTAGGCAGAGGACCCTGCGGCCTTCCGCAGTGTTTGTGTCCCTGGGTACTTGAGATTAGGGAGTGGTGGTGACTCGTAACGAGCATGCTGCCTTCAAGCATCTGTTTAACAAAGCACATCTTGCACCGCCCCTAATCCATTTAACCCTGAGTTGACACAGCACATGTTTCAGAGAGCATGGGGTTGGGGGTAAGGTTATAGATTAACAGCATCCCAAGGCAGAAGAATTTTTCTTAGTGCAGAACAAAATGGAGTCTCCTATGTCTACTTCTTGCTACACAGACACAGTAACAATCTGATCTCTCTTTCTTTTCCCCACATTTCCCCCTTTTCTATTTGACAAAACCGCCATCGTCATCATGGCCTGTTCTCAATGAGCTGTTGGGTACACCTCCCAGACAGGGTGGCAGCCGGTCAGAGGGGCTCCTCACTTCCCAGACGTGGCGGCTGGGCAGAGGCGCCCCCCACCTCCCAGACGGGCCGGCTGCCGGGCGGGGGTGCCCCCCACCTCCCAGAGGGGGCGGCCAGGTGGAGACGCTCCTCACTTCCCAGACAGGGCGGCTGCGGGGCGGAGGGGCTGCTCACTTCTCAGACAGGGCGGCCGGGCAGAGGCGCTCCCCACATCCCAGACGATGGGCGGCCAGGCAGAGACGCTCCTCACTTCTCAGACGGGATGACGGCCGGGAAGAGGCGCTCCTCACTTCCCAGACTGGGTGGCCGGGCAGACGGGCTCCTCACATCCCAGACGATGGGTGGCCAGGCAGAGACGCTCCTCACTTCCTAGACGCGGTGGCAGCCGGGCAGAGGCTGCAATCTCAGCACTTTGGGAGGCCAAGGCAGGTGGCTGGGAGGTGGGGGTTGTAGCGAGCGAGATCAGGCCACTGCACTCCAGCCTGGGCAACATTGAGCACTGAGTGAGCGAGACTCCGTCTGCAATCCCGGCACCTCGGGATGCCGAGGCGGGCAGATCACTCGAGGTCAGGAGCTGGAGACCAGCCTGGCCAGCGCGGCGAAACCCCCTCTCCACCAAAAAATACAAAAACCAGTCAGGCGTGGCGGCGAGCACCTGCAATCCCAGGCACTCGGCGGGCTGAGGCAGGAGAATCAGGCAGGGAGGTTGCAGTGAGCAGAGATCGTGGCAGTACAGTCCAGCCTCGGCAACAGAGGGAGACCGTGGAAAGTGAGAGACGGAGACGACGGAGAGGGAGAAGGAGAGGGAGAGGGAGAGGGAGACGGAGAGGGAGAGGGAGAGGGAGAGGGAGAGGGAGAGGGAGAGGGAGAGGGAGAGGGAGAGGGAGAGGGAGAGGGAGAGGGAGGATCGTTCTTTACAACCAGAAAATCTTGCACTGTGGGAGGAGCAGATCAAATACCTTAGAGGAGGACAGCTAGAGATCCTATAGCAACAACTGCCCTCAAGATATTGCCCTTGTTTCTATGACTTCCTCTCTTTCCAATTAACTTGACCTTATAGGCTTTATGTTGACTATGACTTAAAAAACAAGTTCATTCTATCAAACACTTTGCTGTTTGTCTTTCAATCCATTTCTATCTCCCTACATATAATTTTTATTCACTTAATAGTCTTTGCCCTATCGATTCTACCTTCACCTCATTCTCTACAGTCAATCCCTTATAACACATTTTTGGTATTACTTCTGTGTCATTAAATATGCTTCTTCTATCATTGGTTGATTTATTAATTTTAGACATTATCTAAATTTTCATCCTCTATAATAAATAAGAAGTAAGATATCCATTCAGTGATGTCATCCACTACTTCCCTGGTAACTCTAAGAGATATTATCACAGCTTTGTTTCTCATTTTATCCTTTTTTTAACCTTTCCTTGTGGGCATGCCTGTGTTGGGTTAACAGTGGGGGTAATAATGGCTTGTTGGTTGATTGTAGATATTGGGCTGTTAATTGTCAGTTTAATATTTTGGTCTGATGTAGGCTTATGAGGAGGAGAATGTTTTCATGTTACTTATACTAACATTAGTTCTTCTATAAGGTAATAGATTAGTCCAATTGAGTGTAAGGAGCTCAGTTGTATGTTTGGGATTTTTTAGACAATGGGCATTATCCTTGATTGCTCAGCTTGTAAGATGAGGATGTTAATGCCTCTATCCTTCCTTTCAGTTCTTCTCCACTCCTTCTTCTTCCTAACTTCTAACCTTTATGCTTTCTCCTTTGCATCTCCAAAGTTGATAACATTTTATAATTTATTCTGCAACCAAAATGTAGTATTACATACAATGCCTATAGGTTGAGTTTAAAAGTTGAAAAGCAGGGCCGGGTGTGGTGGCTCACACCTGTAATCCCAGCACTTTGGGAGGCCAAGGTGGGTGGATCACCTGAGGTCAGGAATTCGAGACCAGCCTGGCCAACATGGTGAAACCCCATCTCTATTAAAAGTACAAAAATTAGCAGAGTGTGGTGGTGCAAGTCTGTAAGCCCAGCTATTCAGGAGGCTGAGGCATGAGAATAACTTGAATCCGGGAGGCGGAGGTTGCAGTGAGCTGAGATTGCACCATTGCACTCCAGCCTGGGTGACAAGAGCAAAACTCCATCTCAAAAAAAAAGTTGAAAAGCAGTAAAATACTAATATTGTGACTTTATAAAACTTATAAATTGACACAGTATTAAAATATGATTATGCTTTTCCTTGTGTAGCTTTTTTCCTCATGAATTTTTAAAAGTTCCCTTTTTGTTTTGCTATTTGCCTTTAGTATAGTCTGATTATTATTTTCATACTGTACAGAATTTCAGATATGCTATTATTTCCTTTTCTCATCAATGAAAACCATCCATCCATCTCCTCCAATTTGAACTGCTCTCAAGGCCTGATACACAGCTGTCATCCTGGGGTCTCCCTTCACCTTCTTGAATTGTTCTCAAATTTTACTGAAACACATCTTTAAGAAGTTTCCTAAGACATGGTATATGAAAGATAAAATTTCTAAATTGTTGTATATATTTGATAACATTGCTATGTAGTTTGTTTTTTAGGGATGATTTCAGCATCTTTTTATTCTTCATGTTCACAGTTATCTGTATGGATATAGGTGTTTTTTCATTCCATTGTACTGAGGAGTTGGGAATATCTTAATATGAAGACATTGTCCTTCATCTCTAGAAAATGTATTTATTTGAAAATGTCGTTATCTCCTCTTTTTCTGTGTTTCCTCCCTGAAACTCCTATTATTGATGTTGGATCTCTTAGATTGATCTTATTCCATTTCTTTAGAAAAGAACAATTTTCTTTAAGGTAAATGCTAAGAACTTTTCAAGAGGCCTAGAGAGGTGAACTTTTCTGAATATATACTAAATAATCCCTTTGTTTTTACTGCTTAATGTCACCATTTGTTGTACCTGGTATATCTGTGTCCTGTGCCTTTCCTGCATTCTTCAGATTGTTTTTGTCCTTAGATGGAAATGTCCTGCCCCTGTCCTTAATACTTACATGCACGCACACACATGCTCTTTTTCTCTCTGTCTAGAATGAGGCTTCTTCCTTCTTACTTCACCAATAGTCACTCCTCTAACAGTTCTCAGTCTTCCAGAAATTTGGCGTAATCTATTATTCACCAATGGAGCCCTTCCTTTTTGCTTTTTTGTATTAAAATTATTCCTTTTATATTCTGTTTCTGTGATTTTTAATTGAATCAGGAGGGAGAGGTGTGATTCTTCCACAATACTGAATGCTATCGTTTAAATGTTTCTGTCCTTCCAAAATTCATGTGCAATGAATCCCCAATGAAATAATATTAAGAGATGGGCCCTTTTGGAGGTGATTAGGTCATGAGGGGTCCACAACCATGAATGGGATTAGTGCCCATATAAAAGGGCTTGAAGGAGCCTGTTTGGTCCTTTTGCCCTTCCTTCAAGTGAGGATGCAGGAAGGAGGTGCCATCTTGGAAGCACAGAATAAGCCTTTACCAGATCCTGAATCTCTTGGCACCTAGATCCCAGACTTCCCAGCCTCCAGTTATAATAATAAATTTCTATTATTTAAAAATTATTCACCCTAAGGCATTATGTTATAGTAGCCCAGCTGACTTGAGACATTGACACCTCGAACAAATCAAGCTCTTTATCAGAACCTGCTGGACTTTGATCTGCCCAGTCCCTATCACTCTGATATGATTTGGCTGTGTGTTGCCACCCAAATCTCACCTTGAATTGTAATAATCCTCATGTGTCAAGGGTGGGGCCAGGTAGAGATAATTGAATCATGAGGGTGGTTTCTCCTATACTGTTTTCATGGTAGTGAAAAAGTCTCACAACATCTGATGGTTTTATAAATGGGAGTTCCCCTGGACAAGCTCTCTCTCCTGCCACCATGTAAGACATGGCTTTGCTTCTCCTTTGCCTTCTGACATGATCGTGAGGCTTCCCCAGCCATGTGGAACTGTGAATGCATTAAACTTCTTTGCTTCATAAATTATCCAGTCTCGGATATGTCTTTATTAGCAGTGTGAAAACAGACTAATACAGTAAATTGGTACCGGGAGTGGGGTGCTGCTGTAAAGATACCCGAAAATGTAAAAGCGACTTTGCAACTGGGTAACAGGCAGAGGCTGGAACAGTTTGGAGAGCTCAGAAGAGGACAAGAAAATAAGGGAAAGTTTGGAACTTCCTAGAGACTTGTTCAATGGCTTTGACCAAAATGCTGATAGTGATATGGACAAAGAAGTCTGGGTTGAGGTGATCTCAGATGGAGATGAAGAACTTGTTGGCAACTGGAATAAAGGTGGCTCTTGCTATGTTTTAGCAAAGAGAATGGTGGCATTTTGCCCCTGCTGTAGGGATTTGTGGAAGTTTTAACTTGAGAGAGATGATTTAGGGCATCTGGCGGAAGACATTTCTAAGCAGCAAAGTGTTCAAGAAGTGGCTTGAGTGCTATTTCTTTTTTTTCTTTTTCTTTTTTTTTGAGACAGAGATTCACTCTTTTTGCCCAGGCTGGAGTGCAATGGTGCAATCTTGGCTCAGTGCAACCTCTACCTCCTGGGTTCAAGTGATTCTCCTGCCTCAGCCTCCTGAGTAGCTGGGATTACAGGTGTCTGCCATCACATCTAGCTAATTTTGTATTTTTAGTAGAGACGGGGTTTCTCCATGTTGGTCAGGCTGGTCTCGAACTCCTGATCTCAGGTAATCTGCCTGCCTCGGCCTCCCAAAGTGCTGGGATTACAGGCGTGAGCCACCACACCTGGCAGACTTGAGTGCTATTAAAAGCATTCAGTTTTATGTATTCACAAATATATGGTTTGGAATTGTAACATGTTTAAAAGGGAAGCAGAGCATAAAAGTTCAGAAAATTTGCAGACTGATGATGCAATAGGAAAGAAAAACCCATTTTCTGAGGAGAAATTCAATCTGCCTGCAGAAATTTGCATAAGTAATAAGTAGCCAAATGTCAAACCGTAAAACAATGGGGAAATGTCTCCAGGGCATGTCAAAGGTCTTCATGGCAGCCCATCCCATCACAGGTCCAGAGGCCTAGGGAAAAAAAATCGTTTTGTGGACCAGGCCTAGGGCCTTGATGCTTTGTGCAGTCTCAGGACTTGGTGCCCTGCATCCCAGCCATGGCTAAAAGGGGCCAATGTAGAGCTGAGGCCATTGCTTCAGAGGATGCAAGCCCCAAGCCTTGGTGTCTTCCACATGGTGTTGGGCCTGCAGGTGCACAGAAGTCAAGAATTGAGGTTTAGGGGACTCTGCCTAGATTTCAGAGAATGTATAGAAGCACCTTGATGTCCAGACAGAAGTCTGCTGCAGGGCTGGAGCCCTCATGGAGAACCTCTACTAGGGCAGTGTGGAAAGGAAATGTGGGGTTGAAGCCCCCACAAAGAGTCCCCAAAGGGGCACTGCTTAGTGAAGCTGTGAGAAGAGGGCCACCATCCTCCAGCCTCCAGAATGATAGATCCACTGACATCTTGCACCATGCCCCTGGAAAAGCTGCAGACACTCAATGCCAGGCCTTGAAAGCAGCCAGGAGTGGGGCTATACCCTGCTAAGCCACAGAGGCAGAGCTGCCCATGGCCATAGGAGCCCACCTCTTGCATCAGCATGACCTGGATGTGGGACATGGAGTCAAGGAGATCATTTTGGAGCTTTAAGATTTGACTGCCCCATTGGATTTTATACTTGGATGGGGCCTGTGGTGCCTTCATTTGGCTAATTTCTCCCATTTGGAACAGGTATATTTACTTGACTTAATTACTCAGCTTTGCCATCATTCTTCTTGGTACACAGCCATTCTTTGATGTATTACAAGAGAATCACTGCCTAGGGTTCAGGACTAGTGATTTTTTTCATCCTGTGAACTATAATCCAACATTAGTAAGATTATTATTTCCTCTCAGAGAAGTGAAAGCAATGAAGAAATTAGCTCTGTGTTTGGGGTGGGGCATAGAAGAAAGAGAAAGAGAGATGTACTGTCAGGATTTTCTTCAAGTACAGTCTCTAAAAGGTTACTAAAGAGGGTGTGAAACTCTTTTACATCTTCAGTAAAGTTAGTCAAGAAGAAATAGGCTTAAGTTGCAACATGAGAGGTTTTTGGAAAAACTAGAAAACATTTATGAATGAGAAAGAATTCCTGTAGGGAATTGTATACTTTGTTTTCCTAAAGTATTCTTAAAAACAGGAAAGGGACTCATTTTGTTTTATGTAAGTATTTAAATGTGATACAAATTAGAAGTGGAAGGATAGACTGGAAAACCTACCTAGCTCCTTCTATTCTAGGATGATGAGGATAAATAATAATAATGACAATAGCTACCATTTACTGAGTGCTTTTGATACGCCAGCTTCTAGGCCAAGTACTTCACTTACCTATCTCACTTAATTTCTAAAACAAGTCTGTGAGGTAAGAAATGCTAACATTTCTACTTCACAGATGAAGAAACCCATTGTTCCAGAGTCTTAAGGTAACAGATTCAGATCTGGATTTGTTTGACGATTAGATCCATACTTTGAATTATCATGCAGATATGCGTCTTCTATGATGCCATAATTTACATCTTCAAAACCAACATTTTTACTTAGGACCACTATGCCTTCCCTTTTCTAGGTAATATTTGTGGTAATTGTTGGTTTTGGGTGATTTACTCTTTGCCCTGCACTGCATTATCTAGTCAGAGGGAGGTGATGCCTCATTATTCCTAGGACTTGATCTAGTTTTCCAATGTTATAAAAATGTAGCCCCACGGCAGTTTGCCAACTCTTAACAGCCTTAGGGGATGCTGGCAGGCCCCTAAGCAGAGCACACGAGCATCTATTTCCTCATAAGAACTGTCTTCACCTTCGTCTTTTAAAATTGTGGCTGCTTCAGGTAGGGTAAAAAGTTACTGGTTAAAAGAAAAATTTTCTTCCCACAGTATGACAGTTAATTTTATATGTCAACTTCACTGGGCGAAGGGATGCCTCTATAGCTAATAAAACATTATGTCTGGGTGTGTCTGTGAGGATGTTTCTAAGAGATTAGCATTGGAATAAATGAATGGAGTAAAAAAGATCACCCTTTCCAGTGTGGGTCAACATCATCCAATCCATTGAGGGCCTGAATAGGACAAAAAGGTGGGGAGGGGCAAATTGGATCTGTCTTCTTAAACTGAGACGTCTGTCTCATGTTGTCCTAAAACTGTGGAGCTCCTGGTTGACTTGGACTGAATTACACTGGCTTTCCTGGTTCTGCAGCTTGCAGACAGCAGATGGTGGGATCTCTCAGCCTCTGACACAGTTTGAATGTGTGTCTCTGCCCAAATCTCATGTGGAAATGTAATCCCCAATGCTGGAGGTGGAGTCTGGTGGGACGTGATTGGATCATGGGGGGCTGATTTCTCATAAATGGTTTAGCACCATCTTTTTGGTGCTATCCTTGCAATAGTGAGTGAGTTCTCACAAGATCTGATTATTTAGAAGCATGTGGCACCTCTCCCCAACTCTTGCTCCTGCTTTTGCCATGTGATGTGCCTGCTCCCCCTTCACCTTCCGCTATGATTTTAAGTTTCCTGAGGCCTCCTCAAAAGCCAAGCAGATGTTAGCACCGTGCTTCCTGTACAGCCTGCAGAACTGTGAGCCAATTAAACCTCTTTTCTTATAAATAACCCAATCTCAGGTATGTCTTTATAGCAATTTGAGAATGGCCTCCAGAATCATGTGAGCCAATTCCCATATTAAATCTCATCTTATGTATCTATTATATCCCATTGTTTTTGTTTCTCTGGAGAATGCTGACTAATAACACAGACTCTTCAGATAGAGTCTATTTCACTTTACAAGCCTCAGCTGCTTGTGTGATCCTGTTCTTGTTTGCTCTATCGACCATGAAAGAGTTGTTTACCCTTTCCCTATTTATCCATCTGAGTGAATGAAAAGGTGCATGCTTTTAAAAAACCCACTTAAAAGGCACCGAAGTATTTGGCGAAAAAAATAAGGAGAAAAAAAAGAACATTTGTCTTTTCTCTCCTTCCATAGAGGTAAAGAGAAATCCAGTTGCAACAGATACCAGAGATAACATAAAGTTAATTATACCCTAAATGCAACTGCGGCAACTAAAACACATTCTCACGATCGCAGTTAGCCTAGCACATGATTGTTATTACAAAGGAATTCTGTAGTCCTTTAAGTGTTTATACCTGCTTTTTGGGGTTTGTCTTTTGTTTTTCCTTGGTAGTGTTCATCCTGGGGATGACTGAGTAGGACTCCTCCAGCAGCTGCTGGCTGGCATCTTCTGTCTACTGCTCTCCCTGTCATTCCCCTTTTCTCTCTCCTAAACTCAGTTTGGCCAGGAATGTTGAAAAAACGGTGGTGGAGGCAATAGAAGTGACTAAACAAGTTTTGTCCATAATCTTCTCTTTCTATTTCTACTAACTTCTCTGTTTATATTTATTGACCACCTCCTTCATCCAAGAATAGATGATGCTGTTGTTGGTCACACTTTCACCATGAAACTTTGCTTCATGTCACCGCAAAGTGCACACTGCTATGCCTTGGGATGTCACTGTCACATTCTGGACCTCAGTCTCTCAACTTGAAAACAGGACGAAACTAACAGGCTACCTGTTACCTACACCAGCTAAAGAGGTCATTCTAATCACACTTATATTGTGTTTTAAACAGCTCTGTTTCACAAATGAGTTTCTCCTCCTTTATGGAGCAGGATTATGAGAGTTCTCTGTATTATTATCGTCATCACCACAAGCCTCAGGAATAACAAATTTCCCAATCATAGGAGAGTAGAAATAGAAAGCGACCTCTGTATAGAAACCATCTAAAGTGCTATAACTGCACTTTGGAAAAAACACAGAAGCCTAAGAAGTTTATTGATTGAGACTCAGCAGATATTAAAACTGATAATAAAACTGTAATTTAGCAAGTACAGAGTACAGCAAAAAGACAAATAATAATGTAACAGGAAAAGAACCCAGCTTATATAAAATTTTAATAAATGCTATTGGAAGACATGACAAATTAATTAAAAAGGGCAAGATTGTCCGCTAAATGGTCTGGAGAGATGTGGTTATACAGAAAATAATCACTTTAGTTTTCATCTCACACCGTGTGTGGAAATTTATTCTAGATGGACTAAATGTAAACTCCTAACAAATAGAGACTAAAGTGACTCTGATCTCTGAAAGAGAACATACTTCTTCACATGAGAGCAAAAATAAAAATTATAAAGTAATTTATCAGCATTTGACTACATAATAATGTAAAACTTCTATACATCAAAAAATAATTATGACATAAATGGCTAATATCTTTTCTATATAAAGAGCTTATACAAACAGACTAATAAAACACTAATATCCCAGCAGGAAAAATGGGCAAAGAACATCACAAAGGAGGGAATTTCAGAGCCTAATAAAGGTATGAAATAAACATTTGACCACATCTGTAATCAAAGAAATGCAACTAGAATAATGAAATGTCTCTTTCCCCCTTTCAAATTACCAGAGTTTCCATATTGGTTGTGTCCTGTGGGAAGCAGATGCCGAGGTGGAGTTAGAAATACAAAGGTTCATTTGGGAGAAATGCCTCTGACAGTTAAAAGAAGGAGGAAGCAGGGTCTGACAAAGACCTAGATATGTTATGAATATTCTATCATACTATGTGACAATCTTTCCAGGAAAATAGAGAGATAATTACTGCTAATAACACTCAAATATGAACGCCTTTAATCCTCATAACACCCTAAGGCATGCACTTTCTTGACCCCTATATTAGAGATGAGGAAACTAAGAGACCAAGAGAATAAAGAAAATGCCCAAGGCAGAGTTGGAACTTGAATCCAGGCAACCTGGCTCCCAAGTCTTTTGTCTGAAGTCTTATATTACAACTATCTCTTAAGTAAAATGTGGACTTTTAAGCAGTTTTAAAAATGGTATTAAGAAAGAATTTTTACCAAAGAAAGGAAAGAATTTTAATCATATAGGGAAATGTTTATGGTATAAAAATATTGGAAAGAGCCGAACTCAAAATTGTCTATACAATAAAATCCAATTATATATAATATGCATAAAATAACAGATGAGAAGAAAGTAAATTATTAATAGTAACTATTGAGTGAAAGGTGAAGTGCAGAGTAACCAACTCATCCTGGCTTTTTCCTGGACTTTTCTGGTTTTAGCACTCAAAGTTCCATGACCTGGAAATTCTTTCAAGTCTTAGACAACTGGATGATTGGTCACCCCTAGTGATTTTAATTATCTTTTAACATGACTTAGATTTTCTTCCCAAATTCTCTAAAATGAGCATGTATTAACTGGGTAATTGGGGCAAAAACATGCCCAAACAACAACAAAATGGTAAACTCTTGGGAGAAGTAAAGGAAGCCCATTGGCCGTATTTTGGATGAAGAGAGATCTGGAAGAGAGGAGGGACATCCAAAGGGATTGAACAGGTAGCAGGAAATTTTAGTTCATTTTCTCATTTATTTAACTCAATGCAAGGCCCTTGGGATACAGAAATGATGAAGGTAATAAGTAACTTGCTCTCAGGAATTTACACTCTAGTAGGTTAAGACATTCAATAAACACATTATAATATTATGTACTGTGATGAGTGCTATGCAGGAAGGAGCTGGGGTGTAATAGAGAGTAATGATATGGGGATACTCCAGAGAGGATGACTAGGGAAGGCCTGTGTGGATTGGTGATATTTGATGTGGAACTGAATGAGAAGTGGCATTATAAACATTATTAATACAACTCTAAAACTACACCATGGGGAAAGAAAATTTTTAGCAACTCATTTATTCCCAGACCTGGGATTAAGACACACATTTCTGGAGACAGAATTCCTTGGCACTACACAGTGTACTCACATGAATTAT
Organism: Homo sapiens; assembly: GCF_000001405.40. Classification (NCBI taxonomy): domain Eukaryota; kingdom Metazoa; phylum Chordata; class Mammalia; order Primates; family Hominidae; genus Homo; species Homo sapiens. The sequence continues at coordinate 78,018,028 of NC_000004.12, forward strand.
TACTAAAAGATTACCTTTACATTATTTCAAGTCTATGGGAAATTGGACAAGTTTGCAAAAATGGAAATTTTTAAGGGCAAATTCATAACATATCTAGTTAACAGAGACCTTTTCTAAATATATTCTGAAGAAGTAATAAAACACCTTCAATCCATGATCGTTCACAAAAATAAAGACCTTTAAAAATCAGACTATGCCTTTTTCTGAATGATCTTTTAGCGTAATATTGCTTAGAGGCAATGCAAATGTTGAATGAATAAAAAATAGCTTAGGGGAAGCTGTGATCTCCTTGTCTTCATTTAGCAACTGCCCAACTCCTTAAAATGAAGACTGAGCATACAGTTTAATGGGGAGAAAAACAAAAAACACCTCAGTCTTGCCAAAGTCAACAAAATTTTGTTGGAGTCACCAGACTAGCAAAAGTAATGTCTTCTTACACATTGACAGGCTGTTATGTAAAGAGTGCTAACACAACAGAGTGCCAGTGAGTTCACAGGGCCTTCTTGCCTTCTCATCAAGGCAGAATGACAAGAAGCAGAAGAAATTACTCAGTAAAAACAAAGGGTCACACTGGAACAGGGAAGGAAATACTGGGAACAAGAGAGTTTTTTGTTTTGCTTTTAAACTAGAAAAGCTTGATACATTCCTAAAGTCTAGCCAGGTAAAAAATTAGAAGCCGAGGGTTAGTATGGATGATTTTAGATCACAGTGCTTATAAAACTAGTCCTAAAAAGACTGTAGTTTTTGCTTTAATCTCACATTCCTCTTGTTTCTTTCTCCCTTCTGAAAATGTTCTTTAGAAAAAAATTGTTAAAAATGCTTATTAAACAATTTTTATGCTTTAAGCTGATTATGAGTTTGGACTTTAAGAAAGGAAATAAGTAGTAGAATGAATTTTTTAAATCCTCAGAAAAATTTCTGTGGAAAAGATGCTTTTTTAGGGGTGGCAGTCCAGGTTGGGTATCAGTGTCTGCCGGTAGGCTTATCGTAACTGAGAACACTGAGCTGTTCTTAAAAAACATTCCTTAGCTAAATGAACAACTGAAAATGCTGAGCTATTAGAACTTCAAAGATTAATTTCTCCATTAATGGCACAAGGCGATAGAGAAAAACAATCAGGCTAAAGAAGCATAATCAAGCTAACCCAACTGGGGCATTTCATCTGATATTCAAAGTCGCTGGGCCAAAACTTTGATCTCCTTCAATTTTGTTGGAGAGAGTTTTAGGTCATTTAAAACTGCAGGAAACTTCTGTCTGTGGAACTCAGAATTGTATTCTGATATATATATATATAGTTTTCTTTTAATCCCTTCAGGTAATAGGATACAAAGTGCTATTTCTGGGCACTGTGAGCTGCAGGATGGTTATTTAACGATCAGTGTCGGACAGTCCCAAAAGGCCTTGGGTATATTTTCAATGTGCTTACTTGATAGCTACAAGTCCATTCAGTTATATTAAACTTGGAGGCAGACCATCTTACTTTGCTAAAGAACAATGATGCAACAAGAAGTCAGATGGCAAAGACAAGACACATGTGTTCCAAGACAAACCAAATAAGGCAGAGCCACTACAATTAGGATTTGAATAACAGAATAACAGAGATGGGGTGGATTTAGCTTAAATACTTCCTTTTAGTAGCCAATTCTGTCAGTAATGGTTATATTTTCCAGCTGTATAGCTAAGAATAAAGAGGTTAGCTTATCATAATGCTGGGTAAAATACATTATCTTTGTCCTTGAAGTTTTCATACAGGCCTAATTTGTACCATCTTCATACATGCTCATCAAGATTATTCCATGGTGTGGGACTTTCTGCATTAGAGACTACAAATCAGATTATTACAACTATTGTTGTCACCAATGTCATTGGCAAAAACATCACCATAATATGAAGAGGTATATATTATACAGAGCTTCTGCCCACAATTATTTAGTTCCTGTTAGATCTGAGGCATTGTTTTAGGCCCATTAAAAACATTTTCTCTATTCCTTACAATTGTGCCTGCAAAGTAAGTACAGTTGTGTTTGTGAGTTTCTCATCCACAAATTCAACCAACCATGGATGAAACATTAAAAAAAAACACAACAAAAAATAATACAAATAAAAAACAATACAACTATTTACGTAGGATTTACATTATATTAGGTATTATAAGTAATCTAGAGATTATTTAAAGTATGCAGGAGGATGTGCATTGGTTATATGCAAATACTATGCCATTTTAGATAAGAGACTGGAGCATCCTTGAATTTTGTATCTGCTGGAGGTCCTGGAACCAATCCCCCACAAATACCTAGAAATGGTTGTGTTATTAGTCACATTTAATACTTGAGGAAACACAGTTTGTGTAACTTACCCAAAAGTTACAAATGTATAAGTGGTAGAACTAAGACTCCAATAACACCTTCTTTGACTTCAAAACCCAAACTCCATCACAATCACTGTTTTTCCAAATTTTATACTGATTTTCCTTCAGAATTAATGAATGGAGTGGTTTTTCTGGCCAATGTCACTTACTTGGAAGCAAACCTCTTCTTCCTTTCTTTGCAGTAAGATTGTATCTACTGAATATTTACCATTTACCATTTTTCAGTTCCATGGCCTTCTAACTAAGGAGAGTAAAACAGACAAATCATGGTAGAGGAGCCAAAAGCATCTTCACTGTTGAAGATAACAAACCAGGCACTCACCATACCTTTAACCCTAGTACTTGGAAATCTAGTGAGATTAGTTCCATGCACAAGTCCCATCTAAGTTTTCCACATCTTGGTCTGCAGACGAACTGTTAACATGGAACAGTGACCTGGCTATGTCACAATAGCCAGCTCTCTCCAGGTATGAGGCACTTCACATTGATTACCTTGTTTAGTCAACACACCAACTCACGAGTTTTGTGCTGTTGCTATTACCCTCCTCGTATTACAAATAAGTGACTCACGCAGGGTCATTCATGTATTTATTGGTAAAACAGGGATTAGAACTGATGACTTCTGACATCAAAATACTGTAATTGTTTATATGATACTTAGTAAATCTTAGGTTAGTTTTTTCAAGTGTTTTGACACTGTGATATATTGTAATTCTCATTCTAAGTAATTTGTAATTAAAATAGATAAAATATTGACATTTTGAAATAGTTTACCTTTTTTGTTAGCTAGAGAACATGCAATGATTTCTTTTAAATACCATCACTCTCTACTGTTTGCATTCAAATACATCTTCTTTTGTATAAGAGCAATGTGTGAATAGCAACCAACATGCAGGAAATTGAACGTGAGGATAACCATGTTTGTTATCCACTGGGCTGTTTTATCTGTTTCCTAGCTTATCTGGCTAAAAACCTATCTTGGTTCTTCAAAGCTGTCTAGAGACTTCCCACCACCTAGATGACCTAACACAAGTCTGTCATTACACAAAGCAGAGTGCAGTAAAGTTTTGCTAAAAGCATGGGAGTAAGGAACAGACTGGTTGAAAGCACAGATTTCTAGAGTTGAATTTAGGCCTCTACCACTTACCAGCTCTGTTATATTAGGTGAGTTATTTACCCGCTCCAAGCCTTGATTTTCTCGTTGAAGAAATAGGGATAATAATAATATCTAACTCACAGACTTGTTGTGAGGATTAAATAAGATAAAGTAGAAGGTTTAGCACACTGCCTAGCTTGCAGTAAGTGTTCAATAATGTTATCTGCATGAAATTGTCCTTCATCCCCCTCCACCTGGACGCAGTAAAGTCTAGTTAGATGGTAACCACATAAAACAGGGGTTATATCTTTGCTTTCAGGGTGAGCTAAGTAAACCTGGGCCATATAAATGGATATGTAACATTTGATTTATTTTATTAGCAATGCCACGTTATAAGGAGAAGAGGGAAAATACAGTCAATAAGTAATTCTAGGAGGCTTAATGAAATATTTATTCTTTTCCACGTGACCTTGTAAACTAGTGAGCATGATTTTTAATTCTTATTAAAAACAAGGCTGCGTCCAACATGATGAAGAATTTGTATGTTGAGAAGCCTTTAATCATTCTCTGCTAGTTGTTGATTTTTTAAAAACAAATCAGTAACATAACAGAAATTGGTGCATTTTGAAATCTTACAGAATTTGTTTTCTTCTTATATGTGACTTGAAAACAGCTTAGGCAATCTGCACAGAGTTAAGAAAAACATCCACACAGATGCAGACGGACTTGGGGATAGCACCAAGTAAAAGAAACTGAGAGTGCTTGTAGACTGCATAGTAGGAAATATCAGGACTAGAGCAAGGTCCTGATTCAGAGGGAGCTTTCAATGAGGATGTCGTTAGATATTACCTGCTGTGGTGTGGCAGCACTACAGACTCACTCATTTTCTTGATATGTTGTTCTGTAGTATGATAAAATATTGATGATATCTCTAGGTTAAGTTCTATCTTCAACAAGTGCTACACAGGTTGCTCATATTTGATAATATTCTACAAGTATTTTTGTCTCAGTCATATCCCTTATACTTGCTGCAATAGAGCAGCAAAGATTTCTCTTCTCACAGGTGAAGGGTTCCAGATTATGCCCTCAATGTTTTTTTATGTGCAGTCTTCTCTCCCCAATTTCTTTCGTGCCTACCACTTTGCCACTTGAGTGTCCAGCGCAGCCCTGTCTAATGAATTGGCTGAATGCCTTATTTATTGCCTGTTGTTATTCTTGTTTCCAGCAGGAGGAATATAATGATTAAGCTGGCAATAAGCCTTCCTTCTTTGACATGTTAAACACAAAAAGGACTTTAGAAACAGTAAAAAGATGTGAAAACTTAGAAATAATAAAATTGGAGACAGTAATTTTGTTTCTATTATTCTAAAAAAATCAGAGAAGGCAAATAAAGTGAATGGGAAAAGCTATTACACAAATTCTGTTTCTGAAGAGGAAGAGAGTGTGATGAAGTAAAACAAATACACAAACTAACAAAAACCAAAAACTGAATTTTGGTGGAAAAATTTGGGTCCTGGTTTTAATCTTGCCAACCACTAGCTGGATAATTTGAGATAAGTTATTGAACTTTCATAGAATGTAATTTTCTTGTGAGTAAAATTAGAGGATTCTTACAGATATTCTGAAAGGCCTTTTACAACCCTTTGTTGTTCTAAGATGAATAAAAGCCAACATCCCCAGTGGTAATTTACTGAGAGATGATCATGAACCTATCTCTGTAAATCAATGCTATAGTATTAAAAAATGGTTTAATTCTACCCAGAGGATTTTAAGATGAATGGACATGAAATAAATGGAGGCATTTCAGACCAAAAAAAGGCAACAGTGGGTTCTAAATTATTATAAAAATCTAGATAAGTAACTTAGCAATAAAAGCAAGCAACAGAACAAAAATTAAATATTTAAAACCCAAAGAACTATTGGTGAAACTTCTTTGAATTCTTCAGAAGACTTTATTTATATTAATTTTTAACACTGGAAGTTTTCCTTTGTAAAGGATGATATCAACTTTCATTTTTGGATTTAGTGGAGTAATTGTTATCAGACTTTTTCTTCTACTGTAAATAGCTTAAAAATTCAACAGAATACATGAAATAGCTGTTGTTAAACATTGGACAATAGGCAGTACAGTAACATGGTCCCTGAGAGAAGGGAAGCAAGCTGATTCTTACAATCACATTATATGAACTTACAGGAAATAACTGTGAAATATACATACTTTCCAAGTGCATATGGAAAATCACCAATATACACAATATGTTGGTCATAAAATAATTTCAATAAATTGCAAAGGATAGAGATCATATACAGTCTGTTTGCTGATCAGAATAGAAATGTTAGAAATTAATAGCAAAAGATATCTAAAATATCACCAAATCTTGATAAATTAAATAACACATTTCTAAATAATCCATGGGTTAAAGAAGAAATCATGTTAGAATAAAAAGTATTTTGATATCACATCAAAATTTATGCCATAAAATTTAGATAGCCTGGACAATCTTTTGAAGATACAAGTCACCAGCATTGAGCACAAGAAAAAACAGAAAATTGAACAGTCTTAATATCTGTTATGGAAATTGAATCCACAATTAAAAGCCTCTCCAAGGAAAAAACTTCAGGCTGGTGAATTCTAGTGGATACCACCAGTTTTCCAAAATGTTTGTGCTAATTTATACTCCTGTCATCAGGAGTTATTTGTTCCACATCCTCACCAATATTTGGTATTGTCAGTCTTTTTTATTTTAGCCATTCTGATGGCTGTACAGTGGTATCACAATGTGGTTTCAATTTACATTTCTATGGTGACTAATAAAGTTCAACTCCTTTTTGTATGTGTATTGGCTATTTGAATATCCTATTTTGTGAAGAACTTGGTCTTTACTCATTCTTCTATTAGATTGTCTACTTTTAAAATAGATTTTTGGAGTTTTTTAAAAAACGTTCTAGTTATTGACCTTTTTCAGGTGTATGTTTTGTGACTATCATCTCTTACTCTGTTGGCACAATATAGTTTGAATAAAATATCATCTTATAACTGTATGCATATGTGTTACATGGCCTTAATACCAAATTTACAAAAGCTAATGTGTTGTTAAGTATATTATAAACAGAAATGTATCATGTATTTTCTCTGTCCAGTTGTATGACCTTTTCCAAAGAAAACAGCATGTCATCTTGACTGAAACAGGAAGCCCACATTGAGGAAGCAAAGCTTTTCCTAAAAAGTTGCTTTTTATGATGAAGCACACCAAAACTAAAGGCATATTCATTTAAATGAGCTTCCACATTTGTAGGCTTTCTCAGCATGGGTAGAAAAAGAGGAATGAAGTGTTTTATTGTGTTTTTTTTTTCCTTGATTCCCATTCCCTATATTGCTACTGACAAAACAGCTAAATCTGAGATGACTCACTGAACTTCTCTGTGTTTGTTTCCTCTTTGGTGAAAAGAAGTTATGAAAAATGATATAAGCATTTTGTAAATTGTTGTCTGCAAGATCTAGAGAAGTAGTTTATGAAAAATATCAGTACTCGGCCAGGCACAAAGGCTCACGCCTGTAATCCCAACATTTTGGGAGGTCGAGGTGGGTGGATCACCTGAGGTCAGGAGTTCGAGACCAGCCAGGCCAACATGGTGAAACCCCGTATCTACTAAAAATACAAAAATTAGTTATGCGTGTTGGCATGTGCCTGTAGTCCCAGCTACTTGGAAGGCTGAGGAACAGCAATCGCTTGAACATGGGAGGCAGAGGTTGCAGTGAGCCAAGATCGTGCCACTGCACTCCAGCCTGGGTGACAGAGCGAGACTCTGTCTCAAAAAAGAAAAAAGAAAAATAGTACTAGCAAATTTGTTTTCCCTAGTGTGTATTTAAGAAAGCATGTCAACATAAATACTCAAACTCTGAAAAATATTTGAAGAGATTTATTCTGAACCAAATATGAGTGACCCTAGCCCATGACACAGCCCTCAGGAGATCCTGAGAACATGTGCCCAAGGTGGCTGCCCTACAACTTGGCTTTATAAATTTTAGGGAGACATAAGACATCAATCAATAAATGTAAGATGTACATTGGTTCAATCCAGAAAGGCAAGACAACTGGAAGTGGGGAGGCTTCCAGGTCATATCTAGATGCAAAGATTTCCTGATTGGCAATTGGTTGAAAGAGTTAAGTTATTTTCTAAAGACTTAGAATCAATAGAAGGGAGGGTCCGGGTTAAGGTAAGGGGTTGTGGAGACCAAGGTGCTATCATGCAGATGAAGCCTCCAGGTAGCAGGCTTCAGAGAGAATAGATTGTAAATGTTTCTTATCAGATTTAAAGAGTGTGTTCTATCAGTCTTAGAGTCTGTGTTGATGTTAATGCTGGTCAGCTTTTCCTGAATTTCAAAATGGAGGAGGATATAATGAGGCAGGTCTGCCTCACCCCCTTCCCATCATGGCCTAAACTAGTTTTGAAGGTTAACTTTGGAATGCCCTTGGATGAGAGGAGAGGTCCATTCTAATGGTCAGGGGGGCTTAGAATTTTATTTTTGGTTTATACATGGAAGACGACCACTAATAACACTTAAAAATTATTCCTATTATTGTGAGATAATCTGTTGTTTAGAAATAATATCCCTTAAAAGATAACACAGTAATGCTCACTGGAAGCCTGGGCACATGATGTTGACTTTGCACAGTTATGCAGATGTAGAATTTATCAAATAATCATTATGTTGATGTGTGTCATTTATTAGTGATTGCTTGTCTGAGTTATATATACCTGCTTTGATAATTTCAACACATATTTTTGTTATTTTGTTCATTTCAGCCTTTAGAAAATAAAATTACTTAATTTCTTATTTTTTAGGTTCTGTGTTAAAGAGTCCCTTTTTGACCACATCTAGCGGTAATTATTCTGAGATTTTAAAATTTTTACTGTTTATTTTTTACTGTTTATTTTCATCTGATTGTACGCAGTGCTGCACATGTGCCATTAATATATTACACTTCTAAAGGGTGTTATGAGATCAAGGAAATTTTGGAGGCTTAAGATATACGCATACTATAGTTCATTCCAATTCTAAAAAGTTATCTTTCCTTGATTGAGTGCAGTGGTGTGATCTCAGCTCACTGCAGCCTCTGCCTCCTGGATTCAAGTGATTCTCGTGTCTCAGCCTCCCAAGTAGCTGGGACTGCAAGCACAGGCCACCACTGCATGGCTAATTTTTGTATTTTTGGTAGAGACAGGGTTTTGCCATGTTGGCCAGGCTGGTCTCGAACTCCTGACCTCAAGTGATCTGCCTGCCTCCGCCTTCGCCTCCCAAAGTGCTGGGATTACAGGTGTGAGCCACTGTTCCTGGCCCCTGTGCGCTGTTATTACTCCTCACAGAACTCCTTTTCACTAGTCCACTGACTCCCCTAGTTGAAGCAAATCACTTTTCCCTCACTGTATCAAGCTCCTCCTATTTCTATGGCAACCTTCTTGTTTTTTTTTTTGTTTGTTTTTTTTTTTTTTTTTTTTTTGAGACGGAGTCTCGCTCTGTCGCCCAGGCTGGAGTGCAGTGGCGCGATCCCGGCTCACTGCAAGCTCCGCCTCCCGGGTTCACGCCATTCTTCTGTCTCAGCCTCCCGAGTAGCTGGGACTACTGGGACTACAGGCGCCCGCCACCACGCCCGGCTAATTTTTTTGTATTTTTAGTAGAGACAGGGTTTCACCGTGTTAGCCAGGATGGTCTTGATCTCCTTACCTTGTGATCTGCCCGCCTCAGCCTTCCAAAGTGCTGGGATTACAGGCGTGAGCCACCGTGCCCAGCCTCTATGGCAACCTTCTAAAGATGCACTATTGCTTCTGTATCATTCCATGTTTTGCTGCTGAGCTGCAGGATGACTTTAACGGTCTGGGAGAGGGAATGCGATGTGGCAGAGGTTTAGATTGGAAGTGCACTACCACGTTGACAGAGTAAACTGTTGAGGTCTACGTAAAGGTAACCTTGATCAGACTGCCACAAAAAGTATGAAGGCATATTTCAATTCATTCTCATTTGTCGGTGAATTCATACCACTCATGTTATTAATAGTACTTACAAGTTGTATGGTTTTAAAATATCTTCTACTTATTTCTCTGTAAGAGGATTTTATATCTATGTTGTAAGTCCTATGGGTATCATTTCTACAGGATATATTTAAATGTATAATTTCTTCTCCATAGCACATATTGTGTTGTGTATGTTAGGTTGGTGCAAAAGGAAATTCCTGTTGCACCAAATTACTTTTGCACCAACCTAACAAATCATACATGGGCCAGATGTAGTGGTTCATGCCTGTAATCCCAACACTTTGGGAGGCTGAGGGGGGCAGACCACTTGAGCCCAGGAGTTTAAGACCTGCCTGGGCAACATGGCAAAACCCTGTCTCTACAAAAAAATACAAAAATTAGACGGGTGTCGTGGTGTGTGCCTGTAGTCCCAGCTACTCAGGAGGCTGAAGTGGGAGGATCGCTTGAGCCCGGGAGTTCAAGCCTACAGTGACTCCTTATCATGCCACCACACCCTAGCCTGGGTGGCAGAGTGAGACCTGGTCTCAAAATTAAATTAAATTAATAAAAATGAAAATAAACCACACATGGTCCTGTGAGTCCAAGAGAACAACATGAATGTTGATGATGTTGATACTCTCCGTGGTGACAGCATGACTGCTTTCATGATCAAGAAGTTTTCTTTGGCTTTATTGCTATATTTGTTGATTTGTGTGGCCCCAAAACTAAGTCTTTAAGGCTCAAAGAATCGGTTTTGGCTCATATTTCTTTATTTAAAACACTATTTTAACTTAGAGGTTCAAAAATTTTAAATTTTTGAAAGATGCTTCTTGTCAAAATGCACATAAAATTTTTATATTGGTTGGTACTGGCTCATAAACTTTTTGTAAGTTAATCTTAGATGGAGCAGATACATAAGGATAAAAAAGGATTTGAGGATTGATTCTCAAACCTATCTGTAGATCATGTATCCATGTACCCATGTATCTATCTCTGTGTCTAATCTACCATCCATCTCCAGACACAACTAAATAAGAACTTGTTATAATATTAGCTAAAATCAATATGAGGGAGGGACAAAACAAAAATAATTAAAACCTAATGGATTCTTTTTCTATTTAGACTTCCGTATAATTATGAATAGAAAATAGTAACTATACATTTATGCAACTCTGAAATAGTTTTTCAGTTGAGGTCCTTAATTTTTAAAAACTACGTGAAATTTTGTTGTGAATTTCACATCGAAGATTCTGGATTCACACACATTTTAGGTGCTCATACCTTTATTACAGCTAATATATATATTTCACATTTTTTTCTACTTGATCTAGTCATATCTAGGAGAGGTATGTTGAAGTCACTCAGTAGGATGTAGTGTCAATTTCTCTTTTTATTACTCACGCTTTTTTTCTTTAATCAAGTTGACACTTAATTTTCACCCTTTTTGCTTTATACATTTTGATGTTGTTTGATCCACAAATTGGATGCATAAATCTTTTTGATTGGTTGTAAATTTTTAGCAACATAAAATACTTCTTTTGTTTAGTTAACACTTTGTCCCTTTGAATTCTATGTTGTATCTTTATTATTGCCACTTTTATTTGTTTCTTGGCAGAAATCTCTGGATATAATTATTTCTTTATTTTCAACCTTTTGGTGTCATTTTGAACTAAATGCATCTCTTGTAAATAGAATATAGATAAGTCCCATTCCTTAAAATGAGCCCTTATCCCTTCATATTTATTTGTGATTACTAATATTTTAATTTTCTTCTTGCCATTTTAAACATGCTTTTCATTTATTATGTTCATTTTTTTTTTCCATCACCTTTTATAGTATTTGCAGATTTGTTTTCTTTTGTTTATTTACTCTGTCTTTAGGGACTTGGAAAGTGTCATTTGTATTGGTCTGTAGTACTTCTAGATTTGGGGTTCCTGGATCCTGGTGCCCCTTCTTTGGATTCTTTAGGAAAATTCTTCCTTCATTCCATGTGGTGCTCTCAGTCCAATACCTCCAACATCACAGAGATGGGCAGCTGAGTCAAGCTGGCTGGTCAGGGCAGCTCCCTTGTCTGGTCATAGAGATTGGATCAAGAATGAGGTCACTGATAGAGCCTTCTCTGAGATCAAAGTGCCTGTAACCTCCTCTACAATAAGGCATAACTTTTGGTGTATTTTTAGCCCCCTAAAATCCCATGTTTTGTTGAAATCCTTTTGAATTTAAATTACATTTTTGAGGTTTTCATATTATGCTTATTTTATTATAATGATATTTAAACAATTCTTCATTAAGCTTTACTCATATTTACTCATATTAACCATTATATATATGTACTATATGTATTTATATGTATCAGTAAATTTACTGGTTTTTTTTTGCTCAATATTATTTTTATCTTTCGTATCTTCTATATTTTAGATAATTATTTGTAGGATTATCTTACAGTTTTTCAGAAAGATTGAATTAAGCAGTAAAGTTTCTGAATACTTAGTTGAGCAAAAAAGTTCTCATTTGTTGTCATGTTTTAATGACAATTTGCCTTTTATGAAATTTTAGGTTTAAAATCCCCTTCTTTTATAATTTTGTAGAAATTATTCCATGCCTTTTGCATCCCACAATAAAGATGAAAAGTATAAATCCATCTGAGTCTTGATCATTTAGGGCTTTTTAAAAATAGTAGACTTATTCCTGGAGCTGGGAAATCTTATCTGAATATTCTTAAGTGTGTCCTTTTCCATTATTCCTGCTTGGGATTAAATCTAAAGACTCTGTTATACCTTGGCTCAAAGAAAATGTCTTTATATTTATTTTTTATTATTCTAAAAACTATTTTAAATAATTCAAGTTTTACATGAATACATATTTACTGTAAAAGTTTAAATACAGCAGTACACAGAATAAAAGCTTACAGTCCCTTCATGCTTCCTTTAATCTCCCAATGGTCAGGTAGAGATGTACCACCCAGATCCCTCTTTAAGGAAGAGCTTGTTGCCCAAGTAGTCAGCAAGCAACCTCCAGTTTCAGCGTTTGTCTCAGTGGCGGACAGCAGCCTCACCCAAGGGAAAGCGCTCCCAGGGTGACTCACATTTAGTAACTTGAGGTGGGGGTGTAAGGGCCCCACCATGTCTGCACAGTGTAGGTCACCTCTGGACATCAGTATGCTGCAGAAGTTCCCATTGCATTGGTCAAGGCTTTGTTGGGTCCCCATCATGGTTTAACTTCTCTGCCCAGTCCTGTTTTTTCCTCCTGAAAGGATTCTTAAAATATATCATGCCTACCAAACTCAGGCTTAGCATCTTTCATCCCTGTAATGCCAGCACCTTGGGAGACCAAGGCAGGCGGATCACCTGAGGTCAGGAGTTCGAGACCAGCCAGGCCAACATGGGGAAACCCCCTCTCTACTAAAAATACAAAAAAGAAAAAAAAAAAAAACAATTAGCTGGGTGTGGTGGTGCACACCTGTAATTCCAGCTACTCGGGAGGCAGAGGCAGGAGAATTGCTTGAACCCAGGAAGCAGAGGTTGCAGTGAGCCAAGATCACACCACTGCACTCCAGCCTGGGTGAAAAAAAAGAAAAAAAAAGAGAACACAATTTAGGAGGGTTGGTGACTGCAGTGGTGTGAGAAATCAAGCAATATGATGGGGATTTGAAGATGGATAACTCGCTGGCCAACTGGTGAAGACCCCATCACTGGCTGTAGGTGAAGTCCTTGGCGCAAGTTACAATTGTTAAAACTCTCATTGATGGTGAATGGGAATGGTATACGGAGTGGAAGGGAATATACTAGATAGTGTGATTTATCAGGCATTTGAGAAATACGAGAGAAATGGCAACTGTAAGGGCAATGGTATTGGAATGGCTACTGCTAAAAGCCATTGACAGCCTAGATTAATGCTTTTCAAAGCACAGCAGCTACTGGGAACTTGTGAAAAATACAAATTCTGGAGCCCGACCATAGATCTGCAGAATATGAAACTATGAAGATGGGGGCCAGCAAGCTACATTTAAATAAATACTTTCATATGATTCTCATGTTAAAGTTCCAGAACAGCTGTCATAGAAAAAGATAAGGAAAAGCTGCAGGCAATTTACAGGCAATTGGAAGCCAAGTATGAGCGCCAGGGTCCTCCCTCAGCTTACAAAGAGGATCTCTCCTCCCGTGGTTGCGCAGAGAAAGCTGTGGACCTGGTCCAGGGAGATAAGGAGCTGAGATCCTGAGAATGCCATTCAAGGTAGATCTATTATGCCAAGGTCAGGGCCTTGAGATGGGGATTTCTGAACAGCTATTACCCCAGATTTTGAACCCCCAAATCCTCTGAATCCTCTTATCTTGCAGAATTAGCTTACCCCATCACTTTTAAAGTTAGTGCTTCTGGCTTGCCAAAAGACAATTTACAGCCCTCTCTGAGGCCAGACAACATGTTCCCTCGGGGTCTGTTTTCACATCCCTTCCTGGTCATTAGGTCTATATCTTGAATTAAGTCACCCACAGTTGGGCCTGATAAGGGAGGAGAGAGACAATACCCCAAAGGAGCTGTAAATCTGGCCAGCATATACTTGCAGGAGTTGCTGCTCAAGGGATTGGATCTGAGGGTGCTGGATCAGTGGGTAGAGACAGAAGATTGAATAGTGGGGAGTTTATTGATTTGAGAATATGCACCTGAGACATAGGGTTTAATGGGGCAAAGTCCCTAGGGGATGATATGGACTTGCTAGTAGGATGGCTTCTGAAAGTGTAGAAAAAGTGATGGCCCACCCACAAATGATGTGAACTTGAAATGCCAGCTTGTTGTGGGAGACAGTGGAGGAAGGAATGCAAAGACCCAAGGAAATGGGAGTGAGAAAGTGGATATACGATATGAGGACAGAATACCCTCTACAGGATCATGTTCCTCAGGCACACCCAGAGGACACCCCCCCTACCAAGGGACATGCTGGTGAGAGGACACCAACAACACTAAAATCTTTCAGTGGTGCCTCTCCTCTGTCAACCAGGCCTGATGGGCAGAGAGACTATTACAGAGCTAGGCTGACAGGAACCCAAAACAATAGAGGCCAGGTGGCAGCACTTAACTGCTAGAAGCCAGGTGGATGCAATTATTGTAATGAGCCACAGGGTTGGAATGACAGCCAAGGGGACCTGACCTAAAGAGGGTTATGTAGATGGTTAATTGAACAGGTGCCCTAAGGGCAAAATAGATGAGAGCCAACTGGGTACTCTGTACCATCATAACAAATTGAGAATGAATGACCAGAAGGCTGAGAGCAATTGCCACAATAAAAAGCCATAATACTTTGTGCAAATCCAGACTAACCTAAACCAGTTATTAGGCCTGGAGCACACTGACTGAAGAGGAGGCTGGGTTCACAGGAAGAAGGCCCTTGCGACACCATGACAATTAGCCTAGTAATAAGTCTCCTAATCCTTCTCCAAAGGCATGTAGCCATTTACTCAAGTAATTGTACTCTTGGGAGACAGGAGTTGTGGTAGGTAGAATAATAGTCCTACTGAACACCTGCTATTAGAATAGTCCTTATCTCTGGAGCCATAATATGTTATGTTAGAGAGCAAGGGAGAATTAAGGTTGCAGATGGAATTAAAGCTGTGTCTCAGTCTGTTTGTGCTGACATAACAAAATGCCACAAACAGGGTAATTTATAAATAATAAAAATTTATTTCTCATAGTTCTAGAGGCTGGGAAGTCCAAGATTAAGGCATCAGCAGATTTGGAGTCTGGTGAGGGCTGCTGTCTGCTTCCAAGATGGCATGTTCTTGCTGCATTGTCACGTGGCAGAAGGGGACAAAAAGTGACAAATGCTATGTCTTCACATGACAGAAGAGATAGTAGAGCACCTACGGTGCTCCCTTCAACTTTGAGGCTGCTAATCTTATTCATGGGGACTACATCCTCCTGACTTCATCGCTTCTTAAAGGTTCAACTTCTTAATACTATCACATTGGTGGTTAAGTTTCAACATGTGAATTTTGAGGGACACATTCAGATCACAGCGTGCAGCTATCAGCCAACTTTAAAATAAGGAGATTATCTTGGATTGTCCATGTAAGACCAATGTATCACAAAGATCCATTAAATGTAGAAGAAACAGAAGAGAGTGTAGCAGACTGATGCAACATGAGGTAGACTTAACAATTACTAGTTACTTCCACGGCCTTGAAGATGGAAGGAGACCATGAGCTAGGGCACTGTTGGCAGCCTCTAGAAGCTGAAAAAGGCAAGGAAATGGATTCTCCCCTAGAGTCTCCAGAAGGAATGCTAACCTTAATTTTAACCCAGTGAGACCCATTTCAGACTCTAACTTCCAAAACTGTAAAATAATAAATTTCTGCTGTTTAAGCCACCAGGTGTGTGGTAATTAGTTACAGGAGCAATAGGAAATGAACACATACACTAATACTCATCCATTTAATGTACAAGTCTGGCCACCAAAGATAGCAGATAAGTCCTAGAGGATTCCAGTGGACAACTGCAAACTCAGGTAGTAGCCCCATTTGCAGCTGCTGTGCCAAATGTAAATTTCCTAGCACATTAACATGATCTCAGGTGCATGGAATGTGGCCACTGAGTTGGTAAGCCCATTCTTTTCTATTCCAACAAGGAAAAAAGGATTAGAATCAGTTAACATTCACATGGAATGGGTAACTATATATATATATCTATTTACAGTTTTACCCAAGGCTTTTAAAAATCTAATGCATTCTATAATATTGTAGTCTGTCATAATATAGTCAGAGGAGATCTGGAACTTGTGGCTATTCCCCCTAGAATAACATACTGATCCACTGTATTAAAGATATTATGCTAAGAAGGTTAGATGAACAAAAAGTGTTTAGTGTTCTGGAGGGCTTGGCAAAACACCTATGCAACTGATGGTGAAAGATAAATGCTACAAAGATTCAAACGTTTATCATATTTTAAAATATTTTAGGAGCTCAGTAGTCATGGGTATACTAAGATATACCTTGAGAGGAAAAGACAATTATTGCATCTTGCACTTTCCACCGTAAAGAAGGAAATCCAATGCCTAGAGATCTCTTTGGGATCAGGAGGCAGCATATTCTATACATGGGACTACTGCTTCAGTCCATATATTGGGTACTACAGAAGGATGCCATCACTGAGTGGGGTCCAGAGCAAGAAAGAGCTCAGCAGCAGGTCCCTGTTGCAATGTAAGCAGCACAAATGACCCAGCACACACTATGATATTGGATATGAGTGGTGGGAAAAGATGCTGTTTCAGCCTTTAGGGTTCTGGAGCTAGGCTATGGCTTAATGGTAGAGAATTATATGCCTTTCGAAGAATATCTCCTGTTGAGCTATCAGGTTCTGGTAGAGATGGAGCATCTGTCCATGAGACACCAAATAACCATGCTTTTGGAAGTGGGTTCTGTCAGAGCCACTAGAGTGTAAGGTAAGGCAGGCTCAGTAGCAATCCATTGTAAGAGGAAAGAGGTACATGTATGATCAAGCATGAGCTGGACTAAGGATACAAGCAAACTGCATGAGCAGGTAGCCCAGACCCCCATGCTATTTGCTACTGTTCCACCAGTGCTCCTCCCTCAGCTTATCCCTGTGGCCATCTGGGAGATCCCTTACAACCAGCTTACAGAGGTTTACAGATGGCTCAGCTCAGTATATAGGAACATGCTGAAAAGAGGCAATAGTAGCACTGCAACATCACTGGTGAGAGGCACTGGAAGGCAGTGAGGAAGGAGTTTCAGGCAGTGTGCCTGGTTATTCACTTTGTATGGGAAGAAAAGTGGCTCAGTGTTAGAATATATACAAACTCATGGGCAGTGGCAATGAAAAGATGTTGGCCACCTAGGAGCGGGCAAAAAGTGTTAAGATCTTTATGTCATATGCAAATGCCCATCAGAGAGCATCTGTCATGGAAAAGGCAATGAACAATTGTGTAGACAAAATTGCTTGGCCATTTGACTTCCACTAGCCTTGGTCATTGGCCACACCAGTGCTTGCAGATGGGCTTGCTTGGAGTGGTCACAGTGGGAAAGAGGAAGGCTATGCCGGGTGGGTCCAATGGCATGGCTGCCTATTTACCAAGATTAAATTGGCTACTGCTGCCATTGAATGCCCAAACCTCCAGCCAGAGAAAACAACACTGAGCCCCCAATATGTTACTCTTCCTTAAAGAGACCAGTCGGCCATTTGGTGGTAAGTGAGTACACCGATCACTTTCTATCTTGGAAAAGCCAGAGATTTGTTCTAACATAAAAAGCCAAGTATTCTGGGCATGGATTTGCCTTTCCTGCCCACAAGTTTCAACTAGAAAGACTATCTGAGGGTTTATGAAATATCTCACCCACTAGGATGGGATCTCAATAGGATAACATGGCATCAGATCAGAAGACCACTTGTCAGAAAAGAAGGCACAGAAGTAAACCATGCCTATGAGACTTACTGGCTGCATCAGAGATGGCATCACTCAGAAACTTTTGGCCTAGGAGAGTTTTGGCATGGTCTACCAAAGGTGCAGTTTAAGCATCAGCTTGGAGGTGGTACTCTATGAGGTATCATACTATCCTATATGGCCCCAATAAAAAGAATATGTAGGTCCAGAAATAAAGAAGTGGAAGCAGTAGTGGTCTCACCATCATTCTCACTGATTCACTGGGGAACTATTAATAAAATGCCCAGTCATTTGGGCCTGGCATGGGATACCTCTAAACAGCCATATATGCTCCAGAGCTCTCCATGGGATTGGATGAGGCTAGATTGTGACTGCATTGCCCTTCAACTTCATCCTTTAGAGAATCCTGTTTCTTCCTCTCCTCTTATACAAGTCCAGATGCTTAAAAAAAATGCCCTGCTTGCCAAACTCTGTGTCAGACTCTGTTTCTAGAGAGGTGGCTCCCCAAACTTTTTGGCACCAGGGACCGGTTTCATGGAAGACAATTTTTCCATGGATGGAGGTGGGGTGAGGGTGGGGATGGTTTTGGGACACTGTTCCACCTCAGATCATCAGGCATTAGATTCTCCTAAGGACTGTGCAACCTAGATCCCTTGCATGCGCAGTTCACAATAGGGTTCATGATCCTATGAGAATCTAATGCTGCAGCTCATCTGACAGGAGGTGGAGCTCAGGTGGTAATGCTTGCTGGCTTGCCCCTTACCTCCTGTGGTGCCGCCCAGTTCCTAACAGGCCACAAATCAGTACTGATCTGTGGCCCGGGGGTTGGGGACCCCTGTTCTAGAGAATCCAAGCTTTGGTGGCTCCCAATCTCAGTTCCCTTTCCAGAGATAACTTGGTGTATATTTTGCTAGGCCTTTCTGTAAATACACAGATATTTTAAATTTTAAAACTTTTCTTCACATAAATGGGCTCATAACATATATGTTTTTCTGTGACTAGATATGTTTTAAAGGCAGTTTTACTGACATGTAATTTACATACAGAAACATCCACACTTTCAAAGTATATATTTCAATGACTTTTAACACATAATTAAAATACAGTATATTTTCATCACCCCAGGACATTCTTTCATGCTCCTTTACAATCAGTCCCCTTCTCCCAGCCCTAGCTCCTGATCTGACTGCTGGTCTATGTAGATTTGCATTTCCAGAATATCATATAAATGGAATCATACAGTAGTATGTAGCCTTTTGTGTCTGGACTCATTCTTTTAGCATAATGCTTTTTAAATTTATTCACATTGTTGAATGTATCAGTAGTTTATTCTTTTTATTGTTCAGTAGTATTCCATTGTATAGGTGTATCACAATTTGTTTATCCATTTATCAGTTAAAGAACATTTGAGTGTTTCCAACGTAGGGCTATCATTTATAATGCTCCTGTAAACCTCTCTGTAAAGTCTTTGTGTGGATATATGATTTTTATTCTCTTGGAAAACTACTGGAAGTGGGATTGGTGGGTAATATGTGAAGTGTATATTTAACTTTAAAAGAAACTGAAACATTTCAAAAGTGGCAGAAACATTTTGCATTCTCACAAGCAAGGTGTGAGGGTTCCAGTAACACCACATTCTTTTCAGCACTTGGTATTTTCAGGCTTTACTTTTAGCTCTTTTAGTAGGTGTGTAGTGGTATTTAATTATGGTTTAATTTGCATTTCCCTGGTGAAAATGATGTTAAGCATATTTTTATGTGCTTAGGACAGCCTTAAACAATTTTTTTTTTGAGACAGAACTTCGCTCTTGTTGCCCAGGCTGGAGTGCAATGATGGGATCTCGGCTCACTGCAACATCCGCCTTCCAGGTTCAAGAGATTCTCCTGCCTCAGGCTCTGGAGTAGGGGGGATCATAGGCATGCGCCACCATGCCCGGCCAGTTTTGTATTTTTAGTAGAGATGGGGCTTCTCCATGTTGGTCAGGCTGGTCACGAACTCCCGACCTCAGGTGATCCACCTGTCTTGGCATCCCAAAGTGCTAGGATTTCAGGCATGAGCCACCACGCCTAGCTGCCTTAAACCATTTTTTTTGTGTGTGTGAAGTGTCTGTTCAAATCTCTTGCTCGTTTTAAAATTAGGATATATATGTTTCTTAATATTGAGTGATGAGATTTCTTTATACAGTCTGGATAAAATTTCTTACTCAGATATGTATTTTACAAGCATTTTCTCTCAGTCTGCCATTTTTTTTTTAAATAAGGGTCTTTCAAAAAGCAGAAGTCTTTAATTGGATGATGTCCAATTAATCAATTGTAAAAATGGTTTGTATTTTTATAACCTATCTAAAAACTCCTTGCCTAGCCCAAAATTACGAAAGTGTTCTTCTATGGCATTTAGAAGTGTTATAATATTAACTTTAAAGTTTATGTCTATTATTTATTTCAAGTTAATTTCTGCATATGATGTGAGGGTCAATGTTCATTGTGTTTACGTATGGATGTGTGACTGTTTCAGTTGGAAAGATGATTCCTTTCCCATTTCCTGTCACAAGAATACAACTGACCACATATATATGAGGTCTATTTCTGAACTCTACACTGTTTCAGTGCTTTATACACTCTCGCCTCATATAAATACCATATTATTCTTGATTACTATTGTTTTATTGTAAGATTTGAAACTAGGCAGTAGTGTGAGTCCTCAACATACATCCTTTTTCAAAATTATTTTGCTCTCCTGGCTCCTTTGTATTTTTGCATAAATTTTATGAACTTCTGCTTCTGGGAAAGGTGGAGTAAGAAGGACCTGCTCTTCCTTTATACTTAAAACAACTGGAAAACTGAATAAAACATACAAAACAATGGTTTTCAGGCATTGGATATCAGGCAATGCAGGACAATATTCACTGAGACATGATAAGCATAGAAGAGCCGCGTGATTGCCCATTCTACTGCCAGGAGAGAGTTTCCAGGCCACAGCGCAGGCAGGGGACACCCAGCAGAGGCTGACAGTCTCCGTGAGTAGAGGAGAGAAAGTTAAGAGTCTTTAGAGAATAATCAGCTTAAGATCCTGGGGTAGAGTACAAAAGAAGAGAGAGCTGTTAAGAGAGTTCCAGAGGTCTGCTGGGTACTGATAATCTCATAAGTATAAGGAGAGTACCTGCGACTGCAGACAGAATTTCATCTGAAAGGGGCAGAGGCAACAATCCCCAGCACTCACCGAGGTCCAGAAATGCATCACGTTCTCACCAGCCAGAGTAGAAAACCTCATAATTCATAGGGAATTGTATAGAAAATTCAGGAATTTATTGGAACCAAATTAGCCATTGGCTAAAGATTTTTCTAATTCCCACCTAATAAAGTTTGAAAAAAAGCTTTGAAAGATTCAAACTATTTCCACGTAACTTAATGAAATTCAAGAACAAAGCCCCAAAATATTTTTAAAAGTGTAAGATTTTTACACTTTTGAAAGCACCCAGCAAGGTAAGATTCACAATGTCTAGCATCCAATGTGGTAGGATGAATAATGGCCCCCAAAACAGCTATATCTCAATCTTTGGAGCCTGTGAATGTTATCTTATATGGCAAAAGGGCCTTTGCAGATGTGACTTAAAGATATTGAGATGAGGAGATTATCCTTAATTATTTCAGTGGGCTCTAAATGTAACCACAAGTTTCTTTAGAAGAGAGAGGAAGAAGGAGATTTGATTACACAGACAGAAGGCAATATGATACTGAGGCAAGATGTTACACTGCTAGCTTTGAAGATGGCTGATGGGGCCATGGGCCAAGGAATGCAAGGATTGAAGCTCTCGAGGCTGGAAAAGACAAGGAAACAGATCCTCCACTTGAGTCTCCAGAGTAAGCATGACCCTGAAGATACTTTGTTTTGGCCCAGTAAAACTGATTTTGGACTCCAGAACTGTAAGAGAATGTGTGTTGTTTAAGCCCTCAAGTAGTAGTAATCTGTTACAGCAGCCATAGGAAACTAATACAGATTTTGGTACCAGGAGTAGGGTACTGCTTAACAAATACATAAAAATGTGAAAGTTGCTTTGGAATTGGGTAATGGGCACAGGCTGAAAGAATTTTGAGAAGCATGATAGAAAAAGTATAGATTGCTTTGAACAAACTATTGGTAGAAATATGTGTGTTAAAGTCTCTGCCAGTGAGAGCTCAAAAGGAAGTGAGGAACATGGTGGAGAAGTCCTGTATTGTCTTAGAGAATACCTAGATTGTCATAAACCAATTATTGGTAGAAATTGAACATTAAAGACTCGTCTGGTAAAGACTCAGAAAGAAATGAGGAACATGTTTTTGGAAACTAGAGGAAAGAAGTTTCTTGTTATAATGACAAAAAGCTTACAAGAATTGTGTCCATCAGTTGAGTGGCAAACAATCCTTGTAGGTAATGAGCTTGACTGTTTAAAGGAGGAGGTATCCAAGCAAAGTAATGAA
This sequence comes from Homo sapiens, assembly GCF_000001405.40. Lineage (NCBI taxonomy): Eukaryota > Metazoa > Chordata > Mammalia > Primates > Hominidae > Homo > Homo sapiens. Next base: position 78,040,353 of record NC_000004.12, read on the forward strand.
GGCACAGCTTGGTTTCTTCTTGCCAATTATAGTAAAATGAGAGAATGAAGAGATAAATTAAGGAAAGAACTGTTAAGCAAAAAGTAAACAGGACTCAATAATTTGGGAAATTCTCAGGCTATCTGGTTTGCAAAATATTTTGAGTTAGAGATTCACTGCCATGCGATAAGAAGAAAGCCAAGGGTATGGCTGGACAATGTTTTTCTAGTGTTTTGGAAGAATCAAAAGATAAGGATGTTCATTTATACAGAGGACTCTTTGAAGAGATTAAGCATGTGACTCATAGATCTCCATGGCAATTTCAGCAGAAATCATGAATAGAAATGTGATTATTCAGGAAATATATTTGGAGGAGCCTCTTGCTTAATGGCATAAATTCCCATGACATACACAGGAGACCTGCAAAGATTTTGAGACTCTTATTTCAGCAGAAATAGTGCTAGCTTGGACTGTAAGGAATAAATATTGGATGAATGAAAGAAGTCTGTCAATACTCCAAAATTCTACAGGCAGGAAACAGGCTGATACAACTACTCAGCTGCAAACATGTCCTTCTCTTCTTTCAAGAAAAAGAAAGGCTGACGATAACAGTACAGCCTTAGGCCCAGAAGGCAGAGTCTTGTGTCCAGAGGGCAGAGCCATGAGTTTAAGAGGATTATTTTCAAGCCTTTCATACCTAACAGAGTTTTCTTAGTTGCACTTTGAAATTGCTTGGGACCAGAGACCTTTTTTCTTTCTTCCATTTTCTTTTTTTTGTGTGGAATATCTATAACTGTTATCCTATGCCTGTCCCACCATCATACTTTGTGAGAAGATAACTTGTTTTCTAGTTTCACAGGTCTACAGATGGAGGGGAATTTTTCCCCAAGGCAGATTATACTCAGATTTCACCAGTACTTGATTTAGATGATGAGATTTGGGACTTTTGAGCTGATGATATTTAGATAAGATTTGGACCTGTAATGGATTGCAACTTTGGTGGATATTAGGGTGGTGTGGAGCAACATGTCTCCCTTGACTGAGGTAGTTTAGTCTTCTCTTGCTTGTGAACCTGTGCAATGGCTTCCTTTGAGGTAGTTACTTTGCAGGAGAATGATGATGCCCTTTAGGACCTCTTCCCACTCCCTCGCATTGCTTTTAGACCTGTGACCAGACTTGAGACCCACCATCCACCAGAGGACGAGATACAGCTACCTATGAGGAAACATTATATACTCCAAAATAATTACAACATAAACCTTGAAAATATTTATCCAGCTGAATCCTAAGTGTGTTATATCAAGATTCCAGAAATCCTCAAATTATAATTATATTCCTTCCCTCATGTACAATCTCCTTGCTAAATGACACAACATTTCTTTGGGAGTCTAGAGGTACGATTTATCGTATACATTTTTTACAGGACAGCAGGGTCCCACCTCAAGAGAATACTAGTCTTCCCTTCATTCAAGGGGCTCTGGGTCTAGGAACTGGTTGAGGGGCCTCAATTCTCTGTTGTGATTCAAATCAGACTTCTTTCATTAGACTTAGAGCTTTTCCACTTTCACAAATCAAGTAAGCCTTTAATACACTGCCCATTTATTTCAGTCCTGAGGGCACTGTGATCAACTAGCCGACACCAAAGATCTCTGCAGGTCTAAGCATTCTGATGACTACTTTGGTTCTGCTTACATGACAGTAACCATAGCTGCTTTGTCTCTGACAATTAACTGCTTTCACTGTCTTCCTGCCACCCTGGCATCTTGTCATCCTCATTGAATTCATGGAGCTTGGTTAGATGGCAGCTTTTCCCATCCTGGCCTACAAACAATAACTACCACAGACTCTTCAAGGATATGAGGGTTCACCTTACTAATGGCTCACCTTCTTAATGTCTTGGAGAAGGCAGTTATATTTGTATCTTTTCCCTTTTTCTCTAAGTTGTCAAATCTTGGCCATTTTATTGTTTCTCCCCCCAAAATATGCTTTTGGTTTTACTGCTATGTACTTAGTTTTGTTTTGTATTTAATTAATTTATGTTTGTGTTTATTGCTTCATTCCTTTGAATTTCTCTGGATTTATTATTACATTTTTAATTCTAGAGTTATAATTTTAACTATTTTGTTTTCAACCTTTCTTAGTTTTAATAAATTCTTTTAAGCTATAATTATTCTTCATTTCTTTCTTCAGATACAACATTGAGCTGTTTCATATACTGTTTGATAAGCAATTTTCTTTGTCATTATTTTTATTACAGTTTGAAACTTTGATTTTTATGTCCTCTTTAAACCAAGAGTTATTTAAAGGAGTGCTTTCACATTTTGAAGTGTATATATTTAACACAAAACCTATTCAATTCTTTTTAAGGCCTATTTTATTGTTGCTGTTAGCAAATATATTCTGTATGCTATTTTCCTTCCTGAATTCACTGAGATTTTATTTATGGCCTAATATATGGACAATATTTATAACTGTTCCCTGTATGCTTGAAAAGCAGATGCATTCTTTACTTTTTTGGGCTAAGACGAAGGCCTAATTCTGCCCTGCTCCTTCCAACATCCACAGTCTTTCTCCTCTCTGTTCCTACTCCCAATACCAATTTTAAAATTCTGCTCTTGGTCTCTATTTTGACATTTTAGAACAAAAATACAGCAATAATTTTCACATTTTATTTTGCTACTTCCTCTCTCCTCTTCCCCATCTTCAAATAAATTTTTATTTCAAAATTTCTTCTTCTTTAGCCCTTTTAGGTATTTTTGAAGTTTTAATTCTCAATTATTGCTCTTCCTGGAATTATGCATTTTTAAAAATGATTCTTAGCAACACTTATTTTATACTTGAAAAATTGCATTATTATGAAGTTTTGATTTTAACAACTTTTTTTTCAGTTTTTAAAAACTAGCAGTTTTTTGCTTACCATTGTCTCTGGTATACTCAATCTTTTACTAACTTGAGATGTTTGTCCTGAATTAATTTTCTCTTTGCTTCTTTGTTTTCTCAGAAAAGACACACAGGTAATATATTTTGTGATCATATAAATTTATTCACTTGTCCTTCCATAGGGATGATATCTAGGCTGGTAAAAAATTCTTGGATCTTACTCTTTTTCCCTGGAAAGCACATAAATATATTTTTCCCTGTCTTCCACATTTGCAGGTGAGAAATCCATTGTAATTTTCTTTCCTGTGTAAATTAATCTCTGTGTGTGTGTGTGTGTGTGTGTGTGTGTGTGTGTGTGAGAGAGAGAGAGAGAGAGAGGGAGAAAGATTGCCTGGAAGTATGAGGTTTTATTTTTTTATCTTTGGCATTCATGGATTTTATCAGATTTTGTCAAAATGTGTATCACTTAAAAAATTAATTAGGCCTGGTACATTTTTCTCTTTCTTTCTCTTTCTTTCTTTCTTTTCTTTCTTCCTTCCTTCCTTCCTTCCTTCCTTCCTTCCTTCCTTCCTTCCTTTCTTTCTTTCTTTCTTTCTTTCTTTCTTTCTTTTTCTTTCTTTTTCTTTCTTTCTCTCTCTCTTTCTCTCTCTCTCTCCCTCACTCCCTCCCTTCCTTCCTTCTTTCTGTTTCTTTGTTTCTTCTTTCCCTTCTTCCTTTCTTTCTTCCTTCCTTTCCCCTTCTCCTTCCCTGCCCTTCTTTCTTTTCTCACAGTTTCACTCTGTTGTCCAGGCTAGAGTGAAGTGGCACGATCTCGGCTTACTGTTACCTCTCCCTCCCAGGTTCAAGCGATTCTCCTGCCTCAGCCTCCTGAGTAGCTGAGATTACAGGCATGCACCACCATACCTGGCTAATTTTTTTGTACTTTTAGTAGAGATGGGATTTCACCATGTTGGCCAGGTTGGTCTTGAACTCCTGACCCCAAGTGACCTGCCTGCCTCAGTTTCCCAAAGTGCTGGGATTATAGGCATGAGTCACCACATGCATGGCACATTTCTATCTGAAAAGCAGAATCTTTCTTCTGTTGTCTTTTTAAACTCCTCCTTTGTATGACCTCTTTTCATATCTTGGAATGACCTTTTTTATTTATTTGTTTGTTTCAGCTCTTGTGGATCTGTCCTCCATGTCTTGTGACTTCCAACTTTGATATTTCAGGGCTTTGTTTTCATAGTTTCTCTATTTGGTCCTTCATATTTTAAATTTTGTTTCCAGAAGTATCCACTCTATTTTGGTGTTCCTCTAGTGAAGTTTTAAATTCAAGTACAATGGTTTTAGTTTTTGTTTTTCAAACAAATATTTTTAGTGTTTTGAGCCTTCACTTACCAATATCTTCTTGTATGTCATTAATTTCTTTCTTCATTTTATGAAATTGTCTTTTTTTTTTTTTTTTTTTTTTTCACCATGAGTGTCTAACCTCTTGGCTTCCCTGGGACAAAGTGGAAGAAGAATTGTCTTGGACCACACATAAAATACTAACACTAACACAATAGCTGATGAGCTAAAAATAAGGTCCATGCCTAATTTTCGTGATATCCACTGCCATAGGTGAGCAAAAAAGTCCTCGCATTCAAAGGATTGGACAGTAACTGCCTTAATGGGAGACTGCTGTCCTGGTTTTTGGTCCTGATCTTCCTCCTTCAAGCTACTTAACGCCTTAAATAATACCTCGAATCTTTTTTTACTCTCCTTTAATAGTAGCTGTGTAAGTCAGATCACTGGGATCTTTCCATCAGCGGTGGATGGGCAAAAGATAGAATAAAAAAAATACGACTTTTCTGGTGTGCCAGCAGTGAGCAGAAACTTGACACAGTGTCTGTTACCTTTCTTGAGTGTGTTTGAGTGTGTGTGTTGTGTGTGTGTGTGTGGGGGAGGGGGGAGTGGGGAGAGTTGCTTCTTCTTCTGAGGCATCACAAAAAGGGGGCAGTTCAGCTTGATGATACAATTCTTCCTGAGAATGGCCTGTAATGGTGGAACCAGAGGGTTTTCTTGCACTGGGGGCATTTATTAGGCTCAAACTGCCAGTCCTTATTTTAGATGCAAAATCAATACACTTCACTTCAGTTTCTGTTAGGGTGATGGGCCTTCCCCTTGGATGCCTGGTCTTTGATCCTTCCAGCTTTGTAAATGATGTTGTACAGAAACTGCCCTAACCAGGCCAAGTAAACTGTCCCTGTAGGACACTAAATTCTAAGTAGGCCACACTTCCTTCATTTCCCTCTCCACTCCCAAGGGCCTCTCCACATTAGCTCTTTATCCTACTAATCAGCTGGGAGAGACGGGGATGTGTGCTCAGGCCTCCATCTTCTCAGCATGAATTACTACTCTTTCTTTGACTGCTTCTTTCCCTATGTTTTCTCTATGTCCTCCATTGAGAGCTCTTAGTAGACAGATAACGCATCTCCTGGATCTATCTTGTTCCTTTTTTATTGTGCTAAGTTTTGAAAATGTCCTTGGTTTTATCTTGCAGGTAACTGATTGAAGTCTTCAGCTATTTGTTTCATTATTCAGAACTCCTATTAGGTTTTTCTTATTTGGTGAATTATATACTTATTTTCCAAAACACCTTTTATGTTCTTAGCTGCTCTTTTAAAAATAGCTGCCAGTGCTTGCTTTATAGAAATACTGTCCTTTCAAATAACTCTGAAAATACTAATTCAATCTTTTCAAAAATTTCCTTCTGTTTCTTCGATGATTTTTTTTTTTTATTTTGGGATCAGTTATATTGTTTGTTAATCTTTACATTTTAATTTAAACTGTTTTTTATTACTGTGTTTTGATGATGATTGTCTATTCTTGTTTATAAAAGGACTAAGTTGACCATTACAGGTAGCTGATGTGTATTTCTTCAGTAACTGTAAACTGTAGTTTATATGACTATACATATTTGGAGATGCCAGAGATGGGCTAAGTAAAAAGTTCGATGGGTAAATGCACATAGGCTTCCTTCCAATCACATGGGCACTGGGAAGACAGGCTAGCTGGGGACTTCTGCAACTGCTCAAGTTAGACAGGCATTACTCTGGGTGAAGTGCTTTATGCCGTTAAAATGCGAATTAATGTGTCTGTTAATTAGATGTTTAAAAAAATTTAACTGGTATAGATAGCCACCTATGGAATCCCCATATTTATATTGAAAATAAAAATAACAGGTTATTTTTGCTGATTATGTAAAGTAGCACCATATGAACCACTTTCCAGTTCAATTCAAAGCTTAAGTCTTTTAATGTACTCTGACTATAAGAGGATTTAAAAATACAGTTGTGGATGAAAACAATTATCTTTCTTTTTAACAAAGAAATTTTAAAAAGAGTATATGTTTAACTGTATTTTTTTCAATGGAGGGGAGAGCACAGAAAAATCATGATGTTGGATATGTACCTAGATCATGTAGGTACATATGTACATAAACTTTGTTCGGTCCTTAGCTATTTATGAAATTAACTTCATTTTTATACAGATTCCTCCCTTTTACTTATTGGAGTGAGCTCTCCTCTTTATAGCAAATCTTTCCCTGATTAGAATACCATATGCAAATTAAGACAGTGCATATCTACACTTTGTAAAAAGCTTTGGCCTTACTTCAATGCAAGTTAGATTTTATATACCACTGCCGCGTTTGATGCATGTTGATTCAAATTCATGCTGCTACGCTTTGGTGAGGAGAAGCTGAAAGGCAGATGCTGAAGAGGGATGCTGAAGCTGACATGAGGGAGGCCAACTCAAGGAAACGGAAACATTTCTCTAGGCTTGGAGGCACTTTCGCATTCCATATACTTTTCGGTTCTAAACAAGATGTGAAAGGACACAGGGTCATGGCTCTTCACTGTCTGCTTTACCACCTTCTTTTTGTCTTGTATTCACCGGGGAAATATTTCTCAACTCTATAACCTCCTAAAAATGACAGCAGGTTTAGGACTGTCTGTCTACCAGGGGACTCCCATGAGAACCTATGGCCGGTTTTTCCCTGTCTTTTCAAAGTCTGCAATCATTTTAAGATTGAATCACTCCAGGGGCACCAAAGTCAGACTTATTGCAACTTGGCTGTTACTAGATGTTCATAAAATAAGAGAGAAAAACAGCAAAATTAAAAGCTAATGGATTAGGGCAAGCAAACACATCAGACTCACCTTGATTGTAAAAGTAATGGCTCTGGTTCTGTCATCACTGAAAATGTTAAAAACAATAAAGACACTAAGAGGTACTCAGCCTTCTTGCATGGGTCCAAGTATGATATCATCTATCCTTGCTTCCTGCTTTTCATTCGTGACTAGAGAAATATCATCATCATCATCAACATTGTCATCAGTTTAGAACTATCTGAATAGACGTCTGAAGTAGACCTCTGGGAGCATTTACATATCCAATTACAACAGGAGGATTATTCATACTGTTAAAACTGCCTTGCACATAAAAACGCCTGACCTAGCTGAAAGTTCCTAATAATAATGCTTTACACTTGCATAGTGCTCTTAATGTTTCAAAAGATTTTCATATCCATTTTCCTAATTTGAGCCTCAACACAATCAGGTTTGGTAAGTAGGTTCTAAATATTATCTCCCTTTTACAGATGAGGACTTAGAAGATTTATTAATGACTTATCTGAGGCCAGTCAACCAGTCTTAAGCTTAGACTGCATCCTAGGTGTTTCTTTTTGGGCTCAGTGAGATAACACAGTCTCTTTTTCCTAGATTTGTGAAGGCCAATATCTTTGGATTGCGATAAACATAATCTCAAAGCCTCGAGTTTACTTCTGAGAAGGTGGAATATGTTGTTCTTTGTCATTTCTGCTCTGAGTTCTCTATAAAACCTTGGTGATGGAGCATGGGAAGACCCAGGACACATTAGGAGGCTTAAGTTCACCAATGCTGATTCCTAGTTGTGTTGTTACATTGGAAAGAATACCTTGAAAACAAGTTGGCTTCTGGAGCAAGCTTTGCACTCTACTCAGTTTTCCCTCATAGACAGTAGATTTGGTAATGAGTACCCCCACAACCTCTCTGTTTTCTTTATAGATATGTGGTTAAAAATGGTTTTTAAGAATGATTATTGTGAGATCAGTTATCCACATCTCCCCCAGGAAGCCAGGTGCTTTGGGGAGTCCTGATTTGCATTTTTGTTAACCTGACATAATTACTGACAGCATTCTCTGTTGCTCTCTAAAGTATCTTGTTTGGACAACAAATTAGTCACCTTAATTTGTGGGGAAGTTAACTCTATTCTTCACTGTAGGGTCGGGGCATGTGATATAATTCAAACTTCAAGCCTTAGCTAGTAGTGAAATCTCAAATTTGGTCAAACATGTTGATTCAGGGATCAGCCTGGGAGTGAATGTGGACCAACAAAACAAAAAACAAACGTTTGCTGGGGGTTCACAAGAAAATAGTTTCCTTGCTTTTCTTCAATAGCTTTGGATTAACCCTTTGTAGAATGGACCAAAAAAAAAAGAGCACATAGTGCTGGGAATTGCTGCCAACTATTTTGTATCTAAAAGTGGGATCCAAACGGAAGATGAAGCTGACACAGTGGCAGGCAGCATTTGTCAAGGTAAGCTAGGTTATGCCAAAGTAACAGCTCCAAAATCCCTGTTGCTCAGCCAAACTGAGTTTATTTCTCACACTAGCTCTCCAGCAAGTGTTGCCAGAGGCCTTTCCACATAGCCTTTTGGGGACTTGGGCTGACTGAGGCTCCACCATCTTACCATGCCACCGTCATCGTTTTCTGGCTGCAGTGAGGCAGAGGAAGGGAGTGTTGCTGTAGAGCTTTGGGCCCAAAGTAACACAGAAAGTAACACTTTGCTATTGCCTAAGAAAGTGTTGTCTGGTGGAAATTTAACGCAAGCCAGGTATGTAATAATTTTGACTATATTATTATATTTATTGTTGATTGTTGTTGCTAGTATCAAAAATTTTTTTTGGGGGGATAGGGTATTGCTCTGTTACCTAGGCTGGAATGCGGTGGTGCAATCATAGCACACCGCAGCTTCCAATTCCTGGGCTCAGGCCATCCTCCCACCTCAGCCTCCTGAGTAGCTGGGACTATAGGAATGGACTGCCATACCTGGCTAATTTCCTAATTTTTTTGTAGAGACAGGGTGTCACTATGTTGCCCAGGCTGGTCTCAAACTTCTGGGTTCAAGTGATCCTCCAAGTTCACTCCCAAAGTGCTGGGATTACAGGCATGAGCCACTGTGCCTGACTGTTATTACTAAATTTGAAGGTGGTTCTTGTTTGCTAAGATTTATTTATTTATTTATTTTTTAATGTCTAAGTTAGAGCATAATTTGCCAATAGTAAAATTTATCCTTTTTGTAGGCTTGTGAGTTTTGACAAACACGTTCAGTCATGTGACTACCATTACAATCAAGATTTAGAACAGTTCCATCACCCCTCAAAGTCACCTTGTGCACTACACTTTGTAGTTAACCAGGTACACCCACTCTCATTATCTGGCAACTGCTGATCTGTTTTCTGACTGTATGGTTTTGCCTTTCAAGAAGGTCACATAAATGGAATCATAAAATATGTCATTTTTTGTCTGGCTTCTTTCATTTAGCATCATGCATTTGAGATTCATCCACGCTATGATGTGTATCAATAGTTTGTTCCTTTTTTATTGCTAAATAATATTCTACTTACGGATGTACTGCAGTTTGTTTGTTCATTTCCTGGTTGAGGGACATTTGGGTATTTTTCCAGTTTTTGATGACCAATAAAGCCAGTATAAACAGTCATGTATAGGTTTCTGTGTAAACATAGGCTTTCATTTCTCTTGAGTAACTATTTAAGAGTGGAATAGCTAAACCATATGGTAAGTTCATGTTTAACTTTATAAGAAACTGCCAAATAGTTTTCCAAAGTGACTGTATAATTTTGTATTAATACCAGAAATATATGAGGGTTCCAGGTGCTCCACACCCTTGCCAGTGCTTGATATTATCAGTATTTTTTTTTTGAACCATTCTCCTAGGTGTGTATGGACATATATTAACCAGTTTTCTGGTAGCCATTTTTATTTTAAAAAGTAAAAATAAACAAGTGAAATTAGTTTTAATAATATATTTTACTTAGCATAATACATGCAAAATATTTTCAACATGTAATTAATATAAAAAATTAATGAGATATTTTATGTTCTTTTTTGTATGTCAAGTTTTTGAAATCTGGTGTGTATTTTATTTACACTTGCAGCATATCTCAATTTGCACTAACCACCTTTCAGGAGTTCAGTAGCCACATGTGGACAGTGCAGGTCTAGATTTAACCACGTGGTCCCACCAAATTGTGAGTAGGCTAGCAGAATGTAATAGCCTATGTATTCCAGAAATGTTGGTGAGCACTAGTAATGTCTGTCACAAAGGCAGAGTGGGAAGAAAGAAGGAATTCATGTCCTTTATGATTATTATTAAATTATGAAATTGAACCCAATCTGAACGTTTTCTAAGATAAGCCTTAGTTTCTAGTTATGACAGACAGTAATGCCACATGTAGTCCTTTTGAATTGGCTTCTTCTGTTATTTGAAAATCGCTCTAATATAATTTTTCATTGCACAAGTAAGTATGTGCTCAATGTAGAAAAATGAAAAAAATCCAGATAAGCTAAAAAGAGAAATTAAAAGTCACCTGGAATCTTAAAGATAATATTTTGGTGTATATCATTCGAGATATGTGTATGTAAGTGTGTGAAAGTACAAGTGTATAAGTGAAAACAAGGGAACTGCTATGGACTGAATTGTGTCTCCTCAAATTCATGTGTTGAAGCCCTGACCCTCAATATGACTGAATTTGAAGACAGAGCTTCTAAAAGATAACTAAGTTTAAATTAGGTTATAACAGCGGAGCCCTACTTCAGTAAGACTCTAGCCTTACAAAAGGAGAGAGATTTCCCTCTCTCTTTCCCTCCATATCCTCTTTGCCATGTGGAGACCCAGTAAGAAGGCAGCTGTCTACAAGCTAGGAAGAAAGCCCTCACCAGAAACTGAATTGGCCAGCACCTTGATCTTGGACTTCCCAGCCTCCAGAATGATGAGAAATAAATTTCTGTTTTTTAAGCCATTCAGTCGATGGTATTTTGTTATGGTAGTTGGAGCTGACTAGTAACAGGAACGTTCTCTATATTATTATTTTTGTCACCTATTTTTTTCAGTCAACAACAGTTTAGAAACATCTTTCCATGCCAATAAATAGATTTCTAAGGTATCATTTAAAATTACTGTATGTAATATTCAATTTTATGGAGGTTTTGCAATTTACTCAACACATTCTATTATAGGTTGTCCAGAATAATTTATTGTATAAATTGAGGCAGGAGCAGAGGTGGTGTCTATTTTGGAATACCTTCTTATTTGAAGCAAAAGCAGAGTATTTGGAAATTCTGCCGTTTTTTCACCTCTCATATTTACTTCTGGGCTCCTCTCAGTTCTTTCAGTTGAATAGATAGGAATATACAGCTCACATGGTATCTGGGTGATTAGTAAAACAAAAAATTAGATTTCTATAAAGTTTTTGTTAATTTTTTTCTCATTGCCTTGATTGTCTTGTATTCATTACCAGTAATGATTAGGTAAGTAGGTTATTCAAGGTGTTCTAGGTGCAACCAGAAGGTAATTAGTGATACAGAGAATAACAAATAAAGTTTTAAAAATCTGCAAGTAAGGATGTCATCGTAAAGTGCAAGATGAATCAGGTCCAGTCTTGTAGGACATTAATTTGAAAACAAAAGCCATTGTAAAATGTACGGAGAGAAATTGATTAAATGTGCTGAGATTATCTATCTGCTTTTCCTTTATTGGCTGCTGTGACCATTTGGCATTTTCAGTGACCTCCAATGCTTGGCTTTCTGCTGTGTGGCTATGGTAGGCGCAGGGGTGATATTAAAAATATTTAACAACTGGTGAGGCAGTGGCACCAACCAATCAGAAAAGACCCTAGCCTGAGACAACAGCTTTCACCAAACCAGGGTGAAAGGGCTGGGTAGCTGCCCTGAGTGGGAAAAATAAACAAACAAAGACATTTAAAAAACAGCAACAACAAAAATCCTTGTACCTTTTGTTTATTTTATTCCAGGAAAAAAGTTTTAGTTATAAAGCCTCCTTCTTGGTTTTAATCTTTCATGCACTTCCAGTGACACTGCTGAGGAAATGACAATTTCCAACAAAAATAAACAGTAAATAGCTACTCCCTTTCAGTAAGGGATTATCCAAATTCAGAGAAAGGGATGAATATCCTGAATATGTGAAGAACACTTATAGTTCTACATAGAAACAAAAAACCCACTAAAAAAAGAACCCACTATAAACAGGCCATTCGCACACACAATAAGTATATGAAAGGTGTTTCAGCTCACATCTGCTCATTAGAGCAGAGAAACGCAGATTTTAAAAATACCTCTATTTTACTTGGCTAACATCTGTTAAGTGGATAACCTGAGTCAGGTACTTTTGTCTTATTTAATGCAAACAAAATTCCTGTGAGGTGGGCACTATCATAATGTCCATTTTATAGACAGGGAATCCGAGGCTCAGAGGTTAAAATGCCTGAGGACACAGCTAATAAGTGGTGTTCAGAAAAGTGCTATTTTATCTTTTGCGATTTGCAGATTAAATGATACAGATCAAAATGATAAATGAGCATGCTTTGACCCAGCAATTTCACCTACAAAAGTTTTTATTCATGCTTTGACACAGCAGTTTCACCTACAAAAGTTTATTCCGGGGAAATAAATTGGGTAAGTACATAAAGGGCTTTTATAAGGACATTTAGTGTTGTATTGTTTACAATGGCAAAAAATTGGAAACAATCTAAACGTTCTTCAAAAGGGGATTGGCGAAATAGACATATCAATACAATGTTAACCAGAGCAGCTCTTAAAAATAATGACATAGATCAATATGATTTGGCTTGGAAACTTGTGGCTTGCCTATAGCACAGTATATTGTTCAGAGCGGGAGGCAAGTTATAAAATAGCATGTAAGTTATAATCCCATTTTTGTAAAAGGAATTATCTTTAAGCAGGGGAAAATCTCTGAATGTATATGCTGTGGTTATCCTTGCAGAGGGGCTAGATTATAACAGAGCCAATCAGTTTATATTTCTGTATTATTTGAATATTCTTTTTTGGAATAACTATTTGAAGCAGAAAAAAGGCAATAAATATTGTCGCATGCTGGAATGCACAAAGCAGAACAAATGCACTACGACTGCAAGAACACTCCCAGGGCAACTGAAAGAAGATCAGAGAAGGCACGTACAGGAGAAAGATGTGATAGAAGACTCAACACACAGAGTAGGGTTATGCAGAAGAAAGACAGTGAGAAGCAGAGGAAAGGGAGATGGGAGGGAGAAAGAGTAAAAAGAGCAAAGCAGATGAGCAGGAAAGCAGATGAGCAGGAAAGCAGAGCAAAGGCAGACTGTTGAATCTGTAGAGGAGTTGTAATAAAGGTCAGCAGAGCCCTGGTGGCATCAGGGAATGTGCAACTGGGGCCTTGGTAAGGACAGTTAAGATAGTTAACTGTAGGCAGATAGATGATAGATAGATAGATAGATAGATAGATAGATAGATAGATAGATAGATAACTAAGGACAGTTAAGCTAGATAAGAGCATGGGTGCTAGGGTAAAGCAGTACAGTTAGTGCTCACTAAATAGATATGTCTTCCCCTATGTGTCCTATCCTCCCTTGTAAGTAGATAGGGGTCACAATACTCATTCTTGTCATTGAACTGTGACAGGAAGGGCTGAGGCCCTTAAAGTTTGCAATGCCTCTTTCATTACCCCATGCAGAAGCCATGGGTGTCATATGTTTCATGATGGCCTGACTAGAAGGAGTCACCAATTCCCAGGGGCCAAGATGTGATCATGAAATAAACTCTTTTTGTGTTAAGATACTGTGATTTGGGAGTTTGCCTGTTATGAGAGCTAGAATTTCTTGCTCTGATATGCGTTGTCAGGTACTAGCTGTCTGACTTTGGATAGATTACTTAACTCTCTGAACATCTGTTATTTCACCTGTCAATGGAAATAATAATAGCACCTATCTCACGTGGTTATTGGAGGATTACATGAGAAAGTGTACAGTGTTAGGCACAAAATATTCAATATGTGTTATCATTGTTATTATTATCGTTTACAGCAGGAGTTGATAAATAAATTCCCCAAAATGGGCAGCAACAAGGACAGGGAGTTGTGAAGAGATGACAGCAGGGCTGATCCAAGGAGATATTGTGGAACATATTAACAAAAGTTGTGGAATCTGGACTTGTAACTAAAGAGGACTGAAGATATAGACCCAAATATCTCTGGCTAGTGAATTGCCAACTTCCTATGAGGAAGCATGAAGCTGTCATTTGTGGAGGTTAACTTATAGAGATAAGCTAGTTATGATTAGGTGCATCTCCATAAACATGCTTACTAAATTTTCATCATAATGAAATATGTTAGGTTTATATAATCTCTTTTTCCAACATTTCAGTTGAAGTGAACATAGGTGTTAGATATGCCTAATATTACAGAAATATTGGTTGACCCTTTGCTCTTCCAAGTGATCTTAGGGCAAGGACTCAGGCTGCCTTCTCCCTTGACTACTTAGGGCAGAGGGAGGACTATGTGAGTGGGCCAGCATGTGCCCCTGTGGTGGACTGGTGGTCAAGGGGGGATGTTATATATAAATCCAATAAATACAGCATATGATTAATTCAGGGTAACTTGGTAGTGCTATTCTCCCTTTATTTATTGCTTTTCCTTTTTGAAAAGTAGCATATTTGCAATTAGCAAGTATAACAGATATCTTATTGAGACCTGTGCCATAATTGTATGATTTTTGGAGTGCAGTGATTATTTATAGGCGTAATCAGGGTGGACCATGGCCTCCAACTTCCAAGCTCAAGTGATCCTCCCGCCTCAGCCTCTGGAGTAGCTGAGACTACAGGTGCACCCCACTGCACCCAGCTTGATTTTTAAAATAAAATCAAATTGTTGATTTTTGAGAGAACAAACGGTTTAAGTTACTCCCATTCAGTAGCAGCTGCAAAATTAGGAGGGGGTTTAAGGGTGACCGTCTGGTTGTCAGAGTGTGTTGGAAGCTGAGTTTGAATTTGCACATCACTTTACATGGATTGAGAAGATGTCCTCCACCCCCCCGCCCCGCCCGACCTTTATTTTTGAGACAGAGTCTCGCTGTGTCACCCAGGCTGGAGTGCAGTGGTGAGATCTCTGCTCACTGCAACCTCTGCCTCCCGGGTTCAAGTGATTCTCGTGCCTCAGCCTTCAGAGTACCTGGGATTAAAGGCATGTGCCACCACACGTGGCTAATTTTTGTATTTTTAGTGGAAATGGGGTTTCACCATGTTGGCCAGGCTGGTCTCGAACTCCTGACGTCGTGATCTGCCTGCCTTGGCCTCCCAAAGTGCTGGGATTACAGGCGTGAGCCACCGCACAGGCCCTACTTTCTAAATAAAAAGGGAGGGGTCTTTTTTTGGGAGGAGGTTAAGGCCCGCAGCTCCCCTTGATATGGCCGCTGCTCTCAGGCACTTAATCCATTATTTCAACAAATGTTTAAAGAGCACCTACTATGTGCTTCAATTATACAAAGATGATACAACCTCTGTCCCTAGAATGACCACAGCCCAACAGAGAGACTGAGGGCGAAATGTGCAAACCCTGGGTCCTCCAAATACTTAAGATTCAGAGCCAGGTTGTCAGAGGTTCTCCTTTGTTCTGGCTGAATAGTAACACTGACAGGGACCTGCCAGTTTCAAGTTATTCCAGTTATTCGGAAAAGTGAATTGTTCCAAGTGGCGTCAGTGCACGTTAGAACGTGGGCCCGCGTCATGGTGTTCGTGAAGACTGGAAACAAGTGGGACCCCCGCCAGCACAGCTCATGCAACTGCTTCCCCTCCAACAGTTTCGCCCATCCCGACTCAATTGAGGGACCCGAGACGTTTCTTCTCTGGGCCAATCAGAACCCAGTCAGCATCTCTCTGATGCAACTGTTCCCTTATAAAACGATTAAACGTGGACCAGCTATTTTTATTCGGTCCTATAAAAATAGCTGCCGTCAGTCAGTCCTGGCGGGGAATCAAGGCCTCTGCTCTTCAAGTGCGCGCCCCAGTCGGCCGTGTCCTGATGTTACTTTCCCAGCCATTGGCATCTGGGGGCGCAGCTGGACCCACAGCTCCCAGACCGCGTTGTGTTCCACTGACAGAGTCTCCTAGGGAAAGGGAAAGGTGCATTTGCTCTCAGGCTCCGCCTAGGACACACACACCAAGATCTTCCCGGGCTGCTGGTAAAAGCCAGGATGCAACAGCCTGAGGGTCCCAGAGCGAGGAAGAAGGATCAATCAGGTCCCCCGGACGCACTTAGTTCAGCAGGAGTGGCGGGCTGTGGGGGTGGGAGGTAGCCCCAGGGCCTTTGATGTGGGCACACGCTCCCCCAGCCCGCCGAATCGGTTCCTCCCCTAACAAGGGATGTGGACACGGTTCATCTGCCTTCCGGTGTGCCTGAGCAAGAACTGTGCAACCTATCTCCACCCCCTCCGTCCCCGGTATGAGCACTTTTGATTCCTCCCCAGACAAAGCCAATCTGAACTCCAGCAGAATGAATAAAGGGATCAGGTTGCTCTCCCGGCCTCCCCTCACCTCCCTCCTCGCTTCTCCCTTTCCCCACGTGACTCTCTGGAATTTCGCCAAAGCTCCGAGTCTCTGGGTCCATTTTCACACCGAGCAAAGCAGAGAGGAAGGAGGCAAGGGAGACTAGAGGAAGGCTGAACGTGTGTCCTTTAAACACGGGGTCCAGACCCGGCGTATTTTGGGCGTTTCCAGGCTCTCTCGCCAGAGTGGCCTTGAGTTTGGGGGTCTTTTCCAGCCTCGCTAGCTTTTTCCTCCGTGCAATTAAAATTATGGCTCTTCTTCCACTCCCGTAATCATTGCACCTCTACCCTGCAGACCTCCTCCGGGGTGTTCAGCGCGGAGGTGGGTGTTGGTGTGCAGCAAGCCGCGTCCCCGCAGCCCTCCTCACCCAGGCGAGGGGCGGGGACGAGAAAGTAGCAGCAGCGCCCCCCAGTCTTTCCTCTGAAGCTTCCGAACAGTCTGCTTCAGGGAGCGCAGCCTGAGGCGGTGTGGTGCGGTGCGGCTGCAGGGCGGGCGAGTCCCCGGAGCTGCCCTCAGCGCTGCACAGTTTCCAGCGAGCGGACCCCGGCAGATGAGGTCTGCCGAGCCGGGTGGCTCGACCAAGGAGTGGGTGTGGGTGGGTCTTTCGGGGCTCCCGGCGACCCGCGGTGCCGACGCAACGCCGACGTATGGTGCCAAGCGAACTTTAAAAAGCTGCTTCGGACAAACCAGAGCCAGGATTTCCACTGTCGGGGACCCGGGATCGGAAGGGTCTAGCCCGAGGGAAATGCTGGAAGATCCCATCGGCCAGTGACCAGCAACTTTCCGGCGAGATTTTGACGCGGAGAACTGTGCTCTGCCTCCTCTTATTCTCCCAAAGCTCACGTTGGCGTCCTGCCTTGCGGGGGAACTCGGCGCGCTCTCTGCCTGAGCAGCGAGTGAATTGAACCCCAGCCCGCTCCGGCGCCTCCGGGCTGATGAGTGTCGCTCTCCGCCCGTCCATCTCTTTTTCCCGGAGGTAAAGGCCCGCGGTCCCCCACCTTCAGTGCGCCCGGGTTCCAAGCGCCGGAGCCAGCGTTTTGGCGGAGCCGCTTCTTGGATGCTGAAGGCTGGGCTCCTCCATCGTGGGTGCCGAGGCGGCGATGGGTGTCCTCAAAGTGTGGCTCGGGCTGGCCCTAGCGTTGGCGGAATTTGCAGTATTGCCTCATCATTCCGAAGGTGAGAGAGCGGTGCCGCGTGTGTGTGTGTGTGTGCGTGTGCGTGTGTGTGTGTATGTGTGAGTGATCGTGCAGTTTAAAAATCTCAGCAGGTTTTATGGTATTTCGGTGAGGTGGAAGTTTTTCTGGGAAGGGTGAGGTGGAAGTGAAACTGGAATAGGCTTTTTCTGATAAGATTCCTACTCCTGATTGTTTTGTATTCGGATTACACCCCCGAAACGGCCTCCCTCTCTGCCCTAAGTGCTTTTGGGTGGGTGGGTGGCCGATGGAGGTGACATCTCTGAAACTGATCCTTTTTCTTTCCACCACCTACCTTTCCCCGAAGGGAAAGCAACTGCATGGAGCACAGGTGAGGAGCGAACAATTGCTCTTACCTGTTTAAAAATACTTCTGTTCCTAAGAAACATACAGTCTTTCATCTTAAAGCCCCATCGCTCTCCCGCCCTCCTTACCTCAGTTAGTCTCCCCCTAAAGTCCAGTTAGGATTTTATAACTAACTGGTTGGAGCGTGTTCTGGTCGTGGGCAGTTCAGTTGCACTGAAAGAAATCTCTCCAGTACGGAGAAGCACGAACCAGCCTGCTTCCCAGAACAAAAGTGGTTAATAAGAGTTTAGGTTCATTCTTTTACTTCACCCTCCGCCTCCTGGTTTTCCTCCGAGGCTCCAAGCTACCTGTAAAACCCCGGAGCCGCAGGAGAGAAAAGGAAGCCGTGAGACTAGTTGTCGCCATGATATCAAATGCAATCCGGGCTCAGCCAAATAAATGAGTCAATAAGTAAATCAAGAGTTTGGGGTCATGGGATGCCGGGCCTGGGGACGCGAGGCGCTGTGAGCTCCCTCCTGCTCCGAGGAGCCAGGGAAGTCGCCCCGCCAGTGCTTAGGGAGGGGGAAGGGAGCCGGCGGGCTGGGAGGAAGACGGCTTAATCCACAGCGCCTGGCTCTCGGCTTCCCCTCCCGGCTCCATTCATTATTCATCCAGCTGCGGGAAGAAGAGTTCACCTGCCCAGCCGCAAACCAGAGCCGCGGCTGGGCGGCGGCGGCGGGCGCAGGGCGGGCCGCCTTCTCCGCCCTGGTGCCTAGGAAGGGGCGCGGGGCGGCTCCCGGGAGTCGAGCTCTGGCGCAGGACTGGGGGCTGCGGGAGGCCCGGGGAGGACAAAGCTCTGCCTCGGGTCGACCTCCAGTCACTGGAGCAGCTGCCTTTTCTTTGCTGGCTTCCCAAGAGAAAGGCCTTGGGAATCCACGCACAAGGGTGGGGGACTTTCCCGTGGGTCCAGGTGCTGCCTTCTGCACTCTTCCGGGATGTGTGTCAAGTGTGTATAATCTCCGCGAAAGGCACATCTGGGGCCTGTGCAGCCTTCTCCCAACAGTGCAAGTCCTGTAGAAATATAACTTTATTGTTTATGTGCGTGTGGGCGCGTACTTTGGAAAAAAAAAAAAAAAGCTTGTAGGGCTTGATTATAACAATAAACCAGATGAGAGAGTCACCCCAGGCCACCCAAACCTGAACTTGGTACTTAGAAAAATTAATTTCACTTGGTGGCAGTTTTTAAAATTTAGAGTCCTATCCCAGCAACGCAGGAAACGTGCTATCACTCCCGGATAGCTCACCAGGGGGCAGTTGGAATGGTGCAGCTTGTCGGAACCAAAACTCTGAAATCAACAAAAGGCATTATTATTAAGAGCCTGCAGGGTGCGCTCTTTGGCAGATTGCTTGATCCAGTGGGCCAAGTTTAAGAAGTGCGGAATCTAGACTGGGAGGTGGGGATGGGGGGATGTGAAGCACAGAAAGCTGGGGGTAGAGACGGGGGGCGGGGGCGGGGGCGGAGAGAGGGTGTGGATATTACTCCAAAGAGTCTTTGGAAACTTTGCTTCTTATTGTTTGACTTTACTGTCAGAGCATTCTATAGCTGTTTCACAAATTGGATTGATAAATTGATAGATGTCTGAGTTTCCACCCACGTCATAATGGTGCTTATCTAATAATGAATGAATGAATGAATGAACATGGCCATTTATTGAGCAGGTATTGTTTGCCTGGCTCTTTGCTAAGCACTTTACATACTTTATCTCATTTAATTAGTTTAATTAAGTGATATCACTCCCACAGACAAAAAAACATTTGTCATCTGATGAGACCTCTGGTTTGGTCCTCTCAAGGTTTTCTTTTTCTTTAAAAAATAAGAGCATTGAGATCAAGGTTGGAAACCTCAAGGATCTTAGAAATCTCCTCAAGTTTTTATTATCAGCCTAGAGAATAATTTTTAAAAATAGAAAAGAGACATTCACATGTATACTTCTTTTGATGGGATGTACCTTGTGACACCTTTGCTGACCAGCTTATGGCAGAATTTGTCGTTTTCTTCTCAGTGCACAGAGAGAACAATTGTGGTTGGTATGGGTTTGGTCTTCCTCACTTAGCTGTGTGCTTATTGAGGGGTTAGGATGGCTCCTATTAATTCTGATATCTTCAGTTCAGCTCCTAGTATACACTAAGTGCTCAAAAAATTGGTCAGATGAACAGTATTGCCAAATTATATTATTTTGAATTAAGCTTAACTGGTGGACTGGCCTCTGATTAGCTCACTAACCTTGAATGAACCATCTAACCTCTTTGCGCTATAGTTCTGTCATTTACTAAATGAGGTACATTACGTGATAGCTCTAAGATACTTTGGCTAATCATCAAACATAGAAGAAAAAGAGATCAGTATTTGCTGCATTATTAGTGGTCAATTGCAATTTTCTGGTTCTAAATTTTATTATTTTTATTATTTTTTTTTTGAGGCACAGTCTTGCTCTATCACCCAGGCTAGAGTGCAGTGGTGCAATCTCAGCTCATTGCTGCCTCTGCCCCCTGGCCTCAAGCGATTCTCATGTCTCACCCTCCTGAGTAGCTGGGATTACAGATGTGCGCCACCATGCCCAGCCAATTTTCACATTTTTAGTAGAGACAGAGTTTCACCATGTTGGCCAGGCTGGTCTTGAACTGCTGACCTCAAGTGAACTGCCTGCCTTGGCCTTTTAAAGTGCTAGGATTACAGGTGTGAGCCACTGTGCCTGGCCTCTAAATTTTATCAAAAGAAATATCAAAAGAAAAATAAATTTTTACAAGCAAATTATTGGCAGTGTTATTTTATATGGCCTTATATTGCTAAACTGGTAAAGTATTAATGCTATGACTTGAGAACTTAATAAAATCAAGAAGTCACAAAGAAGCTTCTAACATGGCTGCTTTCTGAATCACAGAAACTCTACCATGGCTTTTTCTGGAGAAATATCTTGAGTTCTGTTGACATATGGAAGTCCTGTGAAGTTACAGTAGATAAGACAGTTGCCTTGGGATAGGGAAACATCATTGAATTGGAGGTTAAGAGAATTGAGCTTTAGTCTGTGTCCCATCACTCTCCATGTGATTTTAGCCATTCCCACAAACGCTGAATCCCGGGTTTTTCCTATAAATGCTATTTAACAGGTTACATTGAAGAGGCTCATTTGATAGACAATATGTTTTATTTATGGGTGAGTTAGGGTAGTTGCACTCTGGGCTGCAGAGTTGTTTCACTGAGAGACTCTATGCTTGAAACTCAATAACTCAATGTTGGGAAGAGAAGAACTTGGCTGGAAAAAAGTAACCTAATTCTTTTATTCTGCAAGCCTTTATTGAGAGGTTCTGTGTCAGGTTATGTCCAGTAGGTGGGTACAGACATCAAAACCAAAGCCAAAAAAACCTCCTGCGCTCAAGGAGTTTGCATATCTAGAAATCATTAATGTCAGTTGAATAGCAGTAGGGATATGGGAACATTTGGTCCTTGGTGGGTTTCTCAGTATGGAAACGTTAGATGATGGTTGTAACTTTGCATCCTTTGGCTTTTGTAATTACCTGGCAATGGAAATAAAGAGGTGTTGTTGTGGACTCTTATTTTCATCAATTATATTTCCATTGCCCTCTGAAGATTGGATTCTGGGCATTACTCTCCTTATATAGTGTACATCCTTTAGTAAGGACCCAGCCATCCGTATTCACTGTTATGGACTTGGGTGGCAATGTCACCCAACTGTACTCACACAAGTAGTCATAAAATATTCTTTAACACATGGCTCAGAGTAGGGGAGGGGACTACCACATGTCAAAGTTGGAGCCTCATGCCAAATCTTACCGTAGTTCCAAAACAGTTGGCCCACTTTCATTTTAACTACTCTATTAATTGATCTAAATCCTAGTTGACAATAATCAGGACATGAGCTGTCCTGTCAGTTCAGAAAATGATTCTATTTTAAGTATTCCACAGTGCACACAGCCATATGCTGAATTATAACACAACATAAAGCCTGAACATTTAAATGCCAACTTGTGGCTGCTTGTTCCTAATGAGTCATGTTCTTGTGGTACCATGCTCTCCAAATCTTTTTGTATCTTAATGGTTGTATCTGCCACTATTTCTTTGAACTAATGGGTCTGACATTTTGTGGTGCTTGGATTTAACTTCTCTAATTTACTCAGTTTACCAACGGTTTCAGAATATATGCAAATTATATCTCAAAATTTCTCCAAAAATACTAGATTTTATACAGTCATCTCATAAAGGCGTATATTATAATGTGCAAAAGGGATTAAAAACAGACATTTACTTGTTTAAATTTTATGCAGTAACGTTTTTTCTGTGTGACCTGCAAGAAATGAGCCAGCCACACAGTAAAAGAGCAGCTCAGGTCTCAGGATCTGGGCTTCCTTCTTGACACTATAAAATTACTTCACCCTGCAAAACTTTATGCTCTTTCTCACAGGTTGTGAGGTGTTAGAACTTAAATTACCTGGCATCTCAGCTGCATTCTGTGCCTTGAAATTGGCATTGTTCATAGTTAGAGAACTACTCCTGTTGTCTCCGGTTTTTCCTCAGTTTTCCTTTGAGGGAGGCTCATTTCTTCTTCTAGATCAGCACTCTCTCACAGAATTCACCTTGAGCTGGAATTTTCTTTAAAGTTCCCTGCCATAAATATAAACGTCAAATAGACCTGCAATCATTCTTGTACTCCTGAAGAAAAAAAAATAATGAGTCGAGAGATGAATTTTGTTTTCCATATTATGTGAACTGACGGATTAGTGAAAAGACCTCCACTCTGGCTTTCAACCAGAAGCTACACCCAGTACCCATGTCAACAAACCCCTCAACTTCATCTGCTGGTGGGTGTGTGAGAGAAATATGCTTCCTTTGGATGCTGCATCTGGTATTGGGTGATGATAAATGTTTGATAGAACTGGGCATCACACTGGAATGCTTTTTTTCTCAAGAGAGTAGAAATGAGGTTTTGGAAGCTGTGTTAATGGAGGCTCATTCATGCAGCTGCCTTCCAGGTAGAACTGTTCTGTTTTAGGAAAGCTCTCAGAGGGCAAAGCTTATTTCTTTTGGAATTGTACAATACAAAGCAACCCAAATTGAATTAATTCCTTTTCCTAATGATATAATTTTTCAGCAGCTCTACACCATTTTGGCTTGAGTCTCCAGCAGATGCATGGCTTGCCCAGGTATAGATGTGGTGCCACACTCAGTGCTACTTTATTTTTTTCATACTGCAGTGAGTTTATCATGGCTATCTAAACTTCCAAAAATAGGTTTTGATATGGGTACTCAGATACTTCTTAAGGTGCTTGATTTCCTTTGGAGCTTTGAAAAGAAATTGACTTTGGAAGGTAATGCTGTGGAGAGCAATAAAATTATTTGAGGATAGTCTTATTTTAAAGATTAAATTTTGTTTGTGTTTTTTCTAAAAGTTAAGTTTTGTTTAATCTAAAGTTTAAATTTTGTTAAATTGTACCTAAGTGATGATGATCTTTATTCTAAATTTTCTAAACACCAGAAATAATTAAATATGTCCATATAAGTAATTTAGAAAGTGAATTGTGTTCATATGTATTTATTTGAGATATATAGAATTATTTTAGTACACACATCACACACATACATATGTACACATATATATATTTCCTTTCTTATAACATACCATAGACTGAACTACTAAGTCTTGGAACAAGATTTCTTAAGGAAAAAGTAGTCAATTAAGAAGAATTTTCCTTCAAGGTTTTATCTCAAGTTATTCTTATTAGAACTTAAAGAATAATAATAAAAATAAATAAATAAATAAAATAAAAAAATAGGGAGTGTCTATAAAATCATTCATTTATAGACACTCCCTATTCCTTTCTTTCATATGTATAGAAATAAATTCCTTTTTTCATATGTACAGAAATTTTAATAAATATTAATGCCATGGCTAGAAACTATTTTAAAGTAAAATAATAAGTTTGTGTAAAATATAAACTCAAAAATGACATATTTATATTAATTATCCTATGTCTGCAGAGGAAGAAATACAAACCATTAAAAGTTGGAAATGTCATTAGGAGAAAGGCACAAGGGTGTCATAAATTTATAATTTTTGCTTATACATATGCCTTGTACTTAGCTAATGTGATGCCTTCATATTCTGGGTGAATTATATTAAAACACCAATAAAATTGTTGTATACCAAGAAAAAAAAAAAGAATATCAGGGACATAAAAATTATTTCAATAAATTTGCCCACAGAGATCTTTGATTCAAACCTAAGTGTAAATAGTCATCTCAGTTTTTTTAAAGATTGTTCTTAATTCCATTACTGGAGGAGAAGGTAGACCAATTCTTTCCTGAGAAGTTAATATTATTGGGACTTCATAAATGATCCATTAGAGGTAAGCACTGTGGTAAAATAATGTCCTTCTCTCTTTAGAAACCAACTGTGTGGAGCATTGTTAAGATATGCTTCACCTTGGTGTGTATATACTGTTCAAATGTGTTTTGCAGACTCAGTTTCTGAGAGAGTAGGTGACAGCACACTGCCCATCTCTTTCTAAGTTAAATCAAGACCTGTTGTGCAGCTCAAAAATTGGTTGGGAATGTGTCTATATTTTTTTTAAGTTAAGATTTCAGTTTTATAGTGTATATATATATATATATATATATATACATACACACACACACACTAAATACTACATATGCTATTTATACTATATATTATATATATACTATATATAGTATATAGTGGGTATATATGTATATATATGTGTATATATGTGTATATACTATATATGTACTATATATGGTATATAGTATATAGTGGGTATACATGTGTATATATATGTATATACTATATATGTAATAGTATATATGTAATGGTATATATAGTGTATATATTCTCTCTATATGTAGTACACACACACATATATATAATGTAGTGGGGTAAATACAACATTTCAACATCCTTAGAAAGGAAATACACAAGAATAAATTCACAAATGGAGGATGTAGGCACAAAATGCTAGGAGCTCAGAGGAGCATAATCTGGTGGGCAGAAGTTTCACAAAGGAGATGGGATCAAGTTCAAAGAGCTTGACTAGACAAAGTACATCTCCTGTAGAAAATGAAAATGAGCAAAGGCATTGAGACATGTAAATATATTACAGGATTCTAAGTTGGCCTCTTGGGTTGGACTGGAGGCTTAGTGTAAGCAAACAGTGGCAGGGAAGCCTGGATAAGTAAATGGGACTGGATTATGGAGGCTTTGCTGACTTATCACCAAGAAAAATATTTACTGTATTTATAGCATGTCGTTATAAACACATTTATCTTAAAATTCAAGTCATAAGTTTTAATGATGCTTTTCCTCATGTGTGTCCAAGGAATGTTGTTTTGGTGTATGGGGTTATTTCCCCAGGGGAAGAATGCTGAAGCTTTTAAGATTTTGGAAGAAGCTCATTTTCCTGGTTATGATGCATATAGATGCAGTTTTAGCAGCAAGCTTGCTGGGGCAGTGCCTATTGGTTTATTATGCATCCCTTTTAATTCTTGTTTTGTTTTTCCCCACAGGTGCTTGTGTCTATCAGGATTCCTTGTTGGCGGTAGGTCATTCTTTACATACTTGGTTTCTGTCATTTGAATGTAAAATGCTTGATTGAAGTTCCTGAGTGAGTGAGTTGACCCTATCATTGTAGAATATGTTTATTTTTCTTCAACGTTTGACAATTAGCCCTCATTCGGGCACAATGATGCTCAATTATTTAATACCTTTTCCAGAGTGAATTAGTTCTATTCAGATACTCAGGTATTGGAAGAGAAATTCAAACACTCAACACACGATTTACATTCTGTGGCTGTTCTTTGTGTTCTTTTAATCAGAGAGAAAATTAGATCCCATCCTTTTGTCAGATACAAACTGAAACACAATTTTTTAACTTCTGGTTGCATTTGCTTCCCACTTTGAACCCTTCTCCAAAAAAAGTATGATTATTAAATTAAGTAGAATAGGAAGGATTTCTGTTGTTACTTTGAATTATAAACTTAAGTTTTGGTGAACAGCAAAGAAATTAACATTTATTTCTGAACTCTTGCCATATAGGGTAAAATTGATTTTGAATTTAATGTCAGAATGACTTGGGGGAAAGGCTGATGTAAGTCTCATGCATTTCTTTTCATTACTAATGCACTATGGTGCATAACAGTGTGTTAAAGCCTTATTGAAAAGACTGTCTACACTCCATCAACTCTAATAAATGGTGTGACAAATCATTCTTCACCATGTTTTTATTTTGGTTTAATAAATGCTATAATAAAACTGAACTGAGATGGTTGGAAAGAATTTGCTCATTTACATCACAACCTGCTATTGACATGTGTGATATTGATAAGTCATCCTGGATTATCCTTGTGGTATTGAAATAGCTGAGGAATATCTGAAGTATCTTAGAGTCTAGATAACTGTAGATATTCACCATAATATCCTTGAATCTGCACTTTATATACTGTAGTTACTGCTGGAGAAGTTTATTTTTTAAATATTTTTCTATCAAAAATTAGGAAAAAGCCATTTTTATTGTATTTGTCATTCCATATCCTGCCCTGTTTATTCTTTAATATATTTTAGGAATCATTTGCTCTAAAATATATTATCACTTTTGGGGAGCTACAGTAGATATTTAGACAAGTCAGTTATCCGTGCTAATAAAAGAGAATTATTTATTGTGTAGAGTACTTCATAACTTTTCCATATATTTTCATAAGTATTCATATGTCTGATACTTATAATAGACCAATGAAATAGGCAGGCCATGTATCATTCCATACTCTTTCCCCTTTTAATGGAAAAGATGAGAGAGAGAGATGAAGAGATTTGCTAGAGGTAATTCACCATTAGTGGTGGACCAGAACAAGACATCCTGTCTTCTTCTGTTGTTCTGCCTATATGTGAAAAAAAGTGGCTAGACCATCTTCTATATTTAACTTTGCTATGTGTTATTGTACATTTGAATATGAAAGGATCAAGTAATTGGAGAGGTCAGTTTGATCAAGTTAAAAGGAGAAACAGCCCAGCCAACTTGAATTTATTGGATGACCTTGCTTCCCTCTGTACCATGCCCTAGCTGATCCCAGGGCTCATGGCTGCTCAAGATTAGTGGGCTGCACCCTCCCACACCAGCACGCTCCTCATTCTTCCAGGTGACTTCTTTGCTTACCAAGGCTCTGCTACATTTGTTTCTTTTTCTTTTTTTTTCTTTCTTTTATTATTATTATTATTATTATTATTATTATTATTATTATTTGTAAGATAGGGTCTCGCTCTGTCACCCAGGCTGGAGTGCAGGGATCTTGGCTCACTGCAACCTCTGCCTCTAGGGTTCAAGTGATTCTCCTGCTTCAGCCTCCCAAGTAGATGGGACTACAGCTGCACACCACCACACCCAGCCAATTTTTTTTTTTTTTTGTATTTTTAGTAGAGACGGGGTTTTGGCATGTTGGCCAGGCTGGTCTTGAATTCCTGATCTCAAAGTGCTGGGATTACAGGCATAAGCCACTGAGCCTGGCCTGCTACATTTGTTTCTGAACCTCTTCAAGCCTGAGATACTTGTTATTGTAGTTATGCAATTCAGTCTGAGAGACAATATATTTATTACAATAATAAAATTATTAAACAAATATTTATTGAATGACAATTAGAGACCTGCTATTCTATGCACTGGAATGCATCTGTGAACAAACAGATGAAAATGCCTGCCTTCATAGAGCTTGAATTCTAATAAGTAAAATATATAGAATGTCAGATAGGTGGGCTATGGGGAAAAATATTGTGGAGGTGGAACGGATAGAAAAGGCTCAATAGGGGATGAAGGTGGCTACTTTAGATAGGGTGATAGGGAAGGCTTCACTGAGAAGGTGACATTTGATCAAAGACATACTGAAAGAGGTAATTATAAGGAGCTAGCCTGGTGGATACCCAAGGGGAGAGAATTCCAGAGATAGGGAGCAGAAATGTAAAGTCTGAAGCAAGAGCTCCTATGGGCATTTGAGGCAGTGCATGGAGGATGGCAAGAGATAGGTCAGGGAGGATGGCAGGGGTCAGAGCATGGTGAGCCTTGTGCAGACTTTAGCTTGTCCTTTCAGGAAGGTGGATGAGCCATTGGAGGTGCCAGAGAGGAGGAATGGCAACACTGGACTTATCATCTAATTAAACTGCTGAAATGAGAGTGTGCTTGTTTCCAGGGAAACTATATTAAATACTTTAAAAAGACTCCATAGGGGTGAGTCACTAAAAAATTTCTGTCAAATTAAGTGTAGGAAAAACAGCTGTACAAGATTGAGAAAATATTTCAAAATCTAGAGAGATTCTGCATTCGGGTTTATTTGTAACCACTTTAAGTTCTCTTTCCATTTTAAGGACAATGAAACTGGAAATGGTAGATGATGCATTGTGGACTTGGTTTATTATCTACATCATTCACTGCTGCTCTCTCTCCACATGCCCTAGCGTTAAAGAAAAGCATTGTGTCTACATCAGTGAAATTGGAGAGTGAATGTATGTTCATGTATTTTGAATTGAAGGGTTCAAGAACATTACTATATGATTCTAGGATTCTCTGATTATACAACTTTTTGGGTGACAAAGGCTTCTAGTGTAAGAGGCGTCATTTTCAAGAGCTGGCTCTGAGAATAGTGATTGGTGTCCCTGTTCCAAACTTTGTAATTTTACCCACATGCTCACTGTTTTAGAGGTAGAAGTGACTTGAGAAATCTCTTAGTCCAGACTGTCCATTTTATGGATGAGGAAACTGGGGCAGGGATGTTAAATTCTTTAGGTTTGTTCATCTCCCAGGTGAGTAACCAGAAGTAGGTTATTCTGGTTGAAAATGGCAAAGCCTCAGCTTCACCCAGAGTTCATAAAGCATATCAAGCAAATGAGAGCATGGATTTAGGCACTTGCTGCTAGTATTACGCTAACTCTCAGCCTGTCTTGTGAGGATTCCTCTCACTGATTCCTTTCAATCTCTTCACTCATTGCTTAGGAAGCTGCCAGATACAGTGGAACAGTCATGGCCCTGGCGGTCAGACACACCTGGTTTTGACCCTTCCTCTTCTGTTACAAACCAGCTCTGTGACATAGGGCAAGTTACATCATCTCTGGAACCTCTTATTGCCCCGATGTGAAATGAGGACAAAGAAAGCCTCTCCTGAGGGTTGTTGCAAAGACGATAATATGGGAAAGACACCCAGGTGCAATGCATGGCATGTGCTTTTCTGCCATAACACAATTTCTCCTTAGCAACCAAGAAGAACAAGAGGAAGGGCCAGTTGTTAAGCACCTACTATATATTTAATACTCAACAAACCCAGGAAATAGTTTTTTTTTTTTTTTTAACTTACTTTACAGATAAGGAAGTTGAGGCTCAGGAAGTAGTCAATTGTCCAAAGTTACATAGTAAGTCCTAGTGGAAAAGAGAGTTCAAACCTGGTTCTTATTCTTAAGTCATTTGATCAAGCATTCTATTTCTCACAACCAAGTCAGTCCACTTGTTGTCTCTGAACACAACTAGCTTACTTCACCACCTTCGGTCCCATATGCCCACCCCCTCCCTGCCGCAACTGCCATGCAGTTGTCTCTGCCAGTCTCTGTCCCTGACCTCCTGCTAAAGCCAGCTGTCCCTGGCTAACCCCTTCCCATTTAACTGAGGCTGTCCTGCACTGGCGTGCACCAGATTCACTATGTGATGCAAAACATGTTTAGACAGGCATGTCATCTTAAAAACATACAATGTACAGTGTATTATGTACTATATATGTTTATATATGTGTATATATGTATATAAGTGTATATATATATATATATATACCTCCCCCCACTTTGTATTGTGTTGTGTTTCCCCAATTTTTGACAGCTGTTTGGACTTGCAGTGACATCCTGGGTGATTAAGTCCCAAGCATGTGTAGCCATCTCTAAATTATGGACTGATTTCAGCTCTCTCCCTTCTCTTTTCTTTAACAATCTTCTGTAACTTTCTCTTCTTTTTATTCCTAGAGTAAGAAATGACCAGAAGGGACTAAAAATAACTTGAAAAACACTGAATAATCTATTTTGGGGTGTGTTTCTTACTCCATAATACCCATGCACCCCTGGGCTCACAAGACTTTCTCTAAAGTCAGCCCTTGTGGAACACAGCGTGACTGTTAAATCAGGAATCCATCAGAGGGAAACTACCTAGGTAATAGGTTTAACTGTGATGTCCAGTGTGAGGAGGAAAATTAATTTTTCATTTCAAAGTTTTCACACACCTTCTGTTCTTTTCCAACTATATCAAGTATTGAAAAAACTCTCCTTTTGCATCACCACAAGCAAACACATATCCTTTTGAAAGTTCTTCCTGGGATCAATGACTTGACTCTTCACTTCAATTTTTCTGTCTGTGAAATGGAGATGAACTATTTACTTCTCAGGACTGTTGTGAAGCTTAAAGGAGATGAACATGAAGCAACTCGTCCAGTGCTGTGACTTACAGTGCTCAATAAAGGTTGGCTGCTATTATTGTTGTTCTATAGCAGTGACGACTGGCAAGGTTGGATAAATGACTCTTCTTCCCTGGATCAAAAGTGTTAAGTGTTGGGATTTTCCTACTTGGGATACTTTTGCTGAGAAATGCTGACAAAGTGAATCACAAGGCACTAACTCTTAGCAAATTTGAAAGAATATTTTTCAAGGATAATTTAAAAATGTGGAATGTTGACTATATATAACACTGCAGGAAAATCCAGGCTTTGGAGTTTGAATCTTGGCACCACTACATACATGCTGTGTGGTCTCAGATATAATACTTTATACAGCCAGGTGTCACTTTCATTATCTACTTAATTGGGATTATATTTCTCCTAGGTTTGATGTGACAGTTAACTGAGAACATACTTGTGAAAGAACCCAGAACTGTCCCTGCAAGGAACACGTACTCACATCATTCAGGTGGTAACAAGATGTCGGAGTAGAAATGAGTGAGTTATAGAGTCCAGGGTCTTGGTTCAGGTTCTGGCCCTGTAATTACTAGCTGTATAGCTTGGAGTAAGTCACTTGAATGAAATGAGGTCTCAGTTTCTAAATTAGTAAATTAAGAGAGTTAGGTTAGCTTTTCTCCAAGATTCCTTAGCCCAGTATCGTGTAGTAGAGCTTTCTGTGATGATGGGAATGTTCCATAGCTGTGCTGTCCAGTGTGGTAGCTACGAGCCACATGTGGTTATTGAGTACTTGAAGTGTGGCTGACGATACTGAGGAACTGAATTTTAAATTTCACTTAATGTCAATGAATTAAAGTTTAAATTTGAGTAGCCACATATAGATAGTGGCTACTATATTGGACAGTGCAACATTAGAGTTTTAAAATTCTTAACGTACTCTAGTACTTAAAATACAGCCTCATGAATGGTTCTCACCCTGGGTGGAAGCTTACTGGAGTACTTTTAGCAGTTGTGAGAAAAGTAATACAAAGTTTGTTATAGTACCTAAGTTTGCTGTTTTTGTTTGTTTATATAATTTGAACAGTTTTGAAGTCAACACAGTTACAACACTACTCTCTCCATATTGCTAAATATGTTTTCTTTTTTGTTGTCGTGGTTTTTTTTTTAAACCAAGCAATTGTTATGGATCAATGCTTTCTTGAATAAAAGAAAAGGAGTAAAATTACAGTTAATTGTACATATTCCATTAAAAATTTTATAAATTTTTTAACTCATGGGAGTGTTATCCATCATTTATATTAGAGCAGAAAAAGATTTGAGAACTTCTGGTCTAATCTGTAGACCTTGTATATTAGGGCTAAGGAGGTTTAAGGGAGACCATTAGAGCTCTTCAATGTTAGAGTCTTTTTAAAAATTGGTGTGCTATAGTGTTACTTTTTAAAACTTGAAACAGTTAACACACAAGAGATAGCCCTGTAGAAATGAAAATGTCTCAGAACTGCTTTGTCCTTGTATTCATCAACGTGCTCAAGAGATTTTGTGGAGAAGAGAAATGAAAATTTGGAAGCTTTCCCTATTCAGTGTTTGAAATCACCACAAACAATTAGTGAATGGTGGCTAGTGGCTGCTGTTGAAACATCTTGAACTTCTCCAGCAGTGGGGAGAATACTTGGTGTCCTGAGGATGCACTCAGCGGGGAAGCAATACAATCAGCCATTCCTTAATTTCCCTAAAGGTATTGGGTAATTTCTTAATACCCTTGTATTGAATATTGTAGGATATCACCATTTTAAGTTATAGTTTAGCAAAAATTCATCATTTTTTATGCCTCTGGTCTTTATTTTAAAATACGGAGTAATATGCTTTTAAATGGGGGATGCCACTCTTTATTAAAATGTACTTATTTTGTGATAAAAACTTATTTTTTTTGCAACACATCCTTACTGTGCTAGGTGTTGTCATAAATTTAGCAAGGTAATGAGCTCCTTTAACTAGAGATATTCAAGTTGAGACTAGACAAACAGAATCGGGATGAGTTAGCAGTGGCAGGCTTTTCTGATTTGGGTTCTCACCTGTGGATAGAAGGTTAGAGCTGTGTGTTTCCGCCTAAGGAAAGAAGCCCTTACAGAAGGTGAAAAAAATCTCCTGGCACTAGAGTGTGCAGTGAAGGGTTTCTCCCCATTTAGTTCCTCAAAGGGAGTAACTTTGTACCTTTAAGTGTCAGGTAGTGAGAATTGGGCTCTAGCTGTCTCTGAGAATTTTTTTGTCCTTGCTGGGTTTTTATAAATTGTCCATCATAATTAGATGTGCTGGTTTCCTATTTGGGAATTTATATGTTCTTAGAATAATTGTATGAGAGGAATAATACAAGAGATTTTGTACTTTTATTGATGAATAATCCATATGCATTTTTATTCTTATTCATATTTGTGTGGTAGGAACAGATGTTTTAAGTTAACAAACACATTTCTTATGCTTTGTTTTGAATTTAGAAGATGCAGTTGAGCTTGGAAGCCATATTAATTTGCTCAAACTATGTTACGTTTTATCATATATCTCAATTTTCTGGTCACACCATACACTTCCCTCACTTTTTCTTAAGTTTGTGACATTTTCACACCAAATTGTCTTACAACTTGATATTTTTATTTATTCTATTTCTCTGTTTATAACTACAAAGTACATACATATGTTTATTTTCTATGTGATACATTTATATATGCATGTGTATATATGTATAAATCCCCATAATAGAACTGTCACTAATTTATGACACCTTATGGTATTATCATGTTATAGTTTAGTTACTTTTAGAAGTTCTCTGCTTACCAAGGGAAAGATAATATATAAATATCAAATGACAATTGAGTTAAGCCAGCTTATGTTTTTCTGAAATTTCAGTTACAAATGTCTGAAGAAAAGTTGACTTTGAAAATTTTATGTGGATGACATTTTGTTTCTGTGACACTTAAACATAAAATTGGCACAAAATAAAATTTTAAAAAATAACTGAGCAGTTTTATGTAAAAGAGGCATATAGCTTCTGGTGTCCCAGCTAAGTTCTTTTAGCAATGATTTCTTAGGTTCCCAGAGTTTATAAGCTAAATGAAAGGAAGAAGGAGAGGGACAAGCTTTCACAGGAAGAAATGGTTTATTGTTAGTACCCAGGAGGCTCTTGAGTTTGGGTCGTGACCTGTGAGTTCTTTTCTGACAGCTCCCAAGATTGGATATTTATTAAATTTATGTCATTTCTTTCCTCCAAAGGGAAATTGAATGGGTGGGGGTGGGATCAGGGAGGGGAGGGTGTCTGCATTAGAGAGCAGATTTCATTGCTCTTTGTACCTTCCATTCTTGAAATGGTTCAGTAATAGTGAGCAGGAGGGAATTATTAACAGAAATAGACACTCATTCTTTGGTGTTCTTACTGTATTGAGTTTCCCTATAATCTAGAATAAACTTGATCTAAGAGATGAGAATTCAGGAACAGAAGAAATATGAAATTATTGGCTAAAAAGAAGCCTTTCCCTCTTATATTTGCTGTAGATATGTGTAGTAGTAGTGATCCAACTGGATTCCAAAGACATTTATTGATCAAATTCTGTGTTAGACCCTGTGATTGGATCTATGGAGAATACCAAGATTAATAAGATATTAGTTGGAACCCAGGAACACCCTGCTTAGCCAGTAGTCCCTTTTTCCCTTTTCTGTGTTGGCAGAGTCCTGATTTTGTTGCAGTTTCCCACCCTTTCCTAGTTGTGAGCGAATCAGGAAATTTATATCCCTTTGCCAGGGATTGGTTTAGGACTGAGTGTGACTTGTGGCCAATGAGATATGTGTGGAACTGCTAATATTGTTGGGTGTTTGAAAGGACCCCATAAATAGCACCTTCCTTCCCTCAGTTCTGAACAAGTTGAGAAATAAAACAAAGAATAAATACAGAAGTCAAAATATCATCCTTTTATCTTTTAACCGATAAGCTAAGTTGGAGGATATAGCTTCAGTTCTCTTAGCCAATGGGGTTGCTGGTTCTGACCTCAGAATTGGGAAGAGTTAGGCATTCACAGACAGAGCCTTGCTGAGGCAGCTTTCCCATGCAGAAGGGCTGATAAGGCAAGAACTCCGGTTTCGTATGCTCTTGGTTGACAGGCTTGCTCCCTGGAAGAGGAAAGAAGACAGAACTGAGTTAAACATGCCTAGCTGCTCTTTTAAATTTACCAGTTAGATAAATCATGCCACCATCCTGGGGATAAGAAAGGCCTGGAGTTATGTGTTGATATCCCTGCACCTCAAGGGTGGGAAACAAGAATTCTCCATTAATAGAAGATTTTGAAGCTTAGTCTTTAAGCTTTGGGACATGAAAACATGATCTCTGGAGGTGCTGCAACCATTAGAATACCTAGCTGACACACAGAAGTTGATAGGGGAGAAAGATGGGAGACTTTGATTCCTTGAGGAGTTGGTTATTTGATCTGCTGACTTAACCAGCACAGGAACTGACCTTCCTGGGGAATTATTGTATGAGCTCAAAAGTTCCCTCATTGTTTAAGCCAATATAAATTGAATTTTATGTTACCGCAGCCAGCAGCAGTCGACCCAATACCCTATAATCAGATATTGAACTCAGTACAAAGCAGTTTGGGATAAGTGTCAGTAGGTAGAAGGGCAGCACCATGGTGAAGTGGCAGAGCTCCAGATTCTTGGATTTAAGTCTGAGCTCTTCACTACTGTGTGACTCTGGGCAAGTTACTTACCTTGTCTTTAAAATAGAGATAATAGTTGTGCCTATATTACAGAGCTGCTGCAAAGATAAATGAGTAACATGTGAAAGTACTTGGAATATAGTAAATAGATGCTCGCAATTGAGAATACTCTTATTCCAGAGGAAATCGTTTTTGATCTTGGCCTTGAAATATGGGCCAGTTTAGAATTGGGAGAGATGAGAGAAAGGCTCTTAGGATATAGGATCAGTATAAGTAAACGCATAAGTGGCAAAGGGAGTCCAGTTTGAAGCGAGAGAAGTGATGTAACACTGAGAAGGGATTTTAAAACTCCAGATCACATAGGGCCTGGAATAAGGCATTTGAATTACATTCTGTAGGCAGTGGGGATGCTTTGAAATGGAAATCATTTGCTCTTGGATTCAGAGTCTGTCAGTACAAACTGATTAGTATATTGTTGGAGATGAGATATCGGAGCACCATCCTCTGTTGTGTTCCTTCTCCTTTTTTTCATCCATGTCCAGGTGCAGTTTCTCTGTAGAGCTTTGGAGGGGGTGTGGGTGGCTCCATGTAAGTGATCATCTTCTTGAAAAAGAGAGATCAATTTGCAGACATATTCCAACAGTGAGTCAGTACTAAGTTCATTATTAGTTCAGCAAAAGTGGGTTCATGTGGCATTATATCAAGTAGAACTCCCTATTAATAGGCATTAACCCACTCCTTTGATATTGATGTTCATAATGATCCTCCCCACCATCCTGAGGTGGTGATGTAATCTTTTTTCTTCCTCTTTATTCTGGTGAGCACTTCTCACAATTTGCCAAGATTAAATTATGCTCCAGTTAGTAATAGGAAAAAGTACATTTAGTTGTATTAAAATTTTTTGTTAAAATGGAAGCCTGATTATTTTGTATATACTACCCTAAGTGTTGGAAAGTATAGTTTTTCTCTCATGCGGTACAACAGAACTATATTATTGTTTGCTTCTAGGATTTTATCAGCTGTATCAATTCCTACATCTAAAATATATTTTTTAAAAGAAAGATTAAGTGTGGTCAGATACTTTAAGGAATAATAGAGCTTCTTGAGAAACATGGACTGCTAGAAAAGATTCTTCATAGCCTGAGGACCTCGAGGAGAAGAGAGGAAAATTTTATAGGAATAAGATAACTCAAGTGCATAGGAAAAAGAGGGAAACTCATGTTAAATGGCTGCTTTGGTTGCCACTTTAGAGGAATCAAACTGTTGAAGAGAAATAAGTATCCTTTTATATTTCTTACTCTGTTCATTTATGATTAGGATGAAAAATTCTCAATAACACCAGTCAGGAGATTAATATAAAGTATAATAAAAGAAATACTGTGAGCATCAAGGCATGTGTATTCCTGTAAGCTGTTTTTATGCGAACTTATTAAGGTCAAGGATGCTTACTCAGTAAGAGAGACTGTATCTTTAAAACTATGAACTTGGCCTTGCATGGTGCCTCACACCTATAATGCCAGCATTTTGGAAGGATGAGGCAGGAGGACGCTTAAGCCCAGATGTTCAAGACCAACTTGGTTAACATAGCAAGATTCCATCTCCAGACACACAGAAACACACACACACACACACACACATTAGCTGAGTGTGGTGGCATGTGCCTATCTTCTCAGCTACTTGGGCGGCTGAGGTGGGAGGATCGCTTGATCCCCGGAAGTCAAGGCTTCAGTGAGCCATGATCATACCACTGCACTCCAGCCTGGGTGACAGACGGAGACCCTGTCTCAAAAAACAAAACTAAAACCAAACAACTAAGAATTCAATTTTTTTGTTTTGTAGATAAATTATTATTATTTTAAATTTTATTTGTATACATTCACAGGGTGCAAATATAATTTTAGTTACATGGATATATTGCATAGTAGTGAAGTCAGGGCTTTTAGTGTATTTATCACCAGAATAATGTGCATTGTACCTATTAAGTACTTTCTCATCATCCACCCGCCTCCTATCCCCACACCCTTCCGAGTCTCCATTGTCTATCATCCTACACTCTACATCCATGTGTACACATTATTTAGCTCCCACTTATAAATGAGGACGTGTGATATTTGTCTGTCTGTGTCTCAATTGTTTCACTTATAAACAGAAAGCAATTAAAAAGGGTAAACAGTAGTGTTTTTCAAAAACCAAACCACAAAACACAGAAACACAGTATCATTCCAACTTTTGAGGAGGAAGAACTTTCTTTTTTGTTTTTTTCTAAGAGAAAATGGCCATGTTGCTTTATTTATTATACTGAAAGCAATACAGCCTTGTTCTAAAAAAAAAAAAACAGCAAATATAAAAGAGAGAATGGGAAGAAAACTCCATGAATCCAAGTAATTCCACAAACAAAAATAATTAATACTAAATATTAGATGAGTTTATTGCAGAACTTTTCCTATGTGTGTATTTAACAAAAATGGGCACTGCAATATGCACACTGTTTGGCTAGCTATTTTTTTAACTTAATACTGTATAATAGATATCTTTCTATGTCAATACACAGTTCTATACTATTATTCATTATGGATAGACTATAAGTTATTTTACACATTCCTGTTTATTGGTATTCATATTAATTTGATATTTTGGTGTTGTAAGCAACACTGTGATGAATGTTCTTGCGCACTCTTCAATTATTTCCTTTGGGCACATTCCTTAGCAATGCAACTTTTGAGTCATGTGGTATACATTTTTAAAAAGCATGTTTGTCTATACATTTAATACATATTACCACATTGCCCTTTGGGGAAGTCATACTAATTTACACTGCCATTAGTTAGTATATTCTCTGACTGTAAGGTAAGGATAAAACCTTGGTAAGAATAAAACCAACATTTAGTTTGAGAATGATTAATTTTTAAAAGTTGATGGAATAGAAGATGGTATTAACAAATTTGATGACATTTAAAAATATCTAATAGTGTAAAACTAAAAAGAAAAAATAAAGTACAGGTTTTCAAAGATTTAGT
Source organism: Homo sapiens (assembly GCF_000001405.40). NCBI lineage: Eukaryota > Metazoa > Chordata > Mammalia > Primates > Hominidae > Homo > Homo sapiens. The sequence goes on from NC_000004.12 coordinate 78,078,601, forward strand.
GTTACAAAGAATTACATAGTAGAACTTATAAATAATTCATTCAATAATAATTAAGAACAAAAAAATTTAAAAATGTAAATCTAACCAAAAATAATTCATGTAAGTATTTAAGAAACCACCAAATGTTAGGAATTAAAGTGGCTGAGAATAAGAATAGAGAGTTTACATAAGAGAAAATACAAGTAGCAAACAAATATATTAAGAAGAATTGTTGTTAATAACCAGGTAAAAACTAAATCAGTAATGGGATATAACCTTATACCTGTTTAAAAATTTTAAATTATTAAACCCAGCTTTGATGAGATTTCTGGGAATTTGCCCTAAGAAATCAATTTAGAAGAAAGAAAAGTTATTTGTAAAGAAGTTGCTTTCTGGCATTATGTATGTTATAAAATAAGAAGTTACCTAAATGTCTCTATTAGAGGAGTGGTTAAGTAAATCATCGTAGATTAACTTGACATAGAACATTATGTAGCCATTAAGATAATAGATGAGAAGAGCATGTGGCCATGATGGCACATTTCTGAGGTAATGTTAAGTGAAAGGCTGAGTACTCAATGCAAATCTTGTGATTAAAACTAATTTTAAAAATGTGTCTTTCTGTGATTGGGGTCTCATAAGGGGGAAAAACCCCATTTTTTTGTCAACAAGAGAGAGAGAGCTTGTAAGTAGAGGGTAAGGAATCAGTGGAGAGAAAGGACAGAAGTTGAAAGAGTGAAGAAAAAATGGCTGAAGAAAACCAAGAATGGACCAGATAGATGGGGTGGAATCAAACCACAAGTGGCAGGGACAACTTAGACAAGGTTCTTTCTCAAAGATAGGAGCAAAGTAAGATAAAGTCTATGAAAATTATATTATTTAGGACTCTTAATGTGAGTAATGGAAACTCAACTCAAACTAGCTTAAGCAAAGTCTGTAATGTTCTGCTCCCTCAACTGAAAGTCCAAGGGGATAAAATTAGCTTGAGACTGAGGTATATATGCGTTCACATGATGTCAACATGTGTTTTTCATGCTATCTCTCTTGGCTACACTTTCTTCTGGGTTGGCAGCCTCCTTGTGATGGCAGCATTGATTTATACAGTTCAAATGGCTAATATTCCAAGAGAAAAGTGAGTCCCCTTCAGAGATGCTATCTCCGGCAAAAGTTCCAGAAAACACTCTGATTGTTCTGGCTCAAGTCAAGGATCATACCCCGAGGTAAAATCACACCCTCAATGGGGAAGAAGAAACCTTATGATTTACTACACAGCCAAGTGGAGGAGGGCAGTTCTAAAAGTGAAAGCACGCTGGCCAAAGAGAAAGCAGCAGATGTTCTCTACAAGGATAAATAGACATTTGGAGGCAGCTTGGCTTGCTTACAAAGTCTTAAGTGAGAGCCGCCATCTGCCTGGTTGGCCTAATGAACGCTGCTGGAGAAAGCATCATCGGAACCAGGTTTCCTATCTCTTAACTCCCCTTTGGCCCCAAAGGGGCCAACTTACACTACAGGTGGAATGGCATCTCACCTTGCAGCAAATCAGCTCTCTGGCAAACTCACTTGTTTGGAACACAGCTAAGAAACAGGAACTAACAATAAAAGGCCTGTGAAAAGCCAAAATGGATACCACTGTGCCTCTGCCTCGAGAAGCCTGATTGATTTATTCCCCTGGGGAACAGAAAGCCGACTGCTTGCTGTCTGCACTACCTTGGGCTAGAAGAGGAGGCATAATTGCGGTATTCAGAAGTGTCCATTAGATAAGAGGCTGATGTGCTCAGGTGTTCAGGAGAAACGGATGAATGTATAGGAAAGCACTTTGGCCAAATATTTGTGAGGCTTGTTTCTTTGTAACTGTATAGACTTAAAATCATTTTTTTCTATCATAGGCAAGAAGTCGATTAAAGTATCAAATCTTTTGTAAGTGGAATAGCTTTTATCTTAATTGGATACATTCTATGGTTCAGAGTTTGTGCATGTGAACAGTTGGTATGTATCTGCTTTGGAAAATACTGTGTGAAATAATATTTTCTATGCTCAGTTCTGCTTTTGTCATAATTACATAGTTTAAACTGCATACATCAATTGTACAAGCAGATACATGTAAGCATTCTGTAGGTGCATATTAAGATGCATTAATTTTGGGCTCACAAATGCTTTACCACTCGAAATTCCTTTATAGTTTTGGAATATTTATTTTCTCTTCTCATCTTCCATTTCTGTGGCAAGACTATTTTTGTTTCTCTTTTAAATCCTTCATAGTTACATTACCTTTTAAATCTGTCCCAGGACGTCTTACTGAATCAGACTTGAAACTGGGATGTGCAGGCAAGTGGAGATGGGCTATGCATCCCTAAAATCTGTCCTCTTTCCTGTGCTGGAGAAACACGATCTGTCTGTCACAGAAAGCTTGGGTAAATGTTAAACCAGTGTTTAGCTACATACCTTGATTTGTTTGGGGCCTAGGATCCCCCTGGAAAAGAGCTTCAACGCTGAAAACAACTGGAATTCAGACATCTAAGGTCATGTGTTAAAGACTGTGAGGATGGGGGTTTGTGGGGCTGCAGAAAGGAAAGCTAGACTGTAAAGGGCAACAACAGGTTCCCTGAGAGAAAAGTCCCCACAAGGGAGAATATTGGCCTCGTGGAAATCTAGACCAGCAACTTCAATAGAACTTTCTGCCACAGTGAAAATGCTCCATATCTGTGTTGTTTGCTACTCACATGTGGCTACTGAGCACTGGAAATGCAGCTAGTGTGAAAGAGGATCTGGATTGTAAATTTTATTTATTTTTAATTAAATTTAAATAGTTATGCATGGCTAGTAGCTCCCATGCTGGGCAGTGCTGGTATAGATTTTGTAGCAAGACTGTGATGCCCAAAGAAAGCAATGATTGTAGGTAGTTCTGGGCTACATGTGAACTCCCCCTATCCAGCCTCTCAGAGCCATTGTTTACCTGGAAAGGAGAGGGGTAAGGGGGTGAAACCAAAAGAACATATTAATTGAGTTCAGACTTTCTGAGAAACCTGGGCAATAAATTGGCAAGAACCTTATCACTAGCTTTCCCAGCCCCTCTGTGGTAGGTCCTCACTTACCTGTTTGTCTTGGCTAGAGATAGAATCTGGGAGCCTCAGAGTCAGAAGGTAGACAGTTAAGGAAGTCCAGGCCTGAGCAGCTGCCTCAGGGCATCGTAGCTGATGGATGGATGGACAAACACTCTTCTTACCTAAGAAAGCTTCCTTCTTTCCTCCTCCCTCCTTTCTCAAAGAACCCTGGTTTGTTTTTTGGCATTCTCCTTCCTTACGCCATATCCTTTAGAAAAGGAGGGCTGCTTCTCAGGCTTAGTGATTAATTTTCTTTGGTTTAAGTCTGTGCTCTTCTTGTTTAAATTCTTTTTTTCCCGCATCTTACTCATATTCCACTCAAATAGTTTGAAAACCATGTACCTCCTTACACATTTAAAATATTATATCTAACATTTTTTATCAAAAGATGCATGAGTTGCAATGTCTGTAAGTTTTTGCATTTGAAAAATGACACTTTAGGATAGAACTATGACGTCCCTCTCTAATGTTTCCAATAGAATCTGAATACTATAGCAATTTGATTCCCACTGGCACCCATAAAAAATACACAAACTCTTCTTTATTGAAAATATATGTCCTTTCTTTTTCTCACACTTTCACTTTTGAGGCAGTTTTCCTATGGAATTTATCCTATTACCTTTATGCTTGAAAGTCTTTTACTGATCACCCTATTATACTTCTCTGCAATGAAATACATATATAAATTTAAATTTAAAGCATTTGTAATGTTTCCTGTGAACATAAAGCTCAAAGTGTTAAGTAATTTCCTTTGGATTGAGTTATTACAGTTGAGCAAAACAACATAAATACATTAAAATTTTTGATAAATACTTGTTAAATGTTAGAAAGTACAGTTTCATTGGAAATGCATCTCTTAATGAGATGAATGGGGCTTTTTTTTCTTCTGTTAGTTCATCCAGGATGCATATTATTTATTGCTACAGGAGACAGGATTCAGCATCAGTTCTATTCTTATTTTTCACTTGTCTAGATGTAAACTTTGTGGAATTCATTCACATAATAAGTAGATAGGAAAGGAAAGACTTTGTTATAGTCTCTTTGAACTCCTTCTGAATTATAGGCCAAAATCAATTAATTGATCCTTAAAAATTATTTTTAATGATCAGCTGAAAACTTAATTAGGTTTCTCGTCAATTTGTTTAAAAGCAAAAATTAGCAGCCATCTGATTTGCAGAAGTATTGGTTGTGAGTTATTATAGTAATTTAGTTTCTCAACACCTATACTGATATTTCACAATGCTCTTGTGTTTGGTGACCCTGAGATGTTAATATACCAGAACATTAGACTGCATGGAGTCAGCACAGATGAGACATAGGCTTTCCTTTTAAAGAGTGAGAAGCAAGATAGCAAAAGGGTTATCCTATTCTTAGGAAAGAATAAATGTGGTAATAGGGATCTGGAAATTAGGGATCTGGAAATTAACTTTAGATTACTTTAGATTACCTATTCTCACTATACCCTTGAGGAGGCTTCATGCTGCAGGGGTATGGTGCTCCAGTACCTTCAGTTTGAAGGCTGCTGGTTTAGGGCCAGTTTCCATGGTTCCCATCCTCTGGCTTGTGACTGGTTGAGGCATGGCATGTGATGAGGTTCTGGATAATGAAAGGTGAAAGGAAGTCTGCTGCAGGACTTCCAGGAAAATGTTTCCTTATTCTCAAAAACAGATCTGGGAAAGAGTCAGTCTCTTGTTCCTCTGGATGTAGTTTTATCTGGTGTTGTGGAATTGCTGCAGAAGTACTTTATCAGGAGACCTGGCTTAAAGACAAAGTGTTACCCTTAGCATGTCAGAACAGAAAGAAAGAGCAGAATGAGATTCTTCAATGTTGCTGTTGACGCATGGAAATAAAAAGCCTAGGAACACCCTACCTCTGAACTTCTTAGTTAAGAAAAAAATACTTCGTTATTGTTTAAGACACTTATTTTTCATTACATGCAAGTTCTGTTTTTTTTTTTTTTTTTTTGCAAGAATCTAACATAGATCACAAAACTACTTTGATCAAGGGGTACACGGTTGTCTTTTTTGTGATAACAGTGATAAGTAGGGTCAGGTGTTGTCAGTTTGAGACTTACATTGTAGAGTTACCTGTTAGCTTCTCACCTAATATTGTTAGCACCATCAATGAACATTACCTGGATCACTAATTTCATTAGAGACCGGCAAAATGTTGATACTCTATCATTGCTTCCTTATATCTAATTCACTATTTAGATGGAGCTATAATCCATCTAAAATATAAAACTTTCCCTCATTAACCCTCTGGTTGGCCTAAGGCACAATTCAAATAGAAAAGACAGGGTAAACTCTTGGTTGATTCTCCCTCACTCCACTTTTATTTACCAGTTTTCAGAATAATTATTTGATTTTCTAGCATCCACCAAAAGGGATCAGTGAGGTTTTCTCTTTTTACTTTAAAAATGGTATTACAGAAGTTCCTCCTTATTCACAATTTCAGTTCCTGTGAGGTCCCACAATAGGTGAGTATGGTACATACAATCAAATATTTTTTTGGGGGACCACATTCACATAACTTTTATTACAGTATGTTGTTATAATTATTCTATTTTACTATGAGTTATTATTAGTCTCTTACTGTAATTTGTAAATTAAACTTTATTATAGAAATGAATGTATAGAAAAAACATAATACAGGTATATATAGGGTTCTGTACTATCTGCTGTTACTATTGATTGATTCCTTAGGCTGCAAGTTGGTGGTTTTGACTTATTTATCAGGATGCCTTCAAATGTAAATAACAAAAAACTACAGGGCGTCTTGTAATATATCCCCTATGGGTAAGGGGGAACTAGTTTATTTTAGATTCATGGATTTTAACATATTTGAGGTCTATCAATTAGTTGCTGGTAATATTCTTTGCTGCTCAGTTTGTCCCATCTTTGGATAGTGAGAACCTCTTTAAGTTTGCTGTTGAGTCCTTTAAACATGATCCCAGTAGACTCTGATAGATTCCTTGATTTCTGGAATGAAAGATGTTCCGTCCTCTTCATACATTTCCTGCTCTAGTCCTAGGTTCAGCTGGTTTTTCAATGAGCTCTGGTTCCTGGAAGTAGGGAATGGTATTTGGAGACCAAAATCTAGGTGTGTAAAGCTAATTATTGTTACTGGATTGGTCATTGTTTCTTGGCTGTTACAGTGAACAGAGCTAAAAAATACATATTTCCTTTTAAAGAGAAAATGAAGCATGAGTTTATGCCTATGCTTCCATTAAAAATTTAGAATTATTTTTATTTATAGTGCCTTTTCTCTTATTCTGAAACACTTATTTCCCAATGACACTAATATAATTACAGATACACACTGTGCTATTACATGACTGTGATCATTTCAGAGAATAAGACTGATATTGAATCTATTAATATAATTACTAAATCAATGAAAAAATTTTGGGGAGTATTCTTTTGTTTTTAGAATGTCTTTTGTCTAAGGATAGATAGTCAAATTTCTGTGTTTTAAGGTCACTTGAAATGATTCTTTTCTATGTGATTAATTCTGTTGTCAGACTTTTGGATTTGACAGATAGGAAATGATATCTCAGCATAGTTTTAATTGTATTTCTGTGTTCGTATGTTTAAGGGTCACTGACATTTCTTTTATGCATCGTCTGTTTATACCTCCTGCCTATCATTGTTGGTCTTTTTATTCTCTATTTTTAGAAAACTTTCAATCAGTGAAACATGGTCTTTTTGTTATTTACATTTGAAGGCATCCTGATAAATAAGTCAAAACCACCAACTTAGAGCCTAAGGAATCAATCAATACTGATGTTAAAACTCAGATAGCAACAGTCACCTGGTGATGACAGAGCTGTAGGCAGCAGTTTTGAATATCTGGAAGATCTTTTCCCTGTGTCCTCAACCCTGTCTTCTGGGGACTCTCAGACATGAGACGAAGGAAGGAGAGGTGCCTGGAATGAGTCAGCCAAGAATTGTTGATCCAGTGGCTTGGTTAATAACAGTATGTTAAGAGACAAAGAAGGCCATTACATAATGGTAAAGGGATCAATTCAACAAGACGAGCCAACTATCCTAAATATATATGCACCCAATACAGGAGCACCCAGATTCATAAAGCAAGTCCTTAGTGACATACAAAGAGACTTAGACTCCCACACAATAATAATGGGAGACTTTAACACTCCACTGTCAACATTAGACAGATCAACGAGACAGAAAGTTAACAAGGATATCCAGGAATTGAACTCAGCTCTGCACCAAGCGGACCTAATAGACACCTACAGAACTCTCCACCCCAAATCAACAGAATATACATTCTTTTCAGCACCACACCACACCTATTCCAAAATTGACCACATAGTTGGAAGTAAAGCACTCCTCAGCAAATGTAAAAGAACAGAAATGATAACAAACTGTCTCTCAGACCACAGTGCAATCAAACTAGAACTCAGGATTAAGACACTCACTCAAAACTGCTCAACTACATGGAAACTGAACAAACTGCTCCTGAATGACTACTGGGTACATAACGAAATGAAGGCAGAAATAAAGATGTTCTTTGAAAGCAATGAGAACAAAGACACAACATACCAGAATCTCTTGGACACATTAAAAGCAGTGTGTAGAGGGAAATTTATAGCACTGAATGCCCACAAGAGAAAGCAGGAAAGATCCAAAATTGACACTCTAACATCACAATTAAAGGAACTAGAGAAGCAAGAGCAAACACATTCAAAAGCTAGCAGAAGGCAAGAAATAACTAAGATCAGAGCAGAACTGAAGGAGATAGAGACACAAAAAACCGTTCAAAAAATCAATGAATCCAGGAGCTGATTTTTTGAAAAGATCAACAAAATTGATAGACCACTATCAAGACTAATAAAGAAGAAAAGAGAGAAGAATCAAATAGATGCAATAAAAAATGACAAAGGGGATATCACCACCAATCCCACAGAAATACAAACTACCATCAGAGAATACTATAAACACCTCTACACAAATAAACTAGAAAATCTAGAAGAAATGGATAAATTCCTGGACACATACACCCTCCCAAGACCAAACCAGGAAGAAGTTGAATCTCTGAATAAACTAATAGGCTCTGAAATTGCGGCAATAATTAATAGCTTACCAACCAAAAAAAGTCCAGGACCAGATGGATTCACAGCCGAATTCTACCAGAGGTACAAGGAGGAGCTGGTACCATTCCTTCTGAAACTATTCCAATCAATAGAAAAAGAGGGAATCCTCCCTAACTCATTTTATGAGGCCAGCATCATCCTGATACCAAAGCCTGGCAGAGACACAACCAAAAAAAGAGAATTTTAGACCAATATCCGTGATGAACATCGAAGCAAAAATCCTCAATAAAATACTGGCAAACCGAATCCAGCAGCACATCAAAAAGCCTATCCACCATGATCAAGTGGGCTTCATCCCTGGGATGCAAGGCTGGTTCAACATACAAAAATCAATGAACATAATCCAGCATATAAACAGAACCAAAGACAAAAACCACATGATTATCTCAATAGATGCAAAGAAGACCTTTGACAAAATTCAACAACACTTCATGCTAAAAACTCTCAATAAATTAGGTATTGATGGAGCGTATCTCAAAATAATAAGAGCTATCTATGACAAACCCACAGCCAATATCATACTGAATGGACAAAAATTGGAAGCATTCCCTTTGAAAACTGGCACAAGACAGGGATGCCCTCTCTCACCACTCCTATTCAACATAGTGTTGGAAGTTCTGGCCAGGGCAATCTGGCAGGAGAAGGAAATAAAGGGTATTCAATTAGGAAAAGAGGAAGTCAAATTGTCCCTGTTTGCAGATGACATGATTGTATCTGTAGAAAACCCCATGGTCTCAGCCCAAAATCTCCTTAAGCTGATAAGCAACTTCAGCAAAATCTCAGGATACAAAACCAATGTACAAAAATCACAAGCATTCTTATACACCAATAACAGACAAACAGAGAGCCAAATCATGAGTAAACTCCCATTCACAATTGCTTCAAAGAGAATAAAATACCTAGGAATCCAACTTACAAGGGGCGCGAAGGACCTCTTCAAGGAGAACTACAAACCACTGCTCAATGAAATAAAAGAGGATACAAAGAAATGGAAGAACATTCCATGCTCATGGGTAGGAAGAATCAATATTGTGAAAATGGCCATACTGCCCAAGGTAATTTATAGATTCAATGCCATCCTCATCAAACTACCAATGACTTTCTTCACAGAATTGGAAAAAACTACTTTAAAGTTCATATGGAACCAAAAAAGAGCCCTCATTGCCAAGTCAATCCTAAGCCAAAAGAACAAATCTGGAGGCATCACACTACCTGACTTCAAACTATACTACAAGGCTGGTACTGGTACGAAACAGCATGGTACTGGTACTAAAACAGAGATATAGACCAATGGAACAGAACAGAGCCCTCAGAAATAATGCTGCATATCTACAACTATCTGATCTTTGACAAACCTGAGAAAAACAAGCAATGGGGAAAGGATTCCCTATTTAGTAAATGATGCTGGGAAAACTGGCTAGCCATATGTAGAAAGCTGAAACTGGATCCCTTCCTTACACCTTATACAAAAATTAATTCAAGATGGATTAAAGACTTAGATGTTAGACCTAAAACCATAAAAACCTTAGAGGAAAACCTAGGCAATACCATTCAGGACATAGGCATGGGCAAGGACTTCATGTCTAAAACACCAAAAGCAATGGCCACAAAAGCCAAAATTGACAAATGGGATCTAATTAAACTAAGGAGCTTCTGCACAGCAAAAGAAACTACCATCAGAGTGAACAGGCAACCTACAGAACGGGAGAAAATTTTTGCCACCTACTCATCTGACAAAGGGCTAATACCCAGAATCTACAATGAACTCAAACAAATTTCCAAGAAAAAAGCAAACAGCCCCATCAAAAAGTGGGCAAAGGATATGAACAGACACTTCTCAAAAGAAGACATTTATGCAGCCAAAAAACACATGAAAAAATGCTCATCATCACTGGCCATCAGAGAAATGCAAATCAAAACCACAATGAGATACCATCTCACACCAGTTAGAATGGCGATCATTAAAAAGTTAGGAAACCACAGGTGCTGGAGAGGATGTGGAGAAATAGGGACACTTTTACACTGTTGGTGGGACTGTAAACTAGTTCAACCATTGTGGAAGTCAGTGTGGTGATTCTTCAGGGATCTTGAACTAGAAATACCATTTGACCCAGCAATCCCATTACTGGGTATATACCCAAAGGATTATAAATCATGCTGCTATAAAGACACATGCACACGTATGTTTATTGCAGCACTATTCACAATAGCAAAGACATGGAACCAACCGAAATGTCCAACAATGATAGACTGGATTAAGAAAATGTGGCACATATACACCATGGAATACTATGCAGCCATAAAAAATGATGAGTTCATGTCCTTTGTAGGGACATGGATGAAGCTGGAAACCATCATTCTCAGCAAACTATCGCAAGGACAAAAAACCAAATACCGCATGTTCTCACTCATAGGTGGGAATTGAACAATGAGAACACATGGACATAGGAAGGGGAACATCACACACTGGGGCCTGTTGTGTGGTGGGGGGAGGGGGGAGGGATAGCATTAGGAGATATACTTAATGCTAAATGACGAGTTAATGGGTGCAGCACACCAACATAGCACGTGTATACATATGTAACAAACCTGCACATTGTGCACATGTACCCTAACACTTAAAGTATAATAATAATAAAGTTAAAAAAAATAACAGTATGTTAAGAAATGTCACAGATTGGCAGAACCCAAGGGGCCTTTGTATTTCCCTTGAGTTACATGTGAATCATTTATTTAGACTGTTTTGAATTGTTTTCTCTTTGCACATTCCAAGTTTTTAATTTTCCTCTGGCTCTGGGATTTAAACTCCAGGTCCCTTTGACTTCTCATTTTGTTTACCTGAAGAACACATAATATAAAAGTAGCCAATTGCTCAAACTTCTTTTAAAGGAATAGAAATAAATAAGAGGAAATAGAAATTGGATACAGCTCTTCAAACTTTGCTTTTTTCTTTTCTTTTTTAACTTTTATTTTAGGTTCAAGGCTACATGTGCAAGTTTTTTGTTACATAGAGAAATCGTGTCATGGGAGTTTGTTGTACACATCATTTCGCCACCCAGGTACTAAACCTAGTACCCAATAGTTACTTTTTCTGCTCCTCTCCCTCCTCCTACCCTCCATCCTTAAGTAGGCTCCAGTGTCTGTTGTTCCCTTCTTTGTGGCCATGAGTTCTCATGGTTTTCTGTCCCTATGTTACGAACTTCACCTTTTCATAATTTATTTGAAATGGGTTATGTTGACAATATGTAACAAATGTCAGTGAAGATCGTGGCATTGCAAACTTGTGACTGAGAATCAAGGGACCCACCTAAACCTGTGCTTCCTTGCTGTTCCAGTAATTGTGAATGTGCATAGGCTGGAAAGAGCTTAAGTGTAAAAGAACAACATAGTACTCTAGCAAAACACACAAATGGTACATTTATGACCATGCAAGAGGCATGAGCCATCAAGTTCCAGATTGGAGGGAAGCTATTGCACATGGTGTAGAGAAAATTTTAAATGTTTTGAACAGTGTCTAGCTATATGCTAATGCAGAAAGTTTTGAACACCTTTGGACTTTGAGAGCCAGTTGAGTATTCAAGACTATTAGGAAGGTAAAAAGAGTGGTCTGGAAATTATACTAAGTTTAAAGCTATTTTTTCTATTGATTTTTTTTGCCTTATTTTCAGAACCTGACTTACAAATTACTGTGGCAGATTGTCAGATCTGGTTAAGTCCAAAATCGGGCTTTGTAGGTCAAAGAGGCCTCCGTCACTTTTAAACTTAATCTTGGAGTTTGGCTGATGCTGTTCCCGAGGCCCCCAAACCATTAACTCATCTGTGCTCGAGATCACTGAAGCTATACATCCACGCTATTCCTAAAGCGCAGCTGTGTGTTGTGAAAAATGATTTTCTCATTGTCATTAAGAGAACAAATGCCACAGGATTTTTTTTTCTACAAGTCGACAACTGAAGAAAGCCATTTCTCCCTAGTTGATAGAAAGGCTGTCATTGCACAGAATGGCCTCTCTTATCCTTTTGTGCATTAACTCAGCATAATTTTCAAATGTAAAACTTCTAAGAGGAGCATAATTCTAGAAATGGCAAGATTATAATTATGTGCAGCATAAAGGATAAATTTGTAGTTTATAAATCATGGATATTAATATTCAGCAGGAGCCCAATTCATGGTAAAACTTGAAATAAGTACATTGTTAAAAATAATTGAATTTGGGTTTTAGAAGAAATTTTAGCAGTTAAAGATTATTTTTGTGGGAGGCCGTTTGGCTGTCTGGGGTTCAAATTTGCATTTAGGTGGGGTTAGTTTCACCGCTGTTTGAAACAGTGGCATACATTTCAATCAGTTTAGATGCATTTTTTTTTTATTTCTACTACCTGTCTTCACCCCCACCATCTAGTCTGTCACAAAATCTTGGTTATGTAGCTTTTATATATTTAGGAATCTCTCTTTTTTGGTATTTCTTCTGCCACTCCCTTGGGTCATGCCACCATTGCTTTTACTTGATTTCTGCAGTGGCCTCCAACGTGTCCTCTCCCTCCTGTCCCGTGCCCCTCAAATCCATGTTATGTAGCATCAAGAGAAATCTAGTTAATAGGAGATTCTCATGTTACTCCTTTTCTTAAAACTCTGTGTCACCTCATTATCTACAGAGGTGGAACTTACTGTGCTGTAAAAGGCCCTCATTGCTCTAGGGTGGAATGAATGGGCCAAAATGTATTTTGAGGAATTCTGAGCTTCTTCACTGGGCTTTGGTTGTTGTTGATTTTCAAAAGGGCATTGCTTTCAAACAAATATATTTATATACATACATACACACGTGTGTTTGTGTGTGTGTGTGTGTGTGTGAATCTATATATATATTTTGGAGATGGAGTCTTGCTAGGTTGCCCAGGCTGGAGTGCTGTGGCTATTCACAGGCAAGGTCATAGTGCCCTACAGCCCGGAGCTCCTGGATGCAAGTGATCTTCCTGCCTCAGCCTCCTGAGTAGCTCATACTGCAGATGCACACCACCACATTTGACCAAATGAATATATTTTTAAAAATAAAAAATGCCTCAGTTTTGAGACTGGGTATAGTAGTATGTGCCTGTAATCCCAGCTACTTAGGAGGCTAAGATAGGAGGATCGGTTGAGTCCAGAAGTTTGAGACCAACCTGGGAAACATAGTGAGACTGTCTCAAAAAAAAAAAAAAAAAAAAAGGAAAAAAACAAACTTGAAGTGAATTTTGAGATCTTGACGTGTGGGTGGCTTGGAGGTAAGACCTTCCCTGGCTGGTGGTTCTGGAGCTATAGACTCTTCATATTCCCTCAGTGTTTTGGTGGTGAGAAGTGTAGAGTAGTGGAAAAAAGAGACTTTTAGGTAGACCTGAGTTCAAATCCCACTTTGCTGCTTTCTTAGGAAGTGATTTTCTGTGTGTTATTTAAGCTACGCACAACTCAGGTCTCTGTCCTGTAGGCTGGATTGTGGTCAGGACCGGCATGTGGTAGGCTGTATTAGTCCATTTTCATGCTGCTGATAAAGACATACCCGAGACAGGGCAATTTACAAAAGAAAGAGGTTTATTGGACTTACAGTTCCACATGGCTGAGGAGGCCTCACAATCGTGGTGGAAGGCAAGGAGGAGCAAGTCACATCTTATGTGGATGGCAGTAGGCAAAGAGAGCTTGTGCAGAGAAACTCCTGTTTTTAAAACCAACAGCTCTCATGAGACCCAGTCACTATCACAGACGCGAACAGCATGGGAAAGACCCACCCCCATGATTCAGTCATCTTGCACCAGGTCCCTCCTACAACACATGGAAATTATGGGAGCTACAAGATGAGATTTGGGTGTGGACACAGAGCCAAACCATATCATAGGCATTTCATAAATGGGAGTGGTGCCGTTCTTTGAGCTTTTCCGTGGTCCTAGGGAGACATGGGCTTCAATGACCTCACAGGACAAATGCTCCATAAAGAGCCTTTTTCTGTGAAGCAAAATTTGGCACTTTTGCCACCCCAGATGCATCGATAGAGACTGGGTTAAAAGGTATTTGAAGACTTCAGAGTAACTCCTGCAAATCCTCACAAAGCTAGCAAAGGCTCTTTCTTTTCTATATAACCCAGGTGGTCTGTGAGCAGAGTAGAAGCTGCAAAAAGCAGAAAGATACTTTATTATGAGTGATGGTTTGAGAAGGAAAAAAACTCAGCAGGCTTTAACCTTTCCTTTTTGTGTAGCTGGGTGTCCACCAAGGATCACAGTAAGGTATGTGTGATTTTCATTCAAAGTTACCTTTTGTTTGGCAAAACTGGTTCACCACAGGAAAATTCTGAACCCAAGTCTGTGCTCACATTCCTGTCTTGATTCAGGAACAGCCAAAAGAAAGGAGCCACTTTCAAACCAGAACAATTAGATATGCATTGAGAAGAATTCAAGATATGTTAAAGTATTCCAAAATGGAAAAACACTGCAAGTACCAGCTTAAAACTGGTAGAGCCAAAACTGTGCAGGCGCCATGAAAAAATAAAATTCCAGTAATGGAAAGGAGTTAACCAGGGCTTCTAGAGCTAAGATAGAAAGTGCTAAGTATAAATTGAAGTGAATCTCTATTTTTACAGCTGCTATGACTAAGGCATGTTGCTTACATTGAAAAAGAAAAACAGTATTCATACCACTATGACAACTGATTATATTTAATATCTAGTCTCATAAAAACCTTATTAAGATTTCAGAAGAGCAGAAGATTTAGTTACTAGAATTAAAATTGTTTTTATCTGAAGAAAAATAACAGGTATTCAAAATCTGAACTACCAGATCTGATATATCTGGCCAGATGCTCTCCAACATTTTATTTTAAATTTTTTATAAGGAACCATCTGCTGTAAGTAGAGGTACTTATTAACTTTTCTAGCAGAAAAAGAAATTAACATCTGAAGATACAAAGCCAGTGAATGGTGAAAGAACATAGTTATGAAGACAAAATTAAAAAATCCTCTCACTCCCCTGAGGACCAATTTAAGTGTTCTATTTAGAGAAATTCTGTTTGCAAAGCATATATTTTTGGTTATTTCTGTTAAGGTTATTACTTAGCAGCAATTTCAGAAGTTTGTTTTAATAGATTCTATATTATGTTGTACTTAATGAGAATGAGCTCTGGATCACAACTCATCAGTTTATGAAGCTCACCCCCCTCCCCTTCCCACTTCCACCAAGTCTTGATGGCCATTCTTGGGTATTACAACAGACTACCTGGAAATCACCGTGCAGTTAGCAACAGAACATCAGTGTTGAAAGAGTAGGTAAAATTATTTTTGAATAACCAAGTTTTTTTTTTTTTTTTTTTTTTTTGCAACTGTAAAAATGAAATTAGGAAAGCATGTGGTAGTACATCTCTATATTATCTATATATTTTCAAAGAACTCTAGGCCACACAACATCTCTTGTATTAGGGAAAAAATGAAAGGTGAGGTCAATGGATTTCGGATAAATTTCAAAAAAATGAAAATGTTGGCAAATGATTGAATTTAAATATTTTGATTGTTTGAAGCAGCATAGCTTTCCCCTGAGGCAAACTGAATTAAAGTCACAGGCAACATACTTTTTATTCCCTCTACATTATATTAAATGTATTTTGGATTTTGGATATTTTGGATCTTTTTTTCCCCTCTACATTATATTAAATATATTTTTGGATTTTAGGTGAATTTTAGCTTACCAAGTTCTAAAATTATAATTTTTCTGACTTTTATCTATAATAGAATCTTAATAATATAGAGTGTTCTAATATATACTATGTTGTAGAAACTCCTCTTTTTTGGTGAAAATTTTCTGAGTTGAGAGCTGACCTTTCATTAAGAAAAGATGTGTAATTAATTATTGTATAGTCAATGCTTAACCTATTAAAACAGATTGTTTTCAAGAACTTTAATAGAACCTGTTTATATACTGGCAATTGATTACTTAATTCAGTATAAAGTACCATTAGTAGTACTTTATACCTTAGAGCCATATGATCTGAGTTTAGATCCATGTTCTATTTAGTAGCTGTTGGACCTTGGGCAAGTTAGAATTCCTATGCCTTGATTTCCTCATCTGTAAAATGGGGGTAATAATGGTGCTTAACTCATGGGGGCACTGTGGGGAATTAAGTGAGTTTATATATATTATTTAATCTGTCAAACCAGAAAGAATGAATTTAATACTTCAGTCTCTGTTCTGCAGGAGAAACCTGATATAAGATCATCACACTCTTCCCAGGACTGGCCCCATCACTGGGAAACATTTTTAAAAATCACAATAATAAAAGCAATGTAATATCAGTAAATAAATAAATGCTTAAAACTTGTCCGGTTGACTGGATAAATCTCTATTTTGTATTTAAAAATGTTGAAACTTTTCCAAGGGAAGAAATTCTATGCTCAAGTACAGTAGCTAGATCCTGGTTGGTTAGGTTTCATTCAAAGAGTGAAAGCCTCATTGTAGGAAAAAAAGACTATTTCCAGATGGCCTATTACATTGACAGCTCTAAAAGTTTATTTTTAAGTTGTTTATCTGGAAATTTGAGCATATTTTCCCCACATAGTTCATAAAAACTGGCTGGATCTATTTAATTACTGGTTGGTGAAATCTCACTATTATGTTATCTTGGTTCTGGTCACGGGAGCAGAGGATTATTCTGGGCTTTATTGTGTCCCTCTGAGCCCCAAATTCATGTGCTGAAGTCCTGTATTAGTCCATTTTCATGCTGCTGATAAAGACTTACCCGAGACTGGGAAGAAAAAGAGGTTTTAATGGACATATAATTCCAAGTGGCTGTGGAGGAGTCCTCACAATCATGGCGGAAGCCAAGGAGGAACAAGTCACGTCTTACGTGGATGGCAGCAGGCAAAAAGAGAGTTTGTGCAGGGAAACTCCCGTTTATAAAACCCTCAGATCTTTTGAGACTTATTCACTATCACAAGAACAGCACAGGAAAGACCTGCCCCCATGATTCAGTTATCTCTGCTGAGTCCCTACCACAACACATGGGAATTATGGGAGCTAAAAGATGAGATTTGGGTAGGGCCACAGAGTGAAACCATTATCATTCCACCCCGGCCCCTCCCAAATCTCATGTCTTCACATTTCAAAACCAATCATGCTTTCTCAACAGTCCCCCAGAGTCTTACCTCATTCCAACATTAACCCAAAAGTCCACAGTCCAAAGTTTCATCTGAGACAAGGCAAGTCCCTTCCGCCTATGAGCCTGTAAAATCAAAAGCAAGTTAGTTACTTCCTAGATACAATGGAGTTACAGGCATTGGGTAAATACAGCCATTCCAAATGGGAGAAATTGGCCAAAACAAAAGGGCTGCAGGCCCCATACAATTCTGAAATTCAGCAGGGCAGTCAAATTTTAAAGCTCCAAGATGATCTCCTTTGACTCCATGTCTTGCATCCCGGTCACACTGATGCAAGAGGGGGGTTCCCATGGTCTTGGGAAGCTCCATCCCTGTGGCTTTGCCTCCTGGCTATTTTCATAGGCTGGCATTGAGTGTCTGCAGCTTTTCAGGCAAATGGTGCAAGCTGTTGGTGGATCTACCATTCCGGGGTCTGGAGGATGGTGGCCCTCTTCTCACAGCTCCACTAGAAGGTACCCCAGTAGGGACTCTGTGTGGGAGCTCCCACCCCACATTTCCCTTCCACACTACCCTAGCAGAGGTTCTCCATGAGAGCCCTGCCCCTGCAGCAAACTTCTGCCTGGGAATCCAGGCATTTCCATACATCCTATGAAATCTAGGTGGGGTTCCCAGACCTCAGTTCTTGAGTTCTGTGCACCCGCAGGCTCAAAACCATGTGAAAGCTGCCAAGGCTTGGGCTTGCACCCTCTGAAGCCATGGCCTGAGCTCTACATTGGCCCCTTTCAGCCATGGCTGGAGTAGCTCAGAGGCAGGGCACCAAATCCCTACACTCCACACAGCAAGTGGACCCTGGGCCTGGCCCACGAAACCACTTTTTCCTCCTAGGCCTCTAGGCCTGTGATGGAAGGGGCTGCTGTGAAGACCTCTGATACGCCCTGGAGACATCTTCCCCATTGCCTTGGGGATTAACATTCGGCCCCATGTTACTTATGCAAATTTCTGCAGCTGGCTTGAATTTCTCCTCAGAAAAAGGAGAAATCTTTTCTATCGCATTGTCAGGCTGAAAATTTTCTGAACTTTTATGCTCTGCTTCCTTTATAAAACTGAATGCCTTTAACAGCACCCAACTCACATCTTTAATGCTTTGCTGCTTAGAAATTTCTTCTGCCAGATACCCTAAATCATCTCTCTCAAGTTCAAGGTTTCACAAATCTCTAGGGCAAGGGCAAAATGCTGCCAGTCTCTTTGGTAAAACATAACAAGAGTCACCTTTGCTCCAGTTCCCAACAAGTTTCTCATCTCTATCTGAGACCACCTCAGCCTGGATTTCATTGTCCATATCATTATCAGCATTTTGGTCAAAACCATTTGACAAGTCTCTAGGGAGTTCCAAACTTTCTCACATTTTTTCCTGTGTTCTTCTGAGCCCTCCAAACTGTTCCAACCTCTGCCTGTTACCCAGTTCAAAAGTCTCTTCCACATTTTCAAGTATCTTTTCAGCCCACTCTACTGGTACTCATTTACTGTATTAGTCCATTTTCATGCTGCTAATAAAGACATACCTGAGGCTGGGCAATTCACAAAAGAAAGAGGTTTAAGACATTCACAGTTCCATGTGGCTTGCCTTCCATCTCACAATCATGGTGGAAGGCAAGGATGAGCAAGTCACATCTTACATGGATGGCAGCAGGCAAAAAGAGAGCTTGTGCAGGGAAACTTCCATTTTTAAAACCATCAGATCATATGAGACTTATTCACTATCATAGAACAGCATGGAAAGACCTGCCCCCATCATTCAGTTATCTCCACTGGGTGCCTCCCACAACACATGGGAATTCTGGGAGCTACAAGATGAGATTTGGATGGGGATACAGAACCAAACCATACAAAGTCCTAACCTTAGTACTTCAGAATGTGTCTGCATTTTGAGATAGGGCCTCTAAAGAGATAATTAAGGTAAAATGAGGCCTTATAAGAAGAGGAGATTAAGATATAGCCACACACAGAGGGAAGACCACCTGAAGGCAATGGAAGATGGTCTTCTACAAGCCAAAGAAAGAGGTCCTCAGAAGAAACCATCTTTGCTGATACCTTGGTCATGGACTTCCAGCCTCCAGAACTGTGAGAAAATAAATTTCTGTTTAAGCCACTCAGCCTGTAGTAATTCGTTATGGCAGCCCTGGCAAACAAATACAAGGATCATATAGTGTGGAAAGAGTAGAGCTGGCTTTATGTTAAAAATGCAAAAATAGGAGAAGTTTGTCTTGGGTCCTCTTTTGCCTTTTTCCCCATGTCTCTCCTCCCACTGTTTTCTTGCCACTCTGGGTTCCCACTGTGACCCTCCTCTTTAATGTGGGGGTTAGGATAGATCTTTTCTTTTTTTTTTTTTTTTGGACAGAGTCTCTCTCTCTGTTGCCCAGGCTGGAGTGCAGTAGCATGATCTCAGCTCACTGCAACCTCCACTTCCCAGGTTCCTGCAATTCTCCTGCCTCAGCCTCCCAGTAGCTGGGACTACAGATGCACACCACTACAGCTGGCTAATTTTTGTATTTTTAGTAGAGACGGGGTTTCACCATGTTGGCCAGGCTGGTCTTGAGCTCCTGACCTCAAGTTATCCATCCATCTTGGCCTCCCAAAGTGCTGGGATTACAGGCGTGAACCACCGCTCCTGGCAGGATAGATCTTGATTCTCTTCAAGGCACCAGATCCACCAAGGTGTTGCCTGTTCCTTCTGCACCAGAGAAAGTTAGGATATATATAATATAAATGGCTTTGATGACATGCACTAACGTGTGAGTGATCAATGCCCCTTAATTCCCTAAATAGGAGCTACATGAAGGCATGGACTTTGGCAACCAGTGTGTTCTCAGAGCCCAGAATAAATAGTCAGTCAAGTAATATTAATTACTTCACTTCAGTTAATATTACTGAGTGAATATCCTGTTTTAAAAGCCAGAGCTAAGCCCAAATGAATCTCTTTTGGTAGGAATTGTTGGCAGTATAAGCAAGTAGAGTGAAATGTCTCCAGCACTTGGAAACGTGCTCTCTTTTTATGGGTGGGATGGCAGGGGAGATGTAACAGCAGAACCTCGAGCTCCTGCTCCCAAAATCAGCCTGTTGTACTTTTTACAACTTCCTCTCTGTTTCCAATTCTGCATTAACAGATTCTTAAAATCTCCTCATTGCTTTAGTTTATAAGGGCTCCCCTGGTATTGCAAAGCCTAGGTCTCAGCTTTAGAGAGGAGAGGGGGGGCCATGGGGTGATCGAGGAAGAGCTGGTGGCCTGTGCATCTGGCTGATTAGTAAGTTCAGGGTGACCTCTGTAACTTATTTTTACCTCACACATGTGTGTGCAGTACTTGAAGTGGATGAGAGAACTTTGGGAAGGGGAACAACTAAATTTGGAATGCTTCTATAAGTGGCGCTTCCAGACAGAAATCATGGCTGTGACGGTAGGCATGTCATTAGGGAGTGACAGCAGGCTCTCTGCATGCCTCTTGTCCCTGCTGCATATTCCAGTCCTCCCCTCCACTTGCAGAATCCTTTTTGGTCAACCATTTAAAAGATGGGGGTGAAAGGGGCACGTAAAATAGGAGGTAAATTAAAGATGTGTTTATTGAATATATCTATTGAATAAACTCTTATAAACACTTACTATGTTCCTGGCACTGTTACAGGTGCTTCACACTTATCCATTCATTCATAATCTTACTCATAATCCTGTGAGAAAACCCTGGCCAGAGAGTTTTTTGCACCAGGTCACATACAGTGAGAACATAGTAAAGTGGGTATTCACACCCAGGGAGTGTGGTTCCAGAGTAGTTTGTGGAGGGGAATTCTTGGTTTGGGAGAGGTATGTTGGATATAAATGAGGCTCAATTTGGGTAGGAATTGAGTAAAATAGCTTATCATATTGAATGGACCTCAAGTTCATCCTGTTTTATTACAGTCATCGTTCCTTGTCCACTGTAGTGTAGCATTGTAGTCACCTTAGAGGGGGCTGGATTTCTTGAGGATCTAGAAAAGGAAATTTTTTCTGGAGGCCACAGGGGAAAGAGGCAGCCTGAGAAGGAAACTGGTGTTGAATGGGGAAGACAGGGTTTGTTTAGTGACATATTTAGAAGTTGACTTTCTCTTATGTTCTTTAACAAATGAAGATGATAATATCCATCCTAATTTCCAGGTTGTAGTAAGATAAAATAAAGTAAAAGAAATAGAGCCTAGAACTTAAAATTGGAAAGACTGCAGGCTCAGCAAATACAGTAGCTTTCACTTACTGTTATGTGAAAGGAATCAGACATAGTCACTCTGTTCCAAGTAAAAATGACCTGGTTGACCTCTCCCCTCTGCATCTGCACTTTCCCATTCTTGAGGGTACTCCAGGGATTCTTCAGGGCACAGTTTAAAACCTTAGTTAGAAAACCACTTCTCTGAGTCAACTTCTGTTGTGAATATGAGGAAATTCAGGCCAAGAAACAGTCAGTGGCTTTCCTGCAGTTGCTCCACTATTTTTCCACTTTCTGAGGGCTGTGTCCTCACTGGAGAAACCATCTCTCTCTGGGAAAACACTGAAAAGTTAGAAGTTCATATCAGAGTGAGCTCTTTTGCTTTAATAATACCAATAATTTATTGAATACTTACAAATACTTCCAGGCAGGGACAGCTTCATAAGTGTGTGACCCATGCAGCGGCACAGGCCTTACTCTCAGAAGGGCCCTGCCTTTGTTTTTATTATCTGTCATGATCTTGACATTCTCAGTAGCTTTTGAACAAGGCACTCTGTGCTTTTTTCACTGGGCCCCACAAAATTATGTGGCAGATCCTGGCTCTTGGTGTTTTACATATGTGTGTGTGCGTGTGTGTATTATATATATATAGCTTACAAACATCTTTGAGGTATGGATATTATTATCCCTATTTTACAATCAAGGACTATGAGGCTAAGGCAATTTCCTGGAGAGCACACGTGTTGTGAAGGGGCAGAATGGGAACTTTTGTTGAGAAATCTTGGCCTCAAAGCCCACTGTCTTTCCACCTTATGCTAGTGCAAGTCTAAAGTAAAAGTGTACAGGGGAAGGGAAAAGAAGCTAATGGTAAATCTTTGTTTTGTGGGGTGGGATGGTATGGAAACATAGGGGTTGCTGAAGGGCTTGGCTTCTGGCAACCATTTAACATGTATACACACCCCTTAATTTTTAAAGATGAATAACTCGATTTTTTTTTTAAAGACAGCTTGGCATAAGACTAATTTATAAGGACCTTACTCCACAGATCTGGTGACTGACCCAACAAGTGTGATTCTGTATTATTCATAAAAGGAAAGGCTAAAAAAAAAATGTGAAGGGACAAGTTTTAGTTTAGGCCATGAATTGGTGGCAGTCTTCGGATTAGAACACCTTTGTGCTTGCTTTTGCTTCAACATTTAGCTCATGTTTTTCTTTATTTTTTTCACATATAGGCATGAGACAACATAGTGGTTTTGGAATTGTTTTGATGATAAAAGTTGTAGCAGTCAAAAATGCAACTACTTGGTATTCCTGTATTCACATCAACAAAAACCAAAACTTTGTGTTTGGTTTCCTTCTCCCACCTGCATTTTCCCCACTTTTTCAAAGTGAGAGTGTATTTTTTTTAACATTTTTCATCCAAAGCATTTGGTAGTGAATTTTTTTCATTAGTTACCTATGGCAGAAAATAGGAATTTTCTCTCTAGAGAAAGTTCTCAAGGAACTGAGAATTTCCAGGCCTGATATTCTTGGACAATATTATGGCCCAATTTCTAATAACATATTATATTTTAGAGTGCTTTTAGCCTGTAATGTGCTTTCATATTTGTTGTAGAAATATGTATAAGATGGCAGAATGAGGAGAAGAAATAATTTTGACCTGACATTCTGGCAGAGCATGAAGAGCACTAAATGAGGGTTCTATAACAAGAGCAGAGCAAGTACATCCATCGAGGCAGAGTGTTGACAGTCACGGAGTGCAGGTTTTCATTCCGCTCGTGTCCATTTGTTCACTACATTTATTCAGCAAATAGTCTTTGAAACTCTCAAAATAACAAATAAAAGCCATTCCCCCTTAATACCTCCATATTATACTGAAGAGGCCCTACCAAGATGTACAATTACAGGTTTATATCAATACCATTTTCTCATTTGATTGGTGCACTTCCAAAATGTTCTAACCAATTGTACTTTGATCACGGTTGAATATGGTGATTTTTTTTTAAAAGGAAACAAAAGGACAAGAAAAACTGGAACAAGTTTCCTTGTGTCTAAACTGTTGAACATGTTTTCTTAGAGATTTCTCAGAAAAGGAACCATTTGAAAGGACCACCAGAAGTATTTCTACAGAAGAAAGAGCGAACAGAAAACATCCCCATTTCTAATCCTCACCTAAGTCCTTGAAAACTCAATTAGTGAAGTTCATGCCCAGAATCTGTCAGACAGGTTGTAACCGGAGAGCACTAATGGCTCAATTCTTTAGATATCAAAATGTCACTTCATATTAAATGAATGAACTCTAAGTACCCATATGCTAATTGGATTTATTCTTTACATGTTGGCTGTGATCATTATCACACTGGGTATGAACTTTACTGAATGACTCCACAAATTCCCCTTAATTTTCCAAGTTAAGATGACCCTGGCGACCATCTTTCCCAGGGGTATTTCAACTTTTAACTACATAGTGTATTTAATAGGAACTGAAAATTGAAGAAAACATGAGAAGTTGAAGAATTTGTGCAAGCCAAATATATAGTGAGGGCTACTATAAAGATTTTATTACCTTGAGATTGAAGCTATCACATTACTATGGGTTTCTCTCTGTCAGATATACCTAAATTTGTTGCACTGATCCCTGCTTCAGATCTGAGGGAAGAAGAAAGAAGGTAAAATACCTTCATCTAGAGTAGAGATGAGAGGTTGAACATTGAGCAACTCTCCTATTCTTTAAACCAAATGAAAACACCTCTAGATTTGTATCTTATAGATAACAAAACGCTTTTGGAAATGGCATGGGGTGTATATGGCTTCCCCTTCCACATCTGGAGTATATCAGTATCCACCTCTGCTCATTCTGGAGCATGAAAAGAGGCAGAGGAAACAGCTCATTGCTTTCTAGTAAACTGCTTTCTCTGCCTTTCCCACTATGACACAGAAAGACAAGTAAGAGCATCTTGGCCTCTGGAAGTGGTTTCAGGGGAACTCTGAGGAAATCCTTAGAACCCAGCCTCAACACCATGAAAGGACTGGTATTTAGACTTTTAATATTATCTTCAGTAGCCACTAACTGGTGGATAAACTCATGGTATTGGAAGAAGACATTTCTTAAACAATTTTAATTGTTAAGTAAAGCGTTTGACCTTCTTAGTATTTCCTTTTTCAATTTTAAAACATACCTGGAATCTCAAGAACTGGAAATGGTTTAGTTTTCTCTTGCCCTCTGAGAGGTCACCCTGGACAAGTGTCTTTCTGGATCTTCATGTGTAGCTCACAACTGTTCCTCATAGTTTTCTTCCTCCTCAGAGGTGGGGTGTGGTGGAGGTAGGGATCTGGGGAGAGAATAGAGAGGTGAGCCTAGCAGGGATGTGCATTTATGAAGGGTAATGTATTATAGTTTGCTATGGTTTGAATGCTTGTGTCCCTCCAGAATTCAGATGTTGAAATCCTAACTCCTAAGGTAACGGTTTTAGAAAACAGGGTCTATGGGATGTGATTAGATGACGAGGGAAGAGCCCTCATGATTGGGGTTAGTGCCTATATAAAAGAGAGCTCAGAGACCCAGCCAACCCCTTTCACCATGTGAGGACACAGTGAAAAGTCATTGTCTATGAGAAAGTGGGCCGTCACTAGACACTGAACCAGCTGGCACTTTGATCTGGGACTTCCAGCCTCCAGAACTATGAGAAATAAATTTCTATTGTTTATAAGCTACCCAATGTAAAATATTTTGTTATAGCGGCCTAAATGGACTACGACACAGTTCTTTATCTTAGCTTTGCAAATCAGTAGTGCTGGTGGAACTAGGCTCTATGTCCAGTTGTGCCAGATAGCAGCACCTTCCTGCACTCAGTGTTTATTGGGACCAGTAGAATGCAACATGCACTTGTAAAAAGTAGCCTCCTGCATGCTTACAGCTCACTTAGCTCAGGGCTTAGCTAGTACCTCCTGCATCACTACGAAACTGTGACTGTTTTATTTAATATTTTACTACAACTTCTTCCAGGAATGTTTGTGGCATAACTTTGGCACTCAACACAAGGCAAAAATAAGATGTTTAGAAAATAAATCTGAACAGGAACTTCTTGAGGTACTGCTGCTAATTTCACATGAACCAAGTTACCGCCAGATTCACTACAGTTCCTTTGGCAATTATAATGTTAACATGTTTGCTCCATAATATGCAAACAATTTAAAAATACTTAATATAAATCTATCAAAGGGCCTGAGATAGTAAGAAGTTAGAAAACACAACCTTGGCAGATGGGTGGGGAAGAGGGAGATCTGATGCCACCCACTAAGATTTTTCTTCCTTTGAACTACTGGGGCACATACACTGATCTTATCTGTATACAACTTAGACCATTGTCTTATTCATTTGAATAAATAGGTCTGATCTCACTAGCAAGATTAAATGGTTCACCATATGTACTTTTTCACTTGCTTTCGTGTTGCCTGTTAATTAATTCATTTAAAGGAGAAAAGTAGGTATAAATTTGTTTATTCATTCAGTCAGTTCAGCAGAAATTTATTGCAGAGCTGATATGTTTTCCATGCCAGGTGTTGGTGGTATGGAAATGAGACATGAAATGCTTGTCTTCAAAGAACTTACAGTCATCTTAGAAGAACTTTCAACTGAATGGGGGAGAAGGCAGATACTTAATAGATACTTAAGAGCCCTATTCTAGAATTGTACCCTTATTCTGTACTTCAGGTCCTGCAACACTTTTCTATTAAGATTTTAGAATGTTTTATATTGTTATGATAGTTTTATAATAAAATTGAACTAATCCTGACTCTCAGACAAGGTGTTCAGCCTAACCTTGCTTTGTAAACTTGCTTCCTCCATTGATGTTTTTTTCTGATTTAGATTGATCATATTCATTAGTAGTTTGGTTTCCTTTCCAGGGTTTTCCTTCCTTTAGTTCCAAATTGCTTAGAAAGCCTGCTGTTCTCCCAATTTCTCCTCCTGGCATCAGCTGGCTCCCTGTGGATATGCCCACCAGTCTGAAAGAGTGCTTACCTTTGTTCTGAAGGCAGAATTTAGGCTTGGCTTGGCAGAGTCCTCTGAAGAGTAAATGTTTAATGGGAATACTTGCCTTCCACATCTGCTCTGGACTGTTGATTTTACCTGACATATTTCTATATGGTTATATATTGTCCATCCACAATCCTCATTTTGAAGGAGATTAAGAGGGATGGAGTGGTTGACAGGCATCAGGAAGTTCTAGAAATTTGGCTATTCAAAGCACTCTAGATGTGCTTTTCTGTTTATTTTTTTCTCTCTCAATATAACTAACGGCACAATGAAAGGAGAGATACTCATATCCTAAACCATGAGCTCTTTATTTGCTCCTCTCAAAGGGCCAGGGGAGGATATGAGGAAAGATAACAGGAGGGAGACTCCTTGGTACTTATAAAGACCGATACGAATTCTCTTTTGCATGTGTTTGACAAGAGATGGGGGAGAGGATGTGTGTTCCTCACCATCGTTTTTGAACATATTAGTCTTAACATCACAGGGGAAATGTACAACTGTTGAAAATAGGATAAAATAAGAAATGTGACAATATATAATCTCAGTGAATAAATTGTGAAATGTAAGATGAGAGGAGGAGCCAAGATGGCCGAATAGGAACAGCTCCGGTCTACAGCTCCCAGCGTGAGCGACGCAGAAGACGGATGATTTCTGCATTTCCATCTGAGGTACCGGGTTCATCTCACTAGGGAGTGCCAGACAGTGGGCGCAGGCCAGTGTGTGCGCGCACCGTGCGCGAGCCGAAGCAGGGCAAGGCATTGCCCCACTTGGGAAGCGCAAGGGGTCAGGGAGTTCCCTTTCCGAGTCAAAGAAAGGGGTGACGGATGCACCTGGAAAATCGGGTCACTCCCACCCGAATATTGCGCTTTTCAGACCGGCTTAAGAAACGGCGCACCACGAGACTATATCCCACACCTGGCTCAGAGGGTCCTATGCCCACGGAATCTCGCTGATTGCTAGCACAGCAGTCTGAGATCAAACTGCAAGGCGGCAACTAGGCTGGGGGAGGGGCGCCCGCCATTGCCCAGGCTTGCTTAGGTAAACAAAGCAGCTGGGAAGCTCGAACTGGGTGGAGCCCACCACAGCTCAAGGAGGCCTGCCTGCCTCTGTAGGCTCCACCTCTGGGGGCAGGGCACAGGCAAACAAAAAGACAGCAGTAACCTCTGCAGACTTAAGTGTCCCTGTCTGACAGCTTTGAAGAGAGCAGTGGTTCTCCCAGCACGCAGCTGGAGATCTGAGAACGGGCAGACTGCCTCCTCAAGTGGGTCCCTGACCCCTGACCCCCGAGCAGCCTAACTGGGAGGCACCCCCCAGCAGGGGCACACTGACACCTCACACGGCAGGGTATTCCAACAGACCTGCAGCTGAGGGTCCTGTCTGTTAGAAGGAAAACTAACAACCAGAAAGGACATCTACACCGAAAACCCATCTGTACATCACCATCATCAAAGACCAAAAGTAGATAAAACCACAAAGATGGGGAAAAAACAGAACAGAAAAACTGGAAACTCTAAAACGCAGAGCGCCTCTCCTCCTCCAAAGGAACACAGTTCCTCACCAGCAACAGAACAAAGCTGGATGGAGAATGATTTTGACGAGCTGAGAGAAGAAGGCTTCAGACAATCAAATTACTCTGAGCTACGGGAGGACATTCAAACCAAAGGCAAAGAAGTTGAAAACTTTGAAAAAAATTTAGAAGAATGTATAACTAGAATAACCAATACAGAGAAGTGCTTAAAGGAGCTGATGGAGCTGAAAACCAAGGCTCGAGAACTACGTGAAGAATGCAGAAGCCTCAGGAGCCGATGCGATCAACTGGAAGAAAGGGTATCAGCAATGGAAGATGAAATGAATGAAATGAAGCGAGAAGGGAAGTTTAGAGAAAAAAGAATAAAAAGAAATGAGCAAAGCCTCCAAGAAATATGGGACTATGTGAAAAGACCAAATCTACATCTGATTGGTGTACCTGAAAGTGATGTGGAGAATGGAACCAAGTTGGAAAACACTCTGCAGGATATTATCCAGGAGAACTTCCCCAATCTAGCAAGGCAGGCCAACGTTCAGATTCAGGAAATACAGAGAACGCCACAAAGATACTCCTCGAGAAGAGCAACTCCAAGACACATAATTGTCAGATTCACCAAAGTTGAAATGAAGGAAAAAATGTTAAGGGCAGCCAGAGAGAAAGGTCGGGTTACCCTCAAAGGAAAGCCCATCAGACTAACGGCGGATCTCTCGGCAGAAACCCTACAAGCCAGAAGAGAGTGGGGGCCAATATTCAACATTCTTAAAGAAAAGAATTTTCAACCCAGAATTTCATATCCAGCCAAACTAAGCTTCATAAGTGAAGGAGAAATAAAATACTTTATAGACAAGCAAATGCTGAGAGATTTTGTCACCACCAGGCCTGCCCTAAAAGAGCTCCTGAAGGAAGCGCTAAACATGGAAAGGAACAACCGGTACCAGCCGCTGCAAAATCATGCCAAAATGTAAAGACCATCGAGACTAGGAAGAAACTGCATCAACTAATGAGCAAAATCACCAGCTAACATCATAATGACAGGATCAAATTCACACATAACAATATTAACTTTAAATATAAATGGACTAAATTCTGCAATTAAAAGACACAGACTGGCAAGTTGGATAAAGAGTCAAGACCCATCAGTGTGCTGTATTCAGGAAACCCATCCCACGTGCAGAGACACACATAGGCTCAAAATAAAAGGATGGAGGAAGATCTACCAAGCCAATGGAAAACAAAAAAAGGCAGGGGTTGCAATCCTAGTCTCTGATAAAACAGACTTTAAACCAACAAAGATCAAAAGAGACAAAGAAGGCCATTACATAATGGTAAAGGGATCAATTCAACAAGAGGAGCTAACTATCCTAAATATTTATGCACCCAATACAGGAGCACCCAGATTCATAAAGCAAGTCCTCAGTGACCTACAAAGAGACTTAGACTCCCACACATTAATAATGGGAGACTTTAACACCCCACTGTCAACATTAGACAGATCAACGAGACAGAAAGTCAACAAGGATACCCAGGAATTGAACTCAGCTCTGCACCAAGCAGACCTAATAGACATCTACAGAACTCTCCACCCCAAATCAACAGAATATACATTTTTTTCAGCACCACACCACACCTATTCCAAAATTGACCACATAGTTGGAAGTAAAGCTCTCCTCAGCAAATGTAAAAGAACAGAAATTATAACAAACTATCTCTCAGACCACAGTGCAATCAAACTAGAACTCAGGATTAAGAATCTCACTCAAAGCCGTTCAACTACATGGAAACTGAACAACCTGCTCCTGAATGACTACTGGGTACATAACGAAATGAAGGCAGAAATAAAGATGTTCTTTGAAACCAACGAGAACAAAGACACCACATGCCAGAATCTCTGGGACACATTCAAAGCAGTGTGTAGAGGGAAATTTATAGCACTAAATGCCTACAAGAGAAAGCAGGAAAGATCCAAAATTGACACCCTAACATCACAATTAAAAGAACTAGAAAAGCAAGAGCAAACACATTCAAAAGCTAGCAGAAGGCAAGAAATAACTAAAATCAGAGCAGAACTGAAGGAAATAGAGACACAAAAAACCCTTCAAAAAATCAATGAATCCAGGAGCTGGTTTTTTGAAAGGATCAACAAAATTGATAGACCGCTAGCAAGATGACAAAGAAAAAAAGAGAGAAGAATCAAATAGACACAATAAAAAATGATAAAGGGGATATCACCACCGATCCCACAGAAATACAAACTACCATCAGAGAATACTACAAACACCTCTACGCAAATAAACTAGAAAATCTAGAAGAAATGGATACATTCCTCGACACATACACTCTCCCAAGACTAAACCAGGAAGAAGTTGAATCTCTGAATAGACCAATAACAGGCTCTGAAATTGTGGCAATAATCAATAGTTTACCAACCAAAAAGAGTCCAGGACCAGATGGATTCACAGCCGAATTCTACCAGAGGTACAAGGAGGAACTGGTACCATTCCTTCTGAAACTATTCCAATCAATAGAAAAAGAGGGAATCCTCCCTAACTCATTTTATGAGGCCAGCATCATTCTGATACCAAAGCCGGGCAGAGACACAACCAAAAAAGAGAATTTTAGACCAATATCCTTGATGAACATTGATGCAAAAATCCTCAATAAAATACTGGCAAACCGAATCCAGCAGCACATCAAAAAGCTTATCCACCATGATCAAGTGGGCTTCATCCCTGGGATGCAAGGCTGGTTCAACATACGAAAATCAATAAACGTAATCTAGCATATAAACAGAGCCAAAGACAAAAACCACATGATTATCTCAATAGATGCAGAAAAAGCCTTTGACAAAATTCAACAACCCTTCATGCTAAAAACTCTCAATAAATTAGGTATTGATGGGACGTATTTCAAAATAATAAGAGCTATCTATGACAAACCCACAGGCAATATCATACTGAATGGGCAAAAACTGGAAGCATTCCCTTTGAAAACTGGCACAAGACAGGGATGCCCTCTCTCACCGCTCCTATTCAACATAGTGTTGGAAGTTCTGGCCAGGGCAATCAGGCAGGAGAAGGAAATAAAGGGTATTCAATTAGGAAAAGAGGAAGTCAAATTGTCCCTGTTTGCAGACGACATGATTGTTTATCTAGAAAACCCCATCGTCTCAGCCCAAAATCTCCTTAAGCTGATAAGCAACTTCAGCAAAGTCTCAGGATACAAAATCAATGTACAAAAGTCACAAGCATTCTTATACACCAACAACAGACAAACAGAGAGCCAAATCATGGGTGAACTCCCATTCACAATTGCTTCAAAGAGAATAAAATACCTAGGAATCCAACTTACAAGGGATGTGAAGGACCTCTTCAAGGAGAACTACAAACCACTGCTCAAGGAAATAAAAGAGGACACAAACAAATGGAAGAACATTCCATGCTCATGGGTAGGAAGAATCAATATCGTGAAAATGGCCATACTGCCCAAGGTAATTTACAGATTCAATGCCATCCCCATCAAGCTACCAATGACTTTCTTCACAGAATTGGAAAAAACTACTTTAAAGTTCATATGGAACCAAAAAAGAGCCCGCATCGCCAAGTCAATCCTAAGCCAAAAGAACAAAGCTGGAGGCATCACACTACCTGAGTTCAAACTATAATACAAGGCTACAGTAACCAAAACAGCATGGTACTGGTACCAAAACAGAGATATAGATCAATGGAACAGAACAGAGCCCTCAGAAATAATGCCGCATGTCTACAACTATCTGATCTTTGACAAACCTGAGAAAAACAAGCAATGGGGAAAGGATTCCCTATTTAATAAATGGTGCTGGGAAAACTGGCTAGCCATATGTAGAAAGCTGAAACTGGATCCCTTCCTTACACCTTATACAAAAATCAATTCAAGATGGATTAAAGATTTAAACGTTAGACCTAAAACCATAAAAACCCTAGAAGAAAACCTAGGCATTACCATTCAGGACATAGGCGTGGGCAAGGACTTCATGTCCAAAACACCAAAAGCAATGGCAACAAAAGCCAAAATTGACAAATGGGATCTCATTAAACTAAAGAGCTTCTGCACAGCAAAAGAAACTACCATCAGAGTGAACAGGCAACCTACAACATGGGAGAAAATTTTCGCAACCTACTCATCTGACAAAGGGCTAATATCCAGAATCTACAATGAACTCAAACAAATTTACAAGAAAAAAACAAACAACCCCATCAACAAGTGGGTGAAGGACATGAACAGACACTTCTCAAAAGAAGACATTTATGCAGCCAAAAAACACATGAAGAAATGCTCATCATCACTGGCCATCAGAGAAATGCAAATCAAAACCACTATGAGATATCATCTCACACCAGTTAGAATGGCAATCATTAAAAAGTCAGGAAACAACAGGTGCTGGAGAGGATGTGGAGAAATAGGAACACTTTTACACTGTTGGTGGGACTGTAAACTAGTTCAACCATTGTGGAAGTCAGTGTGGTGATTCCTCAGGGATCTAGAACTAGAAATACCATTTGACCCAGCCATCCCATTACTGGGTATATACCCAAAGGACTATAAATCATGCTGCTATAAAGACACATGCACACGTATGTTTATTGCGGCACTATTCACAATAGCAAAGACTTGGAACCAACCCAAATGTCCAACAATGATAGACTGGATTAAGAAAATGTGGCACATATACACCATGGAATACTATGCAGCCATAAAAAATGATGAGTTCATATCCTTTGTAGGGACATGGATGAAATTGGAAACCATCATTCTCAGTAAACTATCGCAAGAACAAAAAACCAAACACCGCATATTCTCACTCATAGGTGGGAATTGAACAATGAGATCACATGGACACAGGAAGGGGAATATCACACTCTGGGGACTGTGGTGGGGTCGGGGGAGGGGGGAGGGATAGCATTGGGAGATATACCTAATGCTAGATGACACATTAGTGGGTGCAGCGCACCAGCATGGCACATGTATACATATGTAACTAACCTGCACAATGTGCACATGTACCCTAAAACTTAGAGTATAATAAAAAAAAAAAAAAAAAAAAAAGATGAGGTTCTGTCTGTTTTGCAACAATGTAAAAGTCCTGAATAGTTCACTGAGACAGAAAGAAAAAACGTAGAAAATAAAAGGAGAATAAAACACATAGGAGAATAATATGAGAAAAGCAGGCTTACTGCAGCCATATTACACACTTCTGATGACATTGTTTTCAAGAGGTAGGCAAAGATCCCAGATTAGAAAAACTTAAGAATGTATGTTTTAAAAAATCCAGAAAAAAGCAATTTTTGGAATCTTTGACATGCCAGTTTTGTACTGTATTGACAATTTCTTTGATAATCTCCTTCACCTTAGGGAATGTGTTGCCCTTTTTTTCTGTATTTTTCATATCATGAATCTAAATTTTAGATAAGAATTCTCCAAAGGAGAAAGGAAAAATGTCTAATTGCATGTGGTTAGCATATTTTTGTGCTTGATAAAAAGTAATAACATTATTTTACCATAAGGTATAGAAAAGTCATGTCAAAAGCTAGCTGAAAAAAATGAATAAATCAACAAATACATATTGGGAACCTGGCTTTTTAAAAGACTCACCAATCACTTCATACACATATTTACATTTAGACTTAACCTCTGCAATCTGTAGATCTGGAGATTCATGAGTCTGTGATTTATTTTATTATTATTTTTTATCTTGGTAGTTTGTGAGCTTTTCTGTTAGGTGACTTTTTTTTCTGATAACTTTTTTTGAGGTCCCTGGCTTGTGAATGGGCTTTAAAACATTAACGTGCAACACAAACTATTAATGCAAATCATTAATATTTTGAACTCCAGAAATGGCTTGTGAAACACTCTTGAAAGATTAGTACTATGTAAGTAGTACTTGTTCTTGCCAAACGGATTTTGTACATGGCTACTTATTTCTTAGTTAGTGCAGTTATGAAATGGCCAAACCAAAACAATCAAATGTCTATGCTTCATAGATATATTTTTCTTTTAATACATTTATTATATATCTAACAGTGTCTGACAAAGCTATGTCAGCAAGTTAAGGTCGGGCATTTTATTTTTTTAAATTTTTACTTTATTATTTATTTATTTATTCATTTTTTTATTATACTTTAAGTTTTAGGGTACATGTGCACAACGTGCAGGTTTGTTTCATATGTATACATGTGCCATATTGGTGTGCTGCACCCATTAACTCGTCATTTAACATTAGGTATATCTTCTAATGCTATCCCTCCCCGCTCCCTCCACCCCACAACAGGCCCCAGTGTGTGATGTTCCCCTTCCTATGTCCATGTGTTCTCATTGTTCAATTCCCACCTATGAGTGAGAACATGCGGTGTTTGGTTTTTCATCCTTGCGATAGTTTGCTGAGAATGATGGTTTCCAGCTTCATCCATGTCCCTACAAAGGACA
This sequence comes from Homo sapiens, assembly GCF_000001405.40. NCBI lineage: Eukaryota > Metazoa > Chordata > Mammalia > Primates > Hominidae > Homo > Homo sapiens. The sequence goes on from NC_000004.12 coordinate 78,113,152, forward strand.
TGAACTCATCATTTTTTATGGCTGCATAGTATTCCATGGTATATATATTCCACATTTTCTTAATCCAGTCTATCATTGTTGGACATTTGGGTTAGTTCCAAGTCTTTGCTATTGTGAATAGTGCCGCAACAAACATAAGTGTGCACGTGTCTTTATAGCAGCATGATTTATAATCCTTTGGGTATGTAACCAGTAATGGGATGGCTGGGTCAAATGGTATTTCTAGTTCTAGATCCCTGAGGAATCGTCACACTGACTTCCACAATGGTTGAACTAGTTTACAGTCCCACCAACAGTGTAAAAGTGTTCCTATTTCTCCACATCCTCTCCAGCACCTGTTGTTTCCTGACTTTTTAATGATCGCCATTCTAACTGGTGTGAGATGGTATCTCATTGTGGTTTTGATTTGCATTTCTTTGATGGCCAGTGATGATGAGCATTTTTTCATGTGTCTTTTGGCTCCATAAATGTCTTCTTTTGAGAAATGTCTGTTCATATCCTTTGCCCACTTGTTGATGGGGTTGTTTGTTTTTTTCTTGTAAATTTGTTTGAGTTCATTGTAGATTCTGGATATTAGCCCTTTGTTAGATGAGTAGATTGCAAAAATTTTCTCCCGTTCTGTAGGTTGCCTGGTCTCTCTGATGGTAGTTTCTTTTGCTGTGCAGAAGTTCTTTAGTTCAATGAGATCCCATTTGTCAATTTTGGCTTTTGTTGCCATTGCTTTTGGTGTATTAGACATGAAGTCCTTGCCCATGCCTATGTCCTGAATGGTATTGCCTAGGTTTTCTTCTAGGGTTTTTATGGTTTTAGGTCTAACATGTAAGTCTTTAATCCATCTTGAATTAATTTTTGTATAAGGTGTAAGGAAGGGATCTAGTTTCAGCTTTCTATATATGGCTAGCCAGTTTTCCCAGCACCATTTATTAAATAGGGAATTCTTTCCCCATTGCTTGTTTTTCTCAGGTTTGTCAAAGATCAGATAGTTGTAGGTATGCGGCATTACTTCTGAGGGCTCTGTTCTGTTCCATTGGTCTATATATCTGTTTGGGTACCAGTAGCATGCTGTTTTGGTTACTGTAGCCTTGTAGTATAGTTTGAAGTCAGGTAGCGTGATGCCTCCAGCTTTGTTCTTTTGGCTTAGGATTGACTTGGCAATGCAGGCTCTTTTTTTGGTTCCATATGAACTTTAAAGTAGTTTTTTCCAATTCTGTGAAGAAAGTCATTGGTAGGTTGATGGGGATGGCTTTGAATCTATAAATTACCTTGGGAAGTATGGCCATTTTCATGATATTGATTCTTCCTGCTCATGAGCATGGAATGTTCTTCCATTTGTTTGTATCCTCTTTTATTTCATTGAGCAGTGGTTTGTAGTTCTCTTGAAGAGGTCCTTCATGTCCCTTTAAGTTGGATTCCTAGGTATTTTATTCTCTCTGAAGCAATTGTGAATGGGGGTTCACTCATGATTTGGCTCTCTGTTTGTCTGTTATTGGTGTATAAGAATGCTTGTGATTTTTGCACATTGATTTTGTATCCTAAGACTTTGCTGAAGTTGCCTGTCAGCTTAAGGAGATTTTGGGCTGATACGATGGGGTTTTCTAGATATACAGTCATGTCATCTGCAAACAGGGACAATGTGACTTCCTCTTTTCCTAATTGAAAAATCCCTTATTTCCTTCTCCTGCCTGATTGCCCTGGCCAGAACTTCCAACACTATGTTGAATAGGAGTGGTGAGAGAGGGCATCCCTGTCTTGTGCCAGTTTTCAAAGGGAATGCTTCCAGTTTTTGCCCATTCAGTATGATATTGGCTGTGGGTTTGTCATAGATGGCTCTTATTATTTTGAGATACGTCCCATCAATACCTAATTTATTGAGAGTTTTTAGCATGAAGGATTGTTGAATTTTGTCAAAGGCCTTTTCTGCACTATTGAGATAATCATGTGGTTTTTGTCTTTGGTTCTGTTTATATGCTAGATTACGTTTATTGATTTTTGTATGTTGAACCAGCCTTGCATCCCAGGGATGAAGCCCACTTGATCATGGTGGATACGCTTATTGATGTGCTGCTGGATTCGGTTTGCCAGTATTTTATTGAGGATTTTTGCATCCATGTTCATCACGGATATTGGTCTGAAATTCTATTTTTTTGTTGTGTCTCTGCCAGGCTTTGGTATCAGGATGATGCTGGCCTCATAAAATAACTTAGGGAGGATTTCCTCTTTTTCTATTGATTGGAATAGTTTCAGAAGGAATGGTACCAGCTCCTCCTTGTACCTCTGGTAGAATTCGGCTGTGAATCCATCTTGTCCTGGACTTTTTTTGGTTGGTAAGCTATTAATTATTGCCTCAATTTCAGAGCCTGTTATTGATCTATTCAGAGATTCAACTTCTTCCTGGTTTGGTCTTGGGAGGGTGTATGTGTCCAGGAATTTATCCATTTCTTCTAGATTTTCTAGTTTGTTTGTGTAGAGGTGTTTATAGTATTCTCTGATGGTAGTTTGTATTTCTGTGGGATAGGTGGTGATATCCACTTTTTCATTTTTTATTGCATCTATTTGATTCTTCTCTCTTTTCTTCTTTATTAGTCTTGATAGTGGTCTATCAATTTTGTTGATCTTTTCAAAAAATCAGCTCCTGGATTCATTGATTTTTTGAAGTTTTTTTTGTGTGTCTATTTCCTTCAGTTCTTCTCTGATCTTAGTTATTTTTTGCCTTCTGCTAGCTTTTGAGTGTATTTTCTCTTGCTTCTCTAGTTGTTTTAATTGTGATGTTAGGTTGTCAATTTTAGATCTTTCCTGCTTTCTCTTGTGGACATTTAGTGCTATAAATTTCCGTCTACACACTGCTTTTAATGTGTCCCAGAGATTCTGGTATGTTGTGTCTTTGTTCTCATTGGTTTCAAAGAACATCTTTATTTCTGCCTTCATTTCATTATGTACCCAGTAGTCATTCAGGAGCAGGTTATTCATTTTCCATGTAGTTGAGCAGTTTTGAGTGAGTGTCTTAATCCTGAGTTCTAGTTTGATTGCCCTGTGGTCTGAGAGACAGTTTGTTATAATGTCTGTTCTTTTACATTTGCCAAGGAGTGCTTTACTTCCAACTATGTAGTCAATTTTGGAATAGGTGTGGTGTGGTGCTGAAAAGAATGTGTATTCTGTTGATTTGGGGTGGAGAGTTCTGCAGATGTCTATTAGGTTGCCTTGGTGCAGAGCTGAGTTTAATTCCTGGATATCCTTGTTAACTTTCTGTCTCGTTGATCTGTCTAATGTTGACAGTGGGGTGTTAAAGTTTCCCATTATTATTGTGTGGGAGTCTAAGTCTCTTTGTAGGTCTCTAAGGACTTGCTTTATGAATCTGGGTGCTCCTGTATTGGGTTCATATATATTTAGGATAATTAGCTCTTCTTGTTGAATTGATCCCTTTACCATTACGTAATGGCCTTCTTTGTCTCTTTTGATCTTTCTTGGTTTAAAGTCTGTTTTATCAGAGACTAGGATTGCAATCCCTGCCTTTTTTTGTTTTCCATTTGCTTGGTAGATCTTCCTCCATCCCTTTATTTTGAGCCTATGTGTGTCTCTGCACGTGAGATGGGTCACCTGAATACAGCACACTGATTGGTCTTGACTCTTTATCCCATTTACCAGTCTGTGTCTTTTAATTGGAGCACTTAGCCCATTTACATTTAAGGTTAATTTTGTTATGTGTGAATTTGATCCTGTCATTATGATGTTAGCTGGTTATTTTGCTCATTAGTTGATGCAGTTTCTTCCTAGCCTTGATGATCTTTACAATTTGGCATGTTTTTGCAGTGGGTCTTACCAGTTGTTCCTTTCCATGTTTAGTGCTTCCTTCAGGAGTTCTTTTAGGGCAGGCCTGGTGGCGACAAAATCTCTCAGCATTTGTTTGTCTCTAAAGGATTTTATTTCTCCTTCACTTATGAAGCTTAGTTTGTCTGGATTTGAAATTCTGGGTTGAAAATGCTTGTCTTTAAAGAATGTTGAATATTGGCCCCCACTCTCTTCTGGCTTGTAGAGTTTCTGCCAAGAGATCAGCTGTTGGTCTGATGGGCTTCCCTTTGTGGGTAACCTGACCTTTCTCTCTGGCTGCCCTTAACATTTTTTCCTTCATTTCAACTTTGGTGAATCGGACAATTATGTGTCTTGGAGTTGCTCTTCTCGAGGAATATCTTTGTGGCGTTCTCTATATTTCCTACATTTGAATGTTGGCCTGCCTTGCTAGATTGGGTAAGTTCTCTTGGATAATATCCTGCAGAGTGTTTTCCAACTTGGTTCCGTTCTCCCTGTCACTTTCAGATACACCAATCAGACGTAGATTTGGTTTTTTCACATAGTCCCTTATTTCTTGGAGGCTTTGTTAATTTCTTTTTATTCTTTTTCTCTAAACTTCTCTTCTCGCTTCATTTCATTCATTTGCTCTTCCGTCACTGATACCCTTTCTTCTAGTTGATCGAATCAGCTACTGAGGCTTGCATTCATCATGTAGTTCTCGTGCCATGGTTTTCAGCTCCATCAGGTCTTTTGAAGATTTCTCTGCATTGGTTATTCTAGTTAGCCATTCATCTAATTTTTTTTTCAAGGTTTTTAACTTCTTTGCCATGGGTTCGAACTTCCTCCTTTAGCTCGGAGTAGTTTGATCGTCTGAAGCCTTCTTCTCTCAGCTCATCAAAGTCATTCTCCGTCCAGCTTTGTTCCATTGCTGGTGAGGAGCTGCATTCCTTTGGTGGAGGAGAGGTTGTCTGATTTTTAGAGTTTCCAGTTTTTCTGCTCTGTTTTTTCCCCATCTTTGTGGTTTTATCTACCTTTGGTCTTTGATGATGGTGACGAACAGATGGGGTTTTGGTGTGGATGTCCTTTCTGTTTGTTAGTTTTCCTTCTAACAGTCAGGACCCTCAGCTGCAGGTCTGTTGGATTTTGCTGGAGGTCCACTCCAGACCCTCTTTGCCTGGGTATCAGCAGCGGAGCCTGCAGAACAGCAGATATTGGTGAACAGCAAATGTTGCTGCCTGATCATTGCTCTGGAAGTTTTGTGTCAGAGGAGTACCCGGCCATGTGAGGTGTCAGTCTGCCCCTACTGGGGGGTGCCTCCCAGTTAGGCTACTCGGGGACCAGGGACCCACTTGAGGAGGCAGTCTGTCCATTCACAGATGTCCAGCTGCGTGCTGGGAGAACCACTGCTCTCCTCAACGCTGTCAGACAGGGACATTTAAGTCTGCAGAGGTGCTGCCTTTTGTTTGGCTTTTGGCTATGACCTGCCCCCAGAGGTGGAGTCTACAGAGGCAGGCAGGCCTCCTTGAGCTGCAGATCGAGCTTCCCGGCTGCTTTGTTTACCTACTCAAGACTTGGCAATGGTGGGCACCCCTCCCCCAGCCTCACTGCCGCCTTGCAGTTTGATCTCAGACTGCTGTGCTAGCAATGAGCGAGGCTCCGTGGGCATAGGACCCTCAGATCCAGGCCCAGGATACAATCTCCTGGTGTGCCATTTGCTAAGACCGTTGGAAAAGCACAGTATCAGGGTGGGAGTGACCCGATTTTCCAGGTGCTGTCTGTCAACCCTTTCTTTGACTAGGAAAGGGAATTCCCTGACCCCTTGCCCTTCCCGGGTGAGGCAATGCCTCACCCTCCTTCGGCTTGCACTCGGTGCGCTGCACTCACTGTCCTGCACCCACTCTCCGACACTCCCCAGTGAGATGCACCCAGTACCTCAGTTGGAAATGCAGAAATCACCCGTCTTCTGCATCACTCACGCTGGGAGCTGTAGACTGGAGCTGTTCCTATTCAGCCATCTTGGCTCCACCACCTTATTTATTTTTTATATTGTGTATGTAACTCTTTTATAGAATATGTGAGTTGCAAATATTTTCTCCCAGTATAAACATTATCTTATCATGTTCTTTTAAAAAAATAATTGTATATATTCATGAGGTACGTAAGGATGTTTTAATACATATAATGTGTAGTGATCAGATCATGGCAATTAGAATATCCATCATCTTAAACATTTATCACTTCTTTGGGTTGGGAACATTGAATATCCTCATTCTTCTAGCTATTTGAATTATATATTATTGCTAACTGTAGTCATCCTACAGTGATAGAGCATGCTAGAGCTTCCTCCTCCCATCTAGCTGTAATTTTGTATCCTTTAACAAATCTCTCCCTATCCCTTCCTTCCCTTACCCTTCCCAAGCCCTAGTATTCTTTATCCTACTTTTGACTTCTATGAGATAAACTTTATTCCCCCTACATATGAGTGAGAATATGAGGTGTTTCACTTTCTGTTCCTGGCTTATTTCATTTAACATAGTGTCCTCTAGTTCCATCTATTTTTCTGTGAATGACAGGATTTCATTCTTTTTATGGCTGAATATTAATAGTATTCCATGGTCTATAGATATCACATTTTCTTTATCCATTCAGCTGTTGTTGGACACTTAGGTTGATTCCATAGCTTGGCTATTGTGAATAGTGCTGCAAAAAACAGGGGTAATAGTTCCTAATCCTGACTTTACCTTATAGTTTATTAGGGAATTTATCAAAAACTCTGCCACGTAACACAGTTCTGAGGATGCTAATTCAGCGAGATGAGGGAGGATCCTGAGTTTTACTTTTAACAAGTGTCCCAGGTGATTCTGATACTGGTCCATGGACCAGTGTATGGGAAACTCCACTTTGGAGAACATTACTAAACAAGCAAAACCTCTTGACTCACAGCTGGTGTAATTGGGTGGTTCAGATTGTGCCTTCTAGAAACCACTAATGTTACTACATGGAGGCAAGGGGAACTCCTCCTCTCCTGTTTTTCCCTGCTTGTCTACTGAAGTGAAACAGAATTGTAAAATATGTCTCTTTGTTTGCTCCTTGTTCTTTTGTCTTAATCAGATCTATGGGGAGAATTTTTTAAAGTTATGAATGGATGTTTATCATATTGTTCTGAAAACAGTGTTTATTTTGGAATTGGCAGCATGTTTGGTTTCTTTAAAATGCACACTGATTTCTTCTGACCAACATATGTGCCAAGTATCTTGAATTTAAACAAATAGTTTTCCCTATAAATAACAAAACAACAACAACAAACCTTGTTTATGTGAGTTCAAATAAAGTAACTCCTCCAGAATCGTGGCAGCAGGGCAAGAATCATCCTCACCTGTGCCAGCTTATGGGCTTATTCCATATATGGGCTTATCTCTGAGGTTTAACTTAGAGTTGTCCAAGAAATAGCATGTATTCTAAATACGGCTTATTTCTGAGATTATCAAAATACCTTTCATATTTCTCTTGGCTCTAGCAAATCTCTGTCAGCTCTCTATACAGGCATGACAGTCCAGGAATAAGAAGTTGTAAGGAGGAGAAGCCCCTCTTAGCTCTGACTTGTTCTCCATTGGCGTCTAGACCAGCCAGGCTCTGGGGAAAAAGGGGCCTGTGTGCAAAACCACAGCCCAGGCCAGTCTTGTTCAAGAGGAGGCCATTTGTTAGTGTGGCTGTCCACAGTAAGGTCAGGATTATTTCAATGAAGGATTAAGCACACTCTTGTGGGTAGCAGACTTTAGGGGTCTATCCCATAATGATTCACTGCCCGTGAATCATAGAGTCTTAGGACACTTAAGCCCAATTCCTAGGCTTTCTCTCCCACAGTCTCAACTGAATTAAAATCTTGCTACAAGATTTTAAGTTTGAAACCTAGGTTTGGACCAAATCTGGAGTAGTGATACAGGTGGGGGGGATGGAGTTACAGTAGTTCTGGCATTGGCTTGATGGCTTTGCTACTTCGTGGGAAATTGAAATGTAGCTTCTTAACCCCAACACAAATCAAGGAAGAGATCAAGGCAGAGAGCCAGAGATCTTTAGGTAGAATGGTCCTTTGATACTTTAGCACTTTACCTCTCTGGGCTACCAGGTCTCTCTGAGAATGCAGTGACAGTTCAGAAACCTCTCAGCCAGTCTTACTATCAAATTGGCCTTCTCAGGAACCTGAGTATTCCAGCGGTAAGCCTGATATGACCTTTCTCCTTGAAGCAATAAGCCGTGTATGTACATTTTCCTATCATTTTAAGGATAGGAAGAGGTCTGATTAAGATTCCTGCTCAATAGCATAGGCTAAAGTAAAACAAGTTTCTTTGAACTATTTGGTCTGGTGCCTGACTGATGGTAGATATTTAATCTTTTCTGGGGTTTAAATTTCTTAAAACAAGCCCCCCACATACTGAGAGTATTCATTGGCACTAAGAGGGGCCTCTGTAACCCAGTGAGAACCCTGATTAGGGTGAGGGGTGTTGGCACAGTGCTGGGCTGCATTCCTTCCTTTGATGAGTCCACAGAGCCCTAGTCAACAAGTAATGTAATCAAGCACACTCTGTCTATGTGCCTCTTGGCACGCCCTGGGAAAGCACTTAATATAGTGCAGGAATTAGCCAGCCTTGCCTGGGAGCCAGCCTTGCCTACTATGTAGGCAAGGGATGTTTTATCTGACTCTTTGCTACTCTTCAGATGTATTATATAAACAAAGACTTCTTTGGTTACGCTTGAGCTCTATTTTAGACTGGACCGTGTGTGTTTTACAGTAGAACAGCTATGTTGTACCTATTTAAAGCAGTGCAGAAGACTTGGCTGTTTCTTTTTGTCTCATAGCACGTAAGGCAAATTTCACACAGAATAGTCATCAATTGGCAGTTGGAATAGGAATAGCTCTTGGATGGTAAATCTTGGGATGCCCAAAGGTAAAGACATTGACATGGCCAGGATACATGTTTGTTTTAGACGACAATCAAGACTCTAGATCCTTAAGGGACAAGAACTGTATCTGTTTATGGCAACTTTTTTTTGTATTATACTTTAAGTTCTGGGTTACATGTGCAGAACATGCAGTTTTGTTACATAGGTATACACGTGCCATGGTGGTTTGCTGCACCCGTCAACCAGTCACCTGCATTAGGTATTTCTCCTAATGTTATCTATCCCCTAGCCCCCCATCCCCCACAGGCCCCAGTGTGTGATGTTCCCTTCCCTGTGTCCATGTGTTCTTATTGTTCAATTCCCACTTATGAGTGAGAACATTTGGTGTTTGGTTTTCTGATCTTGTAATAGTTTGCTAAGAATGATGGTTTCCAGCTTCATCCATGTCCCTGCAAAGGACATTAACTCATCCTTTTTTATGGCTGCATAGTATTCTATGGTGTATATGTGCCACATTTTCTCAATCTAGTCTATCACTGATGGACATTTGGATTGGTTCCACATCTTTGCTGTTGTGAATAGTGCTGCAATAAACATACCTGTGCATGTGTCTTTATCATAGACTGATTTGTAATCCTTTGGGTATATGCCCCATAATGGGATTGCTGGGTCAAATGGTATTTCTAGTTCTAGATCCTTGAGGAATTGCCACATTGTCTTCCACAATGGTTGAACTAATTTACACTCCCACCAAGAGTGTAAAAGCATTTCTATTTTTCCACAACCTCTCCAGCATCTGTTGTTTCCTGACTTTTTAATGATCGCCATTCTAACTGGTGTGAGATGGTATCTCATTGTGGTTTTGATTTGCATTTTTCTAATGACCAGTGATGATGAGCCTTTTTTCATATGTCTGTTGGCTGCATAAATATCTTCTTTTGAGAAGTGTCTGTTCATATCCTTTGCCCATTTTTGATGGAGTTGTTTGCTTTTTTCTTGTAAATTTGTTTAAGTTCTTTGTAGATTTTGGATATTAGCCCTTTGTCAGATGGATAGATTGCAAAAATTTTCTTCCATTCTGTAGGTTGCCTGTTCACTCTGATGGTAGTTTCTTTTGCTGCGAAGAAGCTCTTTAGTTTAATTAGATCCCATTTGTCAATTTTGGCTTTTGTTGCCATTGCTTTTGGTGTTTTAGACATGAAGGCTTTGCCCATGCCTATGTCCTGAATGGTATTGCCCAGGTTTTCTTCTAGGATTTTTATGGTCCTAGGTCTTACGTTTAAGTCTTTGATCCATGTTCAGTTGATTTTTGTATAAGGTGTAAGGAAAGGGTCCAGTTTGAGTTTTCTGCATGTGGCTAGCCAGTTTTCCCAGCACCATGTATTAAATAGGGAATCTTTTCCCCATTGCTTTTATGTGTCAGGTTTGTCAAAGATCAGATGGTGGTAGATGTGTGGTGTTATTTCTGAGGCCTCTGTTCGGATCCATTGGTCTATGTATCTGTTTTGGTACCAGTACCGTGCTGTTTCGGTTACTGTAGCATTGTAGCATAGTTTGACGTCAGGTAGCAGGATGCCTCCAGCTTTGTTCTTCTTGCCCAGGATTGTCATGGCTATGCAGGCTCTTTTTTGGTTCCATATGAAGTTTTAAGTAGTTTTTTCCAGTTCTGTGAAGAAAGTCAGTGGTAGCTTGATGGGAATAGCATTGAATACATAAATTATTTTGGGCAGTAAGGCCATTTTCACAATACTTATTCTTCCTATCCATGAGCATGGAATGTTTTTCCATTTGTTTGTGTCCTCTCTTATTTTCTTGAGCAGTGGTTTGTAGTTCTCCTTGAAGAGGTCCTTCACATCCCTTTTAAGTTGGATTCCTAGGTATTTTATTCTCTTAGTAGCAATTGTGAATGGGAGTTCGATCATGATTTGGCACTCTGTTTGTCTGTTATTTGTGTATAGGAATGCTTGTGATTTTTGCACACTGATTTTGTATTCTGATATTTGCTGAAGCTGCTTATCAGCTTAAGGAGATTTTGGGCTGAGACGATGGGGTTTTTTAAACATACAATCAAGTCATCTGCAAACAGAGACTATTTGACTTCCTCTCTTCCTAATTGAATACCTTTTATTTCTTTCTCTTGCCTGATTGCCCTGGCCAGAACTTCCAATACTATGTTGGATAGGCGTGAGACAGGGTATCCTTGTCTTGTGCCAGTTTTCAAAGGGAATGCTTCCAGTTTTTGCCCATTCAGTATGATATTGGCTGTAGGTTTGTCATAAATAGCTCTTATTATGTTGAGATACATTCCATTGATATTAGTTTATTGAGAGTTTTTGGCATGAAAGTCTGTTGAATTTTGTCAAAGGCCTTTTCTGCATCTATTGAGATAATCATGTGGCTTTTGTCATTGGTTCTGTTTATATGATGGATTACGTTTATTGATTTGCATATGTTGAATCAGCCTTGCATCCCAGGGATGAAGCCAACTTGATCGTGGTGGATAAGCTTTTTGATGTGCTGCTGGATTCAGTTTGCCAGTATTTTATTGACAATTTTTGCATCGATGTTCATCAGGGATATTGGTCTAAAATTCTCTTTTTTTGTTGTGTCTCTGCCAGGCTTTGGCATCAGGATGATGCTGGCCTCATAAAATGAGTTAGGGAGGATTCTATCTTTTTCTATTGATCAGAATAGTTTCAGAAGGAATGGTACTAGCTCCTCTTTGTACCTTTGGTAGAATTAGGCTGTGAATCTGTCTGGTCCTGGACTTTTTTTTGGTTGGTAGGCTATTAATTATTGCCTCCATTTCAGAGTGTGTTTCTGATCTATGCAGAGATTCAACTTCTTCCTGGTTTAGTCTTGGGAGGGTGTATGTGTCCAGGAATTTATCCATTTCTTCTAGATTTTCTAGCTTATTTGCATAGAGGTGTTTATAGTATTCTCTGATGGTAGTTTGTATTTCTGTGGGATCGGTGGTGATATCCCCTTTATCAATTTTTATGTTTCTTTTTTTATATCATCTATTTGATTCTTCTCACTTTTACTCTTTATTAGTCTTGCTAGTGGTCTATTTATTATGTTGATCTTTTCAGAAAACCAGCCAATGCATTCATTGATTTTTTGAAGGGTTTTTTATGTCTCTATCTCCTTCAGTTCTGCTCTGATCTTAGTTATTTCTTGTCTTCTGCTAGCTTTTGAATGTGTTTACTCTTGCTTCTCTAGTTGTTTTAATTGTGATGTTAGTGTGTCAGTTTTAGATCTCTCCTGCTTTCTCTTGTGGGCATTTAATGCTATAAATTTCCCTCTACACACTGCTTTAAATGTGTCCTAGTGATTTTGGTACGTTGTGTCTTTGTTCTCATTGGTTTCAAAGAACATCTTTATTTCTGACTTTATTTGGTTATTTACCCAGTAGTCATTCAGGAGCAGGCTGTTCAATTTCCATGTAATTGTGTGGTTTTGAGTGAGATTCTTAATCCTGAATTCTAATTTGATTGCACTGTGGTCTCAGAGACAGTTTGTTATAATTTCTGTTTTTTTACATTTGCTGAGGAGTGTTTTACTTCCAATTATCTGGTCAATTTTAGAATAAGTGCAGTGTGGTGCTGAGAAGAATGTATGTTCTGTTGATTTGGGGTGGAGAGTTCTGTAGATGTCTATTAGGTCAGCTTGGTCCAGAGCTGAGTTCAAGTCCTGGATATCTTTGTTAATTTTCTCTTTCGTTGATCTGTCTTTTTTGTTGATGTTGATGCTATACCTTTCTGTTTGTTAGTTTTCCTTCTGACAGACAGGCCCCTCAGCTGCAGGTCTGTTGGAGTTTGCTGGAGGTCCACTCCAGATGCTGTTTTCCTGGGTATCACCAGTGGAAGCTGCAGAACAGCAAATATTTCTGCCTGATCGTTCTTCTGGAAGCTTCGTCCCAGAGGGCACCCGCCTGTTTGAGATGTCTGTCAGCCCCTACTGGGAGATGTCTCCCAGTCAGGCTACACGGTGGTCAGGGACCCACTTGAGGAGGCAATCTGCCCGTTATTGGAGCTTGAATGCCATGCTGGGAGAACCACTGCCGTCTTCAGAGCTGTCAGGCAGGGACGTTTAAGTCTGGAGAAGCTGTCTGCTGCCTTTTGTTCAGATATGCCCTGCCCCCAGAGGTGGAATCTGGACAGGCAGTAGGCCTTGCTGAGCTGCAGTGGGCTCCACCCAGTTCGAGCTTCCCTGCTGCTTTGTTTACACTGTGAGCATAGAACTGCCTACTCAAGCTTCAGCAATGGCAGATGCCCCTCTGCCTGCCAAGCTCCAGCATCCCAGGTTGATCTCAGACTGCTGCACTAGCAGTGAGCAAGGCTCCGTGAGCATGGGACCCACCGAGCCAGGCACAGGAGGGGATCTCCTGGTCTGCCAGTTGCAAAGACCATGGGCAAGGCACAGTATTTGGGCAGGAGTGTACCTCTCCTCCAGGTACAGTCACTCATGGCTTCCCTTGGCTAGGAAAGGGAAATCCCCTGACCCCTTGCAGTTCCTGGGTGAGGCAACACCCCACCCTGCATCGGCTTGCCCTCTGTGGGCTGCACCCACTGTCCAACTAGTCCCAGTGAGATGAACCAGGTTCCTCAGTTGGAAATGCAGAAATCACCCATCTTCTGCGTCAATCTCACTAGGAGCTGTAGACCAGAGCTGTTCCTATATGGCTATCTTGGAAGCGAACATATAGCAACTGTTTTAGCAGAATATTAAGTGTATGGTACAGGAAATTCTTGATATTCTTTGTATTGAAAATTCTTGGTTTTGTCTATGAGTGCTAGACCAGCCCATGCTCCCTTCCTCAAATCTCATTCTAATCTTTTGTTTTATTTTTAATCCAGCATATTGTACAATTTAAGTATTTATATTTTTAATCACATCACGTGTCTAATCATAGATCATGTAATAAGTGAGAGGACAAAGGAAGAAAGTGTTATTGATATAGAGTACCATTAACCAACTTTGTGTGTATATGTGTACCTCTAGAATAGATTTATTTTGTTTTAGTCAGTTTTTGTTCCAATTACAAGCAGATTAGTGGAACCTTGATGTGATAGCCTGAAGATAATGAAGTCACTCAGAATAAGCCCCAACCATTTATTCATTTGTGAATTTAGAAAATATTTATTAAGCCTCTAGTATGTGCCCAGCTTTGTACTAGGCACCAGGATAGAACTTTGATGCTCTTGTTCTTTAGTCTAGTGAACCAGACATATGTAATCCTATGTTCATGGAAACAAGAATCTTAATAATGGAGACATGATTCAAAAAACAATTATTAAAGACAATGGGTAAGGAATGGGTGGGGGTGGGGTGAGCTGGGGAGAGAAAGAGAGGAATGAAGAACATATTGGAGGAACTGGAAGGATTTCAGAATGGCCTGAATGTGGAGTGGGAGGAGCAGGGATGGTAAGACATGAGCCTAAAACGATAATCCTAGGCTTGCTAATGAAGGATTGAAGCCCTTTTAAGGGCTTTGGACTCTATCTCATGGAAATAGGAATTACTGTAGAGTTTTGCTCTGGGGAGAGATGTGATTAGATTTGTGGGTTTATAAAGATATCAGTGTTCTGGCCATAGCCTGGATAACAGATTGGATGGGACAAGAGTGAATGATAGTGGTGTTAACCAAGAGGTAGCACTGGGGTGGAGAAGAGGAGGGATTTGGGAGATATTTAAGAAGTAAGGTCATTAAGACTTGGTAGATAATTGAAGAGGAATCAAGGATGACTTTCAGTTCTGGACTTGGGCCAACTGGGTGAATAGTGATACCATTTACAAACAAACAAACAAACAAACAAACAACAACAACAACAACAAAATGGAACACAGGAAGAGGATCGTTTAGAGGAAGGATGATGAAGTAAGTTTTTTTTATTTATTTATTTTTTTAATTTTATTATTATTATACTTTAAGTTTTAGGGTACATGTGCGCAACGTGCAGGTTTGTTACATATGTATACCTCATGTGCCATGTTGGTGTGCTGCACCCAATAACTCGTCATTTAGCATTAGGTATATCTCCTAATGCTATCCCTTCCCCCTCCCCCCACCCCACAACAGGCCCTGGTGTGTGATGTTCCCTTTCCTGTGTCCATGTGTTCTCATTGTTCGATTCCCACCTATGAGTGAGAACATGAGGTGTTTGGTTTTTTGTCCTTGAGATAGTTTGCTGAGGATGATGGTTTCCAGTTTCATCCATGTCCCTACAAAGGACATGAACTCATCATTTTTTATGGCTGCATAGTATTCCGTGGTGTATATGTGCCACATTTTCTTAATCCAGTCTATCATTGTTGGACATTTGGGTTGGTTCCAAGTCTTTGCTATTGTGAATAGTGCCACAATAAACATACGTGTGCATGTGTCTTTATAGCAGCATGATTTATAATCCTTTGGGTATATACCCAGTAATGGGATTGCTGGGTCAAATGGTATTTCTAGTTCTAGATCTCTGAGGAATCGCCACACTGACTTCCACAATGGTTGAACTAGTTTACAGTCCCACCAACAGTGTAAACATGTTCCTATTTCTCCACATCCTCTCCAGCACCTGTTGTTTCCTGACTTTTTAATGATCGCCATTCTAACTGGTGTGAGATGGTATCTCATTGTGGTTTTGGTTTGCATTTCTCTGATAGCCAGTGATGATGAGCATTTTTTCATGTGTTTTTTGGCTGCATAAATGTCTTCTTTTTGAGAAGTGTCTGTTCATATCCTTCACCCACTTGTTGATGGGGTTGTTTGTTTTTTTCTTGTAAATTTGTTTGAGTTCATTGTAGATTCTGGATATTAGCCCTTTGTCAGATGAGTAGATTGCAAAAATTTCCTCCCCTTCTGTAGGTTGCCTGTTCGCTCTGATGGTAGTTTCTTTTGCTGTGCAGAAATTCTTTAGTTTAATGAGATCCCATTTGTCAATTTTGGCTTTTGTTGCTGTTGCTTTTGGTGTATTAGACATGAAGTCCTTGCCCATGCCTATGTCCTGAATGGTATTGCCTAGGTTTTCTTCTAGGGTTTTTATGGTTTTAGGTCTACCATTTAAGTCTTTAATCCATCTTGAATTAATTTTTGTATAAGGTGTAAGGAAGGGATCCAGTTTCAACTTTCTCCATATGGCTAGCCAGTTTTCCCAGCACCATTTATTAAATAGGGAATCCTTTCCCCATTGCTTGTTTTTCTCAGGTTTGTCAAAGATCAGATAGTTGTAGATATGCGGCATTATTTCTGAGGGCTCTGTTCTATTCCATCGGTCTATATCTCTGTTTTGGTACCAGTAGCATGCTGTTTTGGTTACTGTAGCCTTGTAGAATAGTTTGAAGTCAGGTAGCGTGATGCCTCCAGCTTTGTTCTTTTGGCTTAGGATTGACTTGGCGATGTGGGCTCTTTTTTGGTTCCATATGAACTTTAAAGTAGTTTTTTCCAATTCTGTGAAGAAAGTCATTGTTATGAAGTAAGTTTTTGAAAAGCTGCTTTTGTGGTATCTGTGAGAAAGCCTAGAGAATATGTTGATTAGGCGATTGCATTTTGGGGTAAACAGTTGAGGAAAATGGTCTTAGATGCAGGTACTGAATTGGGTATATTGTGGTAAATCCATGGGCAATACAGAAACTATTTGAGAAGTGGCCATGGCCCCCTGATATGTGAAATTGAATTAGAGAACTAAGACTTGCACATGCACAGAACAGGGTAGTGGCCATGGCCCCCTGATTTGTGAAACTGAATTAGAGAACTAAGACTTGCACATGCACAGAACAGGGTAGCTGAGGGCCAGCTTGAGTGATGCAGTAAAGACTTCCAGAGTCTAGAGAAGGAAAATTCAGAACCCTGAGGCAATCAAGGGTATTTTCAACCAATATGATCCTTCTAAAATTGACCTCCTCACCTTCTCCTGCCTAAAACTCTCAGTGGTCCCTCATTGATCTGAGGCCGAGGTCCAAATTCCTTAGCTTGTTTGCCAAGACCCATTCTAATCTAGTTTCTTCCCAACTCTCCAACTCTCCATTTTCTCAGCTCTCACTTCCCACTCTTTCCTCTCTCTAATTTTCCAGTCTGGCAGCTTCTTGTTGTTGCTGCCCCTGGCCCCAATTTGAGGCTGCTTCTTCCTCAGTGTCTGTTGCTACTTGGCTCCTGCACTAGATTGCTGGCCTGCTCATCCTTACTGTGTCTGACTGGCAGCTCTGATTGATCTTCAAACAAAACTTTGCCCAGGTTGTTTTCCATGCAGTACTTTTCCCCCACCCTTAAAGATAGCATCAATCTCTCCTTGCTCTTCCTCTCTACCTTGTACTTACTTCTGTGACTGCATGTAATGCTGGTTTTTTTGTTTCTGTTTCTGTCATACCTTCCGGTTTTAAGCTCCTTATTAACGGTGATTTTTTAAAAATTATGTACTCAGTATCTGATATAGCGTTTGGCACATACAAAATGCTTAGTAAATTCTGAGCTGGAATGACTACTTTAAACTTCAGGTATAAATATAGGGTAGATTATAGGAATATAGGAACTAACAACTGCATTTGTGTGTGTTTAATGGCTTTAATAGTACTGATCACAAAGTCAGCACCACATACTTATTGCTAGCAATACTGATATTAATTGAGTCTAGTCAGATCAGAACGTGCACACTTTTTAGGCGCCCTTGCCTCCAGAATCAACTTTTTCCCCCCATTTTTCTTTCTCAAAAAGTTGAAATTGTGCGAGTTGTAACCACCTTCAAAAGCCGGTTCAACTTAATATTCAATTATTCATTAACCCCATTCATGCATAGTCAGTTATTGAATGTCTACCCCAATCCAGGCACTAAGGATTTGGGGACAGACTTGGCCCTATCCTCATGAAGCTTATAGAGAAACACTCTAAGTTTCTAAGAAAGAGTTATTAGAGAGAAAAGGGTAAAGTCATGGAACTAAGAGTTGAAAGGTAAAAAGCAGTCCCAAAGATAAAAACAAATCAGTGTTCTTAGGTCTCCTAGAAATTGCTCTTTTATTTAACTATAGCTAAAAAGTCATAACTTGTAGCAGGGAAAGCCCAAATATAAAATTGGAAAAAGAGCAAACTTGAGAAAGAGTTTGCCTGATGCTTTACTGTTAATAGCTATTATTTCCACTAGCCATCAAGCTGTAGCACCAAATAAACCAAGTTCTTGGTTCTGATATTTTCTGACTTCTTTCAGGTATTATTAACACATGAACTAAAAATTATATTTTTTCTTAAGATATGAACATTTTGAAAGATTTGCCACATTCTCATCTGCTTTCATTGTGCCTTGGGGGAAATATTTTTTCAGAGGAAAATAATTCTTCTCAGCATTAAAATTCTGGTTCTGAGAGATATATACACACATATGTATATATGCACATATATGTATATTTAATCACATGTGATTTGAGATTTGATATAGAAGTTTAAATTTATAGGAAACCTCTTGTCGACTAGATATATTTGATCCAGGCAGGCACAGATCTACAGTATTAGTCTTTTCCTTTCAGCACAGCTTTCCTTGAGACTCCTCCACCCCATCTAAACTCTTTATTCTTCTTTTGTCCTCCTCCTCTTGATTCTCACCCATAACTATAGAGTTATACTATTTCTTTGGATAGCAAGTGAGGAATGTGTTTGCTTCTTTATGATTATAGAGGAATTATGTAGTCCAGTGGGAGGAATGACTATTGTGTTAAAAATGCCTGTGCTAAGTCTTCATAATAAAAGCAGCGTGGGCAGAAGCCAAAACTGCTCCACATTGTTGAAACCTCAATTTGTGCCACTTGGAGAAGAAGATGATATGTTAGTGTTAGGAGGGTGTGTGTCTCTCCGAGTGATTTTACAGGGCTGTAATCTATGGCTGTGCAAAGAACACTGGAGCATTTGAGCATCGTGCCAGGTAGCCCAGTGGTGTTAAGTGACTGGTAGCATACAATCAAGTGGGAAGAAAAAAGAAGTCAGTTATTAATGAATTATTCAGGCATGTATCCTACAAGACTGGGAAAATCTGAAATTATTTTTGCCAGCATTAACTAGAGTTCTAAATCAAGATCTGGGTAATAGCGTCTGCATGGATTTAAGTAGTTGCTGATAAGTAGGTACCTGGGACCATCTCCATGGGGATAGTTTGTTTCATTAAATGAACTCACTAAACAAGCTGTTAAAACCCTTCTTTATTTCAGTATGGTCCCAGTCTTAGCCTGTAAATGTTAAAATTCCTTTGTTTTCTCTTACTGTGTGTGGTTGAGGTCTGTAAGGCTGGTGTCCTGTCAGTGCTGATTTGTGTTTTTTGGTGTTTTATTTTTATTTTTTGCCAGGAACCTGGTTCTTGTATAAACCAGGGCCCCCCTGCAGAGGATTTAGAAGTCAGGAAGGGCAGCCAGTACTATTGACTTTTACTTCAGGTTTGGCTAAAAAAATAACCACATTCCTATTTCAATTGAGAATTAGCTTAGTGTTTATACAAGGAATCAGGTCATTGTTTGGTGGTCCATAATATGCCCTTTCTTAAAAGAAAAAGCAAAAACAAAACCAAAAAACTATCTCTAGCAATCTAAGCAATAGCACCACATATTCAGAGCTTTCAGTCCAGCAATGCAGTGCTCATCATAAGCCCATAGTGAATAGTTACAAAATGAATGCATGAATGACATCTCAATTTAAATATTACAGAATTGTAAGCACCTTTTTTGACTAAGTCAAGGAGACACACAACTGGAGGAAAAGGAGTGTCAGGAGATGCAAGGGAGAGGAGTAATGGCAGATCACTCTGGTTGTTCAGGAGACAGGAGGGGATAGATGGAGAGCAGATGCAGAGAGATTTTCCTGGGACAGGAGGAGGAATGTCCTTTTCACTAAGAAAGAACAAAGAAAGGATGGTGGTAGGTTCAGAAGAGTTTGGGTGTTTTTCACATGACCCTGAAAAGTTTGTAGAGGGTTACTGAAGATGGGAAGGGCCACTCAGTGGAGTGGGAGGGTTTCTAGTGTGGTTTGGCTCACCTAGGGGAGATACTAGGGCCTGCATGGAAGGAATGGTTCTGCGTGTTTACATGTTTAGAGGAGCTGTCTGCTGGCCCACGCCACACTTGGTTCTCTCTAGCTCCTCAGTTTCTGACTTCTCAGCCCTCCTTTCATATATAAGTTCAGCCAAACTTGAACCCAGGAGGCGGAAGTTGCAGTGAGCTGAGATCACGCCACTGCACTCCAGCCTGGGCAACAGAGCGAGACTCTGCCTCAAAAAAGAAAAGAAATGCATGCCCAGATTTGGAAGCAATCTAAGTGTCCATCAACAGATGAATGGATACATAAAATTGGTACTTATACAAAGTGGAGTACTAACTATTTGGCCATAAGAATGAGATTCGGTCATTTGCAACAACATGTATGGAACTGGAGGTCATTATGCGGTGTAAAATAATCTAGGCACAGAAAGACAAACATTGCATGTTCTCACTTATTTCTGGGACCTAAAAATCAAATCAAAACAATTGAACTCATGGAGATAGAAAGTAGAAGGATGTTTACCAGAGGCTGGGAAGGGTAGTGGGGTGGGAGGGAGGTAGGGAAGGTTAATGAGTACAAAAAGTTAGAATGAATGAATAAGGCCTGGTATTTGTTAGCACAATAGAGTCACTATGGTTTATAATAATTTAATTGTGCATCTTAAAATAACTAAAAAAAAAAATTAGATTGTGTGTAATATAAAGGATAAATGTTTGAGGGAACAGATACCCCATTTTCCATGCTGTGATTATTACACATTGCCTGCCTGTATCAAAACATCTCATGTACCCCATAAATATATATACCTACTATATACCCACAAAATGTTTTTAATGTGTATTTTCCTAAAAAATATGCCTGTGCAAGATAAGCAACGTAAACAAAATGACGAGGCCAACCTAGGGCTAAAGGTCTGAAGACACATATGTTTCTGTTGTCATCACTGATCAAGTGAGTCACTTAATTTTGCTCTTTCTTTTAAAGCACAAAGGAATCACGGGCTTTGAAAGGATCTTTTGGGTCATCACCTAATCCAAACATTTTACTTGACTGTGAATCCTCAGTATATACCTATGGTTTTAAGAAAGGTGAGGGAGCTGAGATGGACTAGGTTTTTTTTTTTTGTTTTTTTTTTTGAGATGGACTCTCGCACTGTCGCCCAGGCTGGTGTGCAGTGGCCTGATCTCGGCTCACTGCAAGCTCCACCTCCCGGGTCATGCCATTCTCCTGCCTCAGCCTCCCGAGTAGCTGGGACTTCAGGCGCCCACCACCATGCCTGGCTAATTTTTTTGTATTTTTGTAGAGGTGGGGTTTCGAGACGGGCTATTAACAGTAGTATACAAAAACATGAAATGGGTCAGAGAAGGCCAACTCTGCTTCCTCCCACTGTTTTGAGCCTTATCGGGATTTGTGTTCATCTGACACTTCTTCTGCATCTCTTTAAATGTGCCTCAGGACCTCCTCTTGGTGCAGATTTTGGCCGTAGAGGTTTTTTTTCTTCATCTGCTGTCCATTTACTCAAGTTTATTTTCCTGTCACTTGTCTCTTCCTCTCATGTCAATGAGATATCACTGTGGCTTCTAAGTACTGGGCCTGTAATCACATCATTTTTACTTGTAGGATTAGTTTTGGTTTCTGGAAAGTCATTGATCCATTATCTGGCAATGAGAGAAGAAAAGTGGAAAGCCTGAGAAACTCAAAAGAAAATTGCTGTTCTCTTTTCTTTCTCCTGCCTGAATCACTCCTTTCATGATAGATAACCCAAAAAGTGTTTCTGTGAGATGTTTTCTGTGCTGTGGTTTTACCTATGGATTTAAAGCTTCCAGTAACCTGGATCTGTGTGTAATTTATCAATTATAATATCATATTGGTAAATAATAATTTTAATATCCTAGGTATGGTATTAGGTACTATATATGCATTATCTCATTTAATTTTCAAAACAGCCTGATGCAGTAGGTGCTGTTATTTATCCCTACTTTACAAACAAAAAGTCTGAGGTTTGAAAGTTAAACTACTTACTGGCAGCCATCTATCCTTAAGTGATGTGGGTGAGATTTGAACCCTCATGCCTGACTAAGCTCAGAAGTCTAACAATAATGTTCTTATTTTATTTTATTTTATTATTTTTTTAAAATCCGAATCCTGACAGTCTCAAAGGACAATTGCATGCTGGTAGGGTTTAATTGTAGGAAATTGTTATATCATCAGCAATGTCATGGGGCTGACTGTGTATTTGAGATATACAGTAACAAACCATATTACAAAAGAGAGATAAGCCAAAAACTTCCCCCTGCACTTGCAAATTAAAAAGAAATTTTGATTGACCTTGCTGATGCCTTTCTGAAGTAGTATTTATTTCTAAAACTCTTGCCGTCATAGTCAGTCTTCCTCTTTCCTTCTTGCATCTTTTCTTTTTCTCCTTTTAATTTTCTCTTTTTCCTGCCTCTGTGTTCCTTCTCCTTTCAGAAAATCTCCCAGTATATCCTCCTAGTAGGAGTTTCAGGTGCATGCATGAATTATTTATTGCTACTGGCCTGTGTTTCTGCAGTGGATTTGTGGAGAACTTTCTCATAGGGACATCATTTGAAATTATTAATGACAGTTACAAACTGATCTGCAGAGAAAGCATGGAAATACTTGGGCTGTTTCTTGCAAAATTCAGGATATTTATGTAAGCATAAGAGGGATGGAGGAAAGGCATTTCAGGAGACACTCACATTCCTAAATGGGTTCACTCATGTCAGGAGTCTAGGTCATGTGCAATAATTTCATCATGAGTGCTAGAAGAGTTTTTTATTTGGAGTATGCTAAGGATAGAAGTTTCCATTTTGTTTTTCTCCATATTGTCCATTCCAACAAGATAATATCTCAAGTACAGCACTACTGCACATGGTTGGGCAGATTGTACACTGTACAACTCTAGGGGGTGTCATTTACATTTCCACACAACTGTATGTGGAAGTCCGGACTGAGGGTATACCGTCAATTCTCATTATTTGCAATAGTCATGTTCTATAAAGTTGCCACGAACACTGAATTAACAAATACCGAACTGTTGCTCCTAAGGGAAATATAAGTTTAGGATCCTCCTGTGAGCCTCTGATCTCAACATTTCCATCAGCTGATCGATACCTAACTGTGTTTTATGTGTGCTTTTGCTTTAAGACACCTTACTTAATATATATTGTTGATTCACACCTTTGAACTCATGGCTAACAGCACTATAACTCATGGCTGAGTGAAGCATATCTAACACATGTGTTTTTTCTGTAAGACATATCACAGCTTTGCACTTAGGAACAGTAGACAGCACTGCAGCACTGTGTGCATGGGTCATTTTAAGAGTGAAGTCACACAAAAAGCACAACATTGTGAAAAACAGGACACTAAATAGACTGTGAAAAGGACACTTGTCTACAGTATGGGAGCTGAAACAGGAGAACAGAGTGTTGCCTTGTTTGACCTCTGCTGGGAATGTGTGCATTTGGGTGACTCAACGATTTTGCTGCTCTGTGCATGTCCATCAATGACCGTGAAAGCATTATAAATATTAATTTGGGGCTTACAAATAAATTGTGGCCACTAGGAGAATTCTCAATTACGGAATCCATGCATAATGAGGATCAACTGTATACTTTTTAAACTAATAACTTGGGGCATGCAAGGGGAGGTATTGGGCTGAGACTGATAATAAGGAAAATAGGATTATAACACTTTAGAGTTGGAAGCAACTTTAGACAGCACGCAGTCTAATCTCTCCAGTTCTTGAATGAGGAAGAGGCTCAAAGAGATTATGGGACATGTCGAAGGCCACACAGTTAATGAATGACAGAGCAGATGTTTGAGCCAGAGTTCAGGAGAACCCAAGTCTTGGACATACCACCCTGATGTCTTGCTCTTTTGTGTGCCATTGGGAGAGTTCCCACAGGACTTCTTAGAGCTGCTGTGCTGACACTGAAGCACAGTGGAGATGATGACACTAAATAGCTCTTCCAGTGTGAGCTTCCCCACCCTATCAGTTTAATTCCTCATGCCAGAAGTACTTTTGGCATACCTACTGTGCGCCAGCACCGTGCTCGGTTTTGGGATACAGGGGTGAATGAGACTTCATGAGAAGTCTTCACAGTGGAGTGGGCACCAGCACACACAGGGCCTGAGGCCACTGGCACTGCACCATCTGAAACAAATCCCTCCTCAGCAAGAAAAGCTCTGGAAAGGAAATAGATTTAATGCTACATCTCAAAATCCTGACCTAAGAATCACCCACCTGGGTGTGTTTTTTACTGAACCTAAACAGGGCTGGGCAATACTTACATGGCTTTCATAGTCCTTTGATTCAGTTTTTTCCTTCAGGTAAGGAAAAGATGCAAACCTTATAAGAGTCTAATGCCAGCTCCTACATGATCATAGTCAATTGTCCAGAGGCTCTTTATAGACTCTGTTGGTTCCAGGGAATTATTTGAATAATTCTTGTTAAATGTTAAGTAAAGTAACTTCTTTAATCATATATGTATATTTCTGTGTTGGTGTGTGTATATAAATATGTATACATATATATTTTTTCTCTTAGGCATAATGAAGGAAAGAGAATGATTGTATCACTTTTCTGTTGAAGATTATAGATTTTTTATTTTTTAAAAAATGCCATCTTAATTATGTTAATAATATCATAGATTATTCATTTATGAATGATAATAGTGCTGTCTCTCAGAAATGGATGTGATTGACAAGGGAAGGTTCAAGTACTGTCTGGGGAGGCTGGATTGAGCCCCAAAGGGGCCCCACATCTGGTAAGTCATCTTGGCATTGTTGGGTGTCTCTTCACTTACTCTGTGAAGGAGAGATGAATTTGAGCATCTGAATTTGGGTGTGTGTGTGTGGCAATGTGAGTCATGGTTAATAGTACGTGCTTTGGAGTTAGGATGCACTGGGTTCTAAGCCTGTCTCTGTGTCACCTTGGACACATTACTAAGGCTCTCTATGCTTCTGAATTCTTATCTGTTAAATGGGGATGTTAACATGGAGCTTGCCAGATTGCTTTAAGAGTTAATATAGGCAATAGTATGAAATGCTTAGTGCAGTGCCTGGCACATACAGAAGGCCGGATGAATGGTATTTATTGGTAGTAGCAAGTGGGCAATAGGTTCATGTTATTAGTGGTCGGGTGCACCCAGTGTGCACTGGTTTAATCTGAGATGCGAGCTTCCAACTCTGGACTCCCCTACCAGGAGCTTGTCTTTCTTCTGCAGGTGGTTTCAGGCCGAAGGGTGGGTCTGCCTCCAATCCCTTGCCTGCAGAAAGCTTCATATCCAGTGGCATTGGAGGCTCTGGTGCCAAATTGCCCATCACGTAATTTTTGCAGTTGCTCTCATTTTGAGTAGTGATAGTGATCATCTAGTAAACAGTACTTTAGTTCATAGTCCTATTTCACCCAAATGTGGAGCTTAGCTAAGAAAAGTAAGGAAGGCCATAGAAGCATTTAGGTCCAGGGTGAGAACTCAGTTGTTTCTGGAGGACTAGGCCTAATGCCAATATCTGGTGAGGATGTGGTCAGAAGATCAGGGAAAAGTAACCTAGGGATCAGCGATATTACTGATAAGCCTGGACTTTCATCCAGGATATGTGTAGAGAAATATATCTGGAGGGTTATGCAATTTCTCTTAACTATATATTATTGCTGCTTGTTTTCATAATAGCGACGGCTTTTCCAGCCTTGATAAGAAGATCACAACTATTATATAATAATTCCCTGCCACTTACCATTGTGTGTTCCTGGACAAGTGACTTAATCTCTCAGTCTCAGTTTCTGTGACTATAAATGATAGGTACTTCAGTATCTCTCCCCTAGGGTTGTTTGAGAATTAAATGAGATAAATCTGTGCATGAGAACATGAATGCATATGAGATAAGGTGGGCCCCTCACTTAGCACAATGCTTGCCTTCTATCAGAGTAAGCATTTGACAAATGTTAGCTGACATTATATAAGTTGCTATTATACTGTAGCTTTAATTTTTTTTAAAGTTGATCTTCCTTAGTCTTAAATTAGTGAACATTTATTGAATCCTGAAGATCTCTCTAAGTTCTGGCACCTGGGATTAATAAGCACTTCTCTTGCGTGTGTGTACATGTGCTCACAAGCATGTGCAATGCAGATCTGCACATCTGTGTATTTAAATTAGAATGATCCAGCTTACTGAGAGCTCACAACTTTGGGCTCATAGACTTGCCTCATTTGGGAATATCCTATCACATTATTTGGAGGTAAGTGTTCAGCCCCTTCTGAAATAATATGCTGCCTGAACTCAGTCAGGCAGTCACTAATGGTGGGGTAGTACAGCGCCAGCCTTGGGCAGGCTGACAGGCAGCTTTTGACATTATGGGCTGAGGAACAGGACCTTGGGATGTGACAGTATAAGAAGCAAGGATACAGAGGAATAAAGAAACTGGGGCATAGCCAAAAAATGAACCTTAGCAGACTATTGATTGAGCAGGGAAAATTTGATGGGGTATATGATAAAATCATTCTCCAAAGTTTTTCTCCAATGTTATATTTGGGCTTTCCCTCCTACAAATTATGACTTTTTAGCTATTGTTAAGTATAAAACAGCAATTTGCAGGAGACCTAAGAACATTGATTCGTTTTCATCTTTGGGACTCCTTTTTATCTTTCAACTCTTACTTCCACCGGTTTACCCTTTTCTCTCTAATAACTCTTTCTTAGAATCTGAAATACCCCAAATATAGCCAGTACTCCACAGTGGGATACTTCATTAGTGGAAAAGAGTCTGGGTTATAGAATATTGAGAATGTGCTAAGCACTGAATTTTGCATTAGCATAAATAGGATAATTTCTTTAAGATTTAAAAAAAGACTGTGAACAATATTATTAGCATTTGTGTGAAAAAATATAAAACAGAAGGTTGAATTATGCTAAATAGTGCATCAATTCTCCTGCCTCCGTTTAGCTTACCTGGTTGTCAGAAGTTATTACTTAAATTATTTGGGCTACTGGCTGAGACTTGCTATCTAGAGATATTGGTGAACTATATTGTTATAATTGGATTTGACCTTCAGCCCCCTTTAATTCATTTATTTGGTAACTTTTTTTTTGATTAAGGGAAAAGCCCCAACTTAGCTGAACTTTTTGTGCATTACATTTCCTTTTAAATGTTTCCTTTTTATTATGGGAAATTTCAAACAAATATAAAAGAATAGTGTAATGAACCCCCATGAATTATCACTATCTATCAATTCATGGCCAGTTTATTTAATCTGCACACGTACTTTCTTTGAAATAAATCCTAATAATATCACTTCATCAGTAAACATTTTAGTATGTATACATAAATGATAGTGACCTTAAAAATATACCCAAGAGAACATTATTACATCTAACAAATAATTAATCTTTCCTTAATAACCACATATATTTAGTCACATTCAAATTTCTAACTGTCTGTTTTTTTCTTAGTTTGTTTGTAAGGATTGGTTCCATTTTATTTATGTCTAATAAACTTCTTTCTGAAGTTGCACTTTTATTTTAGATCTCTAGTTCAGATGCCCTGAATGTGAACTGGATTAGTTTTCTAGTTCCTCCAGGAACTTGTTGTATGACCATGTGCAAATTATTTCACCTCTGAACCACAGTTTCTTAATTTGTAAAATGATAATGCTGAGCTAGAAGATCTTTAAAATCATCTACAATTGCAAAATCGTGGAACCAACCCAAGTGCCCATCAATCAATGAGTGGATAAAGAAACTGTGGTATATATATGTGTATACGCATATACATATGTGTATATGTATATACGTATATACATATGTGTATATGTATATGCATATACATATGTGTATATGCATATACGTGTGTGTATATGTATATACGTGTGTGTATATGTATATACGTGTGTGTATATGTATATACGTGTGTGTATATATATCTCATGTATATATATGATGGAATACTACTCAGCCATAAAAAGGAATGAATTAACAGCATTTTCAGTGACCCAAATTTTGTGGTGATATAAACTACTAGCAAAAAAGAGGATATTTTGACATTTTTCTTTTGAGAGAGGAAATGGCTTTTAGAAGAGTCACAAGTCAGAACCAATGATAAAAGGTGGGTGATGGGCTGGGAGATTCTTTCTGACTTTTTTGGAAGACATTCTACTCTCATAGAAGTTGAAATTTGGCTTATTACTTCTTTTTTATTATACTTTAAATTCTGGGGTACATGTGCAGAATGTGCAGGTTTGTTACATAGGTATACATGTGCCATGGTGGTTTGCTGCACCCATCAACCCGTCATCTACATTAGGTATTTCTCCTAATGCTATCTCTCCCCTAGCCCCCAACCCCCTGACAGGCGCCAGTGTGTGATGTTCCCCTCCCTGTGTCCATGTGTTCTCATTGTTCAACTTTGGCTTATTACTCCTAGCATACACAAACTATCCTTGTCACCTTTATTTTAACTGAATATGGTCTAGGGATAAATTGAAGTGGGTTATGAAAAGAATGTTTATTTGAGATTTCATTTTAAATACTTGTTAAGTGGGGGAGTTCTCTTTTGACAATGGCAGACTATGTTATTTTGAACCAACTCTCCCACTAAAAACAACTAGAAAATATGGAGAAAATATGAAAAATCTTCTGCTTAAAGGCATAAGAAAGTTATTAAGGTAGTAAGAAATCACTGGATCAAGATCCAGGAGAGGAAAGGTCCAAAAGCAGTGGTTGAGAGGCTCAGAAACTGAGCATAGCTTTTAGTACAATAATGGGGCTGATGGAGGATCATAATGGGGCTAGGTATTATTCAAAAAAGATACTTGCACACTCATGTTTATAGCAGCACAATTCACAATTGCAAAATCGTGGAACCAACCCAAATGCCCATCAATCAATGAATGGATAAAGAAAGTGTGGTATATATATACACGATGGAATACTACACAGCCATAAAAAGGAATGAATTAACAGCATTTTTAGTGACCTGGATGAGATTGGAGACTATTATTCTAAGTGATGTAACTCAGGAATGGAACACCAAACATCATATGTTCTCACTGGTACGTGGGAGCTAAGCTATGAGGATGTAAAGGCCTAAGAATGATACAATGGACTTTGGGGACTGGGGAGAAGCATGGGAGGGGGATGAGGGATAAAAGACTACAAATATGGTGCAGTGTATACTGTTGGGGTGTTGGGTGCACCAAAATCTCACAAATCACCACTAAAGAACTTACTCATATAACCAAATACCACCTGTACCTCAATAACTTATGGAAAAAAAAATGGGACTACGGCTTACTTGGGAGAGGGGCTGGTAAATGCTCTAGACTTTCGTTTGAGAACTTGAAGGGCTGCATCCTATGAGTAAGAGTGAGCAGGAAATAGACTAGCCCCATAAAGACTGAAGCTGAGCTATCAGTTAGGTCAATCCAGTTGGATTAAGATAGTTTGGAATTACTGGTGCCCTTCAGCTACCTGCCAGAAGCAAAATTTTTCCTCTCTGGAGGAAAATAGCATCATCCAGAGCCTCTAATTATCTCTGATACCTTTTCATTTAAAATATTCTGTACTCAAGCAGAAATAACTAGGCATATGAGTAGACAAGATGTAACTGAAAACCAAAAGAAGAAATAGGTGATACAAAAAGATCCGTCAGGGTTGCAGATAATGAACGGAGTTATCAGATATAGTCTTTAAAATAACTATGATTAATATGTTCAAGCTCTCAGATGGAGGCTCAGAGATACAGGAAAGGACGAAGAGCAATAAAAAGTGTAAATATGTAGGTAAAGTTAAATGATTGTTGGCTATCCAAAAATAATTCAAAATATATGCAACATTAAAATACACAACAAAAATAGTTCATAATTTGGGAGGGGGTTAAATGGAGGAAAAGTGTTCTATGTTCCATGCATTGTCTAAGAAGTAGTAAAAATATGAATTTAGATTGGATTTATATTAGTCAAAGATGCATGTTTTAATGGCTGGAGTAATAACTAAAAGAATAGTTAAGGAATGTGCAACTAACAAGCAAATAGAGGGGGAAAATAGAATAATAAAAATTAGTGATAAATCCAAAATAAGACAAGAAGGAGAGAAAAAGAAACAAGTATAAAGCAAACAGTAACATAGAAGATTTAAACTTGAATACATATTTAATTCCATTACATATAAAATAGTCAAGCTTCCTTTCAAAAGACAAAGTTTATCAGATTGGAAAAACAAACAAAACCTAACTATATGGTGCTTAAAAGAAACATATATTAAAAATAAGTATTCAGAAATGATGAAAATAAAAGGTTGGCAAATGAAATACCATGCAAACACTAATCAGAAGAAAGCCAATATAGCTATGATATCTTAAGGCAAGAAGAATTATTAAGAGTGGTATTTCATAATAATGTAAGAGTCAATCCACTAAGAAGATGTACTACTTTTAAATATGTATATACCTAATAACATGGCTTTAAAATATATAAAGCAAAAAGTAACAGAACTACAAGGAGAAATAGACAAACACAATTACAAGGTGGATTTTAATGTATATTTCTCGGTTATTTATAGATAAGTAGACAATCAGAGGATATAGAAAATTTGGACAAATTAATCAACTTGATCTCATTGATGTATAGTTCATAAAATAGTGCATTTGACAACTGCAAAACACACATTTCTTTCAAGTGCATGTTGTACTGTTGCCAAAAATGAATGTATGTCAGGCATAAAGCAACTTTTAATTTCCAAAGATTTAACTCTAGCTAGGTTCAGTAGCTGAAGCCTGTGGTCCCAGCACTTTGGGAGGCCAAGGCTGGCAGATCACTTGAGCTCAGGAGTTAGAGACCATCCTGGGCAACATGATGAGACCCTGTCTCTACTAAAAATAATAAAAAAAAAAAAATAGCTAAGTATGATGTTGCGGGCCTGTGGTCCCAGCTACTTGGGAGGCTGAGGTGGGAGGATTGCTTGAGCCCAGGGGACAAAGGTTGAAGTGACTCAAGATAGCGCCACTGCACTCCAGCCTGGGTGATACAGTGAGACCCTGTCTCAAAAAAAAAAAAAAAAAAAAGTTGAAGTCTAGGAAGTACACCTCTGAGCACTGAGAAATTAAGCTAGAAATCAATCACAAAAAATACTTAAAAAATTTCCAAATATTTTAGAAAAAAATAAGTATTTTTCTTAATCATCAAAAAGGAAATCACAAGAGAAACATTTTGAGCAGAGTGATAAAAATACTATAAACTGCAGCTAAAGCATTGACTAGAGGGACATTTATAACTTTAAAATATACATATAAATAAAAAATAAAGACAAAAAAACTCAAGAAGAAAAAAAGAATGATAAATGCAACTCAGAGAAAAATGAAGGAAGAAAATAATATAGGAATATATATTGATTGAATAAAAACATAATACAGAGCATCAATGTCAAAAGTTAATGTTTTGGAAACATTCAGTTGATTAAATTCTGATGAGACTCTGTTATGTGACTTTGGAGAATTACTGTTTGGACCAAAAAACATATTTCAAGGTCAACATTGCTGTTAAACCATCATCTTTTCTTTTCCTGCCTTCTCATTTTTCTTATTTTAAAATAAGTGTGTGTGTGTGTGTGTGTGTGTGTTTTGTTTGTATTAATTTTAATGTATTTAAAAAGATACAAGTACTTTTGTAGCTCCTGTATTTGTTTACATTTTTTATTGTAAAGTGATATACATTTATTGAAGAAAATATAAATATGCAAAAAGAAGAAAATAAGATTTGCTTGAAAAAATTAAATCCCAGATAACAATTGTTATTGTTCTATGTTTTTGAGCCTCTTTCTTTGCTTATAGATTCACTTATATGTACAAAAACTTGATCAGTGTGTATTCTGTTCAGTAATTTTTGTTCACTTAACACTACGAATATTTTTCCTTGTCATTGAATATCTTTCTATAGAATTATTTTAACAACCACATAGTATTTTGTTGTATGCATGTTCCTAAATTTATTCCAGTGTACCAGTTACCAAGTGGATATTTAGTGTTTTTGTGACTTTTTTGCAATTATAAATAGTGCTATAACAAACATTCTTATAACCAAATTTTTGTGTAAATCACTGATTTATTTTCTTAGGATAAATACCTGGAAATGAAATTGCTGGAAGGAAACAATATTCATTTCTAATGCTTCCTATATTATTTTTAAATTTCCCTTTAGAAAGATTGTGCCAACTTATAATCTCATCATCAACAACAGTGTATGAGAGTGTTCATTTCCAATACTTCCTCCAACATTAGGTGTAATCTTTTAAAATAAGCTTCATCTAAATCATCTTAACCTGTTCTGAAAGCGCTGAGTCAGTTTACAACAGGGTACTAATCAGGGCTTTCGAAGTGAGGACTTTGCAGTACGCCTTACTCTAGGTAGGCCACTCACAGAAGGGGCAGTGATTGGAGTAAGGGTGTTTATGTTCAGTGATTTCCACAGTTAATTTCTAAGATGTTTTCATAGTCAGGATATATGTATACATATACAAGCCAAGAGCGGTGGAAGCATGGTTGTTGTTTTTCACTACTTTTCTTCTTCATATTATTATTTTATCATGATTATTATTTTTATTTAATTTTAGTTTTTATGTTCACAAAGATACTTCAAAATTATTTATCTGAGAGAACAACTCTGAGGTGAGCTCATTGAAGGAAGGGTTAGAGAACCTAACTGAGCTATGAGAAGCTCGGAATGCACACTGTGGCTACATACACATAGCCTCAATGAGCTCAGCAAACACAATTTATAAAATACTTTCAAGTTTACAAAACTTTTAATTTTTTTCTTATTGAAAAAACTATATAAGAACTACATCAAGAGATTCTTAAAAAGTACTGATATGGTTTGGCTGTGTCCCCACTGAAATCTCGTCGTGAATTGTAATCTTTATAATTCCTACGTGTTGTGGGAAGCACCCAGTGGGAGGTCACTGAATCACGGGGGCGGTTTCCCCCATTCTGTTCTTGTGATAGTAAGTGAGTTCTCACGAGGTCTGATGATTTTATAAACATCTGGCTTTTCCCCTGCTGGTGCTCGTTCTCTTTCCCGCCGCCCTGAGAAGAGGTGCCTTCCGCCATAATTGTTAAGTTTCCTGAGGTCTCCCCAGCCATGCAGAACTGTGAGTCAGTTAAAACTCTTTTCTTTATAAATTACCCAGTCTCAGGTATTTCTTTATGGCAGCATGAGAATGGACTACTACAAGTACCCAGAACCCGAACATTGTAGCATACTGTTTTTTTAATTGCTATGTTCATCTTTTTAAATCAAAGGAATAATGTACAGAGTCTTAAATTTCAAATAGTAAAATAAGTCTTGTAGTGAAAAACAGCAGTCCCCTATACAAGTTCACCCACTCTCCAGAAGCAACTACTTTTAATACTTTTAGCTCTTCCTTTGGGAATTTTCTTCCACATTGCAAAATAACATGCTTACTTATACTGCTATTTCTTGATCTTTTTAGTTACAGATATATATTGATTTTCATAGATGGCATAGTCCTTGTATAAACTGTATGCACATACCCCATGCATCTTTTTTGTCTCTTCCTTTATATTCCATAACACCTTCCTGCCTCCTCTTCCTATCCTCCCAAGATTACTTTTTAGAGCTTTTTATTATAGAAAATTATACCCCAAAACATAGCGAGAATAGTACAGTGAACTCCAGTGTGTCCATTCTCTAGCTTCAACAATGATTTCAGTTATGGTCAAACTTATTTCGTCTATGTCCACTACCTTCCCATCCCTCACATTTCCCTATACTAGATATTTTGAAGCAAATTCCACATATCTTATCATTTCCTCTAAAAATATTTCAGTAAGCAAATGCTCCCAATATAGTTATATCACAGTTTTCTGTTAAATGAGTTTTTAGTGTTGACCTTATTATGGCCACATAAATATTGATCATAGATGTATCACATTGTACATTATAATTTCATTGATTTCTTGTATCACTTTTAGGTTTTTTTTGTGAATTGATAATTACATGTTTTTTGTTTGTTTAGTTTTCTATGTGTTTTCATAATTTATTCCTAAACACCCTGACAAGACTCTAATGTTGACCCCAGACTTTAATGTTGACTTCAGTATGATTAAAAACATTAGGTAATCTGTCAGCTTCATATTTTTTTGCCCCCAGTAGACATCTACACAGCAGTTATCCAAAACCCTGCCCCTTTCCTGGATGTTTTATAGGCTAATGACACAGCTGTTGCCCTGTCTTATATTATGTGTTCTCCTGTATTAAATTCCCAGAGTCTGGAATCTTTTGTTTTCATCTTTTTTTGTTTACTCCCTAATTTTAGTGGAGCCATATTCTCTACTTGCCTTCTGAATAAAGGTGCAATGAGTTTACACTCTCTCAGATTCCCACTTCAAAGAAAGAAAGGTATGATGCATTGACAAAGCAATTTTGCATGTACAGGGAATGAACAGTTACGGAGCTGAGTTCCTGATAGGGAGGTCATCTTCCCTAATGAAATCACATAGGCTTCAGAATCAGTTAAACTTGGCTTTAATTCTAGCTTTGCTGTTAGTAGTTTTTGAGGGGAAGCCATGTATCCTCTCTGAGTCTCAGTTTTCCCATCTATAAAATAGGTATAATTATAGCACTTATCACATATTGGTTTAAATGTAGTGACACACGTAAAAGGCCTTAGCTTTAGACCTGCCTCTGAAGAAGGGACCAATTAAGGGCAAGTGGAAGCCTGTAAGGAGAGTGGAGACTGTCCAACAAGGAAATGAGTTCATCCTTCAGTTCTGCACTTTCTAGCTATGTTTTCTTATGTTTAAAACTAGGACATTATGTCTGTCCTATTGAGTTGTTGCAAGGATTGTGTGGAATGGGATAATGTGAGCGAGCAACTCTTGTCACTAGATGTGTTTTAGATAAACATTATTATGAAGATGTTAGGGATCCCCTGGGGACTAGATTGCAGGGTGAGAGTGTGTCCAAGAAAGGCTGAGCATTAGTTGGAACATTTGTGCTCAGTAACCTGATTATTGTGATGCTTTCTGGGTTGTGAGTTTCTGGAAAACTTAAATCAAATTGCTTATTATGAGAATTTTTCTGACATGTGGAGGTAGTTCAATCTGGAAGTGACCTTGGAAATAATTAAAAATTAAAAGCAGCTTTGTTGTCTGGAATAGTATGTGAAGAAAATGTCACTTGTTCACTCCAAATCTCAAGGTCTTCCCTTCTACAAAACATGAGAACAGCTTCTAGAAATGAGGAGTTATTTGGGATTGTTGATTTTTTTTTTAGAGGAGTAGAGAAATGACTAATTTTTTCATTGGTGAGTAATATGCTACAAAGACTCGTAGAATCATATACTTTTGGACCTGGAAAGTAGCTTAAGGACCATCTGATTAAAATTTTAAGTTTTATTGATGAAGAAATTAAGCTCAAGAAAGGCTGTTACTTGTCCAAGATCACAGAAGTATTAACTATTGAAGCTTGAGAAAACAGCCAGTTCTCTGCTCAAATTTCAGCTGAAACTACATTGTATAATAAAATAACTCAACATAACATTACAACAGAATAGTTTAAACTCTTTCTAGTCAGTGGCAACTTAGGGTAGGGAAGATCCAAAGGGATTTTTAAACAAGTTTGTTGAAATTATGTAAGAAAATTAACTTCATCAGTGAATTGAGATTTAGTAAGCGTTCTTGAGCTTCTAAATTAACACTTCAATTTTTATATGCTACAGTGCTATTAATTATGTATCTGATCTTAATTACTTATGTCAAAATATATCTAAAGCACCAAGTTCCCCATGTTTTAAGAATTTGGGTGATCATTGCTTCTTATTGTGGACCAGAGTCATTGATATTCAATAACCTGATCAACTTCTCAAGGTCTTTTGGTAGGTACCACTTTTAAGTGGATCCATCCTGCTTTTCTCAGTAGCGTTTATTATTGTGAATTATAGTGACTGTGAATATACAAGGTTTCTGAAAGTACTGTGAAGTTGCAGAGAGGCATACACCAGCAGAATCCATGTGACTTTTGTCTTATCAAGTGAAAATGAGGCAATTTCCTGATTGGCAGCAGAAGGACCCCAAGAAATAGTATTTTTTTAAAAAACTTTTGGACAAAGAGTGTAATTCATAGTCTTTCTTTGGGGAGAGCTATTTCAATATTGCTGTTTCTTTATGTGCTGAATAAAGCAACAGACTTGGAACTCTATTGCCCTTTTTTTTGTATTTTGGCTTTCCCCACAATCCCTTTAGGAGATAGTCACTGGTAATAGCATGATCCTGGAAATGGCAGAGCTGGGGCTGTACCCACAGAGTGAAAGGCCCACAGTGAGTGCCATGTTTTGGTTACTAGACCCAGGGCCTGAGCATTCTTGGCAGTGAATGTGCAGTGGGCTTAATATCTGACTTTTGTGTGTGTATTTATTGGTTTCTTCTCTATGTTAAGTTGTATTTGCTGAGGACTTGGCTTTTCTCAATCCTCTGGTTGTATTATAAAAATTATTATAAGGCCAATACATACTCATAGTAAAAAATTCCAGTGGAACAAAAAGTTATACAGTGCACTGTAGACTGTCCCACCAGCACCAGTCTCATTCTTCACAGGAAACACCACCTATTGATTCTTGAGTCTCCCTCTAGACATTTTCCATGTGAACACATCCATATATGTATACATGCATATATTTTTTTCTTGAATGGGAGTATAGTATGTGTATATTTTAGCCTTTTCACTTGCTAATCTATTTTGGAGATCTTTTTGCATCACTATATACAATTAACTCATTCCTTTAAACGGCTAAGTGGGATTCCATCTTAGGAATATTCCATTCTTCATTGATTTTCTCATATACTTTCCTCTCTTTCTCAGACAGCATTCCTCAAGACAGGCATTTAGTCAATCTCACACTTCAGCTGATGTTGCCTGGAGGAGGCTCAGTTTTGCCCTGGGAAAGCAGGCTGGTGAGAGCCTGGGAATGCAGTTGCCTGTCATCATCTGCACGATCTGCACCTCCCTTCAACCTCTTGGCTGTGAGGGGTGATATGTGTTTTTGTGTTCACCAAAGCCAGAGCTGCAGTGGTGGCTCCAAGAGGCAGTGGAGCGTGGACAAGTGAGTGGGAGGTTGGGTACATCAGTGGCGAATCCTTAGATTGGACATAATGAAGCAGAAAATCAAGATACTGCACTGTCAGAATTTTCAAGGTCAATAATGCTGCTCGTTCTCTTTTTACGTCAAGTTAGCACAGGAGGTGATTCCAGCAGCTTTGCCTGTTTTCTCAGGCAGGAGGAAGGCCCCAGAGCTTGTAAAGCCCATCTCAGGAAGAGCCTGCAGACTCCCAAAGGAAATTGAAATGTCAGTTTTAGCCTGCTTTTAAGCAAGAGTGCTAAATTTTGGACAAGATAAGTAGTTTTCAAACTTCTTTTAGAAGGGGAACCTATTTTTCCAATGAAATCTCTTACTATTCCCTGTATATAAAGGAGATAAAAGTGGAGCTTTTTGGTCCGCTTTTGGTCTTTACCCAACAATTCTAATCACTTGGCATCTTCTCGGAACACAGATTGGAAAACAACAGTCTAGACAGCATATCTTTTCAACAGTGATGTTAAGATGTTATCTTTTTTTGTCTTTAAATAGAATTTAGACATTATGAAGGGTTTCTCCTTGGCATATAATTTCAAAGCGGAAATACATTCCATTTGTCCTGTTTAAAAGGGCCTGCTTTTACTTTACTAAATCAAAGGGCAGCCTGTTAGTTGAAGATAGGACGGATCACTTTGGTTAACTTTTAGCTACAGAAGGAAAAGTTAATAGTATCCAGACTGGGGGAAACTAGCTTGTAAAGACAGCAAGTCTTTATACAAATTCCAAAGCCTGTGAGATTGATTGCTTTTAGTGTTTGCTACAGCCGAATGATTAACTAGAACCCTGACACTGAACCCGTATAAGAAATGATTTATGCTCTGAGTGCAGAAAGATGTTTGCATGTAATCATTGGATTTCTTATTGAGGTCTTTTAAACATTGTTGATCTTGGGGACACCCTCTGCTTACAGAATTTTTATTTCATTTTGCATTTTATTGTCTTATGCCAGAGGCCAAGGCCAACCTTATAATATTTATTAAGTTTGGTCGGTCAGGACTTTCTAGGGGATTCCACTGAGTCTGTGGAAGAGAAGAATGCTTCAAGCTGTCTAAAGTGAAGATTGCTCTGAAATTTTTCACCACCACTAATGAGATAGTTGGTTTTATGATTAATCAGTTTTTCTAACTAAAGATATACCGTGCTCACAAACACTGAATTATACTGTATTTATTTGGGATTTTAAAAATGAAATGTATGTTGGTCAAAGCTGGAGCCAACTTTCATGGAGCTTTTTTTTTACACCTCAGTTATACCTTAAAGTTTTATTGTGGATGAAAAGCTCCCATTTCCCCAAGTTGAGATAGGATACTTTGTTCCAAAATGTTTATTAAGCATCTACCATGTGCCAGTCATGGTTCTTGGTCATTGAGATATTGATAGTAAACAGAGCAGACACAATTCCTGCCCTCAGTGGACCCTCTGTCTCATCATTAGTAGTTAGTTGTTAAACAATCTGGTGAAAAGTCACTTGCCCCACTATCCACAAAATATGTTGTCTGAGGGAGGCAGTATGTTTCAGGGTAATGAAACCCATCATTTTGGTAGGGAATTTCATTTTCTGTGCGTTCAAGTTAAGGCTAATGGAAGTCGAAGATCATGGTCTTGCCCTGAGTATAAGATAGTAACACACAAGTTCTCAGAATGTGCTATTATCTACTTGCAGGTGGAAAAGTAAGACATTTTCTTAAATATACAAGTTCCTCTAGGTGTAATGCAGACTTACAAAAGAAAAAGCATTCGGTTGCAATTCTCTCATAATAGAGAATGTCAAGAGATCGGAAGAGTAGCTGATGAGGAGATGCTTTCCTTGGCTCCCTGGAGCTGTGGATTTCTAGAGCCTTCATCTTTCTTATCTTTCTATTATAACCAGCAGAGTGCTAAGGCCTAACAGCTGACCTGAGTAGTCAAGAATTCTTACTCTTCCTTGGGGAGATATTTTAATTTTTAAGGCAGTGCGTGCCTTTGCTTTCTTTTGCAATAATCGTATTAGTCTGTAGATGGAAGGAATCAGACTTGGTCAACTACTGTTCTGAACCAGGACTGATTCTAAGTGACAGCTCAGATGCTAAGTCAGTATTTGCCTGGTTCTATTCTGTGTCATGTCGTGCTATAATTTGTCATATTATTATGCTGTATTTTAGGAAAATAAATGTCAGTGTTGCCATTAAGAAAGGTTGACATCTGTGAATAAATTTGAATTGGTGTCTTTCCTTGTGGATTCATGTATTTGGAGTGCTATCTTCTGTGTGGTTTTTAGAAAGGCAGGGTGTGTCTTAAGGCACTTTTCCTGCCCTGTTTACAGGAAAGATTGAGGTGCAGGTAGGAGACTGAGTGGCTTAAGGCAGCCAAACATATGGGGGTCAGGTTGAATTTCTCACCAGCATGCCTTTGTTTAGGGCCACTGTCTGCTTATTCTGGGCTCTCAAAGAGACTAATGTACTTGCTGATTTTAAATCGGTACAGGCTTTAATTCAGACCTAATTGCTGCATCAAGTTGTGTACATGTATTTCCTCCCCAACTAGAGGCAAACATTTTCAATTCAAGAAAAGACTCTTCTTTTGCACTGTTTTGTGTGTTCTTCATTTCATGTAGGCTGCTTTTTTTTTTTTTTTTTTTTTTTGTGGTATGTAATGCGATATTTGCTGATTGATTGAGAATGGCCCAGAGCTAATAACTTGTAGATCATGACAGATTCAGTTTTGGAGAATTCATTGACTGATTCCCCAGACACTTGTTGAGGTCTCACTGTGTGCTGAAGCACCAGTGGGAATAAATAATTTGCTCCTTTGGTTGGATCTAAATCTGTCTGTCAGCAGTAATGTATTGCATATGATATGATTATAAATTGATAAGCATTTCCCTGGAAAATCGGTCTCATTACCTGCAGTCATGTTCCATCAGCCCTCGTCCTACTCAGTTTACTGCCTAAATGTAGCACAGAGCTCTCCCTTTTTTCCTATCCTCAGCGACCTGGCCTGAGCTTGAGCTTTTATGATTGTTTGCCTGGATTGTTGCTGTAGTGTAACAGCTCTCTTTATATCAATTTGTGTTCCTGTCCCACCCATACCCATTTTCTAGGCTCTTCCACACTGATGCTGCAATGATCTTCCTAACTTAAAGACTTATCTTATCCCTAGAGGATTTTGTCCATGGCATACAAGACTTTTTGATAGCCTTCCAGCCTTCATTCCCCCCACCCCTCACCCTCTGCCTACTTTGTGTCTGGGAGTGTCCAGCATCAATATCTACCAGACTATGAGCTCTATGAGGACAGGATCCATTCATACATGTACCTCTTTGAAATTCTGGGATCCAGAATGGGGCCGGGAATATGGTGGGGTGGTAAAAACTTCTGTGGAATTGAATTGAAATTTGTACACCTTCTGAAACTAACAAGATTTTAGCTTGTTAACAAACCAGATTATACCTCCTTCTGTCTAAACACTAAATTCTTATTTGATGGATTCAGCATTGTTTGTCGAAGCACCCTGTGAAATGGAAAATAGACGGCTCTTTCCTCTGACTGCTCAACAAACCTCCAGAAGTATATTTAGAACATTTAGCACTTGAGGAGTGTTAAAGACTGTCTGTATATTTCATAAGGCTGTCCTCCTCCTCATCTGATATGAGGAGGTGGTATTAATTTCTAAAAATAGTAGAAAGGCAGAGTAAAGCAATCCAAGAGAGTCTCCTACACTGTGTTCTTCAAAGTATCTTTTGCCTTTTGGCTATCTTGAGAACAGGAAACGAAATAATTTAGCAGATTTTTCAGTGTTTCTTGAATCTGCTTTACATTTTCATAATTCTTCCCTTGTCATATTCTGTGAATCTTTTCATGTTCTTTATAACATTGATTTTAGCATTTATCCAGTGATGTTTAACCAAAGTGGATGGATTCAGTCTTATTTCAAGATGTCTCTTGCCCAACTAGATAAAATTCTTTACTCTACAATTTTTTTCAGAGTCTTTTGTTCAGCAGAATTTTTTTTCTGTCGAAAATTTTTGTT
Source organism: Homo sapiens (assembly GCF_000001405.40). Lineage (NCBI taxonomy): Eukaryota > Metazoa > Chordata > Mammalia > Primates > Hominidae > Homo > Homo sapiens. The sequence goes on from NC_000004.12 coordinate 78,154,018, forward strand.
CAGCAGAAATTTTTATTTCTAACAAAATTTGGATTGCAGATTATTCGGTATGATTTGCTATCTTTACAGCCACTTGTAATTTATAGTTTTTTTTTTCTTTTTGCTATTTCATGAGGCTAAGAGACTGCATGCAGATGAGAAGCTAATATATGGCATGTTCTTTATATTCAGAAATAACCCTACTCACTATCGGGGTTGGTGTCTTGAGTTGTGTTTCATGGACACACACAGGTAATTTGTTACCTACAGTCTCTGTTGATCTCATTCTCTTGGAACTAATGGTGCACACTTTGGAGGTAATTGTATTGCCTCTGTGTAGAAAATAGGACATTGAGGTTTAATGGATTTAAGTAACTTGCTCAGGATAACCTTGGTCTATTTGTTTAAAACCCATTTAAAATATTTTTACCATGGAATTTTGTTCTTAAAAGGAAAAATAACATTTTAAGGAACTGTCATATACCCACCACCCACCTTTTAAAGCTATTAATGTTTGCATGTTTTAAGGCCCAGTCTTCATCACTGTACTCTCTTTACACCTAACAGGTTCTAAAGAAACTCAGTTGACACTGGGGAGGTCAGAAAGTGTTACGTTTCTTTTTAGGCTCGCTTTAATTGGATTCATGTAACCATTTAAAATCATTCTTATTGTGATTATTTTTAAAACCCACAAAACTAAGAAAATCCATTTTTAATCCCTTGAGGGAAAAAATGCAAAAATAAGCAAACTGGAAATCTTAGCAGTTGGGTAGTTAAAAACAAACAAAGCAGAATTATCCAAGAGTTAGTATGCGCAGTTCCATGTACTAAAAGTGGGAGATGAAGTATACCCAGTTCTTGACAATCTAGCAGCAGATAATTGATTTTGTCTCTGGACCTTCTCCACTCTGTGGTCTCCTGCACTTCCTTCTACCATTTTCCTGGCCCAGTGAGGAATAGAGGCAGTGGAGTAGCATGAATGACTCCATGTGACAGTCTCCTTTAATGATTGATATTATTTTTGAGTCAGGCATAGGATTGCTTTTGGTTATTCACACCACTTCTCTATTATCTTCACACAGATAATAAAACATTGATTCAGATAGCTGCTTTAAACTATAAAATTCTAGGCCCATGGCTTGGCCATGTTTGTAGTCCTAGCACCTAGGACAGGGCCTGACTTCCAGTGGGTTTTCGGTCATGTTTGTTGGCTGGAACAGAACCACCCTAAGATGATATGTTATTGGTTAAGAGCCTACAAGTGGACTGCTTAATTTTTAAGCTGGGTTAATATGATCTAAACAATATTTTTTTTGGCATGCATGTAATGTAAGAAAAAAGATTGTTATTATTTTGAAAACAAACTGAAAACTGAAAACCATTAAACAGATGTAGTTTTGCTCCAGACACATTGCCAAAAATAATGTAAATAGTGTAAATTGTGCTGAAATGGGAAGGAAAGGAAACAAAATCTAAAGGGAGAGAAACATTACAGCTAGAAAGCAAAGTTATTTTTTAGAACTATTATTTCTGTTGTGACCTTTTCTTCAAGTTAACTGATAATACACAGTGAGTTGCTTTTTCTAATACAGAAACCCGTGGCATTCTAGGAGCTTATTTATAACCCCCTGCGAGGAGCAGGCAGTAAGGAAGAAAGCTTCATTATGCATTTTAAACACTGTGCTTCGTGTGGTCAGATGAAATGTTATTCTGCTTGCACTGTGGTATCTTTTACGTCTGAGCAAACATACCTGGCTTACTTTCCCCAACTTCCCCCTCTCTTTTTTCTCTGTTCAGGAAATCAATTTGGTTGAATTTCTTGTGTAGGGTGAAATCCATGGACTCGTACAGAGTTGGTGAGTGGGCCATCAATGGGATCTCTGTTAGCTCATTTTTCATCAGGGAGATACATTTCTTTCCCAAAGCTGTGATCTAGGAGAGTTGCCAAGCAGCTAGAGTTAAAAAAAATACACAAAAACCGCAAACAACATAATTCTTTCATGTGGCATTCTCTCCTTTGTGCTCATCATGCTTGATGATCGCTGACCAGTTCTAAAATAGAGTCCATGGGTTCAAGCCTTTGGCTGTTTCTGGGCTCTTAGACACTTAGTCTCACAGCTTGATCCCAAATAATTGTCCACTGACAGTATTCAAAGGGCGGAGGTGCAAGACTCTCTTTTTGTAAGGTGGGACTAAATTGGAAAACTATTGAAATTCATGAAAGATTTCTCAGGTTTACTTTTGTGAGCTTAGCACATGTAGAACATTTACAAAGCTTTAATGTCCATATCTGAACATGTGTGCTCTTTTAATCGAAAGTCCTCATTTTTTTTTTTTTTTAGATCTCTGCCTATCTCTTTGACAGGATCTATAGTGGTGGCTTAAAACCTAAATGTGGTCTTTCTTTTTTGCTTTCCAGATCTTTGGCAGGGCTAGTATGAAACAATCCAATTAACACAACTTGATTTCATCTGCTTTATTTTGTGATTATCTCTTGGTGGCCAGAGCCAGCCCTCTGGACCAGAGGAAACAATGATGCCCACCTGGTCAATGGAGGTTATTTTAGTTGTGAGTACTCGAATTTGTCTTGTGTGTAAGATTCCTTAAAGAAGCTGTTGTTTTTCTGTGACCTAAATAAGATACTGTTCCCAGGTAACTTTGGGTCTAAAAAATGACCTCTTTCTTGGGGCCTTTCAGATGACTGAATTGAATGATTCTAAGTGTTACGCAATTAGCAAAAGATGTCTAACAATCACTTTGGGGATCCGGAACAAGTGTGGTCCCAGTTCAACTGTGTTCCTGTCAGAATACCTCTGTGGTGACTCTCTCCTACTACGTCAGTTCCAGAAGCGGGGGATGGAAGACCCCTGTTGTGGCCAGCAGTGCTGTTCCATGTCCTTTCCAGTGCACTGTCTCCTCTGCTGCTCAGGGTCAGGATGCCCACACACTCCTGCGCCCAGCTTCTGAGTCTCAGTCTCCCCTTCTAGGTCGCCTTTGCAGCTTCACTCTTTGTTTGCTCTGTGGAAGTTTCTCGTTTAAGCTCTGTTGAGTGAAAAGAGTGATCACAACCCCATTGGCATTTTGTTTTCTGTTTCTGCGTTAATTCACCTAGGACAATGGCCTCCAGCTGCATCCATACTGCTGCAAATGACATGATTTCACTCTTTTTTATGGCTGTGTAGTTCCATGGTATATACATATATCACATTTTCTTTACCCAGTTCACCATTGATGGGCACCTGGGTTTATCCCATGTCCTTGCTATTGTGAATAGTGCTGTGATGAACATGTACATGCATATGTCTTTTTGGTAAAATGATTTATTTTCCTTCGGGGGTATATGCAGTAATGGGATTGCTGGGTCAAGTGGTAGTTTTATTTTTAGTTCTTTAGAAATTTCCAAATGCTTTCCATAGGGACTGAGCTAATTTACTTTTCCACCAACAGTGTATAAGTGTTCCCTTTGTATGCATTCTCACCAACATCTATTTTTTGACTTTTTAGTAATAGCCATTCTGACTGGTGTGAGATGATATCTCATTTGGTTTTGGTTTACATTTTCCTGACAATTAGTGATACTAAGCATTTTTCATGTTTGTTGGCTGCTTGTATGTCTTCTTTTTAAGAAGTGACTGTTCATGTCATTTGCCCACTTTTTAATTTGGTTGTTTTTTGCTTGTTGAATTATTTAAGTTACTTATAGATTCTGAGTGTTTGCCCTTTGTAGGATGTATAGTTTGCAAATATTTTCTCCCATTCTGCAGGTTGTCTGTTTAGTTTAATAGTTTCTTTTTTTGCTGTGCAGAAAGTCTTTAGTTTAATTAGGTCCCATTTATCAATTTTTGTTTTTGTTGCAATTGCTTTTGAGGGTTCAGTTTTATTATTCTGTATATGGATGGCCAGTTATCCCAGCACCATTACTGAATGGGAAATCCTTACCCAATTGCTTATTTTTGTTGACTTTGTTGAATATAAGTTGGTTTTGGGTGTGCAGATGTATTTCCAAATTCTCTGTTTGGTTCCACTGATCTATGTGCCTGTTTTTGCACCAGTACCAGCATGGTACTGGTTAGTTACTATACCCTTGTAGTATACTTTGAAGTTAGGTAATGTGGATGCTTCTGGCTTTACTCCTTTTGCTTAAGATTGCTTTTGCTATTTGGGTTCTTTTTTGATTCCATATGAATTTTAGAAATACTTTTTCTAATTCTGCTAAAAATGATAATTGGTGGTTTGATAGAAATAGCATTCAATCTGTGGCTTGCTTTGCGCAGTATGGCCATTTTAATGATTTTGATTCTTCTAATCCATGAGTATAAAATGTTTTTCCATTTGTTTGTGTCATATATGATTTCTTTAAGCAATATTTTGTTTTAACTAGTTTTCCTTGTAGAGATCTTTCACCTCCTTGGTTAGATGTATTTCTAGGTATTTTATTACTTTTGTGACTATTATAAATGCAATTGCATTCTCGATTTGACTCTCAGCTTGAATGTTATGGTGTATAGAAATGTTTAGTCATAAAAAGAATAAAGTACTGATATATGCTGAAAAAAAAGAGTGATCACTAGTTATGGTGCTTCAGGAACATTCGATAAATTAACTTCTCATGACTACGTTGCAGTCAAGAAGCAAAATATTTCTATTTTGCCTTGAAATTATAGTGTGTGTTATACTTTTCAGCTTACTGCAATAAATAGCCTCCAAGCAAATGGCACTTGGGTTCTTTTGATTTCAGTTTTTTTGTAGCAAAACTAAGTTTTCATTTATTTTATCTCCTATGACCTCTTTACCCAAAGTAGGCTGATCTTGGATTCTCTGGTCTATTTATGCCGCTGCCGTTCCGTCTTTACATCTCCCGTTGGAGCATGGCTGTTGCATTGACATGATGTTTTTGGTGTGGGTGTTCAGTAGTGATGAAGAGTAGCCACATGCCATGATTGGAATCAATAGACATTGCCTGGGATCTTTACTGTACCTCATTGTCAATTAGACAGTAGCAGGAAATCTTTGATATCAGGGGCAGCCCCCTCAATCATGTTTCATGGCATTCAGGCAGCAGTGCCATGTGTCACATATATTTGATGCTTGTGTGATTGGGCAGAACTCATTAGTATGTGGTTGTGCACAGACTCTGGGCCCTCCACCCTCTGAAGAAAGAAAGTACAGCACTCAATGGATGAATTCTTCAGAGAAAAGCTATCAAATTGGAATATAAACTAACTCCTTTGAAGCGCCACTGGAGGGGAACTTGATGTACTGGGAATATGAAGGATGGGCATGGAAAATATAGAGGAAGTGACCAAGGAAAGCAAATAGAAAAAGTGGGATGGTGTGGATACAAGAGTGAGTATTTCTGGAGTAAGAACATGAGTGGCTCCTGTGCATTGTGCATTGTTTGAGAACAATATAAGATAGGGCTTTCATGTTGCTATGGACTGTATTCTGGAACTCCTTGGAACAATTGTAGGGGATGCTAGAGAAAATGGAAATTCTTGTAATTGTGACATTGTTCTTGACCATGTGAGTCATGACTTTGTAAAGTTTGCAGTAATGATTCCAAAAGCTTGATATGATTTACCTTTAAAAATGACCTAGAACTGGCCAAGCATGGTGGCTCACACCTGTAATCCCAGCACTTTGGGAGGCCAAGGAGGGTAGATCACTTGAGGTCAGGAATTCGAGACCAGCCTGGCCAACATGGTGAAACCCCATTTCTACTAAAAATACAAAAATTGGCCAGGCATGGTGGTATGTGCCTATAATCCCAGCTACTTGGGAGGCTGAGGCAGGAGAATCACTTGAACCCGGGAGGCAGAGGTTGTGGTGAGCTGAGATCATGTCATTGCACTCCAGCATGGGTGACAGAGTGAGACTCCATCTCAAAAAAACAAAACAAAAACAAACCAAAGCCTAGAACTAATTTCACGATTATTCCTATATCTTATTACTCTCATTCATAAACATTTAGAGTGTTTTCCCTCCATGGGAGAGAAAGGGTGTTCCAGGGAATGTAGATCATCTCCAACCTCTTATCCGTGCTACAAGTCAGAGTGGGTATCTATTGCTATGAATCAGTGTGGCAATTATCATTTATTTATAGTGCCTGTGATTTGTGATTTTATAGTTTTTAATTTACCCATAAGTAAATTTTTAATGAGGAAAAAGGCAAGAATAAATGAAAAAAGCCTAAGTAATGTGTTTATATATCCATGGAACATGAAAAAGAAATACGTTTTAAATGTTTCTCTCAGTAAGAATGCAAGAGTTCCATAAGTTACAAACTGGAGGACTACAGGTCAAGCGTGTCAAATGTAGCCTGCAGTCAGGTTTAATTGGGCCCTCATAGTGTTTAAAAAATTTTGAATCTATTGCCAACATATCAAATATGCAGACTTCATAGGAAAATCCGACTTTCTGATTTCTCTTGAATAGTGGGAACGTTTGGAAACGTTAGCCTGTATTCCCATCAACTGGATGTGTTTAGTAGTTTTGCTCATTGGATGGGGCATATGCACCTTTGTTTGCTGGTGCCCCTACAATGCTGTTTTTGTAAGTACAGGCTGCTTTGTTTATGTAGGCATTGGAGTGTATGATTCCTAACTAGATCACTAAATTAAAGGTAGACAAAGTGGTAGAATTTTAATGTTTATAATAATACTGTTAATACTAATAATGTTAAACACCTGAACATGCTATGTATTATAATTTTAAAAACAATAAGGTAGAATGTATTTCCATAATTAGAATACTTTATTTTCTTATAAAGCCTCATTTTTGAGATCTTTCAATGACTTATTGTGCTACCCAGATGCAAGCATAAAATGACATAAGCCATTTAAAGATCTATAAAAAGATGGGCTGGGCACAGTGGCTCATGCCTGTTAATCCCAGCACTTTGGGAGGCTGAGGTGGGTGGATCACTGAAGGTTAGGAGTTTGAGACCAGGGTGGCCAACATGGTGAAACCCTGTGTCTACTAAAAATACAAAATTAGCCAGACATGGTGGCAGGTGCCTGTAATCCCAGCTACTATGGAAGGTTGAGGCAGGTGAATTGCTGGAACCCAGAAAGCAGATGTTATAGTGAGCTGAGATCGTGTCACTGCACTCCAGCCTGGGAGACAGAGTGAGACTCTTTCTCAGGAAAAAAAAAATCTATAAAAAGAAGCTTTATAAAGAAAAGGAAAGTAATAGGATTATTTTAATTAAAAGAAATAATCACATTATTTTTAATGAGAATTTATATTTTTCAGATCTCTAATCCATAGGTTATATTAGCAGTGTGAGCTAGTTTGCATATATAAACCCTACTTTATTGTTTTGTATGACAATACATAGAATTTAGGCTCATGGTAAAGACGTCGGGTTTGGATACTACTCTGTCACATGCAAGCTGTGTGGCCTGGGCAGTTAGAGCTTCTCTATGCCTTGATTTTCTCACTCGTGATGTGGGAATCATTATAGCACCTCCCTTGGATGATTGTTTTGGTGATTAAATGGAATAATCTAGACAGGGCAGTTGATTCAGAATAAGAATTCAATAAATGTTCAGTCTTATTATTTCTAGATAAAGTCTTCATGTTATCTACTTTATTACATCTTTTATTATTAGTTGCCAAAATCTTGGTGCAATATTGGGAGTGTGTTGGGCATGCCTGCATCTTCTGTCAGCAGCAAGGGTGTAATACTGTGCTTTATTGTGCCACTGTGCTCCAGCCTGGGCAACAAGAGCAAAACTCTGTCTCAAAAAAAAAAAAAAAAAAAAAAAAAAAAAAGAAAAGAAAAGAAAAGAAAGTGCTCTCCTACAAAATCCTAACTTCTGAAATTTCATCTAGTGCCTTATGCCTTCATCTGCAAAATGAGGAGACTTCTCTTCGCCATCCACCTTGTAGCATAAGGCAAAGTAGAAATTTTGTATTGAAAATTGAGGCTATTCATAGAAAGCTGTTATAAAGACTTTGCCTTCCATAAATAAATTTGATGAAGATGAATTTAGTCACCCACTTTCCAATTCCTAACTCCATGCATTTTTCAAGCTTTGGTAATAGAATATAAAAAAGCATAAGTATAAAATTGTGGCCAAATGTTATGCAAACTGCTAATTTATTGATATGAAAATATACTTTGTCCTTGATGTGTGTCTTGTCTTGTAATTTTAACATGATTTTTCCTTGTGTTCATGTTGACTTCTTGCTGGAAGAAGGGAGGAAACATAGATTTTATTCCTATACCTGAAAGGATCCACAAGAAAAAGGTTTTTAAACCAGTATACGTGGGATATAGCACTAACTTGGGGAAGATACTGCTCATCAATAGGAATTTATGATTATGTGTTTCCATCTTGTTGTTCGGTCTCCCAAAAAAATTTGGTTTTAAGTGGGAAGGGATAGAAACGGTACCATAAGAATTATTTCTTTGATTTGAAATTGCTGTTTTCTTGCACTGCAGGACTCCCACATTGCTGAGCAACCACTGTCCTTTCTGAGGAAACAGAAAGCAGTAATTCACTGTTGTAAATGAAGATTGAGTGTGATGGGTTACATTTGAGGAAAATGTCCTTTTAAATGTTTGCAAAAACACAAATCTATCTCAGCTGTAGAGTTTTCACTGTAGAGACTCTTGTAAATTTTGTCTGGCTGCCATTGTCATTGTTGCTACATTTATTCCATTTCTGTCACTGCCTGTTAGGTGAATGTTTTGCTTTTATCTGATAACTTCAGAAACGGGAGTTATTTCTCCTGAGGCTGTAAGGCAGGAGTGTCTTTCAGGAGCTGGTTCGTTGTGAAGCATGAAGCTGTTTTTCCTGAAAAGAAGGTAAGTTGTTAGACATGGTTTTAATTCCCTGCTGTGTCAGTGTAAACCATCCTGTACTGGGGAAAACAATAAGGTGGAATTATCTAAGACAGGAAAGTTCAGAAAGTCATTCCAATTGTTTTTGTTGCTAACTACTAGAAAACAATTTGTGGGATGAGCCCGTTTCTTTCTCTCTAACCTTTTCTAGACCTGACCATGCGGGGCTAGACGCCTTCAGTGTTTGAAGTGGTATTAAACAAGATGCAACAGGCAGATGACACACAGTTGTCAACATTTCATGTATTGCTGTTCTCTAGAAAAATACACCCAAACCTCAGATGACAAAAGAGAAGTAAAGACATTGGTCTTTTAGTGGAGGCTGTTGGAACATTGCCAAACTCTTATAAAAAGCATTTTATTCCACATTTTCACATTCCATTTTTATTCACCTTTTTATGAGTAAATTTACATGTATAGATTGTAGATATACAACTCCACTTAATTTATTTCTCATTCTTTGAAAATTTTGGCTTTTTCTCCCTATTGTAAGAAAAGTCTCTGTAATATTTCTCAGTGTTAAAGAGAAAAAAATCCTCTGTTTTAATTAAATGTTGGGGTCAAAGATTTCACATATTCTCGGGACCAGTTAATTGAATTACCTAATTATTCCAAGAGTGGGTAATATTTAAAATGGTTTTATTAGTGGAGATCCACAACTTAGGAACTGGTTTCCTTCTAAGTTATGAGCACTTTCCAAAAGTTGTTTGGGACTCGGAATGCCATCCCCTGCCCTACCCCACAAAGAAAACAATAGTTTAAATTATGATAAATGAAAATTAGTTTTCCATCCTAATCCACAAATCTTTGTAACCCATACTGGGGCTGATCTATAGTGCTGTGGTTTCTTTTTGCTTCTTTGGAAAAATTAATGCCAAGTCACAACGTGACATATGACTTCCTTCATAGCTCCAGTGTTGAAAAAATAATATTTTGTTTTCCCTTTGCCTTGGACTGTTAGAAGTTTTTCTCTCCTTCTGCTCGAACAGAAGCAGTATAAGGAGTTCTTATTCATTTTTCTCTTTTCAGTGCAGGGACATGAAAGGAGTTGGGCATGGCCACATCTGACAAAGATGGTAGCAGAAAGAGATTTTTTGCTCTGCTTGTCCAACCTCCCATGCCCACTGCCCCACCCACTGGCCCTGATAGTGAGGATCACATTGGCCACCTGGCCTGAACAACAGTTGGGTTCAATAAGCTGGCGATAGCTAGGTTCCTGCACTAGGCACAGAAAGCTAGAAGGCAGGTCAAGTCAGAGTCCCTGAAGACAAGCATTAAGTCAAATGGTTTGTGATAGATGTTGCAGAGCAAATAGCTTGGTATTAGGCAGAAATGGGGTCCAACCGTAGGCAGGAAGGGAACCGTTTGTGTGGGATGCTCAGGAGTTTCCATTGGAAAGGGAGGGGTAGTATGCGATGCTTGGACCTCTGTGAAAAGGATATTTTTAAAGTGGTGTACTTGTTAAGTCCAGAGCTACCCATAATGCTTTGGAGTAATAAAAAAATGGAATCAGTACAGATTAAGGAATATAATATAAGGAATGGAAACCACATTTATGATCAATTAATAAAGATCTTTTTAAAATTTCATGAAATGTTAAGAAAATATAAGAAAATATTTAGAAAATTTATCATTTTATAAAATGCTGATGTAAATTTAGTACTTATATAAAACACTAAAATTCTTCTAAAGGGAAAAAATCTTACCTGAGATAATGTCTTATATAAATGTAAGTCATTACTATATAACAGCTTCCCTATGGAAAGAACCTAAAGTTTAAAGGCATGTTAAAAACGTTTTTAAAAATATGTTGATTATTTTAATGGGGTTGTACTTAGATATAGGTACAACTTAGTTAATATCTTTTTCCTTTTTAAAAAGCTTTATAATATTTTCTTTATTCCTTTCATCATCGTTTTCATGAACGTCCTTTAAAAAGTAACATCTTACTTTCTGGCGTCACTAGCCTAAACACAGTCTAAAGTTCTTTCTCAAAACTTCCATCTTCTTGAATCTATTCCTAAAGTTTTCCTGAAGATCCAACTCTGTTTAGCATCCATACTGTTATTTTTTCATTCATTCAGATTCAATGCTAGGCTGTGGGAATATAGTGATTAAAAAATTTCATGGTTTTTGCCCTTCAGCCTTTAGTCCTTTAAGTCAGATTACAAATTAAAAAGATAAATTTAGAATGATTCTCTTGTTTCCCTACAAATGAGCATGAATTATGCTAGAATTCAGTCCCGCACTTTTTTTCAAAGACTGGTTAATGTCCAGGTAAAACTGAGAGCTTTCTGAGCTAAAGGTATGATAGAGCTGACCCAGTGACCTTTGTTTAACAATACAAAAGTTTATAAAACACTTTCATCATTGCCTCTTTCATGTAGTAGGACACCTTGCCTTTTAAAATAGTGCCTTACAGTGTGTTCCAAACAATCTAATCTCATGAAAAGGTCGAACGAATTTACATCTGGTATTCTTCAGCGTCCCATTGTGTTTGTGTTGACTTGAAAAACCCGAGGATCTTGCAAGTGAAACAATATGATTTCGTGGATGGCACATCAAACTGCTAAATTAGAAGACTTGAGTTTGAATTTTAGCTTTAAGAGTATCTAGTTTTATCACTTTACTGCTCAAGGCTTCCACTTACTCTTCTGTAAAATGCAGGGCTGAGATAGATAACAATTAAGATAGTAATTTTCGTGTAACCGACCACCCCCAAACATCAGTATCTAAAAACAATAAGCACTTATTATTACTCTGGAGGCATCTATGGGTCATTTGGGCAGAACTGCCTATATGGACCAGGCTTGTGTGATCTTGATTGGGCTTGGCCATTCTGCAGTCCCCTAGCAAGTTGGCTAGGGGTTGGCTCCTGTGGAACTGCCTGCTTGCATGTCTAGGAGATGACTGGCTGTTGACTGGACAACAAGATGAGAGCATTACATGTTTTTTATTATCCAGCAGGCTAGAGTGGGCTTATTCTCATGGCCAACACATGTATCCCCAAAGAGTGAGCAGACACATACGAGGCCTCTTGGAGCCTGTCATTTCTACCACATTCTGTTTGGTGGAAGCAAATCTCAAGCCCAGCTCAGATTCGAAAGATGGGGAAATAGAGTCCAAAGTCTCATTGAAAGGTCATGGAAACAGGGAAGGGTGAAGAATTGCAGCATGTTTTACAGTTTATTTACTACAGGCCCCTCTCAGTGCTTTCTGTTAAACCTGTGAGTAATCTAATTGGTTATTTAAATACCTACCAGTGTACTTTGGCATTGAAAGAAATACAGTAGAGGAAAATAACCTTTGACTATATTGAAGGCACTTTGTATTTTATAAAACCATTTTCACTTTTGAGAGAAACATAAAATAAAGACACCCTTGAGGAGCTGGCAACATGGTTAAAGCAAATAAGGCTCATATATTAAAAAATAGAAAACATTTCAAGACCATTTTTCTTGGGGGTTGCAGACTTGTAAGAACTATAGGACATAGAATAGTAAGAGACAAATATGGTCTGGAATTATTTACCAAGCCTTGAAGAACGAGGTGTCAGTAGTTAGATCTGGACTAATAAGACTTTTCTTTTTGGTCATCCTTATATTTATACATATGAAGACAGAAAAAGTTATTTTAATTAGTAAACATTTAATTTAAATAAGCAGTTTGCTGGTGAATAATCTCAAAACTTGTATTTTGCTTAGGAGAGAAATTGTATCTTTACTATAGACGTTTAGTAAATAAAAACTATTCTCTCAAGAATGTTTAGTTTTCTCAAGAGTCACCAAATATTTTTAGGCAGTGGTTCCTTTGAATATAGCAAATAGAATTAATTTCAACCACTAGTAAAGTGCTGGTGGTTCACCAAAATCTATTTCCTGTGCCATACCTCCCAGCCTCTCTTGTGGTTAGATGTATCATTTGACCAAGTTCCCTCTAATGGACTGTGAGAAAAAAAATGTGTGATACTCTCTGGCTTGTTCCAGTAAACCCCTAGTACATGCTCCTCTATGCTCATTCCCTTTTCTGGCAGACTGGTTTGGCCACACCCAGGGTGATCCTGGGAGCCATAGATTGTCTTTGCAAGAGCTGTTGTCAACCTGTGTTCCTAAATGACTGCCTGGAGCACAACTCCTCTTTCAAACAAGAGCATCTGCCCTGTATTATTAACTGAGCAAGACATAAATGCTATTGTGTTTAGCCCATTGCGTAGTGCATTTATTTGTTTCATCAGTATAGTTGCCCTAACTAATAATACCAATTATACATTGGCTTGAAAAATCAAGGTAGGAGAGCACAATTAAAGAGTTTCCTAGATTTTCTTTTCTGTACACAGCCATTAATCTTGGTGCAAATTATCTTTCAGCAGTTACTGACTTTCTTCCATGTACCAAAGGCTGAACTTATTGCTGAAGCTAGAGAGGAATAAAACGATTCCTACTTCTGGGAGCTCACAGTCTGTTAACAGACAAACAAATATGTAAACAGATTATTGCCATAGAGTATAGCAAACCATTCTTGAGATGAAGGTTAAATGTGTCATAGAGACCCCAATATTCAGTGGGTCAAAAAAGATAGAACATTCTTTTTCTGTAACAGTGCAGAGGTAGGTGAGCAATCCAGGATGGGTAGGCAGCTCTACTCTAGAAAGCTACTAATGAGAGTGATTATCATTGATAATAATATTGATTATTATTATAGGTAGCATTAACTGGCACTTACTATGTGATAAGCTCAGTTTCAAGTCCTCAGGTATAATAACTCTTTTAATTATTACAAAAGCCACATTTTTAAGGCACTGTTTCCCCATTTTAGAGATAGGAAAACTGAGGCACAGATTGGTTAAGTCATTTACCCAAGTTCACATAGCTAGGAAGTGACTCAGCTGGGCTTTGAACCCCAGCGATCTGAACCTATGCTGTTAACCACCATGCTATACTTAGATAAGCCAGTTGACACAGTGGGTAGTCATGGTTGGTATAGGAATATCACTGATTTGCAGATCTGGGTGGACATTTGATACCTTTAAACTAAGTTCTTTTAGCTCATAAACTAAGGTGATATTAGTGTACTTGGTGCTTGTGGGAAGGCTCCATTGCCTTCTTATATAATTTTATGTTCTATATGTATCAAGATTCATTGAAGCAATTCTCCTAATTTTTGTGTGTCTCTATTTTCTTCTGTATTCAATAAAGGGAGTACCAGTTCAAAAAAAAAAATCAGTGATAACTGTTCACATGTGTTATCCTCCCAAGCTGGCTTTTTGTGGGTCTTCAACTTACTTAGAATGTGTAATACTGACACTAGCCCACACTAAGTGCTTGTTAAGTGGCTTCTTGCTGAGCAAATATAGACTAATGCCCTTTGTAGAGCTCCTCTCTCTTGAACTCCCATGAGACACATAGCGTATGGTTCTTCTTGTCCCCTGCGTTTGCCCTGCTGCTCTTACTCAGACCAAGACAATGTCTGAAGGTTCCTTTCCCTCAGCTGCTCCTTGAAGAAGGCTGGATTTACCAAAGAGGACAAAAGATGTTTTTTTTTGTTTTTTGTTTTTTCTTTTTTTTTAGCGTAGCATTTTTGCTTCCCCCCACTTCCCTGCAGCACCCCTGTAATAGTCACACAGGATGGTTTGGCAAATATAAACCTAATCTAAAACTTCAAATTTTTTTTTTCCTTGAGTAGGCACAGTCAGAATGTGGGAAATGCCATTTTTATTACTGTCTACTACCTTTTCTCCTTTTATCAGAGCATTGGATCCTTTGAGGCTTATACCATGTTAGTTTTCTAGTGGGGATAATTTTAGTTTTTCTTAAAATATTGTGACTGTTGTCCTACTTTTCTCCCTCACCTGTGATAATTTTTTTCCCTATAGAGAAGAAAAATTAAAAGATGGTGGATGGGAGTAGCTTCTAAACATTCTATCAGTTGCTTGTGGAATGCCTCTGGATTTTGAGCCAGCTCTTTAATAAAGAGGCTAGGCAGGTGCTAAAAGATTCTTGGAGATGCTTTCTTCTTGGGGCCATTGTATCTGGTTAATTCTCAACCTTGTTGAATCGTATGAGGGTGCTTTGTGTGCAAGATGTCTGACAAGACAGAAGAAAAGAAGGAACTGGGCAGTGTCAGTTTACTGAAGTTGGGAAGTCTTCACTGGGAAATTTAGGTGCAGATTGTGATCCGGGCTGGGATTGCTGCATCCAGTACAAAGAGGGTTTTAAGACTCCAACCAGCCGAACAAGGGGGAGTTGTAAATTGCAGGCTGCCCTCTTGTTCCTTGAGTACAATTGACTTGAGCCATTCAGAATGAGTTAAGTAATTTTTTCAGCCATCATGCATTCATCATATTTGCTCCAACAATGTTCCTGAGGTCTGGTAGTAAATGGGGAGCAGGAATTTCAATTTCCCTGACTGGGTCTACTTTTCATTAACCATATTACTTCTGGCAAATTGTTTTACCTCTGTTCTCTCTCCCTACAACAAAGCTAATTATGGCTCATGGAGTTCATGGGCTGGCGCAGGGGATGGCATTGTTAGTGTGCTGTAATGGAGTTTGAATCTCGACTCTGCCGCTTACCTGGTGTCGCCTTTGTCAAGTTGCTTAACCTCTCAGCTTTAGATGCCACTTCTCAAATGGAGACAGTAACGTGCACCTCACAGGGTTGTGGCAAGGATTAAATAAGGTATTGCATGAACATCACTAACCACAACGTATAGCACATAGTAGGTGCCCATTAAATTATAATTATTATTGTATTTTATTATTATCAAGCCCTCAAATGGATGAGATGCTAGCAAAATATCAACAGAGGTGCAAGGAATGTTCTTTTGTGAAAATATCTTGACCATTGCTACTTAACAGCACCATTTTTCAATGCAGTAGTAATTGTTATATTAGCGTCAAATGTTTTCTTCAGAGGATTATTTTCACAACTGAAACAAAACTTGGGACACCATCTGAGTTGACAGTGTAATGCAGTGGAAAGGCATAGGTTCAGGAGTTACACAGATCTAGCTTTGAATTCTGGTGCTGCCATTTACTAACTATGCTCTTGAAAAAGTTAATTAACTTCTCCAAGCCTCAGTTTACTTGTTCCCTAAAATGGGGATGAGATAGTAATATTGATCTAAGTAAGGCTTATTTTGAGAATTTGAGCTAATATATAAAGTTAATAAAGTCCTGCACATAATATGTGATTAACTAATAGAACATGACAAAATGTTGCCACATGCTTTCTGAGGGTGTTTTTAAATGTCATTTTGAGCTTCCAAGATCCCTCAATTGGGTCTCCTGTTATTCTGTTTTTAAAGCAACTAATTCGTTTCTTTCCTAGCACTTAGTCACAATTTGCCTTCATACCCTTATTTGTACGTTTGTTTACTATTTATCTTCTCCCCCTATGTTAAAGGCTGGGTTTGTGTCTGTTTTGTTCACCATTATATAAATAGCTACAAAGAGTTTGACATATAGTTGGTGCTTAGTAAATCTTTGCTAAATGAATGTATGAAAGGTTAGCCAACAACCGGTAGTGATATTTCTCCTCTGTAAGCACATATAATTTACTTGTCACTTCATTTCATGTTGCATTTTAGCATCACCTGTTGTCTTGTTAATTAGCTCTTGTAAAATGGCTAATTATTTTCATATACCCTCCAATAGGTTGTAAGCCCCTTAAGTGCTGCCGCCATAGATGAGATCTGCATCTCTCACAGATTGTACAGTGCTTTGCATAGTAATTATTTGTTGAATAAATGAACCAGCAAAGGAAAGGAAAAAAATGCATCCTGGGGATTTCACCAAGGATTAAACTTTGAGGAAATGCCCGAATGCATTCAGAACACTCTCATTGTCGTTTTCATCTATTATGTTGTAATAGTGATAACTGATGATCAGAGAGATGAGATGGAAGGTCAGGATCACCTCTGATACCATCCTCATTATTCTTTATATGCCATCTGAGTAGCTCTAGCTTCATGTCACGGGTGGCCCCACAGTCACACTGCATCCTCAGGTGAAATTGCTCTGCCTTTGAATTCCTTTCTCAGGCCACCTCCCTCCTCTCTCATGAGGAGCTGCTCTTTTTTCTTCCTTTGGCTTCTGGCATCCCATTCCACTCTCTCTCTCTCAGTTCTCATTTTCATTTTTAATGTCTGTCTTTATTTACCAGTCTTAGGCACAGTCAAGTTCACAATGAACCAGCAATTTTAGGGCTCACGAATCTCTTTGCGGGCCTTCCTTACCTATGAGGTAGCTTGTCTGTGATTGGTTCTCTTTTTGCTCTGAATTGATGCCTCAAAAACTATGAACTCTAACTTCAGCTGGACCTTCACTGCTGGTAAGCAATCTTTTGTTAATTAAAAAAAATAAAATAACTGCAATTTCACATCAATTCTGCTTTCCTCGAGCTCACCCTCCCTGTCCCTCTCAGGGTGGTTCAGTAATTTGCCCAAGGCCACAGGCCTATATCTGCCAGAATGGAGATTTGAACCTGGGCCCTGTAGCTCCAGAGTCCCTTAATCACCATTCTCTACTGCCTCTTTATGTGTTTTACATGTGCCCACACAAAATATATAGTATAATGTTTTAATGATTTTCTTTTACATAAATATCATATACTATGCTTAGAATTCTTCAACTTGCTCTTTTTCATGCAACAAAACATTTTGGAGCTGGAGTTACTGTTAACTCCCACCTCCACCCCCACACCTACCACCACTTCTTGCCACATTCAATGCTTTACAGCTTCCACGGGGACTCCCTTTGTAGCTTCTCTTACCACTCTTTCCATGGCTGGGGCCGCCACCATCCTCAGGTTCTTTGCCTAGCCTGTGAGTGTCGCCTCCTGGCTGGAAAAAATAAAATTAGCACCTGCTATGAAGCCACCCTCTCCTGCTGCTGGCTGTGCTCTCCAGCACATCGCTGTAGCCTTTTCTCACAGTCTGACTTCAGCCTTCTTTCCTCCCTCCTCACATAATACTGTGGCTCCCTGTTTCCTATCCACTTCAATACAGGCTCGTTGACCCGGCCCTTAAGAGCACCATCATGCAGCCCCATCCCATCTTGCTAGCTGTATCTACACTTACCCTAAAAGCTTCTCTATGCTTTTACATGACCATTTCTTTCCTCATGTCATTTCTCAAGTCAAGAATAGCTTCCTTCCGTCTTTACCTTAAATGCCTTTTCCAGTATTTAAGATGGGCCTTGACTTCTGACCTCTCATTTAGGTGATCTCCTGCTCCCTCTGACCTTCTCTCTCCCCTTCCACAGCATCCCCCTGTGTGTTTCCTGCCTCACTGTTTCCCTGTAGTGTCTGTATCTGCGTGCTTGTATTAGGCCTGTTGCAGACTGCACATTCCTTGCCCTTCTGGTTACAGATTTCATCTCCTGGCTTAGTGCACCAACGATAGTGAAAGCTGTATGTGTAGTTATTGGTTTTAATGAGATAGAATCATCTAGGAAAAGTTGTTCTATTTAACATATGTTATTTACCAAGATGGGAAAAAACAGACAAATACATTTTTAGAAACATTTGCAGTAAGATATGACATGAACAGTGTTTGTGTTTAACCAGAAATTTTCATTTAATGAAACAGCATAGGCTTTGTAATTTCTGGCTAAGTGACTGACAAACACTTTTTTTCTGACCTAGCCATACCTGTTAACACTTTGGAAATTTGTTTTTAGTTAGTTTCTAATCTTGGTAGATAAGCTGAATTTTGAAAACTAAAAATTAAAATATAACAATGTCAGGATCCAAAGAAGATGGATTGTCATATTTCACTCTGACACTAAACAACTAATTTTAAAAAGTAAGATTTTTTTAGTGCATGAATAAATTAGTTTTCTTTCAGTTTTATTTTTTAATATTATTTTACAATAATACTAAGCTTATCTAATTTTTAAAAGTCACCATTTTTTTTTTACATCACCTCTTTCCATTAATTTTATTAGCCTGAAGAACATTAGTCTATTGAGAGTCTTTTGTGGAGTTCTTGATTGAAGAGCTCTTTGGGGCCCCTTTATATTTTAAAACTGCACTTTTCCTCAAAGTCTTATTATTTTGGATTGAATTTAGAGGTGATCATATGATAAAAATAGTGCCCTTGCGGTCTCTGTGTTGGCAGGAGTATTTTATCCATGACACCCAAAAAAGAGAAACACACTGTGAAATGTTATTTTAGAAGATGGGTGCGAATCTTTGTCCACAGCTCAGGTGTGCTCGAAAGGCTGACTTCGGTTTTACAACTCTGCTCAGTTTCTGACTTTGTGTCTCCATGCTGTCAGATGTGCAGAACAATACCCTCAGTCTTTCTGATGTATCCTTTAGTCTTCCTGGGGTTTTGTCACAGTCTGAGGTCTTACACAATGTGAGGTCTTCTAGGTCTTTAAGGAGGTGGCTCATCTCTCTCTTGAGCGCAAGCCAGTTCCCAGCAGATACCTTTGTCCCATACCCCAAGCCTCTTGGGTTTAGGAATCTGCTACTTCTGCTCCAACCTTGAAACATTGGGATCTATCCTGATGCTGTTGTCTCCTGACACTGTTGTTCCCTCCCTAGGGTGCTATGGACATGAAATGGAGGAGTCTTGTCACCTCCCGGAGGAGGTCCTTTACTCTCCAGATGCCCTTTACTCTTGAGACTCCCTCACTTGCATCTCCTCCCTCTTTACAATTACTGGGAAGCTCCCCCATTCCCAGTCCCATTCCCAAGAGGCATCCTGCCTTCTACACATGAGAGGCATCTTGGAATTGAAACTGAGAAGCAAAATATCTTTTCCAGTTATTTCATACAGGTATTTTGACTTCACTTGAGTGCTTCACTCATTCTTACTCAACTCACGTCTTTCTATAAGGTGCATAAAGTTGGGGTTGTGTTTACTGATTAGTGTTAAGCACTAACAAATCTTAACAGGCGGCACTATGTGATTTTTTAAGACATTCTAATTTCTTACTGGGAGGCTATGGAGAAAGTGCTCCTCATTTAAAACACAATTTTAGAAAACCATCATGGGTAAAAATGACAAGGCTGGTTGAAGTAATAGAAAACATTTCTATATGCATTACACTGTTATTCTCAAGGTGCTTAATATTTCTTACTAATGCTTATCATCAGTTACTGTGTGCATTCAGCTTCACTGTACAGATGGTGTAACTGGGTGCTACGTGACTAACTCTTGATTGCCACGTCCCTTGGTGTCTCCTCTGTCTCCCGTGTTTCAACTGAACACACAGCTGAATCCGGGAGATCAGAATAGCAGCTTCTTTTATTTTTAGGACCAGTCTCTGATGCTTTGACTCTCTGAATGAGCCTCATGTTTCCCAGGAGCTCTCTGTAAATTAAATTTTGCTGTGTTTACTGCTTTAACTTGGAAATGTGTTGGCTCATGTTCTTGACTACAAGAAATCACAGTCCACTTAGGTCACATAAAAAACCTTACTATTAATTTAGCGCTTGGCAAACATACCTATGTCCATGGATCTCTTCCATATTTGGTAGGATCATGGAACCTGCTTAATGAAGACTTGAATGCCATTTGAATATACAAGAGGATTATGTGTCTGAGAAGAAGATAATGAGATGTAACACTTCCTACCAATGATGGCAGTGCAAATACAAGCTCCAAACTCCCATCCCGCTCTACAAGATCCTTTGTTTTCCTGTAACCAGGCATAGTTATCTACCTGGGATATAACCAGTATGGAAGGGAGGGAAAAGATAGAAGGGGTGCACTCACTCAGCTCTCTCAAAAATGCTGAGCATACCAACTGTCTAACAATTAAGATAAGCCAAGTATTTGGCTGACTAGCACTGGTCATCTTCATGCATTAAAGTCACCTGGAATATAATTTGTCCTGGGGATAAAATGACAGGATTATAAATCTTTAACCAGGCTTTTAAAAATCTGGTAAGATGGGAAGCTGAATTAGGTCAGAAGTCTTAGGCAACAGAACACAGTCTAAATCTTGAGCCATTTGCTTTGGGAATACCTGTGTAGGAATAGTTGTTGGGATGAATGTTTTCATTTGGAAACAAAACATAAACCCTAAATGTAAATCACTGAATTTTCTTCTAGCAGCATCAGAATAATGCATTACATTCATGCACAGGCTGCGGTATTATTGAGGCAGAAAGGCATTACTGTATTCAGTAATGTGCTGTGAAGATTTTCATTATTGCATCTCAGCAGGCTTGGTTCTAGGCAGAAAGATGAAGTGGGTGAAATCAGCCTTTGCTACTTCCTGCAAATGCAGGCTGGCTGCTCTCCACCGGCCCCATCCGGACACTGCCCATCAGGCTCCTGGCTTCTTATCCCATCGCCTGGAGGCTACTTTTTGTTGGGGCGGGGAGCAAGATTTACATTTGGGCTCTTTCAGTATTTATACTTCTGGCTCCCATTAATTAACACATTTTCTAATGAATTGACTGTGATCTCCTGTTACTGTCTAATTGCTTTTACTGTTCTTTTCTTGGTCAGACCAGCACTACTGGAGAGACTCCCAGGAGTTTCTCTGGGTGGCAACATCTCCCATCTGTGTGCCCCGGTAAGGAGGGACACACTTACTCTGCCATTGAATGCACCCTCAGTTTATTGGCCTTGACTCTGGTCTGGCTGTGTCAGCTAATGCTCCAGCAGGAAGGTCTACAGACCTGAACTGGGTGATTTGAGGAGAGTTCAATAAGGGGACTCTTTTCAGAGGTGAGGGCAGGGCATTGTATAGGGAAACCACAGGAATAGTGCAATATCCTAGGGGTAGTTACAGCAGGGAGCCAATATTAATTCTACATCTGAAAGGGAAAGGAAGAAGAGCATTTCTGGGAACCTGGAAGCAGAGCCAGCTCTGTGGAGAGGGTCATCTTACAGGAATTGTGGCTTCAG
The DNA here is from genome assembly GCF_000001405.40 of Homo sapiens. Classification (NCBI taxonomy): domain Eukaryota; kingdom Metazoa; phylum Chordata; class Mammalia; order Primates; family Hominidae; genus Homo; species Homo sapiens. The sequence continues at coordinate 78,175,718 of NC_000004.12, forward strand.
ATGAGAGACCTGGCCAGATCATGATGCACAGTAGGAAGGGAGGCAGGAAGGAAATGGCCACCCTTTCCACCCTCCCTCTGATCTTCTGCCAGTCCTCCTCTTTGGCCAAATCCTTCTGGAAGCCTGCTGACGTGGTCCATGCAGGCCAGCATGCCTTGGCTGAGAGCATGGGTAGATGGAAATGTCCAGCACAAGGGCTCTCAAGCATGTGACACCATTACATCCCTAAGAGACACTAGGTTGCCGTCTCTTGGTGAGTGCCATTTTGCAAATCAATTGGATTAAGATCTCAGTTGCTCAGACATTAGTGAATTGAATGTCAAATACTACTTTGACTATCAGGGGAATTTTTATGTTGATGCCCACGAAATTAAGGGTAATAATACCTGTAGTTGGTTATACCCTGGTTCAGAAATGAAGTAATTTTTCTTTTGCAGTTAGCTTCCTATTATATGTGAGATAGCATTACTTCATGTATCAACATCTATGCAAATTGGCAATTTAAGAAAAAGGACTGAAAACTAGGAAGGCTAGAATGTCATAGAATCTTGGACTTGGAATACAGCATCCCATTTGTTCTCCTACTTAGAGCAGAAATCCCTTTTAAAGTGCCTGCAGTAATCATTGCGCCCCTCCCATTGTGAGTATGAGGACTCGCAATTCCACCCATTCCCATTGCCATCAGGTGTAAATGTTATAAAGAGTTTCCTTACACTGGGCAGAAATCAACTCACTGTTCCTTTCACCAGTTGTTCTGATTTTTCCCTGAAGAGCTACATTGCTTAAATCTCATCATCCTTCAAATATGTGAAGACAGCCATCATTTCTCCCTGACACCTTCTCATTTCCAGGCGAAACATTCCCAGTTTCTGCAACCTGTCCTCATAAGTACAATTTAATTCAACCAACATTTTTTGAGCCCACAGCTATTGGCAAGGCTCCAGGCAGGCACACCTATGAAGCTTACAGTGTGGCTGGGGAGAGGAATGTAAACACTTATGCAATACAAGATAGAATGGAATGTGTTGAGTAGAAGTTTAACTCACATACTTCTAAGTTTTCATACAAGTTGTTGGTAAAAATGTTAATAGGAAAGAAACAAGGAAGGGGCCTTGTAGCATGTCAAGAAAGAGCCTTCTTTAGGTTGAGACCAATTAGCTAACTCACATCAATGGGTACTACCATTCAACCTACTCTTGGCTTTGGTCATCTTATCTGTCCCATCAAAACATCACAGGGACCTTTGTCTTGTATTGCTGAAACCAAAATTCATTATGTCTGTCCCAACAATTGCCAATAGGCAGGTTACACACCTCCATAGTGGGAGTGCGTTAGAACCTCAATGGGAGGGAGAGAGAGAGTGATGTGAGTTTTTTTTTTTTTTTTTTGAGACAGAGTCTTGCTCTGTTGCCCAGGCTGGAGTGCAGTGGCGCTATCTCGGCTCACTGCAAGCTCCGCCTCCTGGGTTCATGCCATTCTCCTGCCTCAGCCTCCTGGAAATGTTTTATATTCACCAGAAGAGGGGGACATGGCTTGAAATATAGTTGAGAAACAAATAATTATACTTAAGTGTTAAAAATTATGAAAGCTAAATGGTAGTACATAGGTATTCTTTATGTTATTCTAAATGGTATTTTTGAAATACCTCAATGTTTATGGAAGGAGGAAATAAACACTGCCTTGGTCCATAGTGGAACCTTAATGGTGGAGTATGGCCATGGGCAACTCATGAGCTGCTGAGACAAGTGGTTGGGGACATTGGTCTATGGTTAGCATTCTCTTGTTGTACCTGTTCAGTTTCATTGTTAAAATTGTTCTCTCATTGAGTTAAAGCAAAATAAACAGCCATCTCTGGGTGAGGTCAGTTGGGAGTCTCTGGGTCCTGAATCACTGCTGGCAGGGGTGGCCGTAGGGAAGGCGGGTCTGCCAGCTCTACTTGAGATTATGCTTCCAGCACCTGTAACTCCTGGTTCATCACCATCAACACTAAGGCTGAAAATTGCAGCCCTGCCTCTATCTCATACACCTTCTTCCTTTCAGGTGCCTCACCACCTTTTACCTTCCCTCCCCTTACATACGGATTGGATTGAACACTGTGTATTACTTCCTGGAAGTTACTGAACGCTGTTGATCCTCAGTTTCTGTGTCAGTACAATGGCAGTAATGATACCTAACCTCTTAGGATTTGTATTAGTTTCCTGGGCTGCCATAGCAAATTTCCGCAAACTGGGTGACTTAAAAAAATTAGAAAGTTATTCTCTCAAAGAAATTTTTTCTGTCTCTGGAGGCCACAGTCTGAAATCAAGGTGTTGTCAAGGCCATGCTCCCTCCCAAAGCTCTAAGGGAGATTCCTTCCTCGCCTCTTCCAGCTTCAGGCAGCTCCTGGCCTCCTAGGCTTGTGGCAGCATCACTTTAATCTCTGTCTCTGTCTTCTTGTGGCTGTTTTTCTTTCTATGTGTATGTGTGTTCTCTCCTTTTTTTAAAAAAATAAAGATACCAGTCATTGGGTAGAGGCACTTTACCCAATGATTGGCATTTTTATCGAAAGAATGATTACTGCAGGCACCTTAAAAGGGATTTCTGCTCTAAGTAGGAGAATAAGTGGGATGTTCTATTCCAGGTCCAAGATTCCATGACATTCTAGGCTTCGTAGTTTTCAGTCCTTTTTCTTAAATTACCAATTTGTATAGATGTTGATACATGAAGTAGTGATATCTCACATATAAGAAGAAGCTACCTGCAAAAGAAAAATTACTTCATTTCTGAACCAGGGTATAACCAACAAGTATTAATTTGGTGGGCATCAACATAAAAATTCCCCTGATAGTCAGTGTAGTATTTGACATTCAATTCACTAATGTCTGAGCAGCTGAGATCTTAATCCAATTGATTTGCAAAATGACACTCACCAAGAAACAGCAAGCTAGCATCTCTCAGGGGTGTAATGGTGTCATATGCTTGAGAGCCCTTGTGCTGGACATTTCCATTTGCCCCTGCTCTCAGCCAGTGACTGGGGATTAAACTAATTACCTCTACAAAGACCCTATTTCCAAATGAGGGCACATTTTGAGGTTCCAGGTGCACATAAAATTTGGGGAGACACTATTAAACCCACTACAGGATTATTTTGGGCTTCAAATAGGATACTGTATGTGGAGTACCTACATAGGGTGAGGTATAGAGTAGGTATTCAATAAAGGGTAGTTCCCACCCCCTAACTACCGCTGATGCACAGATGTTCGAGGGGAGCGAAGGGCAGCCATGACTATACATTCCTCTTGGAATTGCCTGTGGTTTGATCTTCAGGACTCTTCAGTATCTCACTGTTCCCACCTACACAATAGGGCTACTCACGTATCAGGAAAGTGTATAGGAACACAGAGAATGATGAAGTATTCCTTTTGTTTCTCATTCTGGTGTTGCAGTTGTGGATATAGCAAAGGAAAACTTCTTGAGAATGCAACTTAGAACCAGAAAATGGAATGGAATGGGAAAATGCCATTGTTCTCACCGACTGGAAGTGTATCTTCAGTTGAGGCCCTGTTGGATCATTTACATTTTTCTCATTCTTTCAGCCTTGGGGCCTTTTCTTGACATCTGGCTCTCCACAGAAAAAGCACCTGTGGTGGCCTCTTCTTTTTAATATCACGTGCCAGCAGGTAGGCAGGCAAGTTATGCCAAGACATGGCTCACAATCTCCTCAGGCCTTGGATGAAAGAAAGTGGAATTCCCCTGAATTAGCAGGAAGTGTTTCATTAAAAATGTGAGTTGTATAAAACTCTCTAAAATGTGGAGCTTTGAAAAGCCATTCCTTCCCTGCTCCAGAAAATATATTCAAAATGACATCTCTATAAACTTTGAATGTGTTGTTTGTACAGAAATCCAAAGAAGGTGAATAAAGGAGGGATTCCAGGTACTTATTTCATCCAAATAATTTATCTAAGGGAATTGACTTTCATCTGGAGGTGGAATAAAACCATATATGATTAAGAGACATCTGTTATATGTCTCTAGGCATTTAAGGAATGGAACTGGCAGCCACTTGTGAGACAAATGAATATGACTGTCCCACTGACATAGGAGCTACCCAGGGCATAGGAGCTACCCAGGGAAATGCAGGGAGTTGGGCAGTTGGTGCAAGGATGCTGTGGCAATCAGTGGGAGCCATGGAGAGAAGTGGCTGAAAAGGTTTGGTTAACAAACACTCTTATATATATGAAGCTTGCTTTTTGACTACTAATGATATCACTATACTTACATTAACTTATTCAGCCAACCGACACTTAGCATGCTCTCACTGTGTACTAGGCACTAGGATAAAAGTCAGTTCCTACTCCTACGAGGTTCCTAGTCTAGTGGAAGAGATACACAGGTAAACATTCATTCATTCAACAACAAATTGAGCATATACAGTGTCTCAGGCTCTGGGTGTGCTGGATGTGGTGAACAGGATAGATGGTGCCTAATGGTATGAAAGCTTTGATCTAGTGGGGGAAGCAGATTTTTTTTTTCTTCAAGTACTGATATTTCTGTATATAAAGATTTAGCATATATATATAACAGCTATCATGAGAAGTGAAAAAAGATTTTTCCCCAAAAATGAAAATATTAAAACTAAGTTAAAATACATATAGTTAGTATTCCACACAGAATAAAATTTGACAAATCAAAGTTTAACATGTCCCAGTTGATCATGTGTGAATATGCAAAGCATGTATTAAAGCCAGTATGTCCAATATTTAAAACCAGTTTGTAATTGGGGGAACTTCTAAATCCTTAATTAAAAAACACAAATGAAGTGAAAGCTTTAAACTGGTACACACTGTTCACACCTATATTTCAAGTTTGGAAATGCATATTTGCAAGCAGCAATACAAAAGTATTCATGAAGAATGCATAATCTCTGAAAATTATGAAAACATCCCTGCTACCAATACATTTCTAAATACAAAACTGACTACCATATTTGTTACTTCTGTGTAGCGAGATAAGTTCATTTTTGAAACAGATAAAATTCAGTCTTTAGGTGTGAATGGTATGAATGACAGTCTTTTTTTTTTTTTAATTTGTCATTTGGAATCCTTAAGCATGCAAAAGCTTTGAACAGAAGGGTTCACGAAGGAACCAGGGTTGTCTTATGGCATCCAGTTAAGCCAGAACTGGGAATGCCTCTGGGTCATCCACATCAGGAGCAGAAGTACTTGACTTGTCGGTCCTGCTGCCACGGTTTGGGCGCCCACCACGCCCATGTCCACCTTGTCCTCCCCTGCCGCCACGTCCTGGGCGGCCAAGGTCTCCAAAATTGATCTCCAGCTGAGACGTTATATCATTTGCTGGCTTCTGGAAATGATGGTCCATAACTGAATCCTCAGCATAAGCCTCTTCACTCTTTGATTTATGAAAACAAATCCCTTCTTCCACTGCCCATCAGCACCTTCATTTGGTTTTCAGATATTAAATTCTACTTTTGCCCGGTCCTTATTTTGAATAGCCTTCCACTCATCCAAAGTCATCTCTTTTGGACCCTCCTCTTTTACCTCTTCAACATCATTCTCCTTATTTTCAGTGTCTGCCACTGGATGATGTTCTTCACCTTCAGGTGTTTCGTCAGTCACATTTGATTGATCCAAGTCAGTTAATTCGTCTTTGACAGTTCCCCAGTTGTGAGATCCGCTACCTCCACGTTTGTCCTCGTGCTTCAGGCCACTGTAATGTGAAAAAGAAGATCTATCACTTCCACTATGCCTATCAAATTCACGTTTGCCACGAGAATCAAATCCATCTCCTCGGCCCATTCCACGTCCACGGCCCCCTCGACCTCTTCCAAGACCACCACGACCTCGAATAGGTCGGTCAATAATCGGTCTATCAACTGAAAATTAGCCTCCTTCACCCTTTTCTTCAAGTGGCTTTTCGAATCTTCGTTCACAAGGTGGTTGCCTTTCTGGTCTTCTATCAATTATTTTCCCCTCACCCTGAAGTTGTTGATCAGGTCTTCTTCCAACTCGTCTTATTCCTTCTTTCTTAAGCGCCACGGGCGGCTGCGTCTCCTCTTTCTTGTCAACCACGCCAACGCTGCGGGGCAGCGGGTTCTTGCGGTCTTTCTGGGACTCCTTGCGCAGCTGTTTGCCTGCCGCGTTGGAGTTGGTCTGGGCCGCCGCCTGAGCTGCGCTCTTGGCCCCAGGGCCCCCAACGCCACCCCTGCCGGCTTCTTTTTTCTTGTTCTCCGCTGCCTTCAGCACCTCGAAGGGGTCCGATTCGTCGTCAAATAACTGGTCGAATCGGTTGGTGACCACACAGCCGAAGCCTTCCTGTAAGTGCCCAGGCATGATGGTGGCTCGGCGGCGGGTTCCTCTACGGATTGCAGCGGGCCGCGCCGAGCCAAGAGCGCCTGCTTCAGCTCTTCCCACAAGATGGCCGGGCCAAGATGGAAGCAGGTATTTAATAATTTCACAAATGACCATAGAATTATATTTGTAAGAAATGCTATAAAGCAAAAGCTCAGGATGCCATGAAAGTATAGAACAGGGGCAACCGTGTTGTGGTTATATGATGTACCATGTCATATGTGCTGCAGTGGAAATGTACACGGGGAGCACCTGGGGGCCTGGAAGGGGAGCTTCACCCATACTGAGGCCAGATAAGGAAGGGTTCCTAAGAGAAGCAGAGTCTGGATCTTAGAAGACAAGTAAGAGGTAACCAGGCAAAGAAGAAGGGTGGGCTCCCAGGTTTCCACTATTTTCCTGGGTGGATGATGATGCTATTCAGCAAAGCAGAGTGCAGGAGAAAAGTAGGTTTAGGGATAGTGACAGTGAGTTTGATTTGGGTCAGTTTAAGTCTGAGATACTTGAGGAAATCTAAGTTAAAATGCCCAGAGGGGCCAGGCGCAGTGGCTCACACCTGTAATCCCAGCACTTTGGGAGGCCGAGGCAGGCGGATCATTTGAGGTTAGGAGTCCGAGACCAGCCTGGCCAACGTGGTGAAACCCCGTCTCTACTAAGGATACAAAAAAATTAGCTGGACATGGTGGCACGTGCCTGTAATCTCAGTTACTTGGGAGGCTGAGGCACGAGAATTGCTGGAACCCAGGAGGCAGAGGTTGCAGTGAGCCAAGATCGTGCCACTGCACTCCAGCCTGGGTGGCAGAGGGAGACCCTGTCTCAAAAAAAAGAAAAAAAGAAAAAAAAAAATGCCCAGAGGACAGAGAACTGTGTGAGTCTGGAGTTCAGCACAAAGATGAGAATGGATGAGAGAGGGAGAAAAACAGGAACTCAGGCTGAGAAGAGGTACACAGCAGAGAAGCTGGAAAAAGAGATAGAAGGAGCAGCTTAAGACAGGAGGAAAACCAGGAGAGAGCAATGCCGCAGAAGTCTCTGATGTTGAGACAGGGTCGAGAGTGTCCAGAGTTGTAGTGGGTCAAGCCAGATATGGACTTGCATAATTCTTGGGTTGGCATGGGAAGGCTGTTGGCATCTTCCACAGGTGCAGTTTCATGGGCTGATGAGAGTAGTAGGTGGAATGATGGGTATGGACATGGAAACAAACATCCTAGTTTCTGAAGTCTACATCTCTAGGGCAGGTATTTTAATTCCCAGGAAAGCAAAGTCTCCAACCACAAGAACAAAGCTGTTATGAAATATTAACAGTCACCAGGTGAGGCAGAGTGGGGATTGCTAGTCTCTGCACAGGAGTTGTTTTGGCGTCCCCGGAAACCACACCACCTATGCAGATTGGTGGTCCATCTTTCAGCAGCCCTGCTCAGGAATGTGCTCACAGTGTCCAGAAAATGTATTGTATTGTTTCTATGTTGGCATTTGACTGTTTTGGACATAATAAAGAGTGACCTTGCCTTACTTTCCTGTCAAATTATCTCTTTAGTCTTGGTTTTAAAGTGTGTCTTCTACCAACTGGGCTAAAGAAGTGCAGGCTTCTGTGAGTAGTCCATAGTTCTGGGCATGAGGTATGGCAGGGCATTATTTAGGATTTATCTTTTTTCTCCCTGTTTTCATTCTCTTTGTGTGTGTGTGTGTGTGTGTGTGTGTGTGTGTGTGTGTGTGTTTAAATATATTATAGCCATACAGAGTTCTAGAAGGTGGTCAACACATTATATATTTAATTAATTAATTGAAAAGTTCAAAATAAATAACAACAAAAGAAACCTGAAAATTTTAAGGACAAAGAGATAGTGTTGGGGAAAGGGAAGTAGCATTTATTTAGTGCTTATTATGCTCTAAGACAGCTCTTCCTGGTCAAACTGTGTCCATTGACCAGTGACGTTAGTATCAATTGGGAGCTTGTCAGAAATGTACACTGTAAGCCCCACTCAGAGCCACCTACTCAGAATCTACGTCCCGTATGATTGTGCACACACTAGAGTTTGAGAAACACTGCTCTGGGTTGATTATAAATTGTCCCATTTATTCCTCATAGCAAAGCCGTGAAGTACAGGTAATTATACCCCAGATCAGTCAGGGTCACTGGAGAAACAGAACCAGCAGTAGATAATATTAAAAGATTTATTACAAGGAATTGGCATACATGACTGTAGGGGTTGGCTAAGCAAGTCTTTTACTGCAACTACTCTGCCACTACAGTGGGAAAACTGTCATGGATGATATGTAAATGAATGAGTGAGCTGGGTTCTCATAAAATACACTGAAATTTGAATTACATAAAATTCTCATGTGATACAAAATATTTTTTTTTCCCCTAACTATTTAAACTTGTAAAAACTGTTCTTAGCTTGTGGGCAAGACAAGTATAGGCAGTGCATTGTATTTGGCCCACAGGCTATAGTCTGTCAGACCTTGATCTATAATATGTACTTGGGTACTTAACTGCAAATATCAACTAAATTCTGACTAGTCCACATCTATAGGACAGGCAGCCAGGAAGATTGTGGGCAGTCTGCAACCCCTGGGCATGAGCTGAAGCTGTTCTCCACAGGGAAGTCAGGAAGGGATGATTCAGTGAAGGGAGAGCAATTGTGGACCCAGGTGCTGTTTGGAGCCTCATTGACAAGGAAGAGCCCAATCCCTTATAAAGGCCCACCTGATTAGGTCAGGCCCATCAAAGATGATGTCTGTAGCTTAAAGTCAACTGATTAGGGATTTTGTTAACATCTGTGAAATCTCACAGCAGCATCTAGATTAGTGTTTGACTAAATAACTGGGAAAAAGTTTATGTATGCTACCAATGGCTCTGTCCTTCCTTCTGTGCTCATAGTTTAGCCTAGCCCTGTTGACATGAAAAACCATCACATCTTCATTTTTCAGCAAACAGATGTCATAGGCCTAGTAAGTGGTGCCCTTGGGTCATAGGCCTAGTAAGTGGTGCCCTGGCATTCAACCCCAGGACTGTCTACCATGATGCTTCTAGAAGTATTATCACTTTTCAAGATGTGTTGATGAGACCAGTACTTGTAGAATTAATGCTGCGTGTCAGTTGATCAAAAATTATTTGCAAAGCTCCTGTTGTATCTTGTGTAGGAGCCTGTGGTAGGTAGGCACTTTGTGAGTGTGATTTAGTTGAAAGCAAATAGAGTGAAAGGCAAGTCAACTGACTGAAGGGGTTTATGGCATGTAGCTGTTTTATTGGCTTCAGCTTTGTTAAAGTAAACTTGATTTATCAAGATTATTGTCTTGCAGAATTTAGATGGAATGTATTTGTGCCAGAGTTTATAGATTGCAGGTTAGTTGTTAGCCTTTTCAGATAAAACTGCAGATGGTATTTGAATCCCTATGCTCACGGGATTGTTTTTCACTTTAGAGGCTGTTTGTAAGCTTAGGTTATTAGCTTTAGAGAAGATTTGAATATGAGTATTTTTTTAATCTAATAAAGTTATTTGCTTTTCTTGATTGTTAGAAAAAAACTCCAGCAAGTTGTGACCAGACGCCTTGCATTCCTGACTGGTTGATTGTCATACAGTTTTATTTTGAGAACATGCAGTATTTTGGTTAGCATGTAAAAATATCTATACTTGATGCAGATCAGAACAAGCAAAATCTTTGAACTGTAGACAGCTAATAAGTGCAATTTGCCTACTTCTTGAAAATCATCAACCTTGGCTTTGACTCTTGTCTGTTTGTGATTTCTGTGTCTTTGTTCTCAGACTCTCTTGTCCTATCCTAATAACCTATGTTTCAATCAAGGCTTAATTTGGCATTTTCTATTCAAAATGCTTTTGTGGTTCTTTTTGAGGCTATCCTCTTTGCTGACCCTTTCCTATAAACCTGCTGAGTCTCGTTGCTTTCTTGTGCCTCATGACTCCAAAAAACACTTAACCTTAAGGTTGAATATTCCACAGTTGTCATGGGAAAAGTGCTGTGTGTAAGACATATAGCTGTTTGGTAACATCAGAAACTTGGGGTTTTCAACATACATAGGTCAGGAAATTGATAACCTATGGTTAAACTTGCAGAAGATTCATATTTTACTTTTTCCACAAACAGCTTTGATGAATGTCTGATTTTTTTAGAGAGTTGAGAAACAGCTGTTTGATAGACTGCTTGGGAAATTAAGATCTTGCTCATACTTTTTTTTTTTTCCTCCAAGAATCATGAAACCTTGATAGGAGCCTGGGCCAGAGAATACTAAATGGTGATCAGTTATCAGGGATATCTATTATAAATGCCATCTGTTCAAGGCTTCACATATATTTAATAGCATATTTTGCTGAAGTACTCTATTTATCATAAAGCCTGTCACTTGTGAACTATGTGGAAGTGTGTATTAATTTGGAGCCACCGTATTAAGTTTGAATCACATGAGGCTTATTAGCATTTGCCAGGTCAGGACCTGCTTGGATTCTCACCCCATTGTTTTATATAGATATAGTTTTAAGACAAACTTACTGGTTTTTTTCATGTAAAGCTTGTCACCCAGACCACAGCAGGAATATGCAATGTGACACAAATCACTGTACAAACGGTTGCAGCTGTATTCTTCAATGATTTCCCAGTAGACAACATCAAAATTGTGTTCTGATTAGTTATTTTCTAGTGGCAACTAAATATATAAATAACAAGAAGATCGTAATGTGATGGGAGTTTCCCGGGGTAAAAACCCTTAATGGGTCATGCTATTGCTTTTCAGTGTTTTGTCTTCTTTTCATTCTGCTGCTCTGCTATGTCTAATTATGCCTAAACTCCAGCAGAAGTTTTATTTGTGTATTTTATGCCAACATGTATTATAGTAATATATGTACTTAGCTTCTCTCCAAATCTTTGAGCCTAAAATCTGGTCTGATTTACTTTAGTTTTTTCCAAAGCACACAATAAATATTTTTGAGGGAATGCATGCATGGATGAGAATGAAAGTGTTGCCTCATTTAAAGAGAAACTGTGGTCAACTCTCTATACAAATGGTAGAAACGAGAGGTGGAAGGGACATATTCTAGAGTCCAGTTTCCTTTCCTGGTGTTTGAAGGTTCAAACAGAGCTGCAAAGCTACTTGTATGTTCTTCACTGTGTTACTTTGTTGGAGAAAATGAATCTTTTAATCAAGCGTGATGTTTTAGAAGAGGCACCCATGGAGTGATGAAAGGGGAGAGGGCCCTTAGCTTTGTCCTCATCAGCTGGACAAGCAGAAGGATGACATCACCCCCACACCTGCTTTTCTAATTGGGCGAGATGATGATTCATAGACCCCATTTACAAAGGTGTGGAGGGGTGATAGCTGACTTTTGCCCTTTGTAGAAGTTATTCCTCAAACTTTGTCCCCATAGTTGGCAGCCTCAGGCCTCAGGTGTCCTACTGTCTCCCCAGGCATTTCTGGGGGAGAAGTCAAGGAACTAAAGTCATAGCTAAAATTAAGACTATTGCCCCTCAGAAAGATATCTGTCCTCATGGTGAGACATAGCCTATAAATGCTGTTGCTATCCTTTTTTTTTCTTTTCTTTTTTCTGAGATGGAGTCTTATTCTGTTGCCCAGGCTGGAGTGCAGTGGCAAGATCTCAGCTCACTGCAACCTCCGCCTCTCAGGTTCAAGCGATTCTCCTGCCTCAGCCTCCCTAGTAACTGGGACTACAGGTATGTGCTATCACACCCGGCTAATTTTTTGTATTTTTAGTAGAGACAGAGTTTCACCGTGTTAGCCAGGATGGTCTTGATCTCCTGACCTTGTGATCTGCCCGACTTGGCCTCCCAAAGTGCTAGGATTGCAGGCATGAGCCACCACGCCTGGCTCCTGTTGCTATTCTTAAAGACAGCATCAGCATTTGATTTTATGCGTCTGTTTCAGTACATCAGGATCAACAGAGGTGCTGTTGGTGATGCAATTAAACAAGACCTTAAGAATCTGGTACTAAAGTTTAAATTCACCAAGTGTAGGGTGCATATGATTAACGAGAGGTAGAATTTGTCTGAGTGGGGTCTTGGTCACCTGTCAACAGTTATCCTTCCTTTGCCTTTTCCCCTTTCTTTCTATGGAAACAAATACTCTATAGCTGTAGTGGTATGCATTTACATAAACTTGATTCCTTCCTCTGTGGAGAAAAGGAAGGTGTCTTATCAGCCAGGGTTCTACCAGAGAAACAGAACCAGTAGGACAGTCTATCTGTCTGTCTATCTATCTATCTATCTATCTATCTATCTATCTATCTAATCTATCTATCTATATTTAGGTTGGTGCAAAGGTAATTGAGGTTTTGACCATTACTTTTAATGTCAAAAACTGCAATTACTTTTGCATCAACCTAATATTTCAGGGAATTGGCTCATCTGATGATGGAGGCTGGCTAGGCCACTGGACCTTGCAGTCCACAGGTGAAATTTTTTCCTCCTCAGGGAAACTTCAGCTCTACTTATAAGGCCTTTCAACTGTTTGGATCAGGCCCAACAAGAATATAAAGGAACATTGCTTTTACTTAAAGTCAACTGATTATAGATGTTGATCACATCTATAAAATTACCTTCACAGTAATGCCTAGATTAGCATTTGATTGAATAACTGGGGACTGTAGCTTAGCCAAGTTGACACATAAAACTGACCATCACATAAGGGTTTTTGCACATTGAGCTCCAGATTTTATATGGACTCTGTAAAGGGAAACATTCTGTATTTTTCTAATGAAGGGTCACCAATACCATAATCACTGGTTTAGTCCTTGCATAGACAGTTGGCATTACTCTGTCCCCGTCCTCATGCTATAAATGACTATAAAAGGGCAGCGGTATGGATGGACAGTCATAAAAACACCATTATGGGTGAAAAACAGCTCAAAGTATGTGCCCTACAGATGCGGTTTTATTTCCAGCTATTATCTAATTAATTATGTCCAGGTGAAGAGGCATGTGGTATTACTGCCGAACTGTAGGTGAGACCCAGACTAAGGCAAAAGGTTTGCTCATGTTAAAGGATACAGTAAGTCATTGGAGGACTGCCTGGGGATATACATCATCTGCTTCTAGTTCTGACATATTTACCTGTAAGCTTTGCCTCTCCTGACTTATCTGACCACATGTATGATTATATCATGTCTCATTTAAATGCACAATTGTGGATAATATTTTCATTAAACTTAGTTTTGACTTCTCAAAACTGGAGGATAAAAGAAATACTCCCTGCTTAGCTGCATTGGAGATGAATGGACGAGGTAGTGCATCCCACTTGGTTTCCTTCAGTTCAGACTGGACTGCCATAATCATTTTCTCTGATATTCCTATAATGAGCTTTCACTTTCTTGATCACTTTCGTTGAACTTCCCTGTGTCTTCTTGCATTGTTCTTGGAATACTGAGGCTGGAAACATGTACTCAGTTCTTCAGGTTCAGAACATGATATGAGCAGAAGATAAGGATGTGTTTCTATCATCCCAAGGATGTTTTTGCTGGATCTTTCTCCTTTAAAAGTTGATGTGTCCCAAACTTTTAGGGATGTAGGCCTTCTTCTCTTGCTGTAGTCTCTTTCCAAGTGTTCTCATTCGGCTCTATGGTTCAAATATGTCTGTACTGACTTAAAAATTCTTCCCTCTAGCCCTGACCTCTCCCATGGCAGACACAGATGGCAAGTCTCTATTTTACTTCTCTATTTGCATATATAATAATCCTCAGATTTCACAAGTTCAAAAAAGAACTCTTTATTCCATATTTCCTTCCCAATCAATTTCTTCCAATTTCCCTTTACCTCATATAATTTTTGGCTAAAGCCAAATGTCTCATAGTTGTTTCTAATTCTACCCTCCACATCCAATGCATATAAATTCTACTTCCTAAAGTAGACCCTCAAACCTATTCCAAAAATTTTTCATCTTTTGCCTGCACTGATGCATTAGCCATCTAACCTGGTTCTGTTGTTTCTACTGTTGGCCAGCTACATCCTTTCCTGGCCGCAGAAAACCTCAGCTAAATATATTAAATTCAGATCAGGCCCTTTCTTTTGTATAATTTCTTCTGATGCTTTTCTGGTGCACTTAGTGCACACTCTTTACCTTGGTCTGCATCTTCCTGCCTCCCCCTCAGACCTCAGCTCAGATTCTTCACCTTATGACCCACTACAGTACAGCCGCTGTGACTTCCTTTCCTCACATGTCAGTCAAATTTGTTACTAGCCCAAGCTTTTGCACTGTTTAGTCTTTCTCCCTGGAATACTCCCTCAGAAACCCCACATGACTGGCTCCCCCTCCTTCTTCAGATCTCATTGTAAAATCACTTCCTCAGAGAGGCCTTCCCTGTCTATGCTCTCTGAACTGGTCATTTCTCCCACCTCCCTTCTTCATTTCCCCCATTCACTGCTTTTTTTTTTCTTCCCATTGTTTGGTTATTTACTGTTTATCATCATCTGCTAGAATGTACTATTGTGAAGGCAAAGTCTTCCCACCCACCTATCCTCTTTTCCTCCTTCTCTCCCTTCTTTCCTTCTTTCTTTCCCTCCTTCCATCCCCCATCCCCCCACCACACCCCTTCCCTTCCCTTCCATTCCCTTCCCTTCCCTTCCCTTCCCAGTTTCCCATAGCACAAGATAGTACCTGACACAGAGAATTTGCTTAGTACATGTTATTTGAATGGTTACACAAATGGTTGTTTGTTTTATTGTGCTTCTGTTGTGTAGCAATGTACTAGGCTGACAGTTTCAAGGGGTTCCATGGACTGAATTGTTTACACTGCCAAATTCATATGTTTAAGACCTAACATCCAATGTGAGTATATTTGGAGATAGGGCCTTTACAGAAGTAATTAAGATAAAACAACAAAAGATGTAATTAGGGTTAAATGAGGTCATAAGAGTGGGATCTTGATCCCATAGACTTAGTGTGATTATAAGAAAAGGAAGAGAGACCAGAGCTCACTTGCTGTCTCCATACGTGCACACTGAAAAACACTCAGTGAGAGGGTGGCCATCTGCAAGCCGGGAAGACTCCTCACCAGAAAATGAATTGGCTGGCAGCTTGCTCTTGGACTTTTCAGCCTCCAGAACTGTGAGAAGAAATTTCTGTTGCTTAAGCCACCCAGTCTACGTATATTGTTATAGCACCCTCAGCAAACTAAGACAAGACAAAGGGTGATCTACAGTGACTGTCAGGTTGCTTTTGTAGGTCTTAGCACATGTCTGGATCTTCTCACCTTTCACCTGTAATTTAGGTGGAATTCTCTTAAATGTGGTAACATTCTCTCATTTAAAAAGATGTACCAATTGTTGGCCTTGTCATCTAGCTTTTTGGATCATCAGTTAAACCGGCATTTTATTGCTCTAGGGAATTATTGTTATTTTATGAATTAGAAATTCATCAATATGTTAAAATATATTACAGTAACGTGAAAAAATGTTTAAAGAAATCTGTTCGCACTACCAAATCCTCGGGATTTGTTTGTATTATTTTCTTTTTTTTTTTTTTTAATTATTATACTTTAAGTTTTAGGGTTCGTGTGCACAACGTGCAGGTTTGTTACACATGTATACATGTGCCATGTTGGTGTGCTGCACCCATTAACTCATCATTTAGCATTAGGTATATCTCCTAATGCTATCCCTCCCCGCTCCCCCCACCCCACAACAGGCCCCGGTGTGTGATGTTCCCCTTCCTGTGTCCATGTGTTCTCATTGTTCAATTCCCACCTATGAGTGAGAACATGCGGTATTTGGTTTCTTGTCCTTGTGATAATTTGCTGAGAATGATGGTTTCCAGCTTCATCCATGTCCCTACAAAGGACATGAACTCATCATTTTTTATGGCTGTATAGTATTCCATAGTGTATATGTGCCACATTTTCTTAATCCAGTCTATCATTGTTGGACATTTGGGTTGGTTCCATGTCTTTGCTACTGTGAATAGTGCTGCAATAAACATACGTGTGCATGTGTCTTTACAGCAGCATGATTTATAATCCTTTGGGTATGTTTTTGGTTCTGTTTATATGCTGGATTACGTTTATTGATTTTCGTATGTTGAACCAGCCTTGCATCCCAGGAATGAAGCCCACTTGATCATGGTGGATAAGCTTTTTGATGTGCTGCTGGATTCAGTTTGCCAGTATTTTATTGAGGATTTTTGCTTTGATGTTCATCACGGATATTGGTCTAAAATTGTCTTTTTTGGTTGTGTCTCTGCCAGGCTTTAGTATCAGGATGATGCTGGCCTCATAAAATGAGTTAGGGAGGATTCCCCCTTTTTCTATTGATAGGAATAGTTTCAGAAGGAATGGTACCAGCTCCTTCTTGTACCTCTGGTAGAATTCGGCTGTGAATCCTGGACCTTTTTTGGATAGTAAGCTATTAATTATTGCCTCAATTTCAGAGCCTGTTATTGGTCTATTCAGAGATTCAACTTCTTCCTGGTTTAGTTTTGGGAGAGTGTATGTGTCGAAGAATTTATCCATTTCCTCTAGATTTTCTAGTTTATTTGCGTAGAGGTGTTTATAGTATTCTCTGATGGTAGTTTGTATTTCTGTGGGATAGGTGGTGATATCCCCTTTGTCATTTTTTAGTACGCCTATTTGATTCTTCTCTCTTTTCTTCTTTATTAGTCTTGCTAGTGGTCTATCAGTTTTGTTGATCTTTTCAAAAAACCAGCTCCTGGATTCATTGATTTTTTGAGGGGTTTTTTGTGTCTCTATTTCCTTCAGTTCTGCTACGATCTTAGTTACTTCTTGCCTTCTAATAGCTTTTGAATGTGTTTGCTCTTGCTTCTCTAGTTCTTTGAATTGCAATGTTAGGGTGTCAATTTTAGATCTTTCCTGCTTTCTCTTGTGGGCATTTGGTACTATAAATTTCCCTCTACACACTGCTTTGAATGTGTCCCAGAGATTCTGGTATGTTGTGTCTTTGTTCTCATTGGTTTCAAAGAACATCTTTATTTCTGCCTTCATTTCGTTATGTACCCAGCAGTCATTCAGGAGCAGGTTATTTATTTTCCATGTAGTTGAGCGGTTTTGAGTGAGTGTCTTAATCCTGAGTTCTAGTTTGATTGCACTGTGGTCTGAGAGACAGTTTGTTATCATTTCTGTTCTTTTACACTTGCCAAGGAGTGCTTTACTTCCAAGTATGTGGTCAATTTTGGAATAGGTGTGGTGTGGTGCTGAAAAGTGTATATTCTGTTGATTTGGGGTGGAGAGTTCTGCAGATGTCTATTAGGTCTGCTTGGTGCAGAGCTGAGTTCAATTCCTGGATATGCTTGTTAACTTTCTGTCTCGTTGATCTGTCTAATGTTGACAGTGGGGTGTTAAAGTTTCCCATTATTATTGTGTGGGAGTCTAAGTCTCTTTGTAGGTCTCTAAGGACTTGCTTTATGAATCTGGGTGCTCCTGTATTGGGTTCATATATATTTAGGATAATTAGCTCTGCTTGTTGAATTGATCCCTTTACCATTATGTAGTGGCCTTCTGTGTCTCTTTTGATCTTTCTTGGTTTAAAGTCTGTTTTATCAGAGACTAGGATTGCAACCCCTGTCTTTTTTTGTTTTCCATTTGTTTGGTAGATCTTCCTCCATCCCTTTATTTTGAGCCTATGTGTGTCCCTGCACGTGAGATGGGTTACCTGAATACAGCACACTGATGGGTCTTGACTCTTTATCCAATTTGCCAGTCTGTGTCTTTTAATTGGAGCATTTAGCCCATTTACATTTAAGGTTAATATTGTTATGTGTGAATTTGATCCTGTCATTATGATGTTAGCTGGTTATTTTGCTTGTTAGTTGATGCAGTTTCTTCCTAGCCTCGATGGTCTTTACAATTTGGCATGTTTTTGCAGTGGCTGGTACTGGTTGTTCCTTTCCATGTTTAGCGCTTCCTTCAGGAGCTCCTTTAGGGCAGGCCTGGTGGTGACAAAATCTCTCAGCATTTGCTTGTCTCTAAAGGATTTTATTTCTCCTTCACTTATGAAGCTTAGTTTGTCTGGATATGAAATTCTGGGTTGGAAATTCTTTTCTTTAAGAATGTTGAATATTGGCCCCCACTCTCTTCTGGCTTGTAGAGTTTCTGCCGAGAGATCAGCTGTTAGTCTGATGGGCTTCCCTTTGTGGGTAACCCGACCTTTCTCTCTGGCTGCCCTTAAGATTTTTTCCTTCATTTCAACTTTGGTGAATCTGACAGTTAGGTATCTTGGAGTTGCTCTTCTCGAGGAATATCTTTGTGGCATTCTCTATATTTCCTGAATGTGAATGTTGGCCTGCCTTGCTAGATTGGGGAAGTTCTCCTGGCTAATATCCTGCAGAGTGTTTTACAACTTGGTTCCATTCTCCCCGTCACTTTCAGGTACACCAATCAGATGTAGATTTGGTCTTTTCACATAGTCTCATATTTCTTGGAGGCTTTGCTCGTTTCTTTTTATTCTTTTTTCTCTAAACTTCTCTTCTCGCTTCATTTCATTCATTTGATCTTCCATCACTGATACCCTTTCTTCCAGTTGATCGAATTGGCGACTGAGGCTTGTGCATTCATCACGTATTTCTTGTGCTTTGGTTTTCAGCTCCATCAGGTCCTTTAAGGACTTCTCTGAATTGGTTATTCTGGTTAGCCATTCATCTAGTTTTTTTTCAAGGTTTTTAACTTCTTTGCCATGGGTTCAAACTTCCTCCTTTAGCTCGGAGTAGTTTGACCATCTGAAGTCTTCTTCTCTCAACTTGTCAAAGTCACTCTCCATCCAGCTTTGTTCCGTTGCTGGTGAGGAGCTGCGTTCCTTTGGAGGAGGAGAGACACTCTGATTTTTACGGTTTTCTGTTTTTCTGCTCTGTTTTTTCCCCATCTTTGTGGTTTTATCTACCTTTGGTCTTTGATGGTGGTGATGTACAGATGGGGTTTTCGTGTGGATGTCCTTTCTGTTGGTTAGTTTTCCTTCTAACAGTCAGGTCCCTCAGCTGCAGGTCTGTTGGAGTTTGCTGGAGGTCCACTCCAGACCCTGTTTGCCTGGGTATCAGAAGCAGAGGCTGCAGAACAGTGGATATTGGTGAACAGCAAATGTTGCTGCCTGATCGTTCCTCCGGAAGTTTTGTCTCAGAGGAGTACCCGGCCGTGTGAGGTGTCAGTCTGCCCCTACTAGGGGGTGCCTCGCAGTTAGGCTACTCGGGGGTCAGGGACCCACTTGAGGAGGCAGTCTGTCCGTTCTCAGATGTCCAGCTGCGTGCTGGGAGAACCACTGCTCTCCTCAAAGCTGTCAGCCAGGGACATTTAAGTCTGCAGAGGATTCTGCTGCCTTTTGTTTGGCATTGCCCTGCCCCCAGAGGTGGAGTCTGCAGAGGCAGGCAGGACTCCTTGAGCTGCAGTGGGCTTCACCCAGTTCGAGCTTCCTGGCTGCTTTGTTTACCTACTCAAGCCTGGGCAATGGCGGGCGCCCCTCCTCCAGCCTCGCTGCCACCTTGCAGTTTGATCTCAGACTGCTGTGCTAGCAATGAGCAAGGCTCTGTGGGCGTAGGACCCTTCGAGCCAGGCGTGGGATATAATCTCCTGGTGTGCCATTTGCTATGATCCTTGGAAAAGTGTAGTATTAGGGTGGGAGTGACCCGATTTTCCAGGTGCTGTCTTGTCACCCCTTTCTTTGACTAGGAAAGGGATTCCCCTGACCCCTTGCGCTTCCCCGGATGAGGCAATGCCTCACCCTGCTTCGGCTCACACTCAGTGCGCTGCACCCACTGTCCTGCACCCACTTTCTGACACTCCCCAGTGAGATGCACCTGGTACCTTAGTTGGAAATGCATAAATCACCCATCTTCTGCATCACTCACGCTGGGAACTGTAGACTGGACCTGTTCCTATTCGGCCATCTTGGCTCCCCTCTCCCTGGCATGTTGTTATTCTTATTACTTTTTTTTTTTTTTTACTTTTTTTTAACCTGAAGGCAGATTTCTTATTTATTTATTTATTATGTTTTAATTTTTGTTTGAGATGGAGTCTTGCTCTGTCACCCAGGCTGGAGTGCAGTGGCAAGATCTCGGCTCATTGCAAGCTCCGCCTCCCGGGTTCATGCCATTCTCCTGCCTCAGCCTCCTGAGTAGCTGGGTCTACAGGCACCCGCCACCACACCCGGCTAATTTTTTGAATTTTTAGTAGAGATGGGGTTTCACCGTGTTAGCCAGGATGGTCTTGATCTCCTGACCTTGTGATCCGCCTGCCTTGGCCTCCCAAAGTGCTGGGGTTACAGGTGTGATCCACCTTGCCCAGCCAGATTTCTTATTTATAACAAGATCATATCTTATTGATTGTAGTATCTCTAGCATCTGGTACAGTAAAACATCTATTCTAGAACATAATATTGGCTTAAAAATTTTACTGGGTAAATAATGAATTTTTTCTGGACCCATGCTAATTTGTTCTTAAGTCTTTGGTATAAAACCTTACTAGAGGTCTTTGGAAAGATTAAATTATATACTTTAGAATAATCCTTATTTACTCTTATTTTGCCTGTTTTTTATTCTTCATCTTGTTGTTCAAAATTAAAGCCATGAACTAAATTTAGATAACTTTTTTTTTTTCCTGAATTGGTGTCTCTAACTTGATTGTAATGGTGTCTGTGGGCATATATTCCACAGTATTTCTGATAGTGATTGAGTATTGTTTTCACTTTAAGATTTCATATATTCTCTGTTCCTCAGAAGTATTGAAAAGAAAAACGTATGTGAAGTATTTGGAATAATGTCCTCTTTATCATATAAGAGACTTGAGAAACGCCAACTTCAATTTGTGGGGCTTGAATGAGATTTTTTTCCTCTGTAGAGTTTTAATGAGAATCATGGGATTCCATAAGTGCCGTTGTTTATAGAACTTTTGAAACTGAAGTTGAGAATGAGCAAAAATTGGTTGCAATGCAGGGAAGTATGAAAAACAAGAGAGAGAAGTGGAGGGGAGATTGGGACAAAGTAGAACAGAAATATGGGTGAGATTACAGGGCTATTATGTGCTGGAAGCTTGAGATGAAGTTTTGTAAACATTTGTAAAAATTCCTTTCATCCTTTTGCTTGTACAGGCAATTCTTTTTTTTATACCTCAACAATGATGCTTATCATTTAACTATAGTTATTTTGGGTCTACTCTTACCCCACACTTCCTGTAAAATTAGTCTGGGCTCTGAAGTCACACTGCTGGGGTTGAAATCCTGGTTCTACCACTTAACATTTCTGTGCCTTTGGGCAAATTAACTAAATTTCTGTATGCCTCAAAGAAGTAAAGACACATCTGTAAAGCGGGACAAACAGTTCAAAGGATTGTCATGGGGATTAAATGAGTTTATTCATGTAAATGACTGGCATACAATAAGATGTCACAATTAGTTTTTTTAATCATCATCTTCATCCTCATCATCTTTATTTCTCTGAGGGAGACTAGAATGTCAATATTTTATTAATTGAATTATCTTCTCAAGGGATGCATGGCCTTATGAAAGGATTCTAATGTAGAAAAGCCCAAAAGTCGGGCAATTTGTTGGATAGAAAATGTAGCTTGTTTCAGATACATAGAGAAGGTTGGGCAAGGAAAAAGTATTGAGACAAGGGAAAGAGGTGAGCGTAAAGAGTGGACTGGGCTGGGAGTGGTGGCTCATGCCTGTAATCCCAGCACTTTGGGAGGCTAAGGCGGGTGGATCATGAGGTCAGGAGATCGAGACCATCCTGGCTAACACGGTGAAACCCCATCTCTACTAAAAATACAAAAAATTAGCTGGGCGTGGTGGTGGGCGCCTGTAGTCCCAGCTACTCTGGAGGCTGAGGCAGGAGAATGGCGTGAACCCAGGAGGTGGAGCTTGCAGTGAGCCGAGATTGAGCCACTGCACTCCAGCCTGGGTGACAGAGTGAGACTCCCTCTCAAAAAAAAAAAAAGAGTGGACTGAATGCAACACTTTTATAGCAGGACTATGTAGCAGATGCTTTTTATGCTTTCCTTCATATCTCCTCCACCCACCTCTGATTTCAGCTCTTTATTTTGGGGGTTGCAGGAGAGTGACAGTTCCATGAGAGGCCAGACTCTCTGACCGAGCCCCCATCTTAACCACAAGGCGGCCTCTTTTCACTTTCAATCTCAGGACCTCCTCAGACACCACTGAAGTCAGACTGGCCAGTGGGCAAGGATGGCTTACAAGTGTAGGAGGAGTGAGTCCCCCCTGACAGCCTTCAGTCAGTAACTCCAGCCTCTAGCCCTGCAGATGAACATTCTGGGAAGCATCCTTTTTTCCTTTTAGAGGTCCCGTGGGCATACAGCCCAGTCGACTATTATTTTTTATGACAAACCTTTGCATTAGCATTTCCTCTGTCTTGATCTCATTCTTCTCTTCCACTTACTCATGCTTTCTGAGACATCTTCCCAAATGAATTAAGTCCTTGACCTTGTCTCAGGCCCTGCTTTGAGAGGAACCTAAACGAAAAGAAAAAGAAAGAAAGAGTGTAGGAACTTGATAGGTCAGCATTCAATTGGAATGCTTTTGCTGCTCTCTCTGGTTCATAGCTTGCTGCTGAAATACCTTGGAGATATTGAAGTATCTTAACTTGTTTCCACTACAGTTGACCCTTGAACAACATGGGTTTCAACTGAGTGGCTCTATGTTATCATGGATTCTCTTCCACCTCCGCCACCCCTGAGACAACAAGGCCAACCCCTCCTCTTCCTTCTTCACTTCCTCACCTATTCAACATGAAGATGATGAAGATGAGGACCTTTATGATAATCCATTTCCACTCAGTAAATAGTAAATATATTTTCTCTCGCTTATGATTTTCTGAATACCACTTTATTTTCTCTGGCTTACTTTATTCTAAGTATACAGTATATAATACATATAACATACAAAACATGTGTTAATTGACTGTTTATATTATCAGTAAGATGTCCAGTCAACAGTAGGCAATTAGTAGTTATAGTTTGGGGGAATCAAGAGTTATACGTGGATTTTTGACAGTGCAGGTGTTGGCACCCCTAACTGCTGTGTTGTTCGAGGGTCAAATGTGTATTGAAACTTTATTGAGAGCAGGAACAATTTTTACATGTATTTTATGTTCCCCACCTCCTGTCACTAGGTAGTAGGCATATTTGTTGATAGATTGGTTTTCTAGTTGAATCTCATTCCTCTTGGGACTGCAGTTTACGGTAATCTAGTTTTACCAGCAGAGAGACAGTGGAAAATGACAAATGAGTTCTATTAGTTTGGGGATTTAAGTTTTTAAGAACAGTGGCTCAAGTGATCTTTGTAGCTGAAGAACAACTGTGGCCTCTGCAAGTAGTTATCTCTCCAGAGATGATTACCTCTGTGGGCTGCTCCTTTTCTTGATGAGCCTTCATGTAAGAGTGAAGTTTCTTGGCTGTTTTCGATCTATTTTTATGAGAAAGAAATGAATTCTTTGGGGGTTGGGGGATACTAATGTAAGGCATTTGTCTACAGAGCATGAAAGCAATTTTTCCAAATTAGTAATTAAACAAATCAGTAAAAATGGTCAAAATAAAGTAAAACCAATCAGTATTTTGAAACAATTAGTATTTCCAAAATGTCAATTTATCTTTTTTGGCCTTAACTCATATTCTCTCAAAAGAGATTCGTGAGAAGACCTGCTGACTGGCATGGTGTCCAGACTTCCACCTCCTAAGAGAATTATGCTAACATTGATTTGATTAAGAAAATAAGTAGTGCATTAGGATCAATGATGGGCCGTGTGTAACCAGGCCCATGAGGTAACAAACATGGGGACTGTTTTAATAATTTAATGAATGGAAAGTGCTTAGAATTGTGTCTTGGAACATGGTGAGTCAGTACTCAGTAAAGTTAGCCCTAATGATGATGGATGAATAAAAATCATAAAAGTAGTGGGGAAATAGCTCTAATACTTTAAACTTGTACTTTATTTGGGATTATAGGGTAGAAGATATGATAAGGATAGGCAAAAATAGTTCCCTGCCTTTGTGAAATATGATTTCTGTACAGAAGTAGGTATAGGTAATAACAACCACCATCACCACCCTAACTGCCTGCTCATTCAATGTGAAGCAGTTGAACACAGGTCTTGTCTAATGGCTGGAGTCATGTGGATCTGATACTGGATGATGAAATGTTACTGTCGACAGTAGGTTTCTAGCCCTTGTCAGAACCTTATTTTTGCTGTAGTTGTTACTACTGTAAATAGATGTCAAGTTAACCAAAAATGAAAAGATCTCTTTTCCTGATCACAGCATGTGTTGAACCACAAACAGTTCCCTGTAAGCTTCTGGGATATATGAGCCTGTGCCTTAAATTTTAACACATGCATGATATGGAGCTCCTGACAGATAAGGCCACACCCCTGTCATATGTTATTGCTGACATATTTCTCCCAAAGCAGCGCTGCTGATTATTATGAAAGCAGGGCAAGCTTGAGTGAAGAAAGGATATGCTTCAGTTGAAAGAAAATAGAGAGCAACTTCTAACACGTACTTGGAGGCTGTCTTTCACCTTTTTCTCTGTGTTATTTTGAAGCGGGTAAAGGGATTGATGCAACACTGATGTGATCGATCTATTCAAGAAAGTAAAATATCCAAGTTTGTTCTGGGCCCTGTATTGCATTTTTTTTTTCCAGACTAGTAGCTACCAAAGAAGTCAGTGTGGCATCAGTTTAATGAAATGTCTGCTAGTAAATTGTCATTTATAATTATTCAGTATATTTACCTGCATAGTTATATTTTCATCACTCAAAGTAGCTGTACTTCAAGGGGAGATGCCTCTGCTTATGGAGAAAGTGATGAGAATGTTGTAACTTGGTTTTCAGCATGCCTTGAATATATATATATATATGTATATATATAAATACGTATATATATATATATGTTAAATATATATATTTATCTTCAAATATGGAAGGCCAAAGTGAAAATCTTTTTCTGTCTTCCCCAAATATTCTGTTTTCAAGCCTTCCTTTCTCTTCAACATAATGAGTTCTCAGTAATGATTTGAACTTTGTTCATACTTTTCTGATCTCAGATGTATTCTTATTGCATTTGCACAGGGCACATATTTCACTGTGGCTTTTATTATTTGCCTTTGTGTCTGCCTCTCCTCCCTGGGGTCAGGGATCATGTCTTATCCTTTTCTGGTGTTGGTGGGAACACCGGTGCTTTTCACAAAGTCAACACTCAAGAACTGTTACTTTGATGAAATGCTTATTTAGTAAATATGAAGATACTATAGTTATTTTATTAAGTACCAATTCCAAAAGCATGAAGTTTTTGATGAATTAGAAGTTAGGTAAAGAACAAAATACTAGTTAATTGGAATCACAAGATTTCAAAAAGTGTATGGAATTTTAGAGGAACTCGAAACTTTAGCCTAACCTTTGTTTCACAGATGGGGAATCTTGACTTGCTTTGGATAAGAAACCCATGGGTCATGCCCTCCCATCTTTCAGTGCTTTGACTAGAGAGCTGAGGAATTGGCCTATGAGAGACCTGTTGTCAAATTAATTCTCAGAGGTTTATAAGGGCTCTGAGCTCTCACCCCATATCCACCCCTCTACATAGGATGTGCATGAATTCTGACGTTCTGACTCAACCAATTGCTTCTGAAATTTGTAATATTAAAGACAAAATAAAGTTAGTTTTGTAGCATAATGCCTGCTCATTTTAACTGACTGCAAAGCCAGGATTTAAGATGTCGCTGATGAGGAAAAAAGGTGTCAAAAATGCAAACAGCATTGAAGATATTTTTGCAAACTTCCAGGGCCTCTCTTCTGAGGATTCAGTGTGAGTTGGGAGAAAAGGGGGAAGAAGAAAAGAAAATAAATATTTATTTATAGGTCATGTTAGGGGGCATGACCACATATCCATGCCTTGTTGCGTTTATTAGGTAAACAATCCTTTAAACCAGAGGGTCTCAAGCAGGGATAGACTATCCACCCCACCCTCCAGCCTCCAAGACTTTTGGACAATGTCTGCAAACATTTTTGGTTGTCACAACTGGGGTGTTACTTTTGGCATCTAGTGGGTAGAAGCAATGGATGCTGCCATACACATTACTGTGCACAGGACAGCCCCCACCACAGACAGTTATCCAGCCCCAAATGTCAATAGTGTCATGGTAGATTAACCCTGTAAACTAAATATCATATTGTCTTCATATTTATAGATGAGAAAATGGAGGTTTGGCATTACCTGGCTCATGAGTGGATTGAACTTTTAACCCCTGATTTCTCAACTTTTCCAAATTCGTGCCCCCTCATTAAGCCCACTCTCTGGATGGAGCAGTGACTCCCAAACCTGGATTTGCATAAGCATCGACAGGGAGCTTCTTAAAATTCAGTTCTTTAAAAGTCAGTTTTCTGGGCTGGGTGCCATGGCTCATGCCTGTAATCCCAGCACTTCTGGAGGCTGAGGTGGGTGGATAACTTGAGGTTAGGAGTTCGAGACCAGCCTGAGCAACATGGTGAAACCCCATCTCTACTAAAAATACAAAAATTAGTAGAGGAAGGAGGTACACGCTTCTAATCCCAGCTACTCGGGAGGCTGAGGCAGGATAATCTCATGAACCCAGCAAGCAGAGGTTGCAGTGAGCCAAGATGGTGCCACTGTACTTCAACCTGGGTGACAGAGCAAGACTCCATCTCAAAAGAAAAAAAAAATCAGTTTTCTGGATCCACCTCTGGGATTCTGTTTTAATTGGTCTGGTGTGGAACACGGAACCCACATGTTTTATCAAGCTCCCAAGCTCCCACACCCACGTGTTAAGCACTGCCTCAGGTAAAGGGGTCACTATCTATGCACTGACTGGCCCTGTGGCCAGGATCTAGGATTTGGATACTTCTGCTTTGCTGTGGTTTCCCTCCTCTTGATCATCACATCTCCCCCTCTTCTGACTGTGCATGGGGTGGTGAGCTGGGCTTTCTTATTTGTGGATGTGAATGTTCCAGAACATACTGGATGAACCAAGCTATCATTTAAAAAAATTAAAAGTGTTGCTTGGTACTTGGGGTATTGAAAATAATAATAGGACCATTTCATAATGCCAATTTTGGGAGTAATGACTAAAACTTCCCACAGGGTAATTCAGACTGGTTCGATTTGTTTAACAAATGTTAATTGAGTGCTTCTTCTGTAGCTATTGGGAATTTCATCACACTATTTCCAGGCAATAAGTGTGATAAAATGGGGTAAGTGTGGGTGCATGTTAGGATCTGGGAGCCCTCTCAATGAATCAGCAAGGGACTGAAAGGTAACTGAGGGATAAAGAAACTGAGGGATAAAAGTACAGCCAATCCTCATTATTTGTGGATTCTGTATTTGCAAATTTACCTACTCAACTAAAATTTGTTTGTAACCCCCAAATCAATACTCATGGCACTTTTGTGGCCATTTTTGGTCATATTCAACATGGTGAAAAATTTGAGTCTCTTGAAACACTCGTTCTCAATTGAGGTCTAACAAAGTGACATTGTTTCTTCTTGTTTCAGCTCTTCTCTCTCTCTCTATTTTATTTTATTTTTTTATTTTATTTTATTTTTAGATGGAGTTTCGTTCTTTTTACCCAAGCTGGAGTGCAATGGTGTGATCTCAGCTCACTGCAACCTCCACCTCCTGGGTTCAAGCTATTCTCCTGCTTCAGCCTCCTGAGTAGCTGGGATTACAGGCGGCTGCCACCACGCCCAGATAATTTTTCATATTTTTAGTAGAAACAGGGTTTCACAATGTTAGCCAGGCTGGTCTCGAACTCCTGACCTCAGGTGATCCGCCCGCCTCGGGCTCCCAAAGTGCTGGGATTACAGGCGTGAGCCACCACACCTGGCCTCCTCTTGTTTCCTACTGTAAACAAGTGCCCTTTCTGTGGTCCATTTTGTGCTCTAACTTTTCACATCTTTGTTAGTGATCTTACTGTTTAAAATTGTCCCTAAACATAGTGCTAGAGGGCTGTCTAGTGTTCCTGAGTACAAAAAGGCTGTGATATGCCCTACAAACACTTGTGTTAGGTAAGCTTCATTTAGGCATGAATTATAGTGCTGTTGGCCATGAGTTCAAAGTTAATGAATTAAGAATATATATTAAATAAGGTTCTTTAAGTAGAAACACACATAAAACAAGGTTATATATTGATCAGTTGATGAAAATGTTGTGATCAGAGGCTCATGGAATCCCAAGCCTATATTTCCCCTAAGAGCAGTGGTTCAATATTTATTAATTCAGTGTTTGTGGTGATGTTTTAGAACGAAACTACCATGAATAATGAGAATCAGCTCTATATGGACTAGCTAAACATCTGTACAATGGAGTACTGTGCAGTCATGTTATAGAACTGTCAGGGAAAGACTTTCATTTTGCCTGAGAGAAAATGAGTGGTGCTTTCCCAAAGTAAATGTAGCTAATCTCCATTCATACAGAGATTGCAATTATAGAGTGAGATAAGTGCTAACTAAAGGAATAAATTACAGTAAAACTTTCTCTTTTAAAGGCGTAATTATCAAAGAGATTTAAGGGCTATTTGGTTCATTTTCAAGAACCAATGTGAGTGTCTGGACTGATTTTTGGGATCATTATCATGAAGCTTTATAAATCTCGCCCTGGCTTTTACCAGCGATTTTTTCCTCCTTTTCATAGTCCACAAAGTGCACCATATGGAGAAGACCATTTACATTGACTAACTCTGAACTATTTGGATTGTGTATTCTTTAAAATTCAAAATGTTATGTCTGATTTAGAGTTTCTAAGTGAAAAGAATAAAAGACATCACTACAATGAAAGCAAATTTTGGGAAACTTCTAAGCACAACTTGATATGTTTTGAACCACGTCTTCTTCCTTACATTTTTCACTTTTTTTCGTATATTTTTGGGGATCAGTAAAAGATACTAGTTTCCAGCAGGGCATAGTTGTTAAGGAGACTCTGCTCAGGAAGTCCCCAAATGCACGATGAAGGGCATCTGCATTTTGCTCTGTTTCCTAAGCTCCAGGGGACTTGCTGGGTGGTGGAGCTTGAGGTGGGAATAGGAGTCTCTGACAATAGTCAGATGTAATGTTGAGTCCATAAATGATAAGGGGTGGAGCGCCACTGAAAAGAGAAGAGCAGTTAAAAGGGTGGTTATCCCAACCAGTTGGATTCTTCCTCTTTCTTTCCTTCCTTTTTTTTTTTTTTTGTTTTGTTTTTTTGAGACAGGATCTTTCTCTGTTGCTCAGGCTGGAGTGCAGTGCTGTGATCTTGGCTCACTGCAGCTTGGAGTTCATAGGCTCAAGCAATCCTCCTGCTTCAGCCTCCTGTGTAGCTGAGACCACAGGCATGTGCCACTACACCCAGCTAATTTTTTGTAGAGGGAGGATCTCACTTTGTTGCCAAGGCTCATCTTGAACTCCTGGGCTCTAGTGATCCACCTGCCTTGACCTCCCAAAGTGCTGGGATTACAGGCATGAGCAACTGCGTCCAGCCTAGACTCTTTCAGTGTGATAAAACATCTCTCTGAAAGAGAAATGTTCTTTCAAATCTCTATGTGAATTACTCGAATCAGCAGCTCTACCCAATGTGTAATCTAGTTACTGCTGAACTATCAGGTTGGGAGTAGAAAAGAGAAATTTTAAAATAGTGCAGAAAGCTGGCCCAGTGGCCTGGAGAACTGGTGATGATTAAAACCTAAGCTTCCTTTCTGAGAGGGGGCTCTGGGAGCAGCAGCAGGAAGAGGGGAGGGGAGAGAACAAAGGCACATTTTGCTGCCTTTGCTGTGGCAGGTCTGGCTCAGACAGCTAAGACTACATCACCGCAGTCTGGCCTCTCACTGTAACTGAATGACGCCTGTTTCCCCAGGGCAGTCTCTGCCCCTCCTGCTTGAGAGGAAGCCTGAGGAAGGAAGAGGAAAAGGGTCTGTTGGGTTCTTGGACAGACCTTTCATCCACTGTATGCAGAATTCTAAAGGCAGTAGTTAGTGGACAACTTAATATTTTCAAACTGAAAATCACAAACATGCTACCTGTGACAGGGTGAGTAACGGCCCCAAGTTGTTCATATCTCAATCACATAGAACCATGTATAATTCTTATGTGGCAAAAGGGACTTTGCAGATGAAATTAAGATAAGGATCTTGAGATAGGAGTTAGAGTGTCCTAGATAGTCAGATGGGCCCAGTCATGTAATCATTAGGGTCCTTTTGGGAGGGTGGCAGAGGGAGTTATACTACAGAGGAGAAGATGATGTGATGATAGAGGTAGTGACGGGAATAATGTGCCATGAAGGTGGAGGAAGGGGCCGTGAGCCAAGGAATAGAGGGGGCCACTTTGGAACTGGAAGGGCAAGGAGACAGGTTCTCCCCTCGGAGCCTTAAGAAAGAAGCTGCCCAGCTGACACCTTGACTTTAGCCCAGCTAAACCAATTTCAAACTTCTCACTTCCAGGACCATAAAATAATACATTTTTTGGTGTTTTCAGCCACTGCATTTGTGGTAATATATTACAGCTGCCTTAGGAAACAACCGTACCATCCCTAAGGGTGTTTTTATAATATTGTTGTTATATTATTTCCCTTTAGAAAAATTAGTTCACGTAATATTTGTGGGAATACACCTCTTGTGCAAATGTTCCCTCACATTTCATCTTTTCTTTATCAGGGTAACTGAACAATGAACTTATTTAAGCGTTTTAAGAGGAATGGCTGGGAAGAATCCTAAAAATTGTGGCATTCAGGGGGGCCTGGGGAAATTTTAGTTGAACCCATTTTATAGATGACTTAACTGGGTGCAAAGTCTTGGCCTCCTGACTTCCAGCCTAATAGGGTAGAAGACAAAGCCTGGGACCTGCTGTCCCTCTTTCTGCTCTTGGGAATTTCCTGCTTCCTTTGTGGAAATGGTTCCACCCTTATCAGTTGCTGCCACAGGTGATTGTGACCTTTCTGAAAGATTCTGGCTGGGGGCAATAGGGCCTAGTTATCCTGAGGTGTGCTCAGGTGGAGCCCTTTCTAAAATAGGCATCAGTTGAGATAAAGCTACTTTGAAAAATTAGACCAACTGCATAGTTATCACCAAAGGACTGCAGTGAATACTGTGATGTTTAAAACCTTCATTGAGAAATGGAAGGACTTTTTTCTGAAGCCACCCATTAAGCCTTGTAATACAATCCTTGCAAAGTCTGGAAATGAAATGGAATGTCCTACACTACTTCAATTAAAACTTTTTCTTCTTCTTTTGTTGTTTTCTTTTGGAGACTAATCCAAGGAGAATAAGAATGCAGCAGAAGTCAGGCTTGCCAAAGTGATTATAATACTCCCAAATCTGAGACTAAATTAGAACCTGTGATTACTTTTAAATTGCTGTCTCAGATAAATTAAAGTTCATAAGGAATATTTAGGGCTACAGATATAGGGAAGCTTTTAAAGCAAAGTACTTTTTTCCATTTAGATGAGAAAAGTATAATCATGGTACCTCTACATATTTCAAAAATAGTGTAGAAATACTGATCTAAAATTTCTTGTTTTTAAAGGGGAAGAGGGAGATGTAGTAATGATAGATACTTGCTTCTAGTAGGCTCCATAATCCTCCCAGTCATCTGTGAGGCAAATATTATTATTTTATTTCACTTGTCAAGAAACTATAATAGGTCAGTGAGCTAAAGTGATTAGCAAAGTTACAGGGAGCAGTTTGAAAAGAATCCAGGTCTCGGGACTAGAGATTGAGAAATCAAGCTCCTATAACTTCTTCCAATCTGGTGTTCTTTCCTCTGCGTTCAAGGTCCTTTGCAGGGTGAGTAAATACATGAGGCAAAATGCACCATCAAGCCTTCTCAATTCAGGTCTTTTAGAATGAAGACATGACTTCATGGATACATTTTTGATCATGGCAGACGGCAGGCAGGACTAGATTGCAGCTCCCACTTGGACAGACAGAGCAGTGTGTGGAGACTCGCATTGTGAACCTTTGCTCCAGAACTACTGCAGGAATAAACCAGAAAAGCCGAGGGAACCCACATACCCTCTGAAGGAAGTGGATAGCTCCTGCAGGACCCAGGAGACACCGCAAATACTGTGCTGGTATCCACAGCTGAGAGACCTACAGACGGTTCATATCACAGGATTCTGTGCAGACAACCCCCACTAACAGCCCGGAGCCTGATAGACCAACTGGGCGGGTAGACCCAGAAGAGAGATAACAATCACTACAGCTCGTGTCTCAGGAAGCTACATCCTTAGAAAAAGGGGGAGAGTACTACATCAAAGGAACATCTCCTGGAACAAAAGAATCTGAACTGCAGCCTTGAGCTCTAGATCTTCCCTCTGACATAGCCAACCCATTAAGAAGGAATCAGAAAAACAAATCTGGGAATATGACAAAGCAAGGTGCTTTAACACCCCCGCAAAATCACACTAGCTCACCAGCAATGGATCCAAACCAGAAGAAATCTGTGAATCGCCAGAAAAAGAATTCAGAATGTCAGTTATCAAGGAGGCAACAGAGAAAGGTGAAGTGGAATTTAAGGAAATAAAAAAATGATACAAGAAATGAGGGGAGAAATCTTCAGTGAAATAGCATAAATAAAAAACAATCAAAACTTCAGGAAATAAAGGACACATTTAGAGAAATGCAAAATGTTTTGGAAAGTCTCAGGAATAATAAATTTTTATTTATTATTAAATAAATAGAACTGGTTTTCAAAACTTCATTGTTTATTTACTTATATTAAACTTTTTCTACATTATAATTTATCACACAAGTAATACATGCTTATTGTAATAAGTATTCAAGATGACGTTAAAACTTAGCATATTCTTCCATAACTTTTCCTAAGTTCATACAATATAGAATTCTAGGGGTTGGGCGCATCAGATCACACCTGTAATCCCAGCACTTTGGGAGACCAAGGTGAGTGGATCACTTGAGCCCAGGAGTTCGAGACCAGCCTGGACAACAAAGTGAGACCCTGTCTCTACAAAAAAATAAAAAATAAAAAAATTAGCCAGGTGTAGTGGCACATGCCTGTGGTCCCAGCTACATGGGAGGCTGAGGTGGGAGGATTTCTTGAGCCAGGGAGGTCAAGGCTGCAGTGAGCTGTGGTCGTGCCATGACACTCCAGCCTGGGCAGCAGAGCAAGACCCCATGTAAAAAAAACAAAAAAAAAACAAAGTATGATTCTTTTTACAGAAAAGCCATACCTAGTTTAGGTCGTACTGAAAAGAGGAAAGTGAATTGTAGTTTTTATACCCATTATATATGTACGTCCATGCTCCAAAAGCACCACATAGAGTTTGCTCTCTTCAGTAGTTAACCCTGGAGGTTGCATGCACTGGTGGGCCCCTTCCCTTCTGGCTTCCTGTTGGGTGTAAGCAATGGAAGACACCACAGGAGACTAGGGGGTGGCAGGAGAATGAGGTAGGGATATTTATTCCTCCAGCTCCCTCCCTCTGTTGGGTGGCTTCCTCTGTCCCCAAAAGACCACAGCTCTTTTGGGTTCTGGAACTGTTCTCCTTTATGTCTGTTCAGACCTGGTGGTGCTAATGGCTATCTCTGTTTGCCTGGGGCTTCCTTTACCCTACCCACACCTCTGTCAATAGTCTATATCTTATACTTTCCTTGGGTCCCCAGTTGGAGTGAGCCATCTATTTTCTGCCCTTTTCTCTGAGGTTTGTGCAGTTCTGTGGTTCTGAGGGCAGATCCTTAAACTGTCAGGATCTCCCTGGCTAACTTATCTATTATTGAAAGGGTCATAGCAGCAGGATCATATTGAAACTGACCTTTGAAAATAACTGCTCTTAATTAAAAGGAGTATTTGATCCCAAGTAAATCGTCAAGGAGGCTAATTTCATTCACCTTCTTTACTGTTGACCTGCCTCTCAAATGAACTGACAAAGCCAGAACAGCCCGTTGACTCTGTGCTCTTTAGCTCCCTGTGCCAGAGTTCCTGCGGTTCTCAGGCTGTGTCCTGTCTGGGGTTCAAATAGCAGAGTTGCCTAAGCTCTTTATCCTTGTTGACCCAGCCTCTGCTGAGCTCCTTACCTGCCTCATCTCTTGCTAGTCCCCTTCATCCTTCATGTGATGGTAGCACACAGCACACTGTGCTATTCCACTTCACACCCCAGGACCTGTGTTCCTGCACTTCCTCTTCCTGGAACAGCTGCTTCTCCCTCCTTCCCCCTTCCCTAGCCCTCACAACTCTCTTTTATTTAATCTATCTAATAGCTTCCAAGACTTAATCTGGGACCACCTCCCAGAAGCCTTTTTCTCCAAAGCTGGGCTGAAGGCCCTGGTCTCTGTGTTCTCATTCTAAGCCACTCATACCTTGGTGATAGCATGAATCACCTTGCATGTAAATTAGCCACTGTGATAAGCTTTGTGTTTAAATGTACTGTTCATTCTCCCAACAGACTCTATCAGGCCTAGGTCTATATCACTTGGAGTCTCAGCACCAAATACAGTGTCTGGTGCATAGTGAGTAGACACATATCTCTTACGAAGGTGCCCTGATTTGTAATAAATGACAGTTATATTTTCGGGCTTTCTTGACTTCCACAGAGTGTCAGCTTTTGCTTTGCCTTCCTCTGCCCCAGGCTTTTCATATCTCAGGGATACTTGCATGCCCTGAGAAGTTGGGGCCATAGGGATGGCTCATGTGTCATTGTCCTGCCCTTGTCTACGAGAAGGATGATACAATTATGGAAAATAGGTTTGCCTGGTATGGCAGCATCTGAGACAGAGAAGGTAAGTGAATTATCTATATCTATACAATCATCACAGAGCAGGGGAATTGTAGGTGTTGGAGCTCCTGGCAGAAATCAATGGTTGTTAGGTTATAAAATCACAGGGCCTGTTAGGTGGCAGTGCCTCCAAAGAAGCAGTAAGCTACTTTCTTCCTGGTTGTGCAATGTGGGGAGTTTATGGGCACCCCATGTCCGCACCCACCAAGGCTTCATTTCCCTTCACTGAGGTGTGAGCATTCTCCTCCTGGTGCGCGTATGGTGTTGGACAGCATGGCCTCCCCATAGGGAAGGATGGTAATTGTTGGCAAAGAAAGGCAGTGTGGATATCTAAGTGCTTAAATTATAGTGAGAAGTTTCATTTGAAAGTAATTGCATGACATAACTAATAAATATTTATAGATGTCGGGGCAAGGGTTATTTCAGAAGGGAGTGGGTTATAGACAGGGAAAGGACATGAAGGAAACTTCTGGGTGTTGATAAGTTTATCTATGGAAACCTGGGTGGTGGTTGCATCACTGTCTAAATGTGTAAAAGTATTGTTGAGCCATGCACTGAAGACAGGCGCACCTATCTACCTTATGGAGAAATGCCATCTTTCGATGTATTTTTAAAAAGAAGTCAACTTGTGAAAGTTTATATACTGTCATTGAAAAAGCAGGGAGGCAGGAGGCTGATTCTGACACCCTAATAGAAGGGGCTATGACTAAAATACTGCCTTTGAACTTATGTGCTCATTGGGCTAACACAGATCCATGGAGAAGGCATGGGGAAAGCCATGTTGTGGCAAGCATTTGTCTGAGCACCTGTACCCTCTAGCTGCCTTCCAAGGGCTCTTCACCTGGACTACCCAGCATGGGCCCAGGGGCTTGGGAAATTGTTTCACTTCATCAAATTTTTCCTTGGACTTGAGCTCAAGTAAAGTTCTGACATTAAGTAATCCCCTCTTTTAAAAAAAATTGTTGTAATATATGTACAGCATAAAATTTGCCATTTTAACTGTGTAATTCAGTGGCATTAATCACATTCATGGTGTTGTGCAACCATCACCATTATATGTTTCTCAATTTTTTAAATAATCCCAAACAGAATCCCTGTAACCATTAAGCAGTAACTTTCCACTCTCCCTCCCTCTGCCTCTGGTAACCCCTCATCTACTTTCTCTCTCTCAAAGTTTGCCTATTGTAGATATTTTAGAAATGGAATCATACAAGATCTGCCATTTTGTGTTTGGCTTATCTCATTTGGTATGTTTTCAAGGTTCATCTGTGTTGTAGCATGTATCAGAACTTCATTTCTTTTTATGACTAATATTCCATTGGATGCATATGTATGTATATATATACACATTCATTCATCTTTCATCTGTTGAAGAAACTTGGGTTGTTTCCACATTTTGGCCATTGTGAATAATTTTGCAGTGAATACTGGCTAAGTAATACTTATAAAAAGTATGTAAAATTTGAAAATTGTCACCTTTGCAAATTCTTGTTTGTCCTTCAAGTCTCATCTAAAATGTTACCTTCTCTGTGGAACCTACTGTGACCTCCTTCCTCTTGCATTCGCTGCATTTTGTGCATCGTCTTCCCTTTCTGTAGGCCTGAGGGTAGTAGTGCCTCTTGTCTGAAGATGTGGACTATGCATGTACCCCCAAAACCAAGTCAAAGGAGCTTAAGAAAGGGAGAGGCTGGTAAATCAAAGAAGTGAGTCTGAAGAGATCATCTGCACAAAGGCAATAAAGGTCTGTCCTAAGGCAAGCAGAGAATAGGAATTCAAGGATATTAGGATTTGGGAGCAAACCTGACTTTTACTTCTTTGAAAGTGGTGTGGAGCAAACCTAGGGATAGAAATGTCTCCATAAATGCACTTATTTATTCCTTATGTTCATACCTTTTACTATACCACATTTCACACACTCACAGGGTCAAATGTATGATGTCAACTTAGAATTTCCAACACTGAGCTTAGCACCTAATGAGTACTTGAATTCACTGAAATATTGATTCTACTTACTGTGACTGAGCAAATAACAGTGGCTTATGTGCTAAGGTTGAATTCCCTGAGAAATAAGTTCTGGAATGGAAATTGATATATAAGTGTTTTATTGGAGAGTGTTCTTGGGGAAAACACTATGAGTATCAGGGAAGCAAAGTTGAGCAGAGAGAGAAGGTGCATTGTGACACAGTCACAACAGAGGCTTCAGCCAATCCCATGGGAGCTCTGGAGTTGGGACGGTGATTCCTAGTTGGCCGTGCATCTAGGCAAGGGAGCCAGGGTTTTGCACCTCCTTATGGACTAGTCTCTGGATGCAGGCTGATCCAGGGAGAAATAATATCGTGGGACACAGACCCCTTCAGCCAAGAGCAATTCCTACCCCACAATCCTGGCAGCTGGGAGAAGAAGGAGTATTTCCATCCTGAAGGGAGAGATCTAAGTGGCCTACCATGATTAGAATGTGGCTCCACAATTTTGGAGATCCAAGTTCCTTCTGTTTTGTAGATCCATACATCCCTCAAGGTTGCATGATCAATAAGGTTTGTCCCCCCATTTGCATTGCAAGGGAAAGGGCAGAACATGAACATATTTCTCCTCCTTCTGTCGTTCCTTCAAGTGCTTTCCACTTGGGCATGACCCAAAGGTTACACACGATATTTCCATTGACTTGGCCGTTGGCCAAAATGCAGTCAGGTAAACACACTTGCAGCAAAAGAGGCTGGGACATCATTTCTTTCTTGTCTGTCTCTATAAAACACAAGTGGAGGAAACCAAATTATAACAGTAGTTCTTTGGGGTCTTTTTTCATGTCTTATTTTCCATGTTTTCTGGAGTAAGCACATAGAGCTTTTGTAATCTGGATAAATATTATTAAAATGTATAACAGATATACTTGACTGCTAGGAGAATATGGACCCTTAAAGGGTGATTTTTTTTTTACTGGATTCTGTATCAAATATGGAGACTACAGAGAGGAAGAAGTTGATAGACAGTTGCCCAAAATGGCTTTAAATAATTTTTTAAATTCATTAACTCTGCAAACACTAACTGAGCGCTCTTCTTGGGCAGGAAACCATTTCCTCTATTGCTTTTGTTCAGTTTTCATTGGTCATCACCTCTGTAACTTCCCAAGATCAAAAGTTAGTCACCTACAAGTAGGGTGCTTTTTCAAGTTAGAAACACTCATGTGTATAATTCTTGGGTCTCAAATGTGCACAGATAACTTTAATAGGTGGTGGGTTCATTATTTATGGTTGCCGCTGAATTTAGCACGGAGCTGGAACTCGGGAATAAGGTCTGTGCATCTTCGGGAAAGTAGTTGGTTCTGGGGAATTTGGTGGGAGGAGCTGACTTTTCTGCTGTGGCTCCTTTTATAGACTGGATTGATGTAGCTGAAAACAGCAGAGTAGTAAAAGGGTAAAAATGTCTCCTTTCTTAAATCTTGCTCCATCTCCTAGCCAGTACACTTGTGTTCTATGACTTGTTTAGGCAAAGGTACTGTTATGTTCTATCTGTCATAAATCTTCTTGCTTAACTTGATAGTATGTGGTTGGATTAGGAATAATCTAAATTCTGTATCTGTCTTGAAGTTATCAACAAGCCTGTCATAAATTGTTTTGCCACATGCACATTTAACACATAAATCAACTTTTGAAAAATGTTTAAGCAAACACAGAAGTTGAGAGAATGGTATAATGAACCTCATGTAACCTTCATCTGGCTTCAAGAACTGTTAACATTTGCCAGTCTTCCTTCATCTGCCTTTCCCATTTTTAATTTTTTAGCTGGAAATTTTTAAAGCAAATCCTTCATTGTATCTGAACATCCTACATACATCTTGATAAAAACAGCACAGTTTGTGGGTACCTCTCAGATTTATTGAGATCTGCCTGTGAAAAGTGTTTTTGATTTTACAGCAGAAATTTCCCTCAAGCCAATAGGTTGCTTGTGCCAAAGCCAATTAATTTACTCATTCATAACTGAGAAAAACAGCCCTGTACTGTGGGCAAGTGAGTTGTGCAGCTTTACCTGGCTGTTGCTGGCTGTTTATTTTAATTTGTCTCCATGCACAGAACATTACTAGCCAGTCCTATCTTGACAACCTTGGATGAACTGAGGGGCCCTTGTCATGGAATTAGGGGACAAAAACCAGCCTTCTTTGCACCAAGGCTGTCCTCCCAGTTGTTATGATCTAGGACCATAGTCTGTGTTCCTGCAGATTAATGACTATGTCAAAGGTGTCTTTCCCCCGATCTCTAAAGCAGTCAATCAGGGGCCAATCAGTAAACCTGCCTTTCTGGATGCTAAGTGTCAAGATGCAGAGAGAAATGAGGTTTGGGGTACACCTGATGGCTATCTCAGCCATACTGTGTAACTTGACGCTGGTCTATAAAATGTTTGTTTTAAAAAAATTTTAATTGTGGTAAAATACGTATGACATAAAATTTACCATCTTTATTATTATTATTATTATTATTATTATTTTGAGATGGAGTCTTGCTCTGTCGCCAGGCTGGAGTGCAATGGTGTGATCTCTGCTCTCTGCAACCTCTGCCTCCTGGGTTCAACGAATTCTTCTGCCTCAGCCTCCCAAGTAGCTGGGACTACAGGTGCATGCCACCACGCACAGCTAATTTTTGTATTTTTAGTAGAGATGGGGTTTTACCATGTTGGCCAGGATGGTCTTGATCTCTTGACCTCGTGATCTGCCTGCCTTGGCCTCCCAAAGTGCTGGGATTATAGGCATGAGCCACCGCACCCGGCCAATTATTTTTAACTGTACAGGTCAGCAGTGTTAAGTGTATCCACATTGTTGTACAACCAATCCACAGAACTCTTCATTTTGCAAAATGGAAACTCTGTATCCTTTAGACAACTCCCTATTTCCTTCTTCCCCAATCCCTTGGCAACCTCCATTCTATTCTCGCTTTATGAATTTTACTACTGTGGGTATCTCATATAAGTGGAACCATACAGCATTTGTCATTTTGTGACTGGCTTATTTCACTCAGCTTAATATCCTCAAGGTTCATCCAATTTGGAGCATATATCAGAGTTTTCCTTCCTAAGCTGATTGATATTCCATTGTATGTATTGACTACATTTTGTTTATCCATTCATCTGTCGACAGACACTTGGGTTGCTTCCACCTTTTGGCTATTGTGAATAATGCTGCTATGAATGTGGGTGTGCATAAAATATTTTTTAGTGAAAACTGATTTCCCTATTCTGGAATTTAGTGCTTCTTCTTATTTTTGGCATCTTTCATTGGTTGAGTCCTCTCCTAGCCTGTTATTGTAGAACCTGTAATACTATGTCATTTCTTACAGATCCTGGGCTTTTTCTTTCCCTGACATCTGTGGCCACCACTTGGCACAGTGCTTGGGACATCGAATGTGCTTAGTGGATACTTATTAATCAGTGAATGAATGAACACAGTAAAATTAAATGGAAGGGAAACAAAAAGTTGTTCTTTCCCATGAAATGGTTTAGACGTCAGGCTTGTCTAGATTTGCCCTAGAATGCTTCTCTTGCAAATATCTGGCCCATGTACCCACCTAAATTAACTCAGTATGGATGAATATAACTATTATTCTTTGTATTTTTGGTCAAGATGCACAACCCATATCTCTTTTGCTGCATTTCTTTCCATAGTTTGAACTTAGTAGTGGCTCAACATATATTCACTATAAATGATTAAATCAGTGCATAAATACATGCATAAGGGAATGATTTCATGAATGAGCCAACTAAGAATATATTCTTTGGTGAGTGATCTATTTCTTGGAAACCCTCACTGTTATAGATAATAGGGATAATAGAGAAGCAGAGGGGAACAGGTCATAGTTTATTTTCTCATTCCACAGATATCTGCAGTTGTGGGCCCTGGCAGTTCAGCAGTAAACCGTTCTTACTTTTAGGGCCTTATCTTCCAGGGAGTGAAGCAGATGTAAACAGAATGGTTTCCAGTTGTTTTTAGTGCCATGAAGCGAAATGGAAAGCCATGATAGAGAATAATATGGGCCTACATTGGATAGAGTAGTCAGGGAAGACTTGGATGAGGAGGTGGAATCTTAAGAGTGAGAGGAAGTGGGTCAGGAGAAGAAGGGAGAGACTGTGTCAGAGAAAAGAAACCTTTATGGCCACAGGAGAGTATTTTCAAGGAGATGCTAGAAGACCAATATGACTAAGGACACGTAGGGGATAAGACTGGAGCAAAGTCAGGGGCCTGGCAGACCTGATGAGAAATTTAAGTTTTTTTAGTCAGTGAGATTACACTGATGTGTTTTTAGGATGATGTGTTAGTCAGGGTTCTCCAGAGAAACAGAACCAATAAAAGATAGCTAGATAACTAGATAGATAGATAGATAGGAGATTTATTATGGAGTTGGTTGGTATGGGCAGAAGCTGGATGTCCCAGCTGAAGGAGAGAGAGAGAGAATTTGCCCTTCCTCTGCCTTTTTGTTCTATTCAGGCCCTCCAAGGATTGGATGATGCCCTCCCTCATTGATCTTGTTTACTGTGTACTCATTCAAATGCTAATTTCTTCTAGAAACATCCTAACAGATACACCCAAAAAGAATACTTTCCAGGTATCTGGGCATCCCTTAGCCCAGTCACATTGACACATAAAATTAACCATGACATATGAGAATGGTATGATCTGGTTGCTGTAGGCAAAGTTGTTGGGGGGCATGTCTGGAAGAGGACTGTTCTGTGCGGGACTGCCAGAGCTTCAGCCCAGCTAAGAGGTGAGAGTGCCCTGGACCAGAGGTGTCAGAGGAGCCCAAGAGATGTGGACAGCTTAAAGATTCATTTTGGAGATAAGAGATTGCTTTCCTCATCTCCCATGTTTAGTCTGCTTATACCTATTTTTATTTTGTTAGCTCTTAAGTCACTTCCTCAAGGCCTGCAAAATCTGTTGTTGGCAGTTGTCGCTCACTGCAATTTTTATGAATAATTTTCCCCAGTACTGTGCCAGATTTTCAGCATTCATTCAATGGACGGTAGCTATGGCAAACTCCTATTCCCTCTAACTCATGAACCTACAAGATATCTCCCCCTCCCTTCTCTCCCCTCCCCTCTCCTCCCCTCCCCTCCCCTTCCCCTCTCCTCTCTTCCCCTCCCCTTCCCCTCTCCTCTCTTGCCCTCCCCTTCCCCTCTCCTCTCTTCCCCTCCCCCTCTCCTCTCTTGCCCTCCCCTTCCCCTCTCCTCCCTTCCCCTCCCCTCTCTTCCCCTCCCCTTCCCCTCCCCTCTCTTCCCCTCCCCTTCCCCTCCCCTCTCTTCCCCTCCCCTTCCCCTCCCCTCCCCCCTCCTCTCCTCTCTTCTCTTCCTCTCTCTCTCCCTTCTCTCTCTCTCTCACTCTCTCTCACACACACACACACACACACACACACACACACACAAGTTGTATTTATGTTAATATTTTACCAAATGAAGTATGATAATTCTGTCCATCCTGGTTTCTCCTCTCTTGGACTCTTAAGAAATCTGATTGATTTTGGAGAATACACACACAGAGAGAGGGGAACTATCTCAGAAGGGTCTATGCTTGAAATACAGCACACTAGGCTACCCTAAAGCTCTCTTTTTGTGCATAGAGGGTAGAAAGTTTGGGGTATATCTGGAAATATGCTCACATGTGCTGTGATTTGTTCAACCTATTCTGAATTGGAGAAGAGTAGACTATGCATTTCCCAAGTTCAATACAGTTCATTACGTGAGCATTGCATCACCAAGCCAGGAGTGGACAGTTGCAGACTGTGTGGACATGGATCATCAAGTGCATACTGTTTGTCGTATGATATCTGATTGAAACCTAGGTTCTGACCTAGCTCCTGGATCTTGTCTAATGGCAGATCTGAGAGAATTACTCTGTAGAATGTTTGGATCCACTGTCATTCTGGCCCTACTCTTGAGATTGCAGAGAGTTAGCCCCAGAATCAGTCAAACCAGTCTTCCCAGAGGTACTGAAACAAATGTTGATCCAGCACTGTTCCAAACCCAGAGCCACCCACTTGTCACCTGTGGGAGAGGACAAGAAACCAATTTGTTTGGGAGAT
This sequence comes from Homo sapiens, assembly GCF_000001405.40. Classification (NCBI taxonomy): domain Eukaryota; kingdom Metazoa; phylum Chordata; class Mammalia; order Primates; family Hominidae; genus Homo; species Homo sapiens. The sequence goes on from NC_000004.12 coordinate 78,218,792, forward strand.
TAGTGAGAAGGTGACACATGTAGTTTGCTTGCATCCAAATATTCTGAGTCTGCCTTCTCTGTGTGATTTTCCAAATATAAAATGTGATATTTCTTAGAAAATGATCATTAAAACAAATTCTTTATCCTTTCAATTCACAAAAGATGACCTTGAAGTTTACAAAAGACACATTTCTTTCTATTCTTATAGAGGGAACATGGTGTATTTTAGGGTTCATTTTCCCTAATAGAGGATTTCAGCTCCAGTATAATTCAGGAAATGCTTCTATGGTAATTACATTCTTTTGCTGGTTTTTTTCTTTCTCATCTTGGAGATAATTTTATTTTTTCATGCTATAAACCAAATGCTATTTAATGTTCTTATTAGGGAAGATCTATTAATATATCAGTGAATTGCAGCCCTACTTATACATCTATTATCAGACTGAATTACTTATTTGCTTAAGAATGAAGTTCTACCTCATTTAAGGCCATTTTTGTCTTTTAGCAAATGAATTCTATTTGAATTTTCATGAGTATGTTTTATTTCACACCAAAGACCTATTATTTTAGAAAATAAAAATATTAAAACTTTTTTAAGACAACAAAAAATGTATTATCTGCTTATAAACAGTGGAAGTAGAACCACAAATAATATATTTCCTAATTGCTTTTTCTTTTAGACATAGCAACAATTGATCATGTGTAATGTAGATATCAGCCAGTTTCTAGGACAGATAGTATATATTACTAAACAAAAGTGTATTTTAAAAAAGCTTTGAAAAGAGCCACCTGCCAGACCAGATTGATTAAGCATCTAAATAACATGTTGAATTTAAAATATATTTGTGTAAGATACCTGTTTCATCCTTGAGAAACAATAATAAACTTTGTTGAGAAGGTTGAGTTTTCTCCAGAGTTTACTTAAGATGTCAGGATAAGTAATTGCCTTGCTGCTACAAATTTGGAACTTAACATTTTGTTGGGCCTATTTTTGCTGCCACTCCATAGATAATATATTTCATGAAGGTTTTTTTCATTGGCAGAAGTTAGTTCCTTTTGTTTTCTCTGCAGAAAAAAACTTGTTTTGCTCTGTGATAGGCAGGTATCCAAGTACTAATACTTTTCTTTTCAGTCTAGAATCAGGTAATGAAGGCCCATCATTCTCACCGACAGAGGAGATGACAGTCTTGCTCATCCCATATCCTCTAGTACAGCTCAAGGACAGGAACAGGAGCTGGAATTTTATCAGCAGGCTCAAGAGTCAGAGGGCAGTAGTGATGTGGATTGGAGTAGATGATTAACTCTTTGAAGACTCCTCTCATTTTATCATCTCCAAATTGACCAGAATCTTTAACACTGTTCCCTCATTTATCCCTTTGAATGATACAGACACAATCTATTTTGTTGATTCACATTTTCTTCTGCTTTTTCTGATGCAGTAGATTAGACGTTCATGGACTATAGCTTGTGGGCCAAATTCAGTCTATGGCTGGTCAAATTCAGCCAAGAATGGATTTTACATTTTTAAATGGCTTAAAAAATCATAAAAGTATTTTGTGACACATGAAAATGATATGTCAGTTCCCCCAAGTAAAGGTTTATTGGAACATAGACCTGCTGATTTATTTACATACTGTCTGTGGCTTTTTCTCTACAACGTTGACAAAGTTGAGTTTACATAGTTGAGTAGTTACAAGAGACCAAATGGCCCACAATGTCGAGGTTGAGACAAGTCCAGGCAGTTCTAAAAAAATATGTTGTCTACTATGAGTATAGCTACAGTCTTGTTCTTACCTGTAGTGGCGATTTTTCTGTATTGTGGAAAAGGAACCAAATGGAGAAAATTTCTCATGTTCTGTATAATCTAATTTCATTAATAGAACAATCAAAGCAACAAAATATTACAGTCCATTCAGACAGTAAATCTTCTAATCTGAAGGTGTGAGACTAGAGCAGCCTTTGATTGTACCTACTCTCTCTCTAGCCATTTTATTTAGCAGCTCATCTCAAGAATACAGACATTTCTTATCAATGTTACTATGAAAATTTCAAGAATACTAGTAGCATTTTTTTCTTTTTCTTTCTTTTTAAAGAAATTAACACGTTTATTAAAAAATAATACAGGCTGGGCATGGTGGCTCACAACTGACTTTGGGAGGCTGAGGCGGGCAGATGGCTTGAGCTTAGGCATTTGAGACCAGTCTGGGTGACATGGCAAAACCCTGTCTCTACAAAAAATACAAAAATTAGCCAGATGTGGTGGTGTGCACCTGTAGTCTCAGCTACTTGGGAGGCTGAAGTGGGAGGATGGCTTGAGCCCAGGAGGCAGAGATTGCCGTGAGCTGAGATCACGCCACTGCACTCCAGCCTGGGCGACATAGCCAGACTCTCTCAAAATAATAATAATAATACATAACCAGTTATGTTTTTTAACTCAAGAAATGGTAATATAGAATTTATTATAAAGGCTAAATATATCAAATTTCTTTCATGTTCTCCATTAGTATTGTAAGATTTTTTTCCTCCTCTGTAAAACATCTTTACTTATTATAAATACTGTACGTACACAAAGCTAACTTGATGGTAAACAACTTCTGGGCTGATTAATTGATAGTTGAAGTAGAATTACCCGAGGGTTTTTTGGCATATGTATTAGAAACTTTAAAAAATTTGCATATGTTCTGTCTTTATTTATGCAGATCATCTAAGTAAGATGCCATTTTCCATGTTTATAAGATCTAACTGTTATCTCAGAAATAAACCAGTTGGTATGCCTTAGAAGGGACCCTCATTCTCCAAATACTGTTATTTTCTACAAATATACATGGATCCTTGCCAAGCTTCATTTCATTCTTTGCATTGTGTGGCTCACCGTCCTCCCATTTTTAGAAGGGGCTCTTATTAAACCACCTTGTGTGTGTTGAACAGTGTGATTCAGGGACATATTGTCCTACAAAGAGTTTTGCAGCAAACCCTGCTTTGCTAATGAATACTTCCTCTTTCCTACATTTGACATGAGGCTTTTGGACAAGGTCACAACACCCCTGTAAGTCCCATATTGTATGTCAGTCATGGGGCCAAAAATGAATAAAGACTGAAATAGTATATTTTGGATGAAGCCTAGGAAACAAATTATAGTGTTCACTCTGTCTTTAATGGAATCATTCCTCAACCGTACTGGAAGTCTCAGGTTTATCCTCAGTGTGACCAGATAGAACTTTCCCTGTTAACAGTGGGTGTCATTAGCCTCGTATAAGGTCTGGAAGAATACAGGTGAGCAGGGCAGAGCCGTGGAGCTCTGCCCCCCTGGAGCTCTGCCCTGGTTCAATCTGGACTATGTATTAATGGGCTCAAGGCACTGGTTGATTCTGCTCAGCTCTGGAAGAGTTACGGAGTTATCAAGCCAGAATTTGGGAGGACTCCTGTGGAATCTATTGGAACACCACAGTGGGATTCACTAGGATTCTGGCACTGGTCAGCAAGTTTTCATGGTCCAGTTATTCAAAGTTGCTTGCTGCCCCCCTCTCCCGTTGCTGTCCACTGTGTGGTCTCCTGCTTATTTCATGCGTGTGCATTTCATCTCACCGATGAGCCCATGAACTTCCCCAGAAACTCATTGTCTTCTATTTCCGTAACAGCTCCTAACCACTAGTCGGGCTTTGCACACAGCGACTTCTCCGTAAATGTTGACTGCAGGGCAGAAAGAAAGGCTAAAAGTTCTTAGGAGAATGTTTGCCTTTGCATGTATATGCTGGCGATGCTAATAAGTCCCAGCTAGACCTGGCAGTGAGTAAGTTCAGGGGTGGCAATTTAATTTTCTTGCTATTAGTAAAACAAACAGTAGGTGGGATGGGTGGTAAGCTTAAATATCTCTGACGCGCCATTTAAACCATCCATCCCACCTGTGGGTTGTCTGCAGCCTGCTCTTTTGTTGCGGTGGGTCTCCTAATTTGCTTTTCAGTCCCTTTCATCTTATCATTGTTCTCAAAGGCACAGCTCTGCAAACCACATAGAGGCCTTTCAACTTCCGCTGCATTTTGTTTTATTCAGCCAATTGACTAGTACTGTCAGCTAATTGGATTGGAAATGTAAAATGAAAGCTGTATTATTCAGCTGCCAAGCCTCCTCACTTGGCAGGGAGTGGGTGATGCTGGTAATTGTACCAGAAGTGTAATTGCTCTGGGTTCTGCCTCTGGATTTAACAATGAACCCTGGGAGGGTCTTCCTCTGAGACACTTGATACCTGCTTCTTTTCGGTGGCTTCCTGGCAAACAGTGAGGCTGGAAGCAAATCGAGTGAAGCATTTTTGTGTTGTTAGAGAATACAACCGGTGTGTATTTTGCTGACTGCGGGAGTGGATTGCTTGGTCTGAGTACTGAGTCAGTATGTCATTCCCATCAGAACTGTCAGTTAATTTCCTCTTGGTTTGGAATGGGGATGGGCTCCGCATCCCTGGCAGTTAATTTCCTCTTGGTTTGGAATGGGGATGGGATCCACATCCCTGGGGGTGAAGATGCTGAATTCACATGCCAGTTGTGGCCCATCATGCCAGGGTGTTCTTGGAAAAATAGTTGATGCAGAACAGAAGCCCATTTTGTAAACTAGTTATGAATGAGGAAAGGTTTACATGTCTGTAAAGAGTTGAATAGCTTAATGGAAAAATAAGGAAAGTAAAATGTCAATGATTAGTTTACCATTTAATTTGATCATCTTGGTGGTTTTGGCCCAGGCAGCTTTCTTTTCTTTCTACTTTAATTCATTAATCTAATGACAGTAGTGAACAACACTTTAGGGTAGATTATGTTGGCTTAGTACATGGGAACATATGGTATAGGTACTTCCATTCCTCTTCTCAGCTTAACCCTGAGCCTGCACAGACAATGGTAATCTTTCCCATTTCACTTGCCAAACAGAGCTTCAGAATCCTCCTCAACATAGCACTTCAGATAACTATTTCCAGGGCTGGCATGTGTGATAAAGCCTATTTATTATCTCTGACTTAGAAATTAGATTTCTATAATATTACATTTAATATTATATTTCCATAATATTTCTACTTTGAACCCAAGAAATGGAAATAGAAGCAGCTAAGCAATTCTTATACACTTCCTATTTGCCAAAATGAAAGAGGTTGATTTGAACAGTGTTGTGTAGTACAGTTTTGTTACTATATTATTATTATTATTTTATGTCATGTGCCTTTATGGAAAGCTTCCTAAAACATTTCCAGTGGAGAAACTGTTTTTATTTCCTTAGAAACTTAAGATCTTAGGAAGATATTGAGAGTCAGGCTGCTGAGACAGGGCTGGCCGCCCTTGAGGATCCCTGATTCCCTCCCTCCCAGAAATCCTTACCAGCTGAAAAAAGACAGGCTATAGGTAATAGTGGCAGCCAAAGTCAATTAGATCTATTGATCAGTGGCTCAAAACTGGTGAAAGCTGTTCTTCCTGAAACCAGAATCACTTTTCATTTGAAAGATCGTGGTCCTTGACGCCAGTCAGTCCTACTTTCAAATCCTGGCTTCACCAGTTGTGTGATAACTGACCAGACGTTCTTTATGTTCTTGTTTTATAAAACAGTAGTGGTAATAACTACTTCATAGTATTTTTATGAGGATTCAATGTCACATATAAATATACATACGTATGTATGCAATATGTCTATGTATGTAATATGTATATTATACCAATAATATACATGTGTATATATGTGTATGTAATAATTGCTCAGTAAATAGTAGCTATGAGGATGTGTGTGGGCATATAACTTTTGTTTTTTGAGGCAGAGTCCCACTTTGTTGCCCAGATTGGAGTGCAGTACTGTGATCATGGCTCACTGCAGCCTCGACTTCCCAGTCTCAAGCAATCCCCCCACCTCAGCTTCCCATGTAGCTGGGTCCACAGGTGCGCACCACGGCACCCAGCTAATTATTTATTTTTTGTTGAGATAGGGTCTCACTATGTTGCCCAGGCTGGTTTCAAACTCCTGGGCCCAAGTGATCCTCCTCCCTCAGCGTCCCAAAGTGCTGAGATTACAGACATAAGCCACTGTGTCTGGCTGGCATATAACTTTTGTAATGACATTTTAAAATGTGGCTTGGGAGATTTTTGTGTTTGATTTTTAAAAAGCAGTGTCTCTATGGATATCATATTTTGAAAGGTACCCTTTCTAACTTGTTTGCGCATTAGTAGTGGTCATATACTGAAATGCATGCAAAGGAAGAAATCCAGTGCATGATAAATTGCTTTACAAATTCCATGCAGGGGTGTACATTGATGACCTCTCTGAGAAACAGGTCATATAGGATGTGTCTGGAGCACAGGAAAGGTCTGAGGATGGATGTCTGAGAGCCTCTGTTCTACCCTTTGAGTGCTGAGCATGGTGCTAAGGAATCTCAGATGTGTTATCTGATATATCCCCCTGACATTCCTCTAGGATTGATTTTGTTATTTTTGTTCTTTTTAAGAAAAAGAAAATGGAGGCTTGGTCAAGATACTTACCTTGCTTATGGTTCTGGAATTGTTAAGTTAGGGAACTACATTTGAACTCAGAGTTACCTGAGTTTGCAATCCATCTCAAGATTATGGACCATGTGGGCTAATCTCTAAGTTTCATGGAGGAGGAACCAGAGGCCCAGGGAGGCGGTTTGTCTGGTTTACCCAGCTTGGTAAAGGCCAAGTCTGGGCCAGAATCCAGGTTCTGACTCCCAGTCCACGGCTCTTTTTCTATAGTATGTTCCCTCTCTAATTATTTATTTTGCTTTGTTCCCTAATTGTTTCAGAAGTCTTGCTTCTTTAACTATATTTCCAGCTCAAGAGCAGATGTAAAGGACCAGGCTGTAGTCTTCCGTATCTGGGTTAGACTGTATTCATCTATATCTTCCACATTGCTTACCATGTGATAGATCCTCAGTAAATTCTTGATGCCTTGAATTCTTCAAGAATTTACAGTCTAAAATTCTATTTTGAATGAGGCATAAATATATATAAATACACATATTGGGATTTATTCTTTAAGACATTCAGTTCATACTTGATAATAATGGCTCTCAATGTTATTGGATCCACTGCTTTGCCTTTATCCAGTCTGACAATTTTTATCTTTTAACATGTTCCTGCATTATAATTATTGATTAGGTTTATATCTACCTTACTATTTGCTTTCTATTTGTTACTCCCATTCTGTATATTTTTCCCCTTCTTTTTGTCTTTGAATCAATCCATTATGTTTTAAATATTTCAGTTCATTATTCTTAGTTTGTTAGTTAAACACACTTTTACTATTCCTTTAGTGGTTACCCTAGATATTACAATGTGTTAATCATTGTGTTAAACATTGTATTTACCTCTTCTCAGCCATTACTATAACCTTTGAATTCTCCGTTTTTTCATCCATCTCCTATCTTGCATGTTTTTGTGCATTTTGTATTTACACATGTGTTAAATCCCACCAGATGTTATTATTTTTGTTTTATATAGTTATTATTTAGATCTACCTATATATTTACCCTATTATTCTAAATTTCTTCCTACATTACTGTGTTTCTATTTAGAGTCATTTTCTTATTGCCTGGAGAACTTCCTTTAGTATTGTTTTAGTTTGGATCTGAAGGTGACAAATTCTCACTAGTTTTATTAATTTAAAACATTTTTATTTCATTTTCATTCTTGAAAGGTATTTTTGCTGGGTATAGAATTCTTAGTGACTGTTTTCATTCAGCAATTTAAAGATTTGTCTTCTGAGTTCCATCTTTTTTTTTTTAATGTGTGGAGAAGTTAGCTATCAGTTTTGGCATTTTTATTTGAAAATAATTTCCTACCCCTCTGTGGCTTAAAAGAGTTTTCTCTTTGCTGTTCATTTTTAGCAGTCTTATTCTGAAGTGCTTAGGTGTTGTTTTCTTTATTATTCTGATCAATATTCATAGCAATTCTTGAATTTGTGGCTTGGTATTTTTCTTCAGTTTTGGAAAATTCTTGGCCATATTTTAAAAAAATTTTGTTTCCGCCCATTTCTGTCATTTTGTCTTTAGAACTCAATCACCCATTTGTTGAACTTTGTAATATGTTCCATGTGTCACTAATGCTCTTTTCTGTGTTTTTTATCCTTTTGGTTTTTTCTGCTTCAGTTTAGATATTTTGTATTGACTTATATTCTTGTTTTCTTTAGGTATAGCCAGTCTGCCGTTAAGCAAAATTAATTTTATTTGTTTGACTTTTTGTGTTCTAGGATTTCCATTTAATTGCGTTTGTAGATACTGGTTATCTGTGGAAATATTAGTAGTTATTTAACATGTTTCAAGATATGTATCTATTGTCTTTCATTATCTTCATTAATTTCTGAATAAAATACAGTACAGCCTTTCCTTGACTAGTTAAGTCCCTGGATAATTCAGTGTATATTATTACATCATGATAAAGTACTTTGGGTTTATGTGTAAAATAGAGTTAGGATATATAATCAGATTTTTCACTGACATGAATGTCTGGACATTTGAAAGTCATGTGAAAGTGGGACACTTTTTCTTGGTGCAGTTATGTCTCACTCATTATATGACATCTAGAATTTAGGACCCCTATTCATTAAATGCTAGAATCACCTCTAAACCAGCAGCCTTCAAAGCAAATTTTTAAATGCCTCTTGAGATGGTATGGCCTCATGTAGGAGACCTGGTTAACATCATGAGGCTGAGTCACTGGCAATGAAACCTTGAACTCAGGGCCTCTGCCAGGTTTAGAAACACACTTAGTAGGATGTGGCTTTACCTAATTGAATGTGAGTGTTAGTACAACTCAGCCATTTAGTGGATGGCCAGTTTAAATGGCCAAGGGGCTGGCTAGAGGAAGAGTTAGGGATTGAGAACATGCAGCAGAGCTTTAAAAGATATGACACAGCTGTGGCATGCCAGATCACAATAGAATTGGCCTGGCATTCAGTCAGAAGTAGAGAAGCACTTTTAGAGCAAAGGTCTTGACTGATGTATTAATCTAGAAGGCAAGATCTCAAACAGCATAGATTGAAGGTGGCTACTGCAGCAGCAAGGATTTTCAAGGGCAGCATGTTGAACTTAATGCTGTCATCCGTGTATCCAACTTTTCAGCAATGACATCATAAAATAGTTAGCAATTCTCCAAATTTGAGAATATATGCCCATCTATCCATCCATCAACTCATTCAAAAACATTAAGTGCCTGCTATGTTTTAGTCACTACAAGAATACAAGGCTACCTATATATAAAGAAATTGTCCCTACTCTTGGGAAGGGAGAGAGAAAAGTCAAAAACTAATTATAAAATGAATGATAATGATCTAGTGGAGGAAGTTGACAAGAAAATAAATAATTTTAATATGAGAGATAATGGTGTAGCTATAATTTAATTTCATGTGCAAACATTTTGAATGTTTACTTTTTTCCCCCATTTCCCTTAGGAATATGAAATGAAGTCTCTGGGAGCTGAATTAATAGAGAAAGAAAGAAATTATAAGCTTAAGCTACAGTAAAGTCTCCCTAATATCTGGATTACTTAAAGTGGAAAGATGAGGCACATGTTTTACTCATAATGGAATTTCTGTGGTTAACATCTCTAGGAATTTATAATGGTTAATCTATCATAGGGGTTCTCTTAGATCAGGCTCTCACTATTACAGGATTATGTTAGAACAAGTGGAAAACTGGGTGTAAACAACAGACAGTTACAGAACTCAGCCTGTATTTCTATTGCTTCAGAATTTGGAATGAAGAGGAGCACATTTTCTGGGTATTTTATTTTATTCTATATTTTGAAGATATCCTATTTTGTGTGTGTATGTGTGTGTACTACTCTAGAAGTATAGTTTCTATAGCACTCAGTAGTGGAATATGTACAAACATTTAAGCAATGGAAAAGTTATCTTCTTCTTATCTTGGAAGCTGGAAATTCCAGCAGGGATTTTCTATAGCTCTAAATGCTACACCTACTCCCTCTGTCACCGAAAATATCGTGATCAACAGGCTTAGATTGTGGCAAGTGTCCGAGCTCATAGCTAACATTTATCGAGTACTTTCTAAGGACAAGTCACTGTGGTAATACAAGTACATTAACTTATTTCATCTTTACTGTCACCTGATTGAGTCCAATCTTATCCTTAGTTTGCATATTAGGAAACAGAGACTCAGAAAAGCTAAGAGATTTGTGCGGAGTCCTAAAGCTAAGAAGTAAATGAACTTGTGTTTGAACTCAAGTTTGCCTATTGTACCATTTTAGCATTGCTACCTGACTTAGTGTGGTATATGACCTATGTTCATAAACCAAGCCTGTGGGTATGGAGGTGGGTTTGGTGGGAAAAACATAAGCTTTGAAATCAGATGGACACTGGTTGAAATATAGGCATTAATACCATCAGTTACAAACTTTGGGACATTACTTAACCTCTCTGAACTTTGGTTTCCTTATCTGTAAAATGGAGATGATAAAATCTATCTCAAAGGTTTTAGGAAGAAATAAAAAGGTGAAAATGCCAAAGAATTTGGGACCCAGAGGTGCCCTCTTTGTCCTTGTTTTTTTTTTTTTTTTCTTTGTAAAACAAAACTTAGAGGACTAAGCCTGGCTTTGTGGAAGCAGGTGGAGCTTTGAGACATGAGGTAGTGGAATATTTACTTGGTTAAGGAGGCAGAAAAGGCTAATCTGAGGAAGTGATATTTCAGCTGAGACCTGGAGGATGTGTGGAAGTTAGATTAAGAAGGGTGGGAGTATGCTGTTGCAGGCATGCAAACATATTGGGCAAGTAAGTCCCTTAAGCTTCACAGTCCCTTTATCTGTAAATGTAGGCAGCACTGCCCTAGTGTGTCCTGCCTGGGTAGTCTGTTAAAGTCAGAGAGTAGAAGTAAGAGAGATTTGAAATGGTAAGACTGCTGTACAATATAAGGCATTGTTATTGATATTATATGATAACAGCACAGAATAAAAAAAAAAAAAGTCAGGGTTTGAATCCCAGATCTAGCCGCTCCTATTAGCTCCTAATAGCTGAGCTCTGGACAATTCACTCTGCCTTTTCACACCTTATTCCCTCATTTATAAAATCAGAGTCATGATGTCAGTTTCACAGGACGCTGTGAGAAGTTGTACCATCATGAGTATGTGGAGGACCTGGGAAGCACTTGGAGGCAGCTTGTCCCTTTCTTTCCGTCTCCCTACCTCCACCCTTGGCACCACACTATTCTAAGACTTCTGTACCAAAGCATGATGCTAACTTACTATGTTGTTGAGGGTCTCTTGCACAAAGACATTTTTAAGCTATAATTAGCAGCAATCTTTTCATCTGTGATTCATGCTGTTGTTTCTGTATACAAGTTGATACTCTTATAGCTATGTCTTCAGGTTTATCATTTTAAGACAGCTGGAGGAGGAGATCAGGTACAAGCTAATCATGCCAGGATGCTGAAATGGGAAACTGCTTAGGTTTTTGATGTGTAAAACAAGAAACTCCTTAAGGGGGTATTATATGAAACAAGCCTTTGAAATAGGTCTCAAACAGGAAGTGGATCACAATTTTGTTTTTTAATTAACCTGTATTTGCTCCTCCTGAAAGGAGATAATTTAATGTAAATACAAAGTCTCACATCTTTTCTTAGCGGTAAGTGTCCTCTGCTCCTTTTTATTTGGGACAGGATGAGGAGCTTTACATGAACTTTAAATTGAGAACCAATAGAAAAGGTATTGTTTATCTAAGCTGTCTGAAGAAGGGCACTTGGGGAAAGAATTGCACTCTAAAATAACCTTATGAAAGTTATTGATTCGTTTCTTCATGGTTCCCTGACAAACAAGGACCATTATTTCTGTGTCCGAATGGGAGCTGGGTCAAAGAATCCTTTTTTATAGATTATCTTTCCTGAAAACCAGACTTGTCAGGAAAATGAACCTCCAGAAATGAAGACATGAGACTTAATTGAATATTGCGTCCTGTTCGCTGCTTTGAAGGGCAAGTAGGAAACACTGTTAATTTTTAAAAATTTTACTGAGTACAAGAAGGTTTGGGGATAGCTCAGGAAATTTAGATAAATTGCTACTGTTATGTATTTGCTAAGTGCTTTTTATTTAAATTCCCTCCCCCATGACATTTCAACTCTGTAGTCCAGGGTCTATCTACATATAGTAGACTGGGGAAAAAGCATAACATTTTTTGTTTTTTTACCTTATATTTTATTTTATTGTTATTATTTTTTTGAGACGGAGTCTCACACTGTTGCCGGTGCTGGAGTGCAGTGGCACGAACTCGGCTCACTGCAACCTCCGCCTCCCGGGTTCAAACGATTCTCCTGCCTCAGCCTCTTGAGTAGCTGGGATTACAGGCGCCTGCCACCATGCCCAGCAATTTTTTTTCTATTTTTAGTAGCGATGGGGCTTCACCATGTTGGCCAGGCTGGTCTCAAACTCCTGACCTCGTGATTCACCCTCCTTGGTCTCCCAAAGTGCTGGGATTACAGGCGTGAGCCACTGTGCCTGGGCACCTTATATTTTAAAAGTAACTTCAAAAGATCACATAAATTATATATATATATAAATTATATATCTTTGTTGTTGAAAAACGGAAAATACAGATAAGGATAAAGGAAAACAAAAAATCATCTGGAACTCACACACAGAATTATCTACCCCTCACTTACTGGTTTATATAATTCCACAGTTTGTTTCTATGCACATAGATATATTTTTATTACAAAAATATTATATCTACATACTGTTTTGTAACTTGAAAACACAGCTTTTGGGGAGCTTTATTCTTTCTTTCTCACTTTTGGTCTAAGAAGCCAAGGGAATTTAAAATGAGATGAATTAATCAATAATTAAAGTAGGGTTATTACACCATTTAGATGAAAGAAAATTTATGTTGACAGTTGATATACTGCTCTTTAGAATTCTATAAATAATCCCCCCCAGAAATTTGAGCACTTATTAAAGATATATTTATTGTTTATTATTAGCATTAATCAAATATTCAGTAAATACTTTCCCAAGTGAAACAAGTTGTTTTTTTTTTAAAGCACCTTGCTATTACTTTGAAGTATTTGGGGATGGAGGCATTATATTATTTGCAAGAACATTTTATTCATATATTATTAAAAATATTAAAAGCTGTTTACAAAGATATTTTGATTGCTTTTTAGGCTTGTCATAATCTAATCCTTTAATCTATTTTCTAGTGAAAAGCTATTTTAAGAGTATTTCTTTTGCTGAATGTGTTAGATTGGAAAGGAGGATTTTAAAGTGTCGGAATTGCAATAGCAACATGGAAAATCTGTAAAACTTAGTTTACAATGTTATTACTTTGGATTTTATGGCTTTATCCAAAGTTCTAGCTATTGAAGAACTCTAGCTTCCCTGCTTTCATAAAGCAACTTTATGTGACCATATAATTGATTTGTAAAGATTAAGACCTGAAAAACATGGCCATCTGTCCAGGCCTTGGTAAAGGACTCATTTTACTTAAAATTAACCATAACACATTATTTAGTTCCATAGAGATATTAATACAAGGAAGATTTTTTTTTTTTTTTGAGACAATGTCTCACTCTGTCTTCCAGGCTGGAGTGCAGTGGTGCGATCTCGGCTCACTGCAAGCTCCGCCTCCCGGGTTCATGCCATTCTCCTGCCTCAGCCTCCCAAGTAGCTGGGACTACAGGCGCCCGCCACCATGCCCAGCTAATTTTTTGTGTTTTTAGTAGAGACAGGGTTTCACCGTGTTAGCCAGTATGGTTTCAATCTCCTGACCTCGTGATCTGCCTGCCTCAGCCTCCCAAAGTGCTGGGATTACAGGCGTGAGCCACCGTGCCTGGCTGGTACAAGGAAGATTTTTGATAGGTCCAATACCTAGATGAAGAAAATTTTTCTGTAAACATAGTTTGACATTAATGTAGTAATGACATTCAACATTATAAAGATTTTGTAGTGACATCATTTAAACATTGTTTTCTCAAGCTCTCACAACCTATCTGGAGTATCTCAATTCTTATGAATAGATATTTTTGTGTGGGTAAACAAACTCAGGGTTGATTATTAATTAATTCAGTCAACATACAGAAACTGTGCTAAGTGAATTTTGAGATATACAAAGAGGAATCAAATGAGATCTCCTTGTTTGAAGAGTCATAGTCTGCTGGGAAGACAGATAGGTAAACATATCAGGAAGGCTTCCTAAGCCCAGATACATTTAAACTTTGAATTAACATAAAGAAAAACTATGGTTTTGTGAATGAAAGAATGAAAGTGAATAACCTACTCCATGTTCTTAGAAGATACTGTTTACAGTTTAGTAAGCCAAGTCCAGCGACTGAGGGCTGCTTAAAAGTATAATGGACTGCTTTCAAGTTTGGAGGTCACTGTCAAAATAATTGAAGTGCAGAGAAGAACTCACCTCAAGAAGTAAGAATGTTGCATCTGGAGAGAATAAATATGGCTGGCACTTAGAGTCATACCAAGCTTAAGGGAGCACATAAAAGCTGGCGTGGCCAACCAATGTCTGGCTCAAAGACATGGCCCATGATTATACCAGCTTAGTGAGATAGAGACTTTTTGAATTTCCCAAGTTGTCTTGAAAACTCAACCTATAGTTTCATTTCTCCCTTATTCAACAATGTTCTGGATCCTCTAAATGCTAGGGTCCTAATTAAGTAATAATTTCACTCTGCTAGGTTTTACTTGTGTAGACTGGAATGAGAAGATGGGAAAGTCAAAGTACTTATAGGACTGTTTTCCCTTTGAGAAAATGAAATAGTTAGAAGACATTTGCTGAATGCCTGTGACATAATATAAAACATTCGGATTAAAAATAAATTACATTTAATGGTCCCTTAATAAGTGCCAGACACTGTTCACATATCTTTAAATACAGCATCTCCTTTGATGCTTTCAATAAACTTATTGAATAAGTACTTTCTCATTTCTATTTTACAGATGAAGAAACTGGGCATAGACATGTTAACTCAATAACAAACTCAGTTAATAAATGGTGTCACCAGGATTCAAACCTAGTCAGTCTGTCTCCAGAGCCTGAGTCCTTAGGTCTCCTAACAACTCTGTGAACTTGGGCAACTGGTTCAATCTCACTCATCCTGTTTTCTCATCTGTAAAATCGAAATCATAATAATAGTGCCAGTTTCATAGGGTTGACATGTATGTAAGGGCTTTGTGTAGCATTGACTACAGATACTTTCTCCAGCCTTGCAGGAAGATGGCAGAGGTGGGAAAAGCCACCCTCCCTCTATTCCACAATTGTCCCTGTGGTCAGCACTTCCTGCTCCCAGAGTGGGGAGCGTAAGTAAGTGATCAATAAATAGTAGCTGCTGGCTTTGTGAAGCAGTCATTTTTATTTAATCTGTATCCTGAAACCAAGATTGTTTTCTTGAAATCAGCAGGAAACGTACTACATTGTGCTTGGGAATAAACTTGTTTTTCCTCACCTTCTTGTTTTATTTTATTTATTTTTATTTATTTTTTTGAGACAGAGTCTCGCTCTGTCACCCAGGCTGGAGTGCAGTGGCGCGATCTTGGCTCACTGCAAGCTCCGCCTCCCGGGTTCACGCCATTCTCCTGCCTCTGCCTCCCGAGTAGCTGGGACTACAGGCACCCGCCACTGCGCCCGGCTAATTTTTTGTATTTTTAGTAGAGACGGGGTTTCGCTGTGTTAGCCAGGATGATCTCGATCTCCTGACCTCGTGATCCACCCGCCTCGGCCCCCGAAAGTGCTGGGATTACAGGCGTGAGCTGCCGCACCTGGCCTTTTCCTCACCTTCTTGTCATTGCTCTTTGGGTTAGGAGTAGACTGTAATAGTTACACTATTGCCAATTTTGAGTAATGTGCTATAGCAATAAAAAGAAAGAAATTCAGAGGTATTCTAAGCAAAGTTCTGGTGCTCTTCTGCTTTGATTCAGTATTTTTGTAAATCAGACACTGGGAATGTAATCTCACCTCAGATAGACTTTATATTTCCTAAATGACTTTGGAGAGGCCACAGAGTTTGAAGCACATTCCCTGAGAGGTTATGAATTTAGCATTTCTTGACTTTAAAGGGTGATTTTATTTTTTGCTTGGAAATGTTGTGTATATATCCATGTAAATCTACACCAATGTTGGTATATTAGTCTAGGTTCTCCAGAGAATCAACAATATATTCATATACGTCCTATTGGATATCTCTCTAAGACAGAGGCAGAGAGATTTATTTTAAGGGATTGGCTCATGCGATCATTGCGACTGGCAAGTTCAAACTGTATTATAGAGCAGGTCAGCAGTCTGGGAACTTGGGCAGAAATGCTATATTTTAGTCTTGAGGCTGAATTCCCTTTTTTTCCAGGAAACCTCAGTTTTTGTGGTTAAGGTCACTAACTGATTGGATGAGTCCACCCATATTACAGAGGGTCATCTCCTTTGCTTAAAAGTCAACTGATTGTTCATGGTACTCTCCTCTACAAAGTACCTCCACAGCGACATTGAGACTAGTGTTTGACCAAACAAGTGGGCACCATAGCCTAGCTAAGCTGGCACATGAAATTAACCATCACATTTGGTTTCTGCCATTTTGTGTGAAAATGTCCATTGCTAGCATCCACCAGTTTCCTAGCTCATCTCAGCTCTAATTGGATGTTGGTGTTCTAAGGACTCTGTCAGGAGCTTGGAAACTTATCTTACTCTTCCCTAAAGTATTTTAGTAGGACTCCAACTACTTGTTGACTAAGGAAAACAGGGTGAGAAAGTTTAGAAAGGAGGGAACAGGCCTTCATTAAGCAACTTAGGAACTATGAACTCTTGCTTCCTAAGGATCTATAGTGTGCCAGGCCAAGGATAGTTCCCACTTCAGGCACCCACAGTCTGGTCCAGCAAGGCTAACAGGAATATAAATGAGTGCAATAAAGTGTGACAGAGCCAGGCTCAGTGGCTCATGCCTGTAGGCCCAGCACTTTGGAAAGCTAAGGCAGGCAGATTGCTTAAGCCTAGGAGTTGGTCACCAGCCTGGTCAACATGGTGAAACCCTGTCTTTACAAAAAATACAGAAATTATCTGAGTGTGGTGGTGCATGCCAGTAGTCCCACCTACTTGGGAGGCTGAGGTGGGAGGATCAGTTGAGCCTGGGAAGTTGAGGCTGCAGTGAGCTGTGATCATGCCACTGCACTTCAGCCTGGTGACACAGTGAGACCCTGTTACAAAACAAAACAAAACAACAGTGTAACAGTGCATGCAGGAAAAAGTGAGGTCACAGAGGGATAGTGAAGAGCTATACCTGAATGGCAGTTAAAGGTTAGGAATGATTCATCTCTGAGGTGCTGAGACTTAGAAGAAGCTTCTTGGTTGCAAATGCTTCTCAGGAAAAGTCAGAGAAGAGTAGAAATCCAGGGGAGAATGAGATATGAGAACAGGAAAGAGGAGGCTGGGGTTGTCCAATAGTGTTGACCAAGTTGTCAAGGCCAGGGAGATAGGTGAGGATCAGATTATGGGGTCTGCATTTTATCTCATTGGAGATAAAGATGAGCCATGAAATAGTTGCATTTATTTATTTATTTATTTATTTTTTGGCTTTGAGGTTTTTTTAAAATTTTTTATTTCAATAGATTTTTTGGGAACAGGTGGTGTTTACATGGAGAAATACTTTAGTGATGATTTCTGAGATTTTGGTGCACCCATCACCTGAGCAGTGTACACTTTTAAACCAGAGAATAACATGGACAGCACTCTTCAAAAAGATTTAGTGTTTGAAATTTAGCCAAACAGTATGGCTGCTTTCAACTCTAATAGGAATTTGGGCTAGGAAATCTCTGGGAAAATGAATCTCAGTACAGCCCATGGGATCTTTAGTGTTTCAATCTGAAGTCATGAGAGCAGCCTTTCAATGGACAGAAACAGGTATCTGTGGAAGCTATGAGATAGTTGGTTTCAAAGTTACTTCAAAATGGGCACAACTGAAATGTGGATTCAGCATGAGGAAAGGTGAGAAATAGGGAAGGAATTTCTGAGACCCTTAACTGAGCCAGGGTTCACTTTTCTGTTTGTGACCATTGTTTTCCTTTCCAATTTGTGGAGTAATAACATAGTAACATTAAGTTATGTTTATTTAATTCTCTCATGTTCATGACCCCAAATAATTTGTGAGATCCTTATGGATACTGCCCACACTTATGCTTCATTTATACCTCAATATGCCCAGCACCCAGCCAGGCACAAAATAGTCACTCATACATATGTTGGTGCATCTGTCTTTAAAAATCCAACTACTTACTCAAATCCTTGTTTCTGATGAATGTTAGACGATGAAGTAGCAAAGAGCTGAAAAATGAAGCCTGTGGTGCTTATAGTATCTAGTGGCGAATACTGCTTTTAGGATGCTGGTTAGTGCTAGTCAAAAGTGTCATTTTCCTTTAAACGTGCTCCAGTGGTTTCTGCTAGTTAACAGCAAAGTGAAACTTCAAGTCAGGGAGCAACTTGTCCTCCTGTGGTTTCAGGCCAATCGATGATTTTTACTCTGGGTATTGACAGCTCTCTGCCGCATCCCCTTGTCTTTGGCTACGTGGATTGACTATTGTGAAATGGATTATACTGATTATATTGCCTTGTGGGGTTTAATCAGTGCCCAGCAAGTACTGTGTGTGGTGTGCCTGTGACTTTTCTTTGTCTTGTAATTGTCCAGGATGTGGGACTATTGATGGTGCAGCTTTTGTGTGCTCATACCTTGACTGATCAGTTTTTAAATCAGAGCTTATGCCTCTTTACAGGATGCCACAATTTGGAAGCCCGATTCATGCCAGAGCTGCCGTTGCCATGGTGATATTGTTATCTGCAAACCTGCTGTTTGCAGAAACCCTCAATGTGCCTTTGAGAAGGTACGGTATCCTAATTGTGTCCTAAATGTATTGGTAAAGTCAGTGAAGGGTCAGGTTTTTGGATCATTTCAGACATCTGTTTTTGACATTTATTCTAATCTCTACCTGGGAGCTTAATGAAATGCAGAAGAGAATTTTAACGTATTGCATCTAAGAATATCCTATTTTCCAGAATTTTAACATATCATATCAAAGAACATCCCAATTTCCATTTATTGGGCATTTACTCTGGACCAGGGACTTGGCTTAAGGTCTTAATAATGTTATCCCATTTAATATTATGTGGGTTAGGTATCTTTATCCCCACTTTATAGATGAGGAATGTGAAGCCTGGAGATTTTAAGCAACTTAACCATGATCATGCAATTAATAAACTGCTGCCCAGAGATTTTACCTGAAGTCTGACTGATGCCAAAGCTACTGACATTAACTTCAACATGCATGAACCATCGAATGGATTGAAAGTCAGAACTGACTTATTGAAAAAGATTTTCTAAAAATATCATTTGGGTCTGCCACTGATTGTATTATTGTGCTACTATTGGGCTCCCTAGGAACATAAGCAAGTCTTTGACTCAATAAATCTCCTTGTATTTGACCAAGTCTATGATTGGTATTTCCTCCCTTCCCTTCTGTTAAAAATTTTCAGTTTTCTTCTGACTACACATCTATTCTGTTAGAATAATACTTTTTCTAGTTGCTGACTCTTTTCTTTTTAAAGTGAATCTATTTTTTAAAAAAGCTTAAGCTTTAAATTTGAACTTCTGAAACTCCCAGGACAAGACCAATTATTGTATTCATAAAGCATTCTGTCAATTTAAAAAGTTTATTTTTCTAGTTTTTGGCTTCCTCCAATAATTAATCTTGAGTCTTTATGCCATCTAATGCTAATAAGGTTCTGTTTGTACCAGACACTGAAGTGAAGGTATGCCTTTAAGAGTATTCCTTCATTTCTGCATGAGTGTATTCCTGAGAAGCTGGGAGTACTTTAAGTATTGGCAAATTTGATAAGATTTTTATTGTATATTATGGAGCTTTATGTTTATAGGGTAAATATTCCTAAAAAAATCATTATTTGGCTTGCTAAGCAAGTCATGTCAGAATCTGAGCTGGTGGCAAAAACGCCATGAAAAATGCCCTTCCCCACTTCATGTGAAGAATTGTGTTATCATGGAAGAAGCCCTGAATCACATGTTAGAAGACATAGATTGCATTGCTGAAATCTAAACATGCTCTATATCAGGGGTTAGCAGACTAAATCTGGCCCACTGCCTGTTTTTGTGCAGCTTATGATCTAAGAGTGGCTTTTACATTTTGAAATGATTGAAAAAATAAAAAATAGTATTTTATAATGTGAAAATTATGTGAAATCAAATTTCACCATTGATAAATAAAATTTTATGGAAACACGGGCTCACTTATTTGTTTATGTATAGACCTTGGCTGCAACAATAGCATTGTATAGTTGCCATGTAGACCATGTGTGACTCTCAAAAGCTAAATATTTACTATCTGGCCCTTCACAGAAAAAGTCTCCCATCTTTGTTATATATCAAACTTGTGATTTCATCTCTTCCTAATTTGCTCTCCTAATTTTTCTCATCTTGGTAAATGGCAACCCCATTCTCCCAGTTGCTTTGGCCCAAAAACTTAACATCACTTTTGACTCCCCACTTTCTCCCACATCCCATATCTAGTACATTAACAACCCCCTCCCAGCTCTTCCTTCATGAAACAGTAAATTCCAAATGTGACTTCTTTGCTGTCAGTCTGGTTCCATTATTATCATCCTTTTGTCTGTATTCTCACAATAGCCTCTTAACTGGTTTTGCTGTTTCTATACTTGCCTTTTTCACTGTAATTTTGATATAGTAGCCACAGTGATCCTAATATAATTGAACTCAGATCATGTTGCTTCTCTCCTTAAACCCCTCCAATGGCTTCCAGTGGCTTCTCTTCTTACTCAAAGTAACATTTCCCAATGTCCTTTAAGGTACTACTATACCCCTCTAATTAATATTCTACTGTTTTCTCCCTTGCTCACTGCTTCAGACACCAAGCCTCCTTGCTGTTCCCTGAATATATATGTATATATCTGAGAGAACAATTTCAGAGGGAACAGCAAAGTGCAAAGGCTCTATGGCAGAAGTGTGCCTGGTATGCATATATATATGAGAGAGATGTGTGTTTATATACATATATGTATACATATATTACTTGATCTTTTACTTCAAGTCTTGCCTGGATGCCATTCTGTGTAAAATTGCAAATCTCTGCCCCCTACCACACATTTTGTATTCCTCTTCCAGACTTTATTTTTCTTTTTGATACTAACTACTATCTATTTTAATGGTATTTTTCGTTTACTGTCTCTTTTATTCTCTGTATATCCACAGCATCTACAGTAACACCTGACACATGGTAGGCACTCAATAATTTTTTTTTTTACTGACTGAATGAATGAATTAATGAGAGATGAGGCTAGAAAGTTGGTAAGTTTGAGGTTATGCAGAGCCTTGTATGCTGTAGTATGGAGTTTGGAATTTTATTTTTAAGGTTATGGAATACTAACAAAGGTTTTAGGTGTAAGGGTGGAATGTCTGGCTTTTTTAGAAAAAAAGTATCTCTGGTTTTTCAAAGATAATGCATAATATTAGAAATGAGGAGATCAGTTCAGAGGCTGAGAGAATCACCCAGAGAGGATGAGTTGCACAACTGGAGCACTGATAGTGTAGGGATCAAGAGATAAGGGCAGGTGTGACAAGTATTTAGGGGATAAATCAGCAGAACTGGCTGAAGGTAGGAGGGTGACAGAAAGGAAAAGGAGAAACGACTGCCATATTTATGGCTTAATGACTAGTTGGTTAGCTGAGTCACCAGCTGATATTGAGAATACAGGAGGATTAAGAAAAACAGCCCATCTGGGAAAAATGGCAATTTCAGTTTGGGACAAATTGGTTTGAAATGTCTGGGAAAGACCCAGGTGGATATGTCAGAATGGTAGCTGGATATGTAAGTCTAAGGCTCAGAGGAGACGATGGGGCTGGAGATATAATGTAGCTGTCATCAGCACATAGATCGTATTGCAAACATGTAGAATTAAAGAACTCATCCAAAGAGATTGTGTGAGAAAAGGGTACAAGATGAAGGATGGAATTTGGGGAGCACAGTCATTTAAGGGGAGGTGAGCATAAGAGAAAGTGCTTAAGAAGATTGAGAAGCCATGGTCAGAGGGGTGAAAGGAAAGAAATGGTCAAAGAAGAGAGTAATATTATAGTCACCAAGGAGAGTAGAAGATGCCCAGAAAGTTTGTATTAACCGTGTTGAGCACAGTTAAAGGAGTAAGTGGGAGGAGAACTTAATATGGCCCTTCAGATCTGGCAGCATGTAGGCCACCGGTGGCCACGCTGAGGTTGATCTCAATGGAGTGGGGGGAGCGGAGACTGTATTGCAGAGGCATAAGGAGTGAATGGAAAGTGGGGAAAGGAAGGCTGAATAAAGGCCATCCTTTCAGGAGCTTGACTGAGGGGTGGAAGGAGAGAAGTGGGGCCTTAGGTAGGCAACATTACATCTGAGAGGTTTCTCTGAATCTCCCATCCCCAACCATCAAGCCCTTCGGTGTGCTTCCACGGCACTTTGTGCTTGCCCTATTCATACCCCTTGACTAGACTGCAATGCCTGTTTACTTATCTGCTTCTTCCTCCAGACTCTTAGCTCCTTGAGAGCAGGAATCTTGCCATCTTCACTATTGCAGCCCGTCAAACAGCATAGTACGCAGCACACAGAAGGCACCTAGTCAACATTTTTGTAATGATCTCATAAGGGAAAGGAGAGGGTTTTGTTTTGTTTTACTTTTTAGTTTTTGATATTACCATGAAAGACATATAATCACCTTAGGAGGGAAATGGTAATAGCCCAGACTAGAGAGAGAAATTGAAGAGATGGGAGTTAGAGGGGAGGAGAGACTGAGTAAGTGAATTAGGAGTGGTTGCTGGACATTGAGGATAACATGAATAGGAGAATGGGAGGCCAGCTGGGGGTTGAAAGACTGGAAGGTAAAGAAGTGCTCAAGGATCTCCCTGGAGGAAATAAGGGTGAGAGGGTGCTAAAAACCAGGAGGCCCAGGTTCATTGGAGTGTGGACAGATTTTAAGGTTGGCTATAACTGTGTGAAATAGAGATGAAAATCGCTTGAACTGAGGTGGTTGAGAGTGTACAAAGATAGAATATCATTTTAATGGGCATTGAAGTTGTCTAGAATGATCTAGACACAGGTAGAAAAAAAAACAGAGATCCAGGTGTCAAGTCTTTACTGAGTGAAAGTGAGAGAGTGATCAGCAAATTTGTGGATGAAGGCAACATAGGAATCAGAGAGCATGAACTCTAAGGAAGGAGGTTCCTTATCTGTAAAATGAGAGGCTTGTACCAGATGATCCAACCATAAGAAACTTTTTCAACTCTAAGATCATGTAAATATTCCACAGAGCTTTTGGGCTCTTTATTTCAAGTAATGAAATAGGATCATAGAATGGAAGAACTAGAAGGGATCTTTAGAAATCACTTAGTCAGACTTCCTCAGTCTGTAAATAAAGAAACTGATTTTTAGTGGTTTAGTCACTTATCCAGAGCTAGGAGGTGGTATGGTCATGTCAAGAACCTTGGGCCTTGGCTCATGTCCCAGTGTGATTTTTACTCTACCATGTTGCTTTTAAGTTTTCCTCTGGGCTTTCAACAGCATGTGTTGCTGTTATTCAGACCTGCTGTGGTACCCTTACATTAGTATGTGGCACAAGTTCATGAATCACCACTGTTCCTAAATTAAATTATTATTTTATTTTAGACAGAGTTTCACTCTGCTGTCCAGGCTGGAGTGCAGTGGTGTGATCTCTGCTCACTGTAACCTCTGCCTCTCGGGTTCAAGTGATTCTCCTGCCTCAGCCTCCCAAGTAGCTGGGATTACAGGCATGTGCCACCACATCCAGCTAATTTTGTATTTTTTAGGAGAGACGGGGTTTCACCATGATGGCCAGGCTGGTCTCTAACTCCTGACCTCAAGTGATCCAACCACCTCAGCCTCCCAAAGTGCTGGGATTATAGGTGTGAGCCACCATGCTTGGCTTGTTACTGTTAATAACTTGTTTTTCTTTTTATCATTTTTTACCTTTTTGAAGCAATTTGTTTTGGCTATGGATTGACTAGAAATAACCTAGTGTCAATGGCAATGCTGAAAGACATATTTTATCATCTGTCATTTATCCATTCTATAATCACAGGTCGTGGATTCTATATCCGTATCTTATATTCATATAGAATAGCTAGCTGGATAGGGACAGAAAGACAGACAGACAGAAAAAGATTGAGAGAAAGAACACAAAGGTATTTAGAACCTTGAATAGTTAACCCAGTTCTGTCAGAAGCTATCCTGTCTAAGGATTTCTGGAGAATATGTCTGCACAAAAGACAATGCCATTCAAAGGAGCACGGCATTACGTGGTAAGGTTTTGGCTGCAAACCTCAATGCAGATAATAATGACATTTACTTAATAAAGTTGTTGTGAAAATTAACTCTCTCTATATATATATATGTATATATCTATATGTATGCATATATGTAGTATGCATATATGTACATATGCATATAAATGTGTGGAGGAGTACCCCACTATTGTAAGCACTCAATAAGTGTTAGCTATAATGATCAAATTATCATTATTGTTGGTGGTTCTCCTAGGTCCTAAGCAAGTAATCTTGCCCCCAGCGATCTTCACTGATGTTTTTTGCCCCTGCAACCACTTTCTAAACCACAACACTGCAAAGCCTGGAGAAGGACTCCTTTGTGTTCCATGCAGCCCACAGCTCACCAAGCCATTCAGGGTTACATGGTTAGGTGGCAGGAACTCCTTGATTCTCATTCTTCAAGCACCCACATGCAAAATTTTTATTCCTCCTTTAACTCAACTCTTTTATGTTCCACCAGAAATTCAATAGATAGACCAAGTTGGGAACCATCCTCTCCCCTCCCGCTACTGCCACTAGCAAATATATATATATATATATACACACAAACACATACACATATATACACACACACATACATATTATTATATTTATAAAATGAGCTTTGAGGGCTAAATCTGAAAGTTAGCTTTTATGTAAAACAAAGAAAACTAATCTGGGGGCATGAAACATTCCTTGAAGTCTTCCATTCTACCTGCCTTTCTCCCTTGCTCCCGGCTTCCATGTTAGACTATCAACACTTAGATCATGTTATTTTCAATCTGTATGAAATTCTTAGTGGAAATTAGGCTAATGTAGTTTCTCTAATTGTTTTAGTGGAAATCAGACAAGTGTAGTTTTATCTTGGGGTTCAGAGGACACTTTTCTGAAAAGTGATTAATATTGCATAGTATGTATAATTTCATAAAATCCCATGTCATATAAGTTTTATCCTTTATCAAAAAAATAGGAATTTGATGATCACTTTATTGATGTATTTATCTGTTTAGTGGGTTAATGGTTGTAAAAACTTAGTCCTATTTCCCATCCACTCTTGTAGATATATGATGTTAGAATTCTCTTGTAGGTACAATTTTTTTAAAAATGAAGCAACCAAAAATAAATAATAAATATTAATAACATTAACACACACGCACACACACACACACAAACTTTTTTCTTTTTATTCTACTGGTTGAATTCTTGGTAGACTTTTATCCTGTGGATAAGTCATGATTTCCTGGCTAATGTAGGATCTCCTACCATTTTTGGTCAAAATCACTAATTGCCTGTTCTGCCACATCACTAGGCTTGAGAAAATCCTAAGTAGAGGAGCAGCATGAGTAGGAAGATCTAATATGAGAGTCGTGGGCCTCAAAGACAAGCTAATGCTCTTCACTCCATATTTTTAACAACTCTTAGATAAACAGATTATTTACAGTGGTGATTGGATGGTTGACATGTGACACCTCCCCAGTAAATCTTGGGGTATCAGGTGGTGGCCTATTCTCTTGATAGTATCAAGAAACACAATTGCAATTATAGAAGCTCTGGGAACAATGTAGATCTTTACTAGAGCTTAGGAATTCTACTCAGCTTACCACAGTGTGTATATATGATACCTCTGCAGAGATATTACTTCCTCTCAGAACTTTGTCCTGCAACCTCCTGTCCCAGGTAAAAGTTACCTATGAGAACTTCAGCTGCTTCACTGGCTGCACTAGGCTGTGTAAGATACCAGACAGCTGGAAGACCTGCCAGCTCTGTGGCCATCCCCCACCTGAGTCTTCTGCCTCTTCCCAGCAGGAGAAAACTGCTTATCTTGTGTAAATCTCCTAGGGTTTCTAGTGAAACAAAGTCTCAAGTTCATCACATGTGAAAAGATGTAGAGTTTTTTTTTCAAGGAAATTACTTTTACAGAGGGGGTTCATTTTATCTTTGAGCGAAGCTTATCTGGACACAGAACCTTTTTTTCAGTCTATTCATTTTATCCCATCTGTTGTTGTCACCTCAGAAACGCATGAGATTTAGTGAATGTAAGATGACTTAGGGTCTGATGAACTATTGTGACTTGGTGTGTGCTGCTGCTGTTTTACTTTGAGCTGCTTTTAAATGCTCAGGGAGAAGTGCTTCAAATAGCTGCCAACCAATGCTGTCCTGAGTGTGTTTTGAGGACTCCAGGATCTTGCCATCATGAAAAGAAAATCCATGAGGTAAGTGTTTTCTGACTCACGGTTGATTCTGTGTCTGCAGATCTCTGACAAGGGAAAAGCTGAATGTTAAACTTGTGTTGATGAGAGTTTTTTTCTTTGCCTGGATTGTGGAGGATCTGAAGCCCATTTGACTTTCTGTGAGCATTTAGGTTTCTTGTATAAGAGTAAAACATTCTGTAGGCTCTACATAAATATTTGTAGATTGAATTTGTGTCTGAGAATGTTGATGTTGAAGAAGTTGTGATGCTGAATAGTAAAAGTACCTCCCTCCTTTTATGTACTACATACATTTTAAATTTGATAGTTACAAACAATCCTGAGCTGGTGAGTAGAGCAGATGTTATTACTCCCATGTTAAATACGAAAAAATTTAATTGCAAAGAGCTTAGGTACTTGCCCAATGTCATATTACTAATAAATGGTATAACCTGGTCTAGAACCCTGGTCTTCTGACTCCTAATTCAGGGCTCTTTTTACTATAGTAGAAATTTTCAACTTAGCAGCCTTGGCATTTTAAGCTTTGTTGTGGGAGCTGTGCTTTGCATTGTAGGACATTTAGCTGCATCCCTGGTCTTTTCCCACTAGATGCTAGTAGCATCCCTCAGTCATGTCAACCAGAAATCTTTGCAGACATGGCCAAATTTCCCTTGGGGGCAAAATGCTCACCTTCCCCCTTTTGAGAACTACAGGACTAGAAATCTTTTCTCAAGTTCTTAAAATTACACTTTCTCATTTCAGATCATTCAGGATTAATTTAGAAATATTAAATATGATTAAAAAGTACCAACTGCAAAGTCTATAATAGAAATTATGAAAATAGACAGTTTATCTTCATTGATATGTAAATGTTACCTGAGGTAGTAGGTACGGTTGAATATGATGGAAAGAGACTTTGCTTTAATCCTCATCTTCCACCTGATACAAAACTTTCCCCAAGTTAGTGTCTCTTTATTCAGGAGAGAGCATAGGTTAGTAGGATTTGATATATCTACTTGAGGCTGCTATTCAGTGTGGGGACCTAAAACTCAGAAAGCACAGTGCTCATTTCCCTGTGGGGCAGGATTATCTTACTCGAGCCACTGTTTCCTAATTACACAAGGAAGCCACTCTTTCACTTCTGCACAATGTGTTGCTGAAAGACATCCAAGCAGGATCTACACTGAGAATGTCTTCAGACCACGTATCACTATGTGCTGCTCGATTCAGCCTGTGTTATGTAGGGTGGTGTTGTCTTTAAATGTCACAGAAGAAAATCCCTATGAACTGAAAAGTGCCTCAGGGCAGAGTGGTGATGAAAATAATGCCAGTTCCGAATGATTATGATAAGTGCATGGTTCAAGGTGAATGATAAGTGCATGGTTCAACCTGAATCTTTCAAGTGAAGGAGTTGTTAGGAGCCAAAATAAGTCCAGGATCTGGGGGAAAAAAAAAACCAGACATATCAAATAAGAGGTGGTACCAGGGACATGGGAGATCAGAATTCAGTAAATCTTTGCATGGACCACACTAATGACATCATATGCTCTCTCATGTCATGTGTGTGCACATGTGCAGTCTTCTTAATTTAAGATGCCTGAGAATATTGACAATATTTTCTATATTTTTACAATTATCTTTCCTGCCTCTCACTTACCTGGCACTTAGCACTGAACTTTTCCCAGAGTAGGTGCTCAATAAACACAGGTGAATAAAAGATTCAAAAAATTAGTAAATCTTTTCTCCAACTTCTCTATGACCTCATCTTAAGGGCATGTTGGTCATTAACCAGTGTGGCTGGTTAGCTCTGGGACCACAGATCTGCCTTGGGTTAGTTAGAAATCCTCCTAGCCTCCCACTTTTGCAGGGAGAGTTCAGAAAGTTCTCCCGCTGGTCTTTCTTCTCCCCACTTCCCTTGTGGTTCATCCCTCTGCAATAATACACCATGTAGAAAGCTCTAAACTGGGTAAGAATATACCCATGTGTTGCTTTTCCATATGTGTCTTTCAAAATTTACTCCCTCTGAAAATGTTATATTTCTGGTATTTGATGTAACTGAGCAAAAGGATGAATTTCAAAACTATAGTTTTTTGGGGAAAAAATCTCTAGTGGATTGCTTCTTCAAATAGAGCTAGAAGATGGATTTTTTTTAAGGCGAGACAAAATCTTCTAATTTTAGTCTTAATAAAGTTAAAATAATTATGTTTCTTGTCTTTCTGTCCTTCCTCTCTTTCTTTCTTCACTTCCTCTAGGTTCTTACCAAACACTCCTTAGTGCATTAATTTTCTTGAGTGGGTTAAATGCTTGTCTGGTCTGGTCTGGGTCTCACCTCATCACTTGCATCACTAGTTTTGTTTGTTTATTTTTGACTCTTGTAGCATTTCCTTTCTTGCTTGTTTGGGGAGCAGTTTCCAGGGTACTTTTCCCTCCTGCTGAATAGCAGTGATCTTCTCTCTTTGGCCTCTGGCTTGCCTCCCCTAGGGCGGGTAATGGAGACTCCCAGTAGCTATAAAATAGCCTGGCATTTTAAGAACTTTGGAATGGTGATCTGAAGTGGAAGCTTTCCCCTAAGACAGATTGAGAAGAGGATTTAGGATAGATTCGGTGTGGCAGGAGGGGAGGCAGTTGAAGTGATACTGTCCCCGGAGAATATGGTTCAAATAAAGGAAAGTGAAGGACTGGCTGAGCTAAGGGCTGCGTGAGAAGACTACCCCTTAATAAAACAGCGGAGCCTTGGGGGAGGACCTCCTTTGCTTGCAGAGGTGGCAGCGTCTTATACAACTGGCATTTCAGCAAGTCAAGACTAGTCTCAAGATCTTTCCTGGAGTGAGGAAAACACTTGAACATTTTGGCTGACTCCAGGTTATTTGAGAGTGTTGCAAGGGTTTATTATAGCCAGGATTTGGGGGATCATTTCATCTATGACCTTCGCAAAGCTATACTTTGAAATTAACTTTTGGATTTGTGCCTCGCCATGCCAACCAGCCAGGGAGGCAAGCCTCAAATGCGTTTTAGAGTTGTTTGAATACTTTTTTTTCTGTGCTTTCCCCACAAATTACTTTGTGAAAGGGAGGGGAAAGGACCATGAATCCCCTTTCTTTTCCTGTTTACTAATCTAACCTCAGCACCAGATAATGTCAAATCTGAGTAGATGGGGCTTGAAGGTTTACTGAAAAATGAAATGGCTTCTAGTGCCCAGCCTGATTGAATGGGGAGTAGGAAGGGACAGGCCTGCTCACTTTGTTTGTGAGGCTAAAAGGATAACTAATTTATGTGTATGAGGCAAGAAATAAGTATTGAGTTCTTCAGCCTTGTTCTCCTCAAAGTAGAGGATGTAATTATAATATGCACTGAACATTCCCAGATATTTAGTATTCTGGATCTATAACTCCATAACAGGAACAAATTATATGAAGAAAAATTGTATTTTTGTTCTGTCAGTAAGCCAGGCAAATGCTTTTTGACCTTATCTTTCTTTTGGACTTATGTCAACAGCCAAGCCAACTTGTTAGTTGACTATGCAGGAGAATATATTTAAGATGTTGTCTGCAGAGTTTGCTTCTGCCCAGTGTCAAGATGTCATGTTTTCGAAACAGTATTAATGAGGTTAAGATGGCACAGGTAAAACCGGGTCCTGTGGGAGCATTGCTTTGTGTATCTATTATTCCTTCATTTTACAGAGCTCTCTTTGCTACTACAGTGTTTATAAAAAATAATGCTTTCATAAACGTGTATGAAGAACTACTGATATATATATATATGCATATATATATATATATATATATGCATGTGCTGATGCCTTGATCTCTAGGCTGGGTGTGTTGCATGCATAATCAATCCTCAGAACACTCACTCTGGGGAAGGAGGTGTCACTGTTTCAAAGTCAAAAGACACAAAAATGGAGTAAACTTAGGTGACTTGTCTCCTGGAGAGATGTGAGAGGGAATTCTTTTCATCATGCTGCACACTTTGGATCACTGTCTGGACTTTCTTCTGTGGCTTTGACATCAAGCAGTGGAGCCTTTTTTTTTTTTTTTTTTTTTTTGAGATGGAGTCTCACTCTGTCTCCCAGTTGCAGTGGTATGATCTTGGCTCACTGGAACCCCTACCTCTCAAGTTCAAGTGATTCTCGTGCCTCAGCCTCCCAAGTAGCTGGGACTACTGGCAACCGCCACCACACCCAGCTAATTTTTGTATTTTTAGTGGAGATGGGGTTTCACCATGCTGACCAGGCTGGTCTTGAACTCCTGACCTC
This sequence comes from Homo sapiens, assembly GCF_000001405.40. Lineage (NCBI taxonomy): Eukaryota > Metazoa > Chordata > Mammalia > Primates > Hominidae > Homo > Homo sapiens. Next base: position 78,249,557 of record NC_000004.12, read on the forward strand.
AAGTGATCCACTCGCCTTGGCCTCCCAAAGTGCTGGGATTACAAGCATGAGCCACCGTTGTCCAGCCTGAATGTTTTTCTTAATTCCCACAATTCTCAGGCTTTTGGGAAGGGAGAACCCATTGCTTAATTTTATGTCTTTTGAGTTAGATAATAAATTTACATGATCAGAGAGAGTGGGTACTGAAGAGATCAGCTAATATAGCCCTCTTATTTTACAGATGAACGACAACTTTGGTGATTGGCAGGCTGTTGTTATAATTAATTTTTCTGGTCTCTGTCTGAAAGGTAGTGTGACTGCAATGTTTTGGAAACAACAGTGGTGTTTCTTGGTAGTAACAAAAGTTCTTGTTTTATGAAGTGAAATGTCTAGATGTTTAGAGCAGTCTTCTAATTTTTAATAAAATGAAGTTTACTTCAAGTTGTTCTATATAGTCTTTAAATTAAGACTTTAAGATTTTACTTTAAATATATGTAGTCAAATATATATAATTTAAAGACTATAGTCTTTAAATTAAGACATTAATTTTGACTTTAAGATATATAAATGACTCATTAGATATTTTAAACAATAATTTGCTTTCTGATGACAAAAAATATTTTCTTGGGGAAAATTTGGAAAAGAGAAAAGTATACAAGCAGAAAAAATATCACTAGTAATCCGAATACTCTGAAAACCACTGTTAATGTTCTTTCAGTTTTGGTGGAGGGGTTGGCAGTGGAGATAGATAATACATACAGATCTATGTTTTAACATAATTGGAATTATGCTGTGTTTTATGTCTTGCCTTTTTATATAACATTATATTGTAAATAGTTCCTTAGTGTACTCTTGGAGAACATGATTTCCTGTTATTAGATATTTGTGTAGCTTCCAATTTTCACTAAAATATTTTCAATTTCACTATAAAGAACAATAGATGGCATTTCTTGTATTTAAGCCTTTTGTGTGTCATTAATCATTTTCTTCAGATAACATATAAAAAGTGAAATTAGTAGGTCAAGGCATCTAAAGAGTTTGAGTATTGAAGCTGTGACATCTTTAGTCATTAAAATTTAATTTTAAGTCTTCTGTGTCTAGTGATAAGCCCAGGGGAAATACCACAGATACTGCATCCTCTTTTCAAGTGTGATTATACTGGGGAGGCATCCCCTGGTTGAGTGATTCCAGGTGTTATCGTGAGGGAAGGCTTTGTGTGTGAGAGAATTTCTTTCCCTTCACTGTAGCTTCACCAAGTCTAGGTACCATGAATGTTAAAGTCTTTTCATATCAGATATTTAAAACGTTATAATTTTATAATTAGTATTTTTTACAATTAATACATTTGAACATTCTGTAAGTTTTTGCTATTTTGAAAATTTGAAATGTCTTTTTCTTACTTCTTATAAATGCTTTTATATATTAGAGTTTAGTTCTAATTAATATAATCTGCAATTTTTAAGATCAGTTTGTCCTTTGCCTTTTAATTTTATTTTATATATTTTATGATGTGTTTTTGGCAGATTTAAAAATTTTAACTCATTAAATCCTATCAATTTTCTTTTAAGTTCTTTCTTTGCTTTCATGTGTAGGCCTTTTCAAGCATAAAGGTCAATTGCCCTGTCTTTTATTGGCCCACAGTTTGTGGACTTGCCCATTTCTATGCTGTACTAAATTTGAAACTTATATATAATTGTAGCAGAAGTAAGAATGGATGGGAGAGGACTTGACCTTTGTATCTGTGTCCATTCCTGCTACTTACAGTCAAAACAAGGTGTGGAAGAAGGGAGGAAGTTCAGGAAATCATGCAATAGAAATGGGAGAAGTTTGAGCATCTTTCTATTTTAAGATGTTTAATTGACAAATGAAGATCAAATATAGTCAAGGTGTACAACACGGTTGGATATGCATATATATTGTGTAATAATTACCACAATCAAATTAATTAACTCATCCATCACCCCCCATGCTGTACCTTAGATCCTCAGAACTTGTTCATCTTATAGCTGGAAGTTTGTAGCCTTGGCCAACATCTCCCTAGCCCTGGGTAACACTGTTCTACTCTGGATTGAGCACCAGTACACTGCACACCTGGGTGGCTCTTTAGCAGGCTAGCTCATTTAACCCTCAGAAGAGCCCACTGGTGAAGGGAATGTTGTCATACCATTTTATTATTATAGATCAAGAAACTGAGAGTGAAAAAGATTAAGTCACTTACCTATAGTTTCCAAGGCAGGAAGGGCTGAGCTGGGATCTGTGAATGTGCATGTGGCCAAGTAAATCCTTGGTCTGTGCAACTCAGTGCTTGGGTACATCATTTCCTGCTTGTCCTCCCTGTTGGCTATCACACTTTCTTCAGGGCCATGAGATCACTGGAACAGTTGAGAGAGAGAGAGAGAGAGACAGAAAGGGGGGAGTGGAATATGGGAACTAATCAGGATAAAAAGTAAAGTCAAAGAAAGGAAACAGGATCAGAGAGAGCTACTGAAAAGGATATAGTCATTATGAAGAACACAGTAAACATATGTGTATTTGAATTGGGGCTTTATAGAATGTTTTAAATGGTAGGAGATTAGGTTATTTTTATTTTCTTTTTGTATTTTGTATTTACAAATTTTCTGAAATTTGTAAATAAAAAATCTTCGCGGTAATAGAAGGAGAAGTCCATGTTTAAACTGGCCTTTGACTTGAAGCCTTGCAAATTCCACTCTCAACCTTGCAAGCTCATAGCTTTATTCCACCTTTCCCTGAGCTCCATCCTTAATTTGGATAAGAGAAGATTTGTTTCTATTTGGCTGAATGAAAGCCTGTGTTTTGGCACTAACCTTTTTTTTTTTCTGTCTCCCTAACACACAGCATGGGACAGAATGGGCCTCTTCTCCATGTAGTGTGTGCTCTTGCAATCATGGGGAAGTCCGATGTACCCCCCAACCATGCCCACCGCTGTCATGTGGACACCAGGAGCTGGCATTCATCCCTGAAGGAAGCTGCTGCCCAGTTTGTGTGGGCCTTGGGAGTGAGTATGAGCTTGTAGAAGGGGACCCTCTTTGCTTGGGAGGTTCACATGGCTATCGGGGGAACCAGCCCTCAATATTTCAACATAGGTTCTTTCTATTTTCCCTAAATGTTGGCTGGTCTGAGAAATAGAAAGAGTACAAAGAGAGGAATTTTACAGCTGGGCCTCCAGGGATGACATCACATATCAGTAGGACCGTGATGCCCTCTGAGCCACAAAACCAGCAAGTTTTTATTAGAGATTTTAAAAGGAGAGGGGGTGTACGAACAGGGAGTAGGTCACAAAGACCACATGCTTCAAAGGGCAATAAAGATCACAAGGCAAAGGCAAAATTAGAATTACTGATGAGGGTCTGTGTCCCGCTGTGCACGTATTGTCTTGATAAACATCTTAACGGAAAACAGGGTTTGAGAGCAAAGAACTGGTCTGACCAAAATTTACCGGGCTGGAATTTCCCAATCCTAGTAAGCCTGAGGGTACTGCAGGAGACCAGGGTGTATTTCAGTCCTTATCGCAACCACATAAGACAGAACTCCCAGAGTGGCCGTTTATAGACCTCCCCCCAGGAATGCATTCCTTCCTCAGGGTATTCCTTGCTGGGAAAATAATTCAGCGATATCTCTCTTACTTGCACGTCCATTTATAGGCTGTCTGCAAGAAGAAAAAATATGGCTCTATTCTACCCGACCCCACAGGCAGTCAGACCTTATGGTTACCTTCCCTTATTCCCTGATTATCTTCCCTTATTCCCTGAAAATTGCTTATTCTGTTCTTTTTCAAGGTGTACTGATTTCATATTGTTCAAACACACGTTTTACAATCAATTTGTACAATAGTTGTCCTGAGGTGACATACATTCTCAGCTTGTGAAGATAACGGGATTAAAAGATTAAAGACAGGCATAAGAAATTGTAAGAGTATTATTAGAGAGGTGATAAATGTCCATGAAATCTTCACAGTTTGTGTTCTTCTGCCTTGGTTCCAGCTGGTCCCTCCGTTTGGGGTCCCTGACTTCCCGCAACACATGGCGACACCCCAACTCTTCTCTTTCTTGCTCAGTGTGGCTCAAAGATTTCCTAACCCCATTCCGTATTGGAATCAAGTGCAACACCTTGCACTTGGAAGGGCGCAGTGTCCCAGAGAGTGAGATTGGAACAAATCCTTAAGCGCCCTTCCAAATTTGAGATTCTGTGAGTTTCTGATTTACAGTTCTGCATTCACAGCTCCTGAGAAGCAAGGGAATAGGGAAAAGATCCTTTGATATGATTCCATAAGGCTAAGGTGGTTCCTTTTGCCTCCTTAGTGGACAGAAAAAGGAATAACTCAGTTCTCTGTCTGTGTAGTATCATCAACACTATTTCTGTTGGCTTGTCTTTGAGATGACATAACATCTTTCTCCAAGACACACACAACAGGAAGCATGCCTTTTATTTGTCTTTACTTATTTGTCTTTATTTATGAAATAAAGACATGCTCCCCATGTAGGTGTCACTGAAGAAATTATGCCCACCTAGAAACCAAGACACCCAGATTTTGTTCAGCAAGCCAGAGTCAGACTTTTAGGCCCTCTCCTCAGAATCCACGCTTGTTCCCATACTCTTTTTATTACACTTTGTGGATCTGTGTCCCCTTCCATTTTTATAACTAGGTAGTGTATACCGTATAATAAATAGGAATTATTGTCATTGCTGTATTAGGCACTCTCACAACATGTAATAGCCAGAATACTTTTATTTAACAGCAACTGGAAGGTACACTCTATTCTTGCTTTTTCTCATTAAAAGGATACCTCATTTCTTTCTGATCCCCAGTTATTCCATTTCCAGCAATCCTTTATTTACACTGGAGAATTCCAGGGATGAAAAAATATGCCCAAGAATTGATGAAAGGAAAATGCTTGCCTGATGCATTTCAGATGTCACCTACCAGAAAAGGACTGACAGACATTTTGGGCTAAAAAACCAACCCTACAAGTGAAAATACTTGGAACAACAGAGTTGGGGGTGGTGTGGGGAGTAGGTTGTCTGAGTTTGTGGGATTCTTTCTTAAGTCCTAAGAGGCCTTCTCATTGACTCTCCATGAGAAAGACTTTGGACGTATATTTCCTGGAAAGATTGGAGGATCAACTGGGGCCAACAACATAATTTGCAAAAATGTAGGGTCTCTTGTTCAAAAAGAAAGAGGAGAAAAAGCTTTTTTGTTGTTTTTTTGTTTGCCTCTGTGATCTCTTTCTCTCAACCTGTCATATTTGGCATGTTTTTTAGTTGCTATTTAATGTTTTCCTCCTTTGGGCCTGGGAATGAAGGGTGGGAGGATACCCTCACAGACACCCCAGGCTCTACCCTGTGACTTGGTGCATAGGGCGCATGCAACCTCCTGGCACCAGCCCCCACGAGGGTTGGGGATGACAGCATTCATTGGGATGGAGTGGAGGAGCTGGTAGCTGAGAACTCATCCCAGGAAGCCAGCAGCAGGTGGGACCACACATGAGCTGAGCCTCAAAACTTCACCTATAAAACACAAATTCAGAGATTTCAAGGTAGTGACTGCAGAGCATTGAACACCAAATGCAGGACCTCCTTCTGTGCACTGGGCTTCTGACCAACTGCACTGGCTGCACGCCCATGCAGTCAGCCCTGGGATCAACAAATGCCATCCCCCTAGTAATCCTTGTTTCTTTGACCTTCCAGAACCCTGTTCCTATGAAGGCCATGTGTTTCAGGATGGGGAGGACTGGCGGCTGAGCCGGTGTGCCAAATGTCTGTGTAGAAATGGGGTTGCCCAGTGCTTCACAGCTCAGTGTCAGCCTCTATTTTGTAACCAGGTAAGGAAGACAACCTCAGCATGCAGCCTTCACGGGCTATTGAAGAACTTGGAGTCTCTTCTGAGATTATGGCAGGCAGGCCTCAGAAGCACTAGAAACAAGAAGCAAAGCCCTTTTTGTTTTCCTCATACTTTTGGAGACCACCTCTGAGACATTTCTTTTACCCTTAGAAACTACAGATAGGTCTAATTACCAGCCACTTAGGCTAATTGTTATATAATGCAACTGAGCCTTGAGGATTCACACAAGGAAGCCTCCAGCTCTAATGGCAGATGCTCCAAAAATGTCAAGCTAAACATCTGCAAAATTCAATAATGTGATTAGATTTGTTATTGTTTTTCATTGCATAGGTATAGTCTGCTTTTTTAAGACATAATGCATATCTTTGAACATGATTATCCAGATGTACACAATTTAATTCTTATAGGATAATGATTCAAATTATGAAAGGATTTTCTCTGAGGACGTTTAAGATAGTGGGATTTTGTTGTTCATTTAAAGCTGATCTGATTCTCAAAACATTAGACTCTTCACACAAATTTAGAAGAGAAAATCAATTGTAAATAAATGTGGTATACGTGGTATTTTATATTATAGTTTTTTACTCTTCCAGAGGCTCGAATGGCTATTCCATGGCAGTTGATAGGTAACCATGAAAGGAGTTTGCCTCCAGTCAAAAAATAGCTCATTTTTTGATCTAAGGAAAAGCTGGAAGCCAACATTCAGTTGATACAAAGCAGTACTTTGTGTCAAATGAAACAAAATCAATAACATAGCATATTGTGACAATTGGGCAATATTTTTAAAGGTGACAAAAGGCAATTAGACAAGAAATGCTAAATGCCAAATAAAGGAGAAATGTATCTAATTGAAAGACTAGATTGTATTATCCACACCACACCAACTACTGTGCTCATGTCTCATCTCCCAATTCATCACAAAGCCATATCCTTGCTTTAAGATGGCAGATGAGCTTGTTCATAGAGTTGCACAGTGTCTTGCTCTAATGCTCTTACATTTGGAGGACACTCTAGTGTTGAGGCATTCTGATTAAGCCCATTTTGGGGCCTAGTCCCTTGGGGTAGGAAGGATAATTAAGCAGTTTGCCACCATAACAATAAGGGAGGTGGGAAGGAGGAATGGAAAGAAGACTCCATTGGAAACCTTCTGCTTTAAATCCTCAAAAATGTAACCTCAGACTGCATATTAGGGGACCAGCTACTGGAATAATTGAAAGTACTGTTTCTCATATTTAAAATCATTAAACATAAACTCTAGCTTCATGCACAATATTCACTTACAGTTTGTATTGATATACATAATTAATGTAAAAAGATGAAATTTGGTACCATACTTTAGAGCTAATTAATATGCAAGCAATTCTGAAGACTTGGAAATAGATTTATTTTAATCACTGTTGTATCATTAAGTCTATATTCTTGCCATTACATACATAAAAAAACTCAACTGTGAGATCATTTAGAACCATTTTTCTTGATTTATTATCATTATTAAATTTTGGATGTTTATCATACCTGATGATAGTTTGTTAACAAATACACTGGATGTTCTGATGATCCAAAGGGGTGCTATCAAATTAGCGCTATTGTTGGAAAATATCACCCCACCTCTACCATACCTACCACCACCACCATCACTACCACCATTTTGGGTGTTTACTATGTGTCAGCCATTAATTATAAGAGCTTGTAAATTCTTATAACAGTCCTACAGAGTAGGAGCTATTATTATGATTTCTATTCTATAGCTGATAAAACTGAGGTCCAGAGAGTGTAAGTAACTTGCTCAAAGTGTCAGCACTTTTAACCTAAACTGTTCTACATTGCAATCTCAGAAGACTATATGTGACTTATATTTTTAATCAGTATGCTACTACTCCCAGAATAATGAGTTACACATTTATATATAATACTGGCTGGTGCAAAAGTAATGGCCATTACCAAGGCCATGATTACTTTTGCACCTGCCTAATAATAACCATAATAATGATGTTTGCTAACATCAAGCCTTCCAAGAATGTTATATACATTACATCATTAAATATAAGGGAAACACAAGTTTATCAGTACAAATGTATTTTCAGGTCTTGAATTCTGGAAAAATTTGCAACCTGTCTTCAAGGATTTTCATGATTTTTAATGTAAGGTTTTTATTTTTATTTTTTAAGTTTCAAAAGGAATTTTGTAATCATTAAGGAAAGTTTGGCAAGGGTGGACAAGCTGAAAGGAAAACAATCACCCATATTTCCACCATTCAAAAAGACCAAGATAGATTTGGTGGTGGAGAGGGGAGGAGAATTCATTCCAGTCTTTTGGTAAGAAAATGTAGATATGTTTGTTAGCATAGTTATAATCACATTTTAAAAATTGGTGATAATCCTTGACAAGAGGAGAAATTCCTTGTGTTCATATAAGGGGTTATTCTTCTAACGAAGGATGTAAATTCATACTGAAATTGCCTGCTTTCAACTTTTGTCCAGATTCTTTGTAAACAGAGCCATAACCATAACCCTTCCACATTTCTGTAGGCTCACTGAAATTGTTTGTTCAGTCTGATGAGAGTTCTTGAGAGATTTTTAATACCTACTTTTACCAGATCTAATATTAATTAATCCGAGTAGTTTGAACTTCATCTTTGGATGTTTTTTCAAGAAAGATAGATGAGCCAGGCATGGTGGTTCATGCTTGTGATCCCAGCACTTTGGGAAGCCTACAGGGGTGAATTGCTTGAGCCCAGGAGTTCGAGACCATCCTGGGCAATGTGGCAAAACCCTGTGTCTACAAAAAATGCAAAACTTAGCCGGACATGATGGTTCATGCCTGTAGTCCCAGCTACTTGGGAGGCTGAGGTGGGAGGATCTCTTGAGCCTGGGAGGTTGAGGCTGCAGTGAGCCGTGATCATGTCACTGCACTCCAGCCTGGGTGGCAGAGCAAGACCTGTATCAAAAAAAAAAAAAAAAGAAAAAAGAAAGATAAATGATTGGTAAGTCTTCTGAGCCTTTACGCATTTGAGTATGATTTTCTTGTTGCTGTCATACATGAAAGACAATTGGGGGTATCTAAAATTTGGAAGGACTATAATCTCTTCCCATCCTGACCCTATGGACTCCTTTCCACTGAATTTTGGAATTTAGTGCCATGGAGGAGAAATCTGAGGTTTGTCTGCTTTCTATTGTATTACATGCAGCTAATTTTACTCTATTGCATTCTTGTGGGATGTTTCTTTTCTTTTTTTTTTTTTAGATATTCTTTAAATTTTTATTTTTTTCATCCTTTTTTAACTTTTATTTATTTTTATTTTTATTTATTTATCTATTATTATTATTATACTTTAAGTTTTAGGGTACATGTGCACAATGTGCAGGTTAGTTACATATGTATACATGTGCCATGCTGGTGCGCTGCACCCACTAACTCGTCATCTAGCATTAGGTATATCTCCCAATGCTATCCCTCCCCCCTCCCCCCACCCCACAACAGTCCCCAGAGTGTGATGTTCCCCTTCCTGTGTCCATGTGTTCTCATTGTTCAATTCCCACCTATGAGTGAGAATATGCAGTGTTTGGTTTTTTGTTCTTGCGATAGTTTACTGATAATGATGATTTCCAATTTCATCCATGCCCCTACAAAGGACATGAACTCATCATTTTTTATGGCTGCATAGTATTCCATGGTGTATATGTGCCACATTTTCTTAATCCAGTCTATCATTGTTGGACATTTGTGTTGGTTCCAAGTCTTTGCTATTATGAATAATGCTGCAATAAACATACGTGTGCATGTGTCTTTATAGCAGCATGATTTATAGTCCTTTGGGTATATACCCAGTAATGGGATGGCTGGGTCAAATGGTATTTCTAGTTCTAGATCCCTGAGGAATCACCACACTGACTTCCACAATGGTTGAAGTAGTTTACAGTCCCACCAACAGTGTAAAAGTGTTCCTATTTCTCCACCTCCTCTCCAGCACCTGTTGTTTCCTGACTTTTTAATGATTGCCATTCTGACTGGTGTGAGATGGTATCTCATTGTGGTTTTGATTTGCATTTCTCTGATGGCCAGTGATGGTGAGCATTTTTTCATGTGTTTTTTGGCTGCATAAATGTCTTCTTTTGAGAAGTGTCTGTTCATGTCCTTCGCTCACTTTTTGATAGGGTTGTTTGTTTTTTTCTTGTAAATTTGTTTGAGTTCATTGTAGATTCTGGATATTAGCCCTTTGTCAGATGAGTAGGTTGCGAAAATTTTCTCCCATTTTGTAGGTTGCCTGTTCACTCTGATGGTAGTTTCTTTTGCTGTGCAGAAGCTCTTTAGTTTAATGAGATCCCATTTGTCAATTTTGGCTTTTGTTGCCGTTGCTTTTAGTGTTTTAGACATGAAGTCCTTGCCCATGCCTCTGTCCTGAATGGTAATGCCTAGGTTTTCTTCTAGGGTTTTTATGGTTTTAGGTTGAACGTTTAAGTCTTTAATCCATCTTGAATTGATTTTTGTATAAGGTGTAAGGAAGGGATCCGATTTCAGCTTTCTACCTATGGCTAGCCAGTTTTCCCAGCATCATTTATTAAATAGGGAATCCTTTCCCCATTGCTTGTTTTTCTCAGGTTTGTCAAAGATCAGATAGTTGTAGATATGCGGAGTTATTTCTGAGGGCTCTGTTCCATTGATCTATATCTCTGTTTTGGTACCAGTAGCATGCTGTTTTGGTTACTGTAGCCTTGTAGTATAGTTTGAAGTCAGGTAGTGTGATGCCTCCAGCTTTATTCTTTTGGCTTAGGATTGACTTGGCAATGCGGGCTCTTTTTTGGTTCCATATGAACTTTAAAGTAGTTTTTTCCAATTCTGTGAAGAAAGTCATTGGTAGCTTGATGGGGATGGCATTGAATCTGTAAATTACCTTGGGCAGTATGGCCATTTTCACCATATTGATTCTTCCTACCCATGAGCATGGAATGTTCTTCCATTTGTTTGTGTCCTCTTTTATTTCATCGATCAGTGGTTTGTAGTTCTCCTTGAAGAGGTCCTTCATATCCCTTGTAAGTTGGATTCCTAGGTATTTTATTCTCTTTGAAGCAATTGTGAACGGGAGTTCACTCATGATTTGGCTCTCTGTTTGTCTGTTGTTGGTGTATAAGAATGCTTGTGATTTTTGTACATTGATTTTGTATCCTGAGACTTTGCTGAAGTTGCTTATCAGCTTAAGGAGATTTTGGGCTGAGACAATGGGGTTTTCTAGATATACAATCATGTCATCTGCAAACAGGGACAATTTGACTTCCTCTTTTCCTAACTGAATACCCTTTATTTCCTTCTCCTGCCTAATTACCCTGGCCAGAACTTCCAACACTATGTTGAATAGGAGTGGTGAGAGAGGGCATCCCTGTCTTGTGCCAGTTTTCAAAGGGAATGCTTCCAGTTTTTGCCCATTCAGTATGATATTGGTTGTGGATGTTTCTTTACCTTTATAATTCAAACGTCTTTCAGAATATTTCTAGGTGAGGTATCTTTTTATATATTTTTGTCTGGAATATTATGGAGCTCTTTTAGACTGTATTCCAGTTTTTGAAATGTTTTCTTCAGTGATGGCTTTGATTAATCATATCTGTTCCAATTATTCTCACTTCTCCAGAAATATCTATGACTCTTAGATTGCTCCTCTCTGTTTCCTTCTCTTTATAAATCATGTTCTCTCTCATCATTTTTCACTGTGCCTTTCCTCTGCATGGCGAGATTTTCTTAAGTTTATATCTAGTATCTCTAATACTGATTTTAATTTGATAATTTTGCTTTAATTAAGTCTTTTTTATTTCTACTATCATTGGTTCATCTACTTTTTTATCCTGTTGATTTTTTATTGCTTCCTGCTTCTGTTTGATAAAGTCTGAATATTCTTGCATCTTACTGAACTTACAAAATGGCTTTTAAACATTTTTGTTTAGATCCTGTAGTAAATAGTTTTCAGAAGTCTGCTGTTTCTCTGAATCTTTAGAGTGTTACTCCTTTGTCTTTGATGGGATTCTGGACATGCTATCCCCAAATATAGCATCTTGGCATATTGAATATTTTAAGCAGAAGGAATTTGAGTAAACGGGAGTAGCAGGAAAATCACTTTGACCTTCCCCCTGCGCTTCTACCTTGAAGCAGGTCATGAAGCTTAGGAAGCATTTTCAGATCTTTCCCTAAAGCAGGTTTTAAGACTCTCATGTGAGAGATGCTGTCCTTACACCCATACAAAAGAAACACCCTTATCTCCGAAGACACAGGGACACAGAAAAAATCTGAACAAATACACCTTGCAAATTTTTCCCCAGTATGTTATCATTAGATCATGCTTTTTGCCCAATGGAATGACTATCCATTCTTTGTCACAGCTACTCTAAAAAAACACTCAGGTTTAAGTGTTTCTTTGGGTCTTCATTTCCTTATGAAGGTTCCTGTGTCACATAAAACTTAAATAAGTTTTTATGCTTTTCTCTTGTTAATCTGCCTCAGCTATGAACTTAGGATGAGTAGAAGATATTTTTCCTTTCCTACCTATCATTCTTCAGAGTTTTCTCCCAAGTTCCCTTCTTTCTATTTACTCATCCTTCATCAAGAAAAATCAGACTATAGTCACTGCTTGAAAGCTGCAAGGGTAAGTAGATTTATAGCCAGATGCTAGGAAATAAGCATGCCACCTAATCCAAGGGTCTGGCAAGTTTTCACTTAGTGTAGTTACATTGACTGAGATCATTTCTTTTTCTTTCTCCACTGCCCAGCCCTCTTATCTTCTGATCACATGGAACAAAAAACTCAGATCCTCAGCCTGCACTGCTTTGAAGGCTCTTTCCATGTCTCTCTCTGACTGTGATTCTTTACACCGGGGCACTCTCCTTCCTCACTGCTTTTCATCACTCCCTCTTCTTCCCCAGCACACATACTTCCCACTCATGTTTTATTGTTTGACATCATGGGCTCTGACTAGATGCAGAAAGAAAGATATTAAGGGAGGTGAAAGGCTAGGGCTAACTCTTTGCCTCAAACAGCAGTGGCCACACATTGGAGGGAGGAAGGCCATATTCTGTTAGAGCTAGGAAGGTGGAAAGTTGGGAAGAGATGATGGTTCTTATTTTTATTTAGGCTTGCAATGGCAGGCCATAGAATGTCTTAGGGTCAGTGGGATTTCCTCCTGGCAATGGCAGGAGGTGGACTGTTTGTCTTACTCTTTGGTGGTGGGGTTTTAATCTCTTTCTATATTTTCAAGAGTATTGTGCTGGGGAGAAATTTTGTCAAGAGCTTTCATCCATAATACACTATAAACTTCTTTATCATAAGTATTTTTATTTAAGGAATACTGAAAACCATAGCCGAATACATCTTTAGTGATAGTCCTACCCCAAATTGTAGTGGCATTAGTAATATGTTTTAGTACTAAACTCCTGTTTACTGAGGGCACCATATTAGACCTAGGGTTGGCAAACTTTTTCCATAAAGAACCAGATAACAAACATTTTTAGCCTTGTGTGCCATACAGTTGGAACAACTTACTCAATTATACCATCGTAGCACAAAACCAGCCATAGACAATATGTAAATGAATGGGCATAGCTATGTTCCAGTAAAGCTTTATTTACAAAAACAGGCAGTGGGCTGGATTTAGCCCACAGACCATTGTTTGTTGGCCCGTGTATTAGACTCTGTGGTTAGAAGGGCATGTATATGGTGGTCAGAATGATAGAATTCAGGTGTATGGTAACAACAAAAGTATACTGTCAAAAAGCCTTTCCTATCTCTGCTCCACCTCCCTACTCAGCTTCTTCTTACTTCCTCTCCAGTTCTGGCTGTAAAGCACCAGCCCAGATGGATCTCAGCTCTCAATCGTGTAGTTCTCTTGTTTCCTGAAAATTTTTTCTTTAATGCTTTTCCTTCCTGCTCTTGTTGGTTTATATTTTTGAAGAAAGATTCTGTTTTGATCAATACAATGTATAATTAGATGTTGCCAATAAGATTTGGAAAGCACAATTTGCCCTATATCAACCACCATACAGGTAATACCTCCCTCCCTGCATACGCTCACGGGGACTCTGCTACAGTTCTTGAGTCTACTCCACGTTGCTTAAGATAGATTGATGCTAACTCTATGCCTATTCAAGATTTGTGATTTTGACATTTGTTTCCTGTTTGTCTGACATTGTGTAAGGCTTAGTTCATTTGTTTATTATAATAAAGTTGCTGAATAGTGTAACATCAGCTAACCTTCATTTTCTCACTGAAAGCTTATTAAGCTGAAGAGATCTGTCTGTAGTCAAGAAACACTAAATGATTTCAGTGCAAGTTCAATTTCCACATATTCCATTAAACAATCAGTGGTCATAATACTTTGCATATAGAAAAATAAAGAAATAAAACAACCTAAAACAGAGAAAATAGTTGTCAATTTAATTCTAGTGGTTCAGGCATTTGAAATAAATCCCAGTTAGGTAGTAATACATGAATACAACTGATCATATATAATGGGGTTAAAGAATTGCTGAGGTATGACTGGGGTTTTCCACGAAAAATTAAAAGTTCTGTGACTCCACCCCTCCCAAGTAGACTGGCCTTCTTGTTCTTGCAGCATGAATACCAGAGTAACAATGACAATAAAATTGTGTTTTCTACTCCTCATAAGAGAAAGTGAAGACAACTGTTCCAGATTTATCTTCTGTATAAGATCTACCACTTCTTAGTTATTGACACTTGGTTTGTTCTCACCATTTCCTCTGCCTTTCATGTCTCCTTTCCTGACATTGAAGAAGGCTGTAGTGATAAGTCAAAGTGAGAGGCTGACTCTTTGGCATTAATGAAAATTAAAGAAAGAAAATTCTTCTTAGGGCAGCAGAGACAAATAGTCTGATATTCTGGGAGTGGTGGTTGTGGCAGAGGTGAGAATGTAGGGACATAGAGTAGCTGGGAAAGGGTTCTTTGGGCATTTAATCTGTCACCCACATTTCTCTGCACTGGCTTATTCCCAGATACCTAGAGATATGAGTGATTTTTTTTCATGTGAAAGACCTCTCCAATGCACATATAAATATGTGTCCATTCATGTAAATAAATTTATACATTTATATATGCAAAATAATAGTGAAGTAGCTTATCAAAGGAAGGATACCTTCACTTTTGAGTTTCAGGATGATTCAGCAGGAGTATCAATGTTCTTAAATGTTGGTATGGTTGGTACTCAGAAGTCCTGCTGCCAACCAGTTACCATTACCAAGTTAGCTGTGTGACCTTGGGCAAGTTACACACCTCTCTGGTCTTTACTATTCTCTTTTGTAAAGCAAGGATAAGAGCATCTACTCATAGGGTCATGTGAAGCACTTAGAACAGTGCCTGGAAGACACCAAGAACCATTATTATTGTTATTTGTGCTTTTCTTTGTTTTTAAAATAAGACAGGACTTGAGGCATGTGCAAACTTCTTAAGGGCACACTGACCTTGGAATTGTTCATTCTTATCAGAGTCCCAGGTGACTAAGAAATGTTAAATGAGAGGCAAGTGCTGTTATAGATGCTTGGGGGCATGATTTAGTTGGCTGTGAATGAAATTTTCCTGCTGTTGTGGATCTTATTAATATCACTTTGTGATGGATTGTTCCTGTTCTGCGTGTTAAGGATGAGACTGTAGTCCGAGTCCCTGGAAAATGTTGCCCGCAGTGCTCTGCAAGATCCTGCTCTGCAGCTGGCCAAGTATACGAGGTAAGCTTTCATGCTCCCCATGTAGGTGTTTTGACATCCGTTCTCACACATCTGCCCTCCACCCACTCCAGCCACCATAAGTCACCACCCTCATGTCTGACTCTGCCAGGAATAGTAACTCAGTACATAAACAGCTTTTCTCTTCTCTTCACAGAAAACTTGTAGGAAAAAATTAAGTTGAAGAGGATTAGAAATATAAAGGAATGTGCTGGCAAGCAGAACCTAGTTTAAGAACCTTGGTGAACTTACTGTTCACATGTCTTGAGGGGGAAAAAAAGGGCTATTATTGATTACCATCAGTTTACATTTAGCTTTGAGGCTCTGTGGATGTTTTTCTGCTTTGGTTGGATTTTATGCATTGACATCTGGAGACCGTCCCCTCACACCCCTGCCATCTTACACTGGGGAAAACCTGGCGGTGGTAGAAGACAGAGGGAAGGGAGGCGAGAGGCTGTTGGTGGTAGAACCTGCAAACTCAAAAGTACTATTGGATAGCCTGGATAACGATGTGCCTAACATGTAGTAAGCATCAAATAAAGATGAGTTTAACAAATTGAATGAATGGATGAATGAATGAGTGAATGTTCTGTCTTGGGAGTGCCTAGCTGGTCCAGAAAAAGGTTACATTACTCAAAAGCAAAGAACACATAAAAAAATAAACTCAATTACTTCCCTTACTCGCCAGCCACTCTAAAAAAGACTAAATAGAAATTGGGGTCATGACTCTCAGTAGAAAATCTGAAACTAAGTATTAGGGGATAGGTGCCTCACAAATTCTAGGCAGGTCACTTGAAATCTGAATGAAAATAACTAATTGGGAAGGATTTTTATATGTGCTAGATCTGTGCTGCCTGACACAGTGGCCACATATGTGGCTTGCATTATATTTTTATTGGACAGGATTGTTAGACTGAGTTTTTCTTTGAAGAGACAGGCTTTATATCTGTAATGGCATCTTCAACTACAAGGAACAGAAATCCCACTCTAAAAGTGCCTAAAATGCTAACATTAATTATGTCATCTAGAGGTGGGATGGGGCAGCTGCAGGGTTTCTCAATTCAGGTCTCAATGATGCCTTCAAGGATCTAAGCTCTTTTGATCTTTCCACCTGCCACCCTTAACATGTTGGCATTTGCCCTTCATCTTGTCCCCTCCCATCCCCAAGGAGACCTCCTCAGCCCTGGGCAGCTCATCCTCACACAGCTATTACTAAAGGTTGGTAGAAGAGAGGGGTGGGATTTTGTTTCATGTGGGAGGAGAATTTTTACTTTGACCTCCACCACTCTAGCAAATTTCCCGTGAGGTCCCCTCCGGTTGGACAGTGTCCATGCCCTAGCTGCAAGGGAAGCTGGCAAAGTGAGTATATGGCAGTGAGGGCTGGGTCTCCTGGCAAAGGCAAGAGCTAAAGAATGCCATGGATGAGCCAGTCAACAAGGTCTTTCTACCCATCTCAATGTCTCGGGTCTCTATGTGCCTGGCACAGAGTGGGCCCTCAACACACCTGTAGAATGAATATAGGTGAATGAAAATTAAAGTCTCCTTTGGACATTTATTGACTGTTTTCATAGAGGCTATTCCTATCTAAATGTTTTCATTTCTCAAGAGTACATTCAATGTGGCTCATCTTACAAATGTAATGAAAATTGGGTGTCTTATGTGACAGTGCTTCTATTTGATGTATGGGACATTTGATTTTCCATGTTCTTCTTTCCTGTCTTCATGCAGCATGGTGAGCAGTGGAGCGAAAATGCCTGCACCACGTGTATATGTGACCGGGGTGAGGTCAGGTGTCACAAGCAGGCCTGCCTGCCCCTGAGATGCGGAAAGGTATTTGAGAGTGTGTACCTTACTTGTTTAAGCTCTTTTCTGGGTCATTTAAGGAATGCACTTCTTATTCCGGTGTGTCCTTTGGGGGAATCAAAAGTTTTATAATGTTTGCAAAGTTACATAAAGATATGAAGGCTCTGCTTCCTAGGAAGAAGGGTTGAGGTGCAAGGGACCCTGCCCATCGTGGGTCGGGCCAGAGAAAGAGCCATGTAGAGCTTTGGTATTTTGGGTCCTCCTGCCTCTGTTGGCTTGGGTGTTTCACCGTCTCCTGAGGACTGCCCCTCACCTTCCTCTCTGTGTCCTAGGGTCAGAGCAGGGCTCGGCGTCATGGGCAATGCTGTGAGGAATGTGTGTCTCCTGCCGGGAGCTGCTCCTATGATGGAGTTGTGCGGTACCAGGACGAAATGTGGAAGGGCTCGGCCTGTGAGTTCTGCATGTGTGATCATGGCCAAGTGACCTGCCAGACTGGAGAGTGTGCCAAAGTGGAGTGTGCCCGGGTAAGAAGCAGGGGCATTTCCATTTGGAACGTTGCAGCTCTTTCCAACGGGATAGTGAGGGGTCCTGCCTGTTCTTTACTTCTTGGCAGCAGCAGGGATGTCCACATTGACTTCTCACACTTCATAGGACCTTCTAGTGTAAAGCTTCCGTGGTATAAAATGAATGTCACTGTTTGTTCAGACTAGCTCAGAACAGCCCCCTGGATCTTTTAGCTCTCAGTACATCTGGTCAAATTGGAAGCCCCGAGCCAGAGACATGAAAGGGAAGGACATGATATGGGACATTAGCCTATCAGGCAGCGCAGCTGGATCTCATTGCTGATGGCCTGCCCAGTTCTCCCCGGCTGTGAAACAGGGTCCACAGGTGTGCTGGTGGCCGGGCTCTTGCTGTAGGCCCCACTGACAGCATTTAGCAGAACGAGAGCCAGCACAGAGGGGCCGCTTCCGTGGATCAGGAAAAAACATAACATGCTTTTTGTTTTTAAGAGAGAGCAAAGGGGACCTTATAAACAATTAACTCCATTGACCTCTGTTAACCTCTGCTGTCTGCAGAATTTCTAGAAGCTTCTAACAAAGCAGCCTCTGTTTGGACTATAGATGTACTGTATGTTGGAGGGAAATGACTTTTTTTTTCCTCTTTGAACTTGATTTTGACCCATTACAAAACAAATTGCTTTTAAAGTTGTCTCCGTCTCTCTCACTGCTCCCTTCCGCCCCACCAATTTCCCTGTGGGCCGTGAACTTGAGTAGATGAGGGAAATTAGAAAGATCTGGAGCCCTGGGTTTCTGTGAAGGTATTTTTCTTTCTAGTTCTTCTCCCCCACTTCTCAGCTCCTCTTAACCCTGAGCCTAAGGAGGAACAACCTTTCAGACATGGCTGTCATCGGCAGGGTTATTTTTCAACTTGCCTCCTACTTGTAGGTCTTGACAGAGTTGAGACATATTTAGGTAAAGAGGGTCTTGCTTTTTGCAGATTTATTTCCCCTTAGATGCCTTTTCATTTATTTTCTTTATGTTAGAGGAATCAGGGTGATTGGATGAAGATGAGAAGAAAACCTAATCAGGGCCCTTTTTTGTTGTCTCTGTCGGGCTGAGGCTGGGCTTCCCTGCCTCGGCAGTCTGCCCAGAGGATCTCATTTTATTAAGGACTTAATTTATCTAACATCCTAGAATTTATGAAAAAATGTGGGAGAGGAGATTCTGGTAGGGTGGGCCCTTTAACCACCTAATTTCAGTCAGATCTGAACAAAGAGTCTCAGTCACAGAAAATTGTTTAGCACATATCCCTAGCATTTCTGCATTTCCATGTGCCTGTCTGCTGCTGTCGGCTGTGACACCTGGCTATCATGGCATGAGCCAGGCATTCTTGGCTATTCTTAGGGAATATGGGGATTAGCTGCCAAAGTGGAGAGCACTTCAGTATTCAAGTCACCCCATAACACCGTCTCATTCCTTTCTAGTTACTTCCACTCCACTGCCATCTTTTCTTTTATGAATTGAGGAGTTCTGATGCCTCACCTATTTCTCCAGATCTTTAACCAGCTAAATTGTTTTCTTCCATATTACTTCCATGTTTCCCAAGTTTTGTTTAAAGCCCTGGGTTCTAAACTAGAAACTCTACCAGAATTGAAATTTTAACCAACATTGACTCTGATGAAACATATCTCTTAGCCTTCTTTATATGCCATACTTCTGTTGACCTTGTTAAAGCCTGGATGTACTAACTTCCTAACTTCGGCTTAGCTTGTATCCCTGGTGATAAAAAGATGAATAAGGCTCGTTATGACCTTAAGAGTTTCCAGGCTTTTTGGGAAGTCAGATATGTAAGCAAAAATTATAACACAGTGTGGCACCAATGGAAATATGAGTTAAATATATTAGGAGCTCCCGGAGGAAATGACTATGTCTGCCAAGGGGCACAGTGGAAGTGCCCTTTTGATATTTTTATTCAGTTCTACCCCACTTTCTGCCTGCCTCCTTCTCTAAAATATCAAGGTCATTTTGATTTCTGATCTTGGATACCAAGGATGGATTAAGTGTAAGTGCAATGCACATCAGAAAGCCACAGAGAAGTTAATTTTTAAAAGAAGAGGCAAAGGTGTGCAGCTTCATCGTTGTCTTCATTATCACACTGGTTATCAACAGCAATGTTCTGAATAGCATTAAAATCAGCATACAGTTTTTGTTGTTGTTAAAAAAGAAGAAAATGGCCTGGTCTTTGTCTTTGCTATATTCCACCAAATCTCTAAACATTGAAACATAAACAAATCAATGATAGGCTAGCACAATATAATGATTTTCATATTTCTAGATTTAATGATGTCTTTGAACCTTAATTCAGGTGAAGAAGTCAAATTACCTTTTGAAGAAGAGGACCTAGCATTCACATCTGGAGCATAAAATGGAATGGGGAAAATTGAAGCTTGGAGCAAAATGCATAGGAGAGGGTAGGCGCGTGGTAAATGTGAGCTGCCATTCCCTGCTCCAGTGGAGGCAGTTTCCCTCAAAAGAGTGTTTCCTTTTCCAATGAGCAAGTTAGCCCAGTCTTAGTCGTTGGTCTGGTGGCTGTAGGTATGATTAGGTGGGGAAAGGGTAGAGATTCTGTCTGGCCTATGCAACAGAATCCTCTTAAAAAGGAAAGAATTTGTTTGTTTCTGAAAGCAATTTTAGTCAAAAGTCAAATACTAATTGGAGTGAACTCCCCACTGCAGTGAACTGATGTGGTTTGGGGCATTGAGGCTGCTTCTGTAAATAGAAAAGCTATTTGAAACTTCCCACCTCACCAAAACTGAATCCTTGTGCCCCAGGAGCAGCGCTTGCTGTTACTTACAATGATGTTTGAAGGTCAACAGCCTTTCTGTTGCACAGGCCTTACTGTTTCTATACCTTCCCTACCTAATCATACCTACATCCACCAGTCCAAAGACTGAGATTGGACTAACTAACCTGCTCATCAGAAAAAGGAAACACTCTTTTGAGGATATTTGCCTCCAGTGGAGCAGGGCAAGGCAGCTCACATTTATGGAGTGCCTACCCTCTTCTGTGTATTTTGCTATAAGCTTTAATTTCCCTCCCACAATTTTTTCAATACCAGCCACCGCCCCCCGCCACCCCGCCCCCCCGCCACCACCACCACCCCAGCCACTTTCTTTGCCTCATTTAGGTGATAGGGAGTCACTTTTCAGTTTTGTCTGTATGTATTTTAGTGGACACTCAAGAATCTCTCATGTGTTTTGTCTTTTACAGAAGTATGCATAGTCAGTCTTGTTTCAAAACATTGTTTTAAGTGACTTACATTACATGCATATCAACTCTTTTATATGCTTTGAAAGCCAAATTCAGTGTTTCTGGGTTATGCCTTCACTACCAACTGATTTGTCACATTTCTGCAAAATAATTTATATGTAAATGCATCTGCTTTCTATAGTACCCACTGCTGCCTATTGGCCTCTGACTGACATGAAATTTTGATGGACAGTAATCTATATAACTCCAAAATAATTATAATCATTTATGTATTTTTGTGTTTCCTCTAAGCGTTTAGATTTTCTCTCAGTAAAATAACACATATTCATTCTAGAAAATTTTGAAGGCTCAAGAAAAGTAGAAAAGAGACTTAAAAATCCATCTATAATGCTACCAAAGACATCCAGTGCATCCAGAGACAACCAATGCTTCCATAATATTTGTCATTAGTATAGTGTTTTTAAACAAAATATCATTATGATTATTCTGTTTATGCAAATTTATATTATTCATTTTCATTTAACATGGTTTCTACACTTTTAAATATAATACAGGCCCCAAATTAAATATTAAATATTTAGAGAAACATTACCATTCTTTTTTTTTTATCACAAACATTTTCAATTGTTTTCTCCATTAATTTTTTTTATTATACTTTAAGTTCTGGGGTGCATGTGCACAACGTGCAGGTTTGTTACATATGTATACATGTGCCATGTTGGTGTGCTGCACCCATTAACTCGTCATTTAGCATTAGGTATATCTCCTAATGCTATCCCTCCCCCCTACCCCCAACCCACAACAGGGCCTGGTGTGTGATGTTCCCCTTCCTGTGTCCAGGTGTTCTCATTGTTCAATTCCCACCTATGAGTGAGAACATGCAGTGTTTATTTTTTTGTCCTTGTGATGGTTTGCTGAGAATGATGGTTTCCAGCTTCATCCATGTCCCTACAATGGACATGAGCTCATCATTTTTTATGGCTGCATAGTATTCCATGGTGTATATGTGCCACATTTTCTTAATCCAGTCTATCATTGATGGGCATTTGGGTTGGTTCTGAGTCTTTGCTATTGTGAATAGTGCCGCAATAAACATACGTGTGCATGTGTCTTTATAGCAGCATGATTTATAATCCTTTGGGTATACACCCAGTAATGGGATGGCTGGATCAAATGGTATTTCTAGTTCTAGATCCCTGAGGAATTGGCACACTGTCTTCCACAATGGTTGAACTAGTTTACCGTCCCACCAACAGTGTAAAAGTGTTCCTATTTCTCCACATCCTCTCCAGCACCTGTTCTTTCCTGACTTTTTAAAGATTGCCATTCTAACTGGTGTGAGACGGTATCTCACTGTGGTTTTGATTTGCATTTCTCTGATGACCAGTGACGATGAGCATTTTTTCATGTGTCTGTTGGCTGCATAAATGTCTTCTTTTGAGAAATGTCTGTTCATATCCTTCACCCACTTTTTGATGGGGTTGTTTTTTTCTTGTAAATTTGTTTGAGTTCTATGTAGATTCTGGATATTAGCCCTTTGTCAGATGAGTAGATTGCAAAAATTTTCTCTCATTCTGTAGGTTGCCTGTTCACTCTGATGGTAGTTACTTTTGCTGTGCAGAAGCTCTTTAGTTTAATGAGATCCCATTTGTCAATTTTGGCTTTTGTTGCCATTGCTTTTGGTGTTTTAGACATGAAGTCCTTGCCCATGCCTATGTCCTGAATGGTATTGCCTAGGTTTTGTTCTAGGATTTTTATGGTTTTAGGTCTGCCATTTAAGTCTTTAATCCATCTTGAATTAATTTTTGTATAAGGTGTAAGGAAGGGATCCAGTTTCAGCCTTCTACATATGGCTAGCCAGTTTTCCCAGTACCATTTGTTAAATAGGGAATCATTTCCCCGTTTCTTGTTTTTGTCACGTTTGTCAAATATCAGATGGTTGTAGATATGCGGCATTATTTCTGAGGGCTCTGTTCTGTTCCATTGGTCTATATCTCTGTTTTGGTACCAGTACTATGCTGTTTTGGTTACTATAGCCTTGTAGTATAGTTTGAAGTCAGGTAGCGTGATGCCTCCAGCTTTGTTCTTTTGACTTAGGATTGACTTGGCAATGCAGGCTCTTTTTTTGGTTCCATATGAACTTTAAAGTAGTTTTTTCCAATTCTGTGAAGAAAGTCATTGGTAGCTTGATGGGGCTGGCATTGAATCTATAAATTACCTTGGGCAGTATGGCCATTTTCATGATGTTGATTCTTCCTATCCATGAGCATGGAATGTTCTTCCATTTGTTTGTGTCCTCTTTTATTTCATCGATCAGTGGTTTGTAGTTCTCCTTGAAGAGGTCCTTCATATCCCTTGTAAGTTGGATTCCTAGGTATTTTATTCTCTTTGAAGCAATTGTGAATGGGAGTTCATGCATGATTTGGCTCTCTGTTTATCTGTTATTGGTGTATAAGAATGCTTGTGATTTTTGCATATCGATTTTGTATCCTGAGACTTTGCTGAATTTGCTTATGAGCTTAAGGAGATTTTGGGCTGAGACGATGGGGTTTTCTAAATATACAACCATGTCCTCTGCAAATAGGGACAATTTGACTTCCTCTTTTCCTAATTGAACACCCTTTATTTCTTTCTCCTGCATGATTGCCCTGGTCAGAACTTCCAACACTATGTTGAATAGGAGTGGTGAGAGAGGGCATCCCTGTCTTGTGCCAGTTTTCAAAGGGAATGCTTCCAGTTTTTGCCCATTCAGTATGATATTGGCTGTGGGTTTCTCGTAAATAGCTCTTAATATTCTCAGATACATACCATCAATACCTAATTTATTGAGAATTTTTAGCATGAAGGGCTGTTGAATTTTGTCAAAGGCGTTTTCTGCATCTATTGAGATAATCATGTGGTTTTTGTTTTTGGTTCTGTTTATATGCTGGATTACGTTTATTGTTTTGCATATGTTGAACCAACCTTGCATCCCAGGGATGAAGCCCACTTGATCATGGTGGATAAGCTTTTTGATGTGCTGCTGGATTTGGTTTGCCAGTATTTTATTGAGGATTTTTTCATTGATGTTCCTCATGGATATTGGTCTAAAATTCTCTTTTTTTGTAGTGTCTCTGCCAGGCTTTGGTATCAGAATGATGCTGGCCTCATAAAATGAGTTAGGGAGGATTCCCTCTTTTTCTATTGAATGGAATAGTTTCAGAAGGAATGGTACCAGCTCCTCCTTGTACCTCTGGTAGAATTCGGCTGTGAATCCATCTGGTCCTGGACTTTTTTTGGTTGGTAGGCTATTAATTATTGCCTCCATTTCAGAACCCGTTATTGTTCAATTCAGGGATTCAACTTCTTCCTAGTTTAGTCTTGGGAGGGTGTATGTGTCCAGGAATTTATCCATTTCCTTTAGATTTTCTAGTTTATTTGCATAGAGGTGTTTATAGTATTCTCTGATGGTAGTTTGTATTTCTGTGGGATAGGTGTTGATATCCCCTTTATCATTTTTTATTGCGTCTATCTGATTCTTCTCTCTTTTCTTCTGTATTAGTCTTGCTATCAGTCTATCAATTTTGTTGATCTTTTCAAAAAACTAGCTCCTGGATTCATTGATTTTTTGAAGGGTTTTTTGTGTCTCTATCTCCTTCAGTTCTGCTGTGATCTTAGTTATTTCTTGCCTTCTGCTAGCTTTTGAATGTGTTTGCTCTTGCTTCTCTAGTTCCTTTCATTGTGATGTTAGAGTGTCAATTTTAGATCTTTCCTGCTTTCTCTTGTGGGCATTTAGTGCTATAAATTTCCCTCTACACACTGCTTTACATGTGTCCCAGAGATTCTGGTATGTTGTGTCTTTGTTCTCGTTGGTTTCGAAGAACATCTTTATTTCTGCCTTCATTTTGTTATGTACCCTGTAGTCATTCAGGAGCAGGTTGTTCATTTTCCATGTAGTTGAGCAGTTTGGAGTGAGTTTCTTAATCCTGAGTTCTAGTTTGATTGCACTGTGGTCTGAGAGACAGTTTGTTATCATTTCTGTTCTTTTTCATTGCTGATGAGTGCTTTACTTCCAACTATGTGGTTAATTTTGGAATAGGTGTGGTGTGGTGCTGAAAAGAATGTATATTCTGTTGATTTGGGGTGGAGAGTTCTGTAGATGTCTATTAGGTCTGCTTGGTGCAGAGCTGAGTTCAATTCCTGGATATTCTTGTTAACTTTCTGTCTCGTTGATCTGTCTAATGTTGACAGTGGGGTGTTAAAGTCTCCCATTATTATTGTGTGGGAGTCTAAGTCTCTTTGTAGGTCTCTAAGGACTTGCTTTATGAATCTGGGTGCTCCTGTATTGGGTTCATATATATTTAGGATAGTTAGCTCTTCTTGTTGAATTGATCCCTTTACCATTATGTAATGGCCTTCTTTGTCTCTTTTTAATCTTTCTTGGTTTAAAGTCTGTTTTATCAGAGACTAGATTGCAACCTCTGCCTTTTTTTGTTTTCCATTTGCTTGGTAGATCTTCCTCCATCCCTTTATTTTGAGACTATGTGTGTCTCTGCACATGAGATGGGTCTCCTGAATACAGCACACTGATTGGTCTTGACTCTTTATCCAGTTTGCCAGTCTGTGTTTTTTAATTGGAGCATTTAGCCCATTTACATTTAAGGTTAATATTGTTATGTGTGAATTTGATCCTGTCATTATGATGTTAGCTGGTTATTTTGCTTGTTAGTTGATGCGGTTTCTTCCTAGCCTTGATGATTTTTACAATTTGGCATGTTTTTGCAGTGGCTGGCACCGGTTGTTCCTTTCCATGTTTAGTGCTTCCTTCAGGAGCTCTTTTAGGGCAGGCCTGGTGGTGACAAAATCTCTCAGCATTTGCTTGTCTCTAAAGGATTTTATTTCTCCTTAACTTACGAAGCTTAGTTTGGCTGGATATGAAATTCTGGGTTGAGAATTCTTTTCTTTAAGAATGTTGAAAATTGGCCCCCACTCTCTTCTGGCTTGTATAGTTTCTGCCAAGAGATCAGCTGTTAGTCTGATGGGCTTCCCTTTGTGGGCAACCTGACCTTTCTCTCTGACCGCCCTTAACATTTTTTCCTTCATTTCAACTTTGGTGAATCTGACAATTATGTGTCTTGGGGTTGCTCTTCTTGAGGAGTATCTTTGTGGCGTTCTCTGTATTTCCTCAATTTGAATGTTGGCCTGCTTTGCTAGATTGGGGAAGTTCTCCTGGATAATATACTGCAGAGTGTTTTCCAAGTTGGTTCCATTCTCCCCGTCACTTTTAGGTACACCAATCAGACATAGATTTGGTCTTTTCACATAGTCCCTTATTTCTTGGAGGCTTTGTTCATTTCTTTTTATTCTTTTTTCTCTAAACTTCCCTTCTCGCTTCATTTCATTCATTTGATCTTCAATCACTGATACTCTTTCTTCCAGTTGATCAAATCAGCTACTGAAGCTTGTGCATTCATCACGTAGTTCTCATGCCATGGTTTTCAGCTCCATCAGGTCATTTAAGGACTTCTCTACACTGGTTGTTCTGGTTAGCCATTTGTCTAATCTTTTTTCAAGGTTTTTATCTTCTTTGCCATGGATTTGAACTCCCTCCTTTAGCTTGGAGAAGTTTGATCATCTGAAGCCTTCTTCTCTCAGCTCGTCAAAGTCATTCTCAATCCACCTTTGTTCCATTGCTGGCGAGGAGCTGTGTTCCTTTGGAGGGGTAGAGGTGCTCTGATTTTTAAAATTTTCAGCTTTACTGCTCTGTTTTTTCCCCATCTTTGTGGTTTTATTTACCTTTGGTCTTTGATGATGGTGACATTCAGATGGGGTTTTGGTGTGGATGTCCTTTGCGTTTATTAGTTTTCCTTCTAACAGTCAGGACCTTCAGCTGCAGGTCTGTTGGAGTTTGCTGGACATCCACTCTAGACCCTGTTTGCCTGGGTATCAGCAGCGGAGGCTGCAGAACAGTGAATATTGCAGAACAGTAAATGTTGCTGCCTGATCATTCCTCTGGAAGCTTTGTCTCAGAGGGGCACCCGGCCGTGTGAGGTGTCAGTCTGCCCCTACTGGAGGGTGCCTCCCAGTTAGGCTACTTGGGGGTCAGGGACCCACTTGAGGAGGCAGTCTGTCCATTCTCAGATCTCAAATTCTGTGCTTGGAGGACCACTTTTCTCTTCAAAGCTGTCAGACAGGGACATTTAACTATGCAGAGGTTTCTGCTGCCTTTTGTTTGGCTATGCCCTGCCCCCAGAGGTGGAGTCTACAGAGGTAGGCAGGCCTCCTTGAGCTGCAGTGGGCTCTACCCAGTTCGAGCTTCCCAGCCTCTTTGTTTACCCACTCAAGCCTCAGCAATGGCATGCACCCCTCCCCCAGCCTCACTGCCACCTTGCAGTTCAATCTCAGACTGCTGTGCTAGCAATGAGTGAGGCTCCGTGAGCATGGGACCCTCCGAGCCAGGCGTGGGATATAATCTCCTGGTGTGCCATTTGCTAAGACCATTGGAAAAGCGCAGTATTAGGGTGGGAGTAACCCAATTTTCCAGGTGCCGTCTGTCACAGCTTCCCTTGGCTAGGAAAGGGAATTCCCTGACCCCTTGCACTTCCCTGGTGAGGCAATGCCTTGCCCTGCTTCGGCTCACACTCAGTGGGCTGCATCCACTGTCCTGCACCCACTGTCCGACAAGCCCCAGTGAGATATACCCAGTACCTCAGTTGGAAATGCAGAAATCACCTGTCTTCTGCATCACTCATGCTGGTAGCTGTAGACTGGACCTGTTCCTATTCTGCCATCTTGGAACCGCCCCCCCCATTCTTTAGAAAGTAGATATGTCTTTTGAAAGTGAAAAGTACTTTAAAGAATACTCTTTAGGCTACAGATATTATATGTTAGTATAGAATACTAACATATAGATCAGATGTTAGTGTATACACATGAAAAACAGCAGATTTTCTGGGAGATGGGACTTCAGTGGAATTACACTTTCTAAATTATAGAATTGCAAATTATTTACATTTTTACAGCAAGCATTTATTATTTTGTAAAAAAATAAAAATTTTAAAATTATTGATATTGGGAAATGAAAATGATAAGACTTGGAAAGTTAAATATCTACCCTGCAAACGTGGCAGGGTAGATAAATTAAAAGTATTCCACTTATAATTTTTTTTTTTTTGAGACGGAGTCTCACTGTCACCCAGGCTGGAGTGCAGTGGCGTGATCTCGGCTCACTGCAAGCTCCGCCTCCCTGGTTCACACCATTCTCCTGCCTCAGCCTCCTGAGTAGCTGGGACTACAGGCACCCTCCACTGCCCCCAGCAAATTTTTTGTATTTTTAGTAGAGACAGGGTTTCACTGTGGTCTCGATCTCCTGACCTCGTGATCCGCCCGCCTCGGCCTCCCAAAGTGCTGGGATTACAGGCGTGATCCACCACGACTGGCCATCCTCTTATTATTTTAAGAATAGTTTTGATATGAGTTGGCTAACAGTAAGAGTTTCAGAATACTGAGTAAAATTTAGTTTTCTACTGCTTAATTTATGCTTAAGACTACATCTGTACATACAGGGATGCATCTGATTTTGTATTCAGGGAAAAGTGGTGGTTTGATTTGAGCACTGTTAATGAAACTAAAGTCACAAATTGTGTGTTTAAGGTAGTGTGATCCTTTTCTGAAACTCATAACTTTCCTAGACTATAACATTAACCTTGGTCTTCCTTCTTATTCATGTGAGCTCCTGGTCATGGGTAGAAAATTATGGAGGGATCAGAGCATAACAGATCATAACAGGAAAGAAAAAGCACATGGAGGAGTGTGCTGTGTGGACTACACTTCCTATTGGAAGACAGGACAGGGGGAGATGAAACAGGCAGAGGGCCAGAGCCAACAGTGTGCCAGCGTTTCTTATTCCAGTCAGGGAACCCAACTGCTTCTCAATTTAGCCCTGCTACCTGGAGATGTTAATTTGATATGTGCCACTGCAACCCTTATTTCTACAGGATGAAGAATTAATTCACTTAGATGGAAAGTGTTGTCCTGAATGCATTTCAAGGAATGGTTATTGTGTTTATGAAGAAACTGGAGAATTTGTGAGTATCAGGCTTATAACCGAAGATGATTTCAAATTAATTCAAAATTAATCTAATGAGGGAACATTACCTTCTTGTTTCTTTTGCCCATTCATTTGTTCAACAAATGTTATTGTGCACCTACTGTACAACAGGCTCTGGGGACACAGAAGGGAATACAACAGGCAGAGTTCCTGCTGTCTTGGTAGGGCATACTTTGTAGTATAGGGACACAGAAAACACACACACACATCTCCCACACATACTACACATCAGGTGCTGAGGAGCACTACATAGAAGAATAAAACAGTGCAAGTGGGCTAGACAGTAGCTGCACAGGATGGTGGGGTGTGGGGGATGTGTTCCTTTACATAAAATGGTGAGGAGGTTTCTCTTACAGAAAACTTTGAGCAGAGCCTGAAGGGAGGGAGCCGCATGAATGTCTAGGAGGAAACATACCAGGAATAGGGATCAGGAAATGCAAAGGCACTGAGACGCAAGTGTGTTTGGCACGTTCAAGAAATTGGAGTCTGGTAGGAACTTAGTGAATGAGGGAGAAAGGCATTGGCCATGAGGTCTAGTAAGTAGCCTGGAGGCCACAGTCTTTTACCCTGAGGCAAATGGGAGCTGCTGGGGAGTTTTGAGCAGAAGAGCGCTGGGCTCTCGCTTAACTCATGACAGGACCACTTTGGCTGCTGCATGGGTGAGTGACAGAAGGAAATGAGACTGGAGGTAGGCAACCTGGTTGGTGGGGTTTTGTAATGGTCCTGGCAAAGGGCAATGGTGGCTTGGTCTAGGCAGGAAGTGGCACATTTGGTAAAAAGTGAACAGGCTCTAGATTTATTCTGCAGGTAGCAGTGACTGGATTTTGTTTGATTAGATGAGGGGCAAAACTCTATTTACTAAGGTTTTATTTTGCCCTGTGTCTGCACTTTTTTATTACCTAAAGGAAATATATTTATCTTAATCTTTTCAAATTTTCCCTATTTATGTAGCCCATATTTTTCATGTTGGGTATTGGAATGTTGATAAATTCATTATGTTTTTAAAAATATGCCAGTTGATCATAAAAACAACTGCTTCTTTGACCAGTCAGAATAGGATTACAGTAGTCCCCACTTACCACAGAATATGTGCCA
This sequence comes from Homo sapiens, assembly GCF_000001405.40. Taxonomy (NCBI): domain Eukaryota; kingdom Metazoa; phylum Chordata; class Mammalia; order Primates; family Hominidae; genus Homo; species Homo sapiens. The sequence goes on from NC_000004.12 coordinate 78,279,863, forward strand.
AGGCCCCCAGTGGATGCTTGAAACTGTGAATAGTACTGATCCTGATTGGCATCAGTTGAAACAAATTTCTGTTCATGTTTTCCACCGACACAGTTAATGCCTTTTCCATCTTAACTAGCCACTTATCACACACTGTGGCTGTAACTTTCACAGTTTGAGATGCAACAGCAGAACTAGCACACATTTGTTTTTACTTCTTCACAGTTTCATAGAAAGATTTATTCTCACCTTAGACCTTAACAACCTCACATAATTTTTTTCTTTTCTTATTAAGTCAAGAACTTTCATCTCTTCACTTAAAGGAAGTACTTTGCAGCTTCTCTTTGGCATATTCAAGTTGCCAGCATCAGTACTCTTGGATTTTGGGCATTATTAAGTAAAATAAGAGTTACTTGAACATAAGCACTGTGATACTGAGACAGTGGCTCTGATAACCAAGATGGCTACTGAATAACTGGCGGGTGGCATCTACAGCATGGATATGCTGGACAAAGGAAGGACTCCAGGTCCTGGGCAAGATGGAGCAGGACAACTTGAGATTTTTTTCACCCTACTTAGAATGGCATGCAATTAAAAACTGATGAATTTTTTATTTCTTGAATTTTCCATTTAGTATTTTCCCAACATAGTTGACTGGGGTTAACTGAAACTGCAGGAAGTGAAACATGTATATGAATTAGGGATAAGGAGTTTGACTGGTAAACTGATTCCTCCATACTTTTTTTTTTTTTTTTGATTTGGGTAAATTACATCTGTCAACCTTCCAGTGTTTCTGTACATTCTGGGGAGGCAGTATTGTGTAGTGTTAACAGTGCAGACTCTAGGTTCAAATCTCTACTTTGCTGTGTACTGTAATCTTCGGCAAGTTACTTAATCCTCAGTGTAAACTAGCGATAACAATAGGACTTACCGCATGAGGCTGTAGAGATGTTATGTGTGAAGCACTTAGAACAGTGCTTTCTTGGCACATTTTTTTAAAAAGCTGAGAACATTGGCATTATTATTATTTTGCTGTTGGCATTGTTTCCTAGTGGTAGATCACACTTTAGTCATCCTCATTTCTTAAGAATTTAGGAGGTTTTAAAGCCTCCCTATAAATATTGAATTTATATTTTCTCAATCATAGTATCAATTTTCCTACTCATTTTTGGAGATAAACTCAGTGAAATTAAAGAAAACAAAGTTATTTTAAATAAGTACAAATCTCCATCATGCTCTGGCACCATGCAAAATTCAAGAATTTGCCCTTGCAAGTTTAGGTCCCTTGAGCATAAAGTCCTTAGTATTGAGGGGAATTGAAACCAAGTACTCAGGCACAAAGTGAGAATTCAGAAATATTTCCTAGGCACGTTGATTTCACCTCAGATTAGTATGCTTTTCTTGTTTTTTATAAGATAGATTTCATCTCTATTCATAACCAGTGAATAAAGTTGCATGTTCCTTGGGAAAAATGGATAACTCCTAATGAAAAAATAAAATAATCAGCCTAATGGTGTTTTTAGTGGCATAATAAAGACATTTCTCTTTGTTCCTAGATGTCATCAAATGCTAGTGAAGTTAAACGTATTCCAGTAAGTATAGCTTTTTAACTTGCACGTAGATCATTATAAAATTGTTTTATGTAATGATCTGCATGAAATATCATGGGGAAACTTAGGACCTTAGTATTTTTAACAGCCACATTTGATGGCACTATGATCAGGAATTAAGAATCTTAATGATAACTCAGACTTTGATGCATTGAACTTTTGCTCTTTAGCCAGTTGTTTTATGCAGTTGATAATTAATACTTCTCTAACCACAAGCTCCTACATAGATTCTTTCCCTTTCTTGTGATGTTTTTCTCTCCCTGATTCTTTTCTGGCCTAGAAAACTCAGTTTAACCATCAGTAGAGTTTTATGTACTGCAAAGTGCTGAAGAAAGAGCTTCTTGGGTTTGCAAGCATTCATTCCCCAAACAATCTCAAGTTTATTCTCTCCAGGTTGTCTACAGGACAATGTTATATGGTTTCTTTCAAAGGGAAAATGCAAGCGTTTAACACAGCAATCTTACAATAAGGGGTCTGATCTCAAGACGGGTCCGCTTTCAAATGGAAGAAAAGCACTTCTGCCTTCTCAAGATAGTATTGCTCACTTTTCTAACACTTAATGTTCATTCTGCTAAATACCGTCACATTAATTGTTTGAAATGTTTAATGTCTGTTGGCTTAATAAGCGTTTTATAAAATTGTTACTTTAAAATCTGCTCTCCTGTTTTCTCCTGTTTCACCTCCCTCATCACCCCAATACCTTCGGGTAAGAACCTCTGTCTCTTTCCTGTTAGCAAAAATGAATTGTTCTTTACAATTCAATTTGGGTTCTCTGCCGACTACTAATGTTTATTTTCGTAATTTGCTTGGCTGAAAAAGGTATTTTAGTGTGTGAAAGCTTAGGGCACATCTACAGCCCATTAAAAGTAGGCCTGCAAAAGTCTTAATTTTTAGAATACAATGACTCAACTGTTAACTCTTACTGTGGTAACCATAGGGAAATTCAGGTTTTTAGCCAAGTGTCCCACTGTTATTTTAGAGATTGTATTTAACTCACCTGCTAATCACCAGCTACACAGTAATCTCCTTTGATGTTTTTGGTGAAAGAGGTTGAGAAACAAGTTTTAAATGCCTTTTACATATTCTGTTAGTCCTAGAATACTTTCACAGCTTATCTCTGAGTGTGCCTAAAATCTTTCGGCTGGTTCTCTACATTGAAGTAAAACCCATTATGAACAAAGAAAGATAAATTCTGTGTTTTAAATTTAGGACTCTTTTGCTATTGTTCTGTTTCAGAGTTAGATTTGGCAGAGTACTGATTAGCTGCCTTCACTTTGTTCTTATGGAAATTGTAAGTTCTTCAGCAGCAAGCTCTCTTCTGAATTACTGCATCCTGATGACAATGCTGTTCTTCACTTTTTTGCGTAGGAGGGAGAGAAGTGGGAAGATGGCCCTTGCAAGGTGTGTGAGTGCCGAGGGGCTCAGGTAACTTGCTACGAGCCCTCTTGCCCACCATGTCCAGTGGGCACACTGGCCTTAGAGGTGAAGGGACAGTGCTGTCCAGACTGCACATCAGGTGGGTCCATGTCTCCTCTGTTTCTACTGAGATAGTTTTACTGCCAAAAAGCTCAGAGATCCTCTTCCCCACCCCCTTGCTTCTTTTCATTTTTATTTTTAGTTAACCAATGGGTTTGTTTGTTTCTTCATAATTTTTCTAACAAATGATGCTAATTAATCTTTGTCTGTGTAATTGCCAAACTCAACAGATTATGAGCATGTGACCTTGGGCAAGTCATTGACCCTCTTTAAACCTTAATTTTCTTGTTGATAAAATATGCCTTATGTATCTTGCAAAATTATTGTGAAAATCAAGCAACATGTTTGAAGACTTGTAAAGGTAAATCTGTCTTCCATTGTTCAAAATATAAGAATAATTTCTCAACATTTGTTATGGGTGTTCTTTGTTCTTAAGGTGAGCTATTGAACAGATGGTTCCTTTTGGAGTTCTCAAATGGGTTTTTAAAGTGTAAAGACTCATTAGTTTTTTCCAAAAGATAATTTTGTCTACTTGTTCTGCAATTCTGCTTTCAAATCACCTGGGGTTGAATTAGTTCCAGTTAATAATTGTTGGCAGGCACTGGAGTTGCTCTGGTTGAGTAGTAGTTTGCCTATAAGTTTAGTCTCTCTTGGAGAAGTGGCATTTTCTTCCATTCATATTTCATAATTAATTGTTTTCATTCATGGGCCATAATTTTCATATTGGCAGTTGCTCTTGTTGCACTCAGCTTATTTTGGCTAATTGCAGTATTTTTGTGAAGAGTTTATCAAGGAAAAAGCAAAGCAACTTTATGGCTTAATTATGTTACCTACACCAAAGTGGCTCTCTGGGCTTTCCAAAACAAACATTTAGCATATTATTATGCACTATATATATTGAAAATCAGGTCCTTGACAACTTCAAAACCTGAAAAAAGAAGTCCCTTGCTGATAATTACCACTAAATTCAGTGATAACCCCAATTACTGAAAATGAGATTTGAAATTTTGGAGAAAAAGAAGAAAATGGGGTGCATTTTTCTTAGATAAAAATAACTATTTTTCAACATTGTGGGTTTTATGTCTGAACTGTTTGTACATGTTGAAGCTTAAGAAGAACATCGGAGGTATCATAAATTATTGAATCTGTTTAAATAATACATTATGGAAGTAGTCATTCCTGTTTCTTGAAGTATTCCAGCAGGTAGAGGCTGTTCTTTTAGTATCTTCATGCTGGGGCTATGGGAGACAGTGATGAATTTCAGACAAGGAAAACTTCCTTGCAATCTTGCATTGGAATGTATTTTTTTTTTTTTTTTTTTTTTTGCTATTTAGGAGGCTTTTTCCTAAGTCCCACAGTTTTCTGTTCTTCATGTTCTATGTAATGCTACATACTTTGTAGATTCTTTTCTGAAGGATGTAAGAGAAATAATAGATGGAGTTCACAGAGTTCTCCCCTTCTTTGTCCTTGATTTCAGTTCATTGCCATCCAGATTGTTTGACATGCTCTCAGTCTCCAGACCACTGTGACCTCTGCCAAGATCCTACCAAGTTACTGCAGAATGGATGGTGTGTGCACAGCTGTGGACTGGGTTTTTACCAAGCTGGCAGTCTCTGTTTAGGTATGGCTCCAAGTGGACAACCCAGAGGTGGTGGTGTGTGGGAGATAGACTCATCAAAGGTTGTGATTCTTAAACTGAGGCTCAGTATTGTCAAGGAGGGGGTCATGCATGCAGCATGTTTTTGAGATGCACAACGTCTAAAAACCTCTAGAAGGTAGTAATGTCATCTATAGGTTACTTGCCCTCTCTACCTGCAGGTCTTTTTTTCTGACATTTTATAGGTATTTTGGTGCTTATTGGAAGACAGGTGATGTGGAGGTTGTTAGGTAGTCATAGTTAAATATTTTTATTTTTGAAGACTTTCAAGGATAGTAATATCAGGATACCTGGGCTCATTTCTTAAAGCACTCAATTAATCCGGGATAGAAACTTAGAATTGACATAGACCTTCAAGATCATTTACTGCAACTTTCTAATTTTGCAAATGGGGAATCTGTAGGCCAGAGAAATTAACCAACTTGCTCAATATCAAACAGATAGTTGGTAATAGAGCTTATCTCTTATGGGCTACCAGAGGATCCAGAATGGGTTTATGTGCATTTCTGGATGCTACATCTGAGAAGAACTTACTTGGGAGAGTTGACTTGGTTGATGTCAAATCCTAGTTACTATTCCCCTTATTTCTGACTTATGATGTTAATTATCCATTTTAAAGTGTGTAATTAGCCAGGTGTGGTGGCGCACGCCTGTAGTCCCAGCTACTCAGGAGGCTGAGGCAGGAGAATCTCTTGAACCCTGGAGGTGGAGGTTGCAGTGAGCCGAGATTGTGCCACTGCACTCCAGCCTGGGTAACATAGTGAGACTCCGTCTCAAAAAAAAAAGAAAAAAAAAGTGTGTAGGTTCATACCTGGCTGTGAATATTTAACCTCTCTCTGCTTCCATATTCTTTTTTTTTTTATTTGAGATGGAGTCTCACTCTGTCACCCAGGCTGGAGTGTGGTGGCATGGTCTCGGCTCACTGCAACTTCCACCTCCCGGGTTCAAGCGATTCTCCTTGCCTCAGCCTCCTGAGTAGCTGAGATTACAGGCATCTGCCACCACACCAGCTAATTTTCATATTTTTAGTAGAGATAGGGTTTTGCCGTGTTGGCCAGGCTGGTCTCAAACTCCTGGACTCAAGTGATCCACCCACCTATGCCTCCCAAAGTGCTGGGATTACAGGTGTGAGCCACTGCCACCTGGTATCTTCCACATTCTTATCTATAAAGTGAGAGTAATTCCAGTACCTTCCTCAGAGGGTGGTTATAAGGATCAAGTGTTTTGATACAGGTTAGGTGCCTAGCCTGATGTCTAGGATACAGTGAAGGATTAATAAGAGTTAGCTGCTTTTATTATTTTTGTAATTATTCACTCCTCCATACTTTCTTTCCTAATTCATATAATCTTCAACCTTTTTGAAAGTTACTTATATCTCTTTCATACAGTATTGGAAAAGGGGCAAGAGATCTTCTTGCTAAAAGTTTGAGTGACAAAGATATTGGGGGCTATTGGATAAGAGGAAAAGAACATAGACTCCTGAGCCAAACTGCTTGGTTTCAAATGCCAGCCTCATGTGACCATGGGCAAGTTGTTTAATCTCCCTGAGTCTGTTCCTCATCTGTAAAGTTGGGATTAATAATATCTACCTCCTAGGGTGGTTGTGAGAATTAAATGAATTCATATACGTAAAGCACTTCAAACAGTGGCTGACATGAACTGTGTGCTATACAGATGATGGCTGTTAAAATTATTTTTCTGCATTTTCTGTTTGGGACCTGGAGCCTCAAGATTGGGCTGTGTAAGCACTGGCATGGGGGTGGTGTCTTTCAGCTAATCAAATGGTTCCTTTCTCTTTCTTCAACATTATCTGGAGTCAGCCTGCCAGCCCCAGTGCTCCACGTGTACCAGTGGGCTGGAGTGCTCATCCTGCCAGCCTCCCCTGCTGATGCGGCACGGGCAGTGTGTGCCTACCTGTGGGGACGGCTTCTACCAAGATCGCCATTCCTGTGCAGGTAATCTCTGGCTGGGCCACAGTTGGGCCAGCTACCAAGACAGCTCCCCAACCCTGACCCCACCAAGTGATCTGGGGACACCAGGAGCTGGAAGCACTTTTTCAAATAAGAGAAGAAACTCTAAACAAGACTTCTGATGGGATGAGGAGAACAGTGTGTTAGAGAAATGATACATGTTGAGATGTTTTAATAACCTTATTAGGTTATTCGGTTCTTATCAATATGGTTTAGTGGACTTATATGCCTACTTTTATTTTATATTTTTAATTGAGATCTAGTTGAAATTCTTAATATCATAATAGTCTCTTGAGGTGGGAGTAGTCATAATATAATTTAATTTGTTTGTTTATACTTGGCCATTTTTTCAATAGAGATTATAAGTTTAAAAAGTAAATGTCTAAATAATTTTTTTAAATGCAGAAATGGAAGATGGGAGTTGTATTAGTCTGTTTTCACACTGCCATATAGAACTACCTGAGACTGGATAATTTATGAAGAAAAGAGGTTTCATTGACTCACAGTTCTGCGTGGCTGGAGAGGCCTCAGGAAACTTACAATCATGGCAGAAGGCAAAGGGGAAGCAAGATACGTCTTACATGGTGTCTGGAGAGAGAGAGAGTGAGAGAGAGAGATAATGAAGGGGGAAGTGCCACTTTTAAACCATCAGATCTCATGAGAACTCACTCACTATCATGAGAACAGCATGGGGGAAACTGCCCCCATGATCCAATCACCTCCCACCAGGTCCCTCCCTCGACACGTGGGGATTACAATTTGACATTAGATTTGAGTCAGGACACAGAGCCAAATCATATCAGGGTTAATGATGAAAACAAAGACAAGGGACAGAGATATGAGTTTGTCTTCAGGAGAATAGATAATTAGATGTGCCCAGAAACTAAGGCAGGGTGTGTAGTGGCAGGGAAATCTGAAAAGGCAGATAGACCAGGGGAAGGTCTTGGATGTCATGCCAGGGAGATGTGATAGCTACTCTCTGCAGCTAAACATAACGGGGGGTCAGTGATGAGAATCAGAAGGTGAGCCAATCTGAGGGGCAGCTGATATGCTCCTTTCTTTCACACCCTTGGTTAGACTTTCAGTAAAATCATTTGCAGGAAAATGATTGAGGTTAAAAAGGCTAAGTTCATGGTATTAATCAGATGTGCAGGCTAAATGAGCACTCGGGCCATATGCAGGTCCTATGTGGAGGAGGCTGATGGTCGTCTCCATTCCAGGTAATGGTCAGAAGCGGAGCTCATGGGGTTGTGGAAACCATGTTGAAAGGAAACACTAATACTGTTTATGCCACAGAGATATGAGTGTAGCAGAGCCTGTTTTGTGATCAGCCATGTTATAGAATATGGAAGGCAGAATAGCTTCCGAGTTTGGCTTGGAGGCTCTTTGGTGTCTACAGAAATATCACCTGCATGTCTATATCCTCAGCATCAAGGGCTGCACAAAGTTCTGAGCATTGTTGAACAAGTGTGTGATGAATGAATGAATGAGAATACTACCAGTTGGTGGTCCTTCAAAGACCAGTGTTTCAATAGAAGTCTCAGCCATAAAACAGAAAAGAACCCTTAGTGTTTATAGCTTATCATGTTCAGTTTACCTGTTACTTTAAAACAGGTTCAAAGTGGGAACATACAAATACCTTTATAAGTGTCTAATGGTTGGGCAATTTAGGTAAACTGCTGAAATTTTAATTTGATGAAATTATTGAATGTCTTTACTCCTTTCTTTTATCCCATCAAAGAGATCTCCTGCTAGTGCTCGTGACAGATTTGCCTTTAAAAGGCAACTAATTTCCCCTAGGTTTTACTCCTTCCTCTGTACCACCTCCATCCCCTGAAATACACACATACCACATACATATGACTTTTCTGGGGGGAGGGCATTTTCCTTTCTCCCATGCCCGTTGTTTTAATTGGTGATGCTAATGCTAGTTTAGGGCATTTTGAAATGGGTAATGTTTCATTTGATTAGTGGTTTACGTAGCTCACTGCTTCACATTCCATCCACATATCTACACACAAATGCCTCTAGTAGAAAGTTGCTGGGAAAATTTGTTCATGCTCCCTCCAGGGAATTAAACCAATTTGCTTTAGTTCAGGCTGGTTGCATTTTTATGCATAAAATAAGGAGAAAAAAAAAACAGAGCAAAAGGAGAGAGAGAGAGTGGATCTTAAAAATTAAAGCCAAAGTTGTGATCAATTTTCATATACTGTCTTGGCACTAAGATTATCTTTCCAGATAAGCTTTCTCAGCTTTGGAATTTTTTGCAATATTCATGCTTGTACCACTGTTGGTGACTTTTCACCACTGACCTTGGAAGTCAGTCACTCAGCTGGTGCTCTTCCAATACGTGCTAAACTTTTCAAAAAGAAGCCTGCCATTTTATGGTAACAACAGGTTTTTCTGGATTGATTCCTCTTGGCAGGGTCATTTATGTGATGATTGGGATAAGTTGCCACTTTATTGGCCCATTAAAACCCAAAGAAACTGAGTGCTGTGCTGAGGAAACTAATTACCAGAAATCACCTGATTAATATTCATGTTCACTATGTTGAATAAAGGGCAGAGTTGAAAAAAAGTAGCAGTTAAACATGGCTCTTCAACAAAAGAGTACAAGCAGGTAAACCAGAGGGAGTAAAGGAAAACACTTAGTCCTGCCTGAGAATCTTACCCATAGGGGCCCTTATCATTTTCTCTTTTCTCTTGAGTTTAGGGGTATATGCACAAACACAAACATGCATATAAACACATGTGCATATGTTAATACTATTGTTACATATTTTGCATGATTAAACTGAATAATGTTGTAATTATAGGCCACATGATGCACTCCATACCAGTCCCTGCTTCATTTCCCCTGCCTTTACAACTCCAGAGTTTGATGCTTTGACCACTGTACATTAAGGCTTAGCACTAGCCTGTTTTTATATGAACCTAAACCGGAGACAGATGTAGGTTGCCTTTTTTCACAGCAGGTAGGGCCATAGAGTGATCACCCTGTTAGTACCCAAAGCTCACATTTTAGTTCTGGCACTCAGACTTCTGCTTTAACCCCTATGTGTCCTTTGCCAACACCTGGATCTGATTAACATCCCCTCTTGCCCATCCTACCCCACTCTTCTTGACTCTGCAGTCCTAGCATTGGCCTTGTACTTTGGTTCCTGCCGCTTGCCCTGCTCTCACCCATTTCCAGGAATTAATAGCCCACTGCTTAATTACCTGGAGACTGATGGCCAGGCTTTATCCATGTATGGATGCTCCTTGCTCCCCCTCCCCACCTTCCCCACCACAATACTTGACCTTGCACTCTTCCTGCCTGTCTCTTTGGTATCACTTGCCTTGGATTTACTCTGTTCCCTCACCAGAACAGTGGTTCCATTGAGTCATCTTAAAAACTCAGGTATTAAATCTAAACTGGATCCAGGTGGAACTCGCCAGGTCCTGAGAACATTCTTTCTTGCTTGTCTTGCCCCTCTGTTCAATCAGCCTCTGTTCCACTCTGGTGGGACCACTGAACTGTGCACACAAATCTTAGATACGAGAGTCCATAAGAAAAAAAGCTAAAACAACCAACAACACGCACCATGTAAGATTATGTTAAAATGAGTAATTTTAACGTAAGGTTAAAATTATAAGGTTACAACTCATAAGGTTGTAATCTTTGAAAAGAGAAAGAGTACGATTTAGCCCATTTTTATACGTGTATCAATGTTTTGTTTGTCTACTTAAAACTTATTTTATTCACAAAGGCCTGAGGATAGAGCCATGTGTACTGCAGGGCAAATGCTGCCTTCATTCTGCAGGCGCAGATGTTATGGGGAGCCTGGCCCCAGTGGTTAAGAGCTTGGACCCTGGAGCTAAACCACCTGGACCACCTGGTTTCTTTTTTTCTTTCTTTCTTTCTTTCTTTTTTTTTTTTTGAGAGGGAGTCGCGCTCTGTCATCCAGGCTGGAGTACAGTGGCACAATCTCAGCTCACTGCAACCTCTGCCTCCTGGGTTCAAGCGATTCTCCTGCTTCCTGAGCAGCTGGGATTACAGGTGCTCACCACCATGCCTGGCTAATTTTTGTATTTTAGTAGAAACTGGGTTTCACCATATTAGCCAGGCTGGTGTCGAACTCCTGACCTCAAGTGATCTGCCCGCCTTGGCCTCCCAAAGTGCTGGGATTACAGGGGTGAGCCACCACACCTGGCCTCATTTTTTTGTTTGTTTGTTTGAATTGGTTCATGGTTTCTGTTATTTATTGCCTTTTTTTTTTTTTTTTTTTAAGACAGAGTTTTGCTCTTGTCACGATCTTGGCTCCTGGATTCAAGTGATTCTCCTGCCTCAGCCTTCCAAGTAACTAGCATTACAGATATTTGCCACCATGCCCAGCTAATTTTGTATTTTTAATAGAGACAGGGTTTCACCATGTTGGCCAGGCTAGTCTCAAACTCCTGACCTCAGGTGATCCGCCCGCCTTGGCCTCCCAAAGTGCTGGGATTACAGGCGTGAGCCACTGCGCCCGGCCTAAACCACCTGGTTTCTAATCTTGCCTCTGTCACTTACCTATTCTTTAACTCCACTCTTCAATTGCCTTATGGGTAAAACAGGGACATAATATCTGCCACATTGCACTGCTATGAAGATGAATGAGTGAATTCACATATTCCATTTAGGGCAGCAGTCCCCAACCTTTTTGGCACGAGGTACTGGTTTCATGGAAGACAATTTTTCCATGGACCGGGGAGCTGGGGGTGGCTTCGGGATGAAACTGTTCCAGCTCAGATCATCAGGCATTAGTTAGATTCTCATAAGCAGCTGCAACCTAGATCCCTCACATAGGCAGTTCACAATAGGGTTTGCACTCACTCCTATGAGGCAGAGCTTGGTGACAATGCTGCCTCACCCACTGCTTGCCTCCTGTTGTGTGGCCCAGTTTCTAACAGGCCACACACTGAAACTGATCTGTGCCTGGGGGTTGGGGACCGCTGGTTTAGGAGATGGTACCTGGTGTCTAGAAAGCCCTTCATATAAGTTTAGAGACTTGGGTTCTGCTTTCTATTGTCCTTCTTCCTTGTTCCTTTTATTTCATTTCCCCTTTCATTCTTTTTTGACCATTGTTCTAGGTCCTGAGTACATGAAGTGTATAAAGTAAATAAGATTCAGTCTTTGCCTATAGTGAGCTCACAGTCAAGGCAGGTTAGTTGTTGCTTATAGAGATGTAAAATAAAACAAAACAAACAAAAACAAAATCCAAAAGCCTTTGAAGTTTATTCTATATCTGAGTGCTGTATGGTCTCAGATTTTGAGACGTAAAGAATCAAACAACTGAACATTTTACAGGATTATAAGGGATAGGATTATTTTGAATGGCACCTCTACCACTTGCTGCAAGAGGGCTTTGGCAAACCATTTAACCTCTCTGAACTTCAATTTTTTCAACTGCAAAATGGGGACGATATTATCTACTTTAAACCATTATTATGAAGGTTAGAAAAGCTGTTTGAAATGTATAAATACATTATGCCTGGCCTTAGTATGTGGACTGTAAAAGGCAGCTATTGATATTATTGAAACCATTCCTTTATTTTTCAACCTATAGAGATAAAAACCAAATAGCTTTCATTAAGTAACAAAAAGCTTTCTGCCATTAATGTCTCATCTAAATAAAATCTGCTTTTATATGTTATGGAGAAGTAAATATATAGAGAACAGTATACTGTATTCTTTATAGCAAATTAAAATCCCTTTTTCTTTTAAAAAGGAAAGAAAATTTTAAGTGCTCAGATTAAACAATGAGAATCTATGATTATTTGTTTCTTAGCCAATATTGTGACATATTTAGAGGAAAAGTTTATAATAAAAAAACCTATAAAATTTACAACTAGGATGTTGACCTAGTTGAGATTTAAAAGCTGTGGCCTGAGCAGAGGACCTTCTGAAGTTAATTATTTGTTGGAACGATGGTTGACTGGAGCAGCCAGTCATTTGCAGAAATGAAGCACTGACCTTGCAAAGCCAGGTCCAAAGCAGCAGGGATTTAATGGGTCTTGGTGTTGTGTTCCAACACATGACTTATCCCAGCCTGGCTGTGCCCTGGGTGGACCTCTTGACAATGGCACCTATGAAACTACTGTTCTGAAATCCAGGAGCCCTCCTCGCAAGACAGGGGCCCCCCTTTCTCTGTTGGGATAGTCATGGCCAAGCTGGTGTCACCTCCATGGCCCTTGCAACATACCCCAGGATTGGAGGGTTAGTCTCAGTTTCATTGCCGGGTCACATACTCAGTTTAGGGGCCCTGCATGTTTCTACCACTGCCTTCACTCATTTTGTTCTACTCTTTAAATCCTATGCATTGTTCAGAACTTCTTTGGCATTCTACAGCAATTATGGTCCCTTACTAAATTGCTGACTGTCTCATAAAGGTGACTTGTTGCTTCAAGTGGTATCTCCTGTCTCTTCGATTCTGTTCATGCATAAATATTTGTGGAGCCTCTTCTATGTACCACGCCCTGTCCCAGACACCAGAGATACAGAGTGAAGCAGACAGAAAACTTCCCTCTAGTTAAGGAACTTAACTTCCTCAATGGGAGGAGAGTGCCTCTAAACAAATAAACAAGATAATATTAAATACTTAGATAGTTATCATTATATGAAATTATTATTATCAGTGCTATAAAGATACCTTACAGGGGAATATGATAGGAAATGATCAGTCATTGGGGCAGGGACATGCCGTATACTTCTGAATTTCACATGGTGCTAAGTATATCTGTGGCCCTCTGGAATAATTTTTGATAGAAAAAATGTGATAAACCATTGCATAGAGAGCAATCAACAGAAATGTACAGGCATGACTAAACTTTGGCTTACAGATGACCTATCTTCCATTTGGCTTCCACTATTTGCTCCTTGTCAGCAATTTCTGGCTAGTGGTGGCCTCAGGATAATTACAGACTCTCTATTTTTCTCACCCCTCTTTTTCTTCTCTTTTCCTCATGTTTAACATAGTTGTGGGCTTTATTAGAGTTGGGAATGTGACTTATAAAATCAACTGTCTTCAAAACTTGGGTCGTGTCCATGGAGTATTTCAGGCCATTCAGAAGGGAAGACAATAGGATTGCCTTCCTAGAATGTAAGTTTTTTTGAGTAAACAAGACCCAATGAGGCAGGTGACAACAGTGTTCCAAGGCCCCTCTCTCTTTGGATATTATATTCATATGCAGAAAAAATGGAGAGAAGAGGGGAAAACAGCTGGTGGTGTTGTGTCTGGGACCTTTGCTTTGGCAGGAAGCTGGCTGTGTTTGGCATTTGTCTTTGCCACTTCTAGACCCTTGCTGTGTATGCCAGAAGACAAATGACAGAACAAAAGTATCACATACCAGCAGAGAAAGCCTGCCACAGATGCCACAGAGTTTATCTTTCAGACAGATCCCATTCTTCCCGACAAATCTGAACCCCAAAGTATTTCAGCTATGGATTACAAACTAGTGACAAGTCTTCTGGCTTTCTGCCCAGTTTGGAAGGTTCTCAGTTATTTTAGCTAGACTGTATGGCATACGTTCTTTCTCTTCTCCATTCCCCACCCAAGCACTGTCCCTGTTCTGCCCTCCCCTGCTTCTATGCTGCTCACAGAGCTAACAGCACCTCCTTGTTGTTGCTGCTGAGATCTGAGCAGCTGTGTTAGTGCAGCCAGGAGGTCTGAAAACTCTCCCCATCAAAAGGTTGTTTTGGTTTGCGGTCCCGCCTTTGGCTCTTCAGTTTCAGTAGACATCACTGGAGTAGACAATAGGCATTTAATTAACAGGGGCCACTGGGTGTAGGATTGGGGAGGGAACACAGGGAGTCCTAGCAGCTGTGGATTTTCAGTGGTCACAGAGGATGAGTAGAAGCTGAGAAGCTGGTGGTCTTGAAAACCCTTGGATTATACCTATGTTGTCGATTTAGGAATATAGGTAGAGGGGCAGGAAATAGAAGAGATAACTTTACCAGATACTCCTGATGAGCTGAATGTCTTGCTTTGTCCTCTGACTTATGAAGCAATGAAAGGTCCATGTGGACCTGCCAAAGCCTTCATTGGCTGGGAAGTAATTTCCTTTGGTTCAAGTTCTGTGTCTACCAAAGACCCTGCTAAAAATTCAAATATATTACTCAAGACGGGTAAATCATTCAGCTGTATCACAATCATGGTTAATAGGTTAACAAGTTATTTACCTAGCATGTACCTTAGGGAAAAGGACTATAGCTTTCCTCCCTCCATCATTAGGAAAATTACCAAAATTCCCCCCAAATACCAAATGAATTTATGTTTATTCCAAAAAAAAATAATTAAAGTCAATAAAATATAAGGTATAATAAAAAGTCAGCTAAAATTTCTAACTCAAACTCCCCTAAATCACTACTGTTAGTATTTTGGTGTATGTCTTCCTAATTTATAAAGATATCTTTTTGTGTGTCTATACACATACACTTTTTTTTTCAAAACTAAAATCATACTCTATTTACAGTTTTATTGCTTGCTTGCTTTATGTTATTACTTATCCTTCTACAACATCTTTTTAAACCTGTTGTATAATTTTCCATCTCTGGCTATGCAATCATTCATTTAGCCAATCCTCTATGGTTTGATATTTGTTCCCAATTTTTTTAATTATATGTAACCATGATGTAAACATTTTTAGTAGAAATTGTGGTAAATATTTTTGAATCAATTTTTAGACATGTGACTACCGGGTCCAAAGGTTTATGTACAGTGTTTAAGCTTTTTGACACAGAGTAACATATTATACTCTTTTAAGAAAGTTGTACTAATTTGTACTCTTACCAGAAATGTATAAGGGTGCCTACTTGCCAGCACTCTTGTCAACACTAGGTATTACAAGCCTTCTTAAATTGTCAATTTGATTGATGTAAAATGAAATCTTGTTTAATTTTTATCTTTTACCTATTTTGGGGATTCTTATGAAGCATGTGGAGTTAATCATGCTTGTCAGTTGATGGCCCATTTTCATCATTGGTCTGGGCCAAGCTATTCTCTTGCTTATTTGTCTGCCCATCCATCTGCCTGTCTATTCCTTTTGTTATCATGCCCTATTCCCATTCTCCTTCTTCCCAGCTCCCCTTTTAAATAACTACACTAATGTGATTTAGTGTGTACTTTTTGTATGTATATTCTCTTATTGTTTTGTATGCCTGAGTAGATATTTCCTTCTTTTTTTTTTTTTTTAGATGGAGTCTCACTCTGTCACCCAGGCTGTAGTACAGTGGCGCAATCTTGGCTCACTGTAACCTCCGCCTGCCCAGGTTCGAACGATTCTCCTGCCTCAGCCTTCTGAGTAGCTGGGACTACAGGGGTGTGCCACCACACCTGGCTAATTTTATTTTTTTGTATTTTTAGTAGAGACAGGATTTCACCATGTTGGCCAGGCTGGTCTTGAACTCGTGACCTCTAGTGATCCACCCGCGTTGGCCTCCCAAACTGCTGGGATTACAGGCACAAGCCACCAAACTCAGCCAGATATTTCCTTCTTTCTTGACTTTTTTTTTTCTCACTAAGCAGTGTTTCTAGGATGCATACATGTTATTAGGTGGTGCAAAAGTAATTGCAGTTTAAAAATATAATGTGCATGTCTCATCCAGTGCATCTAGTTGCTGCTCTCCTGTTTGGTTTGCATATCTCCAGCTTTTGATGATGCTGAAGATTTTTTTTACGTGTTTGTACTTTTTTCTATTATGAAGTTCCTCAAGCACTTACGAGTTTTCAGAATATGTGGAGACCAGACATTCCCATTTCAGGTGTAAAGCCTTCAATTGGCAAAGGGAGGCAGTAGCAGGCAGAGGCCCAGTCTGGGAAGGGACAGAAGATTGGAGTAAAAGGATCAAAAATGGTGATGGCTCAGATCTCTTTGGAACTTCTTTTAAATTAGCCTGGAGTTTTAGCGTCTCAGGCAACCAGCCTTGGCCTCTTGTGGGGCTGTGACTGGGGAGGAGGAAGTGGTCTTTCAGGAATCAGAGCCTCACCAAGGTATTTCCAATCACTTTCAAAGAGCTTTTGCTGTTGTTTTGTAGAGGTTGCAAGGAAAGAACTGCTAAGTGTGAAGCCCCTGGGCGAGGCTGGAGCCCATTCGTATAGCTGCTGGCCAAATCCCTGCAGGCTGTAATTCTTCCCTTCCCTTCCTTTCTAAGTGAGCCAACCTTTCCTGTAGTCTTTTCCATCCTTCCCCCTTCTGTCTTGTGTTGCACTTTAATTTGCTCCCTTTAAAATTACTTTGATTTTGACAGCAGTTGAGACAAACTGCAGCTCTCCCCATGCCATTCATGTGATCACACACAAAATTCTCTGCTTTTCCAAACTTGCCATCTCTCCATGTCCTCGTGAACTAGGTACAACAAATATTATTATTTCCACTTTACAAATTAGGAAACCAAGGAACAGTGAAGTTGAGTTCAAGACAGAAAAAATTTTTCATTCAACAAGAGCTTCTTATTGAAAATTTACCCACTGTCTCCTGATAATACTTCAAAACTTGGCGAGTACTACCTAGTCATTTGTGAGATGAGAATGAAAGCTGGCAGTTGCCACAAACTGGATAATAACAGAATGAAGGAATTTGATTTGCATATATCACACCTGCTTGTGCCTGAAGTTAGGGCTTTTTCTGTGCAGTTGTGAGTAAAAACATCTTGGCAGTTTGAAAATATGAACTGCAGCCTCACTGATGAATCTCAGAGGAACTACAGATCAATTGTGCTAATTCTCTGGAAACTTACTCCAAACAGCCACAGAAAAGAGGAAATGGGTGTCGGTGTCCACTGCTCTGGGTCTGGGAAGGCTTTGTGGAAAATAAGGTGCTTACACGAAGTGCTTTTAATGTTTCCCTGGAAAAGGGCTGCATTTTATTCTTAGAGAGACATAGCTTAAAACATTTTTAAAGCAATCTTCTATTTCAAAAGTATCAAATACAAAAAGATGTGTGTTATTTTTAGAGTAGGGTTTTAGTAAAGAATTGCCAAAAGAAAAGTAATTTGTTCCTTTTCATTTTCGAAATGAGTTGCTCAAGAAGCCAACCACATGTCTGGTTATGCTCCAGAAAAGTCAGGGACCTTACCAAATAAATTATCTGTTACATGTGAGATAAAAAGATAGCTTTCTCTTATTCACCCTCTTTTAACATTTATTGCCACAATGTTCACAATATATAATTTAAGCCCTGTGTGATCTGAAATGTATCACTAAGAGAAATTATGGTGAAAAGTCAGGGAGTGACCTCTTATTTTTTATAATAACCCAAATATAATAAAAGCCATATGTGAGAGATAAGCTGTGGTAGCATATGTTCAGTGTTAGAAATTAGAAATCAATTGCAAACACAGTGGGATTTTTGCTAAATCAGTAGATTATAGCTGTTCTTGCCACTCAAGGGAAAATGGGTAACTATATGGGAAGATGGGTATGTTAATTTGTTCCTCTCTCTCTCTCTCTCTCTCTCTCTCTATATATATATATATATATATATTACTAATCCTCTTTATATATATATATTTTAAGGTATATGACATGATATTATAAGGTATGTGTATATATATTTAAGGTATATAACATATTATAAGGTGCATATATATATACCTTATATAAAATATAAAATATAAGGTACAGATATATACTTAGCCTTATAAAATATAAGGTGTATTAAACATAAATGTATATTATTAAATATATAAGGTACATATTTAAGGTATACAATGTGATATTATAAGGTGTATATATATATATGCACACACACCTTTTTATAGTGATGTGTATATAAATATAAATACACACACCTTATAATATCATGTTGTATACCTTAAATATACACAATACAATTTATTTTAAAGAAACCACAGTGGAAGTATATCATTATAAGAGATGAAAGCTCAGCATATTCCTGTGTTGAAATAAAAATTCTTTCTGCTGTTGTGTCTGGCCATGGAACATGTCTTTTGTGTAATATATAAAAAAACAGCAGGACCACTGTCATGTTTGGTACTCTATATAGATGCAGCGTCAGTATTTATCATCATAAGCAGATTTGGACTTCAGCATTTATTAAGTATGTATTACAGCTTCAAGTTTCTCTTAAGTTATATCTTAAGACTATGACCTAGTGGTGAGTTGTTTCCATGTAGAAGGTAACTGAAAGGATGAATTCCCCATAACCCATTTTAAAAATCTGCTGTGCATTCATTTAGCCTACATTTAATGAGTACTGACTAGGTGCCAGACATCAGTCTGGATACTGGGGGTTTGCAATGACTAAAACATGGTCCCCATTTGGGAGGGTATTGAATTTCACTGAAGACTGAATTCCATTGAGATTGATTCATAACTGAGTAAGTTAGTACAGTAGGATAAATATGATAAGAGAGGCATATGCAACATGCTGCAGGAACATAGAGAAAGGTTATCAGACAAGTTTAGCAAAGCTTCACAGAAGTAGTGACAACTTAGGAAATATAAACAGGAAATTATATATAAACAGGATTTTAGGGGCTAAGGAAGGAGCCAGCGACGTTGTGGGCTGGGCGAATCCTGTGTGGGGCATCAGAACTCATAGATGGGCACATGGCACATGTAGGGTGCCCTGCTTCACAGAATTGGTGTGCAAGGGGAGATAGTGGAAGATGGAGCAGGAAAGTTAAGGAGAGCTCAGTTTGTGGGGGGCCTGAATGCCATCCCTAAGTCTGTCGATTGAGGCCATCCTGCTCATTCTTTGGTCCCTGTCCTGATTGGTAACACCGAGGGTGTAGTAAAAATATCTAACAAGCTGTATGGCACAGATGCACATCAGAGAGAAGGAGGGGGACCCCAGACCTTCTCCTGTGTCAGACCTTTTGTTTGTGGAGCATGGTGTCGGGTGGAGATTCCGGGGATGAAACTCGGGGTGACAGCCATTTATCAACCAGTTTGAAAGTATTTTACTATTTTAACAACCAGTATAACTGCATGTCTGCGCTGCTATTCAGCCAGTCACTGAAGAAAGCTAGGGAGCTGTGCTTTAATTTCTTATCTCCTCTATACCTCTGGACAAAGATGATTTCATCCCCTACAGATGTCTTGAGTTACTTTCTTTTCTCCCCACTGCCAGAATGAACTCTCTAAAAAGCAGAAGTGATCATTCCACTGCCCTGATTAAAACTTTCCATGGCATGAAGTCCAAGGTCCGTACTCTGGCCCATCTGAAGTTGGAAGTCTGACCCCTGTTGTCTTTTCAGCCTCACTTTCCATTCATCATTTCCTTGGCACTTATGCCCCAGTGCAGTTTGCACAATGTCACCAGTGCACCTAGGCAACAGAGTGTTCTAAGTGTTCCTGCAGCAGACCTCAGATAACCTGTGGCTTACCTGTGGCCAGCTGAGAACGTGCCTTACATGTGTCTTTGTGTGCTTCTGTTGAATGTTGATATATCAGCTTGGCATAACTTTTTAGAAATGAGAGTGGATTTTTTGTTTGTTTGTTTTGGTAATGACTTTAGATCAACTCCAGAGTGAGTGAGGCAAAGGCATGAACAGTCGTTGACTCTTCAGATGATGACTACAGTCAGTAATGAAAGGGTGGTAGAATACATGAATGTCAGGCAGATTTCATGCATGTTAAGGGTAGAATTTGTTACTGAGATCTTTGCATCCACATCTTTAACTATAATTTAGTACCAAGTAAATTATAACTAAAACTTATCCAAAGCTTAAGGGTAAGTTTATCCTTAAACTTATCCTGCATATGGACAGTATTCTCATGTTCTACATTTATAAAATATAAATAAGGAGTTAAATATAAATGAAGTCACTTGAGAGACATTTGTAAAGCAGAAGCAGTGTGCCTTGTACAGTTAACAAAATAGAAATGGGCCCTGCCCTCATGGAGCTTACGGTCTCACAAGGGAACCAGATGATAAATAAGGAAACTTTCCTTTGTCTTTGCTTCCCACCCAACTAGTCCAAGTCCCCTCTCACCTGGGTCATGCAGTAGACTCTGTGCTGGTCTCCTGCTTGCTAGCAGGTCCTTAAACCCTCTCTACATGGCAGCCAGAGAGTGATTTGAAACATGTCAATCAGATCTTGTGTCTGTCTTGCATGAGCTCATTTATGACTTCACATGGTAATTAGGATAAAAATCCTAATTTCTTTCCTTGGTCTCCAAGGTCAAATTTGACCAGGCCTCTGCCTATGGCTGCAGCCATGATTCATGCCATGGCCCCCCACTGTGCCTCACCAACTCCAGCCACAGGGGCAGCCCTCAGTTTCCCCAAATACACGTACCCCTTCCCTCCTCTAGAGCTGCTCGTGATGGTCCAACTCCCTGTGACTGGCTGCCTTTCATCCTTTTGATCTATAGTTAGTCCCCACCACCCCCACCACTGTTACTCTTTATTGCAGAGCCCTTTTTAGCACTTATTGCAATTCGTAATCATCCCTACCTTTTTTGGGGAGAAAAAGTGTCTGAAATTAGGACTTGCTTGTGCAATTTAGAACTGAGAAGAGAGAATTGGATCTTGAGGTTTGCAAGGCAGATATCCTTCCTTCTGCCTCCAAAGGGATGCCTACTTGAATTACTAAGGTAGGGTTACCAAGCTGCTTGCAAGCAGCAAGGCATTCATTCTACCTACCAATTTTGGTCAGAATCAATGCCTCTGCAAACTAGCTGGTGCTCCACTGTGAAAGAAACCTTTTAAGAATTAGGATGTATTAACAAAAGCATAGGTAGGGGTTAGCCATACAGCTAGCCAAATTCGAAAAAATTCAGTTATTCAGAATAGGTCATTCTGCAAAAGTGCTAAAGTGAAGAGTGAGCTTGAAGAGTAAAAAAAAAAAAAGCAAATGCTGAAGAGGAGAATATTTTAAAATCTTAAAGGAGCAAGTTATAGTAAGAAATTCAAGGTATAAGAGAAAAGCAAGCTTTGTGAGTTCTTAAGACACATGTGTAGGACAGATAATACTGGGGGGAAAGAGATAAAAAGGCAAAGAACGATAGATGTCAAGTAGGACTGGGTCCTCAGAAGGTTGAATCTGGGACTAGAGTCCAGGGAATCCCTCCTCAGCTGATTCTGATGGTGCTGCAGGTGGGAGGTGGTGATCCTGTGGACACTCTGTGGTGTGTGTACAAAAGGCAAGGGGGTGGAGGACCATCTGATTTCATTAAGCAGTCCTTCTTTCTCTAGAAAGTTATGATTTCCTTCTCTGTAAATCCCATTTCTCAAAAGCTTCTGATCTCCTCTTCTGAATCTCTTAGTGATTCTTTACTGAAGTTGTACTTCTGGCCCACAGAAACAGTTTTTTTTTTTTTTTTTTTTTTTATACTTTAAGTTTTAGGGTACATGTGCACAATGTGCTGGTTAGTTACATACGTATACATGTGCAATGCTGGTGCGCTGCACCCTCTAACTCATCATTTAGCATTAGGTATATCTCCCAATGCTATCCCTCCCCACTCCCCCCACCCCACAACAGTCACCAGAGTGTGATGTTCCCCTTCCTGTGTCCATGTGTTCTCATTGTTCAATTCCCACCTATGAGTGAGAATATGCGGTGTTTGGTTTTTTGTTCTTGAGATAGTTTACTGAGAATGATGATTTCCAATTTCATCCATGTCCCTACAAAGGACATGAACTCATCATTTTTTTATGGCTGCATAGTATTCCATGGTGTATATGTGCCACATTTTCTTAATCCAGTCTATCATTGTTGGACATTTGGGTTGGTTCCAAGTCTTTGCTATTATGAATAATGCCGCAATAAACATACGTGTGCATGTGTCTTTATAGCAGCATGATTTATAGTCCTTTGGGTATATACCCAGTAATGGGATGGCTGGGTCAAATGGTATTTCTAGTTCTAGATCCCTGAGGAATCGCCACACTGACTTCCACAATGGGTGAACTAGTTTACAGTCCCACCAACAGTGTAAAAGTGTTCCTGTTTCTCCACATCCTCTCCAGCACCTGTTGTTTCCTGACTTTTAATGATTGCCATTCTAACTGGTGTGAGATGGTATCTCATTGTGGTTTTGATTTGCATTTCTCTGATGGCCAGTGATGATGAGCATTTTTTCATGTGTCTTTTGGCTGCATAAATGTCTTCTTTTGAGAAATGTCTGTTCATGTCCTTCACCCACTTTTTGATGGGGTTGTTTGTTTTTTTTTCTTGTAAATTTGTTTGAGTTCATTGTACATTCTGGATATTAGTCCTTTGTCAGATGAGTAGGCTGCGAAAATCTTCTCCCATTTTGTAGGTTGCCTGTTCACTCTGATGGTAGTTTCTTTTGCTGTGCAGAGGCTCTTTAGTTTAATTAGATCCTATTTGTCAACTTTGACTTTTGTTGCCATTGCTTTTGGTGTTTTAGACATGAAGTCCTTGCCCATGCCTATGTCCTGAATGGTAATGCCTAGGTTTTCTTCTAGGGTTTTTATGGTTTTAGGACTAACGTTTAAGTCTTTAATCCATCTTGAATTGATTTTTGTATAAGGTGTAAGGAAGGGATCCAGTTTCAGCTTTCTACATATGGCTAGCCAGTTTTCCCAGCACCATTTATTAAATAGGGAATCCTTTCCCCATTGCTTGTTTTTCTCAGGGTTGCCAAAGATAAGATAGTTGTAGATATGCGGCATTATTTCTGAGGGCTCTGTTCTGTTCCATTGATCTATATCTCTGTTTTGGTACCAGTACCATGCTGTTTTGGTTACTGTAGCCTTGTAGTATAGTTTGAAGTCAGGTAGTGTGATGCCTCCAGCTTTGTTCTTTTGGCTGAGGATTGACTTGGCGATGGAGGCTCTTTTTTGGTTCCATATGAACTTTAAAGTAGTTTTTTCCAATTCTGTGAAGAAAGTCATTGGTAGCTTGATGGGGATGGCATTGAATCTGTAAATTACGTTGGGCAGTATGGCTATTTTCACGATATTGATTCTTCCTACCCATGAGCATGGAATGTTCTTCCATTTGTTTGTATCCTCTTTGACTTCCTTGAGCAGTGGTTTGTAGTTCTTGAAGAGGTCCTTCACGTCCCTTGTAAGTTGGATTCCTAGGTATTTTATTCTCTTTGAAGCAATTGTGAATGGGAGTTCACCCATTATTTGGCTCTCTGTTTGTCTGTTGTTGGTGTATAAGAATGCTTGTGATTTTTGTACATTGATTTTGTATCCTGAGACTTTGCTGAAGTTGCTTATCAGCCTAAGGAGATTTTGGGCTGAGACAGTGGGGTTTTCTAGATATACAATCATGTCATCTGCAAACAGGTACAATTTGACTTCCTCTTTTCCTAATTGAATACCCTTTATTTCCTTCTCCTGCCTAATTGCCCTGGCCAGAACTTCCAACACTATGTTGAATAGGAGTGGTGAGAGAGGGCATCCCTGTCTTGTGCCAGTTTTCAAAGGGAATGCTTCCAGTTTTTGCACATTCAGTATGATATTGGCTGTGGGTTTGTCATAGATAGCTCTTATTATTTTGAAATATGTCCCATCAATACCTAATTTATTGAGAGTTTTTAGCATGAAGTGTTGTTGAATTTTGTCAAAGGCCTTTTCTGCATCTATTAAGATAATCATGTGGTTTTTGTCTTTGGTTCTGTTTATATGCTGGATTACATTTATTGATTTGCTTATATTGAACCAGCCTTGCATCCCAGGGATGAAGCCCACTTGATCATGGTGGATAACCTTTTTGATGTGCTGCTGGATTTGGTTTGCCAGTATTTTATTGAGTATTTTTGCATCAATGTTCATCAAGGATATTGGTCTAAAATTCTCTTTTTTGGTTGTGTCTCTGCCAGGCTTTAGTATCAGAATGATGCTGGCCTCATAAAATGAGTTAGGGAGAATTTCCTCTTTTTCTATTGATTGGAATAGTTTCAGAAGGAATGGTACCAATGGTACCAGTTCCTCCTTGTACCTCTGGTAGCATTCGGCTGTGAATCCATCTGGTTCTGGACTCTTTTTGTTTGGTAAGCTATTGATTATTGCCACAATTTCAGCTCCTGTTATTGGTCTATTCAGAGATTCAACTTCTTCCTGGTTTAGTCTTGGGAGAGTGTATGTGTCGAGGAATTTACCCATTTCTTCTAGATTTTCTAGTTTATTTGCGTAGAGGTGTTTGTAGTATTCTCTGATGGTAGTTTGTATTTCTGTGGGATAGGTGGTGATATCCCCTTTATCATTTTTTATTGCATCTATTTGATTCTTCTTTTTTTCTTTATTAGAAAAAAAAGTGGTCTATCAATTTTGTTGATCCTTTCAAAAAACCAGCTCCTGGATTCATTAATTTTTTGAAGGGTTTTTTGTGTCTCTATTTCCTTCAGTTCTGCTCTGATTTTAGTTATTTCTTGCCTTCTGCTAGCTTTTGAATGTGTTTGCACTTGCTTTTCTAGTTCTTTTAATTGTGATGTCAGGGTGTCAATTTTGGATCTTTCCTGCTTTCTCTTGTGGGCATTTAGTGCTGTAAATTTCCCTCTACACACTGCTTTGAATGTGTCCCAGAGATTCTGGTATGTTATGTCTTTGTTCTCATTGGTTTCAAAGAACATCTTTATTTCTGCCTTCATTTTGTTATGTACCCAGTAGTCATTCAGGAGCAGGTTGTTCAGTTTCCATGTAGTTGAGTGGTTTTGAGTGAGATTCTTAATCCTGAGTTCTAGTTTGATTGCACTGTGGTCTGAGAGATAGTTTGTTATAATTTCTGTTCTTTTACATTTGCTGAGGAGAGCTTTACTTCCAAGTATGTGGTCAGTTTTGGAATAGGTGTGGTGTGGTGCTGAAAAGAATGTATATTCTGTTGATTTGGGGTGGAGAGTTCTGTAGATGTCTATTAGGTCTGCTTGGTGCAGAGCTGAGTTCAATTCCTGGGTATCCTTGTTGACTTTCTGTCTCGTTGATCTGTCTAATGTTGACAGTGGGGTGTTAAAGTCTCCCATTATTATTGTGTGGGAGTCTAAGTCTCTTTGTAGGTCGCTAAGGACTTGCTTTATGAATCTGGGTGCTGCTGTATTGGGTGCATATATATTCAGGATAGTTAGCTCTTCTTGTTGAATTGATCCCTTTACCATTATGTAATGGCCTTCTTTGTCTCTTTTGATGTTTGTTGGTT
The DNA here is from genome assembly GCF_000001405.40 of Homo sapiens. NCBI lineage: Eukaryota > Metazoa > Chordata > Mammalia > Primates > Hominidae > Homo > Homo sapiens. The sequence continues at coordinate 78,305,651 of NC_000004.12, forward strand.
TAAAGTCTGTTTTGTCAGAGACTAGGATTGCAACCCCTGCCTTTTTTTGTTTTCCATTTGCTTGGTAGATCTTTCTCTATCCTTTTATATTGAGCCTATGTGTGTCTCTGCACATGAGATGGGTTTCCTGAATATAGCACACTGATGGGTCCTGACTCTTTATCCAATTTGCCAGTCTGTGTCTTTTAATTGGAGCATTTAGTCCATTTACATTTAAAGTTAATATTGTTATGTGTGAATTTGATCCTGTCATTATGATGTTAGCTGCTTATTTTGCTCATTAGTTGATGCAGTTTCCTCTTAGTCTCGATGGTCTTTACATTTTGGCATGATTTTGCAGTGGCTGGTACCGGTTGTTCCTTTCCATGTTTAGCGCTTCCTTCAGGAGCTCTTTTATGGTAGGCCTGGTGGTGACAAAATCTCTCAGCATTTGCTTGTCTCTAAAGGATTTTATTTCTTCTTCACTTATGAAGGTTAGTTTGGCTAGATATGAAATTCTGGGTTGAAAATTCTTTTCTTTAAGAATGTTGAATATTGGCCCCCACTCTCTTCTGGCTTGTAGAGTTTCGGCCAAGAGATCCGCTGTTAGTCTGATGGGCTTCCCTTTGAGGGTAACCCGACCTTTCTCTCTGGCTGCCCTTAACATTTTTTCCTTCATTTCAACTTTGGTGAATCTGACAATTATGCGTCTTGGAGTTGCTCTTCTCGAGGAGTATCTTTGTGGCGTTCTCTGTGTTTCCTGAATCTGAATGTTGGCCTGCCTTGCTAGATTGGGGAAGTTCTCCTGGATAATATCCTGCAGAGTGTTTTCCAACTTGGTTCCATTCTCCACATCACTTTCAGGTACACCAATCAGACGTAGATTTGGTCTTTTCACATAGTCCCATATTTCTTGGAGGCTTTGCTCATTTCTTTTTATTCTTTTTTCTCTAAACTTCCCTTCTCGCTTCATTTCATTCATTTCATCTTCCATCGCTGATACCCTTTCTTCCAGTTGATCGCATCGGCTCCTGAGGCTTCTGCATTCTTCACGTAGTTCTCGAGCCTTGGTTTTCAGCTCCATCAGCTCCTTTAAGCACTTCTCTGTATTGGTTATTCTAGTTATACATTCTTCTAAATTTTTTTTTCAAAGTTTTCAACTTCTTTGCGTTTGGTTTGAATGTCCTCCTGTAGCTTGGAGTAATTTGATTGTCTGAAGCCTTCTTCTTTCAGCTCGTCAAAGTCATTCTCCATCCAGCTTTGTTCCGTTGCTGGTGAGGAACTGCGTTCCTTTGGAGGAGGAGAGGCACTCTGCTTTTTAGAGTTTCCAGTTTTTCTGCTCTGTTTTTTCCCCATCTTCGTGGTTTTATCTACTTTTGGTCTTTGATGATGGTGATGAACAGATGGGTTTTTGGTGTGGATGTCCTTTCTGTTTGTTAGTTTTCCTTCTAACAGACAGGACCCTCAGCTTCAGGTCTGTTGGAGTACCCGGCACTGTGAGGTGTCAGTCTGCCCCTGCTGGGGGGTGCCTCCTAGTTAGGCTGCTCGGGGGTCAGAGGTCAGGGACCCACTTGAGGAGGCAGTCTGCCAGTTTTCAGATCTCAAGCTGCGTGCTGGGAGAACCACTGCTGTCTTCAAAGCTGTCAGACAGGGACATTTAAGTCTGCAGAGGTTATTGCTGTCTTTTGTTTGTCTGTGCCCTGCCCCCAGAGGTGGAGCCTATAGAGGCAGGCAGGCCTCCTTGAACTGTGGTGGGGTCCACCCAGTTGGAGCTTCCTGGCTGCTTTGTTTACCTAAGCAAGCCTGGGCAATGGCGGGCGCCCCTCCCCCAGCCTTGCTGCCGCCTTGCAGTTTGATCTCAGCTAGCAATCAGCGAGACTCCGTGGGCGTAGGACTCTCCGAGCCAGGTGCCGGATTTAATCTCCTGGTGCGCCGTTTTTTAAGCCCGTCGGAAAAGCGCAGTATTCGGGTGGGAGTGACCCGATTTTCCAGGTGCCGTCTGTCACCCCTGTCTTTCACTAGGAAGGGGAACTCCCTGACCCCTTGCGCTTCCCAGGTGAGGCAATGCCTCGCCCTGCTTCGGCTGGCGCATGGTGCATGCACCCACTGACCTGCGCCCACTGTCTGGCATTCCTTAGTGAGATCAACCCGGTACCTCAGATGGAAATGCAGAAATCACCCGTCTTCTGCGTTGCTCACGTTGGGAGCTGTAGGCCGGAGCTGTTCCTATTCGGCCATCTTGGCTCCTCCCCCTAGAAACGGTTTCTTGAAGAAGAGGGTGTTGTGTTTGTCCTGAGGTGTACATGTGTCAATAGCAGTTTAGGAACTAAGGAACCAACTGACATCCTCCTTGTGTATTCTAAAATATTTAAAAGAAAAATGATGACCAGTCCTTTCTGCCGTAGATTACTCACTGATTTTGCTATTCGTCTGCAGTCTGCCATGAGTCCTGTGCAGGTTGCTGGGGCCCAACGGAGAAGCACTGCTTGGCCTGCAGAGATCCCCTCCACGTGCTGAGAGATGGCGGCTGTGAGAGCAGCTGTGGAAAAGGCTTCTACAACAGGCAGGGCACCTGTAGCGGTGAGTGCTGGGTTGCGATGCTGACGTGTCCTTTCCTTTTTCTTTTCCAGCATCTCTTGTTGTATTCAAATCATAGCACATTACCAATGTTTCTTTTACTCAACATATATGTGAATAGCTGCTGAGATTAATCTTTGATTTAGATGTGCATAACACACTTTCCATCAGTGGTATTCCTCTTAATTGCCCCACCAGTCTGCTAGGGTTGGGGTGCTCATTCTAGCCTTGTCCCGCAGATGAAGATAGTGAGGCCCAGGTGGCCTGCTCAAGACCCACAGCTGGAGGGAAAGGAGCTGGGCTCCCACCCAGGCTTTCCTTTCCCCAGATCCCAAACTCTCTACCAACACCAGACTGCCTTCCAAATGTACATGGGGACAAAGAGACTATTAGGCCAGCTGAGGGCAGACCCGCCTTTGGTGTTGGTGCCACTGACTTAAAGCTGAGCAGTTATTATCCATTCTACCTTAACACCCATGGCCATAACAATGAGAGTTAACCCAGCTTAGCACTTCCTTGAACCAGGCACGGTTCCAAGTGCTTTATAAATATTAACCCACTGAGAGGCAGAAAAGTCAGGAGGAAAAGCATGGCTTTCGGCACATTAGTCAATCTCTGTGCATGTCAATTCCCACTTGTGAAACGGGGATAATAGTAGCACCTGTGGAAGACACAATAATGGGCTCCCAATGATGCCCTTGTCCTAATCCGTGGAACTGTCATGTGTTCCCTTGAATGGCAAAGAGGACTCTGTAGGTGTGATTAAGTTAAGGATCTTGATGTGAGGATATTATCCTGGATTATCTGGGTAAGCCCCATGCAATCAATCACAAGAGTCCTTATATGAGGGAGGCAACAGAGTCGAGTCAGAAAAGTAGAATCGAGGATGGACCAGAGGTCGGAGTGATAGAGTGAAGCAAGGAAAATGCCATAAGCATGCAGGTGACTTTTAGAATCTGGGAAAAGGCAAGGAAACAGATTCCACCCCTGGAGCGTCCAGGCAAGGAACAGATTCTACCCCTAAAGCTTCCAGAAGGAACTTTGATTCTAGAACTTCTAACTTCTAGAACTATAAGATGATAAGTCTGTGTTGTTTTAAGCCAAAGAGTTTATGGTAATTTGCTACAGCAGCAATAGAAAATGAATACACCCCCAACTCAGAAGGCTGTTGAGAGATCGAGTTAAGATACGCAAAGCACTTAGGATACTGCCTGGGACATAGTAAGCATTCTATCAGTGTTTGGTGTTTAATCCTCACAATTTCATGAGGTAGATATAACCATTCTCATTTTCCAGATAGGAAACAGAGAGGGTAAGAAACTTGCTTAAGGTCACACAGCTAATAAGGGGCAGAGTTGGGATTCCAGCTTAGATCTTCTGGCTCTGGGCCTTAACTGCCTGTGAACCACTCTACTGCTCATTATAATGTGGTATTTCCTTATGCACCTCTGCCTATTTTTTTTTATTTTCCTTTTCATTATCCTTTCCCCCTTTCCACTTCTTCACCTTCTTCTGTGTCTTCTGTCAGCCTTTAGATGAGCTGGCTACCCCTGTGGACATTGCCAGGTCTGCAGGCATCCTGACAGTAAATGAAAGGTTTGAATTGAGTTTACTTTGATGGTCATACCTATAGAGAGGCCAGGAGGACTTTTTTTTTCATAGCTAAGTCCACCAAATCAATAAAAATGTGTAGCTCATAAAACTTTCTTGAGTTATCGTCCTCATTTTGTTCACTGAGCAGGGCAACAGCAAAAATGAGATGATTTTAGGGACTTGACAAATCCACTTGTCTTAGAGAAGAGAGCTAGCCCTTGGGAGCTGCTTGCTTAAAACTGTGCAGGGATCCATCAGTATTGCCAGTATGAAAAATCTCTCTTGGTATCAATGAGTCACAGGTGGCTTTTGTGTGGATTCAGGAGAGAATAAGGAAAGAAAGGCCAGGCTGCCATTAGCCTGAGCATGTTAATCTTTTTCTGCCAGCATCACTTTCCTGCTCAGTTAAGCCAGATGTATTCTCTAAAGGTCGACAGATGTCAAATTTGCACTAATCCAAGGGCCTAAAGGCATTTACCCTTTAAGTCCCCTGGGATGCTGGTTACTGTCACTGATGGAGGAACGGTGACCCTGACCTGCCACTGAGACTCTACATTATCTGGATTGAGAAGACAACTTTTGCTGGAGAAGTGGTGTATTTAAAAAGAGGAATAGTTAATGCGAGACTGGAGGCTGTAAGAGGTGGGAATCTGCTTTATCTGTACACATTTTGAAAAACATCTCAAAGAAACTTCCAGGCAGGAGGATGGATCATAGCTGACATTAGTCAACCAATGAATCAACAGATCTACAAGTAATTACTAAACACGTCATGTGCTTAGCCTGATGCAAGAGTTGGTGATGCCACTGGTGTTGACCAACAGGCCTTTTAATACACAAAACTGGAGCTTACGCGTTTTATAAAATTGTTACTATTCTCCAAGTTTGTTTCAAAATGACTTCAGAAATGTTCACAGAAATATGTTCTAAAACAACAGTGAACCAACTCACTGATTGGTATCGGAATGTTAATTAAGACGTCAGATGCTGATAATGCTGACTTATTTCCATTTCAGATTAATACTATTCAAGATAAAGACCGGCTGGTGTGGGTTTAACAATTTATAACCTACCAGCCTGTATCTGTAGAAATCTCAAAGTCAAGTACTTAGAAAAAACCAGCATAGCCTGTTATGAAGGGTGGTATGCCCTGGCTGAAAGATCTTACAGTAACCAGGTTCACCTGTGGTACGTGTATTGCGTTCAACAAATATTAGATATAAAGAGTGGGGCAATTCAAAGGAGGAAACCTCCTCATTCTTTTAAGTATTTATGCCATTATGAAGGGCTTTTCGGGCTGCAGCTAACATAATAAATCAAAGCATAATAAATCAGAGGTTTCTGTTAGTCATTCCCTCTCTTTTTTTTCCTTTCTCTTTCTTCCCTCCTTTTTTCTTTCTCCCTTTTTTTAATCTTCATTTCTCTTTTGCACCCATGCAACCATTTTTTAAAATCTTTTTATTTTTATGAGCTTATCTAACTGGGTATTTTTATTTTGAGCGCATATGTATTTAATTTTCTTGAGATGTTACAAAGTGCATGCTGTTTCCTTCTTTTCTCACTCAGCAGTACATTTTTAACATGCACCACGTTGTTCTCTCTCCTAGCCCTTCACTTCTCACTGCTATGTAGCACTCCCTGGTGTGCCCCCGTCATATTACCCATCCACGCTCCCAGTGTTGGACTCCCTCCTTTTTCTCCATCTGCATCACTAGAGAGCACCAGGGAACAGCCTCAAATGTGTTCCTTTGTAAAGCTCTAGAGGGAGTTTCCTGGGATTTATACCCAGGAGCAGAATGGCTGGTTTTTTGACTCTGCATATTCTTCATTTGACCAAGTAGTGCCGGGTTACTTGCCAGAATGGCTGTGCAATCTATATTCCCAAGCATAAGGGTTCACTCATCTCCACATCCTTGCCACCACTTGGCATGATCAAGATTCTGATTTTTTCTGGTCAAGAGGTGTAAAGAGTCAACCCATTAAATTTGCCTATTTCTGATGATTAATGAGTTTGAGTATATCTTCAACTCCTGTTGGTCTTGAAGTTTCCTATTCTATAGATTTCTTTTTAAATGTGCTTTTCCCATTGCTCTATTGGCCTTGCCTCCTTTTATGGAGTTCATTTTATGGAGTTTCCTTGTATGTTATAGATAGTAGCCTTTTTTCAGTTTTAAATATGCAAATTTTCTCACTCTGTTGTCTTTTAACTTTGAATATAATGCCTTTGTTAAACAATAATCTTTGATTCATTATTTTTTGCTTTAAGGTTTTGCTTTTGAATTTTTAATAAGACCTTTGCTAAGGTTCAAAAATAAATTAATCTCTCTTCTATTAATTTGATGTTTTATCTTAACTTAGGTTGTCGAGCCATCTGAAGTCCATATATATATATATATATATGGGTTTAAGTAGGGTCCCATTTGATTTTTTTCCATTTCACGATCCAGTTTTCCCAACATTGTTTAGTAATTCAGCCTAGCCTTCCTTATTTCTCTTTATTGTATATTAAATTTCCATATACACATAGTTCTGTCTGAGCTATAAGATATAGAAATTTCTAAATTTCCATAGTCTAAATTTCTGTTCTTGTACCACTATCAAACTTTTTTTCATTAATTTCTATGGCTTTGTAGTATGTCTCAATATCTGATTGGGAAAATTCCCTTTCTTTCCTTTTCAAAGTTGACTTAGCTATTCATAAGCTTTAGAGCACATTTACTGAATTCTTAAGAAAACTCAACTGGGTCTGGATGTGGTGGCTCACACCTATAATCCCAGCACTTTGAAAAGGCCAAGGCAAGAGGATCTCTTGAGCTCAGGAGTTCGAGACCAGGCTGGGCAATATAGTGAGACCTCATCTCTACTAAAAATAAAAAAAAAAAATTAGCCAGGTGTGGTGATGTGTGCCTGTAGTCCTAGTTCCTCTGGAAGCTGAGGCAGGAGAATCACTTGAGCCTGAGAGATTGAAGCAGCAGTGAGCCATGATCGTGCTGCTGCACTCCAGCTTGGGTGACAGAGTGAGACCCTGTCTGAAAGAAAGAAAAAGAAAGAAAGAAAGAAAGAGAGAGAGAGAGAGAGAGAGAAAGAAAGAAAGAAAGAAAGCTCATCAACTGGAATTTTTATTGATATTACATTGGAGTTATAGATTAGTTTGGGAAGAAATTACATCTTCCTAATAATTTTATTTAGATTTACAAATTTCCCTCTGGGTGTAACTTTAGGTGTGTCTTAAAATGTTTGATATGCAATGCTTTTATTGTTGGTCAATTCTAATTTCCAAAAATTGCTGCAATTTTTCATTTCTTGGAAATTGCATTTAGCTTTTAGATTACTCACTTCTGTTGAGATGTCAGTTCTAGAATTGGAAACCTCAGGAGGTTTTGTGGCATGTGGGAGGGAAGAATGCTTTTCAGATTCATTTTCATTTCTTTGTTCCAGTCCTGAGTTCAGGGGTGATTTTCTTTTTCCCTGATATTAAGGCCATTGCCATAGCCCATTCTCTTACTCTACACATTTGCCTGTGAACAGATGCTGGATTCTCCAGGATGCGAGATGGGACATTTGGCCCCATCATTTAGCGTCTTTTTTCTTATGTTCTCAAAATATTTTTCAGGAGGTTAGCAGGGTGTAGATGGATTAAGGGAACAGACAGAATAAATCTCAGCAGTTCTCTATTTTTGAAACATTGATTCTCTGTAGCAGGAAGGTTTGCTTTTTTTATTTTTAAAGACATTAGCCAACCAGCATAGAAAAGATTGAGTCACAGACTTGCCTGTGACTGCACTCTCCCTCACCTCCTTCCACCCTTCATAAGGAGGCCTTTCTCTGCTCTGTTCAAAGCCAGTCTCTCAACTGTATTTTTGAATATGCATCCCTCTTTTCTCTTAGATATTCTTTCAGCAATCATTCAAACTTTTCTTTTTAAAAATTCTTTCCAGTTTCTATAATTGCCTTGATTTTTTACAATATAAGAAAGACAAAACAACCTTTTCCCCTTTCAATTATTTGTTTCCCTGTTGCCTTCTGTTCTCAGCCTGAGTCCTTTAAAGGAACAGTTTATAATCATAGCCTTCACTTTCATTTGGTCTAATGACTCCACTGAAATGTGTGGCACAGGACACCCACAGCCTGGTTCCTAAGTATAGTGAAACTTTTCAGATGTTATTTGTCCTCTCTGCACCTGTCATGACTTTCTTTTGGAAACCTTTTTCCTCCTTTGACTTCTCAGTCACCATGCTCTTTTTTCTCTCCCTTATCTTTGGATCATTTCTTCTTGGTCACCTGTACTAGTTTTTTTTTCTTCTTCTTCTTCTTTTCTTAAATGCTGATGCTACCCAGGTCCTTGCCCACTTCTGTCTTATCCTGCATACTTTTCCTGAATCACTCAACTAATTTTTAGTTTCAACAATTGCTTGTATATGATGACCCCATACCTCTCCCACGAGCTCCAGAACTGTAAGTTACATTACTCCCTGGATTGTGCATGTTCCAAACTGAGCTCATGGCACTCCCCCACACCTATTCTTTCTTGTACTCTGTGAGCGACATCACTTGTCCCCCAAGACAGGCCCCTGGAAGCCATGTGAGATGGTTTTTTCTTCACTGCTCTCAAATCTCTCACAACCTCCACGGCTCTAATTCAACCCTTAATCATCTTGATTCATGCTCCTTGCCATGGTCTTCCAATGCGGTTTCCAACTCTCCTCTTTACCCTCCAAACTGAGGCCAAAATGATCTTTCTTAGATACAAATACAGCCGTGTTTCTACTGTGTTTAGAATTGCAGGGGTTCAATCTCATTGCCTTTCCTAGGATGAAAATCTAGACAACAGAGTCAGGCCATAGGTTTCTATAATCTGGACTTCCCATTTTTCCAGCCAAATGAAACTACTGTTTTCCTGGGCAGCCTAGTCTCCTCCCAGGTTCTGAGCCTTGGCTTACTTTGCTGCCTCAGCCTGGAGTACATTCCCTTCAGCCTGACATGGTCCTACTGCTTCCTAAGACAATGCTCAACGGTTGCTCCTCTATGAATGCTTTCTTGACTTTTCCACCTCTTACCCCCACCCTCACATTTTTTTTTGAATTTTCATTGTGCCTATATAGATTGATCTGAGTGATATTTTAAATATTTCCAATATTGTCTATTTCTTTTCCTGTATTAGACTACTAAGCTACTTAAAGTGAAAACTAAGTTGATTTTGTTTTTGTGTTTCTAACCCCGGCACAAGACCTGACACAGACCTTAGCATATGTTTTAGGTGGTAAATGAATAAGTGAATGAGATCCTGAAAGACTGTGTGAAGTTCAGCAATTTTAACATAATTTTAGTAGCATGACCTTGCTTAGTAGAATCTTGACTTTCTGAATTCTCTCTCCAAGTAGGGTAGAATAAAGGATAAAATATTTGGTACATACTTATGCTAAAAAACTTTATTATTTATCTGAAATTCAAATTTTATGGAGCATCTGATATTTTTATTTGATAAACCTGGCAACCGCACCTCTAAGGCCATTTTAACTTTAAACCTCATATTAAGTTGGTTACACTGGTGGGTGTGCCTGAGAGTTTTTGCTATGCTTAGTTCAATGAGTAATTCTTCAATTCTCTTTCAACTGTGAAAACAAAAAGCACAGAGTCCGATGAAATGTTGGAATCAAGGAAACAGAATTTTGCTGAGCAGCCAGAAAATGAGATTATGATATTGATACCCATTGTGGATATTGTAAAGAATAGACTTCACTGCTTCTTTTGCTCACTATTGCCTTTCTCTGATGGGTTTTTTGCCTCCCCTTAGCTTGTGACCAATCCTGTGACAGTTGTGGCCCCAGTAGCCCCAGGTGTCTTACCTGTACTGAGAAGACAGTGCTGCATGATGGGAAATGCATGTCTGAATGCCCTGGCGGGTACTATGCTGATGCCACTGGCAGGTGCAAAGGTAAGAGATGGGTCACCATCATCATCATCAAAAAGTATTGAGTACATGTTTGACTATACTTGGTGTTATATGTTGCTAATTTGGGAACTCGAGTGTATGATGGGAAAGCATAACTTTAAAAGATAGCTTTTTTCATTATGAAGCCAATGTGTATTTGATATGGGAGTGGGAGATATGGGTGGATGCTGGGGGACTAGAGTGCTTTCATGAAGGACTTACGCATATTAATCATCATTAGAGTTCATTTGGTCCTTTTGAAATGCCCAACATACAGTCCTTGTTTACTTGTAAACCATCACTAACTTAGGTTGCAGATGTAACAGAATCATTTCTTTTATGACATAGGTCATATATTGGCAACTACAACACACCACAAAAATAAAATTAAAAAGTTAAACCAAGTTTGATAGCTAGTAAAGCTAAAGTCTGTATCTACTGGAAACTTGTTTTTGTGTGCTACTTATATATTGTTTCTTTCAGACTTATGCAGCCTAAACTATGAAACATACCCATTTGAGACTTTATAAATTTCTACCTTATGTATGCCTGACTTGTGTCTTTCCTCACAGGTAACTCTGAGAACTTCTTGTTGCCTGGGACATCTTGATCTCCCCTCCTCTCTGAAACATATGCCCACATCCTCACGTCTACCTACTGTCTGTTAGTGCAGGGTGTTTAGACCCATCTCAACATCTCTCCTTAGCAGCCTCCCCTTTGCCTGCCAACCTCTTTACTCACCTGGTGTTCACCACCTTTCCTCTGTGTCCTGCCCCCACGTTCTCATCCCATCTCTACCCACCACCCCCAACTCCTGACCATGGTCCTGCAGAGTCTTCTTCCCATATCTCACTCCTGACCCCAGCCCTGCTAGAGGCTCAGCCAGGCCATGCCACCAGTACCTGTCCCTTAGAGTCAGAGATGTCCCCATTAACACCAGGGTCAAAGCAGGGGACATGTGTTCCTGACATTGTCATATGTTGTGGTCAGAGTCATTACTGTAATTGTTACTTAAAATCCTAGAATGTCAAAGCTGGAAGTATCTTAAATGATCATTTAGTCCAACCTTTCACTGTGCTCATGCCAAGAAAACTAGGCCAGGAGAGACCCAGGCTTGACTGAGGGCATTGAAGAATTGGTGGAGAAACTGCTCAAAATGCCAGTGCTTCCAACACTCTGACCCATGGCCTTTCCACTCTAATTCATTTAGGCAGTGTGAGGTTTAGGTCCAGACAGACCTAGGGCTAAATCCCAGCCCTGCTATGAATAAAGCATGTCACCGTGGGTAAATTTTTGAACTTCCAAGACCTCAGTCTCCTCATCTATAAAATGTAGTTAATAATGCCTACCTCATAATGTTGTTAGGAAAATTAAAAGTGACAATGTGTAGAAAGTGCTTAGTACAAACACTAAATAAAGGGTAGCTAATAAGCAATATGTAGAGCATGGCTAAATGGTGGGTAAACGGCCATGTGGGCAGTTCTGGCAGTGTAACCACCTCCTAACACATTTTCCCCTTGGTTTGGTGTGACATCCACAGGGGACTAAGAGTCCCAGGCCCGTGAAGCCCAGCCAGGAAGTGGGCACTTTATTCACCCATGTCCCATGGCGTTCTCCCTCTCACTCTCTTCCTCAGTTTGTCATAACTCATGTGCCAGCTGCTCTGGGCCCACACCCTCTCACTGTACAGCCTGCAGCCCCCCCAAGGCTCTGCGTCAAGGCCACTGTCTGCCCCGCTGTGGAGAGGGTTTCTACTCTGACCATGGAGTCTGCAAAGGTATCGTTGGTGTCACCATCATTCTTGAGAGGCTATCCCACAAGAACATAGATTTACTTTTTTCCAATAATATAACTTTCCAGTGTAACTTTTCTTCTAGTGTATCTTTTATGGCTATCCATACATTATATGCATTTTTCATTACAGTAGTTTTGCAAAGGGTTAATCTGAAAAAATTTTATTTGAAAATTTGTGAAGACACTCAAAGTGTTATGATTTTTTTTTCTGGCTGTTTTTAGGGGGAATATTAAATTAAACAAACTAGAACTCTTATTTCCTCCTTTCTCTGCTCTCTTACCTTTGCTAATGTTTTTCTTAGACTTCATTTTGTTTTTCCCTAAAGAATTTCTTTTTGGTAATGACACTGCTGAGCAAACTGAGAGTCACTAGCGATGCCTCTGGGCTGAGTGAAATGGAAAAATCTTAAATAGCTGTTTACCATAAAGGCTTTGGGCTGCTTGGGAGGGCAATATCATTTAAGCATTTTGAAACTAGAATATTGGGAACAAACACTTTAATTAAGTGAAATAAATGTATATTTATTTATACATCAGAATTAAGTGAAATCAATGTATATTTATTTGTATATCAGGCACCTTAGAACAGAGTTTGAGAATAGTTACAAGAACAATGTATTTGAAACAGGAAAGCTGCAACAACTGTTTCAGAAGAGAAAATTTACAGAATCTTTTAAAGAACGGGAGAGTTAATTGTATTCAAATGTGGGCACCAGATAGTTTGACTACCTTATTTGGCTTTGCTTTTCACCAGTAGCCAGGGTAAGCAAAATACTGTCTAGAAAAGCAGGCTTTAGCCAGAAAAATTCTAAGAGGAATTTGTTGCCTGGACCCCTATGTAGTGGGTGTTGGATGACTCATGGGTAATAACACAACCACCATTTTTGCAAAAGATACAGTAATGGCCTCCCTATGAATGGTTCTAAAAATCTGCAATAAAAACCAAGGGCATAATGTTAAATCATCATTTAGTGAGTGTGTTTCTCTGGAGAACCAAGCCAATATTGTCCAGTTTGCTGTTTTTGCTCATTTGTTTGTTTGTTGTTGTTGTTGTCTAGCCCGACAGCCCTTATGGGACCTGGGAGATGTGACTGGTTAACACCACCCCTCACTGTTCCTTTCACAAACATTATTATCACTCTGTGCTTTGTATAGAACATTAGAAAAATAATATGCTGAAAGGCTGCATTTGGTGAACTTTTCTAAGTGGGTTTGATTTAATGAAAGATTTGCAACATATATTTGATCCTTGGATTATTTTCTGCATTTTATTTCCATTTGCAGCCTGTCACTCCTCCTGCCTGGCTTGTATGGGTCCCGCACCCTCTCACTGTACTGGGTGTAAGAAGCCAGAGGAAGGACTGCAAGTGGAGCAGCTGTCTGACGTGGGCATCCCCTCTGGCGAGTGTCTAGCCCAGTGTAGAGCCCATTTTTACTTGGAGAGCACTGGCATATGTGAAGGTAAGCATGATTTGAGAAAGTGTTAGGTAGCCTCTGGGCTTATCTCTTGAGAGATCCTGTGAGGTGGGACCAAAGCCAGGAAGACCGATGTTTAATTTTAGAATGGTTCCTAGATGCTTGTGAATAAAGCAGGAGACCAACGTGCAAAAGAGTAGCCCCCACCAATAGCCTCCCTCCCTTTGTGAACCATAGATGATCTTAAAGAGCTAATCCCTTCCACTCCACCTTTTCCAAGGTTCCATTCGCAGGAGTCCCAGACAGAAATTCTTTCAGGGACCACTATGTGTAGTTACAAAAGACTCAGAGCTCATTGTAGAATTTCATTTATTATTCCTTCTAATTTGCTACTCTGAATATGAATTGGTCCCTTCAGGGCAAAATCTGGACTTCTGTCAGAATTTAGAAGTGATTTCTGCTGTTTGCCTTGGCATATCATCTACAGAGAATTGATGACATCCTGAATAAATAATTTGACTCAATAGCCAGGCCATCTATGAGTGGTTGAGGAGATGAAAGGGAAGTATTATAGTTTCCTTTCTGTTCCCACAAGTAGCCTTGCTGTTGGGTGAATAGTTTGACTCTAAAGCTACGTGAAAAAAAAATCATTAGTTTGTATTTTTCATTGTAAACATATGTTCATTAAAAAAATTTTATAATACACCCACTACCTAAACCCAATTGCCTTTTCCATTTTGTTATAATATCTGAGTCTTTTTTCATATTCATAGCTTTGTGTGTTTATATTTGTAACATAACAGTAAGCATGCTGCAAATTCAGTTTTGTATCCTACAAGTCTACTCACTGAAGTGGCCTCCAATTCAATATACCCTCCCAGTGAAATGTGGGTTTCAAGACTAGGTTAAAAGATTTCAGGCACAAGGTGTCATATGGCACAGCAGGAAGGATGCAGAATTGAAATGCAGAGGCCCAGGGCCAGACACTTAACCTCTCTAAGTGTTTGCATTCACAGTGTTAGAATAGGCTGACATGTAGCCTTTTTGCTAGGCTCAAAGATGGTTAAGAGTGTCAAAGTGGCCGGTAAATTATAAAGCCCTCCTGCTCCGTGGGTGCAAACCTCCATCCATGTACTCAGGTGTCCTGGAACATGATGGGGAATCCCCTGCTCCCTGGGAGGCTCCAGACTCCAGAGGATTTTCATGGTGCCCAGAAATTGAAGGGAAGGTCACCACTCTCCAGACATCCTGGTTTCTACCCATGTATGCATTGCCCAACCTCTCTGTGGCCATTTAAACTCCTGTGGCTCTGTTTTTATAACCACTTGTGGAATATGGGCATCATTGTTGCTGCCTAGTCCCAGTGCTGTCCCAAGGCACATGCCACACAGCCTTCCCCTGTGGTCTGGTTACTTCCAGGTGCCAAAGTGGAGGGTGATGTGGCTCTTTCCTTAGGGACCCCACAGACTCTGGTGGGAGGAGAGGTGCTGGGGAGCAAGTGGCGGAAAAAAGCATTTTTCTCCTCTGTTTAATTGCTTCTCCATTCTCTTCCGTGGGTTTAGGTTTGCCAGACAAGCTTCCTCCAGTCACTTCCGCTTTCTGGCAAAACCTATGTCCCCTAAAGAAAATTATTATAGTGCCTAGCCCTGCTTGATGTGAGGAAAGTACAAGGAGAAAATAGAAAGAGAAAGCATAACTTCTCTCTCCCTCCCTCCTTCTGTCTCTCTCTCTCTCTCTCTCCCGCATTTTACAGAAGTGGTTTTTGTTTGATGGAATCTGTGAAACTAGTCTGCATAGTTTTACACAGCCTTGAACTGTGCACCCTGAGGTTTTTAGTGGAAACCACAGAGGAATTAGACCTCCAGGAACACCAGTCTTTCCAAGAATTCAGAGAGATGCCAAGTGAGACCCCTGGCTTTTGTGACACACAGGTTGAAAGTGGAGGAGCTAGAAAAGCCCACAAGAAATTCCTCACTGTAGCCTGATGATTCTGGTTTTCCCATTGGTACAGTGCTCCCATGAAAAAACAAAGTGACATCTTCCTAGACCACTCAGCGCAGTTAGGTGCTTCTTACAATTTTGAGCACCACATTAAACATTCAAAAATGGGGAATTCGGAGTGGGTTCAGAAATAGTTAGAATTGTAAATAAATAAAAATTAGAGTGACCAGGGTTTTTCAGCCCAGAAAATAATATGACCATTTATTTGATACCCACCATGAGCCAGGCACTGTGAGAAGTGCCTTACTAGTTTTGCTCACTTAGTCTCAATGCCAGCCTTATGGGGTCAGTAGGACAACTGTTGTCCAGGAGCAGAAACTGAGGCTTGAGGAAGTTGAGGTTGTGATGTGCTCAAAGTCATGTAGCCAGCACAGAGTAGAATCCCGTGGGAATCTAAGTCCAGTATCCAGTATCCGTGCTATAAACCATCACGCTACTGTATTCCAGTGGCTGAAGAGTTCAAGGTGGTACAGCTCCTAGTCTCCATTCCATACAGGAGAGAAGCACAGCATACTAATGCTTCAGGGTTAGAGCATCTTAAATTTAAGAAAACATCCTTGACAAAGGGAAGGTTTCTGGGAAGCCCTTTATACAGGCACCTTTAAAAAGATTAGAATCTGACTGGGTTCGGTGGCTCACGCCTGTAATCCCAGCACTTTGGGAGGCCGAGGCAGGTGGATCACCTGAGGTCTGGAGTTCGACACCAGCTTGGCCAACATGGTGAAACCCCATCTCTACTAAAAATACAAAAAATTAGCTGGGCATGGTGGCACGTGCCTGTAGTCCCAGCTACTTGGGAGGGTGAGGCAGGAGAATAGCTTGAACTCGGGGGCGGGGGTTACAGTGAGCTGAGATCACACCATTGCTCTCCAGCCTGGAGTTAACAAAACTTCGTCAAAAAAAAAAAAAAAAAAGGTTAGAATCTAATCCTGCCAGAATGGTTTCATTGTGGTCCCATGTGAAAGGACTGAATTGACCTCTTGAGTCCCTTGTAGCCCTGTGACTTTATGCTCGTTAACATAATATTATTAGATATCATACATATAGCTCTCTACTCATGTTTATTAGCAAATCCCTGTGCAGTCTCACTAGGTAGGTTGTTGTACTCAATTTACAAGTGATGAGAATGTGGCAGAAAGAGGTTAATTGAGTTGCCTAAGATTCCATTGGGAAACCGAGCACAACTACCAATTGTTTCCAACCTTACCTGAGTGTTATGTGTGCTGATTGATGTATTTCCTGTCAGTCATCCCGTATCTCTGGAAACCTTTCTGCCTTCCCATAATCTGTTCCGTTTTCAATTCTGCTGAAGTGCTGTCTATGAATCAGGCCTGGGAGTCCTATGAGATTGCACTGGGCTCTTCTTCCCACATCTTCCCAGAAATATCTTTGCCTCTCTGCAGAATGTTAAAAAGGTTAGATGGGTGTTGTGTGTATGTGTGTGCGTGTGAGTGTGTGCGCACATATGCACTATTGAGGGTTTCTTTTATAGCACCTTTAGTTTCAAATGCTTTCTGTAAGGAAGAGAAAAACAACTGTTTTCTAGAACTCTCCTTCCTTTCTTTGAGACTACAGCACAGAGTGATTAGAATATTACTGCAGCTAATAAAAGCAAGAGACAGATTCTTTATAGGAAGAAGCAATTTACTTAGACACTGAAGTGGTGTCAGCAGTTATCGTAACAGTTTTTACTTTGAGCCACACAACAAACCCTAGTGCAGGATGAAAAAACAATACTACAGATATTTAACTAAAATCCAAGTCTGTGATGAGAGGACAAAAAAATTTAAAATTAACAGTGATCAAAAGGAACACTACTTATTGGAAGCTGGAGGACAGTCTGTCTTTATTCATTCCTCCGGCAAATGTTTGTTGAGTGTCTCCCGGGTGCCAGGCATTTCTAGGCACTGTGAATATACTAGCAAACGAGTCAAATGAAAAGTCCTTTTCTCATGGAACTTATATTTTAGTGAGAGAAATAGATAATAAATAATGAATGAATGAATGAGTAACAGTAGCAGCAACAAAACCCATGGATGCTGGTCTGTGCCCAGAAGCCCCCAGCAAGGTAATGGAGGAGAGAGGAATGGGCTGTTGTGGCTAGAAAGCAGAAGAGCTCTGGTAATATGGCGATGGCCACTTGTATGCATTTGTCCTGTGCTTTGGCTCTTCAAAAAAAATGAACTGGGTGCTTCACAAGGCAGAACTTTGACTTCATGTTTCTTTTTCACAAGGCCTCTATGTTTCCAAAGTGTGGCTAGAATTGCTGGCACAAAAGAGGGTTTGTTGCTAATTGTAAAAGATTGGAGACATTTTCAATAATCAGTCCGAATTGTGCACATTTATTAAATATTACTACTGAGTATTAGCAAAAAGAATTGTAGTAATTGTAGTAATTTCATCAAGTTGATCTCACCAGTTTAGCTGAGTGTTTGCTAGCACTGATAGATTCAAGTGACTTCATAAAAAAGCAAACCCAAACCCAAGAAATACACATCAGCCCCTTGCACAAAAAAACTAAACAAATTACAACAAATTAATAAAAACCTGCATCCCCCAAAACAACATCAGAAAACATTTTTTACTTTTTTATCAGTCTTCCTTCACTGATTCCCATGCCTCTGTGGGTGTCAATCTAGATGAGGTCTGTAGGGGGAGGGGTTTCTCTGCTGCACACCCCCAAGGGCGCTATTCTCATAGCTACCTTTGTGCCTGGCTCCTCCCGGAGTCACTAGTGACAACCAGTGTGGCAGTACGTGGCAGCCCAGGGATGGACAGACAGAGCAAAGGATCTAGAACTGTATGTCTCCTGGAGGCCTTTGCTACTGATGTTCCTTGGATCTATTTAAATTGCTCAGCTCAGCCTCTGATTCTTCTTCTACTATGGTTGAAGGATTTTTTTTTTCTTCTAAAAGGTTTAATTATTTTGAAGACTTAGCTTTTATTTGAGGTCCCTCTAGAACAGAATTTCTCATAGGACTCTCCTGGGAATCTTGTTAAAGATTCAGTCGGGTGGGGGTGAGGTCTGAGTTGCTGCATTTATAACATGCTCCTAGGTGAGGCTGATGCTGCTGATCCCTGGACCACAGTTTGGAGAAGCAAAGCTTCTAATCAAAGAAGAAGCAGCATATCACTTCAGCACTGGCATACTTCTTTCTCTCTTAAAGAGTTAGTAAAACATCCTCGTTTTTGTTTTTTCTCACTGCATGCATTATACATATTACAGAAACTTTAAAAAGTATAAATAAGGGAAAAAGAAAAATAATACCTATTACTAAATTTGATTTAGCAAATAAAAATTCAGGCTTTAGCAAGTTTTAAAAAATGAATAATTTTTATAGTATAAGCATATCCCTAATATTGCATAAGATATTCTAAAATATTATTTGTCGTTTATCTGAAATTCATATTTAACTGAGCGTCTTGTGTTTATCTGGCAACACTACCTATAACCCTTTCATTTTGAGATTACTACTTTTAATCTTATGGCATAAATTCTGACAGTTGTTTATATAACACACACACACGAACACACATACATGTGGGTATATATCCCTTTGTAGTTTAGAAAGTCATCACAACCAATAATTTTGTTGAAAATCTTGAAAGTTTGCATATATCTACTCCTACTTTATAGATGAAAAAAGTGATGCTTAGAAGGAACCAAGTAAAGAATGATTTAGCAATGAGGGATCCTGGGTTCTAATATAGGACATAGTTGCCCAGAACTAATTTACTTACTTTCTTTTTATTAAGCTCAGATTCCTTTTTTTTTTTTTTTTTTTTTTTCTGCATGTCACACTAGAGCTTTACAATTTAATTCCAGGCCAGGCCATCCAATTAATAATGCAGCTCTGTCGCCATTAAACAATTTGGCAGTGGTGACTGGGACTGGATATGAACATGGTCAGAATGATTAGATTAGCCATGTAATTACCCCCATTCCATGGTAAATTAATAATGGAGTCTTTCAATTTCCATGCAGTTCAGCATGAGGATTAAATATGATATAATTTTGAAGACATTACAAGTTTTTATTTTAAAAATGAACTCTGTACAACAATAATGAGTTTTACTTACACATTGTCTAATTTATTATCTCAGAAGAAACACAGTGTTTTAAAAAAGAATGCAGAGATAATAAACATCCCAGCAGTCCCATCCCTGCCTTTTCATTGTACTTAGATTGGTGATGGAACTTTGGTCAGGGATTTATCAGGGGAATTTCAGCAACTAAATATTTCCAGCCTCCTAGGGCTGGGTCTTACTGCACAGAGCAAAATTGCACAAAATTGCTACAGGTTTAGTATCAGTTTTTAAAAAAATAATTCACCAGTTATTTTGGTCAATTAATTAACTTGGTTTAGGTGAATGGGAAGAAATAAAGCATGCTCTGTGTATTTTGATCATTTAGTTGTTGCTAAGACTCACCAAAGGCCTCAAGGCAAAGAGTTTTAATTAAAAAAATACGTGGGCAGGAATCTGCCTGTACAGCTTAAGAGTATGTTACCGTTTATGAAGTTGGAATTCTCTTGCATTAATTGGATTAAGCATATGGAATCTATATTAAGCAATGCCTTTTAATGTAGTCCCTAGAGTGCTGACATGCGCTGTACAAATAGGTGCCTTCTGGTAATGTTCAGTCTTCTTCACTTTCCCCTTCTTGCTTTTATAGCATGGGTGTGCCAGGCTTTGGGGATAGAAAGATGAAAAAAATACAGGCCATGCCTGAAGGAAAGCATCATCAACTAGGAGAGACTGATGTCTAAGCAAACAATGAAAAGAGCATGACACATGCCATAATAGCAGTAGTCACAAGGGACTGAAATAGCACAAAGTAGACGGGCTCTGTCTAGGAGGGAAGGTAGTGAGGAAAGATTTGTAGAGGGAAAACTTTCTATGATTAAGCCTTTGAAGGATTAATGGGAGTTCACCAGGTGAAGAAGGTGAGAAAGGGCATTCTAGGCCAAGAAAACAGTAAGTGCAAAGGCGGGTTTGGAGAAGTACAGCGTGTTTGGTATTCTTATAGTATAAAGTCCAAAGAGGAGAATTGTGCAGAATGACGCTGGAGATGCAGGGTGTGTGTGGGACATTACATGACGTACTTTATGTGCTGTGCTAAGGAGTTTAGAGTTCACACTGTTGTTACTGGTAAACTATTAAAAGATTTTAAGTAGGGAAAAAATTTGGTCAATTCACATTTTATAAAGATCGTCTGGTGGATGTGTGGCAGATAAATAGGCAGAAACAGGGTAGGGCTGGTTAGGAAGCTGCTGCACTAACCCAAGTCATGAATGATGTTGAAGATCCTTATTAAGGGGCTGTGGGAAGGTGGGATAGATTTAACAGAGATTTAGGAAGTAAAATCAACAGAGCTTAAATGGGTTGTGGTGATAGAAAAGTAGAAGATTAGGATAACTCCAAGGTTTCAGCATGAGTAACTTGGTGAAAGGTGGAGCTACCAAGTGAGATAGGGAATAGAAAAGAAATAGCAGGTAGGGGAGTAGGATGTGGGGTTGGGGATAGATAGTGAGTAAAGTTTTGGACTGATGTCCACAATTTACATTAAGTGCATATAGGATGAGCTTAGAAGTAGATGCAGAGTAGTATTTTGGAAGTGAGGAATATGAGATACTTTTGAAACACCCAGAAAAGATATCTCCTAGGTAGTAGATTTATGTGATCAGAGTTCAGGATTAAAGGCCAAAGCTGTACACATAAATTTAGGACTTACTAGCTTGGAAGTCATCATTAAATCTATGGAAAAGTTTGCCCAAGAGTAAGAAAAGGAAGGATAAAGGGTGGAACTGGGGGAAGCTTCAATATTTATGAGGTGGTTAGAGAAAGAGGCTGAAAGAAATTTTCAAAGACAGAAGAAGTAGATAAGTATGATGCCAATGCTTTCATCCATCTATCCACCCCCACACACACTACCTGGCCACCCATTTAGTCAGCAGAAATTCATTTATTGAGAATTTATGACATGACAGGGAAAAGGGACTGTGATAGGCACTGCAGGGATCATAGAGATGAAAAAGATGTGATTTTTACTCTTAAAGAATTTCTAATCTAGTCAGAATGAGAGATTGGGGATGTTGAATCATGTTCATTTAAAAAAAGAAAACACAAAAAGACTGAGCACAGTGGCTGACACCTACAATCCCAGTGGTTTGGGAGGCTGAGGTGGAAGGATTGCTGGAGGCCTGAAGTTTGAGGCTTCAGAAATCTGTGATCATGCTGCTGAACTCCAGCCTGCGTGCCAGAGCAAGACCCTTTCACCAAGAAGAAAACAAAAAGTAACGAGAAGAAGGAAAAGGAGGGTACTCATTTCAATTTTTAGCCCTTATCACCGTACTCCCGTTGTGAGTCTAGAGGATTTTGATATCTACATCATATTTTGAGAGAAGCCCACTCAAAATTTGTTTTTGACATGAAAAGCCAGGAAATTTTGTATGATATGAAAGTAGGGACACTTTATCACTTTTGTTGTATCATTAAAAAGAAAAACAATAGTAGTATCGGTTGTTTGAAATATACATGGAAAATAGAATGAATAAAAATTGATAAGTTTAATTATTTTAGGTACAGTTTTTGCTGAAGTCAGGTTGGCTGGACTTTATAGTCATCTAAGGACACTTTTTAGTGCTTAAGCAGCTCACTTATGCTTTTTCAGAAATATATGTACTTAGCCATCAACTGGAAAGGCAGTCTCTAAAAATGTAGTATTGCATGGAGGAATTATTCATAGAACTTCTTTCAGATATCTCCCATATATGCTCTGTAATGGGTTCAGTCTTCCTTGAAGGATCTTAGACTTCAGACAGAACTCCTGCTATGAAATCAGCTTCCACAGAATGATTAAGCCTCATATAAGTCACTGAAATAGTGTCGATATTTCCAAAACCAGCACGGAATTGAAATTTCATGACTTTTTTTTAAAGGATGCAGATGTTAACACCTGTACTTGCAGAAACAGAGCATTATAGAGAAAAAAGATACTTTAAGAGGATTGTCATCCAGCGTATTCTTTTCCCTCTGTACCCACAGCAACTAACTAGTTCATTATCTAGTTAGTTCTTAAACATTTCCAATGAAGTCTTCTGAAGACTGTCATGGCAACGTTCATTGAGCTTATTTCTAAAATCTAGTGGATGCAAAGGGACTTTCTTCTGGACTTCTTGGCCCACAAGCCTTTCAACTTGTTTGTCTTCTTTACTTTCCTGTTGTATATAATTGAAAAATAACCTTTGTGCACATTGAGTAAGGCTATTACATTCGTTTTGTGACCAAATGAAATGAAATGTTTGTACTCATAATGCACTAATTAATCTTTCTCTAGTTTTTAATTCCACAGTGATACACTTTGATTTCCTATTTATTAAGGAGGTATAACAGGAAGAGCTAGGGATTTTAGCAATCTTGTAAAGTCTGATATAAACCTAATGGTATCATCAGACATATATTTAGGTGTGCAAAAATCTGTTGCTTCAAGATGCTTCCCCCATATTATTCTGCAAAGCTTTGTGTTAACAATATTATTTAGCTGTGTTTTAAAGCATTGCCACCTCACTTTCCTTTACATACTGTTTTATTTTGTGTTAAACATGTCTTAAATAAGGTGCTAAAGTATATCCTTCTTTTATAATAATATTTTCTTAAACATCAGTTCATTCATTTTGTAAAAGGAGTCTGAAAATATTTGGGAAAAAATTCCTAACTGTGAAACCATGCCCTAAAAATTTTGAGGGCCCATCTAAAACTTTAATTTGGGAAGATTGTGTTAACTCACATGCAGTAATTTTAAAAAATGACTCATACGGTTTAGTAATAGACTGGGCACCAAAGGGCTACTTAAAAAATAATTGCTCCTCTGGCTGAAGGGAATGCCTGGAGGCTACTTATTTTATTTCTTATCAGGAGAATGAGAATCATCATTCTACTTTGCATAGGAGGATCAGCTCATTCTTTCCCTTAAAATGGGAAGATAAAGGCATTACCCCCACCAGGCCTCGTATGATACTCCCCATTCTGAGCCCAGAACACCCAGAACTTTGGAAATTGGCTATTGCCATGTCTGAACTGCGAGTATGGGAAGGAAAAACTATTCTGACTGTTGTTCCCACTACCATCCCACTCTCTCAGTATCAACGTAGACCCAGACATTCTGCTTTACTTACCTCCAACCTGACTGTTCCCATCCAGAGTTGTGTTAAGCCTCCTTACATGCTGTTAGTAGGAAATATCAAAATTTGGACAAATAACCAAATTGTCCAATGCATTAATTGTCATCTATACACTTGTATTAACTCCCATTTTGACTCCAGGAAAAGTGTAATGTTGGTTCGAGCTCGAGAAGGAATCTGGATTCCGGTAACTTTACCTAGACCTTGGAAATCCTCCCCCTCAATGCATTTAATTAATGAAGTGCTACAGCGAATTCTAAAGAGATCTAAGAGATTTGTTTTCACTTTAATCGCTGTTATCATGGGCCTAATTACAGTCACTGCAATGGCCACCACTGCCGGAATGGCATTACACTAATCCATTCAAACGGCTCATTTTGTTAATGATTGGCAAGCCAATTTCACCCAAATGTGGAATTCTCAACAAGGCATCGATCAGAAATTGGCAAATCTAATTAATGATTTAAGACAGTCTGTTATGTGGCTTGGAGATGGGGTAGTGAGTCTCGAGTACCACATGCAAATGCAGTGCTATTGGAATACTTCGGATTTCTGTATCACCTATTCCTATAACGAGACTGACCATTCATGGGAAATGGTCAAAGGACACCTTCTAGGTAGGGAAGATAATTTATCATTGGACATAACTAAATTAAAGAAACAAATTTTTGAAGCCTCTCAAGCTCACTTATCCTTTGTGCCTGGAGCTGAGGCATTAGATCAGGTGGCAGAAAATCTTTATGGATTAAACCCCATGACTTGGATTAAGTCTATTGGGGGCTCCACTGTAGTAAATTTTGGAATTATGTTTCTCTGTTTAATCAGCTTGTTTTTAGTGTGCCGGAACAGTCAAAGAATCCTGTGTCAAAATTGAGAGAATGAACAAGCCTTCATCGCCATGGCACATTTATATAAAAAGAAGGGGAGAGATGTTGTGGGAAGTCAGGGACCCCAAACAGAGGGACCGGCTGAAGCCATGGCAGAAGAACGTGGATTGTGAAGATTTCATGGACATTTATTAGTTCCCCAAATTAATACTTTTGTAATTTCTTATGCCTGTCTTTATTGCAATCTCTAAACATAAATTGTGAAGATTTCATGGACACTCATCACTTCCCCAATCAATACCCTTGTGATTTCCTATGCCTGTCTTTACTTTAATCTCTTAATCCTGTCAGCTGAGGAGGATGTATGTTGCCTAAGGACCCTGTAATAATTGCATTAACTGCACAAATTATACAGCATGTGTGTTTGAGCAATATGAAATCTGGGCACCTTGAAAAAAGAACAGGATAACAGCAATTGTTTAGGGAATAAGAGAGATAACCTTAAACTCTGACCACTGGTGAGCCATGCAGAACAGAGCCATATTTCTCTTCTTTCAAAAGCAAATGGGAGAAATATCGCTGAATTCTTTTTCTCAGCAAGGAACATCCCTGGGAAAGAGAATGCGCGCCTGGGGGGTCTCTGAACTGGCCCCCCTGGGCGTGTGCATCTCTTATGGTCGAGACTGCAGGGGTGAAATAGACCCCAGTCTCCCATAGCACTCCCAGGCTTATTAGGAAGAGGAAATTCCCACCTAATAAATTTTGGTCAGACTGGTTGATTGCAAAACCCTGTCTCCTGATAAGATGTTATCAATGACAATGGTGCCAGAAACTTCATTAGCAATTTTAATTTCGCCTCGGTCCTGTGGTCCTGTGACCTCGCCCTGCCTCCACTTGCCTTGTGATATTCTATTACTTTGTGAAGTACTTGATGTCTGTGACCCACACCCTATTCGTATCCTCCTTCCCCTTTTGAAACTCCCTAATAAAAACTTGCTGGTTTTACGGTTTGTGGGGCATCACGGAACCTACCGACATGTGATGTCTCCCCTGGAAGCCCAGCTTTAAAATTTCTCTCTTTTGTACTCTGTCCCTTTATTTCTCAAGCTGGCCGATGCTTAAGGAAAATAGAAAAGAACCTATGTGAATATCGGGGCAGATTCCCCGATAATAGGGCTGTTTTATAATCTTAAAAAATAAAATTTAATTTAAGAAAAAGAACGTTAATTAAAAATATGGGTCTCTAGGTTCTGTTTATCATATAGTAAAAAATACTCTTGAATAAAGCTCTGTAGTATATCCGGGGATGATGATCAAATATTTATTAACCAGTAAGGCAGGGGCACTGCCCAGTGAGAATGGCATTGACCTCAGTTCAGGAGCAGAGTCCTGGGAATCTCCTGGTATGGGTATTAGCCTGTAGGTGTCAGGCTATGAGTGGGGCAGGGTGCTAGGGGTGGGGTCAAGGCTGCAGCAGAGCACTGGAAGGCTTAGGGCAACAGTCATATACCAACCTGCATGGAAGTAGTTCAATACTTTAACCACCAGTACTGACGAACCAGGACATTCCAGCTGAACATTAGCTCCATATATATATTAAAGATTCTATGTTACATCTTATTAGGGGTTGGTGGCAATGGAGATCTCAGTGGTGAAAAATCACTTCTGGTCCTTCCAAGCCAGCTGAGGCACAGTGAATGTACTCAGAGGGTGTCTCTGCAGTCTGGTGGATCTTGTCCATTGGGCAGAAGATGGCCTGAAATGCATGGGGTTATCTGCATGAAGAACCAGGTCTTTGTCTTACTCATTATTGTATCCCCAGTACTTGAAGCTACTTGAGGCTCAATGACAAATGAATGATTGGAGATAAATGGCTGGTTGTTTTAACATGTAGTTTTTATTATTCCGATGTGTTGAGGCCAGAAGATCAGGAGACTGTTGCCATTGAAAAGTTTGTTACAGCTTCGAAGAGGAAGGGGCACCTCATAGCATAAAAGGCCACAAAGGGGAGCACGAGGGTCAGTCAGGAGGCAGAGGTGATGGGGGGAACATGGGCAAGAGACTTTATTCTAACGTCAGTAGAAAGGAATGGGTGAAGTAGGGTAAGCAGGCTTAGGATTGGCTAGTTGGGATAATTACAGCGGTCTGTGAGGTATGGAGACTGTCTCTAGTTGTCTAGTACCTGGCCCCAAGGCAGAAGAATAGTAGCCTGGAGTGTAAGCGTATGATAAGGGAGGTGGTGGGAGTGTGAGTTCTGGACTAGTTAGTTTGCATATGAAAGGCATGCTCCCAAGGAAATCATTTACTATCTCCAGGAATGTAGCCCCGGGAGGGCCAGTCTCTCCAAAATCTGCTTGGTTTCAGATGTCAAAGAATCAAAAATATAGAAAATAAAAAGGCATGATTAAGACAATGGCTACCCTTGAGAAGTCATGCAACTATCCCCTTTATCATTAAAGGTCTGATGAAAGCTAGCAGAGATGTTTTCTTTCTCTTTGCCTTTAGTCTCTTTTCACCTGTGGGTTGTTCTAACATAGCACTTAATGCTAATGCTTATAGCCAAGATTTATTAAGCCCTTACTACGTGTCCAGCACTATCCTAAGAATTCACATGCATCAGCCCAATTAGTGTCCACAACACCCCATGCAGTATGTTCTGTTTGGATTTTTGTTTTATAGATGAGGAAGCAGGAGCCTTGAGAAATGAGTTAGTCAAAGTCACATAGAGCTATGCTGTGATGCTCTTATTCTCTGTGCTATACTCTTTCATTCATTCTATTTCAGTAGCTTGCTTGGGTGTCTGTTGTAGCAACTAGTTTGAGCAGCTCAACATGTTGGGCAATTCTCATCTGTGTATGCCCAGTCTCCATCATAGCGTAGGCACTTTATAAACCTATGTGAAATCAATAAGTGAAGCTCTCACCAGCTTTTCCCTTTGATTTGAGCAACCCGATAAGCAGCAGAGTATCTAGTGATAGACAGCTGTCCCAAGGGAGGGAGAACTGTTTTCTGGCTTCCTGTTTTTTATTTGACATTCTCTGAGAATGGGAACTTGGGAAGCAAGAAATGTATGATTCTGTAAATGTTTATTTCTGTTTTGAGGCACATGTGCTTTACTTAATCTGAGTTCCACAAATGCTTGCTTTGCAGGAGACTGCCTTTAGAGGGAAGTGTGTGAGATGTGCAGCCTGTCATTGGGAAAACCAAGTGAATGTACAGAACATACTCTGACCCAGGAATGTTAATGGGAGAGATAGAGTTACTGTCTGTGTCACGTGGGGCTTTCCTGATTGTCTCCTTTGCTTTATCTTTCCCCCAGCTTGCCACCAGTCCTGTTTCAGATGTGCAGGGAAAAGCCCACATAACTGCACAGACTGTGGGCCTTCCCATGTGCTGTTGGATGGGCAGTGCCTCTCCCAGTGCCCAGATGGCTACTTTCACCAGGAAGGTAGTTGCACAGGTGAGTATGTAATGTGCTGAGGCACATTGCCTATGACCATGTTTTGTCTTCAGAGCATAGCCAGACACTGTAATTAGAAACCTTGTCATACCGGGGACTAAGATTCAGCTGTAAATCCTTGTCTTGAACTTGCAGATTCAAAGTATAGAGGGAGGGGAACAAGTGAAATTTAGCTCTTCCAGTAAGGAAGCATGGAAATAAAACATTAGAATCAGCTTTACCCTAGAAACTATAATATTTGAATAAACTCTGAACTTGGTTTTCTCTTGCCTGGAAGACAATGATCTGAATAAATAAATCCTGTCGTGGACTAAATAATGACCTTTATTTCCTAAAAGAACTAGAACTTAGTTCAGCATAAGTCTTTGTTGCTATGGCTTAAAGAGAGAGAGAGAGACAGAGAGAGAGAGATAGGGTTCTGCTGTTGCCAAGCTGGAGTGCAGTGGTGTGATCACAGCTCACTGCAACCTCACCTCGGCCTCCTGGGCTCAAGCAGTCCTCCCACCTCAGCCTCATGAGTAGCTGAAACCATACATATGTGCCACCATGCTTGGCTAATTTTTTATTGTGGAAAAAGTGTTGCCCAGGCTAGACATGAACTCCTGGGCTCAAGTGATCCTCCCACCTTGGCCTCCCAAAGTGCTGAGATTACAGATGTGAGCTACTGTACCCAGCCTGTGGCTTTTTAAAAAAGTTTAAAAGTTTATGTTTCTGATTATTAAAAAGATATGTGCTCATTGTGGAAGGATTGAAAGTTCAGAATAGGAAAAATAAATGGGGGTTTGGGGATAAAGATAACTGATTATGCCACATCTTAGAAGCAACAAATATTACCCTGGTGATAGATTCCTTTTTGATCTACTTTTTATGCATGTTGTTACATAATTGAGAATAAATTAGAGCTATACTTTTTAATATTTTTTTCAAAACATAAAGTCATAACCAATTTTCTTTTTTTTTTTTTTTTTTTTTTTTTTGAGACGGAGTCTTGCTCCGTCACCAGGCTGGAGTGCAGTGGCACGATCTCAGCTCACTGCAACCTCCGCTTCCCAGGTTCAAGCAATTCTTCTGCCTCAGCCTCCCGAGTAGCTGGGATTACAAGTGCGTGCCACCACACCCAGCTAACTCCTCTATTTTTAGTAGAGACAGGGTTTCACCATGTTGATCAGGCTGGTCGTGATCTCGTGACCTCGTGATCCACCCGCCTCAGCCTCCCAAAGTGCTGGGATTACAGGCATGAGCCACCATGCCCAGCTGTCATAAGCAATTTTCTATGTGATAAAATGTTATATGTACAGATACGTGTGTGTATATTTATCGTTTTCATGGCTGCATATTATTCTATTTCTTTTTCTTTTTTTTAAGAGATGGATTCTCACTCTGTCACCCAGGATGGAGTGCAGTGGCATGATCATAGCTCACTGCAGCCTTGAACTCCTGGGCTCTAGTTATCCTCCTACCTTAGCCTCTCAAGTAGCTGGAACTATAGGCATACACCACCATGCCCAAGTAATTTTTTTTAAATTTTTTGTAGAGACAGGGTCTCACCTTGTTATCAGGCTTGTCCTGAACTCCTGGCCTCAAGCAATCCTCCCTCTTCAGCATCCCAAATCGCGGGATTACAGGTGTGAGTCACTGTATCTGGCTCCATTTCTTTTCACATAAGAAATGAAATTTGGCAACTGGGACACTTGAGGACACTAGGGCGATCTTTTACTTTCTCCCTCTTAATGAGGTACTGCTCTGGTTGTCAATTATTGCCTAATAAACCACCCTAAATTTGTGGCTTAAGACAACAATTGTTATATTTCCCAGTTCTGAGGATTGCTGGGCAGCTCTTTCTTCAGATCCTGCAGGTGGGCTCTTCATTGACGTCTGTCACCTGGGTTGGTCAACAATCTCTTACTCTATGAGGCCTCTTCTCGTGGCTAATTGTACTTCCTCATGGCATGGCAATCTCAGCTAGTCAGTCTTCTAATGTGTCAGCTGTCTTCTCCTGGAATGAGTATTTCAAGAGACCTAAGCAGAAACTGCAAGCTGCCTATCACCTAACCTAAGAAGTCTCACTGTCACTTCTGCTATATTCTGTTGGTCAAAGCAAGATAACCCATATTTGAGCGGGTGAAGGAACAGAATACACCTCTCAGTGGAGGAATGGCTTATGCACACAGTTAGGGATGGATTTGATTATCTTCATCATGGAGACAAGCTACCTTGGGTGTTAATGCACTTGTATGGAATCAAGAATTTGGCACAGGTAACTGTGCACTTCCCAGCCCCACTTTCCCCGGGCTACAGCAGAATAGAGCAAAAGGAGATGGAGGTATTTATTTCCTTCTTTAACATGTCAGTCCAGTATGTTTTTTAAGATCACCTTTATGTTTTAGTGACAGAGATTTTGAAAATCACTAGTTGGGATTAGTACAGAATTTTGTTGGAATTGACACAGTACTAAAATTTAAGGACTTTATTGTAGCACCGTGTGTGGTGGTTTTTTTTTTTTTTTTGGTATATACAGGAAAAAAAACATTCTATCATGATTTCTCTTTTATTTCTAAAAAATAGACAGTTGGGGCCTGCTGATAGGAAAAAGCCAACTGATATGAAATTATATTACATGAATTTCTGGAGTCAGTAAATGTAATAAACTTATGACATGTTTTTAAAATAAATTAATATCTGTTACATTCATCTAGCCTTAAACTTCAAAGAAGTGATTTAGAATGAACACAAATTTAGATGATTGAAGATCAATATTATATTTGTTCTGGAATTCTTTGCCTTTTTCTAACTGTCTTTTTAATCTCTGCAGTCCCCTGGTGAGTTGCTTTACTTTAAATACTCTGTCAAGCTCAGTGGGGGAATGTTCCTGGTTTCTTTGTCATTAGGATTGCCCTTGAGAGCTGTTTCTATCCTTAGGTGCTTTCATCCTAGCCCAGCTGGTTTTTGTATGTATAAAATTGTTTAGGGGAGGAAAGTCTGGGTAGATCTAGCTCTTCTCTGTCCATGCCTCTTTCCGCTGGGAGCCAGCAGATGGATGGTACCATAAGCAGCAGGGCACCCAGGTCACTGGAAATATTCTGATAGGGAGGAAGAACTGGGTGTTGGAAATCATCCAGAGAATGCTATGTCTTTTGGATAGGTGCTTTCAACATTGAGAGCCTCAGGAATGTAGGAGGGGTGAGAGTGCTATCCTTCTAATCAGCAGTTTATTTTCTTGCTTGCTTGCTTTTTTTTTTTCTTAAATAACTCCTTATCTTCTCTTGGCCTCTTGCCAGAATCCAGAGGCTTTACTTGAAATCTGTGCCTTTGCTTCCCACCAGCCACGTGCCAGGAGGGAATTCATCAGTTCCTGCAAAATCTACCCAGCTCCAGCCCTTCACATCCCCTCCTCTTGGACTCAGACCTGCTTAGACCTCCTTGTCCTTGGCAGAGAAGTTCTTAAATCTGCTTCCATGTGCTTGCTCCTGCTGCTCCCTTGGCAGCGTCAATGCAGCTGCAGCTGCAGCCGCCTCTGATTCTTTGCCACCCTTATCCTTATTGCTTACACCTTACCGTGACTCTCTTGGTTTGTTTCAGTGTTGTATCTCTTGTTAATTTGGTGGTTTTTTTGGAGAAGACATAGCTTTGGCATAACTTTGTCTCTAAGGAATTGAACTTCAGAGGCAGCTCACGATAACCTCCAGAAAGAGGACTTTTTCTGTTCTTTGTATTTTAATTAAGTATTGCTGATAAAATAAGCATCCCAGTGGTAGTGGCTTGAAGGGAGTGTCTGGATGGTGCCTGACTCTAGAGAGAAGTTGCAGTATAGTTTGCTGTGTGTGGATTCCCCCCTCATCTGCTAGAAATTTCTGAGAAGCAAAATGTCCCCTTCTTCTCCCTGTCCCACTCATTCTTTGAGTCATGGTATGTTAGGGTCAGGGAGTCCTACCACTCGTGTTTCTGCTCTGTGACTATGATTTGAACTTCCTTACTTACACAGATGGAGATGATCATGCTGGTCTCTCTGGAATGTGTGGCCGATTTCTCACATATTTATAGTTCTAGATTCCATATTGTGTTCATGGACAGTACTGCCCTTGACATCAGAAATGCAGTCTCTAGGTCAGGTCCAAGGGTGTGCCCGGCTTGCTCAGGAATCTTCTAAAGATGATTAGAGTTGGAGGTCTGCTTTTAATGTAATTTGTGGAATGCATTAAATACTTCACGCATATACATGCTGAGCTGCTAATTCCAATCCTGGTTTTCGTCCCCCTGCCAGAGTGTCACCCAACCTGCAGGCAGTGTCATGGGCCGTTGGAGTCTGACTGCATCTCCTGTTACCCTCACATCTCTCTTACCAATGGTAACTGCAGGACCAGCTGCAGGGAAGAGCAGTTCCTCAACCTCGTGGGATACTGTGCTGGTGAGTGAAACTCCTGTGGACTCCTCGGAAATCACTGGGCAGCTGCCGGGGCTCTTCATACCAGGCTTAAGGGGGCTCTTTGTCCTCAGTTTATGAGCTCTTTTATAGGAGACATTTGTTTCATGTCTGGAAACTCATGTTACTGCTTCTCCTTGGGCATTTAGTAAATACTTGTGGATTTAAATAGAACTTCTAATAATACTCTTGCAAATCCTGAAAATCTCAGACTCTCATATTAATGAAGAATGAAGTGATGATAATAGCACCTTTATATGCATTCAAAACTTCTTAAGATAGCAAAAAGTGTTCTGAAAATAAGTCACTCCAAGCCTTCCTTTCTCTTGTCTGCATTTTGTCCTGCTTCTTGTTGTGGAGAATCTTTGCCATCAGCCCCAGACACAAAATTTTAGAGAGATTAACCTAAAAGTAGATCAGTTGCCTTAGGAGATGGGATTTTTTTTTTCTTCCTCATTTTAGAACTCAGATCTAAAAAAAAAAATTAGGAAAGCAGTCTGAAATTTGAATAATGTTGGAACCAGACATCATTTATGTTCATCTATCTATTCAGACAACAAATGTGCATTTTTGAGTGCCTACTAATGGTCAGATGCTCAGAATACAGGAAAACGATGAAGGAGACAATGACTCCACCACCAAAGAGCCTATAGACTGGGGAGGGGAATTTACTGGGTAATGGGTTATTGTATATTTCTTGATCCACTTTTTCAAACTCTGGGAAAAACTTGCAGAGCTTCTCCTTTATTAGCTGTTGCCTCAGCTCAGAAGGGCTGAACTGGGGAGATCCTGGGATGCTACTGGGCAAATGGGAAAGGTGAGAAAGTGTGCTGAGAGGTTGACCAGGCTGTCAGGCTTGTTCTGGAGCAGGGAAGAGGCATGGCCAGTTGTCTAGATCACAGTATCCAGCAGGCACATTCAGTCTGGGATGGCGCTGACATCTCGGCTGTTCGGTCTGGTGGATTGAGGGTGGGGCGGGGCACAGCAAGTCAGTGGCTGTGCTCCCTGTGGCTGGTGGTGCCATGGTCCAGGTGACCCATTTATTTTTGCATATGACATTAAAGACTAGACATTTTGGTATTAAGGTCTATATCCTAAGAAAACCAAACTGTCAAGCACAGGGCTGCAGCCCAGAATGCTGGATTCGGAGCGGAAGCCCAAGTGTAGAGACTGTGCAAGCCTTTTAGGTGCAACAAAAAGTGGAAATTCAGAGTCCAGGATTTGGACTAATCAGAATTCCTATCAGCTGTAGGATGTGAGTCTATTGCTAGTGATGTTAGTCGTAGTCAGGACTGTCTTGGAAAGTGGGAAAAATGGGAGATAGTAGTGCCCATCCCTGAAAGAGAATCTGGGGATGGAAGGGGCTGTTATTACAGTTTGCATGTTTGAGTTTAGCTACTTATTATCACTTTAAGATATGGAGGAGCAGCTACTCTGAGAATTAAATTGCTCCCTACGTGGCTAAAGCGTATTGGTGGATATTTACTGAGAACTCACTGAGCACAAGGTGCCAAGTT
Source organism: Homo sapiens (assembly GCF_000001405.40). NCBI lineage: Eukaryota > Metazoa > Chordata > Mammalia > Primates > Hominidae > Homo > Homo sapiens. The sequence continues at coordinate 78,339,350 of NC_000004.12, forward strand.
GATGTTTGAGGGGGATACAGAGGTCTTCCAGGCTACTTAAGGAGGTGAACCAAAGACACAAGTGTAGTTAACAAATGGTACAAAGCAATTTAGGGACAGTAACACCAACCAGTAATAAGGGCTGTAGGAGTTCAAGGTAGGGAGAAGTAACAAGATATGGAAGGCATTATGCGGGGGGGTGGAACCCAAAATATTTCCAGAAGAATAACCAGGATCCTGTGAGACAGAGGGAGATCTGGTGGGCTTTCTGAGCATGGTTTCACCAGGAGACAGGCCCAGCAGGTATAGCACGTGGGCCATTCATGACTAGTGAGTCCTCTAACCTGGGTGACAAACATGGTTGGTATTAAAGCATATTAGTTAAAATGGTTGGGAAATTTAGATTCAAACCAGAGTATAGAAAGTTCAAAGTTTCAGGCCAAAAAGTTTTGACTAGATTTTGTGAGCAATAGGGCCATGAGAGTTTTGGAGAGGACTGTAGCTTGACTAAGGGTGTCTTAAGGCAAGAAATCTGCAACTTGTATGGAAAATGGACTAACATAAGGAGAGATTAGAGTCAGGGAGAAGAGTTAGAAGGTAGGACCTGAATTATATCCTTCATGATGGCTTTTTTATTTAAAATGTAACTCTGAATGTGGGCCCTAAAAATTTTATGCTAGGGCATATTTAAAAAATACATGTTTATATAAGGAGATTAGAAAAATTTAATTTTTAATGAGCTCTGTTCTAATGTCCAGAGTGTTCTTTGATAGTAAATTAGGTGATTAGGACTTGCATTAATTTTTTAAGGCTAATAGGGAACCTTTAGAAGGAGAATCACGGGACTGAGCTAAACAACTCTGGAAGCCCCCAACCCTAGAAGAGAAGGTCCTACCAAAATAAGCTGAAAAGGAAAATCTTGGCTGTCCTGGGAATTAGGTGTATTAAGTAATGGTTTTAAATGAGGTAACCATTGTCTGGTGCTTAGAAATCATTTATTGATTAAAGACTGGTGTAATAGTATTTATTATAAAAAAGTTTGATCAGTAATTTCAGTTATTGAACTTTCAGAGAACTGTGCTGACCCCAAAGTTTACTTTTTCACTAAATGTATGACTTATCTAACACCTCTACTTTTCTCTGTAGCATTGCAATGCATTCACTCATGTACAGATTCATCAAACATTTATGAAGCCTTTGCTCTGTGCCAGGCATTGTACTGGGCTCTGGGGATATAAAGACAAATCAAATATGGAGCTTGCCTACAAGAAATGGACTCTTTAGTGAATGAAAGTGTTAGTTTGCTAGGGCTGCCATAACAAAATACCACAGACTGGGTGGCTCAAACAATGGAAATTTATTTTCTCCAAGTTTTGGAGGCTGGAAGTCCAAGATCAAGGTGCCCGCAGGCTTGGCTTACTCGGAGGCCACTCTCCTTAGCTTGTAGATGGTGGCCCTCTTGCTGCCTCCTCTTTGCACATGTGCCCCTGTTTCCCTCCGCATGTCCTAATCTTCTCTTCTTATAACTATATTGGTCACATTGGATCAGGACCCATCCTTTAATATCCTTATTTTAACTTAATTACCTCTTTAAAGGCCCTATATCCAACTACAGATATTCTGAGGTACTGGGATATGGCCTCAACACATGAATTTTCAGAGAATGAATTCAGCCCACAACAGAAGGGAGTGGGTGTTTAGTATGATATTGCTGTGGTACTCTGTGCATAGTGCAGGATATGAGATGAGCCCATGGAACAGGACCCTGACCCACACTGGAGTGTGTGTATGTGAGTGTGTGGAGTGGGTATGAAAGCTTTCCGGAGGATGTCACAACTGAGATGATTTTAAAGGTGAGTGAGAATTAGAGGAATTTGGAGCTTTGGAGGCAGAACATTTCAGAAAATGGGCCAAAGAGGATTATTTATTGAGACACCCATAAAGAGTTGAGTCCTGTGACAGTGGTGAGACTTGAAGTGGGAGGGAGCAGGACTGGTCTGTAGGGCCTTGGTACACCCGTGGGGATGCCTTGAAGATTCTGGGAAGTGTCGCGACTGCATTTCTGTGAAGAGAAAGATCTGCGGAAGATGGCTTGGAAGAAAACACTGAGGCAGAAAGTTCTTTAGGAGGTAGCTGCAGAAATCCAGATGAGAGAAATCCTCTAATGAGAACGTTGCTGAGGGGATAAAGAGAAGGGGTCACGATTTCACCAGGTATTAATAGTATGTTAGGTTGGCTCATCTCAGATTGCTGTTTTGTCTGCAAAAATGGTCTGAGTGGCAATTTCATATGATTTAACATAATAGAAGCAACAGAGGTTGGTGCTCCCTCAGCCCTGGGGGGTAAGGGAGAAGGAGCTTTGCAGATAGTTTCCAGGTTTCTGGTCACAGAAATTCGAGGGGTGGGAATACCATTTACCAAGGGTAGGAATAGATCTAGGAGGCAGTGAGGAAAACAGTGTGCTTGAATTTGGCCAAGCTCAATTTGGGGTGAGAGTTGGACATCCCAGAGTGTCTCTCCAGCAGGAGGTTAAACGTATAAATTGACAGGTTTCTTACTCTAGCTACTAGGAGCTTGTCTCCTCTCTCAGTGTTGCCCTGAACCTAAAGTCCTGGAGTTGTTTTTAACTAAAGTATTGCCTCAGTCAGGTCATAGTTAACCTCATAGAATGTTTAGGTGACTTTTATCTAAACTCAGGAAGGTGTTAGGAGAAACCATGTGATGACAGGCAAAGCCGAGGATAATCTACCTTGTGCGGGGCTGGCAATGTAATATCCTCTCCGTGTCCTTGGGAAGTCCTAGCTCATGGGAAGTCCCGGAGAAGGACCCTCTCTGCCTGCTCTTTCGTGTATGTCCAAGCGCCTCCAGGGTGGTAGGGTTTCCTCTCAGGATGCATTCTCTATTTGACTTGGAGACCTCTTAATTGTACTTAGCTGTTTAAAAAAGAAAATGACATCAAATCCAGCACACCGCCAAGAGTAAACCCATCCTGGGAGCAGGTCCAGTAACCTCAGTGTGTCTCACATATGGAGATGTCATATGTGTGGGGTTTCTTCCTCCAAGTCTATCAAAGCAAATATAAAGTATGTGAGATTTAGGCCAGAGCTGCAGGTTTTCAACAAAGATAAATGAACTGAGGTGAGAGGCAGCTGTGCATAATTGCGGGAGACACAGTTACTTTCTATATGGAAAGCCAGGTTTTCTTTTGTCATAGATTAGAAAAAATTTTTTTTTTGCCCACATCTCAACAACATTAACAGAAAACTCCAAAGCCTGAGGTGCTTTCTGCATTTCTCTTTCTCAGCTAAAAGCTTCCTCTTGTTCATAGAATAGGGTAAGAATTAAAAGGAAAACAGATAAACACCTGGGGGCGGGGGAATGTCCACATGCAGATGCATTTTTTAAACAATGCTTTGAGTTTTGTGGACTGCCTGATGGGATGGCTATGTTTTTGAGTTCTTATGTAGAAAGAAGATAATATCAAGGGTAATATTGCAGAGGGGAAGACCTGAAAAATTAAAATAGTTTTTTTTGGGTAGTGAAAGTCTGGGGGATTAAAAATTTGTTATTGTTTATGAAGTATTTTTTTAAATGCAGGTTTGCTCTTTCCACAAATCTGTGTGAGAATGTGAGCAAAAGAAGACAAATATCAGTAAAGAAATATACTTTGAGTATTTTCATACTGTATTCCTATTCCACAGAACTCAAATTCTAAACAATGGTTAATAGGTGTTGCATGCAACAAAAACAAAAACAAAAAAACCTCCTGGCCAGATAAATTTGGGATTGACTCGGTTACATAAAGGTAAGCAACTTTCTTTATTGCAGGATTTCTGAGAACCTTAAAAATGCATATGTGTGCTGTGAATCTTTAAGATGAAGATGGCCAAACATCATTTCCCGAGCACTGAATTGAAGACCCCTTCCCTTTATTATAGCCTCTTACAGGGTTAGCCAGTGATATGCAGAACAATATTTTGGAGTCCTTAACTAACTGATATTTATACTTTGAACAATTGGTTTGCACCCCATAAAGGTAAAAGAAAATCATGAACCTGTATGCAGGTTGTAGACCAACTGACTTCCCTCCCTCCCTCCCTCCCTCCCTCCCTCTCTCTCTCTCTTCTACCCTACCTTCTTTCTTTTCTCTGTGGGCAGGCAGAGAGGTCACGCAAGGAGGTGCGGGTTTGCCACCCTTTTGCCTGCTGAAGAGCATTGCTGTTAACATTTTTCTTCCACATCATAAATAAACACTTTTGAGTCCTTTCCATGATTTTTCCCATTTATTGTCACCATTTCTGAAAGAAGGGCACTAAAAATGTGGTGAAAAAGTAAAATTGCTCAAATTTAAAGAGCAACACATCTTTATTTTGGAATAAGCTGATACAACTGCAGCACTGAATAACAGGGGGGAAAACCCAGTTTAAGTTGAACATAATTAAGAACCCTGGAGGGAGCCTGGTACGAGCCAGGGCACCAGCTCTCTGTCTCCCCTCCAGACACAGTGACTGGAAGCCAGAGAAGTGAGAGCCAGTTCTGTTTTAAAGCAGCTTCTACTGTGCGGGGGAGGTGGGTTGGCACCGCCCTATATCTTGCTGTGGCTGCTTCTGCAGTTATAAATGGAAAGGAAGAAAAGAGCCATAAACTTTAAACATGTAGCTGTTGTTGCCTTATTTTGATCACCAAATCCTACCCATCCATCCCTCAATGCCTGGTTCAGATTCCTTCCCCTGATCACCAAATCCTACCCATCCATCCCTCAATGCCTGGTTCAGATTCCTTCCCCTCCAGGACCAGCTTCTGCTTGGCATCTCCCCTGTTAGAATTTCTAGTATGCTGATTATTTCTACCATTTACCTAGCACTTGGGCTTTGATCAGCTCACGTTCTCTGTGAGTGATCTTTTCATGGGTATCTAATAATAGGTGCCAGTTCTGAGGGCTTATTATATGAAAAGTGCTGTGCTAATTGCTTTGAATGCATTTTACCATTTAACATTCGCAATGATCCTCGAAGGTAGGTACTAATTTTATCCCCATTTTTACATGTAAGGAGACTGAAACTGTCTAACAGAGGTTAAGTACCGACTCCAAATGATAAAAGTCAGGAATGATTGATCCGAGATTTGAACCCAGAGAATGTGATTCCAGAGTCTGGAATGTGATTCCAGAGTCTGGAATGTGATTCCAGAGTACTCAACCATTTTGTACTCCATGATGCAAGTACAATTGCTTGCACACAATCGGGGCTCAAGAATGATTTTTTTTTTTTTGGTTGGTGAATTAAAAAGTGCATTGGTAGGTGGATTACTTGATTGGTGGATTAAAAGTCAGTGTGATAAATAGAGTGGCTCGGAGAGGCACTGTTGGGAAACATTGCACGAACTTGCTGGTCTGTTTTAAATGCTAAGGAAGCTGATTTAGACTGCCACATGTACATGCGTTTCCATTGTATTTGATCCTTATTAAATGAATAAACTTCAAAGAAAAACGTTAATGCATACTACATTTTAATAATTTATTTCACTCCACATTTACTTTAATCTTTTCCAATACATACATACGTGCATTGTTTTCAGTTGTAGTCAACAGCTATGGTATTTCTTTGTTCTGTTCTCTAAAATATCACTTTAAATGACGTATTTCCATATGTTGGCAAATATTGGAAGAATCTACATAATTGTCATTTTTAATGCCTAAGTCATATTCCGTTGTGTTTGGGTAACTTAATTTGGCCATTTTCCTGTTGTGGATCTGGGCCGTTAAAAGCAGGAGATAGTTTTACTTGTTGGTCCATGACTTCCAAGGCTACAGCTATGATTAGATATGTGTTTCATGTCATTATTAATACTAGTAATGGTGTGTTTATAAAGTTTTATAATTTTCAAAGCATTTTCTTATGGATCTCCTTTAATCATCCCCGGAAGCCCCCCTGAAGAATTGGAAATGCTGGTAATTCCCATTTTGTTGACTGGTGAATTAAGACTCAGTAGAGTACCAAGCTAGCACTTGGATGGTCCTCAAGAACTGTTGGGTAGAATTAAGGACTTGAATCAGCTGTCCTCATATCTAATCCTCTTCTGATGCCTCATATGATAATTATGACAAGGATCTTTCTTCTTAGTGTGAGTCATATTTTGGTTCTTATCTCCTCTTTTTCAACTTCCTCTTTATTCCTTCTAGTCCTGTTCTTCTATCTCTGTATTTTTTTTCAATTTGCTCGTGTCTTCTATTTTTTTAACACTTGCTTCTTTATTTTCCTTATCTTCTTTTTTTGTGTTTTGTAATGCACTTTCTTTTCTTATTTCTCATCTTGTCACCCTATCTCTTATTGCTTGAATCATGAATTGCATATCCACCCTCTCTACAGAACTTTCAATGATTGTCTTTCTTGCTCTCTCAAATTTTGTTTTATTTAAGAGATCAATCTCTCTGCAAAGGGGTGATTGAATATTTCAAGGCATTTATTATGTTTTTGAGCTTTTCCTTTTAGGAAAAAAGAACATGACCTATGCTTAAATTGAGTCCTTCCTAAATTAAAAAAAAAAAAAAAATCTTGTATTTTCTCCTTCATGTGACATTTACCAAACAATACCTTCTCTAGCTTTCATAATGAGAGAAGGACCTTACTTGTAAGCTTTCAGCTTGTAAAACCTCCCAACAAAGTCAGTATTGCTGTTTCTTCCTAACAACTATAGGTCAGGGCTTGAATTGCAGAGAAAGTTTTTGTGGGTGTATGTTGAAAGAACACAGCTGAATTGAGACTTACAGGTTATCCTCTTCAGTACTGAAGGTAGCAAAACTGCTAAGGCTACATTTACCTGCTTTTACACACCTGTGAATTTCTGTGGCTTACTTTTAATAGGTAAAAACAGTGAATTGATTGCAAACATGAGCATCAGCGTCAATGTTGATTCTGATTGGGCCCACTAATAACTCATGTTTATTGAACACTCATTGTGTGCCAGTTCATCACATATATTATGTCATTTAATTCTGGTTGCAAGCACAGGAAGTTGGTCCTGTGATTAGTACCATCTGCATTTTACAGGCCAAGATAAGATTAAGGATGAGATTAGAGATGTTAACCCACTTACCCAACGTGTCACAGTTAGTAAGTCCTGGAGCTGGGCTCTGAATCCAAGGAGCGCACTTCAGAGGGCACATATATGATCACTGTGTCATCAGCCTTCATCACTGATCTAGTTTCCATAAGACCCTCTCTTGCTTCTCGACATCATTTTATTCACTTCCTTTTGATGCTTTGTGGTTTTGACCCTCATGGCCTTCCCACGCACTCCCTACACACTCTCTTCACTCTCAGTCTACAACTCTGCTTTCTTTTTTGTTTAGAAGATTTATATTATCTGATAAAACAAAACAAACAAACCTCATCTTTTCTCCTCAAATCTTTCTCTTCTATTACCTCTTTTTCCTTCCTTTGAGAAAGGAGCTCCCTCATTCTGCCCTGGGGAGCTCCTCCCCCAGTGTCCCAGAGCCCATCTGCCTTCCTGAGCTGATCTCTCCACTCAGGTGTTTCCTCTTCTGCTTACAGATTCATCTCCCTCCTTTTCTCTTCATTTTTCCTGCTCCTCTTCCTCTCCCATCTTCTTTCCTCCAGGGCCCTTGTGTCTTTCACAGCTTAAATCTTCATTTCTATTTTCTCCTTAGATTTCATCCCAAGTGCATGTGATAATCCCCTCCAGATCCTCATTTCTCTCTTCCTGCTGGACATCTGATCACAGGAAAACTGCAAAGAAAACCCTTCATCTTCATCCCTCCCACCTCCACAGGTGCTTTTCTTCCTTCTCTTGACTTCCTTGTCCACCCACTACTGATTTTTCAATTGGCACAATTCAAAACCATTTAGTTACCTTTGCTTCTTGACAACCCCTCTTCCATATTGCAATCACTGCCATATCTCATAGATACTGCATATCTCTGTTTCTGCTGCAAAAACCCTAAGTGCTTCTTTCTTAGATGACAGCCTCGTTTTTCTCTTTCTGCTAGAGGGTCTTCCTCACTAAAGCTCTCCTAGTCCTTCCCAAGACGAGGGAGGAGAACTTTTCTTGAATATCAACTTTGGTTTATAAAACACTCTTTGACACTGAAAACTTGTCGATGCCTTCCCATTGCCCATTGCATTAGCTGTAAATCCTTCACCCTGATTTTCAAGGTCCCTGATTTCCTTGGTTTCTGAGTGAACGTCCAAAGCTCCAGCCATGCTGGTTCTCTTCCCCACGCCACACTGCTCTGTTCCTGTGTGCCTCTGTGCTGTTACATGCTCTTCCCTTCTAACAAGGGTGTCCTCAACTGGCACCATCTGCAAACATCAAATAAGCACTCAAGTTCAAGTTCCTCTTATTCACTTTGGATAAAATATTCTCTGATCCTTCTTTGACACCTGTTGCATTTGGGATGTGTATGTGTGTGTGTGTATGTGTGTGCGTGTGTGTGTGTGTTTTTTTTTTTTTTTTTTGGTCATCCCTTCCTAAGCATCTTGAGAGAAGGATTGAAGTCTGATTCAATCCTATATTACCTTCCACAGTGCCTCATACTCAGCTGACTTGCCATAAATGTTAATTGAAGTGAACTGTTTTCTTTTGTGGAGCTAAACTGAGTAAAACATAAATTGGATACAAAGCTTCAAGATAGGGGAGGAGCCAAGATGGCCGAATAGGAACAGCTCCGGTCTACAGCTCCCAGCGTGAGCGACGCAGAAGACGGGTGATTTCTGCATTTCCATCTGAGGTACCGGGTTCATCTCACTAGGGAGTGCCAGACAGTGGGCGCAGGCCAGTGTGTGTGCGCACTGTGCGCGAGCCGAAGCAGGGCGAGGCATTGCCTCACCTGGGAAGCGCAAGGGGTCAGGGAGTTCCCTTTCTGAGTCAAAGAAAGGGGTGACGGACGCACCTGGAAAATCGGGTCACTCCCACCCGAATATTGCGCTTTTCAGACCGGCTTAAGAAACGGCGCACCACGAGACTATATCCCACACCTGGCTCGGAGGGTCCTACGCCCACGGAATCTCGCTGATTGCTAGCACAGCAGTCTGAGACCAAACTGCAAGGCGGCAACGAGGCTGGGGGAGGGGCGCCCGCCATTGCCCAGGCTTGCTTAGGTAAACAAAGCAGCCAGGAAGCTCGAACTGGGTGGAGCCCACCACAGCTCAAGGAGGCCTGCCTGCCTCTGTAGGCTCCACCTCTGGGGGCAGGGCACAGACAAACAAAAAGACAGCAGTAACCTCTGCAGACTTAAGTGTCCCTGTCTGACAGCTTTGAAGAGAGCAGTGGTTCTCCCAGCACGCAGCTGGAGATCTGAGAACGGGCAGACTGCCTCCTCAAGTGGGTCCCTGACCCCTGACCCCCGAGCAGCCTAACTGGGAGGCACCCCCCAGCAGGGGCACACTGACACCTCACACAGCAGGGTATTCCAACAGACCTGCATCTGAGGGTCCTGTCTGTTAGAAGGAAAACTAACAACCAGAAAGGACATCTACACCGAAAACCCATCTGTACATCACCATCATCAAAGACCAAAAGTAGATAAAACCACAAAGATGGGGAAAAAACAGAACAGAAAAACTGGAAACTCTAAAACGCAGAGCGCCTCTCCTCCTCCAAAGGAACGCAGTTCCTCACCAGCAACAGAACAAAGCTGGATGGAGAATGATTTTGACGAGCTGAGAGAAGAAGGCTTCAGACGATCAAATTACTCTGAGCTACGGGAGGACATTCAAACCAAAGGCAAAGAAGTTGAAAACTTTGAAAAAAATTTAGAAGAATGTATAACTAGAATAACCAATACAGAGAAGTGCTTAAAGGAGCTGATGGAGCTGAAAACCAAGGCTCGAGAACTACGTGAAGAATGCAGAAGCCTCAGGAGCCGATGCGATCAACTGGAAGAAAGGGTATCAGCAATGGAAGATGAAATGAATGAAATGAAGCGAGAAGGGAAGTTTAGAGAAAAAAGAATAAAAAGAAATGAGCAAAGCCTCCAAGAAATATGGGACTATGTGAAAAGACCAAATCTACGTCTGATTGGTGTACCTGAAAGTGATGTGGAGAATGGAACCAAGTTGGAAAACACTCTGCAGGATATTATCCAGGAGAACTTCCCCAATCTAGCAAGGCAGGCCAACGTTCAGATTCAGGAAACACAGAGAACGCCACAAAGATACTCCTCGAGAAGAGCAACTCCAAGACACATAATTGTCAGATTCACCAAAGTTGAAATGAAGGAAAAAATGTTAAGGGCAGCCAGAGAGAAAGGTCGGGTTACCCTCAAAGGAAAGCCCATCAGACTAACAGCGGATCTCTCGGCAGAAACCCTACAAGCCAGAAGAGAGTGGGGGCCAATATTCAACATTCTTAAAGGAAAGAATTTTCAACCCAGAATTTCATATCCAGCCAAACTAAGCTTCATAAGTGAAGGAGAAATAAAATACTTTATAGACAAGCAAATGCTGAGAGATTTTGTCACCACCAGGCCTGCCCTAAAAGAGCTCCTGAAGGAAGCACTAAACATGGAAAGGAACAACCGGTACCAGCCGCTGCAAAGTCATGCCAAAATGTAAAGACCATCGAGACTAGGAAGAAACTGCATCAACTAATGAGCAAAATCACCAGCTAACATCATAATGACAGGATCAAATTCACACATAACAATATTAACTTTAAATATAAATGGACTAAATTCTGCAATTAAAAGACACAGACTGGCAAGTTGGATAAAGAGTCAAGACCCATCAGTGTGCTGTAGTCAGGAAACCCATCTCATGTGCAGAGACACACATAGGCTCAAAATAAAAGGATGGAGGAAGATCTACCAAGCCAATGGAAAACAAAAAAAGGCAGGGGTTGCAATCCTAGTCTCTGATAAAACAGACTTTAAACCAACAAAGATCAAAAGAGACAAAGAAGGCCATTACATAATGGTAAAGGGATCAATTCAACAAGAGGAGCTAACTATCCTAAATATTTATGCACCCAATACAGGAGCACCCAGATTCATAAAGCAAGTCCTGAGTGACCTACAAAGAGACTTAGACTCCCACACATTAATAATGGGAGACTTTAACACCCCACTGTCAACATTAGACAGATCAACAAGACAGAAAGTCAACAAGGATACCCAGGAATTGAACTCAGCTCTGCACCAAGCGGACCTAATAGACATCTACAGAACTCTCCACCCCAAATCAACAGAATATACATTTTTTTCAGCACCACACCACACCTATTCCAAAATTGACCACATAGTTGGAAGTAAAGCTCTCCTCAGCAAATGTAAAAGAACAGAAATTATAACAAACTATCTCTCAGACCACAGTGCAATCAAACTAGAACTCAGGATTAAGAATCTCACTCAAAGCCACTCAACTACATGGAAACTGAACAACCTGCTCCTGAATGACTACTGGGTACAGAACGAAATGAAGGCAGAAATAAAGATGTTCTTTGAAACCAACGAGAACAAAGACACCACATACCAGAATCTCTGGGACGCATTCAAAGCAGTGTGTAGAGGGAAATTTATAGCACTAAATGCCTACAAGAGAAAGCAGGAAAGATCCAAAATTGACACCCTAACATCACAATTAAAAGAACTAGAAAAGCAAGAGCAAACACATTCAAAAGCTAGCAGAAGGCAAGAAATAACTAAAATCAGAGCAGAACTGAAGGAAATAGAGACACAAAAAACCCTTCAAAAAATCAATGAATCCAGGAGCTGGTTTTTTGAAAGGATCAACAAAATTGATAGACCGCTAGCAAGACTAATAAAGAAAAAAAGAGAGAAGAATCAAATAGACACAATAAAAAATGATAAAGGGGATATCACCACCGATCCCACAGAAATACAAACTACCATCAGAGAATACTACAAACACCTCTACGCAAATAAACTAGAAAATCTAGAAGAAATGGATACATTCCTCGACACATACACTCTCCCAAGACTAAACCAGGAAGAAGTTGAATCTCTGAATAGACCAATAACAGGCTCTGAAATTGTGGCAATAATCAATAGTTTACCAACCAAAAAGAGTCCAGGACCAGATGGATTCACAGCCGAATTCTACCAGAGGTACAAGGAGGAACTGGTACCATTCCTTCTGAAACTATTCCAATCAATAGAAAAAGAGGGAATCCTCCCTAACTCATTTTATGAGGCCAGCATCATTCTGATACCAAAGCCGGGCAGAGACACAACCAAAAAAGAGAATTTTAGACCAATATCCTTGATGAACATTGATGCAAAAATCCTCAATAAAATACTGGCAAACCGAATCCAGCAGCACATCAAAAAGCTTATCCACCATGATCAAGTGGGCTTCATCCCTGGGATGCAAGGCTGGTTCAATATACGCAAATCAATAAATGTAATCCAGCATATAAACAGAGCCAAAGACAAAAACCACATGATTATCTCAATAGATGCAGAAAAAGCCTTTGACAAAATTCAACAACCCTTCATGCTAAAAACTCTCAATAAATTAGGTATTGATGGGACGTATTTCAAAATAATAAGAGCTATCTATGACAAACCCACAGCCAATATCATACTGAATGGGCAAAAACTGGAAGCATTCCCTTTGAAAACTGGCACAAGACAGGGATGCCCTCTCTCACCGCTCCTATTCAACATAGTGTTGGAAGTTCTGGCCAGGGCAATCAGGCAGGAGAAGGAAATAAAGGGTATTCAATTAGGAAAAGAGGAAGTCAAATTGTCCCTGTTTGCAGACGACATGATTGTTTATCTAGAAAACCCCATCGTCTCAGCCCAAAATCTCCTTAAGCTGATAAGTAACTTCAGCAAAGTCTCAGGATACAAAATCAATGTACAAAAATCACAAGCATTCTTATACACCAACAACAGACAAACAGAGAGCCAAATCATGAGTGAACTCCCATTCACAATTGCTTCAAAGAGAATAAAATACCTAGGAATCCAACTTACAAGGGATGTGAAGGACCTCTTCAAGGAGAACTACAAACCACTGCTCAAGGAAATAAAAGAGGACACAAACAAATGGAAGAACATTCCATGCTCATGGGTAGGAAGAATCAATATCGTGAAAATGGCCATACTGCCCAAGGTAATTTACAGATTCAATGCCATCCCCATCAAGCTACCAATGACTTTCTTCACAGAATTGGAAAAAACTACTTTAAAGTTCATATGGAACCAAAAAAGAGCCCGCATCGCCAAGTCAATCCTAAGCCAAAAGAACAAAGCTGGAGGCATCACACTACCTGACTTCAAACTATACTACAAGGCTACAGTAACCAAAACAGCATGGTACTGGTACCAAAACAGAGATATAGATCAATGGAACAGAACAGAGCCCTCAGAAATAATGCCGCATATCTACAACTATCTGATCTTTGACAAACCTGAGAAAAACAAGCAATGGGGAAAGGATTCCCTATTTAATAAATGGTGCTGGGAAAACTGGCTAGCCATATGTAGAAAGCTGAAACTGGATCCCTTCCTTACACCTTATACAAAAATCAATTCAAGATGGATTAAAGATTTAAACGTTAGACCTAAAACCATAAAAACCCTAGAAGAAAACCTAGGCATTACCATTCAGGACATAGGCGTGGGCAAGGACTTCATGTCCAAAACACCAAAAGCAATGGCAACAAAAGCCAAAATTGACAAATGGGATCTAATTAAACTCAAGAGCTTCTGCACAGCAAAAGAAACTACCATCAGAGTGAACAGGCAACCTACAACATGGGAGAAAATTTTCGCAACCTACTCATCTGACAAAGGGCTAATATCCAGAATCTACAATGAACTCAAACAAATTTACAAGAAAAAAACAAACAACCCCATCAAAAAGTGGGCGAAGGACATGAACAGACACTTCTCAAAAGAAGACATTTATGCAGCCAAAAAACACATGAAGAAATGCTCATCATCACTGGCCATCAGAGAAATGCAAATCAAAACCACTATGAGATATCATCTCACACCAGTTAGAATGGCAATCATTAAAAAGTCAGGAAACAACAGGTGCTGGAGAGGATGTGGAGAAATAGGAACACTTTTACACTGTTGGTGGGACTGTAAACTAGTTCAACCATTGTGGAAGTCAGTGTGGCGATTCCTCAGGGATCTAGAACTAGAAATACCATTTGACCCAGCCATCCCATTACTGGGTATATACCCAAAGGACTATAAATCATGCTGCTATAAAGACACATGCACACGTATGTTTATTGCGGCACTATTCACAATAGCAAAGACTTGGAACCAACCCAAATGTCCAACAATGATAGACTGGATTAAGAAAATGTGGCACATATACACCATGGAATACTATGCAGCCATAAAAAATGATGAGTTCATGTCCTTTGTAGGGACATGGATGAAATTGGAAACCATCATTCTCAGTAAACTATCTCAAGAACAAAAAACCAAACACCGCATATTCTCACTCATAGGTGGGAATTGAACAATGAGATCACATGGACACAGGAAGGGGAATATCACACTCTGGGGACTGTGGTGGGGTCAGGGGAGGGGGGAGGGATAGCATTGGGAGATATACCTAATGCTAGATGACACATTAGTGGGTGCAGCGCACCAGCATGGCACATGTATACATATGTAACTAACCTGCACAATGTGCACATGTACCCTAAAACTTAGAGTATAACAAAAAAATTAAAAAAAAAATAAAATAAAAAAAAAAAAAAAAAAAAAGCTTCAAGATACATGGTAAGAGTGATGCTCATGACGTGTTGTTGGCAGTGCAAGCTGGCACCAAAACCTAGAGCTTTGCTTTTACATTTGACACTGCCACTCGCCACCTCCCCTTACCCTCCCCACTTCAAGCTGTTTCCTCGGCTCCTACGGCAGCCTTCCCAACACATTGGTGAGTTTGTCTACACTGGGTAGAAATCACTGCCCTATAACATGAAGGTCATTCTGTTGTCGTGTTTTATTTGGTTAGTTTTTTAAGAGTAAAACAATAGCCACAGACACTGAAGAAAGAAGTCTCATTTGGTTGGTTGGTTTTGTTTTGTTTTGTAGCTTTTGTACTAATTCAAAGCCTCTAAAGAGAATACATGATTTGTAACAGCTTACGGGTGGGCTGAGCACAAAGTAATGATCAAAAGGGAAAGAGATAGGATGCTTCTTTTTCTTCTGTCATCTGTATGTTATTTTCTGGATTCCTGCCATACTTATCTCACAAGCAGAAACCCATCAATTTTAAAAGTGGCATTAGAATTCAAATTCTATGCCCTTTAAAGGCCCTGAGTTTTGGCATGAAATCATTTCTTTTTCACCTGACGAAGAACAGCTACAAGTGCTGATTATTTTGACCACTTCCAAATACACTTAATGTCGTTGCATTAAGAACCTAATGGACTGACAGGACATTATTAAAAATCTCACTGTGTGTCTAAATTTGTCTTTATAGGTCATTATTTATCAGCTAAGGAGTCACTGCTCCATAAAACCAACATCCAAAGCCATTGCGTCGACAGTACACATTTACTTTAATATCTTCAAGCTTTTTTGATTTTGATCCAAAGATGTGAAATAAATTATTTCACTGCCATGTGCTTCCATCCGTCATGATTGTGGGTAATCCTCACTGATCCTTGAAGCAGAGCCTTTGTGATTTGAAGAAAGCATCACATATTGATGACCACATGCAATTTCCTCACAGCTGCAGGGTGACATATTAGAGGATTCTACAGCTGCTGAGTCAAAATATTAATATTTTTATCTGTTTAAATTTCTAGCATGTCTACGTGCTGTGCATATTTAGAAAACAATTGGAATCTTCTGCTTGCTTAAAAACAATAAATGCATTTATTTCAGCTGGAGCTAATACTCCATTTTCGGGCTACCTTGTAATGTGTTTATTAATTTGCTTGTTTACAGTGCTAATTTACTGCATTTATTAGCAAGGAGGTACATATACAAACAACTGGAATTCCATCTGTGCTCCCCCCACATACTTATTATACATCAGTAATCTGAAACAGCCAAAGCATAAATGTATCCTGGGCCTCTCTTCTTTCCTTGTGACTCTTAATGAGTCTTATATTTAAAGACTCTACTGTAATTGCAATAGTGACAAACAAGAATTTACTTGCTGAGTAGTAGCGGGAGGAATCTGAGAGACAGGCTCCAGAATAGGCACTGTTTTTAAGGAATTAACGGATACACGCTCCCTATTTAAACATATTTGAGGTCAGCCTGCCTTTTTTTGATTACAGGCAGGAAGGTCAGATGCAGATGCCTTACTGCACAGATGGGGCTTTTTGGATGGGACATTAATCCTTGCAGAAGCTGCTAGAGTGGTGGGTTGGAAATTCAATTCCCTTATTTTAGTAATTGCAGTCTGATACAAGTTAAACAGTGACCGTATACACTTCCTCTACTGTGTCCTGTGAAATTGTTTTCAGTATCACCTGTGGGCAGGAACAGGCATGGAAGGCAGACTGGAGTATTTTAGGGGGAATTCACCCTGGAATTTGTTGGTCTCTCTGAGGATGCTGCCATTTTAAGGACACAGTTTCTGACAGATGTGCTTCTATGGTGTGGGCCCATCAAAGATCTGAATTAGAGGGCTCATCAGACGGTTACCACCAAATAAGAAGAATTCACGAGTTGCCTCCCAATCAGATTAGTTTGTAGAAAATATGCCCATAGACTTTACTGTGAGTAAAATGACTGGTGTCATAGCAGTTTATTGGGTCACATAGTTACCTCCCACGGTGCCTACATGTGGGGCTCATACCACCTCTTAATTATGTTTAGATTGTATAATTAATACATTTGGCTGGCCACGGGGGTAGTTCTGTCTCTTTATTATCTCCAATTGTAACTGACGAGACAGTTGGAAATTGTCACACATGCAGCCGAGTAGCACCCTTTTTCTCCTGGCCTGAAGTGGATTTTGAAAACCAGGTGATGCAACCCATATTGACCTTTTTCGTGGGCCTTCAAATTCTCCATGATTTCCTAGTATTTTTACTCCAATAACCTTTTCCCCCCTCTAACAACTGTGTGGGAGCTACCTACTCGGTACCACTGATTTGGCCAAATTCCACTTTGTTTTCCTTTTAAAAGGAGTTCTGAGAACTGACCATGAGTGAAAAGGTCTTCCCCAGTCATGCAAAGAGAAACCACAAGTGTGTTTTTCTTCCTTCTCAAGGATCTCCATTCCTGGTCACAATAGTTTTCATGTATTTGCATCATAATATTCTTAATATGCCTACTCCAGCATAAGCCCCTTGAGAACAATTCAGCAGAGGGATGTTTTTGGCAGAAAAGGGGCTTCTGCAGATGCAATGGAGGGGAGGAGGGGAGAGAACAGTTAGGAGCCTGCTTTCCTCCTCCAGCAAGGGTTTCATGGCAAGAGCTGTTGTATGTCAGAGTTTTCTTAGATTGTTAGTTTTCTGCTTTGGTTTGATGTCTTCTCCTAACATGAGTTGCCTTTCATATAAAAAAAATTCTCATTTAAATCTATAACAAAAACACAGAGACCTTGGTAAATAAACTGAAAAAAGACACACACACACACGCATACACACACAGACAGAGAGAGAGAGATTCCCAATTGCCTTTACCATAAAATCCAGACTTCTTTTCTTGACTTACAATGTCTTGCAAAACTGGCCTACCCAGGTACCGAGAGGCTCTTTTGTGTGTTCTTTAAGATCCAGCCATGTTGAACTTTTCTCAGTTCCTTGAAGGCATCCTGTTCTGTTCAACTTCTGGGTTGCCTAAGCTTTCCCTCCTCTTGGAACCCTTTCCAAACATTCTCCCCCTGCCCTGCTCCTGTTGCAGCTAACTGCCACCAGTGTTCTTGTCTCAGCCTCCTCTGGGAGGTCTTTCCTGGCCCTTGGACTAAGTTGGTACCCCTGTTATGTACTTTCATGGCACCCTATCATTATCCCTGTAGCATTCTACAGGACGTTTGTAACAGTCTCATGCCAGTCCTCCACCTCAGTGTCCACCATGTTTTCAGGTTGCTCAGCACACTGTGTCCCCATGACAAAATTTGGAGACAGCCCTCTTGAAGGCAAGAAACATAGCCCAAGCCCACTCTACTATTGGAATCTTGAACATTCTACTGGGTTACTTCCAACCTGTTCCATAAGAGGGGCAGGCAGGAGCAAAGGGAATGGTTCCTCTGCTTTTTCTTCCCCTTCAGTTTGAAGGTTTTTTAGGTTGGGGTAGGGAGATGGAGAGTGTAGGGGTTGTGTTGGTGGGGGGCCTGGGTCTGTTAGTTCCAATGCACATTAAAGAACTTTTTCGGCCGGGTGAGGTGGCTTATACCTGTAATCCCATCACTTTGGGAAACCAAGGAGGGAAGATTGCTTGAGGCCAGGAGTTTGACACCAGCCTGGGCAATATAGTGAGACTCCTGTCTGTATGAAAAATAAAAGAATTAGGCGGACCCGGTGGTACACACCTATAGGTCCAGCTACTCAAGAGAATGAAGCAGGAGGATCCTGGAGCCCCGAGTTCAAGGTTTCAGTGAGATATGATTTTGCCTCTGTACTCCAGTGTGGGCAACAGAGGGACACTTTGTCTTACCAAACAAAAAAGACAATTTTTTTTCTTTCTATCTCCTGTGCCCTGGGTTCTATAAGTATAGTGTCTTTGTAGGTCTGATTTTGATAGCTTTGGGAACACATGATGACCCCATGCTTCCTGGTCCAATGGGGGATGGTGACAGTGGATGAGGAAGGAACTCACTGATTGACACCTCAGTTTATTATTTGATTGTGCATATTAAATACTCAATTAAAATGATACATCCAGAATCATTTCCCCCACCATGCTGAAAATTATAGGAGTATAGTAGCCATTTGAATGTTTTTGTTGTTTCAATGAAAAAAAAACTCTTTTCATACTTAACCTCACTTATAATAAAAGAAACACAAAGTAAAACAATGACAACTCCGATTTTCACCAACCAAATTAGCCAAGGTTGGTTTACTGTTTTTAAATTTCTTAGTGCTGGTAAAATTATGATGAAACAGTCTCATAAATGGCTCTTGAAATACAAGTCGATAGGAACTTTCTGGAATGAAATTTATAATATCAATTAAGAATTTTACATTTTTTTCATGCTTGTAGTGGTTAAAATGTTATGCTCTGGACTTAGTCTATATATGATATGTGTAAGCAAATGACTTAACCTTTCAGAGTCTCAGTTTCCTCATTTATAAAATGGGGATAATAACAGTGCCTACTTTTTCTCTTCAAATGAAATTATGTGTTTATAATAATTAATATTTTGCCCAATGTATATTCAGAGCTCAGTAAATGTAAACTATAATAATAATATGAATTGTACCCTTTCAACATAGTCCTTTAGGAAATAATCTGAGATGCAGACAAAGATTTATGCACAAAAGTGTTATCATAGCCTTAGTTATAAAAATGGAGACAAATTATAAGTAAATATTCAAACTGTAAGAAAAATGGCAGTTTTTTTGTTTGCTTACTTAATACTGGAATATGATGTCGCTGCTAAAAATGATGTTTACAGGAGTCCCTAATGACATGTGGGAATGCTGATGATATTGAGTAAAAAAGGTACTATAGTGTCCACATTTAATTTAATCTAATCTATGTAAAAATCTCTATATGTAAAATTGTATAGAAAAAGCACTAAAAGAAAAAATGTCATCGTTAGTAGTTATTGACCCCGAACTACCATGCTGAGGGTGATTTTTATGCTTATTTATACTTTGTAAAAATATTTTTCATGTTTCCTTCTCTTCCATGGCTTACTTTGTAGTCAGAAAAATAAAACCTCTAGATCCCTGTCTGAACCTGCTCAGCCCTTCTGTGTAGATCACAGCATCCCCGGGCTTGTACCTGAAGCCTGCTCACAGGTGGTGCCCTGTGGGGTCGGCTACTCGTAGCCTGTCTTGCCTGAGTTTTGTAGTCTGCCCTAGGGAACTATACTTTTCTGTTATAAGTCAGAACATTGGTATTAATCCTCAAGCCCTTGTTGCTCTGATTTCTGGCTTCTTTCCGTGGAGATCGTTACTCATTTTGAGGTCTCCCAAGAAACTCTCTCCTACAAAGAGATTTTGACTTCAAGCCTCTGAAGACAAAAGTGTTCCCTAGGTTTTGGGGACTTATTATTCTTTTTGGCTTGATTTAATAAAAATCAGTCAACCAACCTTGAGAGCCTAATGATATAATTGGTCTTCTGTTGGGGGATTGCATATGATGGAGCTGGGAAGGAAAGTTTGCATGAGTGGATTAACATGGGTCCCACTCAGGTTGTTGCTTTGGAATGAGTCTATTCACAGGAGTGGGTGTTCAGCATGACTTTTTAAACCGTAGAATGAATACAGGTAGTGAACAAAAAGAGTTAGAGAGTTGAACTTTGCACACTCGAGTATTTGTAATCTCCTGTGTGAGGTAGAACTATAAACTAACTTGGATAAATGTGATGTATTGGGCAACTTGGAGTTGATCATTTTATATTTTCAGGTGTCATGTACTGATTTCTCCTTTGACTCTGGGCACTCACTCCATCATGCAGTATATGTTTGGGGACTGATCTGATGCCTTCTTATGGCTTAACATGGAGCTGTGGAAGGAAGCAGAGGCCCTGAGTAATTTCAGAGTCTCTCCAACTCTTCAGACCTTTCCATTGATTTCTGGCATCTGTGTACCCAAATCTGCCAAACCGCCATGTCTGGTTTGAGAACTCCAGAGACTTGATTAGGAGGATAGAAAAAGTTAAAGGCTGTGAGGAACCCATATATTTATAAGTCGGTTGGAGGCACAGAAAGAGAACCCAGCCAAGAAGAGCACCTGTGTCACTCATGCTGAGAGGAGAGAGTTTTGAGAAGGAGGGCTGCTCAGTCAACAGTGCCTTGTGTTGCAGAGATTTCAGGTAGGATAAGGAATTAGAGGAGGCCATTAAATCTGGTCCTTAAGAGGCCATCAGAGACCTTTTCAAGAGCAATACCACAGTAAAATATTTTGAAGACAGATTTACAATGAAGTGAGGAGTTAGAGAGGCAAGGAAGTTGGGTAGTTAAGGGAAGGCAAGAGATGAGTTGTTTGTAGAGAAAAGTTTTTAGGACAGTAGGCAATGGAGAGCATAGTTGGAAGTTAAGGTTGAAAAGAGAGATAGGGGAAAACAGGTGGAATAATATTGAAAATTGGATCAAGAATATAGGTGTAGGCATTAGCCATTTTATCCTGGGAGAAGGGAGGAAATGAAATAAAAACAGGAATAGATAGACGTTTTGAGGTGAAAGGAATGAATCCAGCATGCTCTGTTTAGTGATGTAGATGAGATCACCTGGGAAGGCATGAATGGGCGGGCAGAGTGGGGTAGTGACTTCAGAAGAGTAATAAGGGTTGAAAAGCACTGCTGGGTGAGGGGGAAGGAATGTCCATAACCTGGCTCCAGCTTCCTTTAGAATAATTAACACACGTTACACTCCTTATTTAAACAGAGATCCCAAGATCAGATAAATCCATAATTACTTATTTGTTGTACCCACAAAATACTATAGGGGTCTGCTTACTTTCTCTTGAAAGCATCCCCTTGGTAATTATTCTTTTATGTTTCTCTAATTGCATGCTAGAGAAAGCATCTGTTAGATGCAACTAGTCTTTAGACCACTGAACACCTGCAGATCTTGGTGATGCATGCCCAAGTTCAGAAAGCTCTGAAAGAAGTTGCTTTAAAGAGGATAGGCCATGGCTTTTCAGATAACGGAGCCTTGAATCTGTAGTGTTTCCTAGGTTTCCAATCCTAACATTTACCCACTTGTTAAGGTAGTCATAAAACACTATCACCTTCATTTGCTCTTGCAACTTTTGAAGCTTTTTAAATTTCCCTTCACACAGCTGGGATTGTGCTCCTGGCACTGTAAGGAAGGCATAGGGAAGAGAGAACAAAGGGCTTGGCATTATGTGGAAACCATACACCAAATCTGGGGAAAGTAGTCTCCTTCTCATATTTCCCTCAATGCAGTCATAATTTCCTTTGTAGTTTACTGAAGGACTGAAATGAGGATTAATTTGGGTCTCAGGATATCATGAATTGTTCCTAATATTAGCAAAAGGCTGCTTGTAATTTGTAACTCCCAAAGTTCACAGAAAGGTTTGAGACTGTTAGTTTGTATGTTGCCAAAACAATCAGCATTTTTGAGGCAGACTCTTGTGGCTTAACTTCTGGGGTGGCTATGAAGGTCCTCTGAAGGGTTCTCATGTGGATGAGTGGGCACTGGACATGAAAGGGAGATCTGCTTCGTGTACAGGGAACACATCCAGATGATCAACAGTTAGGATCACCAACAGTGTACAGAGAAAGACCTGTTTTTAACAGATTCCAGGGGCAGGAATCTGTTTTACCAACATGGATTTTCTAGAAATCACAATCTCTACTACAAGCGTTGAGATGAAACAAGACATTTTGGGGCCATGGGTGGTGCATTAGCGAGTACAAACAAATGCTTTGAATCCTACAGGGGAAGGTGGGAAGGCCCCGTAACCAGAACTCTTTCTTTTCTCTTTTCTAGATCTTACTCCTTTTTCATTTGAGGTGGGTAAATTGAGATTCGTGGGTTTTCTCCTGCCTTTGGGTTAAAGGATGATAAATGGGACTTAAAGGGTAATTACCACTTGAAAGCAGGAAGTTTTCACCTACAAAGGAAGCTGAACACAATCAAGTTCTTTATTAAAGAATGACTATTATGTGAGTGAGAACAAGAGACAGGGCTGTCTGGACAAAATAATTTGTTTTATAGCTTTAATCCCAACTGGTATTACAGAGCTACTGTGCACTATGTATTGGGTCATAAAAATGACTTTTCAACTCACAACTCTTCTTCATAACTTTATCTCCAGTTAAAGACCAAAATTTTCCAGCAACTCAATCCAATTATTTACTAACCTCAGTCCATTCATACTGAAGGCTGAGACTGGTATACTGACTCTGGAAGGCCAAATCTGTGAGAAGGAGCTTTGCAGAGGGCTCAGGAGCCCTGTTGATGCAGGATTTTTCTCAGCTTGTTTGCCGGACTCATGGCAGCGGCACCTCATTTACTCAGCCTGCTGTGCTCAACCCCTTGTAGGAGAAAGCATGTATGTTAGTGAGTGCAGGATCTGGCTGGCCACTCCGGGCATTGACACAAGAGCAAGCTCCATGGGGGGCCTGCAGCCAAACCAGGCATGTTGCCTCAAGGGAAACATGGTGGCACCCAGGTGGTGTGTTGCCTTGTTGCTGGGGTGGTTTCCCTCCGCTGGTGAGGGCAAAGGGCTGGTGTGACAGCCTTTTCTGGGTACTGGCGCTTGGTGGGTCCCAAGCTCTTGTCCGGTGTCTGAGAAGAATGGGGTTACACAGAAAATTGAATGATGGTGAAAGTGGAGAATTTTGTTGAGTGATGAAAACATTTCTCAGAAGAGAGTGGAGCTGGAGAGGGGACGAGAAGGACAGGTCGTCTTTCCCCAAAATCAGGTTGTCTCTTCCCCAAAGTCAGGCTGTCTCCCCTCTACTGACTGAGTCTGGGATCTTTATAGGCACAGGATAGGGGTGGGGCATACCATAGGTAGTTTTGGAAAAAGCAACATTCAATTGGTAAAAAGGCATGATTCAGAAAGAACCAATTGGGAGAGGGCAGGCAAACAGGAATATAAGTACTTACTTTGGACTTTTGGCCATGGGTTTCAGGCTGTTTTTTGTTGTTGTTTTATGGTGAAGGTGGGGTTTCACCAGGGACTCACCCGCCCTGTCCACCTAGAATTTCTCTGCCTCCTGCCTCTATTACCGTGAAGGGGTTGGGGGAAGCTGCACTCCAGTCTCAGACCCCCAGGGGAGATGTTGATAGTATTATCTTACTGCTTCTGTTAGTCAGGAAGTTCTCTCTATACTCCTAGCAAGTATCTATCACGTGACACCCTCGTATCTAAAGGTCATTCCGTTGGAAAGGGATGAAAACTCAATCACTGTGCTGGGCCTGGCCATTTGCTAAAAACCTCAAACACACAATTTGTACAGGTCCCAAGCTTCTACTTTACTGATATACACTGCCTTTGGGCTACTCTCCAGCTGTCAGCTGCAGTGTTTGTAATTGAAATCTCTTCTGCCCTTCTGTGCAGTGATGAGACTTTGTGCTCATGAGCACCCGTGCCTTCTCTGTGCTCCCCTTCCCCCTCCAGACTGCCATCACCTGTGCCAGCACTGTGCAGCTGATCTCCACAACACTGGGAGCATCTGCCTCAGGTGCCAGAATGCCCACTACCTGCTGCTCGGGGACCACTGTGTTCCTGACTGCCCTTCAGGATACTATGCAGAGAGAGGAGCTTGTAAAAGTGAGTAAGTGCTGGACTCAGGAGCTGGAGCTGCCACCTGAGGTTCTCTTGGGGCAGTAGCTGGGAAGGATCAACCTTTCCTAAGAGAGAGTGGAGGCAGGAAGTGTAAACCACTTCCATGGGACTGTAAACCAGACTTGCCAATGTTCTCAGTGTTGGGACTTTATTACCCACACTTGGGGTGCTGCTTTGGAAGAGAATCTGACATCATGGTTTCTGTTGTGTCTCTTTTTCCTCTGCAGAATGCCACTCCTCCTGCAGAACCTGCCAGGGCAGAGGACCTTTCTCCTGCTCCTCATGTGACACCAACCTCGTGCTGTCCCACACTGGCACCTGCAGCACCACCTGCTTCCCTGGGCACTATCTTGATGACAATCATGTTTGCCAGCGTAGGTTTTTCCAATGAACCTTCTCTCCTTTCCTTCTTTTCCTGCCTTTCTGGAGCCATTGAAAGAAATGCGAGGTTCTTACTTCCATCTTCTCACCTGGTAGCCTTTATTTTTATAAAAGGAAGAAAACCAATCTACAAAGGCAGTAAGGTTGCCATTAGCAGATTATGGCTCAGATATCAGCCTAATCAAAAGTGCTGGGCTTGGCGGTGGGGTCTCCTCTGTAAATGCCAGCTGTATGATCTTGGGCAGGTTATTTAACTTCTCTGTCCAGGTTATCTCATTTAAAAAATAAAAGTGTTAGTTTGTTTCATCTTTATAGTTTTTCTCAGCAATCCCATTCTATGACCCTAGGCAGAGAGTGGAGCTTGCTCTAGTATGCAATCAGTGGACTAAGCACGTCTCTGGATTTAATTTGTTTTCTACATGTGTTTGTGAATATTGACAGTGTACAAGGTTTTGCATGCTGGAAATATTCCATTTCTGCCCAAACAGTAGTTATTTGGACTTGTATGGGAGTTACTTATATAGATGTCTTATTTCTCAAGTAAGTCAGAATATGATTAATTACCTTGAGTCAGGCACAAAGGGTTAGGATAAATTAGGGAATGGGTAAATTTGCCTGAAAAAAAATTAAGATATACTTCACAGATGAAGGAACATTTATGATAGGCTGATGCCACTTATTTTATCTCAGTCACCAAAGTGTCATTTGCAAAAACAAAAAATTGTTATACTTTTGAAAATGATGGTTAACAAATATAGTGGTAGTATTTCAGTTGTGTGTTCTAGGGGTACCATGCTGAAGGAATTGTGGAGTAGTGGTTAGGAGAGTGGGCTCTAGAGTCAGAGAATTGAAGTTCAAATCCTAACTGCTACTTAGAGCTTTATGACCTTGAGCAAGCCAATTAACCACTAGGCCTCAGTTTCTTTTTTTTGTAAAAGGAAGATAATAACAATACCTACATTCTAATGTTATTACATTTAATACAGACCATAGTGGAGAATAAGTTGTCAGTATTGATTAACGATTATTTTGTTTTTATCATCATCATCTAAAATGAGAGGCAAATAAAGTAGTAAAGATATTTCTATTTTATAGATAGGAAGATAGATATTACTGTTAGTTTATTGAGATCCTTGCAAAGATTTGCATTAGTTATATGAAACTCACCCTTTTGCATCATCTGTGGAGGTACTGGAGATCTAAAAACAAACTTTTTTGGGCTAGTGGGAAGATTGCTTTTGTAACAAAAACCTTGCTTTGTGTATATCAACTGTCTGCCAGAATCTGTAGATTCTGTAATATAAGAGACAGGAATGAAATACTTCCATCTTCTATTCAGGAGCAAGAGAGTGCTGGTGGAGAAATAGTGACTTAGATTTATTAGGCTCTTCACAGCAGTGGAATCACAGAAATAAAAGTTCAAAAGAAAAAATAGAATCCATTGTATGAAGTATAGGTGACAAAAATACATTGCATTGAATTATTTCTCTTCTGGGAAGTTTTTGTCTTGGGGCAGGGTGGCCTCTGCACAAACACATTTGCTATGATCCCATGTAAATAGAATTTCATAGAATATTTCAGTTGGATTAAGAATTTCCTAAGTTTAGTCCTTAAATTTCATTCTGAGATTGAAAAAATACGCTCCTAAGTTGGGATATTTGAGTTTCTAGTACATTAAAAAAAAAAAAACAAAAAAAAAAAACAGCCTGACCAACATGGTGAAACCTCATCTCTACCAAAAATACAAAAAGAACTAGCAGGGCATGGTGGTGCACACCTGTAATTCCAGCTACTCGGGGGTGCTGAGGCAGGTGAATCGCTTGAACCTGGGAGGCGGAGGCTGCAGTGAGCTGAGATCACGCCATTGCACTCCAGCCTGGGTGACAGAGCAAGAGTCTGTCTCAGAAAAAAAAAAAAAGATTCAACACGCTCTATTCTAATACTCATAATTATAGACAATTATAGGCCTGCCAATTTTAGAAATTCTGCAATAAGGGCTTTTGAGGAAATGTAATCAGTATTAAGGGAGGCAGTCATAACCAAATTATTGAAGGAAGTAAGGACTGGAGAGCTTTCCAGATATTCTAGTTATAGGAATCTTTCGAGAGGATGTACTATTAACTGAATTAAAAAATCTAAGGGTCACCAGTTGAGGTAGGAACTTTAAAAAAGAGATGATATGTAAGGTTCTGAGTACTTGAAACCATAGTGCTTTGGTATTGGAGGAGAATTCCAGAGTTACTCAAGCCAATCTTGCACCAGTGCAGAGACTCTTTTTCACTCACCCCCACAGACTTCCACGGAAGAAAGCCGGTTCCACTGCTGGGGAGCTAGAGTAGTTGGAAAGTTGTTTTTAATTGGCCCTAGAACTTGCCTCCAAAGTGGTATAGAATAAGCTTCCTCCTTCATTCACACAATTACTGTCATTCCCCACCTTGACATCTCTGTGCCATGTAGACCCAGAGCCAATGGAGTATTGAAGTAGGAGTGGATGACCATTTCTTAGACCTACAGCAGAAAACAAGTCTGTTTAAGAAGGTGATTGAACCCCCACACTGTGAGGTCCCTCTGCCCTTTCAGCACATCACAGATGTGATGGTTACAGCACATCCCAGCTTCCCTCAGTGGTTTCTGGTCGACTCTGCCACTTTTTCACTGTCCTCCTGCACTTGCTGTGGGGGTCACTGACCTCAGAGAACTGCCCCTGCTACTCCAGGTGTGGCCACACCAAGATGTCTGCGTCAGTACTAGTAAGTACTTTGTGGGGTCTGAATGTAATACCACGGAAGCTGAGAACCCGAGGGACGTTGGTACCTACAGAACTGCTCTGTGTCAGACAGGGTCAGCCATTTACTCATTACTTTGGAAAGGGATAAGAGGAAGAAGTCATGGAAGCCACCTGTTTCTCAGTGTGACACTACTGTGTCCCTCCAAATCCTCCATAAAGTCTTCCAGCAATTCAAAATGCTCAGCATGAATCCATTTCTTTTAGAAGTGAGTGAAGGTGCTGAGGTATACATCACGGTTCCACGGGGGAATGAGTACTTTGTAGAAAGATTCAGGCCTGGCACAGTGGCTCACACCTGTAATCCCACCACTTAGGGAGAGCAAGGTGGGAGGATCATTTGAGGCCAGGAGTTTGAGACCAGCCTGGGCAAAAAAGTGAGATCCTGTCTCTAGAAAAAATTAAAAAATAAGCTGGGCATGGTGGCATGTGCCTGTGGACCCAGCTATATGGGAATCTGAAGCAGGTTTGCTTGAGCCCGGGAGGTGGAGGCTACAGTGAGCTGTGTTCATGCCACTATACTCCAGCCTGGGTGACAGGGTGACAGAGTGAGAACTGTCTCAAAAAAAAAAAAAAAAGAAGATTCAGGAACACAGCGGCAGGTGGAAGTAAGTCATAAGAAACCCTCAGACACTAGGGCAAGAAATTGGCCTTGACCCCTGGCTGGGGAACTGGCATTCGGGGACCTCATTTTGCAGCTCTATGTCAAGAAAAGAGGACCAGCTGACCCTTATGTTGCATATCATCACATTTTTAGTTACTATCAAGACTGTTACTGACTAAAAATCTTAGATTTTTTTTTTTCTATAGGAACTGCTATCTAAGCAGGTCTTCTTCATCCTGTATTTGTACAGTTGGTTTTAGAACATAAATGCGGGACTTTTCTTAGAGTTCTGCTTATTTCACTTGGTTACTGTAGGTTCATTATTTCAACTGGTTAAGGTAACTGAACTGTTGTTCTTCCAGCTGGTGAAACTTAACTATGTATGTTTTCTATATAGGTGCATGTGGCATATTTAAATATTATTGACATGGTTTCTTTGTTTCTATTAAAGTCATGGATAAAAATATTGATCAAGTAAGAAATTAAGGCCTAATTAATGTGATACTCTGCTGTGGACCTATTTTTATCAATTATAAAGATTTGCTGATCATATTTTGAGTATGCTTTTCAACCACCTTCAAATCCACTTACAACTAGTAGGTCTCACTTCATTTTTGTATTCACAAGTTTATTTTTGGAATCTCTATCAAACACTTTGCCAAAATTAAGATACACCATGCATAAAAATTCTAGCAAAAAAAAAGGGATAAAAATTTGGTCTCATCTAAGCTTACAACAGTTAAAATATTCTTTTCTAATTATTGAAAATAATTAGAACTGAAAATCCAGTCTAGAATTTTCCCAGGACCTTAAATTATCAATATGCATATTCTAATGAATGTTTTATAACAATGTCTTTCTTTGTAGGTGAAACAATAGCATTCTTTTTTTTTTTCAGGGAGGTAATTTTCCTGCACTGTGCCATATACTTTGATATCATATAGATCTAAAACTCACTGGGTTTCTCTCTGTACTTTTCCTCTGACACGTACTTAGAGAAGATTTCAGAATGAGACAGAAATGCTGGTGCTTGTATATACCTTATGCAATATCTGGCTTTATTTCTTTTATGTAGCAAGTGTTCATTGAACACCTACAATATGACAGATAACCAGCTAGGTGCTGACTAACATTACAAGGAACAAAACAGACCTGTTATTTGCTTTCATGAAGTTTGCAGCCTAAAAGATACAAATGTTAATCAAATAATCACTCAAATGGAAATTGCTATACATGGCATGAAAAACATGTAGAGCATGCTATAATGCAAGGCCTGTTTTAGAATAGAAAGTTAACAAAGGTCCCAGAAGAAGAGACTGAAGAATGAGTTAAGAGTTAAAGACTCGGAGATTATATTAAGAGGATTCAAATATGCATGTTATAATAGGATTTCCAGGTGGAGAGAATGGAGGGAATGGTAGGGGAGCAATATTTGCAGAAATGATGGCTGGAAATTTTCCAGGATTGAAAAATGACATTGAGTTTGAAGGCGAAAGTGTACTCTGAAACCTGAGCTGTATGAATTTTAAAACCCACTCTGGTGGATGCATGGAAAATGGATTGCAAGGGGGTCAGAGCGGAGATGGGGAAACCAATTAGGAGGCTGTGATAGTAGTTCAGCAGGGGATGATGATGGCTTAGAAATATTGGCATTTGTGGATATGGAAAAAAGCAAAAAGTTCTGAGAGTTATATCGGAGAGTTTGAATAAATAGGATCCAGTGAGTAACTGGATTAGGAGTCAGGGAAAGAGAGGTGTCAAGATAGACTTGGAGGTTTCTGGCATGAACAACTGTGTAGATGGAGAAATGCCAGTTGTTAAATAAGGGAAGATGGAAGCATGACCAGATTGGGGGATCATCCCTGAATGTCAGAGTTATGTGGCTGGGTTCTAAGAGTTGTAACTAGGCAAATCAATAAACCAGTTCACCTTCAAGTCCTTTGTATCTTAAAGTATGGGATTTCCCAAGCTCCCCAATAAAGTTGGTGCCTAATTTTAATGTTGCCATCACACAAAAACCTGAATCTACATTATGAACTTAAGGGGGCTTGATTCCTGAAGAAGTAAGGTTTAAGTTCTGAACTATAATTCCAGGGATCTTAGAGTAAGCATAAATTCTGTTGCTGAATCACAGAGCAATTTGGATATGGGATTTCCATTATTGGGTTTGCACTTTATATTCTTTGTAAAATAAGATTACCCTTTTCTATTTCGGAAACTAATATTTTCTGTTTTTGTTGATCACAGGGGAGGGCTATGAGCCATAATGAAATGTAGAGCAGGTTGGAACAAGGCTTTGTTCCTATGCAACATCTGTCTAGGTTTGATCAGTGCTTCAGTATTTGCAATTGTAATCATCTGGTCATTTTCTTTTCCTGTCTGCTCAGCATGCAACACACACTGTGGAAGCTGTGATTCACAGGCCAGCTGTACCTCCTGCCGAGATCCAAACAAGGTTCTGCTCTTTGGGGAATGTCAATACGAGAGCTGCGCCCCACAGTACTATCTTGACTTCTCCACCAACACGTGCAAAGGTAAAGCTCTTCCTGAATTGTGTAAAGATTCTTTTACACAGTGATACCACTTTACTACTGATGTCTAGTTTTCCATATTGGGAAAACACCAGTCATCATATATTTTGACTGTCTCTGATGATAGCAACAATTGTGTGTGTATGTATATATTCATTAATTCACTCCTTTATTTACTTATTAAGCATATATTTTTGAGCACCTATTTGTGTCAGATGTTGTGCCACGTCTTGATAACAAGACCAGAGGTGGCAAATTGTAAATCCTCAGGTTATATATGGCCCATAGACATGTTTTCTTTGTCTACTTAATGTTTCAATGCTTTAAAATCTTTAATTATTTGCCTTTTAAAAATCAGAAGATTTCACATACAAAAATTGAGATTTTCAAGTGTTGTTGGTTTTTTCTTAACCAGAAGCTCTGGTAATGTTGGATATGTATCCTGACAGTGAAGCTCTAGTAATGTTGGATATGTATCCTGACAGTGCAACCGTAGGTTGAAACGGTGTAGCTGTCGTCCCTGCTGGATGGAACAGGATCTCTTCAGTTCAGCAGTCCCCACCATTCCCTTTCTATCACACAAGGCCTATTCTGAAGATACATTACTTTCCTGGGCTGTAGGTGTTTGCATTTACAACTTGAGATTGCTACCTCCAAGCTTGATAAGGTCAGGAGTCGTGTCTGATGTGTTCATCTCTGCTTAACATACTTAAATGAGTGAAGACGTAGTCCCTGTCTTCAAGGAAATTTATAAGGAGATAATGTCAAATGCCAAGTGCCTTTTTCTTTGCTCTCCAGTAGTTGGAATTCTCGGGGCTTACACACTTTGAATGGTAGTGCTCAGCAACAGGAAAGCAAAGGTAAAGAACAGGTTTTACTTGCTCCTGTCCATTTCCTCATTCCTGACTCCTTCCACATTTCTCTCTATCCCTCTGATTCTGGCAGAGAAGCTAGAGCTTGGATATGGTGGTCAAACATCTGTCAAGTAAACTTAGGATGCTTTAAGGCTCTGCAAAATTGCACACTTTCCATTCCAAGAAATTCTACTTCGTTGTCAACTTAGGTGGTCTGCTGTGCTCGAGACCACAGAATTTTTTTTCTGTTTTTTTGTTTTTTTTTTTTTTTGCCTTCTAACCAGTAGCTGTCAGTTTGTGGTGAAAAACAAGATTATCACAAATCCACTCCATTATAAATGATTTCATAACTGTGCTGGCAGTTTTCAAGGCTCTGTTTTAGTCATTTTCCCTCAGGACTGATTCAGCTAAATAAAGGAATAGGATTAACTTTGTAAATCTTGGAAGCACGTGTACTGTCTTGCACATTTACCTGATTTCTTTGGGACTTAGAAATATTCTACCAAGGAAGAGAAAAGGTAACTAATGAGAGGTTTCTCCAGTTTCTTAGCAGGAATGGAAGGTGAGATCGAGGGTGGCCCTGAATGGAGATAGGTTCTCTAAGAGAAACAGTTCAGCAGCAAACATTTATTGAGTTGTTACTATATGCCAGGCACTGTGCTAAATTATTTAAATTCATTATTTCATTTTATTCTTCACATTTTATTCTTCTTAACATTATGAAATGGGTACTATTCTCACCCATGTTTTACAGGTGAGAAACCAGGATAATATAGATAAAAACATGATTGTAGGATAATATAGAGAAAAAGTAGCAAAGCCATGACTTGAATACAGACTTACCTTTCTTCAAAACCCATGCACTTAACTGTGCTATCCCATCCCATCTTCCATGCAGGTAGCACTTCCCTTACCAGCTACAACACTGGCTTTCAAACATGAGTTTTCTGACTGCGTCAGAATTGCCTGGGCCATTAAAAACAACAGCAACAGCAACAACTATAATATTCACAATAACAAGTACAGCAGCAACATGTTTTCCTGTGCCCCAACCCAACCCCTGAGACTCTGATTTGATAAATCTGATGCTGAGCCTAATCCATATTTTTTAACAACCCCCCTGGATTATTTGCATGCACATTCAAGGTTAGACCCCTCTAGAACATAAGCTCCTTGATGACAAGTTCTACACCTACCACCTTTATATTGCCCCCTCCTGCTGTTCAGTGACTATCCCATAGGTGCTTATGGAGCAAATTAACATGTAATTGAGTCCGTTCTAATGCCTAAATGAGACCTTCTATTGTTTTAGCAACCTCTTTCTTTCTGGACAGCACCTTTATGCCCCATATAATTCTGACATCATTGGTTCTTTCTGTCACTTTGGTCAATGCCTGGTTTTGAGAGATAGAAACCCATGCAGCTGGTGTTATTGGTGGCAGCAGATGCATTCTTAGTTGAGTGTCTGACATCTCTTTACCTATTGAGCATTGAGTATTTGGAAGAAGTCAGGGTTAGGTTTGTGGGGCAAGTTGGCCACTCCCTGCGGCAGGTTTTGCATGAAGACTTGATATGGCACAGGGATAAAGAACTAAGACCAGAGTGATCTGGTTTCTCAGCAGCCCTGCCAACAAGCAGGCTCAGCACAAGCATAGAGTGCTCCTTGTACATGTCCGTGTCTAACATAATTAGGGAACACTTAAACCTCAGAGAAGCATTCAGGCTACTACAAGTGGAAACCTCATTTGAGCCTACTTATCTGACATCTCTTACGTTGTCCTTATTTTACTCCTTGCAGCTGCAGACAGAGTCCTCATAAATGAACTGCTGGGTCTGAGGGTGGACAGAAAGGAAGATAATCTAATGCAGACTTTCTTTTTAGAGTGTGATTGGAGCTGCAGTGCATGCAGTGGGCCCCTGAAAACAGACTGCCTGCAGTGCATGGATGGCTATGTTCTCCAGGATGGGGCCTGCGTGGAGCAGTGCTTGTCATCATTTTACCAGGACTCGGGCCTCTGCAAGAGTAAGTGTGTAGAGGCCCTGCTCTGTGCTCAGCCATACCTTGGCCACCTCTGATTTGTACTGTTCTCAGAAGGAAACAGTGGCAAGTTTCCCCTTCTGGCTTTTTACCCCATTTCTGGTTTCTTTCCTAAGAGCTATCTTTGTTATCATGAAAATTTCCCCTTTTCATCTTCCATGCCTTAATAAGACATTTGCTAAAATTTGAGGGCAATATGGGAATCTTGGGCATATAGGACCACACAAACAGGTATGTGTTAGCTGTTACTTTCAGATTTTCTTAAAAATTGAACAGTCAGGTCCTCCAGGTGGGAAGGTGTTTGTACCCTGGGCATTTGGGCACATAGGAAGACCCGATTATTTCACTATCTGCCCCCTTCAACCCTCTGTATACCATATAGCTCACAATCATCTGTCTCTGGCCTAGTATCCCTTTTAGCCTCAACTGAACACTACAAAATTCTCAGACCCTGAAATTCCCATCAAAAGTGCACAGAGAGCATTCCTAGGAGTATTCCTGGGGGACTGAAAACTGACTTGATGAACCACGAAAGGTTGACATTTCAGCAAAACAGTACTGAGAGCCAAGGACTAATAATAATAATAATAATAATAATAATAATAATAATAATAGTTGCTTAGGCCAGGAATGGTGGCTCACGTCTGTAATCCCAACAGTTTGGGAGGCGGAGGCAGACAGATCACCTGAGGTCGTGAGTTCAAGACCAGCCTGACTAACATGGAGAAACCCCATCTCTACTAAAAATACAAAATTAGCCGAGCATGGTGGCACATGTCTGTAATCCCAGCTACTCAGGAAGGCTAAGCCAGAATCGCTTGAACCCGGGAGGCAGAGGTTGCGGTGAGCCGAGATTGTGCCACTGCACTCCAGCCTGGGCAACAAGCAAAACTCCGTCTTAAATAATAATAATAATAATAATAGTAATAGCTGCTGATATCTGTCATTCACTTTATAGTTTATCTAGCATTTTCCATGGGTGGGTAGGACAGTATATCAACCCCCATTTTATAGAGAAGAACACAGGCTCAGTGAGGTAGAGTGACTAATCCTAAGTGTCCCAGCTGGTAAGTATCATAGTGACAACCAGAACCCAGACTCCTTGACTCTTCATATGGTCCTTTGCCCAGTACACTAGGCTGTACTGCTGCTGGACATCTCATGCTGCCTTTCCACAAAGGCCTGGAGCCCCTGGAAAGCCACACAGATTCCTGATGACTTGACTTTTGTCTTTCAGACTGTGACAGCTACTGTCTCCAGTGCCAAGGTCCCCATGAGTGTACCCGCTGCAAAGGGCCATTTCTCCTCTTGGAAGCCCAGTGTGTCCAGGAATGTGGGAAGGGGTACTTTGCAGATCATGCAAAGCACAAATGCACAGGTAACTTGGAGACTGCTGATTATTCTGGAAAGAAGTGAGGGCAGCAAGTAAGTCACATGTGCTGACTCTCAGGTATCCAAGAATACTTAAATTAGAAAGCAGAATGAAAGCCCAGAGGGCTTAGCCTAAGTAATTGATGGCTTCCCATGCATATCTGCCGTATGTTGGTTAATTAGGATATAGGAGTGTAAGCCAATATTCTCTTACACAAATCAATATTGTCCCCAAAGGTCTTTATGGAAACAAAGCCAATATTTTATGGAATGTAACGCTTCTATTGATCTACAGTGAGGGATCCATTAAGAGTGGATCAGCCCTGTTGATATAGACATAGAATTTTTAGTGTTTAGACTAAATGCCCATGATTCTGACATTGGCATAAATCCTTAAAGAATGGGATTTTTGGGGACAATTCAGTGAAACACACTGGAGCTTTTATGAAACTCAAGTTGAACCCCAAGTCTTAATCTCCTTGTCCACTGGATTAGCTAAGAGAGTTTTATCAGTTTGTTCTCATCATATCTATCAAAACTTGGTTCGTATGCCCCACTGTAATACTTGACATTTAATAATGCTATTAACCCGGCATAGCATTTACATATCACTAAATTTACCCCATTTGCATTATCTAATTTAATATTCACAATGGCTTGATAAAATATCACAGACACTATGAATCCTGTCTTACAAGTGAAAGAAAAATAAGAGACTTAAAAGTGTTAATCACAGCAGCTTAAGATCAGATGTTAAGCCCAGGTTTTCTGATTCTAATCCGGGGCCCTTTAAACTATACCGTATAGCCTCTCTATAACAAAATCTCAACTAAGAAAGCAGGAAAATTAGGCAGTAAAAATGCTTCATTGAAAATTGTTAACTTGACCTGAATAAGTAATCCTATGTCCTATTAATAGCTGCTCCCCTCCAGTATTTAAAATACTATTAAATACTACTACTAAAAACAATAATAATAAGAGATACAATGGTGGTAGTAGAAAAATTGAGCCCTTCCTGTGTACCAGGCACTGTTTTCGTCATTGCACATTATAACACATGTAATCCTCCCAACAATTATTTGCACTAGGTGCTATTAATGTTCCCATTTTTAAGACAAGAAATTTATGACACCGATTGTTAAACAGAACTTGCCCAAGGTCAACAGCTGGGAAGGTTAGAGGAGGAAGCGTACCTAGAAAGAGTCTGTGCTCTTAATCACTACAAAGGTCTTTTCTTACAAGTCAATATGGTTAACTTTTTAAACAATTCATTTTTGTGTAACATTTTTAGATCTCATTGTGGAACGTGAGGAGTGTTCCTCTCTGTAGATCAGCTCCCTATATATTCTGTAGGGAAACTGTCAGTATTCTCTTTTGTTACAGTTGGGGCTCATTTGTTGCATGTGCTCTGACTCTTCTGGTTGCAAGCCCTTTATTTCTTTGTCGCTGGTGTTGCCTTGATTGAGCCTCATTTAGTGTTTCCTTTTTTAATAGCCTGCCCTCAGGGGTGCTTGCAGTGCAGCCACAGGGACCGTTGTCACCTCTGTGACCATGGGTTCTTTCTGAAGAGTGGCCTCTGTGTTTACAACTGTGTTCCTGGCTTTTCTGTCCACACCTCTAATGAAACATGTTCTGGTAAGTGCTTCTCCTCAGATGGTCTGGTGAATTTACCAATAATTTCTCTATGTGAAGGCTGAGTTTGCAGACATAATTGACTTATGTGATATAAAATGCAGCATTCCCAATTTGGGAAAACCCATGGTGCTACTAAGGAGTAAGGGACTCTTTATAGAATATGGAAAATTGGGAAATCGCAACTTCTGTAATCATTGGAAAGGAAAAGAAGCAATCTGTGCCTTAAAAGTCACAGCTATCAGATAAGAAATTGGCATAAAACTTAGCTAAGTTCCTGAACTACAGCCATGTTATAGAAAATTACATATATACAGTCACACTTTGCTTAATGATGGGGATACATTCTGAGAAATGCATCATTAAGCAGTTTCATCATTGTTTGAACTCCATGGAGTGTACTTACACAAACCTAGATGGTATAGCCTACTACACACCAAGGCTATAAAAATATAGGCTACAAACCTGTACAGCATGTGAGTGTACTGAATACTGTAGGCAATCGTAACACAATAGTAAGTATTTGTGTTTCTAAACATATCTAAAATAGAAAAGGTACAGCATAATTTTATGGGACCACCATCATATAAGTGGTCTGTTGTTGACTGAAATGTTATATAGCACATGACTGTATTTACATATAATTTATTTATATTTATATAAATTTGTATAGCTAATTATGTCAAAGTGCAGTGGTACACCCTTTTTCACACAGTAGAGATAAATTATAAATAAATAACAAATAGTATGAGGAGTCTGCTTCATGAGGTTCACATGTTTCTAGTGGATGGATTTCAGGCTACCCCGTTTGCCCTTAAAAATATGTAACATCGGCCGGGCATGGTGGCTCACGCCTGTAATCCCAGCACATTGGGAGGCCGAGGCAGGCAGATCATCTGAGGTCAGGAGTTCAAGACCAGCCTGGTCAACATGGCAAAACCCCGTCTCTACTAAAAATACAAAAATTAGCCAGGCACAGTAATGAACGCCTGTAATCCCAGCTACTCAGGAGGCTAAGGCAGGAGAATCGCTTCTTGAACCCAGGAGGTGGAGGTTGTGGTGAGCCGAGATCATGCCACTGCACTCCAGCCTGGGTGACAGAGTGAGACTCTGTCTCAAAAATAATAATAATAATAGGTAACATGTTAAGAAATGAAGCCATTCTCTTCCAACACATTAGTGGACACGTTACCTTAAATAACAAAGAGAAGTGAATTTAAATTCAGTCTTAATTTTGAATCCCAAAACCTTTATGGTGAGTAAAGCTTGGGAGGGACATTACTCTGAGTGTTTGTTGGCTTTTGAGAGTCGTTCGTCAAAAACATGAGGCATTTTTTAACACTCATATTCAATCATATTTTCTGTCTCTATATTTCTGGCCTTTAAAGATATTAAGACTTCCCCATGGGAAAAAATATTTTTGGCTTATTTTTGGGGAATCTTTCTGAAAACCCTAAGTACTTGAGAGCCAGCTTACTTCTCTCTGGGATATAAGTCCACTTGTGAAAATGAGTGCCACTCTCATTAGAGCGATCTTACAGTCGAAGTAGTCCCACTGAAACTTGGCATTTCCAAACTGTCCTGTCTGACCTAGTTGTAAAAAGGAGCACTACCAACTAAAGTCCAGGCAAAAACAACTTGCAGGAGACGGGATAAATTCTACAGCATGTTAAGAAATCCCTTTTTGTCCATCAGATGTTTCATGTGGACAAAGATTATAAAATTGTAAGACAAGGTATGTGTATTTCACATGAATTCTAAGTATGAGCCCCTGATAATCCTACTCCAGTGTAAATTAACTGGTGCTATTCTAGGAAATGGTAGCAAACACCAGCCTCTTTACTTGCCCTTGGCAGGTCTGATGTGGCAGGTGCATCAGGATAGGACTGTGGTTCTCAAAGCCAGCAGCCCGCTAGGATTACCTGCTGAGTTTGTAAAATTCCCGAGGTCCTACCCAAGAACATCCAAGTCAGAAGCTCTGGCAGTGGAGCCCAACTGTCAGTATTGTTTTAAAAGATCCCTATATGATTCTTATTATTATTGAGATGTAATTTACATACCATAAAATTCATGCTTTAAAGTATACAATTCAGTGGTTTTTAGTGTATTCACAAAGTTGTGCAACTATCACCACTACCTATTTCCAAAACATTTTCATCACTCTAAAAGGAAATCCCATAATATTAGCAGTTTCTCTCCGCTCCTGTCTCAACCCAGTCCCTGGAAACCACTAATCTCCTTCTGTCTCTAGGTATTTGCCTATTCTAGACATCTCACATAAATGGAACTTACAATATATGGCCTTTTATGTATGGCTGCTTTTACTTAGCATAATATTTTCAAGGTTCATCCATATGATATCATGAATCAGCACATCATTCCTTTTTCTTTCTGTAGATGAGTAATATTACATTTTGTGACATACCACATTTTATTTATCCATTAAACAATGAATGGACTTTTGAGTTGATTTCACTTTTTGACTATTATGAGTAATGCTGCTATGAACATTTGTGTACAAGTTTTGTGTGGACAAATGTTTTCAATTCTCTTGGGTTTATATACCCAGGAGTGGAATTGCTGTGTCCTTTGGTAACTGTATTTAATTGAGGAACTGTCCAACTGTTTTCCCAAGTGACTACACCATTTTACACTCCCATCAGTAATCCATGAGGTTTTGATTTCTCCACGACCTAACAATTTTCATTGTCTTTCCTAGTGGAAGTGAAGTGATATCTTATTGTGTTTATGATTTTGCACCTGCTCATGTGCTTATTGGCCTTTTGTGTATCTTCTTTGAAGAAATGCCTATTCAAATTCTTCACCCATTTTAAAAATTGGGTTTTTCATTTTCTATTGTTGAGTTATAGGAGTTCTTTATATATTCTTGACACAAGTCCCTTTGTAGATATATGATTTGCATGTTTACTCCCATTCTGTGGGTTGTCTTTTCACTTTCTCATGGGTGTCCTTTGAATATAAAAAATTTACATTTTGATGATGTCCATTTATTTTTTCTTTTGTCACATGTGCTTTTTGTGTCTTATCTAAGAAAGCATTGTCTACTTCAAAATCGTAAAAATGTACTCCTATATTTTCTTCTAAGAGTTTTATAGTTTAACGATTACATTGAAGTCCTATGCTCTTGCCGTGCATCCAGTGTGGTAACCACTGGGAGGCTTATTGTATACCATAGCCCAGAATTTCATCTGTGCAGCTCTGAATTTACAACATTACAAGCTTATTTAACATTTTTAAGAAAAGGTTGGCACACGGAGGGCAGCTGAAAGGAAAGCTGGAGCTGCCTGTAAGAGGGGAACATGTCTGAGTCAGAGCCACAGCTCAGCAGGAAGTGAGAGTGGTGTTTGGCAGATGCGGTGGTAAAGATAGGTACTGGTTTGGAATTAGGAATTGTTTTCTCACCTAAGCTTCTTTAAAAGAAGAAAGTAGCCATTAGCCTTTAGTTTGGCATGGAATTAGGAATGGCCTACTCCAGCCATCGGCATAGTTTCCAGGCTCCATGTCTTCTATATGGAACGTGTGTCAAAGAACAGGAGCAGTTACTCACACCTGAGGACCTCCCACTGGCAGGCAAAGAGACATCATGTGTATTCTTCAGGAATACCGAAGTTCCCTAGAGCGAGCTGACGGTTGTGGTCTTTTGTAACAATGTAATGCTATAAACTCCAGCACACTGTTTATGCAGTGAAATCAACTCTGTTTCTTATTTTGTGTTTATTCTCTGGAAATTGTAAGGAGGTGGTCTGAAAAAATAAACAAAATAAGGGGAAAGTGACCTAATTAGTGAAGGTACCATAAGCTTGACCTTTGGATTCATATGTTTTTCAGGCAAAATACACACCCCTAGTCTTCATGTGAATGGTTCCCTGATCCTCCCAATTGGTTCAATAAAGCCACTGGATTTTTCCCTCCTGAATGTCCAAGACCAGGAGGGTAGGGTCGAAGATCTCCTATTTCATGTTGTGAGCACTCCCACCAATGGTCAGCTAGTGCTCTCAAGAAATGGAAAAGAGGTTCAGCTGGACAAGGCTGGCCGTTTTAGCTGGAAAGATGTGAACGAGAAGAAAGTGCGTTTTGTGCACAGCAAAGAAAAACTCAGGTGACTCTGTGTTCTGTTGTTTTCTTCCTGCCTCCTTTCCATCATTGCTTTTCCACTCCTCCACCCTGTCCCAGCCTCTCTGTCTCAATAGCTAACCCTTCTCATCTGGGGAAGATCAATACTCCACAAGCCCAAATACTCTCAGCTGCCTGTCATCATTTCCCTGTGATTGCTCAAAGAGCGTGCATCTGTTAGAGACATTTTCGTTTTCTCACATAATTGTGGGTAATTCTCTGATGCGACAGAAAAGTCCTGATACAATTACCCAGATTTTTGGCCCAGCAGAAACAAAACTGGTCATATAACTAGATGTTACAGCTGCTTCTTCAACATTGGGGCAATGTACTGGCGACAGAGAGAGAGGATGGAGCACATTCTTTTCAAGGTGTTGTATGGTCTCTGGGATTTTAGAGTTGAAAGGAAACTTAGAATCACAGTGAACTTTTTATTATCCACATTATGGAATTAATTGTGGTTAATTTTTAAGCCTGATCCAGTTTTCCCCTGATGCTTAGCACACTTCTGGCTGCCTTCCCCACCCCAGCTGACATATGCTTCAGGAATGCAGTTGAATGTTAACACCAACCCAAGCAAATACAGCTATATAATTAGCAGGGTAAATCTACTCCACAGAAGTCAGAGGGTGCCCCCCAAAGATTAGCCTCTTGGATTATCCTTCATCCTGCTCTGCTTCATTAGTGCAGATAATTCAGCATAGACTCTATGTATAAACAAGGAGTTGAAACGCTGAAACAGTGACAAGGACACAGTGAGTATTTTTACTGTCAACACTAACCTTGAGGGTTGGTTGGTTTTGAGGTTTGGGCTGGGAGATAGGTGAGGAGAAAAGTAGATGGCACTGTCTCTATTGTAATTCAGAGGTGATGATGCCAGTGACCTTGGAAGATCATATTATAGGAATAAGAACAACTAGCATTTATGGAATGCTAACTTTGAGCCAGGCATCATGTTAGGCACTTTACATGAACTATGTATCTCATGTTGCTAGTCTACAGATAAGGAAACTGAGGCCTTGAGAGTATAGGTTATCTTGCCCAAGACCTCTCAACATGTGTGTGCAGAGCTGAGACTCCAAGCCAAGACTGATTCCACAATGCATGCCTTTAGCCACAATGATTTCTGCCTCCCTAATATACTAGGAACAATAGGCATGCTTCCATCCTCGAAGGACAAAAGGTCACTTCATAGAGAAGTATTGCTACAGAGATGGAGCTTAAAACTCTGGTGTTTGATGCCATAGACTCTTCAAATTCCTACTCTATATTCTGCATTCATTTTTACTATAAGTATTATTATTGTTATTTGAGACAGAATCTCACTCTGTCACTCAGGCTGGAGTACAGTGGCACGATCTTGGCTCACTGCAACCTCTGCCTCTTGGGTTGCCTCAGCCTCCTGAGTAGCTGGGACTACAGGCACATGCCACCATACCCAGCTAATTTTTGTATTTTTAGAAGAGACAGAGTTTCACTGTATTTGCCAGGCTGGTCTCGAACTCCTGACTGCAAGTGATCTGCCTGCCTTGGCCTCCCAAAGTGCTGCAATTACATGTGTGAGCTGCAACACCTGGCCTATTCTTAAGTATTTCTATCACACAGACACAGAAACACAGAGCTATACAACTCTGTATAGTAGTCACTTTTCTTGCAGTCACTTATGAAAAGCGTAAAGCTTCGTAGACAACCGAGATCAACCCTCTTGTCTATTTAACATCTTTAACCTCTCATCACCTGTTTTTTTGTGGAATCATAGC
The DNA here is from genome assembly GCF_000001405.40 of Homo sapiens. NCBI lineage: Eukaryota > Metazoa > Chordata > Mammalia > Primates > Hominidae > Homo > Homo sapiens. Next base: position 78,381,771 of record NC_000004.12, read on the forward strand.
TTTGTACCCCTAAATGGGACAAAGAATGGCAGTTTAGGAAATCCTCACAGTACTCTTTTTGGGGTACCCATTTTAATACTGGATTTTCTTTATCCAACAAAAGAAAGAATGAGAGGTATAATAAAAATTCAGCAAAAGAAAGAATGAGAAGAATAATAAAACGAGGTTGGTAGAAACCCATGGAAAATAAAATTATTGAAGTCTCTGAATAATGCAAAACAAAAGGGCAACCTGCCACATCAGTTTGTGTTTTGTTTTGTTTTTAACCATGAAGACACTGACCGTGATTCTTTAGGATTGGATTCCTTTGGGATTAGAATGCTTCTGTGGAGTAAAAGACAACTTATAAGTGTAGTTGCCATCACTGGAACAAAATGGCATTGCTGATATACTGAACACTGTTATTGGAACCTCAGTGCCACCAAAAATCACTTACCCTTATTTGATAGGAAGTACCACCCTTTCTTTTTTCAGGGGTGGTACTCTCATCAGTTAATAAAATAAGGCATTATTTAATAAAATAAAATAATTTTTAAAAATGATAAATAATGTATTTTATTTATAATGCTGTATTTTATTTATAATGCTGTATTTTATTAATTGATGGAAGTACCACCCCTGAACAAGGAAGGGGTGGTACTTTCAATCAAATAACAGTGATATACTGAACACTGTTATTGGAACCTCAGTGCCACCAAAAATCATTTTTAAAAAACTATTTTTGTCTTCCCTTCTCTTCTGTCCTGGAAGACAATCCATCAGTTACATTCTCTTGAAGCCTGAGGTGGTGGTGGAGAGGGACAGGACTTAAATGGGACAGAAAATGAAGGGAAGATAGAAGAGAAGGGAAGACAAGAATCATTTTTTAAAAAGCAATCACGTTTATTGAGGTATAATTTGCATTCAATAAAATCCTCCATTTTGAAGTGTGTTGTTCTATAAATTTTAATAACTGTATACAGTTTCGCAGTCTTGTGACCACAACCATAGTCAATATGTAAAATAGTTCCGTAACCCCAAAAGTCTTTTTATAGTTGCTCCTTTACCCCTAGTCACTGGTGACCACTGATCCATTTTTACTGCTGAGTTTTGTGCTTTTTAAAATGTTAGGTGAATGGAATCAAACAATATGTAGCCTTTTGTTTCTGTCTTTTGCCATAATGCTTTTCAGATCCATCCACATTCTTTCATGTATAAATAGTAGTTCCAAGAATAACTTCTAAAGAACTTTTAAAACAATGGTCCCTCTAGTAGACTAGAATTCAAAAATCCCCATAATGCAGTAGTCCTATATCTTACCATTCAGCAGCGAGTTCTGTGCTTGGTTTGGCATTGAAGGTGGGTAAGTCTTACCTTCCCTCCTAGCAGTCTCTGAAGCTGCTTGAACAACGGCTTATTTTATTACTAATTGGGACTTTTTGGTTGCAAGTAATGGAAGTAAACTTGAAGTAGATTAGCAAAAATGTAAGACTTGTTATAACATTGCAGGGGTGGCTCAGATCTCAAAGGCACCAAGGGCAATTGTGCTCCAGGACAGTCTGGAAGCAAGGACTGGGAAGGGGAAGCAGGAATCAATTCTTCTCTCATCCCTGTGTCTCTTTGCTTATATTTGCTTATAGGCTTCATTCATTTCTCTATTACACTCAGGCTTGTTCTACATAATAGACTCTGGTTGTCCTGTAGTCAGATGCTGAGACTGACTGCTGGCTCTCGGGCCAGTTGCAAATCGCCAGGGAAGAATCAGCCATCCTTCCCTAGTCTGTCCACAATGACTATGAGTAGGCTGGTGGGGAGTGAGGGGAGATGAACAGCCGTGTAATACAGACATTGCAAATGTTGTTACTAGGGGCCCACTCACATGAATTGGGCAGGAGTTAGGAAGAGCATTTGTTGGGAAGAGGGAATCGTGGAGAACTGGTCAGAGACTATAAAAGATTCCTTTCAATTCTTCAATTTAACCATTAGCCTACAATATATTACTAATCTGCCTTGGCCTGACAACTAATTTTTCACCCTTTATTCAGTTTAGAAAGATAGGAAACAAAATGTTTACATAATTATTATTATTGTTATAAGGAGATTTAAGAACACACAGTATTTTTACCTGAATCTTACTATGTTCATCTTTATCTGGTAGTTTTTTCTTTATAGTATGAGTGTGACATTACTGCAGCAGTTTGATCCAAATTCTTACCTACACATAACCTGAAAATGTTTTTAAGCCTTTTCTGTGTAAAGTCTAATGTAATGATTGTATTTTCTTATTCCTTTCTTTGGGACTTCTTTAGGAAAGGTTACCTTTTCCTGAAAATTAGTGACCAGCAGTTCTTCTCTGAGCCACAGCTGATCAACATACAAGCATTTTCAACACAGGTAATAAAAATGGCCACGTAATTAATAATTTTACATGACTACTAGTTCTCAAGCACGAAATCTAGGTTTCCTGTGGATTTAATGAAAATTATTGCATTAAATTAATCTAGTCTTGGTTTCCTCTTGAGATGCCACTGGAGTAATTTTTAGGACTTCTGGGTAATAACAACAGCAGCAACCAAAATTACTAATACTTCTCTAGTACTTAGTGTTATAGTCTTAGTGTTTCACGTAAGTAACTCAGTTAATCCTTATGCCAATATTATGAGGTATTATTGTCTCCAATTTACAGACAAGGAAACAAAGTCACAAGAAGGCGACATAACATGTCTGTGGTAATATAGCTAATAAATAGGGAGTCAATGTTTGTGCCCAGTAAATCTGGCTACAGAGGCGGTGTTCTTAACCGTTATATTATGACGCATAACTTTACTATACTAAATCTGCTACCAGCCCTTCCAAATAGTTGGCAGGGTGCAGTGGCTCATGCCTATAATCTCAGCACTTTGGGAGGCTGAGGCAGGTGGATTGCTTGGGCCCAGGAGTTTGAGGCCAGCCTGGGCAACATGGCGAAACCCCGTCTATACCGAAACAAAAAAAAAAAATACAAAAAATTATCTGGGCCCAGTGATGCATTCCTATAGTCCCAGCTACTTGGGGAGCTGAGGTGGGAGGATCACCTGAGCTCAGGGAGGTTGAGGCTGCAATGAATGACGATCATGCCACCGTGCCCCAGCCTGAGCAACACAGTGAGACCCTGTCTCAAAAAAAAAAAAAAAAAAAAAAGACTGTCTTTATCTTTAGGTAAAGGAGTTTGTTTTATCTCTCTCTAGTATGTGGAATTTGCAGCAGTTAGAGAATATTATTAAGGATCTACTTAAATGAGGCTCTAGTGTGCCAGTGTGGCCATCAACAAAACACAGACATAAGGAAGTCATGGTAGATGCTATAAAGCTCAGTGTGATGGCCCTTCAAACTCACCTCTCATCATTCATCTCCATCAAGTTGTACTTACGGGTCCAGAATACATATAGTTGTAGCTGCTCTAGAAACTGGGCTTGAGGGATTGAAGAGCCGAAATGTATGAAGAATAGGGAAATAGGTATATTCATATGTTATGAAAAGCAAGAGAGTGGAATATTCTCCTGGGGAACCAAGACTAGCTAAATATCCAGATCTCAGTATCATGTTATTCATGATTCAAGGAAGGACACTAGATGATTGTTTTTCATCTGATGTTTTTATATCTTTGGTCCAAAAATGAAAGGATCATGGATAACAACATAGACTTGAACCAGTGGTGGCTGCAAAATGGTATTAATAGCCCAGTTCACCTCTTCTTGATGGTATTATCACATCAGGGATAAATTGGAGTTTAATGATTTGAAAATGATCCTAAGTTAATTTGATCTCATGGGTGGGCAAAATATATAAATTTTGTTTTAATTAAAACTAAAACAGGCTGGGCTCAGTGGCTTATGCCTGTAATCCCAGCAATTTGGGAGGCTGAAATGCATGGTCACCTGAGGTCAGAAGTTCGAGACCAGCCTGGCAAACATGGTGAAACCGCGTCTCTACTGAAAATACAAAAATTAGCCGGGCATGGTGGTGGACACCTGTAATCCCAGCTACTCGGGAGGCTGAGGCAGGAGACTCGCTTGAACCCGGGAGGCAGAGGTTGCAGTGAGCTGAGATCGTGCCACTGCACTCCAGCCTGGGCAACAGAGTGAGACTCTGTCTAAAAAAAAAAAAAAAAAGCTGAAACAGGTGATCTCTGTAAATTTAGGACAGAGGGCTACATCCAGTCTTACAACTTACTGGTTTAGATGTTTCTCAGTCCTTACACTCAGAAACTTTGTTTCGTTCTTTTTGTTTGAGCTAATAAAGTTACTCCAGTGAAAGATCAAAGGTAGATATTGGCAAGTCTTCCTAATCTGACATGGTGAGTTCCCATGGTTCCCCAAGTGTGGCTTGTGTGTTTTTCCACAATCAAGTGAGTAAATAAGGAGAACATTTAATTTTATTTATTATATGAGAAACTTTTATCATTTTAAGTCTTTAAAATGGAATTTTAGAAAATCATTTTAACTTATTTTCATTCCTTTAAATTTCTGTGACATTGCAATATGGTCTTGAGCCTCTCTGAAATTTTCTCATGCAAGTTAATTTCGTCTTTTCCATTTGTGAATTTTGACATCATCTTTGACTTTTCCTCTTTCAGAGTAGGAGGGGTCACTCTTTCCCATGTATAGAATCACAGCTGTAGAATTCTCACTTGAGAATTCTAAAGACTAACTATCATCTAATTTCCCACTATGTAACTATTATAGTGATGTATTAGACATTCCTTTAATAGAGATTGTAATTTCCAGGAGGCCAGGAGGGTGCTTGGGTAGTTTTAAAAGAAAGCCATTTGGATTAAAGAAAGCAGTGTGTTGAGAAAAGTCCTAGATGGTTCCACTTCAAATGATATTTTTTTAAAAACTGAAATAATATTTTCTTTGGCTTCTGGCCTCAATTTTTTTGGGTGAGTTTTTTTTCTGTTGTGGTTCATTAGCTTTTATCTTTATGAAATAACATTTTATTTGCTTACTCAACTTGGTGGGAGGTAACCTGACAATCCTAAGAAAAAGATATTAAATTTTACTATAATATATTAGCCTTGTCACATGAATTAGCCAGGTGGTTGCCTTACTCACCTAGACCATAATCTTGGCACACTTTATAACCTGAGTTGGGGTGGGGCTCTGTCAAGATTTGGATGAGAAAACTGAAGAAAATTACTGGGAGGGACTAGAAACAGCATGAGCTCAGGATGCAAAAGTAGCTTCCTCAGAGTCAGTATACCACAACATGGCCTGGAGTGAAGTGTGTCCTCCCAAAGGCAAGTCCAAAAATTTCATACCTCTTATTAGTCTCTTTTGGGATAAATTTAAGTCAGGATAGCAGAGAAATTAGAGATTTAGAAGCTAGCAGCTCTCACCAGTTGTCTCTCAAGTCTTGAAGTAGCTTGATAAACCTCTAGAACCCAGAGGTGTGAAGTAACCTTAGTTGTTGTGTTCCTGTGAGTGACCACACCTCTGACGAATGTGTTCACCATAGAACAGTTTGGTGCTTTGCTAGAACACTTAGAGTTTCTCAAAAAGTATAGGAATAACAATCAGGTATCTAGTCCACTGGATTGTCCTTTCTTTCCCTCTTAACTGACTCTTCTTCCCTTCAACTCCACAGGCCCCCTATGTGCTGAGAAATGAAGTTCTCCACATTAGCAGAGGAGAGAGGGCAACCATCACCACCCAGATGCTTGACATCCGAGATGATGACAACCCACAGGATGTGGTCATTGAAATAATCGATCCTCCACTTCATGGCCAATTGCTTCAGACACTTCAGTCCCCGGCAACCCCTATCTATCAATTCCAGCTGGATGAACTCTCTAGAGGCCTTCTCCACTATGCTCATGATGGTTCAGACAGCACATCCGATGTTGCAGTCTTGCAGGCCAATGATGGACACTCCTTCCATAATATACTGTTCCAAGTGAAGACCGTGCCTCAGGTAGGTGTCATTCCTAGAGTTACAGTTTCTTTGCACCTAGATGTGAACTTCTACGGTTGATATTATTTTATGATACTCACAAAGTTAAGATATGGGTAGTCATTCACTTATTCAAATATAACCTATTATATAGAGGGCACTATATATCTAGTTAGGAGCACCCTTGATCTGAAAGACCTGTCCCCATGTTCTCTACAAATTGGGACACTTTTGAACCTTTTTTGTTGAGGTACTGCCATAAGAACGTGTTATTATCCACTAATCCTTTTGTCTCCTGCCTGAGCATAACCATAAGAATCAAGATATTTCTGTTTTTATCTGCCCCTCAAAAACAGCTCATGAGGCCAGGTGTGGTGGCTCACGCCTCTAATCCCAGCACTTTGGGAGGCTGAGGTGGGTGGATCACGAGGTCAGGAGATCAAGACCATCCTGGCTAACACGGTGAAACCCCGTCTCTACTGAAAATACAAAAAATTCGCTGGGCGTGGTGGCGGGTGCCTGTAGTCCTAGCTACTCGGGAGGCTGAGGCAGGAGAATGGCGTGAACCCAGGAGGCAGAGCTTGCAGTGAGCCGAGATCGCGCCACTGCACTCCAGCCTGGGTGACAGAGAGAGACTCCGTCTCAAAAACCAAAAAAAAAAAAAAACAAAAAAAACCCAGCTCATCAAATGTGAAGTTCATAGTCAGATAATCTGAATGACTCAAAAACGTTGAGTTCAGCCATTCTGTTAGCTCAACTAAAGTAGGATGAGCAAACTCTTTTGGTAATCCTAGGGATCTTTGCCCTAGGGAGTAGGAGCCAATAAAGAGCATTGGGCCAGGTGCAGTGGCTCATGCCTGTAATCTCAGCACTTTGGGAGGTTGAGGTAAGGGGATCACTTGAGCTCAGGAGTTTGAGACCAGCGTGAGCAACGTGGAGAAATCTTGTCTCTACTAAAGTTTTTTTTTTTTTTTTAAATTAGCTGGGTGCAATGGCATGCACCTATAGTCTCCACTACTCAGAAGGCTGAGGTGGGAGGATCACTTTAACCCAGAAGTTCCAGGTTGCAGTGAGCCATGATCACACTACTGTACTCCAGCGTGGATGACAGAGCAAGGCCCTATCTCTAAATAAATAAATAAATAGCATTTTTGCTCAGCCTGAGTCATTGACATGCCACCTTTTTATGTTTTCGCCATATCCACAAGCACCTGTACTATTATTTACTTAATATTTTTCTTTGTATCAACTTACTTTTTATTGTAGCCTCATCTTAATAAATAATACTTATGAAATCATGGGCTTAATGTAGAATTATACTTTTTTTCTAAAATATGAAAAATAATACATAACCATTCTACAACATTTTGTCCATATGCTACTGAAAATGTTCTTGGACACTGCAAATGAGATGGCTCTCACACTTTAGGAAATACTAGGCTGAGCCATTGCTAGACCAAAGGGACACGAAAAACATTTTCAAAACTAGTTGATGTTTCACTGGATGCCCTTTACTCAGTTGCATCAAGAATGGCTCTTTCTCATGGTAGTAGATTGGGAAACATAAATCTTAAACAACCTTTTATTTCAAATATCACTGCCTACTGAGGTGTCATTAATGACTAGCTAGAGAGACTGGTTTGTTGAGGACAGTTTAAAACCACTTGTCACTTTCTCATCAGTGATCACTCAAAATTTGCGATTGATCCGATTGAGCCTCATGAAGGTGAACAGCTGAATCTAATATGATCTGCTAGGTAATTTCTCAGTTTCCTGTCTCGTTATTTTCAGCTGCTGAAAGCAGTGAAGGTGGCATAGGAGAGATGGGAGTGAGTGAAAGCTGATGATGAGATGGAGTTGGCAGATAGCCACCTTGCAACTCATCCTAATTATCACTCTTGCGATGGCCCTGGGAGATGAGGTTTAGTTCTGGACAGATGAAGTCTAGACAGAGAGAAGTTTTTGTTTCTTCGTTCTTGGTTTCTTTCTAAAGGTTGTTAGAGGATTTCAGTGCCACCCTAGCAGCTGCCTTTCCTATTGTGGCTTCCATCTCCACGTTTGGAGCTCAGTTCAGTGTGTTGCACAACCATTTTGTGTGGAATGGCCCAAGATGGAAGGACATTTCTAGGGTTTTAGCTGCTTTGACTACCAGAACAAAACCAAGAAAAATGGAAATTTAATTCATAAATAAAGCACAAGACACAGAGTTTTGGGATCCTTGTGACTTGTGAGTCATGTAGGTATTTTCTATGTCTGTCTGTGATACCTGAAAAGTGAATTTAAGTTGTGCTCTGGGCCCCTTTTCATCCCTCTCTCCTGTATTGCTGTGATTACCTGCCCATGGATTGGAATAATGAAACCCATGACCAGAGCCTCAGCATTCATCAGGATGTACTAATAATACATCTGACTGCAATACTGGCAACATTATACAAATGTGTACTATTTTTCCTCTTAGGAATTCAAAATATTTTTTCCTTATATCTCTTTTACTGATCTTTACAATGTCTTGGGGAAGAAGGTTAGAGTAGAGGCTATGGGACCTTAATTTTTCTAATGGAGATTCTATTATGGGTGGAAGTTTTTTGTTTTGTTTTTGATGTTAGGCACTAAAGCTTGATGGGAATTATTCCATTTGATCTTCATGATCACTCTGTGATGTTTGTACAGTTATTATCCATAATTTTCCAAAAGAGGAAACTGAAGCACAAAGAGGTTCAAAAACATTCATTTTCATAAAGATACTTAGTGCTGGAGCTATGATTTCATCTCAAGTGTGTCTGCCTCCTACATTTAACCATGAGACTCTTTTCATTCCAGCTAGTGTTTTTCAGTGTGTTGGTCATATATATTCTTATCCCCTTGATGGATAGAATAAAGACAGTAATTTAGTCATTTTCTCAATGTTCTATCCAAGCTGGGCCCCAAGCCTTCTGTAATCTTTCCTCTGAACTCACTGTATCTTGTTACAAGTGAGAGTATTTATAATCATTAAGTCTTCCAGGCCCAAGAAGAAAAAAATGCCTCAACTCTTATGGCTTCTTGTAGATGCATTGTCAGACATGACTGATTCATTCTAACAGCCATTAGTGAAGATGGGCATGTAAGTTCTTACCCTGTGGCTACCTAGTTATTAAACCTGGAGTGAGCTGATAGTTTAAATGGAATGGCCAAGTGGCTTGTGTTTAATTCCTAGTGAATGAATGTACGAATTACTCCTGATATTCAACAGAAAACACAACCTGTCAAGGTAACTAGGGAGGGATAGAAAAAGGAAGCTTTGTGTGAACAGGGACTATTCCAGTCTTACTCCCCTGAGCAGAGCACATCGTAGGAGTTCAGTACCTTTTTTGGTTTTTTTTGGATGGATGGGTAATGGATGGATGCAATGGCTTGAGTGAGGCTGGTGCCTGTGTTCCTGCCTTCCAATTCATCTCTTGCATCAGATGAGAAGCCCTTGGGGCACCTCTGTGATAGCCCACCTGGGAATGGGTAGAGGAGCTGTCAGTTCAACCCTTGTTTTCCAAGTTCTACATCACTTCCCCCAAACTTAAGTTTTTATCTTTGGCCTGATAGTGAATAAACTTGACTGCCACCTCCAGCCTTATACTGAGTTGCTGAGGAGAAAATATAACCAGGACTGATGTTGAAACATGTTCTGTTGGGGGAAGGAGGCAAAAGAATTAAAACAGATTAAAAGGTAATAAAGAATGCGTTGCTGAACAGGCTTTCATTAATTGGGGGGATTACTAAACCCAAGCCTGCTGCAGATATGATTCTAAAGCAATTTGACATTTAATGAGGGCTAAAATGTGGACAGGGGAAAATCATACTTACTGGTGGGCTTCTGTCTACTACTGGGGTTTCAAGGAATTGTCTTCTTTTTCATTAATTAAGATACCTCTGGAAATCATGCCTTTTTTTTCCACTCTGGCAATACATCTGATGATCTTTCTGAACTTCTTTGTTACTCTTTGAGCAGTATTTTCTGCAACTGGGTAATCCTTTAATGTCAAAAGTCCCCAAGTGTCATGCTAGGAACTGGATGGAAAATTCTATTGCTGAGAGTCCTCTCTGGCTGTTTATCTGTAGTAAGGCCTGTGTACAGATAAATAGCCCTGTGGTGTTTTCCCTCAATTTCATTAATGCCTACCTCTCATTGGTTGTCTTTCAGGGACACAGTTGGTTTGATAATAGTGACATTTATGAGAGTTACAAATATCAATGGCATAAAATGTCTATTTCTTATGAGTAAGAGCCTATATCATAAATAACTAAATCCTTGCCATATATGAGGGTTTCACCTTTTGGGGGGGTTTGATTAGCTTGTTCAATTCAGTATCTCATAAGGTGCATAATCAGAAAATGTTTCCTTAAATATACATATACTGGTTGAAATCTACATGGAGCAAGGGTTCTATATTCTTGACCTGAAAGCAAGCTTCTGGGGCTCATATACACATTGACAAACACAGAAACAGTCCAATTATCTTTCCTGCTTTCTTTATGCTGGTAAATTTCACCACACCACCCCACATGATTTTTTCCACAGTGTCCTATGAGATTAAATTTTAATAGCTATGATATAAATGAGATCTTGCAAATTAAGGTATATTTTTACAGAACAAGTAAAATTATAAGGTCACTGTTACATTCAACATTAGTCATTTTCTATTTAGTGAGGTTTAAAACTTTTATCTTGAATATTTTGGCCTGGGGTTAGAGTACATTATCATTTCAGCTAACGTTTCTTCATTTATGACTCAACCTTTAATTTTGGGGGGAAGTTTTCATTGTGTTTGTGAGATTTTTTTTCTCCAAAAGATGGAGGCTTATGGCATTATTTCTGGTTTGTAACATTAATATTTTTATTTGTAATATGATATGGAATGGCTAAGCTTTATTACCATTTCTGCATGCCTATTGTTCTATGAAATGAATTAGAAGAACTATTTAATTTAAAGCGCTGTTTTAATCATGCCCCCAGTTTTACTTTTTGGGATTTTATTGCCTGCTAATGTGGTCCTCTGGAGGATCTATAAAACATTACTGGGCATTCAGTTGGTAATATAACTAATTTCTTGAACTGGCAGGGATATATACATCATGTACAGAAAAAAAAATATGAGGAGATAAAAAAATTCAAAATGTCAGAACCATTGGGGAAATTAGGTTAAAATTAGGCTTTTTGGACACCTTAAATGTAGAAAAGATGATATATACCCTTCTATCCATCTCTTCTTGAATCTTCCCTGGATCCTCTCCAAAAGAAAACAATAAGAAACAAACATGTTCATCATGATGAGTGGGAAGATTCATGCTTCTTCCTTTTTTTTTTTTTTTAAAAAAAACCCTACTTTATTGAGGAATGATTGACATGTAAAAAGCCGTACATATTTAATGTATACAACTTGAGTTTGAGGATAAGTATATAGGCATGGAAGCATCACCACTATCCAGGTCTTTGACATTTTCCTAACCTCATAAAGTTTTCTCCTGCTTTGTTTACTAATTTTATGTATTTATTTACTTATTTTTTGTGGTAACATAAGCTCTACTATCTTAGCACATTTTAAATATACTATATTGTATTGATAGTCATAGGCACTATGCTATATAGTAGGTCTTCAGGACTTACTTATCCTTTGTGTATCTACTGCAGGTTTTTCTTCATGATTACCATAAGGGTTACATAAAATATCTTATAATAGTCTATTTTAACTGAAAGTTACGTTTTGACCATCCATCTCCCCGTTTCCCCTTTCTCCCAGCCCCTTGCAACTGCCATTCTACTATCTGCTTTTATGAGTTTGGCTATTTCAGATTCCACATATAAGCAAGATCATGTAGTTACTGTCTTTCTGTGTCTGGCTTATTTTGCCTGGCATAATGTCTTCCAGTTTCTTCCATATTGTTGCAAATAGCAGGATTTCCTTCACTTTTAAGGCTGAATAATATTCCACTATATGTTCATTTATCCATTGATTGACACTTAGGTTGATTCTGTATCTTGTCTATTGTGAATAATACTACAATGAACGTGGAAGTGCAGATAGCTCTTCAACATGCTGATTTCATTTACTTTGGATGTATATCCAGAAGTGTGATTGCTGATCATATGGTAGTTTGTTTTTAAGTTTTTGAGGAGCCTTCATAGTAGCTGTAACAATTTACTTTCCTCCCACCAATGTACCAGGATTCCCTTTTCTCCAAATCCTCTCTAACATTTACCTTTTTTTTAGCCATCCTGACAAGTGTGAGGTAGTTTTGCTTTGCCTTTTTCTCATGATTATGTATGCTTTTCATATACCTGTTAGGCATTTATATGCCTTCTTTGGAGAAATACCTATTTAGGTTTTTTCCCCATTTTTAAATTATTTGAATTTTTTTGCTTTTGAGTTGTAGGAGTTTCTTATATATTGTGAATATTAACCTCTTATGAGATATTGGTTTTGCAATTATTTTCTCCCATTCCATAGGTTGCCTTTTCATTTTGTTGATTATTTCCCTTGCTGTGCAGATGCTTTTTGGTTTGACATAATCCTGCTTGTTTATTTTTGCTTTTATTTCCCGTGATTTCAATGCCATATCCAAAAAATAGTTGCCAAGACCTATATCAAGGAGAATTTCCCCTATGTTTTCTTCTAGGTCTTTCACAGTTTCAGGTCTTCTGTTTAAGTCTTTAACCCATTTTGAGTTGATTTTTGTGTATGATGTAATTTCATCCCTTTGCATGGGATATCTAATTATCCCAACACTATTTATTGAAGAGACTATTCTTTTCTCCTTTCCTTATTTTATATTCTTTGCACTCTTGTTGAAGAATAGTTGGTCATAAATGTGTTTATTTATTTCTGGGCTCCTTATTCTGTTCCACTGGTCTATGTATTTGTTCTTATTCCAGAACTGTAATGTTTTAATTACTATAACTTTGTAATGTAATTTGGAATTAGAAAGTGTGAGGCCACCAGCTTTGTTCTTGCTCAAGATTGCTTTGGCTATTTGGGGATTTTTGTGGTTCCATATGAATTTTAGGATTTGTTTTTCTGTTTCTGTGTAAAATGCCATTGGAATTTTGACAGAGATGGCATGAAATCTGTGGATTGCTTTGGGTAGTATGGACATTTTAATAATATTAATTCTTCCAATTTATAAACATGGGATATCTTTGCATTTATTTGTGTCTTATTCAATTTCTTTCACCAATATTTTATAGCTTTCATTGGCATATCTTTCACCTTCTTGGTTAAATTTATTTCTAATTATTTTATTCTTTTGATGCTATTATAAATAAGATTGCTTTCTTTAATTTGTTTTTCAAAGAGTTTATTGCTAGTATATGGAAACACATATTGCATGTCGGTTTTATTTTACTGAATTTGTTTATTAGTCCTAACAGTCTTTTGGTGGAATCTTTAGGGTTTTCTACATATAAGATCATGGTGTCTGTAAATACAGACAATTTAACTTCTTCCTTTCCAATTTGGATACATTTTGTTTCTTTCTGTTGCCTAATTGCTCTGGCTGGGATGGCCAAAGAAGATACTTGATATGATTTCAGTGTTCTTAAATTGTTAAGACATCTTTTGTGGCTTAACATTTGTTCTAACCTGGAGAATGTTCCATATGTGCTGGAGAAGAATATGAATTCTGCTGCTGTTATATGTAATATTCTATATACGTCTGTTATGTCCATTTGTTCCATAGTGTTATTCAAGTCCTCGATTTCTTTATTGATTTTCTATCTGGATGATCTCTTTATTGTTAAAAGTGGGGTATTGAAGTCCACTACCATTATTGCAATGCTTTTTATTTCTCCCTTCAGTTCTGTTAACATTTGCTTGATGTATCTAGGTGTGCTAATGTTATGTGCATATATATTTACAATTATTATATCTGCTAGATGGATTAACCTCTCATTATATAATATCTTCTTTGTCTCTTGTGATGTTTTTGACTTCAAAGCTATTTTGCCTGATATAAATATAGGCATCTCTGTTCTCTTTTGGTTTTTATTTGCATGGTATATATTTTTCCATCCTTTCACTTTCAGCCTATATGTCTCCCTAAAGCTAAAGTGAATCTCTTTACAGGCAGTTTATAGTTGGATCATACTTTCTGTCCATTCAGCCACTCTGTGTTTTTTGATTGGAGAATTTAATCCATTTACATTTAATTGTTGATAGGTAAGAACTTACCTATTGCCATTTCGTTGTTTTCTGACTGTTTTGTAGTTCCTGTCTTCCTTTCTGTCTCTCTTGCTGTTTGCCTTTGTGATTTGATGATTTTTTTTTGTAGTGGTATGTTTTTATTTATTTCTCTTTATTTTTTGTGTATCTACTGCAGGTTTGTTCATCATGATTGCCATGAGGGTTACATAAAATATCTTATAATGGTCTATTTTAAGATGACTAACTTATCTCCAATTGCATACAAAACTGTTTACTTCTCCCTGACCCTCATCATTTTATGTTACTGGCATCACAATTTATATCTTTTTATATCATGTATTCATTTAAAGAATTTGTAGTTATAGTAACTTTTAATACATTTTCTTCTAACTTTTACACTAGAGTTAAAACTGACTTACATATCACCATTACAGTGTTATTCTCACTTTGATTATATTCTTAGCTTTTCCAGTGAGTTTTATACTTTAATGTGTTTTCATGTTGCTAATTAATGTCCTTTCATTTCAACTTGAAGAATTTCCTTTAGCATTTCTTGTAAGACAGGACTTTAGTGGTAACAAACTCCCTCAGCCTTTGTCTGGGAAAGGCTTTCTCTCTCCTTCATTTCTGAATGACAGCTTTGCCTGGTAAATTATTCTTGATTGGCAGTTTTTTTCTCTAAGTGTTTCGAATATATCATCTCATTCTGTCAGAAAACAACAAGGTTTCTGCTGAGCAATCCACTGATAGCTTTTTGCCCTTTGCTCTTTCTCTGCTTCATTTGGAATTTCCGTAATAGGTTATACTGGTTTATTTGATGGTGTCCCATAAGTTCGGTAAACTTTGTTCATTCTTTTTTATTTTTGTTGTTATTACTCCTCTGACTGGATAGTTTCAAATGATCTGTCTTTTGAGTTCGTGGATTCATTCTTTTTGATGGAGTTTGCTGTTGAAGTGTTCTATTGAATTTTTCAGTTCAATCATTGTATTCTTCAGCTCTGGAATTTGAGTTGTTCTTTTTAAGATTTCTGTCTTTTGTCAAACCTTTAATTTTGTTTATGTGTGGTTTTCTTGAGTTTGTTTAGTCATCTACTTTTCTTTAAGATTGTTGTGCTTCTTTAAGATGTCCACGGTGCTTCTTTAAGATGATTATTTTGAATTATTTGTCAGGCAGTTCACAAATCTTCATTTCTTTGGGGTCAGCCACTGGAGTTTTATTTTGTTCCTTGGGTGGTATCATGTTTCTTAGTTTCCTTTTCATGTTTCTTGAAGGCTTGCATCACTGTGTTTGCATTTGAAAAAGTGGTTACCTACTCCAGCCTTTATTGCCTGGCTTCAGGAGAGAAAGACCTTTACTAGTCAACCAAACTAAAGATCTGAAGGCTTTCTGAAACTTTCTCTGTATGTGCCTGTTTCACTCCTCTTGTTCCCCCTTCAGGGGCAGTCTTATGATGGTATGTCTTCTCTTGATCCTGCACCATCAAGCAGGGTGCTGAGAGCCTTTATTTTCCTCATGTTAGTTCCCTGAAGTAATCAAGGTTGCGTGCCTTCTACCCAATTCAGCAGAGTCAGGGGACTGTTGATGTGTGTGTTTGCTGTCTGCATGGGCTCATGTGCACCATCCGAAGAGCCTGAATGTACTCTCTTCAGGGGAGTGTGGGGTGCTGGCTATGGGAGGGGGTGCATGGAGTCATGGGGTACTTGTTAGCTAGTGTGTGTATCTGCAGGTGAGGTATCTTACAGAATTTGTGAGCAAGGCTCTTGGTGGAGCCCATTAGCCAGTTAGTATGATCTGCAGCTGTTTTTTGAGATCCACACAATGGTTACTGTAAGCCTCTGCTTCTCTTCCCTGTTCCTTACTGTCCCTAGACAGCTGTGAAGACATATTAATCCCTTCAGTGTTCTGGATGGAGTGAGACAGAAATGGATCTCTTAGGCAGCATCCCACAAGGCTGGGGAAGCTGGGCACTCACTTCAATCTTACTTTCCTCTGTAGGAGAAATTATGGGCTGAAGTGGTCTCTCTTGGCCTTGAGTTGTGCGTACTTGGAGGAGAGTATTAGGGTAAAATGAAACTGTGTTTCTTACCCTCTTCAATGCATCTATTGTTGATTTTTTTTTTCTTTTACTCCACTGGGGTACTGGAAACTTTCAGCTAGACCCCAGGCTTCTGTGAAGGTATTGTCATCTGCAGATGGTTGTGAAAATTAGTGTTCTGTACAGGTTTTAGAGCTGGAATCTCTTATTCTGCCATCTTGCTTATGTCCAAGAATTATACTTCTTTTTCTTAGTGTTATCTGTTTCTCCTTATATACTGCAAAAAAATCATTCAGAAATGGAGGCATATGTATTACCCTGTTATAGACATAAATATTCTAAAAGGCTCAGCTGTGAACCTTCAGGAGACCCACTCTAGAACCATTTTGACCTCTACCTTGGACCATGCTTTTCATGCGTTAGTATGTCTGCACAGCTTCTGGGATCTTTCCAAAGTACAGATTCTGATTCAGAAAGTCTGTGGTGGGACCTGAGAATCTGAACATCTTAATGAGCTTCCAGGTGCTGCTAGTCTCTGCACATTGAGTCACAAGGTGTATTGTCTAAAAAGTTACACTCACACAGGAATTATAGAGAATTGTGTTGATAAGTACAGCCAAGATGGAGATATAGTGGGCAAGCCATCTGGGAACATGCATTCATGTCACACTGCCTACTTGCTTAGAATCTGAAAAAACCACATTGCCTACTCAGTCTAATAAAGTGGTTGTTGGCATATGACTGGTCTCCATAACCAAAATCAAAGTTCAGTAGGCTGCTGCTATTAGAAAGATTTCTAACAGTTAAGAAACCTGGGCCGGGCATGGTGGCTCACGCCTGTAATCGCAACACTTTGGGAGGCCGAGGCAGGCAGATCACAAGGTCAGGAGTTCGAGACCAGCCTGGCCAACATGGTGAAACCCAGTCTTTACTAAAAATACAAAAATTAGCCAGGCATGGTGGTAGGCACCTATAATCCCAGCTACTCAGGAGGCTGAATCAGGGGAATTGTTTGAACCTGAGAGGCGGAGGTTGTGGTGAGCCAAGTTCGTGCAATTGCACTCCAGCCTGGGCAGCAAGAGCAAAATTCTGTCTCAAAAAAAAAACCTGGGCCCAAGTATATCATGGTATACAAGACTGCTGGAGTTAATAGAGCCTTTTCCCTCAGAATTCTGGTGATTATATATAAAGTTTTTTTTACACGTTTTTGATGTTTTATAAATAATATGCTATGTCAATTGAGAAAGGAGAATATTCTCTGGGATTTTGCCCTGAGCACCAATCAGGTTAGAAAGTGCCGTTGCTGCTGTTCTCATGGGCACTGTTTGACTCAGCTTCCTGGTGTATATATGATGACAGTAGCCATCACTGACTCCTGAGAGGTGAGATGCTCAAGGGCCAAGTGAGCAAAAGAATAGATGTTGTTTTCTTTTCAGAGTATTCTTCTCCTGGGAGTGGTGTTTGCTCTGTTCCATTTATTGGCATATTTGAAAGTAATAATAATATAGAAAACCATCCCTTCTAAGATGCCCTTTGTTAAAATATCAGACTTGTTAATTTTTGAAGTTTGAAAACTGAACACTGGCAGCCTCCCTAGTCTCCTTCTGTGGAAAATGTCAATTATGAGGCTTTGGAAGAGGGTTTGTGCCTTGCAAAGCAGGAATGGCAGCACTTTTAATGATATTAGCTTTAGTAATTAAAATGATTGCCTTCTCAGGAGTGCTGAATAGGTGATTCCTTCCAGCCAGCTACTCCTAACTGTTGTTGCTTCACTTTCAATCGGCCATCAGGTCCTGTCAGTTCTGCTTCTGTGGTGCTTCTAGAATCTATTGCTGTCTACGATGAATTTACCATTGGATTTACCACTGCGATTACCCTCTCATAGGCCCTCATTTTCTCTCCCCTGAGCCATTACAAGGTATCTTCAGCTCTAGATTTATCTCAGTGCTAGTCATTTCCATCTCCTGCCATTGGAGCCTGTCTTTCTAAAACCTAGATCTGATCATCCCATTTTCTTCCCTGGAGACTCGTGTTGACTTTCCAGTGCCTATGAGATGAATTGAGACTTTTAGCATAGCTTCTATCTTCTACTAACCTTCCATAAGACAGTGTCACTTTTTATCCACTCCCCAACCTGGCTCCCTGAGCCCTACTGGCACCAGACACTTGGGCATTTTATGAAATATACAGTGCATTGTCTCACATCTTTGCTTTCACTTAAGCTGGGCCCTCTGTCTGGAATATGTTTCACCATGTCTCTACTTAGAAATCCAATTTTTTTGTTATTCAAAATGAAATTATTTTTCTTAGGAAAATCTTCCCGAGTCTTCCTTCCTCTATTCTCCCACAGCTCCCTGCTCAAGCTTCTTATAGAGCATTAATCGTGAAGCATCCTAATTATTTATGTGTCTGTCTCTCCCACTAGACTGTAAGTTCTGACGTTAAGGTTTTGCTTCAGACATCTTGTATATATCGGGCCTCTAGCAATGGAGCTGGCATATAATAGGTGCTTAATGAATAATTCTTAAATATGGGTGGGTGGAGAGGATAGAAAGACAGGTTGATGGATAGATGAAAGAAAGAAATGGAGAGACTTAGTCTTTCTAAATAAGTTGTTGGTTCATGATAAACTAAAAGAAAAAGCAGGATATATACATATGTAAATATATAGATAAATATGCATGTCTACACATAATACAAAGTCTATAGAGTGACTCTGAAGCTGTGAATCTCTCTGTCTTATTAGACGATCTTTAACAACAACAGAACTGGATAACTTATGTGTTTAAGGATTGATATATTCTTACTTTGCTTGGAACTAATTCTGCATTTTATTTTTATTTCAGAATGACAGGGGTCTTCAGCTTGTGGCTAATTCGATGGTGTGGGTTCCAGAAGGGGGGATGCTGCAGATCACCAACAGAATCTTACAGGCCGAGGCTCCTGGTGCCAGTGCTGAAGAAATCATCTACAAGATTACACAAGACTACCCCCAGTTTGGTAACTATTTTTTCCTTTGGCGTGGTTTCATCGTTGCATTCAGCAGTCTAGGGTTTGCTACTGTATAGTGCCATGTGGCAAGATTGCAATTCCAATGAACTGAGCTTTCTAATACCTTACAAATCCCCTTTAAAAACAGAATAATCATGATAGCTATCACACTCAACACATTTACTAGGTAGTGTACTAAAGTTTATAAACACGTTATATGTAACACCTAAAATTTAAGTTTTAAAACAACTTCATTTTGCAGGTAAAAATACTGGGTAAAGTAGCTTGCTGCAAGTCACTTAACTAATATACGTCAGTTTAATTTCAAAGGTCAGGCTCTCAAACTCTGTATTATATGCCTTTTAGGATATCACTAGACTTCTTCTTAATGAGACTTAAAAAAAATAACATGAAAACATTTTTCAGTGTTCTCCAGTGTTACTTCTACTTCCAGCAAGGTAGTCAAATAAGAAAACCTGAGAAATTTCCCATTATCATCACCCAGAAATGCTGGATAAAATATAACAAGAATTATAAGGTGTTCGTAGCTGACTTCCCAAGGATAGAGAGAAATCTCCAGGTGCCAGCAACAAAGAGGACACTGAAGGCCAGTTATTGCATGAGCTTAATAGCATAGCTTCTCCAAAAGGGGTTGTGAATGTCTCAATAACCCAGGGGCTTGGGATTTAATGTCCATGCGGAGACAGAGCATTGGAATTAAGATGCTGCATAAAGCCAGGACTCTGGAAGGACATGCTTTCAATTAAAGGGACAGAGTAGAAACAAGAAGCTTATCAGCACAGAGACATGGCAGAGAAATCTGCCTCTTTCTTGGAGTCAGAGTAGAAAAAAAAAAAAAGCCTGGTGAAAATTCAGAACTTTAGGCCTATTTTTCCGGTAAATCTCAGGTTAAATTAGACCATGTGTCTTGTCTAAGAAACCTGAAGCTGAGGTATTTTATGAAAATTAATCTCAGACCAATGATATGTCTTGAGTTCTTTATTGAAACTAATAGAAACTACCACAGAAGGCCTACTCTCTGCTAGGCTACGTGGGATTCTCAGAAGAAACCAATGAAGCTCAGAATTTAAAATTATGGAATATGGGAGGAAATAATCTGTAGTACCATAACCAAAACGAGCAAGAAGACTAAAACCCCAAGAATTTCAAATAAAGTAACAGTCTTATAAAAACTGTGAAATAAGCAGATTTAAAATGATTTAAAGACATAAAAGAAGGAATTAAAACTGTGGAAATAGCAACATGATAGAAAAATAAAGGAACAGGTAGATTTTTTAAAATAACTAAATTGATCATGTGAAAATGAAAATTATAGCCATTAAAAGTAAAAACTCACTTGGCATATTAAATAGCAGAGGAAGAATAATCTGTTTTTCCTCTAGGCTGTCAGATTTTTTTAATTATATATTTTCTGTAGGGAGAAAAAAATTAACTTTTATTTAATTTAAAAATAGTTCCAATGTCCACAAAGACATTGAAAAGCCACCTAATCGAGAATTGGTATTATAATTATAAAATGGTCAGTCTAGCTGAGATGTCATTTATTATGGCTATGTAACCTTGAAAATGGCAGGTATAAGGTCTTGTGCCATAGGTTTCTTCGAGAAGTTAGGGTAAACATTAAAAAAATTTAAAAAAACATTTAGACTAAACAGTTGCAAAAACAGAATAAAAGCTCTTGAATACCCTTATCCTCCCCTAATGTTAACGTCTTATAACTATAGAACAATTATTGAAACCAGGAAATTAACACTGATATGATACTATTAATCAATTCACAGGCCTTATTCAAATTTTGCCAGTTTTCCCACCAATGCCCTTTCTATGACCCAATCCAGGATCTCAATTACACTTATTTGCCACGTCTTCTTGGTTTCCTCCAATCTGCGACACACACTTCCTCCGTCTTTGTCTTTTATGACACTGACTCTTTTGAAGAGTGCTGGTCAGATATTTGTAGACTCTCACTCAATTTGTTAGTCTGAGGATGATTTCTCATGATTGGGTTAAGGTTGTGCTTTTCCCCCTTTCTCAGTGCATCATCAGGAGGTACATAATCTCACTGCGTCTTATGACAGGTGATGTTAACTTTGATCACTTGGTTAAAGTGGTGTCTACCAGATTTTTCCACTCTAAAGTTACTATTTTTCCATTTGTAATTAGTAAGTTTCCTGTTCTCATCGTACTTTCAACTACTGATTTTAAGCTAGATATTTTTAAGGTCCTTTTCATCTCTAAAAATCTATGACTCTTTTGATGTATTAAATTCTCTACCTTTATCTTCATCAGTAAAAGACAAAAAATTAAGCCCCCAAATTTCCTAGAAACAACCAATATTCCATTAAGTCTTAAACAAAACAACGCTGAATTAAATGTTTTTTTAAGCAGATAAAATTTTGCCATTTCAGTTTGATAAATATCACGTATGCTTTATTGTGATGCTTTCCTGCTGTAACTCTTTTAATTAACTTCTTCCTATGAACATGATCTTTCCGTGTATCCAGAGCCCCCTATTAGTAATAATCAAATCACGTTACCTAGAAACCATTCAGGAGTGAAATTGGTGGTGGGAACTAAAAGTCCACTTAGCACAAATCTGCTTGCATCTATCAGTCCCAATTACGTAAATTTGTGGAGACTTTACCTTGTACTCCCTCATCACTTAAGAAAGTTCAAGCTGGACTTTGGGCTTTTTGTGAAGAGCTGACGCCTTGAAACAGAACCAAATGTAAATTGCTTGTATAGTATGTGCATGAAGGACCTGAGTTCAACCACTTGCAGACTCACCACCGTTTTCAGATACAGATGTTCCTCAACTTACACCCTGTTAAACTCATCATAAGTTGAAATTATCGTTAATTGAAAATACACTTAAAACACCTAACCTACCGAACATCATAGCTTAGCCTAGCCTACCTTAAATGTGCCCAGAATATTTGCATTAGCCTAGAGTTAGGTAAATCATCTAACATAAAGCATGTTTTATAATTAACTGTTAAATATCTCATGTAACTTATTAACTACTGTACTGAAAGTGAAAAACAATGGTTTTGCACCATTGTAACTTCAAAAAATTATAAGTCAAACCACTGGAACTCAAGGAGTATCTGTATAAATTTAGACAACTTGATTAATACTTGTATCTGTAGCTACTTACTTAGATTTGAAAGTAGATATGATGAGATGGTTTTAATAAATAACTTGAGAATCATTTGAAGGAGAATCTGATTTAACCTAATGCATTGGCAATTCCAAATTATTTATCATAATGTAAGATACGTTCATATGAATGATCTCAATCTCAAAATAATTCATGGAGATTCAAATGATATTCCAATTCTTAATACCTACTAAATCTTCCCTTCAAAATTATAGGTTAAAATATAGACTTCAGTATAAAGGAAATCCCCAGTAGAGATCATTTTCTGTTTTTTAAACTTGGGTTTTCATGTTTAAAATATTATCTTTTTGTTGTCATATTACGATTAAAGCATAGGTGAGGTACTACAAAAAAAAAAAAAAAGAAGAAGGTTAGCTCTCACCCGTCTGCAGAGAATCCCACAATAGGTTGATATTTCTCCTTGTCCACTCATGGACTTGTCACAAAGGCACCTGTATTCAGCATGTCCAGTACTGAACCCTTCATCTTCCCTCCAACCCCCTCCTCCTTCTGTATGATTGATGGCCAGTAGTGGCATCCAGTCATCTATCCCAATAGGTGATTCTCGTTGATGCCTTCCTCTGTCATCCTTCACAGAAACCTTTGTCAAGTTCCATTGCTCCCACTTCCTCAGTTACTCTTGCATCTGTGTTTCTTTACAGTCTCACCTCTGTTGTCTTAGTTCAGGTTCCCATCTCTCCTCTGGATTTGTCAGTAGTCTTATAATTGGTCAAACCATCTATATAAATCTTAGCTACTGTTGTTACCACTTTTATAGAATGAAGTCCAGCCCCTTTAACAGGACCTTCAACTCTTACAGGCTTTCTATATTCTGACCACATGTTGTGTATTCTAAATCGATTCATGTCATTCACCTACTGGAAAACTAACAGTGACTCCCAGTTGCTTATGGGGCTAATCTTTGGGGTAGGAGCTGCATGTGGCCTAGCTTTGAATCCCTCCATTCCTGAAGGGCCTACCACAGTCATTAGTACCTAATGGGTACTCAATGACTATTTATTGAGTTAAAATTAATGGGATTAGCAAATATCTTACGATTCCTGTTAATCTGTATGACATGAAAGTGATTTTTTACATAAAAATTTAGGTTTGTTTCATTAGGGCTTATTAGGAAAATTCTGCTTTGCTTTTTTATCATAAAAGCAGAATAACTAGGAAATCAGCATTTGAATGTTTTCTACTGTCCACATTTTCATTGTGGAAATTTTCTTTCACAATATTTTGCAACTGTACTCACATTCATAAATAGTCCACATCCTAGAAATCTATGTTTATTGACAGCATCTTAGGAATGGAAGTTGAACCAGGGAGAGAAAGGTAATGGAATTTTTTTCTACTTGAGTACAAATAAGTTATAATACAAGAAAGAAAACTACAGTGAGTTGACTCAACATATGATTATATAAAGAGTAGTGTAGTCATGTTTCTCTCTTATTTTGGTATTTCATTACCATCCAGAATATTATACTTGTTCTATACTTGAATTTAGTGCATATAAATATTAGAATGAGTGTCTGCATTGAGTAAGAAAACTAATTTCTCTAGGGTAATCAAATATGCCATCAATTGCCCAATATGTCTAGTGTCTAGTGTATTAAGATTCGAGTATTCTCCTATAGAATATTTTAAAAATTGACACTCTATCTTTCTGTCTCTCTTTCTCTCTCCCTCTTCCTCACCCTCTCCCTCCCACTATCAGAGTGTTAGGGTGGCTTCTTTCAGATTTATTGTTAGATGCATTTTCATGAGAATATAGCTTCTGCTTGCAGCAGTTCATCCATTCTTCTGTTTGGTCTTCAATTGAAGGCATAGTCTCCTGTGAAATTTTAATTGTTTCTATAACACCTCTGTATTTTCAGTCTCACTTTAAGAAGATAGTAGGTGAAGGTCAAGGTGCTTTAGGTGAAGAACAAGCAGTACAAACAGATTGCTGGTGATGGTGGTGTTTAGATTTAGATTTCCTTGCCTCAGTTCCAATAAAGTTTAAAGAATGAAGGAGGAGAAAACATGATAAGTTATTTAGCAGTGTAAATACTGGTACATGTTCACAAAATAATGATGATTGGTAACAGAGCTTCATGACCAGCTTCATGATCAGATTCAAATCCCAGCTCATCAACTTAACATTTGTGTAACTTCTAACGTTATTAAACTCTGAACCTGAAGACCTTCATCTGTAAAATGAAGACAATAATGGCATCATTCAGAATAATTAAATAGAATTAATAGAAGTGTATTAGTCTGTTTTCACACTGCTGATAAAGGCATACCTAAGACTGGGAAGAGAAAGAGGTTTAATTGGACTCACAGTTCCACATGGCTGGGGAGGCCTCAGAATCATGGCAGGAGGAGAAAGGCACTTCTTACATGGCAGCAGCAAGAGAAAATGAGGAAGAGGCAAAAGCGGAAACCCCTGATAAACCCATCAGATCTCGTGAGACTTATTTATTATCAGGAGAATAGCATGGGAAAGACCGGCCCCTATGATTCAATTACCTTCCCCTGGGTCCCTTCTACAATATGTGGGAATTCTTGGAGATACAATTCAAGTTGAGATTTGGGTAGGGACACAGCCAAACTATGTCAAGAAAGATGATCTTTAAGCACCTGTAAAGCATATACTATTATTTTCTTTTTACGAATGAGGAATGAAGGCTTATGGAGCTTAAGGAAGCTCACTCAGCTGGAAACAATGGAGCTGGGTTTGAATCACCACATAGGGTATAGTGGGGTGCCTGCCGTATGTCTTCCACTGTTAGCTATTACAAGTTGAGCATCCCTAATCCAAAAATCTGAAATCTGAAATGCTCCAAAATCCATAACGTTGAAAGCACTGACATGATGCCACAAGTGGAAAATTCTACCCTGACCTCACGTGAAAGGTTACAGCCAAAACTTGTTTCATGCACAAAATTTATTTTTAAACATTATATAAAATTACCTTCAGGCTATGTGTGTAAAGTGTATATAAAACATAAATGAGTTTCATGTTTAGACTTGGGTCCTGAATCCAAGATATCTCATTATGTATATGCAAATATTCAAAAATAGAAATCTGAAACACTTCTGGTCCTAAGAATTTCAGATAAGAGAAATTGAACCTGTATTACTATCATTGGACAGAATTCTCTCATGAAAATTTTCCACTGAATTGTTTCTAATTTCCCATTATGTTTTCAGCAAAAACTTCCTGGCTGGAAAACATTTTCTGTTACATAGAAAGTTGTGCATAGAAATGAATCCATTCAATGCCCAGTATTTGAGTATTTGTCTATAGTATTTGCTACTATCTGGCTCTCCTTATGTAATTTTTAATAGATAATAAGTCAGTAACTTCATACATGAATTGTCCTTGAATGACTTTTAGTTCTTTTAGCAGAAAGCCTGAGAATTTTGTTTCTAAAGGTGGATTCAATACTGTCCATTGAATTATGTGTTAACATCCTCTCCTTCACCTTAGACAAAAATAAAGAAGTACATCATTTCTTTCTAGTTAAAAAAAAAATGAGTAGTAGGAAAGGAGGTAAGGGCTCTGACTTTTCCTAGGGACCCTCACTAACTATGTGGCCTGTGCCTTCCTAGGGGAGGTGGTCCTTCTAGTGAATATGCCTGCAGACAGCCCTGCAGATGAAGGGCAGCACCTGCCTGATGGGAGGACAGCTACCCCCACCAGCACCTTCACCCAGCAGGACATCAATGAAGGCATCGTATGGTACAGGCACTCAGGAGCCCCAGCCCAGAGCGACTCCTTCCGCTTCGAGGTACCCTCTGCTTCCTGACTTTTCTGAAGTCTGATGAATCCAATAATCCAATCGCTCTTATTTATAATCAACTTGAGTAATTTTCTGCAGTTGACAGGAAATCACATTTGGGGGACGTGTTAGTTCATTTTCATGCTACTGATAAAGACATACCCGAGACTGGGTAATTTACACAGAAAAAGAGGTTTAATGGACTCACAGTTCCATGTGGCTGGAGAGGCCTCACAATCACAGTGGAAAGCGAAAGACATGTCTTACATGGTGGGAGGCAAGAGAGAATGAGAGCCAAGTGAAAAGGGAAACTTCTTATAAACCATAAGATCTTGTGAGACTTACTCACTACCATGAGAACAGTATGGGGGAAACTGCCCCCGTGATTGTTGTCTCCCACCGGGTCCCTCCAACACATGGGAATTATGGGAGCTATGATTCAAGACGAGAATTGGATGGGGACACTGATATGGATTCCATATCAGTGGAATTCCCTACAAAATATAATTCATAGCATTAGGAGTTTTTTTAATTTGTCAGTTCAGATATATGTGTATCTTTACAAGCAGAGTTATCCACAACCAAGATGTTTAGGTTAGATAATGGCCAAAGTGTTCAGAAGAAAAGTCTTTAAAATATAAAAATACTATATGGAGAAAAAAAAATCTTACCTTCTAGTTTTGAATGTTCTTGGAACACTTACTATCTTGTGATAAGATCATGGGCCTATAGCCAAACTCAACATGTTTAGGTGTCAGTTCTGCCACTTACTAGCTACACAACTTTGGGCAAATTACTTGAGAAAAACTTCTGTGCTTCATTTTCCTTGTCTGTCAAATAGGATTATTGTGATGATTTAATGAGTTAATACAGATAGAGTACTTCGAATACTGCATATCAGATAGGTAGCATTATATAAGGGTTTGTTATTACCATTTATAAAAATTGGTCAAATACCAGACCATAAGGAGACCTTCAGTAGATTAAAGGACAAGAAGTATACTGCATAGGCTGGGCATAGTGGCTCACACTTGTAATCTCAACACCTCGGGAGGCCAAGGCAGGCAGATTGCGTCAGTCCAGGAGTTTGAGACCAGCTTGGGCAACATGGTGAAACCCTGTCTCGCAAAAAATACAAAAATTAGCTGGGCATGGTGGCAGCTAGGCGGGAGGATCACTTGAGCCTGGGAGGTGGAGGATCACTTGAGCCTGGGAGGTGGAGGCTGCACTGAGCCATGATCACGCCACTGCACTCTAGCCTGGATGACAGAGCGAGACCCTCTCTCAAAAAAAAAAAAAAAAAGACAAAAAGAAAACAAAAGAAAAATTATACTGCATATGTTCTCTGGCTATTATAAATATAATTATAAATTATAAATTAATAATAAAAGGATAAACAAAAATTCAGGCCACTTGGAATATTTTAAATGGTCTCTTAAATAATTACTAGGAAATTCTTTAAAGAAAGTCAAAACAGCAAACACTTAAGAAATATTGATGAGGAGGAAATAACCTATCAAAACTTAAATCATATGGACAAAATTGTACTCAGAAGAAAATTGATGGCCTTAAGCTCTTATTATTGAGCAAGAAAGCATTAAAATACGTGGACAAAATATTTAACTCAAGAAGCCAGAGAACCGCAAGGGAAACCTAAGGAAAGCAAAAGGAAGGAATTAGTAGAGATAAGCAGAGGAATTGGTTAATTATAAAATGCTAGAAATGATGAACAAATACAAAACCTGATTCTTTGAAGATCAATAAAATTAGGCAGACCTCTGGCGAGCATGATTTGGAAATAAAGAATCATACAGAAATACAAAAGAATAAGGAATTATGAATAAGAAAGGGTGTTTAAGCACAGATACCAAGAAGAATTTGGTAAAGTGTCAGAGAAAATATCTATGTTTATGGGGATCAGCCAAAGCGGTGTCAGGGCCTCTCAAAGTCTGAGTCTTTTCCTTTGTCTAGGAATCCAGGTGGGGCTGAACTCACCCAGCTCACCTTGTTAAAATGATCATCCATTCTGCTTCTGATGCCTGGCATGTACATCTTCATCGCCTGACTAATTTATATTGTGTAAAAGATGTGCTTTTCCAGAGAGCGGGTTGAGATAAATTTGGAAACCATTAAAATGAGATTATCCTGAGCACACTGAATTTCCAATGAGTGAGCAAACATTGGGTGCCCTTTGCCCAAGTTAACTTTTCATTTTTAGCACCTGGGGATTGCAGCAGTCATCAAAGAATGAGTCAGAATGAAGGCAAAGACCTCAATCAAAAGAAGTCACCTCTGCAAACTAGAATCCTCAGATCTGCCTTTGCCTTCGTAGGGTGAGGAAGGAGAATGTTATCAATATGGAGCACTTCCCTGGAAGGGGAATCTAAGTAGCTGCTCAAAATAATATTTGATTGCTTTTGTAATTTGGTTACTGAGTAAATAAGGCAAATAAAGATTTAAAAATAATAAAAAATACTTTATGATTATTATTATTATTAAAAAGACTACCCTGTCCATTGGAGTTATTTGGCACTTTCATTGAAAACAAATTGGCCATATATGGAAAAAAATAAAAAATAAAAATAAATAAATAAAAAATAAAATAACAAAAAATAATGATTTAAAAAAAACTCACTGGATGAAGACATCCAGTTGAATGAACATTATTACTTACAAAGTGGTTCCCTTTACAGAGTCTTCACACATTTTGCTCAAAATGTGTTTAGAACTCCTGTGTGAAATTGCCTTCAAAGTGAGATATTCTTTAGAATGTCCTCCATAGTGGCAGTGTATCATCTTTTGGAAGTGGATTAAAAAATATAGCTAAATAGTCAAAAGTCAGACTAAGGTCTGGTGAGAAAAACAGTGGTGATTATTTTGGGTTAAAGTGGGGAGTAATTATGGAATAATGGGCTCAGAGTTCCTATGTGATTTGTAAACTTTGTCTGAAGGCATTCCAAAAATGCATTTTGAACACTGACAGCATCTTTGTTGCAAATATGAAACAACTCTCTGGGATTATGTTCTCCTGATGTAAAAGTTTTGGCATGTTTATTCTAAAGTCTCATTGTTTTATAGGCATACCTAATATTTTGATTTGAAATGAGATAGACACTAGAGCTAGGTGCTAACGTAAGTGGTTAGCAAATTTTCCCATTCATCATTTTAGTGTCCCTAAAGGATTTCAAACTTTAAACAAATCCTTTTCTAATAATTCTTTTCCTTTTTTCTTTTTTTTCTTTAAAGCAGGAAATGCAGTATAATGAGTTGCATGGATTTTTTTTCTTTTTTTTTCTGAGACAGAGTTTCACTCAGTTGCCCAGGCTGGAGTACAGTGGTGCGATCTTGGCTCACTGCAACCTCCACCTCCCAGGTTCAAGCAGTTCTCCTACCTCAGCCTCCCGAGTAGCTGGGATTATAGGTGCCCGCCACCATGCCCAGCTAATTTTTTGTATTTTTAGTAGAGACAGGATTTCACCATGTTGGCCAGGCTGGTCTCGAACTCCTGACATCAAGTGATCCGCCCACCTCGGCCTCCCAAAGTGCTGGGATTACAGGCGTGAGCCACCCCGTCCAGCCGAGTTGCATGGATTTAATGCCATTTTAATGTTGATGTGCTGTCATGAGCCATCAGTGGCTCCCATCTGTTACTTTGCATCTAAGATTTGGGACATATGTAATGCCAGTGGGATTAGAAAATAGAGCATGGCATAGTGCAAAGAAAGCATGCACATTCAGAGTCATTTTTTGGTGTGGGAAGGAGCCCTGGTTTGGGTATATTCAGGTCACTTTGACACAGCCTTAGGAAATGTGGTTCAAAACAGACCAACACATCTCCCATCAGTGTCTTTACTAGATTGATTCACTTGCTCAGTAATATGACCACATTTCACTACCTATTCAATGTTTGGTTCTTTTTCTTCAAAAGATAGAATATATTCCGCCACCGCACCCCTCCGCCACCCCTTTTCTAATTTCCTAAAGCTACCAAAGTGAGTCATCTTGGTCAGTGGAATGATCATAAACCTGACTGATCTGGTTAAATACTGCCACTTGTTGGCTTTGTGACTTTGACACATTGCTTAAATTTTCTGACATTCAGTTTCCTCACCTGTAAAAAAGGGGATAATAATATCTACTCTGTGGATACTAAGTAAGAGAACCCTTGAAAAGTAGCTAATGCAGTGCTGAGCCCATAATAGATGATGAGTGAATTATAGTTATTGTTGGTAAGATAATTTACAGTGATGCTATATCTCCTTAAAAACGTGTATTTTGAGACTCGATCCCAGGCATCTGATGTGATCAAGATAAAGACAGAGAAGACAGGCTTTCTGTTGGAGTAACTTTTAAAGACATAGGGAAAGGGCTGCTATCCCTGCCTCTTTTTCTCAGAATTGATAGAACTCAGCCGCCTGCCATATGGAATTAATGCAACTCCACATGTCACACATGGCTTAGCAAACAATGGAGAGAAAGAAGGTTTAAGAGGGTGGTCCAGTAACTGATGAGGAGGGAGAAGCTGCATAGAAAAAGCAACATTCTTCAGGTTTTTGCAGCAGGAAAAAGTTGATTTTGTGACCATTACAGTAATTGTGAATGTTACTAATCTTGCCCTGCAATGATGAGGCTGAGATTTATTACTTACCTATCACTTACCTGTGCTGGTTAAAAATGAAAGAAATGGAATACAAATCATATTACATACTCATAATAAGACATTATATAGTTCTCAAAAATTATGTTTTCTAGCATGTTTCATGATACAGCAAACTATCATAGTATTGTAAGTAAAAAATTATAATATGTAATTGATATGTGTGCATATAAAATAAGTTAAATATCAACATATGAATATTCACTATTTCTAGATAGTGAAATTCTAGATGATTTTTTATTGCTTATTTATGCTTTCCTGCATTTTCAACTTTGCTTAAAATGAAATCAGTAAAAGATCAATATTAAAATATGAATCAGTAAAAGATCAATATTAAAATATGAAGGGCAGAATGAGAGTTGTAACGCAGGAGCATATAGAATTCAAAGACAGCTGGCTTAAAAGAGGGAAAAACCCACGTACTAACATGCTCTGCTCAATAGAAGATGAGAGGCTCACCAGGATGACTTTCTTTTCAGGTGTCCAGTGCCTCCAATGCCCAGACCCGCCTGGAGAGCCACATGTTCAACATCGCGATCTTACCACAGACACCTGAAGCACCTAAAGTGTCTCTGGAAGCATCTCTCCATATGACTGTGAGTTGGGTGGGAGGCTTGTGGTTTCCACTTAGAGGAGGCACACAGCACGCTGATGGGATTTGATAGAGTGTCCTGGTTTTGTATATAGTAAGTGCCTGGCCCAGATCACAGACTTGGGGGCCAAAAAGCCTAGTGGTCACATTTCTCATTGACTTGAAAAAGGAACTTAAAATTCCCAGAGTGAAAGGAAGGTTATGCGGAATCCGTATTGACCTCCCATCCATCGCTGATGTCCTTTCTACAGTATTCCAGATGTTCCAGGGGTCCTCCTTGAAAATTTGGAGGAAATTTCAGGCTTATGTCCATGAAATCAATATTTGGGTATCATTGGTCCCCCAGTTATGGCACCACCTAGCAGAGAAATTATTATTCCATCTTCTAGAAGCCCTATGAGAAGCTTTCCACTGTAAAAGTTTCCTAGAGAAGGTTCTGTCAATGCTGAATCCAGAAAGATAAATAGCAGTTATCCAAGTGAAAATCTGGGGACACATTGGGAGGAATGGAGAGGTGATGACAAAGGGCACTGCCACAAGTGAAAAGAGCACATGGAAAGACCCACAGGTGAGAGAGAATAGAACTGTTGCTAAATTGCAAACAGTTCAACAAGACTGGAGAAATCAGGAAGGCAGCAAGGATGTGTGATGAGGATAAGGAGGTCATCAAGCTATCACAGAAAGCCTCGTATGCTGGTGGGAAGGAGTGTGGGTCATGGGAAAATGTGAAGCAAGGTGTCAACTAAATTGGTACATGAAGCTTAGTTGAGACAATTAGCAACTCCTCCGTGACCCTCTGTCTGGGGAGGGGAGAGGGTGAGTGCTGTAATGCCAAAACCCCTCTTCCAGACAGAGCCGCAAGCATATAAGACCTTGTAAATTAATCATCATGGGTCCACATTTTAGTTAGCACCCACACAATTACACTCCAAAGTACTGTATCAGCCTTGAGCCACAACAAAGAGAATAGCTATAGTTTTAGAAATTATGGGTCTGGGTTATGACAGAGACATAAAGGGGAAAATAGAAAGTTTTTAATGAATAGCTGGTATCGGCATTTCCACCATAAACCGTAATTTAAAGAAATCATAATTCAGCAGCCCTATAAAGTCTGTAATTCATCATTCTGACTGGAGGAACTTGGATCAGAATTTTCTCTAAACTGTTAAGAAAAATGTGCACACACAGGTCTTGCCAAATGCTAATGCAGTGTTATTTTGAGTTTGGAGGAAATAATGGGCCAGGAGCCAGGAAGACAGTGCTGTTTCCTGTGCTGTCACTGTGGACCTCTGAAGAGACTTTTCAAGTCACTTAGCCTTTAGGCGCTTAGGTTGCATACTTGCGAATTAGGTCTGTCCAGTTAAAACTTAGGTTAGTTTACTGTTAAATGTGATTAGTCTACTCGTACGTTACTTAAAATATACAGTTTATATATTTTTTGATACTAATTAGGGCCATTATGATAGGACATACTTGTGATCTGTAATAAAAATGCATTCTCAATTTAGTCATTTAGTCTCATCTAATAACATAAGTTTTGCAGATATTTGGTAAATATATTGTGAATGCATATGGTAAATAACTATATGGCATATTTAGTATACTTGTATATGTGATTAAAGGTAGGAATCTACTTCTCCATTCATTCAGTCTCTCATTCATAAACACTTTTGAGCTCCTAATGTATGTTAAGTGCTGTGGAAGACATTGGAGAGTCAATGACCATAAAACACAGTCTTTATTCTCAAGGAACTTTGAGTTTAAAAGAGGAGACAAGCAAATAAATAAGCAGGGATAATACAATAATAAATGCCATGGCAGAGCAATGATATGGGAGCAAATGGGAGGGCACCAAATCCAGCAGAGCATGAGAGAGGGTCACAGAAGCTTCCTCTGGGGGTGAACAGAGCTGGGTGAGTGTAAATTATCTAGAGATCAGGGTTCTCAAACTTAATCCTATACTAGAATCACTATAGAGTTGATGAAAACACAGATTGCGCTCACCCACTTCCTACTCCTTCCCTCTGAGTCCCCAAAGTCCATTGTATCATTCTTATGCCTTTGCATCCTCATAGCTTAGCTCCCACTTATGAGTGAGAACATACAATGTTTGGTTTTCCATTCCTGAATTACTTCACTTAGAATAATAGGTGAGGGATAAAAGACTACAAATTGAGTTCAGTGCATACTGCTTTGGTGATGGGTGCACCAAAATCTCACGCATCACAACTAAGGAACTTACTCATGTAACCAAATACCATCTGTTCCCCCCAAAAATCTATGGAAATAAAAAATTAAAAAAATTAAAAATTAAAAAAATAAAACACAGATTGCTGGAACCTACCACAGTGTTTTCTAATTCAGTGGATCTGGTGTAGGGTCAAGAATTTGCATTTCTAAAGAGTTTCCAGGTAATGCTGTTTGCTGCTTCCCAGATCACCACACTTGAAGAACCATTGATCCAGACTAAACTGGGGGGAATGTATCCCAGTCTTGAGGAGCAACAGGTGAAAAAAGGTGGAGACATGGGAGAACACGACATATTTGAAGCATTACAGGTTGTTCAGTTGGCTGGAGCATAAAATCTGTTAAGTGAAAACGCAGTAAGAAATGAGAGTCAGATCATGGAAGACCTTAAGTATAAGATAAGAATTTCCATTTTGTCCTGAAAGGCTTTTGAGGCAAATAAGGTGTTGAGGGATTTGTAGCAAAGAAGTGCCATGATCAGATTTTTAATGATACATTTAGGAAGATCATTCTGGCTACAGGGTAGAAAACATCCTAGATGGGGGCCAGTCAGAAAACAAACAGGCTATTGCAGTCATCTAGAGCAAGAACAATTAGTGGCATGAGCCCATGGTTAAGAGTTCAGGAGATCTTGAAGATATTTGCACATGCATGTTCATTGTAGCATTATTCACAATAGCCAAGATGTGGAAGCAATCTAAATGTCTATCAGCAGAGAAATGGATAAAGAAAATGTGATACAGACGTACACACACAGAGAGAGAGGAATATTATTCAACCTTACAAAAGAAGGAAATCCTGTCACAGGCTACAACATAGATGAATGTTTAAGACATTATGATAAGTAAAATAAGCCAGTCACAAAGGAACAAAAACTGCATGATTCTGCTTATATAAGATATAAAGTAGAATGTAGTCAAAAGAAGTAGAAAGTAGAATGGTAGTTACCAGGGGTAGAGTGCGTGATGTGATGAGAGAGGGAGAAAGGGGGAGTTGTTCAATGGATATAGAATTTCAGCTTTGCAAGGTGGGAGAGTTCTAGAGATCCATTGCACAACTGTATGCATATAGTCAACACTACAGAGCTGTACACTGAAAAAATAGTTATGATGGTTAAAAAAAAAAAGAGGGATACATTAAGAGAGACTTAGAGACACAGTGGCTTCCTAGATATGGGAGGCGGGTGAAACACCCAGTGTCTGAGGATATAGAGGTACCATTCCTCAAGAT
Organism: Homo sapiens; assembly: GCF_000001405.40. Taxonomy (NCBI): domain Eukaryota; kingdom Metazoa; phylum Chordata; class Mammalia; order Primates; family Hominidae; genus Homo; species Homo sapiens. Next base: position 78,416,559 of record NC_000004.12, read on the forward strand.
CAGGAATGTACAAGGACTTTTGGTGGGAAGCATGACAAGTTGAGTCTGGGATATGCTGGTGAAGGGTGTGCTGGAGCAGAGTGAGTGAATTCACAGATGTGATAAGTGTGTGGGCTGGGGCAGGTCACGCAGCATTTCATAGGTCATTGTAGGAACTTAGCTTTTCTTCTGATTAAAATGGGAAGACATTGCAGGGTGTTGAGCAGAGGCCTCATGTCCTTGTGAAAGGATCACACTGGCTGTTGTGCTGAAAGGGAGTGTAGGGGAGGCAAGAGAGCAATTGGGAGGCCACTGGGTTAATCCTGGGGAGAGACTGTGGCCCTCAGCAGAGTGGTGGCAGTGGGGTGGGCGAAACAGTTGGACTCTGGATATATTCAGAGGTAACATGGCCATTATGAAAAGAATTATTCTGTAATCTTCTTTTGTTGACAGATATACTATTTTTAAAGTGTCTTTTGCAATGATTTCTATGAAGTTTAATCTCTCATTTCTTACTATGTTTAATTGATAAATATTGAACATTCTAAGTAGCTAATATTAAAATTGATTATACTTTGATATATCTCAAACTCAATATTGCTTTCCTCATGGAATCAGTCCTTTTTATATGTAGTATCTATTTCTATTAGGAGAAAAATAGTATCAATAAATTTCAAAATAGACTGTTATCTTGGCTGGAACATATTTCCCTTCCCACAGTGCCATGTCCACAATAATTCCCTCTTTTTATCACTTTATTATTTTAAGGACATCTAGATTTTCAGAATATCGCATGGTACTCTGAGAATGTTCAGTTATTATGATAGTTTTGATATTAAAAGGTAGCAAACAGTACCAAACAAGGTACAGAGCCTATACTTTTTTGTCTGTTAGTTGTACCCACATGTGTACATGTTTATAGGTGTGTACAAACATGTATTGGAAAGTAACACCTTATATAGGGCATATAGTTTTAATTTGTTGTCCTTACTTGTTTTATATTAGGGTGAGAGACCAGCTGCTATTCGCAATTCTAATTTTCCTTGCTCATTACATTCCAGACCTGAGCAAGGGCCTGAAATATGACTCTTTACTATAGGGGGATTGTTCTAACCTGCAAATTCTGCCTCTCCCCAGGACAAATACGCCTTGGGGACAATTACAAAGCAACTGCAACCTACAATCTTTTCATGGTTAAAGGAAGAACACCACACCCTCCTCTATGAGCATTACTGAGCCCTGCTTAATCCCTTTCTAAATGAGGAGATTCCATCTGAAAGAAGGAGGGCTTCAAAGAGCAGGAGAGCATGTCACACTCTAACCCACCTTCAGGGGTCAGTTAGGAAGAGCCCATGATGAGCTGGATGTTTTTGTTCTGTTTTACAACAGCATGCCTGACCCAGGCGAGGGGCCCCAGCTCAGGCTAGTTTCCCTTTTCTCCTCTCCACACTGTTTTTGCTGCTGTCCCCAACCCACCACCATGCCTAGCAATGGGAGTCTGAAGCTCTCCTTTTTGTTTTTTAAGTGTTGCCACTGTTAGTGAGTTATGGATGTACACAGGGGAAGGGATAGTAAAAGCTACATTCGCATCAGCCGTCTGATTAACATTGCCTCATTCATTCACTGGGTCCTGAAAGCTGGAAGAGAAAAAGCAGTATCTAGTTCTTTTGACCAGTAGAATGGAGAAAAAGGGAAATACTGGCTATTGTATGTGCTTTAATAAACAAATACCTCTTAAACCTCTGAATGCAAATGGTGAGCCTTTTTTGGTGTTTGGGGTGGGTTCACTTTTAGCCCTTTGTTACCAGAAGGCATCACAGTTTCCATTAGCAAAACTGGGGACCTGGGGGACAATGCTCTGAAGAACTTCTTGGGGCGGAGACTTCAATATCTCAGCTGAGTCCTTAGAACTTCTAGCCAGATTCAACTTAGCCCATTAAGTCAGAGGAGCAGCAGTGAGCTATGACCACTGCACTCCAGCCTGTGACAGAGCCAGACCCTGTCTCTTAAAGAAAATAAAAAGTTAGAGGAGAGACACAATGAGCCAGCTGTGAGTAGCAAGATAGTAGAATAGCCAGCTGGGATGCCTCATTTGCAAACGTGTTCCACCTAGGAAAAAAGTAATAGCAGAATCCCAACCGCGTGCACTGGCGTAACCCTGCGGGCAGTTGGGGGAGAGGAGACTAGAGTACAAGAAAATCTGAAAAGGACTCTCTAAACCTAGGAGGGGAGGCTTAGGAAAAATCTGCAATGCAAGAGACCAGATCCTTCTTTTGAACTCTCGAAAATTTGACTAAGTGTGACTAATTTAAAAGCCCAGAGCAATTTTTTTTTCTTAATAAGGTCTGTTTTTGCCTCTGGCTTTTGTTTTTCATACCATGTGTTCCTCTTCCTTCTTAAACTTTGTTTAGGCTAGAGAAGATGGCCTGACTGTTATTCAGCCTCATTCCCTCTCCTTCATAAACTCTGAGAAGCCAAGTGGAAAGATTGTCTACAACATCACTCTACCTCTGCATCCAAATCAAGGTAAGATGTGCAGTAAATGATCTTTTGAGTGATATTATTATCTTCTAGTTTTTTACCAGTCTTAATATCTCTGGAGTTTTGTCTGCTTGTATACATAGAGATATTTGTTGAGGTTTCAAGGAATAATGATTATTCATATTTCTCGCTCCTGTCTTCTAGTTTAGAACTAATTGAGAGAGAAAAAGACTATGGTCAGAAGGCAATGAATGTGATGGCTTTGGCACTGACATAGCATAGCATGCTGGATGGAGAATGTACATGCTACTGGGTTGAGCTCCCCTCCCATGTACTGGCAGAACTGGACACATAGCCATTGTCTCTGTAGGATCAGAGCCTGCCCTAGTAAGGTTATGACAGGAGAAAGGACAAAAATGAGCATATGTTCAGGATAAGGAGTTCTGCCAGGGAGCCCAAAGAGGGCTGAGCCACACATATTCAGTTCCTTCCCCGATTGGATACATTACTCCTCCTCCTATCTGGGAACATGAGAATGTAGAACTATAGTCAGAGGAGATTTGGGGCCCTGCCATCAGTCACCAGCCTTTAGATCTCTTGACTTTGGACTTAACTAATAAGCCTATGCCTGTGTTAGTCCATTTTCATATTGGTATAAAGAAATAGCTGAAACTGGGTAATTTATAAAGAAAAGAGGTTTAATTGGCTCATGGTTTCACAGGCTGTACAGGAAGCATGGATGGGGAGGCCTCAGGAAACTTACAATCATGGCGGAAGGTGAAGGGGAAGCAGGTACATCTTACATGGCCAGAGCAGGAGGAAAGCGGGTGGGGGAGATGTCACACACTTTTAAATGACCAGATTTTGTTTAAAATCTCACTCACTCACTCACTCACTATCACCAGGACAGCACCCAGGGGGATGGTGTTAAACCATTAGAGACTGCACCTGTGATCCAGTCACCTCCCACCAGACCCTGCCTCCAACATTGAGGATTACAATTGAACATGAGATTTGGGTGGGGACACAGATCCAAATGGCATCAAGGTCCAGTAGAGGTGCAGCTGCTCCTCACAGAAAGAAGATCAGGTTCTATTAAGATAATTCTGCTCCCACATCTGGGACTGTTCTCCCAAGACTAACCACTGCCCCAAATGTAATCCTGTCACATTATGAAATTCTCAGAGAGAAAAGTCAAAAAATTAAATTCCATTATCCTTTTGACAAAGTCCAAAGAAATTAAAAGTCTAAAAGTCATCCCTCACCTTTGTAATCTGCTAAGTCATAGCTAACGGTTCTCCCTACATTGCCAGAGTCGAGATGGAGCCCTTTCAAACTAGCAGCCTGGGCTGTCTTCTGGAGAATGGTTTTTGCCCTCTCAGCCCTGCAGAAGGTGAATTAGTTCAACATCAAGCCTGACATGTGCCCTCCTTTTAAGGAGTGAATAGGACATGAGAAATGATCACAACATTAGTTCTATACCTGAAAAATTTAGAAACAACAGGCAAATCTGCAGCCCCTACAGCATTTATCACAAGCAGAGTGATAATTACAAATTCAGTTCTTAGAATAATCAAGACCCATGTTACTGTAGCCAAGGATTATTGCAGAGTCTAAGGAGTTTCTGAAGGAAAGAAGTTAGATTGAGAAAAATCTTTTTATAGCCTTACCAGCAGACCAATCTGTGCCAGTTTCTCAAGGACCTTTGAATTGAAACTCAACTGAGAGAATCTCATAATTACATTACCAAGTCTGTGACTTTTGGTAAATTACCTGGTCTAGGCTATGGTAGGGGCAGTAGTATATGCATCTTACTATGTGTATTAGTCAAGGTTCTCTAGAGGGACAGAACTAATAGGACATATATATATATATATATATATATATATATATATATATATATTTATATAAAGGGGAGTTTATTAAGTATTAACTCCCACAATCACAAGGTCCCACAATAGGCCATCTGCAAGCTGAGGAGCAAGGACAGGCAGTTTGACTCCCAAAACTGAAGAGCTTGGAGTCCGATGTTCAAGGGCAGGAAGCATCCAGCACAGGAGAAAGATGTAGGCTAGGAGGCTAAGCCAGTCTAGTCTTTTCATGTTTTTACACCTGCTTTAGTTTTTTAATTTATATATTTATTTTTGAGATGGAGTTTCGCTCTTGTCACCCAGGCTGGAGTGCAGTGGTGCAATCTCAGCTCACTGCAACCTCCACCTCCTGGGTTCAAGGGATTCTCCTGCCTCAGCCTCCCGGGTAGCTGGGATTACGGGTGCGTGCCACCATACCCGGCTAATTTTTGTGTTTTTAGTAGATACAGGGTTTCACCGTGTTGGCCAGGCTGGTCTTGAACTCCTGACCTCAGGTGATCCACCCACCTCAGCCTCCCAAAGTGTTGGGATTATGGGCATGAGCCACCACGCCCAGCCTCCCTGCCTTATATTCTAGCCATGCTGGCAGCTGATTCGATGGTGTCCGCCTAGATTGAGGGTGGGTCTGCCTTTCCCAGCCCACTGACTCAAATATTTATCTCTTTTGGCAACACCCTCACAGACACACCCAGGATCAATACTTTGCATCCTTCAATCCAATCAAGTTGATAGTCAGTATTAACCATCACACTGTGGTTGGTATTTCATGAATCTCAGTCAATACTCATTTGGGTTTCAGATTTGCCCTTTCCTTAAATAACCAGAGAGTGGCATACCAAGAGCAACCTGAGAACAGTCAGTTTCCGAAGAATGTCAGACTCCCACCAACAAGAAGAGCAGGCTCTATGGCTCTAGTCATTCAGTCAGTGATGAGAATTACTGTTGATGCTGAGGCCAAATCTCTTCCTCCCAGGTATCATCGAGCACCGGGACCACCCTCACTCTCCTATCCGGTATTTCACGCAAGAGGATATTAACCAGGGCAAAGTCATGTACCGCCCTCCCCCGGCAGCACCCCACCTCCAGGAGCTCATGGCCTTCTCGTTCGCTGGTAATGCTCTCCTCTCTGCTTTGAGGCACCCAACTGCTCTCTGTGGCTCTACATGACAGGCTCGCCCTAACTCTCCCTGCAGTCCTCTGGACCATTTGGTGCCCCTGCTTTCTAGCTATTCAAAATAGCTTGAGACCTGTCAGCCAATATGTAACTTGAACTCAGTTCCATCTTTTTTTTTTCCATTTATTCATGCATTGAGGCATACTTTCAGTAAATCTTTATTTTGTCCCTCCTATGTGCCAATCACTGAATGAGGCCTTGGAGATACAGTGGCAAGCAAAAAGAGGCATAGATTCTGCTCTTGGTGGTTTAAGGGAGGTATAGAGAGATAATTTGATAAATAACCCCAGGAATGAATATTTAATTGCAGTCTGGGATAAGAGCTCTGAGGAAGAGGGAGAAAGATTAGCGGTGGAATTACACATAATCAGACTGACCTAGACTGAGAGCTCAGTAAAGATACTGGCAGTGGAGGGATGGGTAGAAGCTGACGAGGAAAAGTGTATGTATTTGGATGGTCAGGAAAATGTCCCTGAAGGAAGAGCACTAGCTCCAGGTACAGAGGCCTGGGGAAGGAGAGAATGTGTCCTTGTGTCTGAAATGTGAAGGGTCAGGCAGAGCAGGGATGCATCTGGTGGGAGAGACAGAGGCCATACCTGACAGACCCTCGAAGCCTGTAAGGATTTGGGTTGTTATCCCAACATCAAGAGGAACCCAGTGGAAGTTTTCAGGTATAGGGAACTAGGGAATGGCTTTTCAAAAGAAACTCTTTGACTGCAGTGATGTCAATGGACTTGATGAGGAGGCCAGAGTGGATGGCACTAGGGTAAGGGGAGGCCAGTGAGGGTCCTGCAGTACCTCAGGGAAGGTTTCATGTAGCCATGGGCATGCAGGCAACCTTTTAGGATAAAACCAGAATTTGGCAGAAGACACCTTTTTAATGGAAGGAAAGTCTGAGTGGAAGAATAACTAAGTTTCTCATTAAAGCCAGTGTGTGCCCTTCCACAAAGCCCAGCATACCCTTAATCCCTGCCACCTTATCTCTTCCCTTGATCCAGTCATCAAGGTTGCTGACCAGAAAGCAGGAGTTTTATGTCCCTACCCTTAAATATTTTTATGCCTTTGACTATTCCAAAAATATTAGTGCCTATTTCTTTCTTTTCTTTTTCTTTTTTTTTTTTAAGATGGAGTCTCACTCTGTCACCCAGGCTGGAGTGCAGTGGCATGATCTTGGCTCACTGCAACTTCCGCCTCCCAGATTCAAGCAATTCTCCTGCCCCAGCCTCCCGAGTAGCTGGGATTACAGATGGGTGCCACCACACCCGGCTAAGTTTTGTATTTTTAGTAGAGACGGGGTTTCACCATATTGGTCAGGCTGGTCTTGAACTCCTGACCTCGTGATCCACCTGCCTTGGCCTCCCAAAGTGCTGGGAGCCACTGCTCCCAGCCACTAGTGCTTATTTCTTTATGATCTTTAAGGTGTATGTACTACATAACACCATGGATATAGGGTATTCTTTTTATACAGTAGCTTTATTCATACACAAAAGTGGTGATTTCTTATGGTGAGTTGAACATGGTTTAAGTAATTTTAGACTTTTTTGATTATGGTAAACATTTAAAATGATGTTTGCCATTATTTAATATAAGTTTAATCGCCCAGAAAACAGTTAACTCCTCAATTAGATTGAAAATCTCTAACGGTGGGTATAGGCTTCCTCTTTAGTGTCTGTACACAGTATTTAGTAACTGGATAACTAATAGCCCATGAAAATGTTTATGGGTCTGTAACCCCTATGTTACAAGTCCTACTTCATAAGAAACACAGGATATCCTGGGATTAGAGGGAAAGAAAACATGTCAGCCGTGGTTGAAGTCATCCACTAAACTCGCCCGAGTTCCTAGAGCCTGTTCAGAGAGAGCAGAGTCCTATGCTGTATTATCTATGGGATAAATGCTGCAAGATAAATCTCTCACATGGTTACAGTGTGTAAATCAATGTCTCGGCATCACTCAGTTCTACAATGGAATTGACCCACCTGAGAGCCCTGTCAGTGATATACGACTCACCCGCATTCACCGATTTGTAGGATTTTATGTACTGTGATAAAATGGGTTCTGAATGAATGTATTATAAATCACGCTAACTGCTGCGATATAAAATTATTCCACTATGTGGTCCTTTTTGCTATTTAAAATTAATGTTGACACCATTAAATTCAACATAACATTAGCAAATGACCTGGTGATCTTTCCTTAAAAAAGAATAATTTAGATTAAAACATTCTTTAGCTTCCTAACCTCTGCCCTTTGTTTTGTACCTTTCCTATCTCTCTCTGATCCCAAAGTGTTTAATATACTGATTGTCTCTCTTACTCTTTTAGGTCTCCCAGAATCAGTGAAATTCCACTTCACAGGTAAAGATTCATCTAAATTTTACTAGAAAGTGAAATTTTTTCTTTCCTTATTAGTTCTTTCTTTTTGTTCCCATCATCATTATTTTTAGCTATTTTCTAAGAACTACTTAAAAATTATATAATTTTTCTTCTAAAACAAATTTCTTCTAAAATAAACAAATGGTTAGTTAAATAGTAATAGCTTAACTTTATAGTCATAGGAAAAAAATCTACCAATGATGCTAAAAGTTAATGTTTAAGAGCCAGGCATGGTGGCTTATGCCTGTAGTCCAGCACTTTGGAAGGCTGATGGGGGAGCATCACTTAAGCCCAGGGGTTCAAGACCAGCCTGGACAACAATGCAAGACCTTGTCTATAAAAAAAAAAAACAACTTATCTGGATGATGGTGGCACATGCCTGGAGTCCTAGCTACTCAGGAGGATCCCTTGAGCCCAGGAGGTCAAGGCTAGAGTGAGCTATGACTGCACTACTGCACTGCAGCTTGGACAATAGTGAAACCTTATCTCAAGAAAAAAAAAAGAAATTAATGTTTAAGCCCAATTTCAACATGTCCTAATATCCATTAAAGAGTTAATAGTAACTAAGATCCTAAGCCCTGCATCCAGATGACCTGGGGTTCAGCTTGCCCTGGGAAAGTTTCTTACATCTCTGTGCCTGAATGCCTCATTCTTAAATGGGGATAATAATAATAATAATAATAATAATAATAAATATAAAGCTCCAAGAATGATTATTGCTACATAATCATTACTATATTATACTTAGCTAATAAACAGTAGTTGTATAAAAGTCTTGAATAGAGCCATTCATGGAATCCCTTGTTACTGGAGGGAAAAGGCTTACTACCCAGAGGCGAGTTGAGAAACTTGGGTGTGGAAGACCTCTGCTTTCCTAGTTTTAGCTCATAGTGCAATAGAAGCAGGATGCCAATCAGCAAAAGCAGAGTCAGACCTGGTATCTATGCTGGGCCACCATAGGATAAGCTTCTTTCTTGTTTAGGTCTATAGTGAGGATGATTGACCATAAATAGCATCATTAAATTGCTGTTTAGATGGGATTGACTATTCCATTAGAATCAACCATCCATGCGCACTGTTACATTTCATGGAGGGAAAAATGTTAGCAGTAGAGTTGCCTCTCTATAACTCCCAGCTCTTCCTTTCTTCTATGAGGATTAAAAATCGCACTTGAATCAATAGTAAATTTCAGTGTTGTGTTACTGTTGATATGAACCCAGTATCAGCTCATTTCTAGTCATAGGCCTCTACATAATTCATACAATCAGTAATGATATATGGCAGATTTTTATATTTTATAAAACAATTTACAATAAAAATTGTACTATTTAATTCTTATAACAATATTTTAAGGATGGATATTATTTTCAGCATTTTAAACCTAAGGATACCAAGTCATTAAGAGTAGATAACCTGGCCAGGTGCAGTGGCTCACACCTGTACTCCCAGCACTTTGGGAGGTGTGAGGAGGGAGGATTCCTTGAGCCCAGGAGTTCAAGACCAGCCCACGCACATAGTAATATTCCTTGTAGTCTCAACTACTCAGAAGGCTGAGGTGGGAGGATTGCTTGAACTGGGGAGGTTGAGGCTGCAGTGAGACATCATTGTGCCATTGCACTCTAGCTGGGTGACAGAGTTAGACCCTGTCTCAAAAAAAAAGTAGATGATCTGCTCAGATTTCCACAGCAGGTAGACAGTAGAAGCAGGATTTTAATACAAGTTTCTGACTTAGAGCATGAGCATGGAATAGCTAGTTTAGTCTGACATGTATGTGTGTTGGTTATGAAAAGTGAGTGTCATGGTAGTATGCCATTTTGGTTTCCAAGCCTCAACTCTTACCTGAAAGCTTGAGTAGGTGAAGGGTTAACAATTAACTTGTCTAGGACTTTAAGTTAAATGATCTTGAACCTATTATACAGTCCCATGGGCCTAGACCTTGGGCTGACCTTAAATTATCTTGCTTCTGCCAGATGTTCCTTTTTTATTGATTTTAAAGAAGAAAAACCCTTGGTATCTAGTAGAAAGCCATGTCGTTTTGGAGAGTTTTGTGAGAGAGAATTTTAAATTGGACAGTTAATGAATAAGGCAGGAAAAAGCCCAAGAGCTGACATTAATTTGTAGAATGAAGGAGAACCACCCATTTTGGTGAATCAGCTAAGATGAGAAGGAAGGCTGATGTTCCTGGGACCTGACTGACTTTAGGACAAATGCAGAAGCTCTGGAGAGCAGTTCTGAGCAAGGAACACACTTAAGGCAAGTGGTGCTCACAGGGGCATTTAGCCCAAAAAGGCATTTGACTGTTTCTCAAAGAAATTAGAGACATTCCTTAAAGAGAGGGATAAATATGCAGTTGCTGACATTTTGATTGGAAGTTTATATGATTGCTTGCAAAACCCTGCACCCAAGTGATAGCTAGTTATGTAATATGCACCAGAAAATAGCTTTTTTCCACTTACTTACAGAGTCAAGAATATGCCTTGTTCACACTAAACAGCTGTATGATGTGACCAAAGCTCTTTAATTTTGTACCTTTTCCCTCCTCCTGTAAAATAAGGATGTTGAAAGCTTCCTGGACTTCCTCCCTGGTATGGTTTGAATGTCCCTTCCCAAACTCATGTTGAAACTTAATCCTCAATGTGGCAGTATTGAGAGGTGGGGCTTTTACAAGGTAATTGAAACCTGAAGGCTCTGCCCTCATGAATGGTTTAATCATTAATGGATTAGTGGATTAATGGTTAATCATGGGAGGGGAGCTGGTGGCTTTCTAAAAAGAGAACAAGAGACTTAAAATCACAAGCTCAGCCCCCTCGCCACGTGACTGCCTACACTGCCTCATGACTCTTCACAGAGTCCCCAACACCAGGAGGCTCTCACCAAATGTACCCCCTCAACCTTGGACTTCCCAGCCTTCATATGTGAAAGAAATAAATTCCTCTTCTCATAAATTACCCAGCTTTAGGTTTTCTGTTATAAGCAACAAAAAATGGACTAAGACATTCCCACTCAGAAATAAAACTAATGTAAAATATAAAGTAAAATAAAATTGCATTTTGCAACTAGTTCTTATCTTAGATTACAGAGACATCAGAGCATCCTGAATCCACTAAAACTTATGAAAAAGTTTGTATGCTTGTCACCAAATCCCCAATAATTAAGAACCATCTGTGCCTATTTTTGAAGATCCAGAGAGGAGATCAAATGTAAAGAAGCAATGACAATAATTTTGACACTTGTCTGAATGACCAGAGCCATAAAACCTTCATTCTCACATGGATAATGTCGTCTTACCTTCAATAGGGCTGTTTCTGAACATCTCCAAGACATGGAGTGTACCTTATAAAATTTAACCATATCTTTCAGATCTGTCTCAAGGGAAAGACAAATCTAAAACTTGAATAGAATCATTACTACACGTCGCTGAGCAATGCTTGACTTTGCTTAAGCAAGATTCTTGCTGGCTTGTTAGTAAGTCCAGAAGAAAGTGAGGAAGGAAACTAGTTTCTCATAACCAACACATAGACAAGCTTATCACACATTTAAAATAATTAACAGTGCAGTTTTCTTAAAGACCACTACAGATAAACACATTGATGAGCTGATGATGCAAATATCCCTCCAAAACTGGCTTTTGGGGAAAAGATAGGGTGTTAAGTTATGGAAAAGTGGAAATAAGCATCAAGGGTGAGGCAATTCTGCTCTCGTATTTTCCTCAGAGATGGATGTTCACTTGGATGTCAAAAAATCCAGGGAAATAAAATCTTAAGGTCACTGTTTTGTTCACTATTTATGTCATTGTGCATCATGACCAAGTAAAAATGGATCTGCTTACTTCCAAACTAATGACATTAGAGACATTGGTATGGGTATTGTCTGTCCTTTTAAAAAGTATTCTTTTTTTTTTTGAGACGAAGTCTCGCTGTATCGCCCAGGCTGGAGTGCAGTGGTGCAATCTCGGCTCACTGCAAGCTCCGCCTCCCAGGTTCACGCCATTCTCCTCCCTCAGCCTCCTGAGTAGCTGGGACTGCAGGTGCCCGCCAACATGCCTGGCTAATTTTTTGTATTTTTTAGTAGAGATGGGGTTTCATCGTGTTAGCCAGGATGGTCTCAATCTCCTGACCTCGTGATCCGCCTGCCTCGGCCTCCCAGAGTGCTGGGATTACAGGTGTGAGCCACTGTGCCCGGCCAAAAGTATTCTTTTCTAATGAGACATAGACTTGCCACTTCTAAAAGAGTTCATGAAAGAAAATATTTATTTGGAATAATAAGGGAATGAATTGAATCAAGAAATATTTCCATAATCAAAAGCCTTTACCAGTAGCATCTATGGGTGCAGATTTTGTGTTACCTTCCTTTCCACTAACATTTATCAAGATCACCTTTGTTGTGAAAGTAGCCTCTTAGAATGATTTTGTTATTATGGTTCTTTATCTTTTTTCTTATCCATAGAAAAAAGAATAGCTCACAGTATCTTGCTTGCTTACTTTCTTCATTTGTAAGCATCTCTTCAAAGGTTAAAGTAGTGCAAAAAAGTTTCTAGCTACATATTTGTGGAAACTGCCTGAAGAGGACCAGACTACAAGTTGATTCGTGTGTGTGTGTGCGTGTCTCTGTGTGTGTGTGTGTGTCTCTGTGTGTGTGTGCATTTATCCTTTTTAGTTTCAGATGGAGAACACACAAGTCCGGAGATGGTCCTCACCATTCACTTACTTCCCAGTGATCAGCAACTGCCAGTGTTCCAGGTCACAGCTCCACGGCTGGCGGTCAGCCCAGGAGGCAGCACTTCTGTAGGTAAGAACTGGGAGCCTGATAGAAACATGGCTTTGGAAATGGGATCATATTGCTGCCCCTCTTCAAACCTCTTGATGGTTGCCAAAAAAGCAAACTCTTCTTCCAGAAGTTGCCTGCATTCTCACCTGTATCCTTCCTCCTGCCCATTTCTATGCAAACAGAAGCCGCACAGAGAGAAGGAAATGAAGCCTTCAGAGGCCAGTGTTCAGTGGTGGAACACAACACAGAACTGATTTTCCGGGAGTTTGCTTTGATGCCATCACTAAAATATAAAGTAATAGAGCGGCGAGAAGAACATAGAGGGGAGCAGGATTTCAATGGCGGCTCTTGTTTCTATTTAGAAAGTGAAGAGTAGCAGGAGAAATGTCAGGTCACAAGAAGCTTCAGAAGTTGTGAAGAACTAGAGTTGACCCAGTTATTTTGTATATAATTATATGTACTAATTAGTGAATTTAATCTTTAGAAATGTATTCTTTTATCAAGAACATTTTACTAATAAACAGTAGGTATTGTGATTTTTGTTAGGTGTGTTCTAGAGATCCTTATCCAGTTTCTACATATGGGGTTTGGCCTAAAATTAATTTTTACCAAACTTACAAATAAGCCATGTGTACAAGGATGCCTGTCACTTTAACCCTGCACCTCACCTTTGTGATCATTGCTCACTTGGCTCTTTGTAGCTTTAGAAAAATAAGAAGGGACAAAACAATGAAATGCCAAACAATTTATAGGAGGATTTTCTGGAAGAAAATCTAACCCAGCTAGTCAGGGTTGACCTACCTGTGGGCTTCCTCTGTGCATGCTGTCATTTGTATGGAAGAAAAAAGGTGTTCTAAATTCAGAACTACCTTACATGAACTTTTGGAAGCACCTACTTGCAGTGTAGGAATTGACTGTATTATCTGTTTTTACTCTTTTGTGCCTGATTGGAATGAAGCAGTGCTTTCTGATAACAATCAGATTACCCACAGCATGACTCCTAGCCTGGCCTGCGGTTTTAATATATAGTCTATCGTCTTTAACATACGCTTTCTCTCTCACCACGCTTCCTTCTCCTTGCTGCAGGACTTCAGGTGGTAGTAAGAGATGCTGAGACAGCGCCCAAAGAACTCTTCTTTGAGCTTCGGAGACCTCCACAGCATGGTGTGCTTCTTAAGCATACAGCTGAGTTCCGAAGGCCGATGGCCACAGGTAGCTACACACCTACACACTCTGTCACTGACCTGCTTGGAGGATTTTTTGCTCTACAATCAGTTGTTATGTGTCTCAGACGAGAGCAAAGCGTCTTTGTGATACAGACTATGAGGAGCTATTTTGTGTGTAGTTTCATTGGCTTTGATATTTGAGACTTCTTCGTGTTCCCACTTCCATCCCTGCCCCACACCTGCCCCCGGCCCCACCTTGAACCCTGTGAAACCAGTTCCTTAAACTATAGGTGAAATGGGTGATTTCTGAAACTTGGAGTAAATGCATTCAGAATGACACCATATGAGGGATCAGCTGCCACTTTCCTAGCACTGTTCATGGAGATGAATCGGTCTTAATTTGGTATGTGAATCTTCACAATATTTTTAGCGCTGTGACTCTGATAGTGTTAACTACATCTATCTTCATCCATTAAAAAAAGGAACACATTTTTGAAGTATTATCTATGTGATATAACAGTGTGGTAATGTGATCGGCTTTCCAAAATAACTCTTATTGTGCTTCCTTTGATTATAAAAAATAATATATGTTTATTATTTAGAAGGTACAGAAAAACACAAAGAACACAAGTGAATCTAATTTTTTAATAGTCAGCCCTTATTCATTGAAGTGAATATTATCCTTTTCAAAGTACCCACCTCTGGATGCTATATGTTCTTCCAACAATCTCTACTTTCTCAAAACCTTTGTATGATTCCTTTTAGAGATGCAGTAATCCATCCTTCTGAATATCACTGGTGGGCTAATCTTTGCTACTGATGGTAGATGGAATTTTAAAGAACAACCAGTAAGCATTTGGGAGTCACAAAGGTAGACTCAAAAATTTACTGAACTAAAGAAATGTCATTAGAATAGATTTGAAACATTCCCAGGAGACTACTTTAGGAACATAACAGTCATTGTCTAATTTCTTTAACATTGCATTTACTCTGTATATGTGCAGTTAACATATAAAATCTAAAGGCGTTGATAAAAAGTTAGTTTTATTACGTTTTCATAGGCATAATGCCACGAGCACCAGTAAAATACATTAACACAGTGTTGAGACAGAAGGCTTAGAAGATGAATAGACAGAATGAGTAAATTCTTCAATCTCAATACATAGCACTAGTTATTAGAACTAATAATCTATCAAAAGATAGAGTTGAATATAATATCCAAGAAGAGCAATTTCACAACTGTGTTCTGTGAAATCATTAGGGCTCATGGCACTAAGAGGCATTTCTCATAAAAAGGGTTCCATGACAAGTTTGAGAAGCTTTAATACTTATATACTAAAATGAATCCTGCAGTATAAAAAATATCTTAAATTTTATTTATTCACATTTTCCACAAAGGTATGTGAACTTGAAATTTTTTTTTACATAATGCCGATCAAATTTCTCATGAATTAGTACTCCAGACTGCACAGTTTAGGTTTCTAACTTAAAGTATATTTTTTTCATTTTTAATTTTAAAAACTCCAAATAAAGCAAAAACTTCTTAAAGGTTCATCAAGTATAATTTATTTTCTTAACTTTTTCAAAAAATTTTCAGTATCAAGATAAGATTCCAAAAGAGCTGTCATAAAGAATAGAGGCTTGTTCTTTATTTTTCTAGAACTAGGAATAATGACTAGATATTATAGAGGCAGATTTTAGCTCAATATGATTAAGAACTTAAAAACAAACCTAGAGCTATCTTCAGTGGAATTAGCTATCTTGTAAAACAATGATCCTCCCACCTTGAAAAGTGGAGAAACTAATTACCCTTTTTCAACGGTGGTGTAAAGGGAATCCTATAGTAGGTGAGTGGTTGGATTAGCCTGTAACTCCCTGAGTTATGATCCTATATGAACCTTAAAGTCCTGAAAACAAAGGTGCTATATAATGAAAAGCATTATTCCCAGAAGCAACTCGTTTGCAATTTGTTTTATTCTTGGAAGGTGACACTTTCACCTATGAGGATGTTGAGAAAAATGCTCTACAGTATATACATGATGGTTCCTCTACCCGGGAAGACAGCATGGAGATCTCAGTCACAGATGGCCTCACAGTGACAATGCTGGAGGTGAGAGTAGAGGTGTCCCTGTCAGAAGACCGAGGGCCTCGACTGGCTGCTGGCTCCTCTCTGAGCATTACTGTTGCCAGTAAAAGCACAGCCATAATCACTAGGTCACACCTTGCTTACGTGGTAAGTTCTTCCATTTGCTGTGTTTGTTCTCCACCGCCGCATCTTCTGATGGGGCAGACTGGGCAGCAATGCCATGGCTGAATATTTGGGGCAGCAGGTATATGGTCACGTAAAGAACATTTTTCTCAGCTTCCCTACCTTCTACTGTTAGGAGTAGTTATGCTGTTTATCCTGCTTCTCCCAGTGTCTCATGAGCAGACAAGTGAATGAGAAAACACGATGAGTATGTGTAGGGATGGGTGTTTGTCAACAGAAGAGGGGCCTAGTGCCATAAAAGCCCAAGTTCCCATTGTTTAAGCTCCATTCATTATATTCCCAATGGGAAGTTTAGGAAAAAAACATTTTAGAGCTTATGTGATCAATGACTAGTAGGTAATGATGTTTCACAGCCCCTGAGAGAAAGCCCACTTGTCATCAGTTTCTGTCTCAGGTCTAGTCTAGATGGAATGCTGAAAAATCCCTGCAGCAGTGCCTCTCTGTCAGATTTCCCAGCCAGTTCACTGACTCACCCTCCTTCTTTTGCCCCACAAGAAGCAGTGTAATTAGGAGGCCAAGGAGAGGATCAAGGACTAGAGTTTGTTTCCTGGTCTGGCCCTAACTTTATAAGTGATCCTGGGTAATTAAACTCATCTTCTTCCTTTGATTCTACCTCAGGAGCTAAGGATAATGAGGATGATTAATTTTATTTTACAGTTATGTATGTTGTAAGCAGATATGTGCTCTCTATGTAAACATAATAATGACTAGTTTTTACAATGCCTTGAAAGGAAGAATGATTATCTGAATGCTAATCATATTGAATTTTTCCTTTACTAATCTTAAAGTTCCAACTAATGACCTAGACTTTTATTTTTTTAATGCCGTATACTTTTAAGTAACCCTTTTCTGGGCTGAAGAATCTCACTATAAAATGTAGTCCTGAATAGCAGCATGTAAGATCAAGCATTAGCCTGGGAACAATTGCTTTTACACAGATTTTCCCCTCAAATGGTCCTTTCTTCAGTTATGGGAGACTGCATTCCACCCTAATTCTTCTCACGGGTCTATTCTAGTTTCAGAACAGCTTTGATTTTGTTTTTTGTTTTTAATTGACAGGTGATTTTTACTGTAAGTTATGGTTTTTTGAATCTTATGAAACTCGTGAATTCATAAAAATGTATGAATTCAGATTTAATCAGACGATCACCAGAGCTTGAAAAATGTTTCACAGTCCAAAATAGCGCTCCAGGAGCAGTTCCTGCCCATTAACTGCATATTATAAGCTGCATATCAAAATGCAAGCCCATTGGCAACTGAATATGTATTTTCAGAAATTGATTGAATGTGAATTTACCCACCAGAGCAGAAAAACTCCAAAAGAACTATTCTAGCCTGCTGAAAGCATAGCATACATTTTAAAGACTTAGGTAGGTTATACACTAACTTTCTCTAAGGGTTGTAGAAGGATTTTGTACTAAGAGTCATGGAAAAACTTTTCCAGATATGCATAGTTAGAAAGTTTTCAGTGAACATGTAGAAAGATTGGAAAAGCCATCTGAAATCCTAGTCACAAATGGGGCAGAGTATAAAGGTTTAGGAACAGATGAGTCTGTTCTTAGTTTAAGTGTTATTAACTGGAAGAGAGTGATACAATGTTGGAGGAGACAAAAAGGCAAAAGTTGGATTTTGTATAATTTGCTTCTTAGCAGTGGTCTTATATACACAGTTTGCTATGCACTGCGAGTAAACAGGAAAAGAACAGCATGGGTTCTGGAGTTAAAATGGATGGATCTTAATCCAAGCTCACCACTTACTAGCATTGTGACCCTTAGCAAGTTACTTAAACTCTCTAGGCCTCGGTTTTCCCATATGTAATATGGGAAGGATAAAATTAATCTTAAAACGGTAATAGCATTTCTATGAACCAGCCAAAAATAAAATTATTTGAAATATGATTCTGTGTATAATAACATTACATATTACATACCTATGAGTAAATGTAACAAAAGTTATGTAACTTCTAGGGAAAATTGATGCTATGACTGACTATGTAGAAAATAATCTCTTGACAAAAAGTATTAGAAAAAAAGGAGAATTTATCAAGGAGCCAGATATGAGATCAACAGACAGCAATAGCATTTCTATATATAAGCAAAAAAAGAAAAAAGCCAGTAAATATAACTAAAAAGATCTTACCATAATAGCATTAAGAAAAAAGCATGTCCCCTGGTCTAAATCTAGCAAAAACCAGGCAGTATTTTTACAGGGAAAATTATAACATTTAATTGACAGATGTTTAAAACGTATTAAATAAATGAAAAGACATGCCATATTCATGAGTAGGAACATTTAGTATTGAAAAGGCATCAGTTCCCTTACCAAACGATCTTTCAATTCAATTCAGTTCCAATCAAAAGCCTAATGGACTTTTTATGGAACTTAGTAAGCTGATTCTAAAATATGTAAGAAAGAACACCAGCCTGGACAACATGGCAAGACCCTGTCTCTACAAAAATACAAAAATCATCCAGGCATGTTAGCTCATACCTGTAGTCCCAGCTACTTGGGGGCTGAGGTGGGAGGATTGCTTGAGCCCAGGAGGTTGAGGCTGCAGTGAGCCTTGATTGGACCACTACACTCTGCACTTGCTCCAGGGTGGATGACAGAGCAAGCCCCTTTCTCAAAAACAAACAAACAAACAAAAACAAACAATGAACATTCTGAAAAAGAATATTAGGAGGGCAAGGGGATTTACCTTACCAGATACCAACATGTATGAAATATACAGCATTTAAAATAGTGTAGCAGAGGAATATATTAGACAATCCAAAAGCAGACTCACACATGGAACTGTAATATAAAACAGAGATGCTAGCTGGGTGCGGTGGCTCATGCCTGTAATCCCAGCACTTTGGGAGGACGAGGCATGTAGATCATTTGAGGTCAGGAGTTTGAGATCAGCCTGGCCAACATGGCGAAACCCTGTCTCTACTGAAAATACAAAAATTAACCCAGCATGGTGGTGTGCAACTATAATCCCAGTACTCAGGAGGCTGAGGCATGAGAATAGCTTGAACCCAAAAGGTGGAAGTTGCAGTGAGCCAAGATCATACCACTGCACTCCAGTCTTGGCAACAGAGTGAGACTCTGTCTCAAGAAAAAAAAAAAAACAACCAGTCATAGCAAGCCGGAGCAGTGGAAATAGGAGAAACTCTTTAAAACATGGTTCTGCACAAAATGATTATATGTATGACAAAAAAGGAATTTGTATACTGCCTCACACCCTATGCAGATATTAACTACAGACAGATCAAGTACTGAAAAACCATAAGTAAAATTTTACAAATCTTTGTAGAATATAAGTTAATATTTTTTATGATATTAAGGAAGGGCGGAACATCTTAAACTAGAAACAAAAAGGTCTAACTATAAAAGATTGGTAAATTTGACTATATTAAAAATTAAATTTGTGCTCATCAAAACACACCACAAAGCAGCAAACAGGCCAGTTACAAATGGGAAAACGATATTTGCAAAAAATATAACCAAAAATAACAAAGAAAATATAACACTCCTGCAGATCAAGAAGAAAAAGATAATCAAGTAGAAAAATAAGCAAGAGACATGAACAGGAATTCCACAGAAGAGGAACCCGGGTGGTCAATAAACATATGAAGAGATAGTCGCCTTCATTAGTGGTCAGGGAAAGCATATTAAAACCATATACCATTTTATACCAAGTGTGAGGAAGACAATGGATCCACAGGATGTTCTTTACTTTGCTGGTGGGAGCGTAAACTGGATCAACCACTTTGGGAAGGAATTTGGCATTGCCACGTGAAGATGAATATTCATATACCCTAACCATTCTAATCCTGGATTACTACCCAAAAGAAACTTTCACATGCACAGCAAAGAACTTGTGCAAGAATGTTCATAGCACTACTGTTTGTAACAGTGAAAATATTGAAACAAACCAAATGCCCACCACAAGATAGGATAACTTGTGGTCTACTAACTTGACAGAATATTAGCGAACCTAAAGACAGATGAATTATAGCGACGTCCAACAGTATAGATGGATCTTAGCAGTCTAATGTTGAGTTAAAAAAAAAATTGCAAAAGAGTAAAGTCAACTTCATATTTCTTTTTTTCATATTTCTAAGTTAAAAAAATGAAAAATATGTATTCTGTAGTAATATATCAAGCTATTTTTAAAAATTCAAGAAAATAAGAAACAAGATTTAGGGTGATGGGAGGCCCAGAGACAGGAAGAAGGGCCACATACATAAATGTTAGTTATTCTCAAAGCTCTAGTCCTCGTGTTGAATGATGGGTTCATTGATGTAAAAATAATGAAAAGAAAATGAAAAAATAAATTAATACAAAAGGGATAAGAAGATCTTTGAGCAGAAAAGTTACCTGAGAACAAGGTCTGTATTCTTATGCATTTTTTGTACCTCCAGTATCTGGGATATCTTAAAATAGTGATTTTCTTTAAATCATGACAGTACTTTCAGGAAAAAAGTCTAGCTGATTTCCTACTTTTTCAAACCTAGCAGTTATATGAGATTTGAAATATATAGTAAGATATGCCTGCCATGAAATAAGCAGTGTTTTGGTCAAATTTGTCAATGTGAAATTTAGAAGTTATTCATTCTAACTAGGAGCCAGGAGCTCTGTCCTTATAGTTTATCAGCAATTCAGAAGACAACACCTTAAAACTCTCAGCTGTCTTTTTAAAAGTCTCTCTCAGAGAGAACGCACAGTAATATTAAGAAGCAGTCTTTTGGAGTCTATATGTTGTATTTGATAATCCAAGTGGAGAAAGTTTAAAAGAACATAAATTTAGGGAAAACTTTCTGAAGTCTTGCAGCTTTGATGAATTTTAGATTCCTTTCTTGCTAGTGTCAAGTGATATGAGGAAATATGGAAAATTCAGTGATCTTGAATTGAGACTCTGAACTACTAACTTTGATAGGTCTCTGGGGATAGAAATGAGAACAGACTGAAACCTGTTGGCCCCCGCCCTCTTGGTGTCTGTGCTCACATTCCTGATCCTGTACCTCAACTAACTGTACAACATAGCATGAAAATTTGCTTTTGAAAGTACAAGTGACCATGCAACATTAATTTTCATTGTTGCTGTGGTAAAGGGCAGAGTGCCCCCATTTTCACAATCAACAGCCCTAAAAAATGAATGACTCAGGGAAACTTTATAAGAAGATGTTGCCTGCCTCCCAGATATTTCCAAAAATATTCTTGAAGAAACAGGACATTGTTATTGTCTGTGTTGAAACAGAGAAAGTCATTTTTATTTCTCAACAAACAATGTAGAAGGGAAGAGAAATGTTCTTTGTTAAGATTAGGCATCTTGGGAAGTGAACATTCATAGATTTGGTGCTGATAAAATGAAATCCATGACTTCATACATTCTTTTGTTAATCTAAAATTTTATCACGTTGAACATTGCTTAAAGTGAGCCATTGGCTAAGCTAAATAACTTTTCTGTTTCATGGAATTTTATTATCGTATTATATGTTATAAAGAAATTTTGCCTGTTTCTTAAAAGCAAAACATTCTTAGAAACTCTAGAAAAATCCTACATCTGTGTTTACAGGTTGATGACTTATAGATGATCAAGTTTTATTTTTACTAAAAGCTTAAAAATGAAATCTTGTATGGCTTTTATGGTATTGATAACAACAGGGAATCTCTTTGTTTTATGCCACATACCTAAAGTGCATTTCCCTTCTCTTACCTTGAGCTACTCTTAGAAAAATATGTTATCAAAGAGGAATTTGGGGAAGAATAAACACTGGGATTTTTATTGTAGTTTGAAATACAAAGAGAAAGAGACTTTAAGACAAAGAGAAAGAGACTTTTCCAATTAGCAGAGAGAGAAGCACCCATAGATCTTTAGCTACTGGAAGTGTTTATTCCTGCAAATGTGCGTTCATGTCCTGCCTCATGTTTGCCTCATTAGGATGATTCTTCCCCCGACCCAGAGATCTGGATTCAGTTAAATTATCTGCCCTCATATGGTACTCTCTTAAGAATCTCAGGATCTGAGGTGGAAGAGCTCTCAGAAGTTTCCAATTTCACAATGGAAGACATCAATAACAAGAAAATCAGGTACATAATCACTTTGTATTATTTGACAGATTCTTAAAAACTTGTATGAAAATATTTCAGCAACTGGTTGTAGCTCTGTTGAAAGAATATATTGGTTTGGCCCCATTTTTAAACAAAGATGCTGCTGTCTTACCTGGCTTGTCATCGTGGCTTATTCATTTGATTCTTTTTGTTTTTTTATAGATACTCAGCTGTGTTTGAAACTGATGGTCATCTGGTTACTGATAGCTTCTATTTCTCTGTCTCTGACATGGACCACAACCATCTGGATAATCAGATATTTACCATCATGATCACTCCTGCTGAAAATCCACCTCCAGTCATTGCTTTTGCTGACCTTATCACGGTAAACAATTCTCAGATCAATAAACAGTGAGTACTATAGAGAGCTGGAATCCGTAGTAATGTAAATGAAGGATTTCTGCCTAAATTGGCTGCCAAATATTTCCCCCAAAATATCCAGGCAGCGGTATGAAGATATGCATGGTTTTCAATCATGAGTGTTTTTTTAAGTATGAAAATAAATATGCAGAAGATCAAATCATTATATCTGCATTATTTAGTCAACAAATATTTATGTGCTAGCCACCATGCTAAATGTTGTTAGTACTGGGAATAAAAATAGAAAAATATTATATCTTTGAGGAGTTTACAATCTAATATTGGCAGCAACTAAAACTTGGACAATGACCCCAAATCACTCCTTAAATCAAGTCAGTACTTAGCACTGTAAACAATATTGACGGTTCCTTTGTGGGCAGAGCAATACAATGCATTCTGATCATTGAATACCCAGACATCAGTTCAAGTGCCAGTTCTGTGACTCATCAGCTGAGTGACCTTGGGCCGTACACTTAATCTTTCTTTGCCTCAGCTTCCTTGTCTTTTATATTTTTATTTATTTTATGTTTTGTTTCCTTGTCTTTTTTAATTCTCTTATTTATTTTTATTTATTTTTAAGAGAGGAGGTTTCACTGTGTTGCCCAGGCTGAACTGGCAACTCTTGGGCTCAAGCAATCCTCCCCGCTCAGCCTCCCTAGTAAGTGAGACTATGGACCTGTAGTCCCATACCTGGCTCTTGTCTTTAAAATATTATCATTTTCTACTACATAAAGAATTTCTCTAATGATTAATAAAATAGTATGGAAACCCCCTAGTGCAGTACCCAGTTCATGGTAGGGATTCCACAGAAGTTAATTCACTTTCCTCCCTGCTCTATGTACATACCATAATGCCAAAAGCTCAGGAATTTTTCTGGTTTTGTTGAGCAACTGAAAATTCATAAAACTAAGTCATTTCTTTTTTTTTTTTTTTTTTTTTTTTGAGACGGAGTCTCGCTCTGTCGCCCAGGCGGGACTGCGGACTGCAGTGGCGCAATCTCGGCTCACTGCAAGCTCCGCTTCCCGGGTTCACGCCATTCTCCTGCCTCAGCCTCCCGAGTAGCTGGGACTACAGGCGCCCGCCACCGCGCCCGGCTAATTTTTTTTGTATTTTTAGTAGAGACGGGGTTTCACCTTGTTAGCCAGGATGGTCTCGATCTCCTGACCTCATGATCCACCCGCCTCGGCCTCCCAAAGTGCTGGGATTACAGGCGTGAGCCACCGGGCCCGGCCAAACTAAGTCATTTCTAAGTGGTTCTGATATTCCTCCCATTTTTCCATTTTTACATAAAACCTTGGAAAAGCCATTTGGACTGTCCCCATTCCCAGAGTCAGAGTGACCTTCCCCTTTGTAATTTATAGATCTTCCTACAGTTAGCCAAGAGTTGTTCAGGGTGAAATTGCTTGACCATCTCCAGCAGGCTAGAGAAAAACACCAGGCTCAGATTGTGGGGTTAGCATACAAAATAGAGCTCTAAAGGAAAAAAAATTAGTTTGAGCAACTGCTTTTACTTATAGTGATTTATTTTCTTCCTTGACATTAAGATAAGCACTAGCTTTCAGATATGGTGAACCTTTCTTGCTACACACCTATAAATATATAATATAAGAGAATAAACAGGACTTTTATTCTGGATGAGAATGCCTATAGGACACAGTCACCCTCACAGTATCCGCAGGAGAACTGGATCTATCATTCTCTAGCTGTGGGCTTTTGAATGTTGATGTGGAAGGAAGGCAGCCATCCTGGCAGGCAGCTGAACCGAGGTGGGTGATTAGAATGGGCTAGAGCTGCTTTATAACCAGATCCATCATTGAATGGAGTGCAACTTTGAAGGGAGATACAGAAGTCATCATGTCTGACTGTAGCTTTGAGAGGCACTGAAAGATTGCCTGGCTTCAGCAGCATACACATTCCTCATCTCGTCTGTAGATGGTCTGCCTCCTCAAAGAAGCAGAATTGGTGCTAGAAGGTCACCCAGGCAGCACTTTGCAATCCAGCTCTTTTTTTACTGTGGTTATGTGAAATCACCAAGGACTCTCTATGTTCTTTTCTTTCTTAGGTTGATGAGGGAGGGAGAGCACCACTCTCATTTCACCATTTTTTTGCTACTGATGATGATGACAACCTCCAGAGAGATGCCATCATTAAACTAAGTGCTCTGCCCAAATATGGCTGCATTGAGAACACAGGAACAGGTACTACTTCCTGTAAAACTGTTAAGGACCTTGAGAGAAGGGAGGGGAGAGGGAGGAGGACCTTGCTTCCAGCTAAAGATGGAGATGGAGAACTACAGAGGAGGGGAACCATTTCAAAGAAATGGAAGGAAGGTAGGAAGGTTTCATTCATTCAACAAAAATTTAATGAGCATTTTCTGTGTGCGGGGAACTTATTTAATTAAGCACTAGGGATGTATCAACAGACAAAACCCCCTCCCTTCACAGTGCCTTCAATTCTGGTGGGGGGGTGAGAGACAAATTAAAAACCTAATAAATGAGAAGATTGAGTACGATGTTAGAAGGTGAATAAATATTATGGAAAAAAATAGAGCAGGGGAAGGGGATTTGGAATGCCAGCAATGGGGCAGAAGGGCTTGTGGATTACACTCAGAAATGAGTGTCCAGGAAGTAAAAATTCCTGTCCTTTTATTGTGAGGCAGCTGCAGTTTAGCTGAACCATAGCTTCTGTCTCAGCTCCTTCTACATATATGATATGAATTAAAATGCAAGCTTGTCTATCTGTGACACTCTCTTCCACAGCCCTCCCCTCCACCATCTGCCCTGAACACTCTGGTGGTTATCACAGAGAAGGAAAGGCAAGAAGGGATGTACTGTCCATGGCCCCCTGAGACCTTCTGTGACTGGCAATTGAGACAGCTCATGGCAGGTTGCTGTGCGGCTTTCCCTGCACGGAGCTGCCTGAGCACCAGCACTGGGCTCTAATTGGTGTGCAGCTAGCAGCTCCCATGGAGAGTCCATTGACTGCAGGTGTCTGGGGCCAGCATGGGGCCTGGGATTTCAGCCTGGTAACCAGAAATTCACTTAGCAGTGGTCATGTTTTCCTACAGAAGTTTTGGATCCTTTTCCCATCTTTCCTTTCAATGTGTGCCTTAGATCTGTTTATTGCAGAATTAGGTTTATTTCAACAAATGTTTGTGCTAGATAAAGTGGATGTAAGGATAAGACACAGACTCATGTGCCTTGAGTGGGAGACAGATAGGAAGACTGACAAATTACAATAAATGCAAAATGCCAGGACAGGGAAAGGAGCAAAGCACTGAGAGAGTAAGTAGGACAAAGCAATGGCTTTTGCCTGGGAAGGCAGAAAAGTCTGAGAAAGTGGCATTTGAGTTGGAACCTGAAGGGCTAGTAGGAATCACCCTGGGCAGAGGGAAAGTGGCCTTTCTTGCAGAAGGAAGCTCATAGGCAAAGGTGAGAAATGAAAGGATATCTACCCCAAACACCCCTTCTCTCTGCGTGGTTTCTTATTAAGCCTTCCTAACATGGTTTTATGTCAACCTGGAATACATGGAGGTGCAGAGATACTCCATAGAGAGGACTATTCCCTGGCTAAGAAGTCAAATTTCTGGCAAGCTTCAGCCTCTCTAAAAAGTGGTTCTCAAACTTTAAGGTGCAGTGGAATCACCTGGAGGGTTGAAAGTGTTGTGAAACAGTTTCCTGGAGCAGCAACCCCAGAGTTCCTGTTTTAGGAGGTTGGTGTGGGCCTGTGAATCTGCATTTCTCATTAGCTCACAGGTGATGCCATTGCTGCTGGCCCAAGGACCACACTTAGAGAACTGCTGCTCTACAATAATATTGGTATAAATGTGAAAGGAACAAAAAAGCATTTAGGAGGGCAAAATAATTGTCACAAGGTATATTAACTAAAGACCCCATCTCTTGCCCCATGGAAGAGGCTCCTCCGCCTCTGTTTAGAGCTGAGTGTGACTTATGTATAAGAAACTAGCAGCTGGGCACAGTGGCTCAAGCCTGTCATTTCAGCACTTTGGGAGGCCAAGGTGGGAGGATCGCTTGAGTCCATGTATTTGAGACCAGTCTGGGCAACATAGCAAGACCTTGTCTCCACTGAAAAGGATAAAAATGTAAAAATTAGCTAGACGTGGTGGCACATGCCTGTAGTCCCAGCTACTTGGGAGGCTGAGGCAGGAGGATCAGTTGAGCCCAGGAATTTGAGGCTGTGGTGAGCTGTGATTATGCCACTGCACTCCAGCCTGGGCAGCAGAGGGAAACCGTACCTCAAAAAAGAAAAGAAACTAGCTACCTAAATTCAGAACCTAGCTGATCAGAAAAACATCTTTTTAAAAACTGTTAAAAGAACCAGCTTTTACTTTTCACCAAGAAAAGAAAGAATAATTGTTTTGTTAGGTATGAAATCTAATGGCATGGAGCCTGAATTCATTCAGGACTGGCACAGACAAGACAGGACCCACCTTGATTCCCTCTGGGTATCACTATATTCCAGTGCTATGCAGTGATGGATGTTCACAATGATCGCCTGTGCGCATCAACACCTATTTAATTTGCACATCATATGTTCTGTTTAAGAAAGCAGGTAGCACATTAATAAGAATGATTTATGTCAAAAATAGAAGGTAATGTTTTTTAAATGTAAAGGATTGGAGCTTAAAGCTTCAGTGACAGATTCACTTGTTTAATAGCTTGTTCTCCAGTGATTTAAAATGAGGCACTATTATATTTGTGTATATTTTTAGGCATCATTTACTTTACTTAGGCTTTTTATTTTTTTGAGACAGGGTCTCGCCTCATTGCCCAGGTCAGAGTGCAATGGCATAATCACTACTCACTGTAGCCTCGACCTCCCAGGCTCAAGTGATTCTCCTACCTCAGCCTCCCAAGTACCTGGGACTACAGGCATCCGCCATCATGCCTGGCAAATTTTTGGTGGGGTAATTTTTGTAGAGACAGGGTCTCACTAAGTTGCCTAGTCTGGTCTTGAAGTCCTGGGCTCAAGCAATCCTCCTGCCTTGGCCTCCCAAAGTGTTGGGATTACAGGCATGAGCCACCATGCCCAGTCACTACTTGGGCCATTTTTGACTCAAATAAAGAAGCCACATTTCTCCTGTTTAGAGTGATAAATTTAAGAAAAAAGTAAAAATTGGAAGGAATTTTAGCCGTTCCTTCTGGAAACCCTGAACTGTATAGCCTAATGATTATTGGGTCACTGGCCGCTTAGACCTCTCTCAGCTTCTGTTGCCTAGAGGAATAAAATCTGAGGGGTAAAATTTAAAAAAATTCATGTTATTGAAGAAAAAAAAATGGTGTTGAGCTCTTCTTTCAAATGAATTCTAATAAATATGACACTGTCTATAATTCAGGAAGTTAATAGCCTTTTAATTTTGGATCTGATTTTTGCAAAGGGTCATGGAGAAGGGAAGGGGAAAGCCTGTTGCCTTCAGATCTGCTAGCTGCACTTTTCTGTGTTGATGTATATCCAGGCAATGTTTGAAGACACAAGGGTTTTCTTGGTCTCCTCTCTCTAGAATAACATTGTGATGACAATTTCAAATCAATCAGTTAGACTCAAATTAAAATCAAGTAAAAAACAAGACATCTATCATTTAGATATTGCTTACTCTTCCCCTGGGCCTTTTGCAGTGTTTGGGGTTGGGATGAGAGGAGTAATCTGAGCCAGCATTTTCTGTGGAGCTCTGAATGGTAACTGGGCATCTCGGTACCTGAATGGTGGTACCCAAGCGCCTCAGTGCCTGAATCCCACCTGAGCATCATAGTATCTGAATGGTACCTGAGCTCTGAATGGTCCTGGAGCATCACAATAGCCCTGGTGCTCTATCCCAGGGGCTGGGCTCTGACCCATGCAGAGGTTCCCTTAAGAAACTGGGAGGTCCAATGAAAACATGCTGCAAATGTTTCTTCGATTAAAAGATACACAGTTAACACTACAGATGTTTTTAGATTAAAAGATATGCATTTAACATTTTCTTATGTAGTGAAAGAGGGTTCCTCATGCAGGATATGCCAGATAGAATGGTTTTGAAACTAGCTGGAGCTTAAGGTAGAATCTCTGCTTCTGTATTGTCACTTGCCCTAGTAACAGAAGTTATGATCAGAGACTCCTAATAAAACAACCAGTGGTTCTATGTTATATAAATTATTGTAAGTTTTTTTGCATATTATCTCATTTGATTCCTTTTGGAAATGGCAGGGCAGGTATATCCATTTATAGATGAGAAATAGTCAGTGAGGAAACGGATCTGACCCAGGCCTTCCAATTCCTGGTCTTGTGCTTATCCCACTCTCCCAACTTTATCCTCAAATACATTTTCTTTTTTTTTGCCGAAAATGATACCTTGTTTTCTAGTTCAGCCTAGTAAGCAGGAATTGATAGATCAAGGTAAAAATGCTCTCTTGATGTTGATGCAGGTGATCGTTTTGGCCCTGAAACTGCCAGTGACCTAGAGGCATCATTTCCTATTCAAGACGTCCTGGAAAACTACATTTACTACTTTCAGAGTGTTCATGAAAGCATTGAGCCAACCCATGATATTTTTAGTTTTTATGTGAGTGATGGAACCAGTCGTTCAGAAATTCACAGCATCAATATCACCATTGAGGTAAAGACTTTGGAAGTTGGAAAGGTTGAGCCCTTGACCACAATATTTCACACCATTAGAGAGCTTTCTTTATAGGGACTCAAAAGCAAAGAAGATTGGATTTGACCTTCAAAATTGAAGGTCGTTCTTAAAATATAGCCTTCAGGAATCTTGTAGAATTAAGGTTGGCATTTGGGGAAGGCTTGAGTTAGAAATCTAAATTTCCATTTCAGGATTGAATTTATTTGTTCGGTGTGAAAAACAGTTTGTGAAGGTCAGAGATGCTTTGCCAGTCTCATATATAAATGAAAACTTACATATGTCTATGTTTCTCTGAAATTGTGTTTGGTTCTATATGCATATTTGCCTTTTCTTATTTTACTGCATTTATTTATTTAATTGTAACATCAAAGAAATGTGTTCCTTGATGCTGTATTTATTCTCATTTGAGCAACTACACAGGCTTGCTCTACCGAGAGAGAGACACAGGGGAGGGGAAAGATAAATCTCAGAATGAAATACCCTCTGCCTTGGGAAAATAAAATGTAAAGAACCCTCTGCACTCTTAAGGGTCAGTGGTGGAAAGGGGCTGGCACCAGGGCAGGGAGACAGCTTTAGAGACCCACACTTTCAAATATAGTGTCCTTCTACAGGTACTGTGGTATGCTTAGCATTTTCTAAGAGAGTTCTGAGTTATATTAGTATGGTCTTTTATCTTCAAAGTATGTTAATACTTGTACTTGTCAAAGCACATATCCATATTTTTGGTCTAGAAAATATGGTCATTGTACTTACGGAAGATATCTGAGAAAACTTTTATGAAATGTCCATCAGCTTCTTTTGAAGGGGGCATTTTGTTGCCTGGACTTGCTCTCTTTTCAAACTAACTATTTTGCTTGGGAAGTAAAGATGGTGCCACATTAAATGCTATTTTGAGGTGAACATTTCTGTAGCAATGATACTGTCTCTGAATAATGTGCATTTTCTTTCTTCTTAAATATCTGTGTGAGATCTAATAGTTTATGCTTTAATCAGAGGAAGAACGATGAGCCTCCCAGGATGACCTTGCAGCCCCTCAGAGTGCAGCTGAGCTCGGGAGTGGTGATAAGCAATTCTTCTTTGAGCCTGCAAGACCTGGACACCCCAGATAATGAGCTCATTTTTGTATTGACAAAAAAGCCTGACCACGGTAGGGCACGAACTGCTATGAAAAGCTTCTTAATTGAGATGCCCGATGGGCTGTTAGAATAAACACAAATATTTCAGTTGACTATTTCTTTTCTTGTATATGGTACATTCTTTGCATCAAAGTGTAATCAAATTCACAGCTGGCTAATATTTTTTTGGAGTCCTGGTAGACATCAGTTGTTTAAGAAGCCTCAATCCCAGTTAATTGGTGTCTCTGAAGTTAAATTTCAGCCGTTTTTTTGCTTTTCTATGTAACCTTAAGCAAAAAAGTTTTCAGAATTTGCCTATTCTCTTCTCAGAGTTCCCATATTGTCTTCTCAGGGTAGACATCAGTGTTTAATAATCTTGAGCCATTTTATGTACCCTTGTAGAGGCATACTAGATGTCTTTATGAACTTGTTCCTTTTGTAAAAAAAAAAAAAAAACACTTTTCCTCATTTAAACCAGATGCAGAAGCCACTTTTGGGACCTTCTACCTACTTCTTTTTTTTAAGAGCCATCTCTCCAGTTATTGGCTAAAGTTCTGGAATGCAAGTGGTGTGTCTCAATTCATCGTAATGCTCATTGGTCTTTTAAAGATTAAATTGTTGCAGTAGATGAAGGGTTAATAGAAAAAACTGTTGGGCATTGTATTTTAGCTGGCTTCCATTCACTTTCGCTTTCTTGAATGAAGCACTTTGACTGTCCCACTGCGGTACATGACCCTTGAGAACAGAAATATATGCTTCAATCTAAAGATGCTTAGTGTCTCTCTTAATTGAAAAGGAATTTAAAGCATATTCTCATCTCTGCCTCTAGATGCCCTAAGAGAAAGACAGTGAGTGCTATTTTCACTTTGCAAAAGGGAAAAATAAGATTTAGATAATGAAGTGAGTTTAAATTCATGGAGGGAGATATGATTTGTAAGTCACTGTATTACCACATCCATCTGTGTCTCCTTAAGAGACTTTTTAGCTAGGATAAGTGGGACTTTGTCTTCTTTATTTGTGTATGAGGCCACAGAGCAGCACCCTGTGGTTATATGTAAAATGCTAAGCTGTTGGCACCAAGAGCCTCTGAGGCACTTGACATTCTACCCAGACTCATACTACTTGGAAAAATCAGACAATGTTTTGAATCATATATATATGTGTATTCTACCATTGTTTTGCTTTTCTTTACCTCTTCCCTCAGGTCATGTACTCTGGAGGCAAACTGCTTCTGAGCCTCTGGAGAATGGGAGAGTTTTAGTCCAGGGCTCAACCTTCACCTACCAGGATATCCTAGCTGGGCTGGTTGGGTATGTGCCTAGTGTCCCTGGCATGGTCGTGGATGAGTTCCAGTTCTCCCTCACTGATGGCCTCCACGTGGACACAGGGAGGATGAAGATCTACACAGAACTGCCTGCAAGTGACACACCTCACTTGGCTATAAACCAAGGCCTACAGCTCTCAGCAGGTACCACAGAAATAAAGGAGAGTGGCCATGGTTTTTCTATCCTTATTTCTTCTTTGTCCAGTATGCAGTACTTTCTTCCATGTTAGTGATGTGGGTGCATCTTAAAGTACCTGTTCCATACTTGGGGAGATTGGAGTCTTGGAAAACTATTGTTTTTGGGATACTAAGAATTGTTAGTGACAAATGTGAACCTCTAAAATTCTTTGGACCAAATGCTTATGTCTGTGAATTAGAGAAAAGATTGAGAAGAGTTTATAATATTTCCAGGGCCCTCAAAAATCTTAATTTATTCAACTCCTCCTAGGCCCAGGTTTCCTCTAACATTACTCCCATTCAACAAACCCCATGGAAACAAATAACGAAATATAGCAGAATTTTTAAGACGCTTATTTTTTTACAAAATGCATGGAGGGTAAGCTGGGAAACCATCATGCATTAAAAGTGATTATACAAATAATTGAGAATTATCAGATATGGTATTCTAGGGTTTAACATTCACAATTTTGCTCATGTTTAAGCAACATTGGAGGACCTGTGACAAGTGTGAGTCTTGAACAGTTTGCAGTAGGAAGTTACTTAATTAAGAAGTGGACCTTTTGCCCAGGGTGTCTGCATCTTACTAGAGTTCTGTTGTTTGTTTGTTCTTAGTTTCATGTGTATTTTGCAGTGAAAAATGTATGGTATAATAGTATTGGAAAACTTGGTAGTTCTCAAAGGTCTTAAATATCAAGTCTGAGATTTGACTTTATCCTACTTATAAGCTAATAAACTATCCTGTTACTGTTTCATGGATGCTGGTAGAAGATACAAGATTCCTCCATCAGAAATACGGCACTCTTGTTACTTATAGCACAGCAGGCAGCATGGGCATCAGCAGGTTTGCATCGGCTCCCTCTGCCATCCCAGTCCCATAGGGGTGATGTAGAGGGCCCAGACAGACACTTTCGTGTGCAGTAGGATGCATCACAGAGGGGAATACTGAGCTTGGGGAATTCTCCATGTTACAGCAGCAGAATGCAAGTCTTATTTTTGTCTGAGAGGAAGACATTACCTCATCCCTCAAGGTTGCTCTCTGAGAAACGGCCTGGGTAAAGCATGGTCAGGGTCTTGTGTTCTTGGTATTACCCACTAAGAACATGTCACTCCAAACACCAGGATGTATTATGCATGAATAACTAGGCTCTACTTTACCGGGATTTACTATTTTTAACATGATAAAGCGGCTGGGTAATAAAGCAAGTGACAAGACCCTGAGAAGAGGAGTTTGCCATTAGCCAGGGCCTTATCTTCATCCCCAACACCTGCGCAGTGTCCAGGGCCCAGAGGCTCAGATCTCCTTGCTCCTAACATCCTCTGTCCTGAAGGATGCTGATTTTCACTACTTTGTCTGACATGGCAACAAGATATGTTTGAGTTTATGTAAAGCTATATTTTTCTGATTTGGTGATTCTCAAGACAGTAAGTAAACTAAATCCAAGCAGGTTTCATCATAGATCTAGGAGTTATTTTTGTCACAGAACTGGGAGTTATTCCACAGATCTAGGTATTAACTGGTAGGTCACTGAGTCGGAGGAGCATAGGAGAGAATGAAAATGGATCAGAAGGAAAAAAGTGCTTAGGTGTTGACTCAAGGGAAAATTAGTAAATTGAAATGTCGGTACTCTTTCACTAGGGAAATTATAATTTATTCAGCTGGAAACTGAGAAGGGCAAGTGCCTGGTACCTAGATCCAATGAATATGTGATAATTTAGCCTCCAGTCTCCTAAAATCATTTGACATCCCGTTCAAAGGAAATGTTGGGGAATAACCTACTCTCTTCCGTTCTCTTCCAAGGGTCTGTAGCACGCATCACAGAACAGCACTTGAAAGTGACAGATATTGACTCAGATGACCATCAGGTTATGTACATCATGAAGGAAGATCCTGGTGCAGGGCGCCTGCAGATGATGAAGCATGGCAACCTGGAGCAAATTTCTATTAAAGGCCCCATCCGAAGTTTCACCCAGGCAGACATTAGCCAAGGTCAGCCAGTTCTCTTCTGCCTACCAGGCTTCCGTGGACTGCACCTACACTAGTAAAATGAGAATTAAATATCTGGTAGTCTATGGCAATAAACTGTGCACTCTTTGTTTTGAGGAGCTTCATTTGTTCTCTTCCTTGTTTTCTTATTTTTTTTTTCTTTTTGTTTTTAAAAAAGCCCTATCTTTCTTGGTTGAAATGTGTTCATGCTTTGACTTAGCATTGGTGGCATTTGCAGCTATTTTGGAGAGAAAAAGTTATTTTGACTTGCTGTGATGCTAAAAAGTATATATGAGAGAGAGAGAAGGAAAAAAGAAGTGAGTTGGGATGGATTAAGGTGAAAATTATGCCTTCCTTAGGTGAGCAATTTATATCTCTTTTCAGCTCCCCAAAGAGCACAAGTTAATGAACTAAGCAAAATGGAAGGGCATAAATCGGAGCTGCCTAGGGGAAATTACATGGCACATCCCTCCATCAGGAAATGCTGATGTAATGTAAAGGCATAAATGTTAAATGCTACGTAGTTACTGTACAGTGCTTTCAGGGATACAAAAGGGAAAAAAAGTTATATATTGGGGAAAACGTAATCCACAGTCTTGTGATTATGTGCAATTCTGTTTAGAAGTGGAAATATACCCCTGCGGATAAAAAACAAGTGTCCCGCCCACACACTAACACCTAAAATTGACAACAGCTGAATTCTCATTGGAACTGGCTGTGCTTTAGTGAAGGGGAGTGGAAGAGGCAAAAGGAAAGTAATTCCTTAATTATTTCATATGTCGGTGTCTACTTTTAAAAGATAAGACCAGCCCCCTCTTCCCAGAGATTTGGTTATATTTACACAACCAAATTGAAAGATGCTTTTAAGTGATGCTGTAGGTTAACAAAAATGTAATACATTTTTGTTGTACTTCTCCTTTTAGATCCTTTTGAGTTCTATGTGGAGTTTATTTGTTGGTTGGCTATAGCCCATGTTGCTCCGTGAACTGGGCAATGAAAAGTGAAGAGTTCTGGGAGAATGTGAGGTGCAGCTCTGTGTCTTCTTGCCCTTGTGATTCCAATATATAATAGGGTCACTCCAGGTGATGTGGGTGTGGTCAGTGCACATTTACACATGGGCAGTTTTGTGGATCTCGTTTTCATGAGGTGTCCTTAGAGGCTGAGCTGATCTTCCAAAAAGGCTCAGCCTTAACCATGAGAAATGTCACTTGGGGTGATTTTGTTATGAGAAGGTCTTTGGTTATGAGAAAGTAGATGGTGGGAGAGGAAAAGGAGGAAATGAAAACTTTAGATTAAAATGTCAAAAGCAGTGTCAAAGCGAGGAAGGTGTGAACTGATTCATTGGTGTGAACACCAATTGAATTCACACCTCTTGCTTCAGAAATAAGGGCAGAAAGCACTAATAGCAAATCTTGATTTTTTTTCCTTTTTATAGGCCACGTAGAATATAGTCATGGAACAGGAGAACCTGGAGGGAGCTTTGCTTTTAAATTTGATGTGGTTGATGGAGAAGGCAACAGATTGATTGACAAGTCATTTTCCATCAGCATTCTAGGTAAAGAGACATTTGATTTTCTAATATAAAACTATTTTAGCAGTTCTGAGGTTATATAGTTTACACTTTGTTCACCTCGAGGCTCGAGTCCTTCCCTTTACCTAGCTGGTGTGGAAACTGAAAATCATACCCCCTTTATTGCACGAAGCCCTGGCTCCTTGGTGTGCTCTCTAACACACAGGCCTAGAGATGACTCTGACCTTACTTCTTGGCACCAGGCCTAGAATTAAAGAAAGGAGGCTGAGAAGATCCCATTTCAAATCACTATTTCTGATATTTTCAGAAGACAAATCCCCACCAGTCATCACCACCAATAAAGGACTGGTCTTGGATGAAAACTCAGTGAAGAAAATCACCACCCTGCAGCTGTCTGCCACTGACCAGGACAGTGGGCCTACAGAATTGATCTACAGAATCACCAGACAGCCCCAGCTGGGCCACTTGGAACATGCAGCATCACCAGGTAAGTCTATCATCTCTTGATTTACTGAATCAAAACTTAGACCTTAGTAAGTATTGAGGGCAGCCACATCATGTATCATGTATACCTAGAATCTGCCTTAATTCATATTTATTTTCTGCCTCACTAATTTTGACCATTATACACTGGCTTGTATTATACTTAGCACACAGCAGGTGCTTAATGATTACTTACTGAAGGTAAATTAAAAGTTACATGTAAAATTTTCTATATGCAATCTTGTCTCCATAACTAGATGGTAAATTCCTTTAGGGCAAACACTGCATCCTGCTTTTCATCTATACTCCCTTGAGCACATGGCACTGTGCAAGGCATTCTGCATGGCTTAAAAATTCAATCCAGTGAATAGTGAGTGAGCAAGTGTACTGAGCAAGATTCTGGTTTAGCTGCTGCTCAGGAAATGAAGATGATTGAGATACAGTCCTTGACCTCCAGAGTTCTCTATTGGGTAAAATAAGGAACCTCTGCACATAACCATAACTCAGGGGAAAATATGGCAGGTGTTTTAAGAAAGATATAAACATGGTGTTGTAGGAGTTTAAAAGTGGGAGAGGCTACATTGGGTGAGAAAGTGCACAGAGGTGGCATTTAAGAGTGCCCTTGGAAGGCAGAGTTTGGGTATACAGAATTTGTATTCTTTCCAGAGATGGGAGGCACATTCAAAAAACAACAATTAGGTCAATTTAACTGAAGCACATATTCTAAAAATAGTAGGAGATGGGGCTCATGGATAGATTGAGAGTTTGTGGAGGATCTTCAAAGCTGGGATAAGTAACCTCTATTTAATTTAATAGGCAATAGTGAGTCACTGTGGAATTTTGAGCAAGGAAGAAAAGTGAAACTCATCAGGTAGTGTCTAACAGGATGAACTGAAGGAAAGAAAAAGGAGGCAGTGGCAGGGGTTAGAAAGCTTTCACATTTGGCCAGGTAGAAGGTAGTGGGATTTCACCTAGAGCAGCAGCCATGAGAATAGTAAGATGAGAATAATGCGAGAGAGAATTCCTGTACCTAGTAAGCATTCAATAGACATTTGTTGGTTGAATGAAGGATGGAAGAAAGGAAGGAATTTCAGGGGAGAACCTACACAAGCTGGGAGCTGAAGGGATGTGAGTGACAAGAGATATTTGCTGAATAAACAATCTAGAGCCAGGTGCAGTGGCTCACACCTGTAATCTCAGCACTTTGGGAGGTTGAGGTGGGAAGATCTCCCTTGAGTCCAGGAGTTTGAGACCAGCCTGGGCAACATAGTGAGACCCCGTTTATTTTCTTTTCTTTTTAAAGGCCAGATGTGGTGGTGCACATTTGTAGTTGTAGCTACTTGGGAGGCTGAGACAGGAGGATTGCTTGAGCCTGGGATTTGAGGCCGCAGTGATCTGTGATCATACACTGCACTGCAGCTTGGTGACAGAGCAAGACCCTATCTCAAAAAAAAAAGACAATCTAAAGGTAGAATTATCTTTATTTCTTGGAACATAGAGGCAGTGACAGCATATTGGAGTTTTAGAGCTTCGTGGATTCTTTTCAGATTTTAGGTTATACAGTCTTCATTAATTCAACCAGGCAAATGGAAAAATGGGGGAAGTTCCTGCCCTGATTGTACTCACTTTCTAATGCAAGGATTCCAACAACAAGCAAGCAAGCACGTATATGCTGTGTCAGATGGTGATGAGTGTCTAGGAGAAGGAAGGGTATTCCTGGGAGAACACAGAGAGCAAGCAGGTGAGGGAAGCCCTCTGTAATAATAAGATGACAGTTGAGCAGACATCTGAAGAAAGCCAGGTAGCTGGCCACGCTGATACATAAAAAAAAAAAAAAAGGACATTCCAGACAGAGGGATCAGCAAACATCAACATCCTGAGGCAGGTTCCGTCAGACAAATCATGTTCAAGACGCAGCAAGGAGACCAGGGTGGCTGCAGCAGAGTGAATGAAGGGGAGACTTGGAAGAGATGAGCTTTAAATGGTGGAGGGTGATCAAATGGAGGAAGTGAGGGAGGCAGACTGCATCTGGGTCCAGAGCAATGGTGGAGGAGGGCATGTAGTACGTGTATGGCAGGAGGGCATGCAGAGAGATGGACAGATTGGCTAAAATCCCTAGTGGGAATTAGAGCAAGTCACCTACCTTTTTGTCCGTAAGTTCCTGGGATAAGTTTGCAGAGCAGCACCCCCAAGACCTTGGCTGCTGAGATATTAGATAAATAATTCACGAGCTAATTGTCTCCGCCAGAATTCTGTGAGGCTGCTGATTGTATCTCTCCAAAGATGAAAGGGCAGACTTGGCTGTTGTGTTAGGCAACTCATCCACACCGTGCAGAGCCTTCAAAAGCTCTGAGCTTCCTCAAGGCACTGCCATTGCCTCCCTGCTGGTCAGTAGCAGCCCCAGCTCTTCCCTGACCCCAGCTGTGTTAAGAGTCCTGTTAGGGAGGCAGGGGCTCCAAATTTGCTTTTTCTGTTTTCACAGCTCTCAGCCTTTCCTGGGCTTAAAATCTGGTTACTGAAACCAAGCCAGCTGTGGTTCGGGAGAGGCCAGTAGGTGATCATGCTTCTCCCTCCTCCTGGAACAGCACCCTCCAAAAGTGGAGGAATGCTGTCTACCTGGGATGGTTCCTTCAGGTGCCCTTTTCCAATGGGCTTTATTTCCTAATTCACACCTTTCCCAGTCCCTACCAGTTTTTCTCAATCTGCCTGCTTCCAGTAACTCTGAGAAGAGCAGATACAAGGCTCCAGTCCTCTTCTCTTTGCTCTGAGGGGCCCCTCCCCGTGGCTAATAAAACGGACTTCCCTGCCCTCCTCATCACCAACCCCACACTGAGCCCTTCTGTTTCAGTTAGCCAGGACTGTCTCCTTCCCTACCTCCCCGGCTCTACTAAAAATACAAAATTTAGCCAAGTGTGATTGTTTTTACATGCCTCCCTTTGGAGGAAGTACATGTTGATTACTTACTGGCCTCCCTGAAGGCAGTTGGCTACAGCTTAGCAAAAAGGAGCAGCACCTCACCCCACTTGTCTCAATGGGTGAGGATGGGTTTACCAGAAGTTGGAGTTGAGGAGGGAGGGGGTTCTGTTATTTCCAAGAAGAGCAGAGCAACTTCTAGGCCAGTGTCTGTAGTACAGAGCACCAAGATATTTATTTGGGGACCAGAGACCTCCTGGAATTATTATGAATCACTGGTGCTGCAGACACCCTCCTGATTGTTAACTGGGAAATAGACTTATTTTCATGCTGTCTTGCTTGGTCAGCTGATTATAATTGATTGTCCTCTGTAGACAGGAAAGGTGGGGAAATCTCTTCTTCCCCATAGGAGATGTAGGGAGCCATCTGCCTATGCGAACTGTGCAGAAGACAGACCTAAGCCTTCTGTCACCAAAGAGAGTCCAGTCCTTGTATGCGCTGTCTTTTCAAGATTGAGCAGGCCACACCCTCACATCAGGGTTTCCCTCTATCAGTAGACCC
This sequence comes from Homo sapiens, assembly GCF_000001405.40. NCBI lineage: Eukaryota > Metazoa > Chordata > Mammalia > Primates > Hominidae > Homo > Homo sapiens. The sequence goes on from NC_000004.12 coordinate 78,455,825, forward strand.
AAAAGACCCTGTTTTTCTTGGGATATTAGAGTAAGGAGTTATATTAACTAGGATAGAAGCTAAGCTGCTGGACCAAGGAGACCCCAAAATATAATGACTTCAACAAGACATTTGTTTTCTCTCAGAGTAATCCAAAGGCAGGTGGCTCAGGGGTGTGAGGTGGCTCAGTGATCCTCAGTGTGAGGCTTCTACCTCTGGCCCAAGGCGAATGCAGCAGCTGTGGTCCTCCTCCAGCCAGCAGGAAGAAAGAAAAGGCCAGGGAAGCCCCACATCCATTTTGGTTTTAGGAGCATTACTTGAAGAACACATGTCACTTTTTTTTTTTTTTTTTTTTTTTGAGACGGAGTCTCACTCTGTCACCCAGGCTGGAGTGCAACGGTGTGATCTTGGCTCATTGCAACCTCCGCCTCCCAGATCAAGTGATTCTTGTGCCTCAGCCTCCCAAATGGCTGGGATTACAGGCACACACCCCCACACCTGGCTCAATTTCGTATTTTTAGTAGAGACAGGGTTTCGCCATGTTGGCCAGGTTGGTCTTGAACTCCTGACCTCAAGTGATCTGCCTGCTTTGGCATCCGAAAGTGCTGTGTTTACAGGCATGAGCCATGTACCAGGCCTCAAATAACATATATCACCTTCCAGTGGCAAAAGCATATGCATGCAAAGCTGTGAGGTGGCTGGAGAATGTAGACTCTAACTGGGCATCTAATTACTTAACTAATAGCAGTCATATCTTTTTTAAGCAGGGGAGGAGTAATATTGGAATATAGCAATTTCCAGGACAACACTGGTTTTCAAGGGATAGGGCGTTTGGTTGTCACCCTTAGGGTACAAGTTGTCACACTGATTCAGATGGGGTTGAAGGGTAATGGTGGCTAAACAAACATTTAGAGGGTAGAGATAGGGATGCTATTAACAAATGTCCAGCAATGAATGGGATAAGCCCTGAACCAAATAATTGTTCTGTCTAAAAGGCCAGTTGTGGATTAGTGAGAAATAGTAGGCTGTGGCATCTAATCCTAAGTCTGAATCCTTGCTCTTAGTTTTAACTTTATTCCCGGTAGAGCATATTGAAATCAGCAGAGCTCCAAGAGACAGCTCTCAACACAACACAACTCTCAACACCTTACTCATTTCAGTCTCACCCCACGTGCTTCATTCAGAAGTTAGGTAGTTGCTACTTCTGTAATACTTCAAGGAGGCCTACCTCGTGCTGGATGCCCCTCACCAGTTACAACACACCTTCCTCAAAGCCTAAAGTGACATAATGGCTGCTTGGCTAGATGAAGAAAAGATCTTCTCTGATCTGTCAGAATTCCTAAAGGCATTTAGAGACCCATTAAAAGGCCCTTTGCTGATGGGCAACCTGGGGAAAGCCACAATTGCTTTCCTCCCACTGTGGAGTCCACCGGAAGCTGAACCAGAGCCCGAAATAAACTTTTCAGATGATGTTAGTGCTTAGCAAAGGCAAACAGAGAAGGACTTCTGCACCACAGGGGGGCAGTGGCAGGGGGTACCAGAGGTAGGTCTCCTTGCTGGTCAGCCCCCAAATCTTCTTAATTCTGTAAAATATGCTGCTTGAAGAAAAGCCTTGTGTACAGCACTTAGCTTCATGCAGCCTCTGTGAATCACAGGTTACACAGAGCATTTCCCCACCCTTCTGGGAATGTGGAACCAACCCCTGTGTTGTTATTGTTGTTTTAACCATTCTCAGGATCCTATCTTGCTCTTAAATCTTAAAATCAGGCAGATGAAGAGCTTTATCCTCATCAAATTGAAAATCCTTTCATCAGCTATTTACTAATCACCGACGTACCCACGAAAGTGAGTGCCCTCAAGGACGAGTCTAGACGTCTTAAATCCTTAAACCCTTTGGCTGTTACAAAACTCTTCAGGGAACCCTTTCTTGCTAAGAGTTAACTTATCAAGGTGTCGCTCACAAATTTTCCACTTTCTACTTTGTACTCACTGCCAAGTTCTCATTTCTTGAAGGAGCTAAATTAAAGCTCCAAAAAAGGTAAGCCACCTTTCAAACAAGCATCTCTTCCCTTCCTTACCCTAATTAGCCTTTTAAGCTCACTTCTGAAAGTTCTCAGGGAAGTGGACATTTTGTCCAGAAGCCATAATATCATCTCAACCAGATTTCAAAATGGAGGGACAGCATCATGACAGCCCGTGTGGCTTGGACAGATAATATTGTCCTTAGGGAATACACAGTTAGAGAGAGAGAGGTCAAAGCGAGAACTTCCAGGTAATGTCCTGGGCTTTGACTCAGCCACCTCCATAAATCAGACAACCCTAGAGTCCAGGCTGCCTCCAGGGATGTGTGAGCTGCAGGATAGTTAAACCTCTTCAGTTGTGCATGCATCCTCAGCCCACTCATAATCCTCATTCCTCACTAGTTTTCTATCGTTGTGGAGGCTAGTCTGTATCATGTCCTCACTAACGGAGAAATCACAGTACTAAGCCCCCTTTAGGCTACCTAGTCATGACTGCACTTTAAGGGCCAACCCTTAGCACTTACCAGTTTAGTAACAGTCATATGAAGCATTATTTTTATTCACCAGATATAAATAGTTCTCTTGTCAGTAAACCCACACAATTTCTCTTATTAAAAATATTGCAGAATTTAAAACAGAAAACCAGATATCACATATGCTCACTTATAAGTGAGAACTTAACACTGGGTATGCTTGGACATAGAGATGGGAACCTTAGACACTGGGGAGGGAGGGAGTGGGGAGAAAAGGCTGAAAAACTTACTATTGGATATTGTGTTCACTATGTGGGTGACAGGATCAACAGAAGCCCAAACTTCAGCATCACACAATATACCCTGTAACAAACCTGTACATGTACCCCTGAATCTAAAATAATTTTTTTAAACCTGCAGAATTCATGTAACTTCAGACATAACCACCACCCCACCTCTGCACAGATTGAATAAGATCAAATACTTGATCTTAATGTCATCCACCATTTTATCTGCTACCTCTGAGGGAGCTGTGACTGTTCCAGTTATAGAGATGACAAAAAAATACAATGAAATAAGGCAGTGTATTACTGGCCTATGTGACTCATATAGAGCAGAAAGAAAGCATTTAACAACAACAAAAAAAGAAAGCAAAGCAGGTGTTCTGATCATTCTTTCTACTTTTCTGTTAAATCAAGGGTTCTCAGCTCTGTTTGGACATTAGAATCACCTGAGTGATTAGAATGTTACACATTAGAATCACCTGAGTGAGTGGCATGTGTTTAAAAATAATGATGCCTGGGCCCCACCTAGACCAATAAATAGAGTCTCCTAGAGATGGGGCTTAGAATATGAGTGTCTTTTAAAAGGACCCCAATGAAATTCTATTTACAGGCTGAGTTGTAATTACATGTATATGGTACTTGTCATGTTAGAATTGCTTCCTTCCCTCTTTTCCTCCCTGCCTTCCTTTCTCCCTTCAACAAACACTTACTGAGTAGCTGCTACAAGAGAATACTTACATTTTGGAAGTGGGAGACATGTAGACAGACATGTGCACATGTGTTTCAGTAGCCAGGTACACATAATTTGGTACACACATAATTCACACACATGTTTGGTAGCAACATGGCAGAGGACAGGGGGAGCCCAAAGCATGCATGGCAGATTCCACCTAAGAGAGTGGTGGGAGTTAGTTGGGAAACAATTCTCAGAGGTGATGCTTTAGCAATGGTGTTATTTCATTTCCTCTTTATTTCAACCTCTTTCAGTATTGTGAGACCAACCAAAATAGGATGCACCCATTGTCTTGGTTTGGGTTCTCCCTGAGAGCAGAGGCATATTAGCTTGCTAGGGCTACCATTAAAAAGTTACACAGAATATGCAGTTTAAACAACAGAAATCTATTGCCAGTTCTGGAGGCTGCAAGTTTGAGATCAAGGTGTTGGTAGGACTGGCTCCTTCTGAGGGCTGTGAAGGAAGGACCCGCCCCAGGCCTCTCTCCTTGGCTTGGAGATGGCCATCTTCTTGTTCATGTGGTGTTCTCCCTGTTGGGATATGTCTGTATCCAAATTTCCCTTTTTTATGACACCAGTCATATTCGATTAGAGCCCACCCCAATGACCTCATGTGATCTAATTACATCTACAATTACACTATTTCCAGATAAGTTACATTCTGAAATACTGGGGCTTGGGACTTCAACATATGAATTTGTGGTGGGGAAAGGGTGCAATTCAACCCATCACAAGAGGCTTTTCAAAAATCCTGAAGCAAGAAGGCTGGGAGTCTCCCACAGGATGAGCTTGAGATAGGACATGGACATGGGTAACATGCATAGAACTGCCCACAGCTGGGCTGCAAGTGGGAGGACTGAGGCATCATCTAACACGCTGTTAAGAAGGCAATTTCTTCAGAGATGCTTTATTTCCACACCATTTCCCTGACCTGGACTGTGCTTTCTTTAGCGTGCTGGCCCTCCAGGGGAATTGGAAAGACTGACAGGGTTAATGTGGGTCTCCATAATACTGCCAGATACATAGTTTAGCCAGCAGGTTAGTGATTGAAAACACCTTCAATGGGATTAAAACCCTTCAAGATATTTCAAATAGCAACTACCTGCTGTGACAGCGGTAGGGACAATATGTTATTAGAAACACCACCTTGCTGGCAAATGAGCAGATGAAGTCTTCCAAAACCCAATTAGCAAAGGCTAAAATTTTAAAAATAAAAAGTGGATGATGATTGAAAATATAGTCATGTATTGCGTAACAATTCTGAGAAATGCATTGTCAGGCGGTTTCATTATTTTGTGAACATCACAGAGTGTGCTTACACAAACCTAGATGGCATAGCCTGCTACACACCTGGGCTATATGCATATAGCCTGTTACTCTTAGGCAACAAACCTGTGCAACATGTTACTGTACTGAATACTGTAGACAATTGTAACATGATAGTAAGTATTTGTGTATCTGCACATATCTACACATAGAAAAAGTATAGTATTATAATTTTATGGGATCACCATTATATGCAGTCTGTAGTTGACCAAAACTGAAATGTCATTATGTGACGCATGACTGTATGTGCTCAATAGAACCTCTTAGGTATAGATTATAGTGGATAATCTAAATTAATTCACCAAATATGGTTTGAGCATCTACTGTGTTCCAGGGATTATTCTAGGTGCACATCAGTGAAGAAACAAGAAAAAATCCTTGTCCTCTTAAAACTCAGGTTCTAGATGCAACTTGTTGCCCCTGCACATATTTATGGGTGTCATTTAAATGATAATATTAAAACCCATCAAAATCAATATTTCAGACAAGAAAGAGGATATAGCCAATAAAGCATTTTAGAAGGAACTACTCAAAAATATTGTGTTGTTTTTTCAGTGGTAAGTCTATGAATGATTTTTCTTTCCTACTTGTCTAGATTTTTCACATTCTCTTTAATAGGCATATATTACTTTCATATTGAAAAAACTTTAAAGAAGAGTGAAATCCAAGAGGTTTCTTGTCTAGATAAGTTTTACAAAAAGTGCTCCTAGCAGGCATAAACTTTGAAATTAGACCGCCTCGGGTTTCAATTTCATCACTGCCCCCTTATTAGCTATGTGACATTGGGTACATCACATAACTTTTTAATTACATAAATTATAGTGTCATGATCTACAAAATGGGGGTAACATGCTAACCTCAACCTTCCAGAGTTGTTAAAAGATAAAATTCAACATAAATAAGCAGTCTTTAAACTGTGTTCCATCCATAGTAGGTGCTCAATATTTGCTAGATTGAATTGGGAAAGTCGCACTAAGATCAAGCCCAGCTCTCTCGTGCAATATAGTGAGAATATAAAATGGTACTACCACCTTGGAAAAGCAGTTTAGCAGTTTCCTGAAAAATTAAGCATACACCTAACATATATTCCAGGTATTTCGCTCCTAGAGATTTACCAAGAAGAATGAAAGCTTATGTCCATACAAAGATTTGCACACTAATAATCATAGCAGCTTTATATATGGGGCATGCTAAATGAAAGAAACTAGACATGAAATAGTATATACTATATAATTCTATTTATTAAAAAGTAGAGAAAATGCCAGCTAATCTGTAGCATCAGAAAGCGATTCATTGGTCGCTTTGGGTTGGGGTAGGCGACGGGAAAGGGAAGGATGGAAGGGTTATGAAGCGTAAGTTGGAAACTTGGGGTGATGAATTGGTTCACTATTTTGAATGAGGTGATGGTTTCTGGGTGTACCAAAGCTTATGAAATTGCACACTTTACGCCGGAAGCAAAGGCTCATGCTTGTAATCCTCTAGCACTTTGGGAGGCCGAGGCAGGCGGATCACCTGAGGTCAGGAGTTAGAGACCACCCTAGCCTGGCCAACATGGCGAAACCCAGTCTCTACTAAAAATACAAAAATTAGGCAGGGATGGTGGCGTGTGCCTGTAATTCCAGCTACTTGGGAGACTGAGGCAGGAGAATCACTTGAACCTGGGAGGTGAAGGTTGCAGTGAGCTAAGATTGTGTCACTGCACTCCAGCCTGGGCAACAAAGTGAGACCCTGTCTCAGAAAACAAAAAAAAAGAAAAAGAAAAGAAAAAGAAATTGCACACTGTCTATATATGTAATTTATTATGTGTCAATTTTACCTCAATAAAAAATGTTTAAAAAAATCAATCTCAAGAGGAAGGCAAAATCTATCACCTTTCTTAATCAGTCTTAGACTTCCATAAAGGGAACAGTGAATTAGGTGACCAGTTGATGGTGAGAATCCAGATGAGATTTTCCTGTGAGCTGTGAGAGTGGATTCACAGCAGGGGGAAGAGATTTAAATTTCTCAGTGCAGCAAGTCTGAAGTTGTTAAATTTTTAAAGAATGGTATGGATTTCTGTCCAGAGCCAAAAGACAAAGCTATAAGACAGGGTGCAACATTTCTTGCCTGTCAAGAACTGATGTAGCAAGCACAGAAACATAAAATGCCTCATCAAAAAATTAATGCCCCCATATTCGGGAGGCTCTTGTATCTGGGTGACAAATTTCAGATGATAAGGAGAGATGCAAATGTAAACCATGTGTGTTGATTTTTTTTAACTTCTTAAAGATAAAGCAGTGATACTGATGTCACCCTTAAATATATGAGTCAATGTAGAATCTTTATTTTCTTTGTAGGTTAACAATGACAAATCACCAAACCCAGAAAACAGCAAATCAATTTCAGGGCCAAACTAAAGGACTAGATTAAATGGATTAATACCTCAAAACCCAGAATCAGAAAGAGAGAATTTGTGCTGGAGGATTAAAAGATGTCATTTTCGTTTCAGTCTTGATTGGCACCTGGGTATGAGCCCTAGCAGCCCTAAGACAGAAGCAACAATTTCAAGTTGTTTTGCTAAATGTTGTGAGGCATTTAAAGCAGAGATATTGCACATTTGTGGGATAGTTTACCATTGTTTAAAATTTCTTTCAAATTTTTTGTTTTAAAAATGACTGGAATGAAATAAATAGAGAAAAATTAATAGAGAAAAAATGATTTTTTCTCTATTATGTTATTAAAGGATATTGTTTTTCCAGGTCATTTTTGATTTGGTGTGGAATAATTGCTCATGCCCCAGAGTCAGGCGGTAAGTTTTGTTACTGCCTGACTGGCTAAAGTGGGATGGGAGAAGCTAGAATCGTAGACCTGAGAGTTAAAAAGAACCTTGAAGAATATTCAATAAAATTATGGCAGCCAGGGATGGCTCACCAATCACAGAAACAAGGCTGTGTGTAGCCAAGCCCTGTAACGTTAGTTTAAAAGCTAAACCATTATGCAATATTTAAAATGAGGGTAGGTCTTCAGAAAGGACTGTGAAGCTTGGGGGAACACAAAACTGAACAGAGAGGGGCTTGGAGAATAAGACAATGGCTCTACCTTTCACAAATTTTACCTACATACATAAAACCCAAGAAAAAGAAGAGTAACATTGATTGAACACCTGCTGTTGGCTTTGCGCATAGAAGCCACCATAATTAAGTTAACATGTGTTCCCACAGAATATATGCTGTTGTATCCACAAACAACTCTAACAACAAGGTCCTCAAGTGGAGGAAATAAATGCTATAAGAAAAATACAAAGGACTCTCTATCTGGTGAGAGTATGACACTTCCCTAGCCTTAGATATATGGCTAGCATTTTAATATCCTGTCTCTGTTTCTCTTTTCCCCTTTTTCTAGGTATCCAGATTAGTTCCTTTACTCAAGCTGATCTGACTTCACGAAATGTTCAGTATGTCCATTCTAGTGAGGCTGAGAAACATTCAGATGCCTTCAGCTTTACACTGTCTGATGGAGTCAGTGAGGTAGGTGAGGCACTGAACTCCATCCTTGAAAAGTATTGATTCCTCGCCATCTTCTTTGAGTGGAGTAGGCAGAGTGACTGGTGAGAGAAGAGCTTCATTTTCCTCTGCTCTCAGTCAAGGGGTAGGGGCAGCCTCTGTAGCCACCTTGGCTCTTGCCCAAGAGGACTCACTCTGGGGCTCCTAATTATTGACTTGTGCAAGCAATGTGTGAAAGAGAAAAGTAGAGAGCACCTACCTTGGACTTGTTGGGTAGGTGCTAGGGACAGGTGTCCCACCTGCACTTTCCTGCCATTCTAGGTGACTCAGACTTTCCATATCACTCTTCACCCTGTCGATGATTCGCTGCCCGTCGTACAGAACTTAGGAATGCGGGTGCAGGAGGGCATGAGGAAGACCATCACAGAGTTTGAGCTTAAGGCGGTGGATGCTGACACAGAGGTAAGAGCACTTCTTCCCATGGGTTCTCTGGCTAAATGAGAGGCTGACCTGGTGGCAGCTATCACGTTGCAGCTGTGCATCCTGATGGTAGGGAGGAGCTGTAAGGTGAGTGCAAGCATCCTTGAAGGATTAAAATACAGAAGATACCAGGGCCTTCTGGAAAAGAAAAACAAATGTATTTGAGATCAAATTGTTTTTAAACCCTTTCTGAAAACCTAAATACATCCATCCTCTCCCTTGAGTACATGTAACAATACTTTTAACATGCTGATTTTGTATTGATTTACAGAAAACCAGGTAGATGACATTTTACCCAATGTTATTATTTCCCATTAGCATGAACAGGGATTTTCTATACCTATATACCCTTTCTCCCTTTCACCTCCTTCATCCGGACTTCTCTGATGGCAACTAATTATTACAATTTGAGCCTCCTCAAAGACTAGGCTTTGTGCAGTAAAACAGGGCATGTGGAGACTAAGCTTTTATTCTCATGCTTCCAGATTAAAGCATCTCACATTCTGACATGACTTAGCTCACATAAACTCATACTGCCACACTTATTAATTAGTTCTATGTATCCCCTTCTCTGTGCCAGCACTCATTGATTGATTGATTCTTTCATCAAATATTAATTACCTATGAGGTTCTAGGCTCTGCTGTAGATGCCGAAGACAGGGCTGTAACAAAACAGATAAATTTGCAGGCTTAGAGAGTCTACTATCTTTGTTTGGGGGAAAGACTTACTAGTAAAGAAAGAAGGAACATATTATATCAGATACAATAAGTGCTATGCAGAAAAATAAAGGGAGATGAGGGAGATAGAGATTGATAGATATGCTGCTTTAGAGTATCCAGAGAAGGCCTCTCTGAGGAGGTCATACTTTAGCAAAGACATTATTAAGCAAAAGGGCAAGCTATGCAGTTATCTGGGAGAATTCACCCTTCAGACAGGGGAGCCAGAAATACAAAGGCACTGTGATCAAGTGCACTTAGACTCTGGGAATAACTGTAGCAAAGGTGGCAAGAGGCCAAGAGGCTGGAACCCATTGAACAGGCAGGAGAAAAGAATGAGACCAGAGAGGAACCCTGGGACTAGGTCACAGAGGGCCATGCTGGCCCTGGTTAGGCCTTGGCATTTTGTTTTAAGTTGGTGGGAAACCCTTGGAAAGCCTTGGGAAGGATTTTATGCCTCTTTTTCTTTCTGCGGGTCACCAGAGAAGCAGTAATTAAAAATGAGAAGCTAGCTTCTGTTGTGATGCATATGAAATTCTGTATATAAGAGTTTTGGGTAGATGTAGGGGAAGGAAATGAACAGTTTAAAAAGGTCTATTTTCTTTCATCTTGGTAGAGGTTAAAAATTCAGGCTTTCCCCCATGACCTGAAGAGAAGAAATTTAAATGTTTTAATCTTACAACTGAAGGTACCAGAATATAAGCGCAATTGTAGCAAACAGTATGGTCATTCTCTTTAGCTCTATCTTTGGTGTCTATAAAGAAAATACAGTCCTTACTTTATCAATGTCTTTGGGTTCTACTACCCTTGATCAGCAATTGGGCATCACTCACTCTTTTGGTTTCTGTTATGAGCTTCCCTCCCCTCTGGTATTTTGCCTTCCGGACAGGCCGAGTCTGTCACATTCACCATCGTGCAGCCTCCACGCCATGGCACCATCGAGCGAACCAGCAATGGGCAGCATTTCCACCTCACCTCCACCTTCACCATGAAAGATATCTACCAGAACCGGGTCAGCTACAGCCATGACGGCAGTAACTCCCTCAAGGACCGGTTCACCTTCACTGTTTCTGATGGGACAAACCCCTTCTTTATCATTGAGGAAGGGGGAAAAGAGGTGAGGGGTGAGGACACTGGAGGAGGTAGCCTAGCACTGCATGGCAGAGGCAGAACATGGAGTTTTACATCAAGCATACCATTGTTTGAGTTCTCGTTCTATCAGTAGCTAGTAGATTGACCTTGGGCAAATTACATTTCTAAGCCTCAGTTTTTCATCTGTAAAATGGACAGTAATTATCTGCTTCAAATAGTTGGTTTAAGGATCCAAGGAGGTAATCCACATAAAGTGCTTAACACCATTGACAAATAGTGCTCAATAAATGGTGATAGTTCTTGTTGTTAGTATTACTGTTATTTCTTTTTTCTTTTTGCCCATCCTTTACTCCTTAATTTTTCTTTCATCTGGTTTTTGAATAATATTGTATATCTCTAGATTGTTTTTCTCTTTTTGGACTAGGTCCCCTCAGCCTAACCAGAGTTTCTCAGTCTTTGAGAAATAGCAGTGGATAAGAGTGTGGTTTTTGCATCCAAAATATATTGATTTTTTAAAATAATTTTTTATTTTTAATTTTTGTGGGTACATAGTAGGTATATATATTTATGGGGTACATGAGATGTTTTGATATGGGCATACAATGTTTAACACTCATATCATGGAAAATGGTGTATCCATCCCTTCAAACATTTATCCTTTGTGTTACAAACAATCCAGTTATTCTCTTTTAGTTATTTTAAAATGCACAATTAAATTATTTTTGACATTAGTCATCTGTCATGCTAGCAAAAACTATGCCTTATTCATTCATTCTAACTTTTTTTTCTTACCCATTAACCATCTCTGCCCCCTTACTACTCTTCCCAGCCTCTGGTAACCATTCTTCTCCTCTCTCTCTCCATGGGTTCAGTTGTTTTGATTTTTAGATCCCATATATAAGTGAGAACATGTGATGTTTGATTGTGCCTGGCTTATTTCACTTAAGGGAATGGCCTCCCGTTCTATACATGTTGTTGCAAATGACTGAATCTCATTCTTTTTTATGGCTGAATAGTACTCCATTGTGTATATGTACCACATTTTCTTTATCCATTAATCTGTTGATGGACACTTAGGTTGCTTCCAAATCTTGGCTATTGTGAACAGTGCTGCAACAAACATAGGAGTGCAGATATCTCTCTGATATACTGATTTCCTTTCTTTTGGGAATATACCCAGCAGTGGGATTGTTGGATTGTATGGTAGCTCTATTTTTAGTTTTTTGAGGAACCTCCAAACTGTTCTCTATAGTGGTTGTGCTAATTTACATTCCCACCAACAGTGTATGAGGGTTCCCTTTTCTCCACATTCTCATTAGCATTTTTTATTACCTGTCTTTTAGATAAAAGCCATTTTAACTGGGGTGAGTTGACATCTCATTGTAGTTTTGATTTGCATTTCTCTGATGATCAGTGATATTGAGCGTCTTTTCATATGTCTCTTTTCCATTTGTATGTCTTCTTTTGACAAATGTCTATTCAAATCTTTTGCCCAATTTAAAATTAGATTATTAGATTTTTTCCTGTAGAGTTGTTTAAGTTCCTAATATATTCTGCTTATTAATCCCTTGTAGATGAGTAGATGGCAGATATTTTCACCCATTCCTTGGGTGGTCCCTTCACTGTGTTGATTGTTTTCTTTGCTGTGCAGAAGCCTTTTAACTTGATGTGATCCCATTTGTCCATTTTCACTTTGGTTTCCTGTGCTTCTGGGATAACACTTAATAAATCTTTGCTCACACTGATGTCCTAGAGAGTTTTCTTAATGCTTTCTTGTAGTAGTTTCATAGTTTGAGGTCTTAGGTTTAATTCTTTGGTCGATTTTGATTTGATTTTTGTATGTGGTGAGAGAGAGGGGTCCAGGTTCATTCTTCTGCATGTGTATCCTAAAAGATACTCATTTAATTTCCAGCCCTGTCATGTACAAACTGAATATACTTGTAAATCATTTAAACTTTCCAAGCCTCGTTTTCCCTATCTGTAAAGTGGAAGTGATACATATTCTCCTGATGTACATAAAGCACTAAGCCCAGTGCCTGGCACACAGGGAACATCAGATAAACTGAAGCTGTAAACATCATCATCATCATCATCATCATCATCATCATCATTTTAGAACCAGCTTGTGAAACCAGTAAAATGCTTTTCTCTTGAGGTTGTGCAACTGTCAAGCTTTACTTCCTAAAGGAATCGCTGTCTTCTAACATCCAGATATCCAGAAGAAATGTTGATTCCCCTTCCATTCCCTTGCCGCCATTTTTACTCATCCCTTTGTTTGTTAGCCAGCTCTCCTGTAGTTCATAAACCTCGCCTGGGAAAAACTTCAATTCTGGTGAAAGGTGGGCCTGGGGGCACCCCTACATCTGTGTCTGACCTGGGGAAGGCAGTTTTAGTGAGCGGCATATGTACACCTTTCTATACTTCCAGTATAACAAAAGGATCCACTTCTCAGGCCTGCACAGCTCCTTTTCTACTTTGACACTGAAGGATTATTTTCCTGGAAAAAAAGATCCTCTGTGTCCTTTAGAGACAAACAGTCTGTGAGAAGGTCATTCTCAGTTAGCTGGTATGTCGGTGGGATGGCTCTTGGGATTTTCCTGCCATTGCGGTGTCTGCACAGCATCACCACCTGGCAAGTCATCACTCTTGTTTTTTCTCTCCCAAACTGTAGCTGCTCCCCAGTTAGTTTGACTTTCAGAAGAGAAAAAAGATTTCAGGATATATCAGCAAGAGGGCTAATGCTCTTATAAACAAAATGTTACAACAGGTCTCTGGAGGGACGATGTCATTTAAAAAATGGAAATTATTTAGAAGGTGGCTTGTGGGAGATTGAAAAGCCAACGTCTCATTGCCCTGTGTCCCAACTTGCTGTATCCACCCAGGAACAGGGAGATGCTAGATCCAATTTATGATGTGTGTGTTGCATGCATGCATGTGTGTATCTGTGAGAATGGGATTATAAATGAAATTTCCTTTTCGCTATTACCACAAATGCTTTTATTTCTGATTTCTTCTGCCCCTCACCCTCATATAGAGAGCTCTCCCTTAAAACAGACAACAACAATGGGAAAAGGAAAAAAAAAGAAAATATCTTCCCATGAAAACCTCTTTCACATCTGGCATAATCCCACCTAGAAATTTCAACATTAACAATTTAATGATTATTTTTGTCAGCCTCTCATGAAAATTTTAACACGGTTTATTGAAAGGAAAAGTACTGTTTGGTTTTTTTTTCATCCCAAGGCAGTATCGAACTCAACTAAAGAAGACATAGGTGTGTAAAAACCAACTTCCATAGCAGGTGAAATGACAGCAAGAATGCCACTTGTTGTTGTTGTTGTTGTTGTTTTGTTTTTCCTTTTCTTCCTACATTGTTCTCACTCTATCATTCAGCTTTCTCCCTTAGGCCTTGTGCCAGGATGATAAGGGATGGGAACGGGCTCAGTTGCCCATCCCTCATCTCTGAAGTGTTAGCAGACTTCAGAGGTTACAGCTGTGTAGGCCCTGGACCTGACATACTTCAGGTACTTGTGAATGATGAGTTTTCTTTTCTGCCCTCCCCTTCAGATTATGACAGCAGCACCTCAGCCGTTCCGAGTAGACATCCTCCCGGTAGATGATGGCACGCCTAGAATTGTCACCAACCTGGGACTCCAGTGGCTGGAATACATGGATGGCAAGGTAAGGCCTGTCCCTCTGTCATGTTCACACCACCCAACTTGGGCTACATCCTTCTTCACGACAATGACTTATGAATAGAAGTCCAGTTCAGCTCACCTGTTTATCCCTCCCTAAATAAACTGATTTTCCTGAGATTAGTGAGCTCCGTGAGTTTGGTTAGGATAAACTTGTGTAGGATCGGTTACGATTGTGTATAGTTTAAGATGCTCTTTGAAAAGACCCCAAAATATAGTAGGTCAAGCTAGATAGAAGTTTATTTATTTTTTTCTCACATATAGGGTGGACGTAAGTGGGCAGTGCAGGGCTCTACATGAGCACTTAGAGATGTGGATTCCCTCCACCTTATTGTTCTGTCATCACTAAGTGGTTGCTATTGACTCCTGGCCAAACTTCTTCAGAAATTCATCAATATACAGTTGGCCCTCAGTATCCACAGGTTCCACATCTGTGGATTCTAACAACTGTGGCTCAAAAATGTTTGAAGGAAAAAAAATAAGAAATAATACAAATTTTAAAAATATAGTACAACAACTGTTTATATAGCATTTGTGCCATGTGAGGTATTATAAGTAATCTTGACTTAAAGTATACAGGAGAAAGTGTATAGGTTATATGCAAGTACTATGCCATTTTGTATAAAGGACTTGAGCATCCATGGATTTTGTAATCCTCAGAGAAGCCTAGAACCAATCCCCGTAGATACTGAGGGACAACTGTACCAGCATATGGGAAGGAGGAAACAGAAAGAGAGGGGCAAGGAACTCCATATTAAGCAAGTGATACAGAAATTGAATACATCCCTTGCACTCATATTTATTGGCAATAAATTGTTCATATGGCCCAAATGTTGCATGGGAGGCTGGGAAATAGCATCTCTAGCTGGGCAGGCAGAGGCTCAGCTAAAACATTGTTCACTAGAAGAAGGGGAGGGTGGATTTTGGAGAATATCGAGTGTCTACCATAAATGAGAAAGAAGCGGGGCATTTTTGTAGGTAAGTGTGCACAGATGAATTGTACTTTAGGCATTGCTTTCTCTTTCTCCTAATTTCGAAATTGGTCATTTTAAGATCTATGCCATAATTTTCACCTAGTAATCATGTCAAGCACTAAATCCACATCCCCACCCAAACATAGTTCTTCAGTTGAGAACTGGTTTCTTGCATTTGTGGGTGGTATTCTTTCTAGGATGTGGCTTGTTTACCATCTCCATGGAGCTAATTAGTTCATTGTATGTGTAGATGTTGCACTATAGCTTCTAATTGAACTGGTTGGGTTTTAAAAAAAACAAACAAACATGAATTAAAGTTAGTGCCAATTTCCCCTGTGCTCTATTTGATCTTTTTTCCCCACCTTATTTAGAGCAATTCCATTCTCTTCTCAATACTCTCCAATTGGGTTTCTACCCCCTACTCCTACTCTATTGCAGTAACTGTTATTAAAGTCACCAATGACCTCTATTTTGCCAAATCCAGAGACCAATTATCTGTCTTTACCTTACTAGACCTAAAAAAATCTTCAATGCTCTTGACCACCCTCTTTCTTTGCTCAAATCTTGGCTCTCACTAAATACTTCAATGAATGAATGAATGAAAGTTCAGCCAGTGTATTTGGGCAATATCAGGGTACAGTGTGTTTCTCTTACTCTATTTCAAGTATCATAATTGACTCCTAGAAAGTGGCCACCTTCCCTGTACTGAATTATTCTTTCAAAGTTCCAACTTTCTTTCAAGGCCCAACTCAAATCCCACTGCCTCCAATCCATCCTCCTTCAACTCCAGATGAAATTAATCTTTTTCTCTCTCTCTCTTTCTCTTAAAAAGTGTGCAGCCCTCTTTTTATGTCTTCCATTACAGCTCTTGCCACATTGACCTTGTGCATGAGCCTTTCTTTCCCTATTAAGTGTGAATACCTCAAGGGCAGAAGCTGGAATGGTTTTCATCCTCATAGCCTCTCCAATCCTGACAGAGCTTTCCATGCAGTAAATACACTCAGTAAATCATTGTTGAACTGAATTAAATCTGAGTCAGAGGGTCTTGTTCCTGCTTTATTCCCACCTCAGGAATTAAATTAAATGGGTTTCTATTCTAGGCAACCAACCTGATCACCAAGAAGGAACTGCTGACCATGGACCCAGACACCGAGGACGCGCAGCTTGTCTATGAGATAACGACGGGCCCTAAGCATGGCTTTGTGGAGAACAAGCTGCAGCCTGGCAGAGCTGCTGCCACTTTCACCCAGGGTGGGGACTCTCTGGGAACTTAGAAATGGGAGAAATCTATGCTAATGTCACACTGCCTATCTCCCAGATTCTTCTCACAGCCACTTCCAGCTACTTATGCCCAAGTAACCACTTTGCAGAGATCTTCTAGTGCTTAACCATCCAACTTAAGAATTTTATTTCTCCTGATTTTTTTCCCTGTGATGATGAACTATGGCAAAGAAAAATTCACCTTTACCGTGCTTCCTCAACTCCTAAATTGCTCTAAGTGTTGGCCAGGTTTTCTGGAAAAGAATGCATGATGCTGCTTGGTTTTCTTTAAAAACAATAACAACAAGAAAGCAAAAAATAACAAGCAGACATTATGAAAGATCTGTGATCCTGTGTGATTTATTTTTTGTTCTCTAAGGATTATAGACTTTAAGTCTTCAGCCTAGAAATTAAAATCAACATGTATAGGTTGCTCAACAGAAATATTTTCCCTGTTTTGAATCATCTCAAGCAGGCCATGTTAAGCTTGTCAGGCTCCTCTAGACTTTTTTCAGGATTGACTTGACTGGGAGCAGTCATTGCAAAACTGCATCTCAAAATTCATGCTCCATGAATTTTCTTTTTACTCTCTGTCCTCAATTGTATGTTCTCTCCTCACACCTTTTTAGCTGTGCTTTGTGTATGGGAAGTTTTAACCCAACCCCAGCTATTCTTATTAGCACATACCTTCCAAAGAACCTTTATTAGAAGGAATTAGGTCTGAGTATGAGGCTATAAACACAGAGGATGGAGTCAAAGACTTTCCTCTGTCAACTCTAGGATTTGCCATCAACATTCACAGACATTTATTGAAGTGCTTTTTGTCAGGACCCTGGGATTCTCATTTTATAACAGCATAAGAGATATTTACAATATCTCTGTACTTAAAGACAGATCTTTTTTTTCACAGAGCTTCAGGATTTTATTTTAAAATCTGACAGAAACATTTATTTTAACAACTACTATACTTTTGGTGCTTGGAAAAATAAGTTTTGTCTGTAATACATTAGAAGAATAAACTAGGTTTGTTGGTGTGGTAATCTATGAAGCTGTCGTTACATCCCTGGGTTAATTCACAGTGAGTCTTTTTTCTCACAGAGGATGTGAACTTGGGGTTGATTCGTTATGTGTTGCACAAGGAGAAGATCCGTGAGATGATGGATAGTTTTCAGTTTCTGGTGAAAGACAGTAAACCCAATGTGGTCAGCGACAATGTCTTCCATATCCAGTGGTCACTCATCAGCTTTAAATATACCAGGTACAAGTTTTACTGTGCTTTCCTTCTTGAGAAATCAATCAGGCAAGCAGAGGGAGTCAGGATGAAGGATGCTGGGGGGCAGCTCTAGTCACCTCTTGATGGCGGTGATGGTGATGATGGCAGTGATAAAAGTAATAATTTCACCAAATATTTATTGAGTACTGTATGTATTAGGTGCTGCACTAGGACTCGACATGCATCATCTTATATAATACTTGGAATTCTGAGATGAATTCCATTCCTGTCTCCACAGTGGCAAAGTAATAGAGACAGAAACTTGTTTATGTAACTTGTCCACAGTCACATAGCTAATAAGAAGTAAGACCAGGATGTAAGCCCAGTGATCTTAACGATGTGCTCTACTGCTGCTCAGACAAATGTTTTTGCTTCTGTCTCTTCAAGTTTTAGAAGAGAGTCTAGTAGAACTGATAGGAAAAATAAAAATAGGCATTCAAGTTTGGAAAATAATCACTGGCCCACACTATCAATATCTTCACCTTCCATCTGTATTCTCCTTGTTCCCAACCCTGTTTTCTCCCCTGGCTTCTTTGGGTTTGGTAGGAATGTATATCTGTAGGGCTAAATGCATGGCTTAATGTGGACAGCCCTTTAAGATGCTTTTCTAATCTGTTGGAGAGTTAGAAAGGCAAACAGAGAGATACTGATTGTTAAAGGTAGTGTGCAAGCATGGTGCTGATTTTATAGGTTAGATTATAACTAGGATTATAATTTATGTGGGGGAAATATTCTTTAAGTCTACATTTCAGAGACTCACTATCCAAGAAATCAACTTCATGAAAATTCAGATAAAAATTGGAACTTGGGGGAAAAAAGGAAGACTTAAAACCTTGATTTCATGTGCCCCAAATTCAGGCTATTCTACTCTTACACACATTTGGAGAATTAGAGGAAAATTAGAATCAACTTTTACATATGTAATGTTTTGCTGTTATTTACCTCTCAATTGTATCACCTTCAAAATTCAATAAATTCAATAAAATTCATCCCTTTTTCTGGACAACCCTCTAACATTTAATGGACTAAGTGGTATAGACGGTCCCAAAGCTGGCAATGAGGACTGAGCTCTCAGAGTCACTTTCCCTGCTGTCCTCACAGCAACAAGACATGCACCCAGGTCTAGGGGCCATCCTCAGTGGTGAAAAACAAAGCCCAGCTCATGCCCTACTTTCTGTGGCCTTTCCAAACCTAGATACTTATTATGAATCAATAGCATATGAATAGTTGGCCTTCTACTTTACAAATGCAATAGAGATTCTGAGCAGCAAGCTAAATTAATCATGTCCTTCCCCCATTGTCATAAAGTTCTATTTGTCTAAACATCTCTGTTATGTAGGCTTACCTCACATTTTCTTACCTCTGCTTCTGCTCTGACTCCATCACACAGTTCCTGGAGATCTGGTCCAGTCAGTTCCCACCTAAGTCATTGATTGCCTTCAGAGCAGCTTTCTTCCCTAAGAACCCACTGACCTATTGTGATTACTCAACCCCAGGAGGGAGAGATTGTTTTTCCTTTCTCTGTGCCCTGAAATCTGAAGTTCATTGCTCCTATGTGCTGTCCATCTCCCAAAATGACTCTTAGCTTGCTTGCAAAGCAGGGAAGACGACATTCTGCATCCACAGCTTCCCTGTTTGTTTCGTGCTCTGATTGTTCAGGTGAACTCATTCCCTCAATTTACAGCCTGGATTCTTAGAGGAACCAAACTTCCTCTTCTCTGACTACCTAATGCCAAGAACCAAATGGAAGAGACAGGCATTAAACAAGTTGTTTTTTCATAACCATGGGGCATAGTTTAAGAGATGCCTTTTTGTGTGCTTCCAGCTACAATGTCAGTGAGAAGGCAGGGTCTGTCAGTGTCACGGTGCAGAGGACTGGGAACCTGAACCAATATGCCATCGTCCTGTGTCGCACCGAGCAAGGCACCGCCAGCTCCAGCTCCAGGGTCAGCTCCCAACCTGGGCAACAGGACTATGTAGAGTATGCTGGCCAGGTAGGTGGGGTAGTGGGGTTGGGGGAGGCTCCAGCAAGGGCTGTGACATGGCTGCAAGCAATTGTGGCACTTTCCTACTTCTTCCCAACTTTGCTTTTCACTGGTGTCCTTCTTCAAGTATTAAATAGTTTTCCTATGTTCCCCTCCCATAGTACTTTGTTCTTCACAGTCTCTCTAACCTCCATTGAAGTTTTAACTGCCAAAGGGGAAGTTGTTGTCTAGCTTCTCAGTCTTTACATTTTGCTTCATGACAAAAAGAAGTCTCCAAGCATCATGTTCTATATTCAGCTTTGGTATCCCAACCGTTCTTCTCCTCTCACCTTCTTTACCTAAAGGGAGAGAAGAGAGTGTGTAAGGAGACTGGTTGGGAATCCCTTGGGGTAGGCTGGCTGAGATGATGGGAGCTTGGGCTTCGATTATGAAGTGAAGTTTGAGAGAAGCGGATGGATTTGACAGATGAGTGAGAATTGATAGGATTTGGCAGTGGATTGATTAGACAGTGGGGCCATTTGAAAGATGGATGATGATGCCTCTTGCTAGGAAGGGACATATAAGAGGAGCCGGTTGGGCAAGGTTTGGTGCTCGTGACTTTGCTTTGGCTATGTTAGGTATAAATTGTCTTAGAAAGAGCAGGTTGACCACTGTATAGATGGGCAGGCAGTGCAGAGAGGAGTCTGGTGTCCAGAGAGAAATTTGCAAGTCATCTACATACCAGTGGTAATTAAAGGTGGCAATGAGAAAGAAAAAGGAGAGAGTGAAAGTGGAAGAGAAAGGAGGACTTAAATAGTCAACTTAAATAGTCAACAAATACAGGGCCCCATGTATTTGTCATCTTTTATGGAGGGCACAATGTCTGACACTTAATTTTTTTTTCAAAGCAACTTTATTGTTATTATGGCAACACAGATCTCTGTAAAGAGAAGTGGGCTCTGTTCTTTAATTGAGGCATTTCAGCTGGACTAAGCTAATGTCTCTAATGTCAAATGTAAGTGAGGAATTAGGAAAGAACAGATAAGCTAATGTCTTTCAGCTAAATGATAAGACGGAGGATATTCTTGTGTTTTTCAGGGAAAGACAGAAGACTGTCAGTGTATTCTAGATCTTACATAAAGATCTGTTGAGTGTTTCATTTCACTGGGAGTGTTTTAAAATATGAAGCTTAATAAAAGTGTTATTAGTTGATTAGATATATACTAATAATTTTCTGTTTGAGTAAAATTTTTGCAGATTTGTGTGTCCCCAGACATTTATGTCTGTTTTTTGTACATATTTCAGTTATCTCCGTTTACACAAAGTATAGTCCAGGCTCATTTCCTGCAGTTTCAGTTTTGGGCAAGTCCATAGTCGTGGTTTCACTTGAAGATTTTTAATTTCTTTCTTTTTAAAAAAAAAAAAAAACAAAGTAAAACCAGAATAAGTCCCTATAAGTTCACAATTGTGTACATATAAAATAATTTCTCTGTTTTGTACTGGGCTAAATTGATTCACATTTTAATGGCAAAGGGTGTAGTCAAAATATCAAGTTAAAATTAGTCTACCTTGTTTATAATGTAATTTTCTATGAATTTAAATTCCATTATTCAGTACACTGGAATTCTATGTCAATTTTAATTGTGTAAGTAATATGGTGATACTAATGATAATATCTTATGTTTGTTTGGTACTTTAAAATACACTTAACACCTTCATATACAAGACCTCCTTTAGTCCTCCCAAGAAGCGTATGAGGTAGGAATATTATGACTTTTCTTTAGTTGATGAGGAATCTGATGTTTGTAAAGCTTCATAACCTAATACAGCTTGGAAGTAACAGAACCAGATCTGAGAACAGAACTTCATACTCCAAGGCCAGAGTTCTTCCAGAAAGGGAACTGAGTCATCAAATGATGACTGTTGCTGCCCCAAGTGAGATAATAAGACAGGCTATAAAGAGTTACTACATGTTTTTCTCCAGTCACCAATGGTAGGAGAGATTTTGCTCCTTCATGTCCTTATACAATAAAGCAGCCCTCCTGTACAGGTTAAGAATGGGAAGAGGTGGCTGGGTGTTCCAGGTGATGCAGCAGGGAACCAGGGCTGGGAGAACCAGCTATTTCAGTCAGTGCTCTGCCCACTGGACTTGGATGCTCTTTTCCTATGATGCCCTGGGGAAGCAGAGCAGGGGAAGCTGAGGCACAGCTTAACTTCTTGTTGGTTCCTTTGTGACAGGTCCAGTTTGATGAGCGAGAGGACACCAAGTCCTGCACCATTGTCATCAACGATGATGACGTGTTTGAAAATGTTGAGAGTTTCACTGTGGAGCTCAGCATGCCAGCTTATGCCCTGTTAGGGGAATTCACCCAGGCGAAGGTCATTATCAACGATACCGAGGATGAACCCACATTAGAGTTTGACAAGAAGATCTACTGGGTTAACGAGAGCGCTGGTTTTCTGTTTGCACCTATTGAAAGAAAAGGTCTGTTGGTTCCACAGGTGACAAAGAGCTATAATAATTGCTAACATTTATTGAGTTCCTATTATGTGCTAAGCACTCATCTCATGCATTATCTTAACTCACATGTGTACTTTCCACTTATTAACTCATTTGGTTCCCACAACAACCCTGATGATGATTCTATCCATAGTGACTACCATCAGAAAGCCTCTTTTCTTAGTTCAAGTTGTTAGAGCTCCCATTTACTCTTAAATTGGACTAGAAGACTGGTTATATTTAGCCTTCTAAATTATTCATGAATCAGTATTCTTAATCAATCACCCAATCCATAAAATATTTAGTAACCTTGGTCAAGGAGGGAAGTTACAGTTCATAAGGACTGGCTTTCCATCTTATTCTTGGAAGACAGAAATATGCTGAAAATTTCCCTATGTGACAGTCATATGTAGAGCTCAGATGAGAAATAAACTATGTGTAAGAAATAAAGGGCAATTCTTTTTTTGTTTTATTTTTGACTGATACATAGTAATTGTGCATGTTGATAAAAGGGCAATTCTTGAGGAGTTGGAAATAAAAATAAACATCATATGGAATTTTGATTGTGCAAGATTGAGACTTTAAAACACATGGAAATTGAACCCCCATTCAAAGGCACAACAAGACTGTAAATGATGATTTTGGGTTTCTTTCTTGAATCTGCTGACTGGGTATTAGTGTAACAAATACTGTAGATAGCAAAAACCCTTGGTAATGCCACTTGGAAAACAAGCAAGCCTCATTGATTGCTCTGGGCCACCAAGCCAGGCCCAGAACAGGCTGTCACCAAGGGAAGTGGCAGCCCTAATAAGTAAAGTCATTTGTATACAGTGGCAGATTTTATTTTGTTTTGTCTTTCTCTTTTTAAATAAGCCTGTTTCTTTCTGGGAATTAAAGTATAGAAGTTTATTCAGAAAGGCAGTGAACTGTGCTTATAGCACTACCTTCAGGACACAATTACTTTCCTACTTAAAGTACCAAATATGTGTCATATCTTTCCACCTGCTGTGGTCTTAGATGGTGGGCAATGAGTCTTGCAAATTAACAGAGCACAAAATTCACAGAATAGGAAATCCATTTTGAGTTGTTTGATGAAGTATCTGGGGTATATTAAATCCTCAAGTGGTTTATACCACAGGCTCAAAGAAACTGCAATTCAGGAAGGTTTTATGTCAGAGTTTGAACAGAAATAGTGATGGACTGTTTGGGAGGGACCAAGCTCATTAACTTACCAGAGGTTTTAAAATCTGAGAAGCACTCATTCAAATGCTTTGGTTTTTTGCCATTTGTATTTCAGGAGATGCAAGCAGCATTGTATCTGCAATTTGCTACACAGTCCCTAAGTCAGCTATGGGAAGTAGCCTCTATGCTCTAGAATCAGGCTCTGATTTTAAATCTAGAGGGATGTCTGCCGCGAGTCGTGTGATATTCGGGCCTGGTGTGACCATGTCCACCTGTGATGTCATGCTTATTGATGACAGCGAGTATGAAGAGGAAGAAGAGTTTGAGATTGCCTTGGCAGATGCCTCTGACAATGCCCGCATTGGAAGGGTGGCGACAGCCAAGGTGCTCATTAGTGGTCCCAACGATGCCTCGACTGTGTCCCTGGGCAACACGGCTTTCACTGTCAGTGAGGACGCAGGTAATGGAGAGTGTCTCTGAGTTTCCTTCACCTGTCTCCTGATTCCTTTCTTGAGCAGTTTTCTCCTTAGGTTTCAGAATATCCGGGAGACATTGAGAATGCCATTCCTCAGGGATACCACTGTTGGTCTAAGGCACTATATAATGCTTGGCCAAGACCAAGCATGGAATTTATTATAGAGAGTTCCATCCACTTTTCTTACTCTGATTTGTTTTAGTAAATTTTTGTGGGTACATAGTAAGTGTATATATTTATGGATTATATGATATATTTTGATACAGGCATGTAATATATAATAATCACATCAGGATAAATGGGGTGTTCATCACCTCACCTCAAGCATTTATCCTTTGTGTTATGTACAATCCAATTATACTCTTTTAGTTATTTTAAAATGTGCAATTAAATTATTTTGACTATAGTCACCCTGTTGTGCTAGGGAATACTAGGTCTTCTTTCTAAGTATTTTGTGTACCCATTAACCATGCCCACTTCCCCCCTCCACCACCATTTCCCACCCCCACTACTCTTCCCATCCTCTGGTAACCATCCTTCTACAACATGGATGGAAGTGGAGGTCCTTATGCTAAGTGAAATAAGCCAGGCACAGAAAGACAAACTTCACATGTTCTCACTTATTTGTGGGAGCTAAAGGTTAAAATCATTGAGGTCATGGAGATAGAGTGTAGAAGGTTTTACTCTGGTTCTTGATGGCAGGCAGGGCTGTGGCATAGAGCCTAGAGCTTCATGGGCTGACCTCTGTGGTCCAGAGGGAGGGCCTGGCACTGAGCATCTGGGCTTGTGAAAGGGGAGAATGTGATATATTGAGGATGGAAGTGAAGTATTTAGTGTACTGCTAGCTCCTGAACACTCTCCAAAGTTTCAGTGTCTTCATACAGTGAAACTTTCTCATTCATGTAAGAGCCCAAAGCGATCAGTGGGCAGGTCACTTTCACATGGTATTTCAGAGACTCAGGCTCCTTTCCCACTTGTGGCTCCACAAAGGTCTTGAAGTCTTATGTATGCTGCAGGCAGATATACTGCTGGCAGAGGGGCAACAGCTGTGCTGAGTGTCTCCTGATCTGGGCCAGATCAAGGCCTTTCACATCTATGAAGGGATTTGGAGGAGCACTGGGAACAGGTATTTTTGAGCACTTACCGAATGCCGGGCACCATACCGTGCATGTTCCATGCATTCTCACTTAATATTCTATGGAAGAGAGAACATTATATAAAAGAGCAAATGGAGGCCTGGATAGGTTAAGTCAGTCATCAATGATTAAGCAGCTAATAAAATGGCAAGGCTAGATTCAAAGCCAGACCTTTCTACTATAGCATGTTTCTTTTCCCATACAGCAAATGCCCAGCCATAACTACATTGCATCTCACAGCATGTTGGCTAGAAAATGTGGTGATTGAAAATTGTAGGGTTTTCATGAAGCTTTTCTCTGCCCTTGATTGTGAAAATAGCTAAATATCCTTAGGACACTACAAAGCATGATGTCACAGTGGACAGGAAGATGAGCTTCATTCCTAAGATGAGTAATAAGCACATGCGGTTTAAGTCATGACATGTGCTTGGGTAAAACAGAGAAATCAACTCAGTTAGGAACATTTAATTAGAAACATTCAGCTTCAGGCTCCATAGAGTCCCCTAGCTGGGTCCTCCTTAATTGACTATTTTCTGACACATCCCTGAGGCCCCAGGCTCTAAGTTTCTTCTCCCTAAATAGGCTTGAGATGTTTTGCAATAGACCCTTCTCTCCTTAAGTGCATTGTTCTCCTGTGAGCAGTCTCCCTTGTGAAGCCACAACAGCCTTCTCCCCTAAGGGCTCTCTCCAGCACCATCTCCATGAAGCCCTTCTCTAGGTCTCCTCTTGATCCTAGTGTCAGTGAAAAGACAGGTAGTGACACCTCTAGGCCTTCACCTCAGATGGGCCATAGGAGCATCACTGAAGCTAGATTAGAAAAGCTCAAAGGGCTAAAAGCTGCCACTATTGCAGTGAGGGAGAACATCATTCTGAAAACCTCGCTGATTTTCTGGCTCAAAGTTGACCATTAAAATCTCTATGAATCTTAATTCAGGCACAGTAAAGATTCCAGTTATCCGCCATGGTACTGACCTCTCTACTTTCGCATCTGTCTGGTGTGCAACGCGGCCCTCAGACCCAGCTTCTGCCACACCAGGAGTTGACTACGTTCCCAGCTCTCGGAAGGTGGAATTTGGGCCTGGTGTCATTGAACAGGTGCGTTTACAGCAGTCGAGACTCCACAAAGTTGACAGGTCGGTTTGTGAATGTTGTCTTTAGTTTGCTTCCCAAGCTCTCTAAACTCCCCTGGCGATATTCCTATCTTTCCTTTCTTTAAAAACACACATACATAAACAAGAGAGTTAACTTAGGAGGGGATCTTCTAAAAACTCTCCTAGTGACATTTTTAGCATCAAATATCCAGCCTTACAGATTCAGGATATAAACTATACTCATTTGATATAAACATCTAAAAACAAACTCCGAGTGGCATGTAATAAAGAGATCATCATGTTATGGATTAGAAAATCTTACTTTAAAACCACCAAAGACAGGCAAGTTGTGACCTTTGCCCTAGTCAAGGTAAATGGGTGTTAGATGGTGGGTCCTCTGTCAAGTTTGCTTTGGTTTCTCTTCTAGTATTGCACCTTGACTATCTTGGATGACACTCAGTATCCGGTAATTGAAGGACTGGAGACATTTGTGGTTTTCCTCAGCTCAGCACAAGGAGCCGAACTGACCAAACCCTTCCAGGCAGTCATTGCAATTAATGACACATTCCAAGATGGTAAGAGATTGGGGATGCCAGCTGGTAGGTCCAAATATATTTCTATTTTTTCTTTAACGTCCACATATGTGACATTGGAACTCATTCACATTTTCATTCAAGAAATATGTGTGTGTAGATGTGTATACGTGAGCATTTGCACTTTTACATAGCAGAGTATGTAGATGTGAGAGAGAACCATTGATGTCTCCGGTACTCTGCCAGACACAAAGAGATGTATAAGCCTTGGGCCCTGTCCTCAAGAAGCTCAGTGTCTCCCTGTGGAATCAGACCCTTAAAGAGAGAAATTGGAATAAATCATGATAAATGACCTAATAGTACTATACATCCAGCACTATGGGAGCAGAGGGAACTGAACAGGAACTACAAGTGGGGGAAATTATAGATTTCACCAAGGAGATTATATTTAAGCAGAGTCTTCAGGTGTGATAGGAGTCTATCTAATGCATAATAAAGGAAAACCTATTTCAAGTGGAGACATATAGTAAATACAATGTATAATGTGTTGAAAGATCCACATTTGGGGAACAGACCCTTACTTTTGCTTTGAGCATGGGAGGGGGTGAATAGAAGAATGGAATGGAAAGACAGATTGGAGTCAAGTTCTGAGAGGCATTGTGATCCAGCCTAAGGACTCTATAAGCAAAGGGTAGCAGTGGATGCTTATAAGCAGAGGAGTGATGTGCTTTTTTATTTTAGAAAGCGAATATTGGCAGTATTGTAGGTGATGTGCAGGGATGAATAGAGGCAGGTATATGAAGAAAATATCAGTCACTGCTGAAGATGTAACCTAAGTAGCATGAGGAAAAACAGGAAAGGATGGTTACTTCTCAGAAGAATTGACGAAATTAGAATTGTCAGAACTTCAGAATCCACTGTTTGGATACTAGGGTTTGGTGGAGAAGATCAAGTGAAACCTTCCACCTAAAGCAGCAGGACCCTCATTAGCATTCCCAGAGATTGGCCATAGAGCCCATGATTAAACTCCTAGCAGCTGAGAAGTCCTCAAAAGAGGAGCAAGAAGCCAAGTCGGATAATCTTTGATGTTTTTATTTATTCTTAAATCATTTATTTCATGTATATAGTAGTAAACAATTCAAATGGCAAAAAGCGTATACTATGAAAATTAAATCTTCTTTCTACCCCTATCTCCCAGTCTCCCAGTTCTCCTCACTGGAGACAACAATTTTAACCAGTTTTTTGTGTGTTTATCCTTCAGGAGAAAAAAAAAACTCTCTCTCTCTCTCTATATATATATATATAAAATTATGTATGTGTGATACACACACACACACATACAACAAACATACACATACTTGCATGCATCCAAAATGATAGTAATTTGTTTTAGAGCCAGGTTTATGAAGGTGCAACTTGCATAAATGAAAGTCCATCGTCCTTAGTGTACAGTTCTATGAGTTTTGACAAATGTATACAGTGATATGCTCACTACCACAATCAAGATGTTGAACAGTTCCAACACTCTGCAAAATTATCTCATGTGCCTTTGTCGTCTGTGTCTCCTTAGTCACCAGCCCTGAAAACCACTAATCTGTTTTCTGGCCCTAAAGTTGTGCCTTTTCCAAAATTTCATAAAAATGGAATCATATAATATCTATGATTTTGCATCTGGTTTCTTTCACTAGAAAATGCATTTGAGACTCATTCATGTTATTGCATATGTGAGTAGTTCATTCCATTTATTGAGATTAGCTTTTCATTGTATGGATTTACCACCATTTGTTTACTCACCTATTGAATGACATTTGGGTTGTTCAAGGTTTTGGTGTTTAAATTGCGTTGTTTTCCTACTTGTATTGCATTGTTGTAGATTCTGGACAGAGATTTATATTTTGCAAATATTTTATCCAAGTCTGTTTTTTGTCTTTTTGTTCTGTAAACAAACATCCTAAGAGTAATCATTTTTCATTTTGAAGCAGCCTCATTTATCATTTTTCTATTATGGATCATATTTTTAGTGTTGTATCTAAGAAATCTTTGCCTAACCCAAGGTAACAAAGATGTTCTCCTATTTTCCTACAGAAGTTTTATAGCCTTAAGTTTTACATTTAGGTTTGTGATTCACAAAACGGTAACTTTTACACCATGAACAAGATTATGACACTTATATTATCTCATGTTGCATGTTACTTCCAAGTTTACAAAGCAATCCATTAAGCCTTATCTCACTTGCTCATAACCCCGTGCTCTTTCTTCTGTTTCTATTTAGTGGATAAGGAAACTGAGAATCAGAGGAAATAGGTCACCCAATGTCTAGTATCTAGAGGAACCAGCATGCATTCTAGGACTTTTGACCCCAAGTTCATCCTCCTTGCATTATATACTACATGGTTTTAATTGGTGTAGAAGTAGAATCAGTGGCAATTTTATTTCTTAGTAAAGAGGAAGATAAAACAGAAAGAAGAAAATTCAGCTATACGTTTTATTCTTGAAATTGTTTCTTATTCTTTTGCATGAAATGACCATTAATTTCCCTCTGATGAAGTGGAAAGTGAATACAAAGTTGAAGTCCTGAAATATAATCCTAGCCCCACCACTTCCTAGGTCTTTGGCCTTAGGCCAGAAGCTTAAGGTTACTAAGCCTCATTTTGCTCATCTATAAATAATGAAAATAACTACCTTACAAGATTGTTGTGAGGATTAAATTAGATAAAATATGTGAAAATGCCTGCTGTAATACCTGGCACACAGTAAATTTTATTACATGTTGATTTCTTTTCTTCCTGACACACCTGGCATTTATCACTCTTACCAACAAGACTCCAGTAACATATAGAGTCCTCACTGATCAACACACAAAATTATATTTAAATATTTTTCAGTATTTTATTGATGAGCATTGGGTTTGTCAACTTAGGAAACTGATATGTTAAGCAAAAATTTTCTTTCAGAAAAGCTACAGCTTTTCTTTTTCTTTCAGAGAAGCTACAGCAATATGTGTTTAATCAATAACTTATCCCAGAGAAAGAAATCCCAAAACCTATTTCAGTAACTCAGCATAGCATTCAGTACTTACTTCTTCTGGTTATCTTTCTTCCTAGTAATAACGAACTTTTGTTGAGTCCATTCAGTGTGAACATTCTAGGGTAGAAAGATCTTACATATTATCCCTAATCCTTGCAACAGACCTTTAACTTGTGAAACCAAGTTTGAATAATTTGAGTAGGATTACACAGAGAGAAAGTGATGAAGCTGGAATTAAAATCCAAGTCTGCTCTATCCAAGTCCAGTCTTCTGGTTTCATATCCTACTACGCTGACTCTTCACATTTCAGTTTCAGCTGGCCACTGCCCTCTGTATAACAATGCTAACCGTCACTCAAGAGTCTTACAAAGTCAACTCTCAGCCTTCTGCAGTGATCTTAGCTCCTTTCATTCTTTTCCCACTAGGCTGATTTCAGGATCTTAAATCATCTAAGCAGCTCATCTTATAACATTTACCTGTTCTCACCTACCTTTGCTGTGCTGGTACCTGGAATTAGACTCGGGCTTGGGCATGAGTAATGCTGACTGGGTAGCATTAGAAAGTCCTGTAGCTGCTACGGTATCACCCTCCTGTGTGTGCATCTGTGGCAAACATACTCATTAACTCGTGAAACAGAGGCAGGATTTCTCCTAAATTTCTGGCTTAACTGTTGCTGGTAAAGAGGCTATTGCATTCCAGGCACTGGCGTTTACATTCACTTCATCAGTTACTAAGAAGATTAGCGAGGTAACAGTGTTTATAGGACATTTTCTATACCTAGCACTGGTGATCAACATGGTATGGGCTACAGAGTAGTGGAGAGCAGAGTCCCATAATCTATTTTAGGATACAAGACTTCCATAAATAAAAAGATAATTGTAGACTGGCCATGCACAATAAGTGTTCTATGAGCAGTGCTGACAGAAAATGCGTTATACCCAATGTGAGCCCATGCGCCATCAGCAGGTAACCTCCATTTCATATTGATGCAGCCCATCAGTGTGGAAAAAGAGGAGCCCTGCAGTCAGGGGAAGTTGATTCTAAGAGCCAGTGCTATCACTTCCTGGGGATTATACTGCCTTATGGGGTTGGTGACAGAATGACATTAAATAATATATATGAAAACCTTTAACACAATGCCTGACTTACAACATAAATCCCCTGTGCTAAATCTCTTCCTGAAACTCCCTTGTTGTATATGTCTCTTGCCTCAGTCTCCCACTGGTCTGGGGTCTTCTTAAAGGGAGGGATTGTTTCTGGGCAGGCAATCAGAAGATGTGTCCACTGCCTTTTCTCTTTCTCTCTCTCTATTTTTTTTTTTTTTTTTTTTGGCAGACAGGGATAGAAGTGAGAGTGAATGTCTTGTTAAAGAGGGAAAAAATAGTCTTTTATACCTCAAGAGGAATTTGGAGTTGATTAATGCATGACCAAACCTAAACATAACCACTTCAGCCTTTAACTTTCTCATCTGACTTGAGGCCTGTCAGGCCAGCAAGAAAAAACAATCTAAAGCTTCAGATATCTGCTGGGAGCGGAAAAGCTTCCCTGCTTGTATTGCTTTTTCCCTGGCAACAAGCTTCCTTCTTGTCCTCCTATGCTGGGCGATGTCATTGCCATCCACCTTTTAGCAGCACAGGCCATTTCACTGGGTTACGGAGCCCTAACTGGTTAGGCCTACAGTTGTTAATTTTCCTTTAGGTATAGTGTTCTTTTAAGCAGTATCATCTGACTTTTCATTTAGTAATGATTAGTAACTATTAAGCTTAGTTCATATGATGGGATGGTTTTATTTTTGCCATGGCCAACAGTTCTGGAGTCACAGAGAGCTTTCTGTACATTGACTTGGAGAATGCTTGGGTGCTTATCACCCCTCCTCTCATTCCCCCACGTCCCCCAATCCCCAAACACACACCTTTCCTTCCTTTCTGGGTTGGTGGGGTGTGTCCAGGAGGCAGCCAGGAAATTGGTGATTACAGCTTTAACCCAAAGACTAATTCTGACCCAGGAGGCTTTGACATATGATTCTTTGCATTGTTCGTGAATAAATTAATAACCAGCAGTCAACAAAATGTTGACCTCAGAAGGGCAAATGCCTTAATACAGAGCAAATGATTCTTCATATTGAGAATTCTGGAGTTGGGAGGAAAATAGAAACCATAATATATTAATTCCTACCAAACTTTGAGTTCTCACTATAAACCAGATACTACATTGAGTACCATGCATTTATTATCTCATTAAATTCAATTATACCAACAATTCTATATTAGATATTAATATTTCCAATTTATATATGAAAAATATCCCAAAGTTTGGAAAGTCTAAGTAACTTGCCCTGTGTCACACAACTGGTAAGTAGAAGGGCTGAGATGGAAATTCAGGTCTGTTTCCTCCTAAGTCCTTGTTTTTAACCATGATTTGACTACGGTCTCATCCTTAAGTCAAAGGAGGATTTGAGTTATAAAAGAAGAGGCATCTAGCGCCTACCTGTAGTCCCAGCTACTTGGGAGGCTGAGGCAGGAAAATTGCTTGAACCCGGGAGGTAGAGGTTGCAGTGAGCTGAGATTGTGCCACTGCACTCCAGCCTGAGTGACAGAGCGAGACTCCGTCTCAAAAAAAAAGAAGAGTCATCTATAGCAGTGGTCACAGACTGGAACCCTCTGGCCAAATTTAGTCTGTGGACATGCTTTGTTTGTCCCAAATAGTTTTGGCTTATACAAAATTTCTTTTCACTATTTTATTTGTTTGCTATTTTTGAATTCAGGAGCTATGTCATAAAAAACCACATCTCTGGCTTCATTTGAAAATAAGATCTGGCAACAGAAGACTGGAACTTTTTAAACAGGGCCTACTCTTTCCTTTATACTTATGTCCCCACTCTTTCCTATTGTCTCTCTGGCCCCAAGACCAATGTGAGTGGCCATTTAGCACCAGATTTGCACTGCTGTTTTCCTTACTGTAGCCCTAGGAGGACAGTGAAGTCTTTTGAGTACCCAAATAATGACCAAAATTTTTCGTACACCATCAAAATTTTTCTTACAATTATCCCATTTATTGACTTGCATTACCTGCTCATATTTGAGATGGTGACAGCATTTTGAAGTTGTACAAAGATAGGTACAAAATTGATCTGTTCTATTTCACTGGATGCACACTTATAGTAGAAGCAGTTCCCTTGTCCTGAGAGCAACAACCATGCTTTGGAATCTGCTTGCCACCTGTGATTTGTCAGCCTACCTTGGGCTTTGGTGGAGCTCACCTGCCAAAATAGCTGCTGAAGGCTGACAAGGACCATGGCCACAGCTTCCCTGTCTTCCACTAATGGTGCGTCTGTCTTTCTGTCTGCCCACCTAGTGCCCAGCATGCAGTTTGCCAAGGATTTGCTCCTAGTGAAGGAGAAGGAGGGTGTCCTGCATGTCCCTATCACTCGGAGCGGAGACCTGAGCTATGAGTCATCAGTGAGGTGCTATACTCAGAGCCATTCCGCTCAGGTCATGGAGGACTTTGAGGAGAGACAAAATGCAGACTCTTCACGGATTACATTTCTCAAAGGGGACAAAGTAAGTGGATTGGTGGTGGCTGAAAGATGAGATTCTCTTATTGTCTTTATTTGTCTGTAATGAAGTCATTTATATAAATTCCAAAAATTCTCAGAATTTTGTATACTACAGGTGACCCTTGAACAATGCAGGGGATAGGGGTGCCAACTCCCCACACAGTTGAAAATTTGTGTATAACTTTTGACTCACACAAAACTTAACTACTAATAACCTACTGTTGACTGAAAGCCTTACCAATAACATAAGTAGTTGATTATCACATATTTTATGTGTCATATGTATCACATGCTGCATTCTCACAATAAAATAAACTAGAGAAAAAATGTTATTAAGAAGTGGAATAGTGGATCATCATAAAGGTCTTCATCCTCATTGTCTTCATATTGAATAAGCTGAAGAGAAGGAGGGAGAGGAGGGTCTCACTGTCTCAGGAGTAGAGAGACAGAAAAAAATCCATGTCTAAGTGCACCCATGCAGTTTGAACCTGTGTCATTCAAGGGTTATCCATAATTGACAATATTTTTAATGATGTCATCTATTCCTTCTTTGTCTCCCACTTACAATCAAATACACATATCATTGGTTGATCTGAGAAGTTTAGCTGATGTGTGACATATTTGGAACTTAGCAGAAGCAAATGAGTTCTGCTCTTATTACCACCTCTTAATCTCAAACTATGTTAGAGATGAATATACTCCACTGTTACTTTGAGAGCAGGAGGCAGCCGTCTAATACCTGCACCCCTGTCCCAGGGAAACATATATCCCAGTATAGGACCAAATAGGCAGATGTTGAGCAAATTGAAGTCAGCAGAGTATTCTCTTGACAATGTACATGAAATCTCATGCATATGCACCTAGAAACTCACCACTAAAGCTAGTGGAAAACAAAAAAAAAAAAAAAAAAAGAAAAGCAGGGGTTGAAATCCTAGTCTCTGATAAAACAGACTTTAAACCAGCAAAGATCAGAGAAGACAAAGAAGGGTATATTACATAATGGTAAAGGGATCAATGCAACAACATGAGCTAACTTTCCTAAATATATATGCACCCAATACAGGAACACCCAGATTCACAAAGTTCTTAGAGACCTACAAAGAGACTTAGACTCCAACAAAATAATAGTGGGAGACTTTAACACCCCACTGTCAATATTAGACAGATCAATGAGACAGAAAATTAACAAGGTTATTTGGGACTTGAACTCAGCTCTGGACCAAGCAGACCTAATAGACATCTACAGAGCTCTCCACCCAAAATCAACAGAATATACATTCTTCTCAGCACCATATGGCACTTATTCTAAAGTTGACCACATATTTGGAAGTAAAGCACTCCTCAGCAAATGCAAAAGAACAGAAATCATAACAAACAGTCTCTCAGACCACAGTGCAACAAATTAGAGCTCAGGATTAAGAAACTCACTCAAAACCACACAACTACATGGAAACTGAACAACCTGCTCCTGAATGACTACTGGGTAAATAACAAAATTAAGGCAGAAATAAATAAGTTCTTTGAAACCAATGAGAACAAACACAACATACCAGAATCCCTGGAACACAGCTAAAGCAATGTTTAGAGGGAAATTTATAGCACTAAATGCCCACAGGAGAAAGTGGGAAAGGTCTAAAATCGACACCATAACATCACAATTAAAAGAACTAGAGAAGCAAGAGCAAACAAATTCAAAAGCTATCAGAAGACAAGAAATAATTAGGATCAGAACAGAACTGAAGGAGATAGAGACAGGAAAAATCCTTCAAAAAAATCAGTGAATCCAGGAGCTGGTTTTTTTTTTAAAGATTAACCAAATAGATAGACCATTATCCAGACTAATAAAGAAGAAAAGAGAGAATAATCAAATAGACACAATAAAAATTGATAAAGGGGATATCACCACTGATCCCACAGAAATACAAACTACCATCAAAGAATACTATAAACACCTCTATGCAAATAAACTAGAAAATCTGGAAGAAATGGATAAATGCCTGGACACATACGCCCTCTCAAGACTAAACCGGGAAGAATTTGAATCCCTGAATAGACCAGTAACAAGTTCTGAAATTGAGGCAGTAATTAATAGCCTACCAACCAAAAAAAGCCCAGGACCAGACGGATTCACAGCCGAATTCTACCAGAGGTACAAAGAGGAGCTGGTACCATTACTTCTGAAACTATTCCAAACAATAGAAAAAGAGGGACTCCTTCCTAATTCATTTTATGAGGCCAGCATCATCCTGATATTTAACTGTGGCAGAAATGCAACAAAAAAAAATTCAGGCCAATATCTCTGATGAACATCAATGCGAAAATACTCAATAAAATACTGGCAAACTGAATCCAGCAGCACATCAAAAAGTTTATCCACCACGATCAAGTTGGCTGCATCCCTGGGATGCAAGGCTAGTTCAACATACGCAAATCAATAAA
Source organism: Homo sapiens (assembly GCF_000001405.40). Taxonomy (NCBI): domain Eukaryota; kingdom Metazoa; phylum Chordata; class Mammalia; order Primates; family Hominidae; genus Homo; species Homo sapiens. The sequence continues at coordinate 78,491,516 of NC_000004.12, forward strand.
CATAATCCATCACATAAACAGAACCAATGACAAAACCCACATGATTATCTAATAGATGCAGAAAAGGCCTTCGACAAACTTTAACAGCCCTTCATGATAAAAACTCTCAATAAACTAGGTATTGATGGAACATATCTCAAAATAACAAGAGCTATTTATGACAAACCCACAGCCAATATCATATTGAATGGCAAAAGCTGGAAGTATTCCCTTTGAAAACCTGCACAAGACAAAGATGCCCTCTCTCACCACTCCTGTTCAACATAGTATTAAACGTTCTGGCTAGGGCAAACAGGCAAGAGAAAGAAATAAACGTTTATTCAAATAGGAAGAGAGGAAGTCAAATTGTCTCTGTTTGCAGATGACATAATTGTATATTTAGAAAACCCCATTGTCTCAGCCCCAAATCTCCTTAAGCTGATAAGGAACTTCAGCAAAGTTTCAGGATACAAAATCAATGTGCAAAAATCACAAGCATTCCTATACAACTATAATAAACAGAGAGCCAAATCATGAGTGAACTCCCATTCACAATTGCTACAAAGAGAATAAAATACCTAAGAATACAACTTACAAGGGACATGAAGGACCTCTTCAAGGAGAACTACAAACCACTGCTCAAGGAAATAAGAGAGGACACAAATGGAAAAATATTCCATGCTCATGGATAAGAAAAATCAATATCATGAAAATGGCCATACTGCCCAAAGTAATTTATAGATTCCTTGCTATCCCCATCAAGCTACCTTTGACATTCTTCACAGAATTAGAAAAAACTACTTTAAATTTCATATGGAACCATAAAAGAGCCATATAGCCAAGACAATCCTAAGCAAAAAGAACAAAGCTGGGGGCATCACACTACCTGACTTCAAACTATACTACAAGTCTGCAGTAATCAAAACAGCATGGTAGTGGTACCAAAAGAGATATATAGACCAATGGAACAGAACAGAGGCCTCAGAAATAATGTCACACATCTACAACCATCTGATTTTTTGACAAACCTGACAAAAATAAGCAATGGGGAAAGGATTTCCTACTTAATAAATGGTGTTGGGAAAACTAGCTAGCCATATGCAGAAAACTGAAACTGGACCCCTTCCTTACACCTTATACAAAAATTAACTCAGGATGGATTGAAGACTTAAACGTGAGACCTAAAACCATAAAAATCCTAGAAGTAAACATAGGCAATACCATTCAGGACAAGGACAAGGCAAGGACACGGGCAAGGACTTCATGACTAAAACACCAAAAGCAATGGCAACGAAAGCCAAAATTGACAAATGGGATCTAATTGAACTAAAGAGCTTCTGCACAGCAAAAGAAACTATCATCAGAGTGAACAGGCAACCTACAGAATGGGAGAAAATCTTTGCAATCTATCCATCTGACAAAGGGCTAATATCCAGAATCTATAAGAAACTTAAACAAATTTACAAGGAAAAAACAACCCCATCAAAAAGTAGGCAAAGGATATGAACAGACACTTCTCAAAAGAAGACATTTATGCAGCCAACAAACAAATGAAGAAAAGCTCATCATCACTGGTTGTTAGAGAAATGCAAATCAAAACCACAATGAGATACCATCTCATGCCAGTTAGAATGGTGATTATTAAAATGTCAGGAAACAACAGATTCTGGAGAGGATGTGGAGAAATAGGAACACTTTTACACTGTTGGTGGGAGTGTAAATTAGTTCAACCATTGTGGAAGACAGGATGGTGATTCCTCAAGGATCTAGAACCAGAAATACGATTTGGCCTAGCAATCCCATTACTGGGTATATACCCAAAGAATTATAAATCTTTCTATTATAAAGACACATGCACATGTATATTTATTGCAGCACTATTCACAATAGCAAAGACTTGGAACCAACCCAAATGCCCATCAATGATAGACTGGATAAAGAAACTGTGGCACACATACACCATGGAGTATTATGCAGCTATAAAAAAAAAGATGAGTTCATTCCTTTGCAGGGACACGGATGAAGCTGGAAACCATCATTCTCAGCAAACTAACACAGAAACAGAAAACCAAACACTGAATATTCTGACTCATAAGTGGGAGTTGAACAATGAGAACACATGGACCCAGGGAGGGGAACATCACACACCGGGGCCTGTCTGGGTGGTGGGGGGCTAGGGGAGGGATAGCATTAGGAGGAATACCCAATTTAAATGACGGGTTGATGGGTGCAGCAAACCACCATGACACATGTATACCTATGTGACAAACCTGCATGTTCTGCACATGTATCCCAGAACTTAAAGTATAATAATAATAAAAAAAAGAAACTCACCACTAAACATGGCTGCACCAGAATTAGTCTGCAACCTCAGTGTATGTCAAAAGTGTGTATTGAATCAGAATCACATTTTCCCCATTTTAAAATCTCAGTTTCAGATGGTTGAGTCAGTTATATCCCTTGGTTCAAGGCACACATCCTCATTGGTCAATACTAAGCCCTTCTCTTATGTTTGTTTTTTTTTATTCATTTTGTTTTACCCCTACTCTCCAGCCACATTCTTTTCCCTGCTCATCAATCTATTGTGTTTAATATGTATCTCTTAACTTGTATTTCTTCTTAAGAAATGCTTGTTGTTTTATGTATACAGTTTTAATTTCTAAAAATGCTATTGTCCTCTTTTTTTCATCTTTTACTGTTTTTACTCAGCAATGTTTTGAGATCTATGTTTTTTAGGTGTACATGTAATCTGTTGCTTCTAACTGTTGCATAATATTTTATGGTATATGTCTTAGTCGATTTGCATTGCTATAAAGGAATACCTGAGGCTGGGTAGTTCATAAAGAAAAGGGGTTTATTTGGCTCACAGTTCTGCAGGCTGTACAAGAAACATGGTGCCAGCATCTGCTTCTGGTGAGGGCTTCAGGAAGCTACCACTCAAGGCAGAAGAGGAAGGGGAGCAGGCATCATCACATGGCAAGAGAGGAGGAAAGAGAGAGGGTAGGGAGGTGTCAGACTCTTATTAACTACCTTATCTCATGGGATTTAAGAGAGAATTCATTCAATCCTGTGAGAATGGCACCAAGCCATTCATGAGAGAACTGTCCCCATCACCCAAACATCTTCCACCAGGCCCCACTTCCAATAATTGGGGATCAAATTTCAACAGGAGATATGGAGGGGACAAATATTTATCAGTATGTGTCTGCTATATTTTACCTATGCACTCTCAGCAAGAGACAGTGAAGAACTTCAGTGATCACACCCACCAGCTTCCTGACTCCCTGTCATCACAAATAATGCTTCAGTGCACATCCTCATACATGTCCACTTACAGACTTGAATGAGAATTTTGTTGGATATACAATCAGTTTATCAAAATCAATTTTGATAAACTACAGGACCTGCATATACCTAATTTGAAAAACTTGTGTTGGAATACTTTACAGAATGTCACTAGAAGTGCATGAGGGTTGCTATAACCCTATATTCTCTTCAAAACGAGCATTATTCATCTTTTGAATTTTTGCTAATTTAATATGTATAAAGTTATATCTCATTTTAATTTGTAATTCTCTAATTACTAATCTTTCATATGCTTGCTAGCTTATTGGGTTTCCAATAAGCATATAAGCTTATTTTTATCCTTTGTTTCTTATTTTATTGTGTTATCTTTTACTCACTGATTTGCAATGCTTTCTTATATTTCCCAAATATTAATTCCTTGCCAGTTTTAGACATTTTAGGTATTAATAACATCTTTTCTTTTTCTGTCACTTATTTATTACCATTGAGTATGGTGTTCTTGATCAGAAGCCTTCAATTTTGAAATAATCAAATGTATCCAGTTTTTGCCTTATGATTAGTCCTTTTGAAGTTTAGCATAAAACATACCCATCACACATCACCCTAGATTCTTCCTCTGTTCATCTTTACTACAAAAATAAAAGTGATAGCTTCCTTCTTTGGGGCACTCATGACATTTACACATTTATGACTCATAAAAGCCTGTCTTAGTTATATATTTTATGGGAATTTTACTGGTGACAGGTTGAAATGTGCTTTAAAACACATACATGTACTACAGATACCATCTTCAGCTTTGAGTCTACATGTCTGTATTTGTTTTAAGTTCAAAAGAGAATTCTCTGCTTATCCAAGAAGTAGTTTTTAATTTAATAAAATTATAAAGAAAATACAGTCTAGTAGTCTGTGTTACCCACATGGCAATCTATCATTATTCTTAAGCACATTTTAGAACCTTTATTATTATTATTATTTTGCTTGCTAAGCATATGCTTTGAAACTTGTCATTCACTAACATTTTTTTTAAGATCTAAAAAGTCACTGCTAACTTCATGCTTTCTATAAGGAATTCTTATACAAAAGATGTGGTAGAGGAAAAAAAACACAACATTCTTCAGGGACTTAAAATCAGATTAGCAAGTCACATATAAATATTCACAGGGATATTCTCTCACCATTTAGCGTGACTTAGGAAGTATGAGAGTGAAACTTCTCTCTACTCATATATCCTTTGCAATATGTTAGAATAGTGAATTTGAAATGATCCAACTAAAAATATCCTCCTTCACATCACATGACTCTACTATTGAGGCTGCTGTGTTATCTGAAATGTTGTGACCATATTTTACATTTTCTCAAAAATACAATCCTCAGTAGAGAATATTCTGTTGAGAAACACTTGGTTTCTTTCCATCAAACAGGGATTTGGATTGTGGTCTCGGACTTTCTGTACTCAGCAGTTTTCAGATGAGATATCATTTGGCAGCAGATTCGAAAATTCTTTAGCATTTAAAGGTATCTTTAGCCTAACGCAAAGCCTTTCTGATTTCTTTATAAGACTTCAATTTTTACAAAGGAAAAGAAGTGTTACTCAACTCTCCAGGAAGTTTAATCAGTATGTTAAACCCCCGTCATCAGAAATCTACCTATTTTAATATGTGAAATGTATTAAGCAGCACAGAAAAAAATGTGGGAAAGCACACAGATGTTCTACATATGGTTTTTAGTGGGTTCTTTGTTTTGTTGATCTTGTTTTTCATAATTCATCACCAATAATTAAAAATGGTTTGGCATATTCTAATACAAGTCTCCACATATAGGTGGGTCCCACCCAAGCATGAACTGTTAAATTTGAACATTTTGTTTTATAAATGAAACTGGATCCTTTTGAATTTGTGTGGACTTTTTGATGCAATAAAGAAGAAAGATAGTTTTCTAGGAAAACCAAGCAAATCACTGATATCTTGCTGAAAATTTTAATCTGTCTTGTGCCATTGGCTCTAGGTGAAGAACTGTACGGTCTATATCCACGATGACTCCATGTTTGAGCCAGAGGAACAGTTCAGGGTCTACCTCGGCCTTCCTCTTGGAAACCACTGGAGTGGAGCTAGAATTGGAAAGAATAACATGGCCACCATCACCATATCCAATGATGAAGATGGTAACAGAAGAAATTATCTTTAGTTACTCTTAGGTTGAGGGGACATAAACTGATGTTTAACTAATTATTAGTGTTTTGAAAAATAAAAGTGCTTTAAGAATGCCTACTGATAACATTCTCTGAATATTTATATAAAATGTTGGTGGCAAATGATCTCCCTCTACAGAGATCCAAAAAATTCATAGGTATTTTTAATATCATTGTTCCCTACCACAGTGCTAGGAGATATGGACTGATTGTGGTCAAAAGCTGAGACAGAAATGCTAAGACAGAGAATAAAAGCCATTTAAGTCACTGTAGTTCAGGAGCAGGATTGGAAATACAGTTGGAATCAGTGGAATCCAATGAACTGGTTTAAAACACTGCCACCTTCCTGGAAAAGTCTAATTTCTCAGTTTTCTTCTCTCTAATTGATTTGGCCTACTAACCTAAAAAAAAAAAAACTTAAGCTCTATAGTCAGGTGTTAGCCAAGAATGACCCAGGCACCAGGGAAGACAAAACCTGTTTCAAACTGGGACATAATTGTTTCACTAAAATAGATATTTTAATGAGTGAATAGATAATAATGTTACAAATAGTGATAGCTCTTTTTATTGAATACTGTATACCAAGAACTATGCTAAGCATATTATATTATCTTATTTAATACTGGAAGGAATTTCTTGAGGTTGGTGCTATTATTTCTATATTACGAATAAAGAAACTGAACCTCAGCAAAGCTATATAATTTGCACTCTTAGTTATACAGCTGTAAACAGCAAACCTGGATGTGAACTTCATTCTGTCTGATTCTAGAATCTGTACTCTTAAGTATACTCTTAAGTGACTCTTAGGGTTTCTAGGGAAATATCAGTAACTAACTTGGACATTGGATAAAATAAGAAACTCCAGCCTCAAAGTTGAATTAGTCCTTGACCCCAGGAGACTCAAGTTCAGATCCCAAAGTGAACCTCTCCCAGGTACATAGAAAACCCATCATTGAGACTCAGACAAATAAGATTTATACTCTGCTGCAACTAACACAAGAACAGACAACCAAACACCACATGTTCTCACTCATAAGTGGGAGGTGAACAATGAGAACACATGGACACAGGGAGAGGAACATCATACACTGGGGCCTGTTGACAGGGACGGGGGCCTGGGGAAGGATAACATTAGGAGACATACCTAATGTAGGTGATGGGTCGGTGGCACATGTGGCTTGTAACAAACTTGCACGTTCTGCACATGTATCCCAGAACTTAAAGTATAATTTTAAAAAAGGCCGGGTGCAGTGGCTCATGCCTGTAATCCCAGCACTTTGGGAGGCCAAGGCAGGATCACCTAAGGTTGGGAGTTCAAGACCAGCCTGACCAACATGGAGAAACCCTGTCTCTACTAAAAATACAAAATTAGCCAGGCGTGGTGGCATGCGCCTGTAATCCCAGCTACTCAGGAGGCTGAGGTAGGAGAATCGCTCAAACCCAGGAGGTGGAAGTTGCAGTGAGCTGAGATCGTGCCATTGCACTCTAGCTTGGGCAACAAGAACAAAACTCTGTCTCAAAGAAAAAAAAAAAAAAAGATTTATGCTGTGCTGCAGTGACCCTCCTAGATTTCAAAGGGCATTCTTATTAAAAACTATAAAACCTCAAATGAGGCTTATCTTCTACAGTTAGGAAGATTTGACTTTCTGAGAGGGAAAGAAACGGAAATAAATACAGAAAGTAGAAATTTCTGCCATATTCTATGATATACTCAAAATGGTATAAAAGTTATCATTACTCTCAATTTTTCCATCTTTTTATCTCACTCTCTCTACCACCACCCCACCCTTCCCCATGAGATATAATAGAAAAGAAGGCATGATTTGAATTTTTTGGTAAAAATCAATATATTATTTTATTTATTTATTTATTTATTTGAGATGGAGTTTTGCTTTGTCGCCCAGGCTGGAGTGCAGTGGGGCAATTATGGCTCACTGTAGCCTCGACCACCAGGGCTCAAGTGACTCTCCCACCTCAACCTCCTGAGTAGCTGCGACCACAGGCACGTGCCAGCATGCCTGGCTATTTTTTAATTATTTGTAGAGATGAGGTCTCACTATGTTGCCCAGGTTGAATATATTATTAATCATTTCCTGGCAACAGGATTCCATTAGGAAATCTTGTGTTCCTGAGTTACCCTTGTAGCCAGTCACTGAAAGCACCCATACTTACCTATATAGCTTGTAGGAAATTAAGAAAAGCTGAGGATGGGGAGGTGAGAGCACTAAGAGGAGGGGGTCCAAAGGACCAGAGGTGAGGGGTGGACTTGGTAAATTTAAGTAGTATATAAATGAGATAAATTATAAACCTTTGAAATTCATATCTCATGAATGAAAAGTTGATTTATGTGACAGGTATTTATCTAGGGCCTACTATGTCTCAGTCCCTTGATAAACTGTTCAAATTTTAAAACATTCTGTGAACTGTAGTGCCGAGTTGGAAACTTGGACATCATGAATTTCAAAGTCTCTACAAATAATTCCACCCATTATATTGTTTTTAATAAGGAACATGTGAGACACAACTCCTGCAGAATCACAAATAAATAATTTTTTCCAAAGCATTGTTTAGCAGTAAATACTGATTGAGTTTTATGACTGCAAGCCATTTTGCCTTCATACTGTTAACTAATGTGAACAATTTCCTCTTGTCATTATAAGGTGTTTTCCTGGGAGTCTGAATCCTTTGTGCTATTCTAACTGGCTCTTGTTTTCCTAACCATATTTCCTTAGCCCCCACCATTGAGTTTGAAGAAGCTGCATACCAAGTCCGGGAACCCGCAGGCCCAGATGCCATTGCGATTCTGAACATCAAGGTGATCCGCAGAGGGGATCAGAACAGGACCTCCAAGGTTCGCTGCAGCACGCGGGATGGCTCTGCCCAGTCTGGTGTGGATTATTACCCAAAGAGCCGAGTCTTGAAGTTCAGTCCCGGTAATTGAATGCCAACCTCAATCTGTGGGTTTTACTTAATAGAGGGGCAAAAATCTTGTATTTGAAGAAAGGAATAAACAGATAAATGAAAAAGGAAAACAGTAGTTCCAATAGCTAAAGCATTTTTAAGCACACATTTGAGATTGCAGGTGAAATTTCTAATTCGTAAAAATGACATGGGGGAAAAAGAAATAGGTCTCTTACTTTAGACCATGCTGGGCATTTTGGTTCATTTAAAAGAATTTTTTGTTAGCCTAAGATTTGGTTGAATGATAGGATCACTTGTTAAAAAAAAATACACACGTAACTGGCACCATTCAACAAATATTGCTGAAAAGTGCTGTGCTGGGTCAGTCAAGGATTACTACATCTGAAAGGCACAATCCCTGTGTTCAAGTGGTTTAATATCTGCTAGGAAACAGGATACCCAGTTTTGGACTTTCCAAAACACAATTTATATGGAGATGAGTTTGGGAAAAGAGAGAGATGGCGTTCAGGTCATAGATCACAGCTTAAAGGTCTGTGATCTTCCACTATCCCCCTTTCGGAGGACATTTAAGTATTAATCTGATGGGGAGAATGAAACAGGAAAAGGGTTGAACTGTATGCTAGGTTTCTTCACAGAACTTTCTGAAATCTAACTGGTATAGATCCTGACACCATTTGCGACGTAGCCAGAGGAGGGCAACAGTGCTAGGAGAACTTTTTAGAGCTGTCTTGGCAAGTGGAGGGAGAAAATGATGCCCTCAGAAATCATGGGGGTTGAAGGGGGAGGGTCTTTATTTTCTCTCCCCTCACCAGAGCTTTAAAGGGCTTCTGGCTCCATCCCATCTGTGTCTGACTGATGTTTGCTGGAAAGCTAGATGCCCTCCTTCCATATCTCAAGATGGAACTGTCTTTCACTTTTTACTTTTCCGCATAAAGATCTGGGGAAAGGATAGGTCTAGAAGGAACTTAACCCGGATGTCTGTAGACTAAGAAAGGGGCTTTAACTTCAATGAGGTATTTGCACCTTCAGAAACTCACCTTACAAAAAAAGAAGTGGGTCTTTTTTTATATATATACTTTAAGTTCTAGGGTACATGTGCGCAACATGCAGGTTTGTTACATAGGTATGCATGTGCCATGTTGGTTTGCTGCACCCATTAACTCGTCATTTACATTAGGTATTCCTCCCAGTGCTATCCCTCCCCCAGCCCTTCATCCTCCAACAGGCCCCATTGTGTGATGTTCCCTGCCCTGTGTCCAAGTGTTCTCATTGTTCAGTTCCCACCTATGAGTGAGGACGTGCAATGTTTGGTTTTCTGTCCTTGTGATAGTTTGCTGAGAATGATGGTTTCCAGCTTCATCCATGTCCCTGCAAATGACAAGAACTCATCCTTTTTTATGGCTACATAGCATTCCATGGTATATATGTGCCACATTTTCTTAATCCAGTCTATTATTGACGGCCATTTGGGTTGGTTCCAAGTCTTTGCTATTGTTAATAGTGCCGCAGTAAACATATGTGTGCATGTGTCTTTATAGTAGCATGATTTATAATTTTTTGGGCATCTACCCAGTAATGAGATTGCTGGGTCAAATGGTATTTCTGGTTCTAGATCCTTGAGGAATTGCCACACTGTCTTTCACAATGGTTGAACTTTTTACACTCCCACCAACAGCATAAAAGCGGTCCTATTTCTCCACATCCTCTCCAGAATCTGTTGTGTCCTGACTTTTTAATGATCGCCAGTCTAACTGGCATGAGACGGTATCTCATTGTGGTTTCAATTTGCATTTCTCTGATGACCGATGGAATTAATTAGATCCCATTTGTCTATTTTGGCTTTTGTTGCCATTGCTTTTAGTGTTTTAGTCATGAAGTCGTTACCCATGCCTATGTCCTGAATGGTATTGCCTAGGTCTTCTTCTAGGGTTTCTATAGTTTTAGGTCTAACATTTAAGTCTTTAATCCACCTTGAATTAATTTTTGTAAAAAGTGTAAGGAAGGGATCCAGTTTCAGCTTTGTATATATGGCTAGCCAGTTTTCTCAGCACCATTTATTAAGTAGGGAATTATTTCCCCATTGCTTTTGTCAGGTTTGTCAAAGATCAGATGGTTGTAAATGTGTGGTGTTATTTCTGAGGCCTCTGTTCCGTTCCATGGGTCTACATATCTCTTTTGGTACCAGTACCATGCTGTTTTGGTTACTGTAGCCATGTAGTATAGTTTGAAGTCAGGTATTGTGATGCCTCCAGCTTTGTTCTTTTTGCTTAGGACTGTCTTGGCAATGAGGGCTCTTTTTTGGCTCCATATGAAATTTAAAGTAGTTTTTTTCCAATTCTGTGAAGAAAGTCATTGGTAGCTTGATCGGGATGGCATTGTATCTATAAATTACCTTGGGCAGTATGGCCATTTTCACGATATTGATTCTTCCTCTCCGTAAGCGTGGAATGTTCTTCCATTTGTTTGTGTCCTCCTTTATTTCATTAAACAGGGGTTTGTAGTTCTCCTTGAAGAGGTCCTTCATGTCCCTTGTAAGTTGGATTCCTAGGTATTTTATTCTCTTTGTAGCAATTGTGAATGGGAGTTCACTCATGATTTGGTTCTCTGTTTATTATAGTTGTATAGGAATGCTTGTGATTTTTGCACATTGATTTTGTGTCCTGAAACTTTCTGAAGTTGCTTATCAGCTTAGGGAGATTTTGGGCTGAGATGATGGGGTTTTCTAAATATACAATCATGTCATCTGCAAACAGGGGCAATTTGACTTCCTCTTTTCCTAATTGAATACCCTTTATTTCTTTCTCTTGCCTGATTGCCCTGGCCAGAACTTCCAATACTGTGTTGAATAGGAGTGGTGAGAGAGGGCATCCTTGTCCTGTGCCAGTTTTCAAAGGGAATGCTTCCAGCTTTTGCCCATTCAATATGATATTTGCTATGGGTTTGTCATAAATAGCTCTTATTATTTTGAGATACATTCCATCAATACCTAGTTTATTGAGAGTTTTTAGCATGAAGAGCTGTTGAATTTTGTCAAAGGCCTTTTCTGCATCTATTGAGATAATCATGTGGTTTTTGTCACTGGTTCTGTTTATGTGATGGATTACCTTTATTGATTTGCATATGTTGAACCAACCTTGCATCCCAGGGATGAAGCCAACATGATCGTGGTGGATAAGCTTTTTGATGTGCTGCTGGATTCGATTCACCAGTATTTTATTGAGGATTTTCGCATTGATGGTCATCAGGGATATTGGTCTAAAAATCTCTTTTCTTGTTGTGTCTCTGCCAGGCTTTGGCATCAGGATGATTCCGGCTTCATAAAATGAGTTAGGGAGAATTACCTCTTTTTCTATTGTTGAATATTTTCAGAAGGAATGGTACCAGCTCTTCTTTGTACCTCTGATAGAATTTGGCTGTGAATCCGTCTGGTCCTGGACTTTTTTTGGTTGTTAGGCTATTAATTATTGCCTCAATTTCAGAGCCTGTTATTGGTCTGTTCAGAGATTCAACTTCTTCCTGGTTTAGTCTTGGGAGGGTGTATGTGTCCAGGAATTTATTCATTTCTTCTAAGTTTTCTAGTTTATTTGCATAGAGGTGTTTATAGTATTCTCTGATGGTAGTTTGTATTTCTGTGGGATCGGTGGTGAGATCCCCTTTATCATTTTTTATTGCATCTATTTGATTCTCCTCTCATTTCTTCTTTATTAGTTTTGCTAGTGGTCAATCAATTTTGTTGATCTTTTCAAAAAACCAGCTTCTGGATTCCTTTATTTGTTTGAAGGGTTTTTTGTGTCTCTATCTCCTCCAGTTCTATTCTGATCTTAGTTATTTCTTGCCTTTTGATGGCTTGTGAATTTGTTTGCTCTTGCTTCTCTAATCCTTTTAACTGTGATGTTAGGGTGTCAATTTTAGATCTCTCCTGCTTTCTCTTGTGAGCATTTAATGCTATAAATTTCCCTCTACACACTGCTTTAAATGTGTCCCAGAGATTCTGGTACATTGTGTCTTTGTTCTCATTGGTTTCAAAGAACATCTTTATTTCTGCCTTAATTTCATTATGTACCCAGTAGTTATTCAGGAGCAGATTGTTCAGTTTCCATGTAGTTGTGCAGTTTTGGGTGAGTTTAGTTAATCCCGAGTGTTAATTTGATTACACTGTGGTCTGAGAGACAGTTTGTTGTGATTTCTGTTCTTTTCCATTTGCTGAGGAGTACTTTACTTCCAATTATGTGGTCAATTTTAGAATAAATGTGATGTGGTGCTGAGAAGAATGTATATTCTGTTGATTTTGGGTGGAGAGTTCTGTAGCTGTCTATTAGGTCTGCTTGCTGCAGAGCTAAGTTCAAGTCCTGGATATCGTTATCAACCTTCTGTCTCATTGATTTGTCTAATATTGACTGACAGTGGAGTGTTAAAGTCTCCCATTATTATTGTGTGGGAATCTAAATCTCTTTGTAGTCTCTAAGGACTTGCTTTATGAATCTGGATGCTCCTGTATTGGGTGTATATACATTTAGGATAATTAACTCTTCTTGTTGAATTGATCCCTTTACCATTATGTAATGGCCTTCTTTGTCTCGTTTGATCTTTGTTGGTTTAAAATCTGTTTTATCAGAGACTAGGATTGCAACCCCTGCTTTTTTTCTTTTGCTTTCCATTTGCTTGGTGGATCTTCCTCCATCCCTTTATTTTGAGCATACGTGTGTCTCTGCATGTGAGATGGATCTCCTGAATACAGCACAATGATGGGTCTTGACTCTTTATCCAATTTGCCAGTCTATGTCTTTTAATTGGGGTCATTTAGCCCATTTACATTTAAGGTTAATATTGTTATGTGTGAATTTGATCCTGTCATTATGATATTAGCTGGTTATTTTGCCCATTAATTGATGCAGTTTCTTCATAGCATCAATGGTCTTTACAATTTGGCATGTTTTTGCAGTGGATGGTACTGGTTGTTCCTTTCCATATTTAGTGCTTCCTTCAGGAGCTCTTGTAAGGCAGGCCTGGTGGTGACAAAATCTCTCAGCATTTGCTTGTCTCTAAAGGATTTTATTTCTCCTTCACTTATGAAGCTTAGTTTGGCTGGATATGAAATTCTGGTTTGAAAAATTCTTTTCTTTAAGAATGTTGAATATTGTCCCCCACTCTCTTCTGGCTTGTAGGGTTTCTGCCAGGAGATCTGCTGTTAGTATGATGGGCTTCCCTTTGTGGGTAATCCGACCTTTCTCTCTGGCTGCCCTTAACATTTTTTCCTTCATTTCCACCTTGGTGAATCTGACAATTATGTGTTTTGGGGTTGCTCTTCTTGAGGAGTACCTTTGTGATGTTCTCTGTATTTCCTCAATTTGAATGTTGGCCTTGCTTGCCAGGTTGGGGAAGTTCTCCTGGATAATATCCTGAAGAGTGTTTTCCAACTTGGTTCCATTTTCCCCATCATTTTCAGGTACACCAATCAAATGTAGATTTTGTCTTTTCACATAGTCCTATATTTCTTGGAGGATTTATTCATTTCTTTTTATTCTTTTTTTCTCTAAACTTCTCTTCTCGCTTTATTTCATTAATTTGATCTTCAATCACTGATATCCTTTCTTCCACTTGATTGAATTGCCTATTGAAGCTTGTGCATGTATCACGAAGCTCTTGTGCCATGGTTTTCAGCTCAATCAGGTCATTTAAAGTCTTCTCGACACTGTTTATTCTAGTTAGCCATTCGTCTACCCTTTTTTCAAGGTTTTTGGCTTCTTTGTGATGGGTTAGAACGTGCTCCTTTAGCTCGGAGAAGTTTGTTATTACCGACCTTCTGAAGCCTACTTCTGTCAACTCGCCAAAGTCATTCTCCATCCATCTTTGTTCCGTTGCTGGTGAGGAGCTGCGATCCTTTGGAGGAGAAGAGACACTCTGGTTTTTAGAATTTTCAGCTTTTCTGTTCTGGTTTATCCCCATCTTTGTGGTTTTATCTGCCTTTGGTCTTTGTTGTTGGTGACCTACAGATGGGGTTTTGGTGTGAATGTCCTTTTTGTTGATGTTGCTGCTATTCCTTTCTGTTTGTTAGTTTTCCTTCTAATAGTCAGATCCCTCAGCTGCAGGTCTGTTGGAGTTTGCTGGAAGTCCACTCCAGACCCTGTTTGCCTGGGTATCACCAGCAGAGGCTGTAGAACAGCAAATATTGCAGAACGGCAAATATTGCTGCCTGATCCTTCCTCTGGAAGCTTCATCCCAGAGGCATGCACCTATATGTGGTGTCCGTCAGCTGCCACTGGGAGATGTCTCCCAGTTAGGCTACACAGGGGTCAGGGACCCACTTGAGGAGGCAGTCTGTCTGTTCTCTGAGCTCAAATGCCATGCTGGGAGAACAACTGCTCTCTTCAGAGCTGTCAGACAGGGACGTTTAAGTCTGCAGAAGTTTCTGCTGGCTTTTGTTCAGCTATGCCCTGCCCACAGAGGTGGAGTCTATAGAGGCAGTAGGCCTTCCTGAGCTGTGGTGGGCTCCCCCCAGTTCGAGCTTCCCAGCCGCTTTGTTTACCTACTTAAGCCTCAGCAATTGCAGACACCCCTCCCCCAGCCAGGCTACAGCCTCGCGGGTTGATCTCAGGCTGCTGCGCTAGCAGCGAGCAAAGCTCCATGGGTATGGAACCCCCCGAGTCAGGCATGGGAGAGAATCCCCTGGTCTGCTGGTTGCTAAGACTGTGGGAAAAGTGCAGTATTTGGGCAGGCGTGTCCCATTTTTCCAGGTACAGTCTGTCACGGCTTCCCTTGGCTAGGAAAAGGAAATCCCCCGACCCCTTGCACTTCTCGGGTGAGGCGACGCCCCTCCCTGCTTCAGCTTGCCCTCCATGGGCTGCACCAATGTCCAACCAGTCCCAGTGAGATGAACCAGGTACCTCAGTTGGAAATGGAGAAATCACCTGTCTTCTGCGTCAATCATGCTGGGAGCTGCAGACCAGAGCTGTTCCTATTCGGCCATCTTGGAACGGTACCCAAAGTGGGTCTTGAAGGCTTGAACCCTCACCTGTTCCAGGTCACTCACCCTCCATGTTACCATCTTTGTGGAGGCTGGCTTGGTAGATAACCTTGAGCCACTACTTCTCAGGAGACAGCTTTGAAGGATATCTGTATGTGCAAGCCCTCACAGCCAAACAGGAGCTCATGCAAAATGTAAGGGGGAAAGAAAAATTAAGCAAAAAAACTCATAACCAGGGTGAAGTGTATTTTGGATCGTAGATTTTTATTACTGCCAGCCAGTGTCAGGCAGGGGCCATTAATCCTCATATGGTGTTGAACAGTAAATCTGCAATACTGAGCCTCTACCACAGGTGGAATTTGGTCTGTAAAAAAGATTCCTCACTTGAGATGGGGCTAAAGTGATTAGCAGCCACTGCGTTTATAGAACACCACTAAAAAGAAAGAACATATTTTAACATAATGTCTCAGCAGTGCCAAGCTGCACTCTCTTGGGTGTGTTTCCTAATGAAGCCTTTGCTCTCTTTTTGTTCTGTCCTTGGCGAAGGTGTGGATCATATCTTTTTTAAAGTTGAGATCCTGTCCAATGAAGACCGGGAATGGCATGAATCTTTCTCACTAGTCCTTGGCCCAGATGACCCAGTGGAAGCAGTTCTTGGGGATGTGACTACTGCCACGGTGACAATTCTAGACCAGGAGGCAGCAGGGAGCCTCATATTGCCAGCACCACCCATTGTGAGTTGCTTGACCCAAAGGATTGCTGTTTTACGTCTCAGTGACTAGTAGATGAGAACTGAAGGGAAGTACTCTATTTCTTTATTCTTCTAACCCAGTGGTTCCCAACCAGGAGCCATCTTGCCTTCCATCATCCCCTTTCCAGAGGACATTTAAGCAATGTCTGGAGACATTTTTGGTTGTCACAGTTGTCACACCAGGTGCTACTAGTATCTAGTGGGTAAAAGCCAGGGATACTCCTAAACATCCCATAATGCACAGGGAAGCCCCCGACAACAAAAGTAATTATTTGGCACAAATGTCAATAGTGTTGAGGGTAAGAAACCCTGTTCTGACCTAAAAGTGAGACCAAATCCTGTTGGTATCTTAGTCTGATAAAGATAGAAAATACAATACAATTGATCTTCTCATTTCTTTGATGGGACTTAGAAGAGTAAGAAGGTAATACTACCTCATATCTATCATCCCACATATTCACTATATTTATAGAATTAAGTACCTGTGGGAAGGTAGTACCAGATTTCCTAACTTGGGGTGAATAGAATGAATGCACTGTCCTTACAATTAAGAGGAAAACACCTAGAGGTTGCCAAGGAAAATTTAACCCATAATTGTGAAGCAATCAGAAGAAGCCTTCTGACTTCCGCTAACTTGTCTCATATATTAGAAAAGAATGATGATTATTTCAAAATGTGTCTCTTATTTGGCCATGGAAGAAATATACCACCTCTATTTACTCTTATTTTGCCAAATGTTCTACTATATACCATCAACTATTTAATGCAACTTTAAACTAGCAACTGCTATTCATGATACAGCTTTGGTTCCAATGGGCAGGAAAATCAGAGTATTTTTTTACATGAGTGATAGGGCTCTGATTTAGGAATAAAACTAAAAGGATAATAAAGCTTCTAGCCCAACCAGTAGAAGAATCTTCTCCACCACTAAAGATCTGCAGTATCTTTTAAGGATGCCTGGCAAAGAATTATAAAAACTTCTCCTGTTATATTTCAAAGAACCTGTAGACACTAAGAGATCTTGTGGATCTCTAAAGAAAGGGGGCTTAGTTCTCTGACCTTGCCAATACCCAACCTGAACTGAAGCTTTGTTGCTCTTTCGCAGGTGGTCACACTTGCTGACTATGACCATGTGGAAGAAGTTACCAAGGAAGGAGTCAAGAAATCCCCCTCCCCAGGCTACCCACTGGTCTGTGTCACCCCCTGCGACCCTCATTTCCCCAGATACGCTGTCATGAAGGAGCGCTGCAGTGAGGCCGGCATCAACCAGACATCTGTGCAGTTCAGCTGGGAAGTGGCTGCCCCCACTGATGGCAATGGGGCCCGGTCTCCCTTTGAAACCATCACTGACAACACACCATTCACCAGTGTCAACCACATGGTAGGTCTGGGGGTCTGGGCCTGGTTCTCCCTCCCTGGGAGAGAACTGGTGTTGTTCTTTGTTACTCAGATAATCAAATTCCTTATGGTCCATGCATGGCATTTGGAATAAAACAAATAAGCAGGTGCACAGTCTTTTTACTCTTATACATAAGAAAAGGTTATATGCTGTAATAGAAAACTAAGCTAGTTAGAAGACCTGTTTGCAAATTCTGGTTCTGCCTGTTTTAAACTAAATAATGTTAAGAGGTTACTTAATCTCTCTGAGTCTCAGTCTCCTGATCTGCAAAGTAATAATTCTTTTGCTTGGCTACTTGACAAGGTCATTGAAAAATGTGACCTATAAATGACAAAGTCAGTGAAAAACTCCAGATAGGCGCTGTTGATTACTATTAATGTATCTCCAATCGTTCAATAAGTATTAACACATAACTCCTTATGGACATGAACCAAAGTTTCTACCACATTTCTGTAATGCAGTAGAAACATGGCCCAAAATGGCCAGGACATCGATGGCACATAGAGGGGACCAGTTATTAAATAAAAGAATAGAATGGTTGCTGAATGATCAGCACGTTACAAAGCTCTATGGGAGGCCATGAAAAGACATTTGTGCAGCAGTTGCTGTCCTCAAAAAGCTTAGAGACCAACACCCCTGACACCATCAGAGAACAATGAATAGTATGTTTTCCCAACCTTAACAAACAGCCCACCACAGTGATCCTGCACATCATACTGATAAAGCTGGTTCTCTTCCAAAAGTGAGCTGAAAGCAGTTGAGATTCAGGCTTAGTATATAGTACCTGGCATGTAGTAAGCATCCAACAATTCTTGCCTAAAATTATATCACTGAATGATTTTAGACATCAGAGATTTCTTTCAGACCAAATTTCTCTAGATTTTCCTGTTCATTCCACAGTTTATTCCCACTGTAATAAGAGCTTCACTGGGATGAATAGCAGAGGAAAACCACTAGACATAGATGGGAGGCTTTGGATAATGCAGGGTCGTTCATACCCACTCTCTTTGGCACAGCTTATTCAGAAAGGCCTGAAGAGCAATTCTTTTGCAACATAACCTAGTTCAAATTTAAATAGTCTTCTCTATTATTAAAAAATCAACATGGCAAGAATTACCAGCTTGTTGTTTCTTAAGTATCTATTTCTGTCTTCAACAAAACTGTAAAGGAGGTGTGGTCTGGTTGGAGCCAAATGTACATTTTTAACAGATAAATTTATGACTTTATGCTTCAGGTTTTCTTCTTGCAATGAATTTGTGACTAATACCCTTTACCCTGGTTTCCGTCACTTTATCTTGATTTCTTCAATTATTTATTTAATGCCATTCTATTATATGCATTCTTGTAGGATGCCTCAAATCCCTTCTGTACTAAGTTCATGTATATATAAATAAGTAAAGCATTGGCAGCTAATTAAAAAAAAGTTTAATGGAAAAATTTTCTTTAGTTTTTAATGGACTTCAGTGAAAATTGTTTTCATGGGTAAAATGTATAAGTTTGTGTGATTGCTTTGTGAGAGGTCTGTGGCACACAGAACTACTGATTAATTTTTCTTGTTATATACTTCCCTATGTAAATGCACACATAACCTAAAGAGTCCTGGTGACCTACATTGCCTCTGCATAGATTGAGTTAAGCACTCTTAGGGCTTCTGTATGTTTGGGGACTTGGAGGAATCTGTGGAAAGACCTTCAAAGACTAGAAGGTGTCAGAGGCCAAGTTCTCAGCTTCAAGCCTGCATGTTATTATAACCCTTGCAGTGTGTGGTCACTGGGTAGGGAGATGGGATGATCGAGGGAGGATAACAGTAGGATAAAGAGACCATGAGAATTCCTGGGAAGGAAGCATATTTCCTCTGTCTCCTGACATCATGCTCTCAGCAACAGTGATTTGGAGGCCAACCAGTCTTGCTAGAAGCCTGAATAACACTTGGGTCATCCTTCTGCTGAGCCTAGTATATAAAGAGAACAATACTATTAATGGAAATCATTCATCTATGGGTTTGTGCTCCACATCTGTCTACTTGCTTGTTGACTATCTTACCCCCTTAGGCTATAAGTACTCACTGATCTGTCTCAAGTGTCTGGTTCATAGTTAAAAGTCAATAATTACGTGATGAATGAATGAATAGATGGAAAAATCAATGGATGGGTGGATGGATGATCTTTACAGATTAACTTGAACCAGATCATGTAAGGAGCTGTTTAAGTAGGGTACTCACATTGGAGGTGATTTTTTCTTCCTGTTAGGTCCTGGACAGCATTTACTTCAGCCGGAGGTTCCATGTGCGTTGTGTGGCCAAGGCTGTGGACAAGGTGGGCCATGTGGGGACCCCCTTAAGGAGCAACATTGTTACCATTGGAACAGACAGTGCTATCTGCCACACACCAGTGGTGGCTGGGACATCCAGAGGCTTCCAGGCTCAGTCCTTCATCGCAACCTTGAAATACCTGGATGTCAAACATAAGGAGCATCCGAACAGGTCAGGCAGGTGGTGCCTTCCACCACACATAGATTGAAGTGAATCTCAGGTCTCCTTTGTGTGTTTCCCAGGACAATCAATAAGGGATGCTTCTGCATGATAAAAATGTGATGATGAATGCATCAGTAAAAGTTTAAATCTGTGAAGGTCCCTCAAGCTCGGGCCCCCTGCCTATCTTCCTAGTCTTTCTCTCACCTTGTCATTTTCACCGGCCATTCCAACCACAAGGAATCATGAGTAACTTCCCAAGTGCTACAGACTCTTACAGGTTGCATATCTCTGCCATGCTGTTACCTCAACTCTCCCTAACCCCCTTCCACTGGCCGGAACCCTACTGTCCTACAATACCTACTGCATGGCATCTCTTCTAGGGACATTTCCAACATCTCCCCTAATTTAATTTGGAGGCTTCCCCTCCTGGCTTCTCTGGCACCTGTATATGCTTCTTTTAGAAGATTATTAGCATTCACTCTCTCTGCCCTTTAGTAGATGGTAAGGCCTGAAGACCATGAGTATGTATTTTGAGTATCTTCTGCCAGTATAGTGCTTCTTGGCATCTAAGAGGCACTCCTAAATATCTACTGAACAAATGAATAATAACATTGTAGAAATTAGGAGACATTGGACTTAATTTTTTTCTGGGCCACCATGATGGGAAATGGATGTTTTCATTTTTGCATAGCAAAAAAGAATTTGTGTATGTTATGCGTATTTATTAAACACTATAGTATTTAAGTGTGTGCCTTTATGAACAACTCAGTTGCTCATAAACTCAGAAAAATGAGTTCCTTTGTATGAATAAAACATGTTTGAATGAATATGTACATGCTTCTTTCTTTCCTGACACAATAAAATGTATCTTGGTGACCCCTTCCTAGAAAAAAGGCCCTCCTCTTCACTTCCAGGGTTCTGATTCTACTTAAAAATGTGACTCTTTGCTCAGAGAGACAAGTATATAAACTCAAAACACACTTTCAGTAAACACGCTCAAAGTTTAAACTGGTACAATGACAAAAATGCAACCCATAAGTACTATCATGTTGCAGTCTTAACCAATATTTATTAAACTCATTTCTTATTTAGAATTGTATACTATGTGCCCTGGAGAAACAAAAGAAGTGAAGGAAATATTCCTTGTCCTCATAGTGGAGAGGCAAGACAAACAGAGTCTGAAAACATTTGAGAAATAGCAGCCAATATAAATAAGTTACAGATTTCCTGGTCCAAAGGCTGCCTAAGAGCTGAGGATGTAGATCAAGGAACAGCACACTGCAGATTGAGGCTGGCGGGGCTGGACACGTAGTGCTGATAGGACTTACAGGCAGACTGGAGAGAGAAGGCTGTTTTCAGTCAGGAGAGACAGTATAAGTAGCTGGATATTGTAGTTTCTCAGATTTGGCTGGGTAGAGGAATTGGTTTTAGAGTTTAAAAGCTCAACGATATATTTTTGACTCAAATACTTAAAAGAAATGTGAGTGTCAACCTTACCTAACTTCCATAGACATTCACTGTGACAGAGCAGGGGAACAGGCCCTCTCTAGTCACTCAGCTTTAGCTCCTGAAATAACAGAGTTTCCATTAAAAAGCAAAGGAGAGCTTTAAAGTAATTTGTGGTTGTGATGTTATCTTTTCCTGTATAGAAAAAAAATCTATAATTCTAGATTACTATCAGTCCTCTGTCTGGAGGGTCTCTTAGAGGGAAGCAATGATACTATGTGTATATGTATACCCCCTGTTCAGATAGAAATCCTACCTGGAAAGCTTCAGGAAGAAAAAAAAATGGTAGCTCATTGGTGAAGACAAATTAGGTGATGAGAAAGAAGTATGTCCTATTGACCATTTATAGCAGTCAGCTAAACATTTATTTCTGCCTTTTTCCCCCTAGAATCCACATTTCGGTGCAGATCCCACACCAGGATGGAATGCTGCCCCTTATCTCCACCATGCCGTTGCACAACTTACATTTTCTACTGTCTGAGTCCATCTACAGACACCAGCACGTCTGCTCCAATTTAGTTACCACCTATGACCTGAGAGGCATCTCAGGTGAGATTGACAAGTTCAGGACTGGTCTTTCCATGCTAGCCCAGTGCAGTTGACTTTCAGGATATGCCAGAGTGAGAACTGCTTTTCATGTTTTCTGGTCCTCAGAATCCACATATTAGTGGTTTTCCTTCTAGCACACATGCAAATGCCATCAGTTCAGTCAATGCAGTGGACAGGAAGAAACAAGGACTTTGGAATCACACTGGTTCAAATCCTTATTCCACTGAACAAATATAGTTTGACCTTTCTGAGCCACTGTTGTCTATAAAGTGGGAATAACAATTGCTACCACTCAAGATGAGGATTAAATGCGTTGACATTTTTAAAGCACCTACTATGGTATATTTTAGTGTCTTCATTCCCTTAGAGTGAGCATGTTTACATTGGTGCTCCAAAAACCTGTTATAGAAAGCTGAAGTGAAGATGGTATAGGATGAGTTCTCCAGAAGCAGGAGCTGAGAGGGAGTTTGGGGTTACAAGATGTTTATTAGGGATCAATATCTGTGAAAGAGAAGGAGCGAAACAGGATTGGGCAGAGGGAGAAGTCAAGCTGCAATGCAGGCTGAAAAAGCCATCTCGGCCATGGCAGGGAGCTCTGGAGAGACTTGTCCTACTTCCAGCTGACACAGCCAGACCCTTATAGCCTACCTAGCTAAGTCACTGGATGCAGGCTGCCCCGCAAGGGCATGACCTTGGGCTGAGCCAATATGCAGCTGACGCAGAGCTGAAGGAGCTGACAGCTGAGGCAGCGCATCTCTGTGTTCACCACAGCAGACATTTGACTTTACAAAGAATTCTGTCCATTTCCATTTACCTTAGCAAGTGCACATTAAATGCATATTTCCTCCTTTCACAAATGATGAAACACTTAACAGTGTTTTTGAAGACAGAAATGCATTCATATTCTCTTTCATATTCATTAAGCATCACTTTTGGTCATGATGGTCTTTATACAGTAGAAATTAGCTGAGTGAAAATTATTTATAAATCACTGAGCTACATATGAAAGTTTAATTGGTCCACATCTGTAGCTAGTGGAAGAGACATACTGTGTTTAAATACTAAACTTTGCACCTGTTCCTGCTTAAAAGCAATTAAATTCAAGACATGTTAATTGAGTACCTAGTCATCATGGGGCAGAGGGCTAGGTGCTGGGTCTCAAGCATTCTAAGATATTTATCAACCCTTTTAAAATACTACAGTTGCTTTTAGTACTATAAAAATTTTAACCCAGCCGGGTGCAGTGGCTCATGCCTGTAATCCTAGCACTTTGGGAGGCTGAGGCGGGTGGATTGCCTGAGCTTAGGAGTTTGAGACCAGCCTGGGGAACACAGTGAAACCCCATCTCTACTAAAAACATAAAAAATTAGCCAGGTGTGGTGACGTGCACCTGTAATCCCAGCTACTCGGGAGGCTGAGACAGGAGAATCGCTTGAACCCAGGAGGCGGAGGTTGCAGTGAGCCGAGATCGCACCATTGCACTCCAGTCTGGGTGACAGAGTAAGACTCCATCTCAAAAAAAAAAAAAAATTTAACCCTCATATTCTAAAATTGTGTCTGTGTTCAGCTCCCTACTGCATAAAGTTCTCCCTTAATTTAGAGCCATTCATGTGCTTGGCAGCATTTGATTAAATAATTTTTGCCTGGCACAGGTGAGAGTTACAGGCATCATTAGTGACCTATTTACTCACTAACAAAAAATTAAGACTTTCCCCCGACAAGAGTTCAGAAACTGTATGAGCAAGAAGTAGTCAAATGTAGGTATGCTGGCTTTTTTTTTTTTTTTTGAGATGGGGTCTCAAAAAAGAAATTTTAAAAATCACTCTTAAAATAATAATTCACCAATGAATGAGCCATACAGTAAATCCATTTCTTCAGCAGTGGTGGGGACATATATGAAGCACAGGACCAGACTTGCCAGGTATAACAGGCAAAGCTTCAGAGAGTTTTCCTTTCCAAGTTCTGCCGCCTTCATTCATGGTATCATTTGCTCACCTTTTCCTCCCTGGTTCCTGTGGTCTCTTAGAGGTGGAGTCCTCCATTCAACACCTGGCAACAGCAGTTAGCAAGCGCTTTCCAAGATCCCTCACATTCTCCCTGCACATTGGGAGCCCTGGGTTGCTTTGTTAGTAGGGTCTCAGGTGATTGAAAGTGCTTTTAGTGCAAAAGGGTGAGCTCTTCACCCCACCCTGCTCCTTGGCATCCACAAACCAAGTTATCGTTCCTTGTTCTTCCCTCCCTGGCAGAGGCAGGGTTCCTGGATGATGTGGTCTATGATAGCACTGCCCTGGGGCCTGGCTACGATCGCCCCTTCCAGTTTGACCCCAGCGTGCGAGAGCCGAAGACCATCCAGCTCTACAAACACCTGAACCTGAAGAGCTGCGTGTGGACCTTTGATGCTTATTATGACATGACTGAGCTGATTGACGTCTGTGGGGGCTCTGTAACCGCTGACTTCCAGGTAGGTGCCCCGGGGCTTGTCTGAGGACTCTGCATATGGGTGCCATGGTCAACCTTGTTTGTTCCTGAAGCACTTCAATTAGCACTTTGCCTCCAGAACTGGGACAACCAACTAAGGGAGTCTTCTTTATAAGTCCCTCAAGCAAGATCTTGGCAGCACTGAAGCTAGAGAAGGCCCCCAAAGTCCTCTAAATCAAGTTAATGTGGAAAAAACTTACTGTCTGGCATACTCACTTATGTAAAAATCCAATATTTACTTCTCTAGGCATATATGTTTTTGTATTTATAATGCATATATTTTGGAAAGCCAAAAATATTTACATTTGATGCTAGGGTTATTACTACATTGATATATTCTCTTCCCCACCTGGGAAAATGCGTCAGATGATGCAGCCTGTCTTTCAGAAGATAAGAAGAGCTCTGTTGTCCTATGCATTGTGGAAAGATAATTGCTTAAAACATTTTTATTTCACACCTGTTCCAAACTGCCAGCCCCCACAAAAATAGACACTTTCTAAAATATATATTACCATTAAACATTAGTGTGTTAGTCTATTCTCACACTACCATAAAGACAAACCAGAGACTGGTAATCTATAAAGAAAAGAGGTTTAATTGACTCACAGTTCCACATGGCTGGAGAGGCCTCAGGAAACTTATAATCATAGTGAAAGGGGAAGCAGACATGTCTTACATGGTGGCAGGTGAGAGAGAGCAAGCAAGAACAAGGAAAACTGCCTTATAAAACCATCAGATCTCATGAGAACTCACTATCACAAGAACAGCATGAGGGAAACCACCCCCATGATCCAATCACCTCCCATCTGGTTCCTCCCTTGACATGTAGGGATTATGGGGATTACAATTCAAGATGAGATTTGGGTGGGGACACAGAGCCAAACCATATCAATTAGTGACAACTGAAAAATTTATAGCAAGAAGCCAGAGTCAGAGAAGGGCGGTTATATCAAAGGGCCAGTGAGACTAGGCTAATCTGTCCTCATGGGAAAATTAATTCTAAAACAGGTTCTATCCAATTTTGAGCAGTTATCTCAATGAGCTAAAAACTAGTTAGATGTTTGTTCTTCATTTCAAATCAGGTTTATCCTCACTGAAGGAGAGAAATTATAGAGGGATTTACAGTAATTATTTAGAGAAAGTGTCTTTGATTAAAATTTGTCATTTTCTTTGTGGTGCCTCTCAGCCTGGTTTCCTCTCATTTTGTACACACTACTGCCATCTACTGAAGAGAATTTTAAGGCGTTCATCGGTTTTCCATTTCTCCAGTTGTATAAACTTTGACTTTGGAAAATGCAAAACTAAGTGATTTTGTTTCTTTCCTGGCCCTTCAAAAATTAGTATTCTCTGTTCTTTATGATTTTGCTGTAATTACTGTTTGAATATTTTTATTCAGAATATGCTTAAAAACTCAAAGACAAGGATTTGTTATATATAATCCCACTTTTAAACCAACACAGAAAAAACATGCACAGAAGTATTTTGTTGTTGTCTGTTTCTTTGAAAATAATTGAAATTACTGACGTATGATAGGAAGAATATAGAACTTAGAACTAAGGCCTAGTTGGTACCTTTTGCTGTCAATCAACAGGCTTGGACAAGACATAACCTCTCTGAACCTCTTCTGAAATTGTACTAATAATCTCAACATGAGAAGGTGCCTTGCACAGTGTGCCTGGTGTAGAATAGGCATGCAGTAAATATTTGTTGGGTTTTTTTTTCTTTTTAAAGATTAGTGAGTAATATCATGAGGGCTAAAGGAGGATAAACAAAAACAAATGAGGAAAAATTAATTTTGCCAATCAGCTAGAGATTTTATTGAAGTTCTGATAGTGTGATTGGAGCAGGTGTATTTAGCAAAACCTGTGTATAAGGGACAGAACATGGTACAAGGTCCAAATACAATCTGGAAATTTTCTTTAAAAAGAACAAAAAGAGGGGCTGGGAACAGTGGCTCATACCTGTAATCTCAGTACTTTGGGAGGCTGAGGCTGGAGGATCACTGGAGGCCAGGAAGTTGAAGCTGCAGTGAGCTATGATGGAGTCACTGCATTCTAGTCTGGGCTACAGAGAGAGACCCCATCTCTTGAAAAACAAACAAACAAACAAACAAACAAACAAAGTAAGGCATGTCAAAATGGAATTTTTCAATGAGTATGGAGTTAGTTGAGTCTTTTGAGAAAGTTGGCATCAAATTTTAAATCCCTGACAACTTTGAATATTAAAAAAAAACTTTAGAAAAATATTAAAACATTTGGTTTTTTCCTTAATTACCCATAGAAACACTTTATACTGTATTTTCAAACAAAAGAAAAATATAAGTCCCATAGTATATTATAGTAATTAGCCAATGATAAAATAAAATTGTTTTAAGCTAAGTTTTTTTGTTGTGTATATATATATATATATATATATATATATATTTATTTATTTATTTATTTGTGGAAAAAAGTATAAAAATATTTTAAAAATGTGTGAACTAACTCCCCATTCACACACACATATACAGCTAGCTTCACCACAAAAGCTTCTGCTACCATTCTGTTATCTTTCCATCCAGTTTTGTTCATTACATAGTAAAATGAAAATGATTGGGCCAAATTAAAAGCAGGAACACAAACTTCCTTAGAAGAAATGTTCTCTTGGAAATGTGATATGCTGCCTTTTCAAAACTCTTTCCAAAGCATAGCATGGGACAGGAAATTACTGAAGTACGTGCAGCTCTGAGCTGTCCATTGGTGAGCTTCCTATATATGATTTCAATGCTCCGGCCCTTTGTTCCTGGAGCAGGAGATGAGAGCACTCACTAAAACATCCTGAGTTAGGCACAGGCTCCTCCCAGGCGTCTGGATGTGGGCATCTTCCTGATGATGGTTGACTTGGGCTCTCCCACAGGTCACTGGCAAATGATCAATACAGGGAGTTTGTACTGAGTGGTAGATCCCACATCCACCGGGTTGATCCTTGAGAATAATTGTGATATTCTCAAATTTCAGCCAAATCTTCTAGCAACTGAACAGAGCTCATTCTCCCACTTCAAAAGTATTTTTGTTCAAGTGCCACCTCCTTAGAGAAGCCTCTGCACGTGACCCTGTCGAAAGAAGCATCCCGGCTGCTTTCTATTCCATTAGTTCCTTTATTTTTTTAAATAAGTAAGTGCAATCATGGGCACTTGCTTAATAATTATTGAATAAGTGTGTGACTACATGGGTGAATGAAAATGGAACCAAGATGTGGTGATAGTATGTCTTTTCATCCCAGGGGAGAAATAACTCTGTGTGCATACTGCTTCCTCGGCAGGTGAGGGACTCTGCCCAGTCCTTCTTGACAGTGCACGTGCCTCTATATGTGTCCTACATCTATGTGACAGCCCCCAGGGGCTGGGCCTCCTTGGAGCACCACACCGAGATGGAGTTTTCTTTCTTCTATGACACTGTTCTCTGGAGAACAGGTATGCCCACTGACGCCTTAACTATCCCTTTAGTTAGGGCTTCACTCAAGCAAGATTAAAAGAAGAGTAGTGACTTTTAACAGTAGCTGCATTTCTCATCCTGTTATCCCGAAGACAAAGTGGGGCCACCTCAAAGTGCAGATCTGTGGTTCCTGAAAAGAATGATGTCCTTCTGTCCTGATGCTGGAAGGTCTCAGCCCAGATAGCTAAGGTCCCAGCGTAGAGGATGGCAAGTGACAAATGAGTCCTCTACTGCCCGTTAGGGATTCAGATGGGTGTGTGTTCTTTTGGAATATAACCCAAATGATTTTCATTTTCTCCTAGTGAAAAATTGTGTGGTTCTTGTTTTTACAGAGCAAAAGGATCTTCAAATCAGATGCAAGGAAATGGAAAAATGTGTCAAGAGCACTTGAAATATTTATGTCAAGTAGCCCACTTTATTCATTTGGCAAAGAGTCTGCTCTTTAATTGCATCCTCCAAAGAAGGGATTTTAACCTTCCGAAGTCAAGGGCTGTGATACTGAATGTTTAAAATGACCTTTCCCTCAGGCTCATCCCCATTACTGTCCTCTTTGGGAGGAGCCTCCAAGAACTAAGTGGGAGGCAGCCCTTCAGCTGGGAGCCCACACCTCACCCCCACTCAGTTTCCACACCTCACCCCCACTCAGTTTCCACACCTACCTCCTCCTACTGCTTCCACATAGATGCTCCTTAAAACTCCCCAATTTTCTCCTCCGTTCTCTCCAATCGTTCTTGGTTATTTTTGTTTTTCTTGTTTTTTTTTTTTTCCTCATTTTTAGTGTCCTGTACTTCACACACTACCCCTAACCTATTTCCCCAAACCCATTTCCCCTAAATTCTGCTGCTCCCATCCTCCCTGTTTTCCTCTTCAGGGGTGAGGTGCTTTATCTGGGGCAAACATACTAAAAAAAATACAAGAGTTTTCTTTTGAGAAAGCTTCATCTCTACTAATTGAAATTACAGTCATCATTCATATCTATTAGTGTTTGGTTCCAGGACCTCCCACAGACACCAAGATCTGAGGATGCTCAAGTCCCTCATATAAAATGGTGTAGTATTTACATATAACCTATACATATACTCCCTTATGCTTTAAATCATCTCTAGATTATTTATAAACCTAATACAATGCATATGCTATATAAATAGTTGTTATGCTATATTGTTTAGGAAATAATGACAAAAAAATCTATATGTTTAGTGCAGATGCATTTTTATTCTTATATTTTCTATTTGAGGTTGGGTGAATCCACAGATGCAGAATCCATGATGTAGAACCTACAGATACAAAGGGCTGGCAGTGTAGTCCTTTCTTCTGTGAAATGTCTTAGGCTCAAATCATTTTTGGCTTTATATTTCTCATGGGAAAATAACTTCAGGCAGCTTTCCCACTCTGGGTCAGATAATTCCTTGAGCTCTTGTTTTTGTTTTGTTTTGTTCAAGTTCATGTTTCTAATCCTTACGTTACTCTTTGGTTTTGTTCTTTCTGAACTCACTGGGGACCATGACTACAATTTCCTTTATTAAAGCCACAGCTTTCTTGTGTCATGTTGGCTTTCTACAAGCTGGCTTTAATTCTCCTTTGGTTTGAGTACTAAATGTAGCCACCAGGACTTTGTTTATACCTCTGTTAAGTCCGGAAAGGTATCTTGGCGAGGAAAAGAAAGTATAATAAGAAGCAGATGTGCTGTAACCATACCCTGGTGTAAAGTTTGATAGTAAGAAGTTTTAAGATTCATTTTTTTGCTGAACCCTGCATCTGGGTTAAGTGGAACTTACAGGTTTGAAAAGTCTATGTCAAGAACAGTGGAACCATTACAAAAAAAAAAAGAACCAAGTGAAATTAGCTGTCATACAATTTTAATTGGCATATGTTTCTATAGACATATAAATGTTATCTTGTTACATTCAAATAAATGTGCAGCTATACTTGGAGGTGTCCTTGGGATAACTTATATGTGGTTGCTGTCAGGGAGGAATTTTCCATGCCCTAGCATTTTCTCTCTGCTTTCCTGCCCAGGAATCCAGACAGACAGCGTGCTCTCTGCAAGGCTTCAGATAATAAGAATCTACATTCGAGAGGATGGCCGTCTTGTCATTGAATTCAAGACCCATGCCAAATTCAGAGGTAATATCAATGCCGTTTTTTTTTTCCAACTTTTTATTAAGAAACATTTCACACATACAGAAAGTTGAAAGAATAGAACAGTAAAAAACAGTCAACAATGATTAACATTTTGCTATACATCCATGTGCACATACATCCATCCATACATATCTTTTTTTGTCACACCGTTCAGAAACAAGTTGCAGACTTCGTGTCAAGTTACCCAAAATACTTCAGTTGACATCTCCTAAGAACAAGGACATTCTCTTATAGAATCACAACATCATGATCACTTCTACGATATTTAGCATTGATTCAATAATATCCAGTCTCTATTCATATTTCCTTTATTGTTCCACAAACGTCTTTTCCACTTATTTTTATATTTGTTTATTTTATAACTGCTTACATAAAAAGAAAGAAGTTCCAGTTATGATTCATATGTTACATTTTGATTGTTATATTGCTTTAGTTTCTTTTAATCTAAAATATTCCCCCTACTTTTATTTATTCACAACGCTATTTCAGTGCAGTTTTAAAGAGTGGGGGTATCTTGCTGATAACATTTACCCTTTTAATGATGTTTATAATTATACCCTTCTACCAAGGACTTCAATGGCCCTAAATGTGACTTTTATCTGATGCTGATATTTCCATTTATAAACTACTGAGACCTTTCTACCTCCAAGAAACATGTTCGTTAGAATTCAAAGCTATGTATATTCAGTGTTCATTGTCACATAAAGACCCCTATTATTGTGAATATACTCATTAGCACCATTTCCACAAGGAATATTCCTATTGTTTATAAATAAATACCTATGACTATGATGACCATCACAAGTAGGACGATGGGCTAGGGTGAGATGCCATTCTATCCAGTGTGGAATATATTCTAAGGGGCAAAATGGGCTAAGCTTAGTTGTTTGAGAGAAGAACATTAATTCAGTTCTCAGGCTTTTGTGGGGCTCTACCAGGTACAGTCAAACTAAAGCTCTACCACAAGTACATTAAATGCATGTGTTTCCCCTTCAAATAGGACAGTTTGTGATGGAGCATCACACTCTCCCAGAAGTGAAATCTTTCGTATTGACTCCAGACCACCTAGGAGGAATTGAATTTGACTTGCAGCTATTATGGAGCGCTCAGACTTTTGATTCTCCACATCAACTCTGGAGAGCCACAAGCTCTTATAACAGGTAAATACAGTGATGGAGGCCTCCATGGGTAGAGCTGAATGGTTTTCCATTTCTTTCAGGAGCTTGGGAAATAGTGCTTTCCTCTGAAGGCTAGACTTTTATTTTAAAAGGGGAATTGATAGAAATAACCCTCAGCTGGGAGTAGTGGTGCTAGCTGGTAGCCCAGCTACTCAGGAGGATCACTTGAACTCAGGAGTGCGAAGCTGCAGTTAGCCATGATGCCACCTGCAAATAGCCACTGCACTCCAGCCTGGGCAACAGAAAGAGATCCTGACTCTTAAAAAATAATAATAATAATTAAAAGAAATGACATTCTAGCAAAGAAAGAAAGAAACAAATCTTGCTCAGATCAACTTCTGATATATAAATAGGAAGTGCTTACACTTATTGCAAGGGTGAGACCAGAAGGGGCACACATCACTTTCACCTACAACCTATGGTGGGGAACTTAGTCACATGGCACACCTGCCTACAAGGGAAGCTGGGAAATGTGTCTAACTAAAACCTTTATTGAATAAAGAAATTTCATTTCAATTACAACAACCAGTGCAAAATATAGTACCTCTGATTAAGCCCATGTGTCGTTTACAAGATTTATTCCTCTCCCAGACCCAATATAGAGGTAGAATAGGAATTTAACAACTATAGTAAAATATCCCCCATCTGTAAAAGGGAAGAATGGAAAAAAAAATTAAAACCACTATGAAAAGGATAAGTGGGCAACCAGGAATCTGTCATAAATATATGATCCCCATTTTATAGGTAATGAGAGTAAGAGCTATATTTAGCATTAAAATCTTACTTCAAATTGTCTTGAGAATCATTTTCAAAAAAAATTTTTTCTTAACTTAAAATTTTTGATCTTATATCAGATATTTTTATTGTATAGTGATTCCTTTGAAATTGATATCTAATAACCTTCAAGGACTGTGCTTCATGTTCTTTGTCCCAGTTTATAGACAGGGAAACTGTCTTCCTTTAAGTATTCTGCTGACATCTTCATTGCCACTTGGATGAAGCCCACCCTCCTTATGCAGCATACAAGGCCCAGCCTCCCCTCTGGTTTCACGTGAAACCCAGCCTTTTATCCACGTTAGTTACTCACCAATCCCTGAACCCACCAGCCCATCCATACCTCCATGCTTTTGCAATTCCCTCAGCCCTTGCTGCTCTTTTCCCCTTGCAAAACTAACTCCTCTGAGACCCAGCCCAGCTCAAATACTGACCCCTTTGTGACAGCTTCCCAGACTTCCCATACAGTACTAGCAGCTCCCTCCTCCTGGTTCCTACTCTGTTCCAGCTTCTGCTGTAACACAGCTCATTATCTTATGATGGTCTATCTGCTGGTCCCAGTTTTTCACTAGATTGTGAGCTT
This sequence comes from Homo sapiens, assembly GCF_000001405.40. NCBI lineage: Eukaryota > Metazoa > Chordata > Mammalia > Primates > Hominidae > Homo > Homo sapiens. The sequence goes on from NC_000004.12 coordinate 78,524,184, forward strand.
CTCCAGAGTAGAAGGCACATATGATTCATCTTAAATCCCCAGAACCACAGGTTTTAGCATGTGATAGGTTCTGAGCAAGTATCTTTTAGGAGCTTACCTTTGAGGTGAGGAGATAAAATACATAGATAAATGGCAAAATGAAGAACCCCACCAAGCACTCCATGCTAAACACACTGTGAGAGATACAGGATAATATCAAGACCGTAGTTGTTCAGGGAAGAGAGAGCCAGAGGCTGGGGAGTTGTATAAGGATTCCTGAAAGAGGTGAGACAACTTATGGTCCATGTTGTGATATGGGAAATGCTTAGATTCTAGCAAGGAGATTAAAAGAACTGCAAGATTAAAGACAGGTGCCTAAGACTGTGTTTGACATGTTTGAAGGGATCATGAGGAAATGGACCTAAGTAGTATTTAGGAATAGAGAAAAGTAGGACCGAAGGCTTGGGAGGCTATGCTATTTGTCTTGCATTCATTTGTTCAACAAGTATTTATGGAATGTTTACTGTTTGTCAGAGAAGGTTCTGGGCACCTTGAATATATTGGTAAACAAAATAAAGATCCCTAAGTATAGGACTTAAAGTAAGGAGACACAAAACAGTAGACCTAATAAGCAAAGTATAACAAATGTCAGAAGGTGATAAGCGCTATGGGAAAATGAATGGTATGGAGCAGGGTAAGGGGAGACAGAAATGGGGAGACATTATAATTTTAATTAGAATGTTCCCAGTAGACCTTATCTGAGCAAAGACTTGAAGGAGGTGAGGGAGTTGGCTATGCAGAAACATGGGAAACAGGGTTCCTGGTAAAGTTCCTAAGATGGCAACATTTGGGCATGCTTGGAGAACAACAAGGAGGCCCATATGGCTGGCATGGAGTGAGCAGGGAAGAGAGTAGTAGACAATAATGCTGAAGAAGTAAGGAGTGGGAGTAGGGCCATGGGATGGGGCCTTGTAAACCAGTGTGCAGCCTCTGGCTTCTACTCTGTAGTGCAAGGAGAGCCCCTACAGGGTTTGAATAGAGCTAGTCACAATCTAGCCAGGCATGGATTGTTCTGCCTATTTGAATATTTCTATTAATGAAGGGTTACTATCCACATTATAGGTGTCATTTTCCATGTAATTTAAATATGGTATACAAAGTCTCATTTCCTGCTGATCCAAGCTTTGAAGGAAAACTGCAGACATACAGACTTTTAGAACGGGAAGGAGCTTAGAAACAACGGCCCTGAAAGTCCTCATGCTTTGTTAAAGTCATGCAGCCATGGCAGAGGCAAGCTGAGGTTCTACTGGTTCCCAGTTTTCAGCCTGTGCCAGTCCACTACACTGACCCCAGGATGTGACATAAAAGTTTTATTATTGTTTTTAACCAAATCTTTGCTGTCAATTTACTGATAAATAGATAAGTATCCCAAAATGGTCAAAACAAGCACAGCATTTATGAGAACTGTTCACAGATCCCTCACAAACAGTTATAATGAAGATTCATAGTCCTGTGCTCTCCATTCAATGGATGACAGACTCCCAAGGCCCTTGAAGAAGGTTCCTGAAGCTTCTGAATGCTTGGCTGCCTTCCAGGCCACCTGACAGGGTTGGAGCTGCCACCCAGTGAGAAGTGTGGGAGACGAAATAGGAGAGAGGTCCAAAGGCTTCCTGCTCACAGAGTCATGAACTGGAGAATCCTGGGCCCCCCATAAACAGGGAAGTCCCCAAGTCCCCGTGAGTGGTCTCTAATGAGAAGTGATCTTGTTCTTCGACTTTATAAAGGGATGAGGCTATGGAGTTTGAAAGGGGAACCTCAAAATTGAGTGTGAGTGAAACGGGTGCAGGGACTTTCTGCAGGGTGCTGCTTCCATATGCTCTGGAGTGGTGTCCTGGAATCCTGAGGCATTTGCTACCTCCTGTGTCACAGCAGCACCTGACACTATCACATCTTCAGAAATAAAAGCTGCTTTTCCATTTGGGAATGCATTGAATAGGGTATCTGTCATCAAGAAACACTAAACAGAAATTGTCAAACAAGTCTCATGAAATCCAAAGGAAATGGCCAATTCTGTTCTGTCATCACCTGAGCCTTCTATGTTTTCATATGTAGTCTGCCTTTCTTAGCTTTCCTCATAGGAAGGACCTGAATACCTGAATACATGAAAGTAGCTCTATTTAACACCTCTGGATAATACTCTGAAGGTTAGGATAATTGAAGATGAGTTCCCGAAAATGGTGTTTGCAGACTTGTAAAGTTCTTAGATGCTGGACACAAATACCACCTGAAAACTGTTTAGTGAAGGCCATGTCTTTCTGGGTAAGCCAGCAACCTATCAGTTGTTCCCTACGATCACAGTCTGCTCTGCATGTTTCCAGGAAGGACTACTCAGGAGAGTACACCATCTACCTGATCCCTTGCACAGTGCAGCCCACACAGCCATGGGTTGACCCAGGAGAGAAGCCTTTGGCCTGCACTGCACATGCCCCAGAAAGGTAGGAAAATATAGTCAATCCTCATTATTTGTTGATTCCTTATTTGTGAATTCTCCTACTCACTAAAATTTATTTGTAACCCCCAAATCAACATGGTGCTTTCATAGTCATTCACTGACATGCACAGCAGAGTCACAAAACATTTGAGTCACTTAACACACACATCCCCAGCTGAAGTCAAACCTGGTGATACTCTGCCTTCTTGTTGCGGCTCTCATACTCCAAACAAGCATCCTATGCACAGTCTATTCAGTGCCATGTTTTTTGCATTTTTGTGCCTTTTGTTGATGATTTCTCCATTTAGAATGGCTCCCAAGTATAATGCCAAAGTGTTTTCTAGTATTTCTAAGCATCAGAAGGCTGTAATGTGCCTTATGATAACCATGAGTTCAATAGAAATGAATCAACAATATGTATTAAATAAGGGGTCTTTACACAGAAACAGACATAAAACAAGGTTATATGTTAATTGGTTGATATAAATGTTGTGAACAGAGGCTCATAGGAATCTAACCCTGTATTTCTTCTAGTAGCTGTGGCTCAATATCCACTAATTCATTATTTGTGGAGACTTTATAGAGCATAACAATTGTGAATAATGAGACTCAACCATACATGAGCCCATATTCACCTCAGACCTGAGACTGTATTGTGCTGTATATTCATTCATTCATTCATTCATTCATTCATATTTATTCAGCTCTTCTCATGTGTTTTGCTCAGGTCAAGGCATTGAGGTGATAGCACTACACTAGAGCAGAGGATTAAAAGTAATCCGTGCTCTCAGGCAGTTTATAGTCTAGGGTCACCTTTCTAGGAGCTGAGCAAAGTATATAGAAAACATTGCTGAGATAAAATGCCCAAGACAGAATCTGACATTAACATTAAGAGAAGACTATTTGAAATGTGGCTTTTAAATAAAAGACTGAGAATTGGCTATTGGATTCGTCAATACTGAGGTCATTGGTGAACTCTGCCAAGAGCAGGTTTGGTGGACTAAAGGGGATACAAGCCTGATTGGGGTGAGCTTGAGAGAGAGGCGAGAAAGTAGAGACAGCAGGGATAAACAGTGCTTGAGGAGTTGCTATAGAGGATGCCAGAGCAAAGGGGCAATAACTGGAAACAGATGAGGAGTCAAATAAACAGCAGGTTTTATTTGCTTTATTTCAGGATGCTTGTATGCTGGTGGGAATAATCCAATCGAGGGGAAAGTTGATGATGCAGGGGATAGAGGGAAAGCTTGCAGAGCCAGATATTTGAGCGGGGCAAGGGAGTAGATCCAGGGCATGAGGGAAGGGCTGGCCATAGCTGGAAGCACAGAGAGTTCATCCACTGAAGAGGCAGGCAGTGAATCAATGGAAGCAGGTGAAAGGAGAATTGGGACACTAGGAGGATAAGGATGACAAAGTGGATATCTGATTGAAGCTATTCTCGCTGTGAAATGAAAAGCCCTACATTTGCTGAAAGTGAAGAATGTCGAGGTTTGAGAAGAGAGGAGGAAAGAAACAGGGCCATCTCAGACAGTGGAAAAGAGTAAATATACTAGAGGGTTACAGCTAGCAGCAGATCAGGCGGTGTGGAACTGCTTTTAAATTGTCATATTATTGACATAAAATTGTACATATTTAAACTGTACAATTCGATAAATTTTTACCTATGTATACACTTGTGAAACATCACCACAGTCAAGATAGAGACAAGATAGGGAACATATCCATTTCCAAAAAGATTCCTCGTGTGCCTTTGTAGTTCCTCCTTCACATCATCCATTCCCTTTCTGCAGATAACCACAGATCTGTTTTCTGCCACTATGGATAAGTTTTCTTTTTTTAGAGTGTTTTATAAATGACATCATACAATGTGAATTCTCTCTCTCTGGCTCATCGCACTCCGCATGATGATTTTGATTCATCTGTGTTGGGTGTATCAGTATTTGTTCCTGTTATTTCTGGGTTGGACTTCATGGTATGGATTTACTACAGTTTGTTTATCAGTGATCAACTGATGAACATTTCAGTTGTTTCCAGTTTGGGGCTATGATAAATAAAGCTTCTATGAACCTACATGTACGAGCTTTATATAAACATGTGTTTTCTGTTTTCTTATGTAAATACCTAAAAATGGAGTGACTGGATCATATGACAGATGTATGTTTAACTTTTTAAGAAACTGCCAAACTGTCTTCCAGCATGTTTGTAAATATGTAACTATGTATGTCCATTCCCACCATGAGAGTGCACGCGCTCCCTTTCCCGTGCATTCTGCTAATGTGGTTGGGAGGTCCTGGTGTGGCTGAGTAATTAAGAAGTGGGAGGAAAAGAAGAGAGGAGCTGGAAAGACATGAGGTGGTAGAGAGCGAGGTGCTGGAAATGAGATTTTTGGTGATGGTGCATAATGGGCCTATGAAGAGTAGGTAGCTGTAGCAGGGTGGTGAACAAGCTGTTTGGAGGTGAGGGAGTCAAGGAACTGGGAGTCTGGGGTAGTTGATAGTTCATCTGAATGGATGTTTAAGTCACAAAGATTCATGGCAGGAACAATGCCAGGAAGCACCATAGTTAGCCGAATGAAGGAAGGAAGGTGACCAGGAAAATGGTAGTTGGCTGCAGTAAGGAAGAACAATGGGAAAATAATCTGATGGGATATGCTGGGGAATTTTAATTCATTTAAATGTTTAAAAATTATGTAATATTTCAGATATTCTGAAGACTATATATATATCATATAGCAGATCTACCACCCACCTTAAGAAACTCAAGAAACAGAACATTACCAGTACTCCTTCAATACCCTCAGTGCCCCTCTCCAATCATACTCCCTCTCTCTTCCCCACTAGGGTCACCACTAACCTGATATTTGTATTTATTATTCATTGTTTTGGTTTATGGTTATACCTCATGTATACTTCTACATGGTTTTGCAAGTTTTTGAACTCTAGACAGTAGTCCCCCCTTATCCTTGGAGTAAATGTTCCAAGAGCCCCAGTGGGTGCCTGAAACCACACATAATACCAAACCCTATATGTACAATGTTTTTTCAATCTGCCAACCAAGACAGCTACTAAGTGACTAACAAATGGGTAGCATATACAATGTGGAGATGCTGAACAAAGGGACGATTCCTGTTCCAGGCAGGATGGAGCAGAAAGGCACAAGATTTCATCATGCTAGTAAAAATGGTATATGATTTAAAACTTATGAATTGTTTATTTCTGGAATTTTTTGTTTAATATTTTTGGACTATGGTAGGTCTTAGGTAACTGAAACAGAGAAAAGCAAACCCATGAATGAGGGGGGAACCACTGTATATAAGTTTCATACTGCATGAATTATCTCTGCTACTCTTTTTTTTAACTCAGTGAATCATTTGTTGATTCATTTGTGTTGATTCATGTAGCTGTAGTTTGTTGCTCACTGCATTAAGGAATTCATTGTAGGAAAATTCCACAATGTATTTGACCACTCCCTTTGGCTTTCTCTCTATTACAAAGAAAATTCTTATATATATCTCGGTGCACATGTGTAAGTAGAGTTTCTCCAGGGTAGGTTCTGGATTTTTTAAGGGGAGAGAGGAACGACGGTTTGAAACTGGCTAAAAGGATCAAGGAGGACACCAACACTGTCCTCAGGCCCTGTGTGGCATAAATGTGGGAAGTGGCAGAGGAAGAATGTTGCTGAGGATACTGAGGCTTCAGAGTTGGGGGTCCTTGCTTTACATCAGGGAGATTATTACTTGCAGATGCCCCATTATTCCCAGGGTGACTCCCCCAGGCTTAACCTTGGATCCCCTATATAGCTCCATGTGGATGCGATAGAACTACAACACACATACAAAATCAAGACTGATACAGGGAATTTGGACTTAATACAAGCAATGGGGAAAGGATTCTTTATTTAATAAATAGCATTGGGAAAAGTGGCTAGCCAAATGCAGAAAACTGAAACTGGACTCCATTGCTTGTTTTTATCAGGTTTTTCAAAGATCAGATGGTTGTAGATGTGTGGCGTGATTACTGAGGCCTCTGTTCTGTTCCATTGGTCTATATATCTCTTTTGGTACAAGTACCATGCTGTTTTGGTTACTGTAGCCTTGTAGTATAGTTTGAAGTCAGGTAGCATGATGCCTTCAGCTTTGTTCTTTTTGCTTAGGATTGTCTTGGGTATACGGGTTCTTTTATGGTTACACATGAAATTTAAAGTAGTTTTTTCTAATTCTGTGAAGAAAGTCCGTTTGTAGCTTGATGGGAATAGCATTGAATATCTAAATTACTTTGGGCAGTATGGCCATTTTCACAATATTGATTCTTCCTATCCGTGAGCATGGAATGTTTTTCATTTGTTTGTGTCCTTTCTTATTTCCTTGAGCAGTGGTTTGTAGTTCTCCTTAAAGAGGTCCTTCACATCCCTTGTAAGTTGGATTCCTAGGTATTTTATTCTCTTAGTAGAAATTGTGAATGGGAGTTCACTCATGATTTGGCTCTCTGTTTGTCTGTTACTGTTGTATAGGAATGCTTGTGATTTTTGCACATTGATTATTTATCCTGAGACTTTGCTGAAGTTGCTTATCAGCTTAAGGAGATTTGGTGCTGAGACAATGGGGTTTTCTAAATATACAATCATGTCATCTGCAAACAGAGGCAATTTGACTTCCTCTCTTCCTATTTGAGTACCCTTTATTTCTTTCCCTTGCCTGCTTGCCCTGGCCAGAACTTCCAATACTACGTTGAATAGGAGTGGTGAGAGAGGGCATCCTTGTCTTGTGCAGGTTTTCAAAGGGAATGCTTCCAGCTTTTGCCCATTCAGTATCATATTGGCTATGGGTTTGTCATAAATAGCTCTTATTATTTTGAGATATGTCCCATCAATACCTAGTTTATGGAGAGTTTTTAGCATAAAGGGCTGTTGTATTTTATCGTAGGCCTTTTCTTCCTCTCGCCTATTTTATTCCTTCCCACAAACTTGCTGCTTCTCCCCTGTTGTCACCTTCACCTGGTGACCTTTCTGTCCTGTTGGAGTGAGGAAACAGAAGAAATCAGAAGAGAACTTATGCAAGCTTCTATCATCATACCTACATCTGTGCATTAGACCTACCAGCATGTATCTGTGCATGTACCCCATATGGCCCACAAAGTTTAAAATATTTACTATCTGGCTGTTCACAGAAAAGCTTTGTCAATCTCTCTGTTCTAGGTGCTTACACCCAAATCTTAACAATATCATTGAGATTTCTCTTATTCTGGCACTGTCATCAAGGATTTTAGGCCTCTCCTTTAAAATATATTAAAAATCCAATTATTTTCACTGCCCACCTGGCAAAAGCCCTGGTCAGAACCATTATCATCACTTGTCTAAATTATTGAAATAGCCTGTTAACAAAGTCCCCTGCAGCCACCCTGTAGTTTCTTCTTAACACAGCAAACCCCTCACTTTTTCAAAACACTCCACAGTTTAAATAAACCCTAAAGTCCTGACAGTACAGGTAAGGCTAAATGGGATCTGGTCCCAAGTTACCTCTGTGATCTTATCTCCCTCACTGTTCTCCAGCCACCCTGGCTGACTGGTCATTCCTCTAATGTATTGCACACACTCTTACCCCAGACCTTTTTGCCTTTGCCATTTCCTCTTCCTGGAGGGCTTCCTCTCCACATAGCCGCATGTCTTACTCCATTGCCTGCTTCAAGCCTTTGCATGTTTTCCTCTCACTGAGGCCTTCCATGACTGAGTTTCTTCCTTTCTCTCTCTTTATGGTATATATTTAAGGTGTAAAACATTATGGTTTGATACACATAGTGAAATGATTACTAAAGTCAAACAAATTAACATACCCATCTCCTCACTTAGTTACCTGCATTCACACGTGTGTGTGTATGATAAGAGTACCTGAAATCTACTCTCTTAGGAAATGTCCAGTACATAATATTATTGCAACTTTGCACCTTTTGACTTATATTTCCCCATATCCCCCTCCTCGTCGCTCCTGGTAACCACTGTTCTCTTTGTTTCTGTGTATCCAGCTTTTGGAGTTTTTTGTTCCCACCCGAATCAGCTTTTTATGATTCCATATATAAGTGAAATTGTGCAGTATTTTTCTGTGTCTGGCTAATTTCACATAGTATAATGTCTTTCAGGTTCATCCATGTGGTCACGAATGGCAGGATCTCCTTATTTTTTTAAGACTGACTATTTAATTGTGTGTATATATACACCACATTTTCTTTATTGATTAATCCATTGATGGACACTGGTTGTTTACAAATCTTAACTATTGTGAATAATGTTACAATGAACCTAGGAGTGGAGATGTCTCTACAAGATGGTGATTTCCCCTTGTTTGGGTATATACCAGGAATAGGGATTGCTGGGTCATGTAATAGTTCTATTTTTAATTTTTTGAGGATGATCCATACTGTTTTACATAATGGCTGCACCAATTTACACCCATGACCATATTATTTAGAATTTCCAGTTGAACCTCCTTCTAGCATTACCCTTTCTCTGCCTAATTGTTCTCCTTATCACCTGTTACCTTTTAGCATGCTATATTATTTTTTATTTATTTTGCTTACTATTTCCTTAGAACGTAACTTCCCTGAGATCATGTTTTTCTGTTTCGTCCACAGATGAATTCCTATTACTAGAATGATGTCTACTGTATAATATATGCTCAGTGAATATTTGCTGAATAAATGAGCCCTGGGGCACTAGAGATCATGGAGTAGAGAGCTGGTCCAGAGACTGAAAGAAGGCCAGTCTGGCTAGATCCCAGAAATGGAGGGAAGGGGAAGAGTAGCTGGAGATGAGGCTGTAGAAATAGGCAGAGGCCAGAGCTTTACCGGTCATGGCAAAAATATTGCTCTTCCTTCTAAGGGATATGGGAAACCACTGAAGGATATTAAGCAAATTTGAGTTTTTGAAAATGACACTGGCTCATGCGTTGCATGATAGATGTAGAATAGCCTAGACAGAACTAATAGTGACTCCAGGGAGAACACTTAAGGTGCTGGCACCTCTTTTTTTGCCTTTCACTGAGATAATAACACTAGAAGGAAGAGCAAGTTTGCAAGGGAAGAGCATACTGAGTTTGGGTTATCTGACAGCCATGTAGAGCTACCATTTGACAGCCAGATATGTGTTTCGGAGCTTAGAGGAGAAATCTGGATTAGATAGTTAAATTTGGCATTACTACCTTTGAGATAGCAAATGCACTCAGTGACAAGGCTGAGATCATCTTGGGTGAAGTTATTGAGGGAGAACAATAAGGGTCCCAGAACTGAGCCTTGGGAGCGCTTATCTGCCAGAAGGAGACACGGAAGGAAGGGGCTCAGGAAGAAGGCTGGGGAGGTAGGCACACAGAGCAAGGCAAGAGAGTATCGCCTAGCAAGTCCTGAAAGTGGGACATGCGATAAATAAAGTTTTGATCAGGTTGAAAGAGTCAAAGCCTCAGAGCATGCAGCTCTGGGAAGAAATCTAGCTGGACTCCAAAGCGGGGAGCACTTTAGAAGTCAAAGGGCAATTTTGGGAGCCCCCAGAGTGAAAGGGCCAAAAAAAGCAAAGAATACCAAAGAGCCTAAAGAGTAATTAATTATTTTTTAAGACTAATTATTTCTGTTCAAAAGAAATAACTACCAAATAAAGTCCTTTTACCTTACACATCCCTTTATTCAGTGAATATTTAGTGCCCACAACAAAGCTCTGTGTACAATCCTGTGGAGGGTGGGGAAGGGAGGGTGACTCAAATGACATATGCAAAGCTGACCCTGCTCTCAAAGAGCTCTTTGTTTCTCCTTGCATTTAGATTCCTGATACCCATTGCATTCCAGCAGACCAACCGCCCTGTGCCAGTTGTGTATTCACTTAACACTGAATTTCAGCTCTGCAATAATGAGAAGGTGTTCCTAATGGATCCCAATACATCTGATATGTCACTAGCAGAAATGGATTACAAAGGAGCCTTTTCAAAAGGTGAGTTGCTTCCTCCACCTGCAGAAAGAGGCTCTGCCTGGATATGAGAAGCTTTTGCTAAGTCACCGGACTGGCATCTCTGCTCATATGCTCTCAGTCACCACCCCAGTAAAGATCCCCCAGGGTTGGTTCCAGGACAGCCAGGACTGAATCTAGGTACAGGCCCATTTCATGCTGTTTCGAAATCAAATCACACACTTGGCACTATAATGATTGGCAGTGTGATGCCATGGGAAAGCACTGGTCTGAGTAGTAAGAATACTGGCATTTCCGACCAGATTCTAGCACATTGTCTAACTCTGGGTCAGTTATTTCCTCAAATCCCATTGCCTCCCAGTCTCAAAACGATGCCAAACATGTGTGTTCTCCATCATGCTTTCTCTGCTGAAAATGGCTCACTTCACGGTCACTTCTCTATCCGTTTACCACAGGCTGGATTCTATCCTATCTTTCTCTTGTCGATGACACCAAATTGATGTATTCTGGCACTTTTTTCCTGTTGGGTTTCCTTTGCATCAGCCTCACCCGACACCATCTTGCCTCTCAGATGACTCCTTCTCACTCTCCTGTCCCTGGCCTCCATCCTCTGCCCCTTCCGTGTTAGTGTCCCCAGATTCCATGCTTGGCTCAGTCTATTCCTACTCTGAGTGCTGCCTCTGGTCATCCCCATGGCTTGGGCCATCCCTTTACTCTGAACTTCTTACACTCCTACTGTTCTGCGGCCATTCCATAGGATTTGACCTCATCCTGGATCTCTCCGAGCCTCATTTCTATGTTTCCACATGCAGATATGAAACTACTGAAGCTCTCCAAGCAGCATGTCTTTCAGACACCTAGAGATGCCCAAGTCTGGACTTGTCTCCTTCCAAGCATGCTCCTCCCACATCTGCTACCCTGCTGACTGCGTCACCATCCTCTATGTGCCCCAACCAAAAATCTCAGGGTTATCCTCAACTTCCCCTTCCTACATCCTACGTCCCATCTATCATTAAGATGAGTGGAGTCTGACTCCTAGACATTTCTTGAGTTCATCCTCTTGCCTCACAGCTATATTTTAGGTGCCTATCTCTCACTAGAGGATTAAAATAGCCCCTACCAGGTCTCTGTGACTTAAGTCTCTTTGTCCTTGACCCATTTGCCATGTTTCTAAGGCCCAAGTGTGTTACTACCTTTCCGCTTAAAACCCTCCAGTGTTTCTTATTACTTATATATTCAAGTCCAGCCTCCTCAGCACGGTTTGTCTATGTCCCCAGGAGCCTCTCCTGCCAGAGCTTCTACACACCCTCCACTCTTGTCACACTGACTTACTTAGCACCACATAGTAAATGTTTGGGATGAGCATTTGGAATTAGCCAGATTTGTGCTAATTCCAAAATCCTCCTCCCACTGCATCATTGCTGTGGAACCTTGGATAAGTTACTTAAAAATGGGAATAATAATTGAAGCTATCTTTTGGGCTCTTGGGAGGATTAAGTAAGTTAGTTGCATGTAAAGAGCTTGGTGCCATAGCCGACACATAGGAAACGGCCTACACCAGGGCTTACATCCTTGAAGCATTCAGTATTTTGTACATGGATTTTTTTTTTTTTTTTTTTTTGCCTAGAGTGTTCTCTCCTGCCTCTCACTCCCACCCCAAATGCACTGTCTGACAAATGCCTACTTGTGTTTCAGGATACTGCTCAAATATCATGTCTCTTGAAACCTTCCATACCATTCCCTAGGCAGATTTCTGTACCTGGTTTCATGCTCTCTTAACATGACATACCTTCCTCTATTGTGGAATGTAACAGTATAGCATTTGGGTGATTAATAAAGTATTGTGGTGGTTTGGTTTGAGAGCATAGTACCTTGACTTGGAATCCCACCCTCACCGTTTGCTTGCTTTGTGACCTTCAGCAAATCACTTAGCCCCACTCAGTGCCTCAGGTTTCTCATCTGCAAAATTGTGAGCACTCCATGAGTTATTACATGAGAGGACTTGGTACAGTACCTGGAAAATAGTATGAGTTTGATAAATATGAGCCTATTTTAGTCAATCACTGTGAGTTTGTTTCCATCCTCTCAACTGCATCTCACACACCTTGGTATCCCCTGTGCATAACAGAATACTTTGCTTCCCTTAAATGCTTAATTAATGCTTATTGAAAAAAAGAAGGCATAAATGTTCCCTAGCAAGAAAACTCAGAGAAAAAAAGAAAATAAGAATAAAAACGAAGCAATAAATGAATGAGTATTTTAGGGGCACATGGAATCATGGAGCTCTTCATAGAAAAGTGCTTTTCACTCTTAAGGGAGCATGTTTAACCCCTTTCAACCCTTGACATTTGTTTTTCTTTCATCTTAAAGTCTGACCTAATTAATACCTTTCAATCTTTTCAGGTCAAATCCTTTATGGCCGAGTACTTTGGAATCCAGAACAAAATCTTAATTCTGCTTACAAACTCCAGCTGGAGAAAGTCTATCTTTGTACGGGCAAGGATGGTTATGTGCCTTTCTTTGATCCCACGGGGACAATCTACAATGAAGGGCCCCAGTATGGATGCATTCAGCCAAACAAACACCTAAAACACAGATTCCTGCTGTTGGTATGCTAAGTTCTCACTATTAGTGTTAAAGAGCAGACACTTGAGCAGATTTCCTCAGCTATGACTTCTGCCTAAAGTAGATAGAGCTCACTCTTGATATTTTCTTCTCTATATATGTTTGTGTTGTTGTTTCTTTCAGATCAGCTAAATACTAGTACATAGGTGGTAGTTACGATGAGTAACAAGACAAACTTCCATTGATGTCCTCAGAAAAGGAAACTCTCGGCCAATGTTTCTCAGAGTATGGTTCAGAGACCTGGAGTGTCCCCATACTCTTTCAGGGAGTCTACAGAGTCAAAATTACTTTCAAAATAATATGATGATGACTCTTTTTTTCATACTTATTCCCTCATGAGTTTAGAGAGTTTAAAAAGTTTATCAATAAAATTTCAGATTCCACATTGTAATGAATCTTTAAAAAATAACCACTCACCAAGTTTTGATTTAGTATCAAAAAAGAGGCAGGGCGTGGTGGCTCATGCCTGTAATCCCAACATTTTGGGACACTGAGGTGGGAGAATCACTTAAGCTTAGGAGTTTGAGACAAGCCTGAGAAACATAAGGAGACCCCATATCTACAAAAAAATATTTGAAAATTAGCTGGGCTTGGTGGCATGCACTTGTAGTCACAGCTACTTGGGAGGCTGAGGTGAGAAAATCACTTGAGACTGGGAGGTCAAGGATGCAGTGAGCCAAGATTGCACCACTGCACTCCAGCCTGGGCAACAGAGCAAGACCCTATCTCAAAAAAAAAAAAGAAAAAAAAAAGCCATAATTGTTTGAAAAAGCTATTAACTACATAGCTTTATGAGGCCAGATTTTCTTCATACACTTTAGACAAAACAGCATATCACAACTGATGGAATTCAGAAGCAGTTATGAGAATCCAGTTTTTTCCCTGAGATTACAAAAATGTAAAACATTGCCAGCTCTCTTTATTGAGGAAGGGAATGAATTTAGGTATTTTCACTAAAAAATATCTTACTTAAGTTAACATGTAATGAGTTTCTTATTGTCAGTTTAAAATGAATTAATAAGTAAACACTTAAAATTTTTTCAGGTTTAATTTTTAACCGAGTAAATGTCGATAGATATAAGTCACATAAACAAAAACTCTCTGGGGTCCTTGATTTGTAAGTGTGTAAAGGGTCCTGAGACCAAATAACTTGAGAAGTATTGGGCTAGAATATCCCACTTTTTGCATTTTGAGATCACAAAAGCCACCACATGTCCTTTTGAAAAGGACAGTGGGTTCCCAGAGTTAGTGTATTAGTCTGTTCTCATGTTGCTAATGACATGCCTGTAACTGGGTAATTTATAAAGGAAAGAGGTTTCATTGACTTACAGTTCAGCATGGCTGGGGAGGCCTCTTACAATCATAGCAGAAGGGGAAGCAAATACATCCTTCTTCACATAGGGGCAGCAAGAAGTGCCGAGCAGAGGGGAAAAAGCCTCTTAAAAAACCATCAGAGGTCCGGGCGCGGTGGCTCAAGCCTGTAATCCCAGCACTTTGGGAGGCCGAGGTGGGCGGATCACGAGGTCAGGAGATTGAGACCATCCTAGCTAACACAGTGAAACTCTGTCTTTACTAAAAATACAAAAAAATTAGCCTGGTGTGGTGGCAGGCTCCTGTAGTCCCAGCTACTCCGGAGGCTGAGGCAGGAGAATGGCATGAACCCAGGAGGTGGAGCCAGCAGTGAGCTGAGATCGCGCCACTGCACTCCAGCCTGGGCGACAGAGCAAGACTCCATCTAAAAAAAAAAAAAAAAAAAATCAGATCTCATGAGAACCCACTCACTATCACAAGAACATCATAGAGGTAACTGTCACCGTGATTCAATTACTTCCTATTGGGTCCCTCCCATGACACATGGGGATTATGGGAACTGTAATTCAAGATAAGATTTGGTGGGGACACAGCCAAACCATATCAGGCAGCCACTGACTTATGGAGAGGGCTTCACAGCACATACTCTCTCAACTCAACCTAAAGCCAGGAGTGATGAGTACTTTTCTCCTCCCAGTCACTGCCACCTACCAATATAGTGGAACCATCTTTCTAAATCTTGCATTTCTTTTTTCTGAAATCCTAGGACCGCAATCAGCCAGAGGTAACTGATAAGTACTTCCATGATGTGCCTTTTGAGGCTCACTTTGCCTCTGAGTTGCCTGATTTCCATGTGGTCAGTAACATGCCAGGTGTGGATGGATTTACTCTAAAAGTAGATGCACTCTATAAGGTGAGTTTGGTGAGAAGAACAGAAGCTTAAGACCAAGTCTACTTTAAAGCTTGAAAAAAAAAAAAAAAAGAAGGAGGACTGCAACATCTCTGGATTCTTCAACATTCTGCCATTCTTGCTGGCAGATCTTTTCTTATTGTTAAGCTTATCACCCACCCAAAATTTTCACATGTATCCCCAGTAGACCAAAACAATTATACAATTATTGACTTTGCATATAGTCACTTGTCATTGTGCACATCATGGCTGCATATGACACTCCAGTTTTTCCTAAGTTCTTTTATATTGCATCCCTTTTTGGTTCTATGCTAGCCCAGCTGATTTTCACGGACATATGAAAAACATTTAAAAAATCATAATACAATACAGCAATTTAGAATAGCAAGAATTACTATTTGATAAACACAAATACCTTAAGTCTTAGCAATGAACATGAACTTTCAAGATGAAATTTCACTTTTTTTGTCTCTAAATATTAATCTATGACCCTTCAGAACTATTATCATGCTTCAGAAGTTATTTCGAAACCATGAAGCATTTTAATGGAGGAAGATGAGGGGGAGATAAAATACTTGATGATATAGCCTGATTGAGAAGGTGTTTAGAAAATGTTTGTCACGTATCTGTGTATTATGCACAGAGTATATGTTTAGTGAATATTTTGTTGAATGACTCCATTTTCGCTGAAGTTCACCAATAAATAGTAAATTGGCATAACACATAATTGAAGGTCACTGTAAATAAATGTGGTTTTTAATGCTATTATTTCACTGCTATCAATAAAGACAGACAAATATAAGCATTCACTTAGCTAAAGAGACCATGAAAGATAATTTCTTAGGCTATTCCATGTACACATAGGGAAACAAAAAAGAATCCGAATAGCTGACTCAAGATCATCTTAATTTGGAAATAAAATAGAACCCATATCTGGTTCAGTTCTCTATGTATTAGTAGACACCAACCATTGCTAATGCTTTTCTGGAAATCAGTTATCTATCAAGGCATATAGTGGCAATTATCCTTCCATTTCCTTTCTTCAGAGGTGGTCTGTGGGCAACAACAACATGTTCGGTTTGTCCCCCTGCAGGTGGAAGCAGGACACCAGTGGTATCTCCAGGTCATCTACATCATTGGCCCTGACACCATCTCAGGGCCCCGGGTCCAGCGCTCTCTCACAGCTCCACTCAGACGCAACCGAAGGGACCTGGTAGAGCCCGATGGCCAGCTGATCCTTGATGATTCCCTCATCTATGACAATGAAGGAGACCAAGTCAAGAATGGCACCAATATGAAGTCCCTGAATCTGGAGATGCAAGAGTTGGCGGTAGCTGCGTCCCTGTCACAGACTGGGGCGTCCATTGGCAGTGCCCTGGCTGCAATCATGCTTCTACTTCTGGTGTTTTTGGTGGCTTGTTTTATCAACAGGAAATGCCAGAAACAGAGGAAGAAGAAGCCCGCAGAGGACATTTTGGAAGAATATCCTCTGAATACCAAGGTAGAAGTGCCCAAGAGGCACCCGGACCGGGTGGAGAAGAACGTGAATAGACACTACTGCACTGTGCGGAACGTCAACATCCTGAGTGAGCCTGAGGCGGCTTACACGTTCAAAGGTGCTAAAGTCAAAAGACTGAATCTAGAAGTCAGAGTTCACAACAATTTACAAGATGGAACAGAAGTTTAATGGAGGAGACCTATGTGTATTTTTTTCTAAAATCATTTTTATAAAATGGGGGGAAATACTGGTATTTTTATAATCTCGCAGATAAAAAAGGGAAAACTATAGCTTTGAGTGGCAGACAGCACACATCACATGCATCAACTCACAACTGAGCTACCTCATTCAGCAAAGAACCACTGAGAACCCCAGAGTATTACAGTTATTTCCGTAGATCCCTTTAATAGTGTCAACAACTGTACACAGCTCCTTCTGTAAGGCTGGTCTTAGAAAACAAGTACTTTAGTATCAGGACAGGAGTTGAACAATTAGGTTAGCAGATGGAGATGAGAGGACTGGGTAGAGTACCATGGCAGATCTCAGAGAGAAGAAGTAGGTACGGGCCTTTGGTTCCCTCCCCCAGCCCCAGCTTTCTCCTACAGGGCTTTTCCTGAGTCCCCAGACAGCAGAGTATGAACTGCTGACACCCAGATTCCATTAAAAATTCTGCTAATCGACACAACACATATATTTGCTCATGATTTCACTTGACAGCGTATGCTCCTTGGCCTCTAATTGTACTTTGCTTTTCCAGAGCCCTTTTTACCTGGGGATTTCAGTGTGCTTAAGTAAAATCCTCTGAAAACCACGGGAGCCTCTGCCTCCTCAGCCACAGAGAACTCCCTCCTACAAAGGGGGAGACTGAAACCCGAGTTAAGGAGGGGCCTGGCAGGCGTATCAGAGCACATTAGTGATGCCCTTCACCCCAGGGAGGTGTCTGTTCCCAACTAGTTTATGTGGCACTGAGACATCCATCCCTGACCAAGGATGCTGCGAAACAGGATCAATGTACTACGGCCTTTTAATTCAACATTGCCATAAATGCTTTAAAGAAAACCCACCACACTTTCCTCCTACTCCGGTCTTTGCCCGTTCCTGTAACAGACAATCCCATGTCCTAGGTATGGTTTTTTATTCTGTTAGTGCTTCGGGAAAGTAAGTGATTCATTTGAATAAGGCAAATTAGGAGAAAGCCCAGGTTGGGGTGAAATCAGACTTAACAGATACATGCTGGTTCTCCTTGCTGTGTGTGACACAGCAGACAGAGGCACTATTCCTGGTGCAGTATTTCAGGGATTTCTCTTTGAGGGGTTCTTTTCTGGTAGCTCAGGCAATTATTTTTACCATATCAGCACATGACAAGGCCATGAACACATGGCTCTAAAATAATTTAGTGTTCAAGTATCAGCTTAACTATTTTGTGTAGGCTACACACAGCTTGCTTTTGTTTCTCTTCTGTTTCTGCCTTATTGGCGGAAACATAAGCGTGCATGCCATGTTGTTTTGAATTGGAGGCACAATTTCATTATTCGAGAGTAAAAGACATGTCCTCTTCTGATGCATGGCACACCATAGTCACCAAGCAAATAACAGAGCCTTCACATTGTGTAATATTTGTATGAGAATGACTCAAGCTCTTTGAGAACATTCCAAACTAGTAACATTTCGCTACTAAAAGCTAGAAAGGATGAACTGTGAAAGGTTCTAGGCAGCTCTGTGAGACTCCAAGCTCCTTGAAAGTAGGACCTTTGTGAGCCACGCCTTTCATTCTTCAACAGTGCCTTGCATGTAACAAGCACTCCAGAAATGTTTGTTGAATGAATGAATGGTGTCATGGGTGAATGATGGGGAGTAAATTTAGGAAGGGGAAGTGAGAGAGTATGGTGGCAATATCACAAGGGAGGAGAGAGGAAAACAATTATCTTCTCTACTTGGATTATGAGATAACCTTTTCTTGGAGGAAAGAAACACCGCTTTACAAAGGCATGACTCTGGCGGTGGTCCTAAGGAAGCATGAGCAGAAAATTCATAAAAATGTATCATCAGCAGGAGATGAGACTATGAATTGGCATCCAGAACAGGAGATTTAGAGCAAAATCTAATTTAGCATTCTGAGATGAGTGTCAGGTTTTCAGGAGAGAATGAGTTGGGGTGAGCCCAGAGTCTGAAACTCCTGACTGGTCAGGTGCTACTTAAGACCAGCTTGGGCAATTCAGGGCAGAACTCCTGTATCAGCCTCATGGACACCCAGAATTGGTATCTCATGGCTGGAGAGCTGATCAGCCAGGCACAGAATCTCCAGAACAACCTAGAGAGTGAATGCTAATTTGTAGAGCGAACTTCCATTTGGCCCATTATTTGTAACTGTGTAACTGCTCCAAGTGCCAGAATGCTTACACGTTAAAGCAGCACCTTTCCATTTGCCCACATATTCTTCTTGCACACCCCTTCCATTACTGCTGAATAGGACATTGCATGGGAAGAGTACAGAGGTGGCAGAATGAAGCTAGAGTGGGAAGGACTAAAGACTGAGCCCCAGAGTGCTCCCAGCAACCGCCACGTACAAGGTCTGAAATGACAAGGGCAAGAGTGAGATAGGAAACTGTGTGTGAAAGGAAAGCCCTTGCAGTATTTCTGCCTCCCTTTCTTTCTGCCTTTCACCCCACTAAATGTATGTTATTGAATGCCAGTACTTCTCTAGTGGATGCACACTTGTTAAATAGTGTTAAGAGATGTGGAGATGAGATATACCCCTTTGATGTAGAATTATTCATTTGGTTTGTTTCATACTTCATTATAGGAATCAAGTAATTTGATGACTAATGTGGATTATATTTCAGTCAAAGCTCTGCTTTCAATTTCTCTGATTTGCTCACTAATGCCTTGTGTGTGTTTTACTAACCTTTTATATCTTGCCTTCAAGTGAGAAGGAACAAACAACTCTCAGTGGTTACTACTTGCTTTTATATGCTGGCTGTGAAGGTTAAAAGAAAGAATGGTCTGTACCATTCTGCTTTGCTGCCCTTTTATTGTACCCCAGGCCTCCTAGAGGACTCCTGCAGATTCTATTGTTGGGTGGGAAATAGTGTTGGAATGTGTTTGCACAGTCTTATGATATTCAGTCTCAGTCTGCTATAGGTATTTGTTATTCTTGGATACTACACACCTGCTCAGACTGAGTAAACATTTGTGGTGCTGTCAACCTGATTTCTTGACTCTCAAATGATTTTTGTATTTCCAATATGAATTTGTGTGTTATGAATTTCTGATTTCTCCAATAGTATATGCCACTATATAAATTTGTATTAATAAATGACAGTCTTGTTGGTTTTTTGTTTGTTTTCCTATGTTCTTTTTAGATTATATCTCTTATGAATATAGACATTGCCATTAAGATGCCAAAATTCATTCTAAATTTGAAGCGGTCTTCTGGAGAAAACCCTTCTAATGAGGGTGAATCTGAGACGCTCATTAACTGTGTTCAGAGTAAGATGCTGAATAAATTATATGTTTCCAGATTATCATAGGTCTTTGGCAATCAGTTGAAATTCTGAGACAAAGAGGAATAATTAAAATTTCCATGTGCCATATAATAAGATGATTTTTGTATTTATTATCAAAACTTCTAAAGAGACATGATATAGTATGAGGGTGGCTTATGTCCTTCTGTGCACATGCAAATATTTGAGCATCCATCACTGACCCTGGAAAAGACCAAAGCTCCAAACAAGAGTTTATAGGCTCATGGAAGGAAAAATCAGAGTCAAAATGGAGCTGTACCCAGCTGGTCTTTGCATTCTGCAAGCCTGTGCATTTGTGTGCCTTTCCCTTCTGATAAAACAAATAACTGCCAATAACAGTGACCAGCAGGGCTCTGTTGGCACGTTTGCAAACTCAGCAAGACTTGAGAAAGCATGTTTATAGAAAATCTGGGGAAGGGATGCCACAACCAATCCTGGAAGTTGCTGAGATGCTGCCAGGAGCTTAATGTAAACTTCCAATCCTCACAATTTCCTGTGATTATCCGTTGCCTTAGAGCAGACTCTCTGCCCTGGAGTTCACTTCTCTAGAGTGCAGAGAAGCTGTACCAGGAATTAATCTAAGAATTGTTAGGATTGTCTATAAAAATGCTTCTGAGACTGGAAATGTCATGGCCATAAAATTTAGGGATCTTGAGGAATAGTGGCAGAAAATGAGTTCCCATTTAGAATTTAAAATGCCTCATAGACTGCTTTTGAAGAAATGCACTGGGAGTGGTGGAAGGAGACTATATTTGGAATATGTTATTACATTCAACTACATGAAATTGATTTGATAGGTTAAAAATAGTCCAATATCAATAGTTTTGTATGTCTCAACCTAATATTATGATACCACAATATGTAATAGAGATTCTGTCCCCAAATGAGCCACAGAGAACTCTTAACTAGAACCCTGTGTGCTGAGAGTAGCTAATGCCCCAGGACTGTTACAGGGACTATATCAAATGATATATTGGGCATATCTGGCAATGCTCCGATCAAGAACAATGACTCACTTATATTCTGTACCTCATTCAGTCTTCATAACAACCCCGTGAGACATAGTTGTCCTGGATAAGTTCCTTTGAAAGTTTCATATGAATTTCAGAATTTCAAATCTTTGAAGGCCTTCACAAGCACAACTTGATGTTGCTTTAAAATGGTCCCAACTCCTATCACCTAAATTTAATGCTTGTCATGAAAAATTACATCACTTGATTAATACAACAAAATAGACCTATGCTGCAACCCTCTCTAAAAAAGCTAGCAGAATTTTATCCCTAGGCTCATTTTGGTTTAAGGCCAAGTTCCAAGATTACTCAGCAAGTTATAAAAGTTATTAGAATTTCGGTCTATGGGATAATTTTCATAAATTGTGAAAAACTAGTATCAAGATATCTCAGTTCCAAGACTACTCAGCAAGTTATAGAAGTTATTAGAATTTCAGTCTCTGGAATAATTTTAATAAATTGTTAAAAACTAGTATCAAGATATCTCCCTTAAACATCCCACTAAGGAATGCTTTAAAAATGAACCAGTGCTGGATACTAGCAACTCCCAAGAGTCCCTCTGCGGCTGATTCTGTTGCTGCACACTGAATCTGCCCTGCCCTGTGCTCTGGGAAACCGACTTTTCATCAACTGCTTCTTCAAGGCTCCCTTGCCTCTTGCTTCTGGTTGAGGTTGGCCAAGTGGAACCACTGATGAGAGAGAAGATGATGTGTGTTTAGCCTCCTCCCTGCTTCCTTCTGCCTTGTGATTCTGGGGTGGCTGCATCCCTCCCTGGCCACAGGTGTCACGGGTTCTGATGAAACCCCTTCCCTCCCTTGCCCACGCAAGGCTAGTCATGATTTCATCCTGTCCCTAGTCCTTGGAGACTATATCATCCCTGTGGATACCTAACCGAACTCTGCCCATGCGTTTGTAAATAGCTCCTTTATTTGACTCTTTATTCAGACCCTTTAAGTACTCTGTCTTTCTGTCCAAACTCTTACACAGTCCTTAAATTCAGTGCCATTTGGTTCCACTTCTCTAATGTAAATCAAAATTAAATACTTGAACTCAAATCTTGTCTCAATTTTAAATTTGCTTGTTATTATAAAGAGTGATGTGCTGATAAATGCTTCACAACTGACCTTTCGGGTAAAGGGAAGCTCCATTTACAGTATTTCCTAGTTTTTGTGTTGTATATACTCCCATTATGGCTGAATACAACCCATTAGCATAATTTCACTGAATGTGGAGTTGGGAAGAGATGCACAGTAGTACCACTTTATGCACTATTTTTCTTTTCTTTTTTTTGAGTCGGAGTTTCGCTCTTGTTGCCCGGGCTGGAGTACAATGGCACCATCTGGGCACACTGCAACCTCCGCCTCCCAGGTTCAGGCGATTCTCCTGCCTCAGCCTTCCCGAGTAGCTGGGATTACAGACATGTGCCACCATGCCCGGCTAAATTATTATTATTATTTTTTCTTTCTGTTTTTCTTGGTTTTTTTTTTTTTTTTAAGATGGAGTCTCGCTCTGTCGCCCAGGCTGGAGTGCAGTGGCGCAATTTCGGCTCACTGCAAGCTCCGCCTCCCGGGTTCATGCCATTCTCCTGCCTCAGCCTCCTGAGTAGCTGGGACTACAGGCGCCCGCCACCACATCCAGCTAATTTTTCGTATTTTTAGTGGAAACAGGGTTTCACCGTATTAGCCAGGATGTCTTGATCTCCTGACCTCGTGATCTGCCCACCTCGGCCTCCCAAAGTGCTGGGATTACAGGCGTGAGCCACTGCGCCCGGCTTATGCCCTATTTTCACCACATGGATGCAATAAACACAACCTGGAAAGCATCACTAATAATAAAATGTCCTCTCCCCCTCCCCCTCCCCCTCCCTCTCCCCACGGTCTCCCTCTCCCTCTCTTTCCACGGTCTCCCTCTGATGCCGAGCCGAAGCTGGACTGTACTGCTACCATCTCGGCTCACTGCAACCTCCCTGCCTGATTCTCCTGCCTCAGCCTGCCGAGTGCCTGCGATTGCAGGCGCGCGCCACCACGCCTGACTAGTTTTCGTATTTTTTTGGTGGAGACGGGGTTTCGCTGTGTTGGCCGGGCTAGTCTCCAGCTCCTAACCGCAAGTGATCCGCCAGCCTCGGCCTCCCGAGGTGCGGGGATTGCAGACGGTGTCTGGTTCACTCAGTGCTCAATGGTGCCCAGGCTGGAGTGCAGTGGCGTGATCTCGGCTCGCTACAACCTCCACCTCCCAGCCGCCTGCCTTGGCCTCCCAAAGTGCCGAGATTACAGCCTCTGCCCGGCCGCCACCCCGTCTGGGAAGTGAGGAGCGTCTCTGCCTGGCCGCCCATCGTCTGGGATGTGAGGAGCCCCTCTGCCTGGCTGCCCAGTCTGGAAAGTGAGGAGCGTCTCTGCCCGGCCGCCATCCCATCTAGGAAGTGAGGAGCGCCTCTTCCGGGCCGCCATCCCGTCTAGGAAGTGAGGAGCGTCTCTGCCCGGCAGCCCATGGTCTGAGATGTGGGGAGCGCCTCTGCCCTGCCGCCCCGTTTGGGATGTGAGGAGCGTCTTTGCCCGGCCGCCCCGTCTGAGAAGTGAGGAGACCCTCTGCCTGGCAACCGCCCCGTCTGAGCAGTGAGGAGCCCCTCCGCCCGGCAGCCGCCCTGTCTGAGAAGTGAGGACCCCCTCTGCCCGGCAGCCACCCCGTCTGGGAAGTGAGGAGCGTCTCCGCCCGGCAGCCACCCCGTCCGGGAGGGAGGTGGGGGGTCAGCCCCCACCAGGCCAGCCACCCCGTCCCGGAGGGAGGTGGGGGTTAGCCCCCCACCCGGCCAGCCGCCTTGTCTGGGAGGGAGGTGGGGGGTCAGCCCCCCGCCCGGCCAGCCGCCCCGTCCGGGAGGTGAGGGGTGCCTCTGCCCGGCCGCCCCTACTGGGAAGTGAGGAGCCCCTCTGCCCGGCCAGCCGCCCCATCTGGGAGGGAGGTGGGGGGGTCAGCCCCCTGCCCGGCCAGCCGCCCCGTCAGGGAGGTGAGGGGCGCCTCTGCCCGGCTGCCCTTACTGGGAAGTGAGGAGCCCCTCTGCCCAGCCACCACCCTGTCTGGGAGGTGTACCCAACAGCTCATTGAGAACGGGCCATGATGACAATGGCGGTTTTGTGGAATAGAAAGGGGGGAAAGGTGGGGAAAGGATTGAGAAATCGGATGGTTGCCGTGTCTGTGTGGAAAGAAGTAGACATGGGAGACTTTTCATTTTGTTCTGTACTAAGAAAAATTCTTCTGTCTTGGGATCCTGTTGATCTGTGACCTTACCCCCAACCCTGTGCTCTCTGAAACATGTGCTGTGTCCACTCAGGTTTGAATGGATTAAGGGCGGTGCAAGATGTGCTTTGTTAAACAGAGGCTTGAAGGCAGCATGCTCCTTAAGAGTCATCACCACTCCCTAATCTCAAGTACCCAGGGACACAAACACTGCGGAAGGCCGCAGGGTCCTCTGCCTAGGAAAACCAGAGACCTTTGTTCACTTGTTTATCTGCTGACCTTCCCTCCACTATTGTCCTGTGACCCTGCCAAATCCCCCTCTGCGAGAAACACCCAAGAATGATCAATTAAAAAATAAATAAATAAATAAATAAATAAATAAATAAATAATAAAAAAAATAATAATAAAATGTGAAATAATTAGGAAGTGGTTAATTTTGAGTACCTATTACCTTTGCTTTTAACGTAATTTATTCAATTGTATTTATTTAACTTGTAATAATGTCTACATTAATACTGGCTGTGAAATAACTGAAAATTCAGGAACTGGCTTTCACATGCTGGTATAACCCAGCTCCAACACATCACTGTAACAGCAGCTATGTATTCAACAGCCACAATCACGTAGTCGGTCTTTCCTTCACATTTTACCATATGTTCTAAATATATCTCAATAACTTTGCTTTAAAAATTTGTATTTGGCTGTTAAATTGTTCTTTTGATCAGGATGCTATAGGAAAATTCCCTTTTTACTAACCTGTAAAGTTCTGTGTATTCAGAATAATGAAACTTTTATTAAATAACCTTTTCTGAATTCTTTTTCTGGATAACCATAAACCTGGATTCTAACAGCATCCTCTAATATTTCCTTCCAAGAAAACTCATCCTTTGGGGAAAAAATAGTTTTATAATATGCCATAGCATGTTTCTAATATAAATGGTGGTAATTGGGCTGTTGATACAACTAGAAAAACTCAAAAAATGATAAAAGTGCATTTGTTAAAGTTACCATCAGGAAATCAAAGAAGTTAAATCCTGAATGGTTTAAACAATTAAAATAAAGCCTACATGTAAAACATCACCTGTTACTCATTTTCTTCTGGCTATAAATCTAGCCCTATGACTTCCTAGTTGCCTGGAATACAACTCGTAGAACTTACTGAGTCCCTCTGAGCCTGTGTCTGTATCTGCAAAATAGAGGCAATCATACCTAATTTACAGCTAGTTGGTAAGCATGACATAGATCACGTACGTCAAGTGCATTACCCAGTGTCTGGCACAAATAATAATAAATATTTTCCCCCATTTCATGCTAATCTCAGAATTTTTTGAGGTAACATGGGATTTAACAGTTTATTGTGGTGAAGTCTGAATGGGAGTCAGGAATTACTATGCAGAACAGAATGCAGAACACCATCCTATCTTCTCTCTTGCAGAAAGCCCATCACTTCGGATTTGTAGATCTGAGAGGGCTCCCAGGGCACTGGCCTTTTAAGCATGACCACTTCTGCCTTCTCCGTTGTAGCTCCTCTTAAACCAGTGGTTCTCAAACTTTAGGATGCATCAGAATCACTTGATGGCGCAGGGTTTCAGGGAATTTGCATTTCTAATGAGTTTCTAGGTCCCAGGACTCAGCCTTAAGGACCAAGACTGTAATCTCTTCAACTCACACTCAAGCAGCTCCAGCCATGCTTATCCTCTAAAAATCCTCTGTGCTCCACCTGTTCACCCTACCTCCTCTCAACTCCTAGAAACCAGTGATTTTTTTTACTGTCTCCGTAGTGTTGCCTTTTCTGGAATGTCATATAGTTGGAATCATAGTGTGTAGCATTTTCAAATGGGCTTCTTTCTCTTAATAATATGCATTTAAGTTTCTTCCATGTGTTTTTATAGCTTGATAGCTAATTTCTTTTCAGTGCTGAATAAAATTCTATTGTATAGATGTATCACAGTTTATTTATCCATTCACCTACGAATTACATCTTGGTTGCTTCCGACTTTTGATACTTAGGAGTAAAGCTACTATAAACATCCATGTGCAGGTGTTTGTGGAGGTAAGTTTTCAAATCCTTCGGGTGAATACATAAGGGGCCCAGTGATGACTGAGTGCAAGCAATACTTTTTACTTACGTGGTCTCGGATAAATCACTTCACTTTTCTAAGCCTCAGTTTTCTCTTCTGCAAATTGTGATAAAAATAGCACCTCCTAGAGTTCCCTTGAAGATAAAAGAGGTAAGGTATTCAAGCACTTCAATGCCTGATACTCAATACATGGTAACTTTTTCTACATCCTTCAGCACACAACTGCTCATAATTCCCTCATACGAGTAGGGCTTTAACCTTTTAGCCTCGATGATTTGTTTTGCTCTTCCAAATGCCTAGAATGCCCTTCCAGGTTACCGTCTCCCTGAGCCTTTGGTTGGAATCCTCATACCAGAGGGTCAACACGTTTAGTAGAGGAATTACTGAAATAGTTGGGTTCCAAACACTAGCTCTGGCATTTACCTTCTGTGTAAATTGGCTGAAGTTACCCAACGTCTCTGTATCTCAATTTCCTCATCTATAAAATGGGGATAATAGTATCTACCTCATAGAGTTGTTGTCGGAGCCATTTTAATGGCAAAAACCGCAATTACTTTTGCACCAACCTAATAAATCCGCGCATATTCTTAAAGAAGTTAGAACAGTGCCTGGTACAAAGTAAATGCCAGATCAATGTTATTAATGTTAGGTGTCCGCCACCTATGCCACGCAGTGAGTTCCTTAGGTATAGGGACAGTCTAATCTCCGAATCCACACTGCCTAGAACAAAATAAGCATTGCAGTACATTTGAGAAAGTAAAGGTGTAGTGGAAACCGAGAGCGAAATGAGGGCGTAGGGAGAAAAGGGTGGGGAAGCTTAGAGACCGGTGAGGGAGCAGAGCTGGGGCGCCTGTGTACAGGGATAGAGCCCGGCGGCAGCAGGGCGCGGCTTCCCTTTCCCGGGGCCTGGGGCCGCAATCAGGTGGAGTCGAGAGGCCGGAGGAGGGGCAGGAGGAAGGGGTGCGGTCGCGATCCGGACCCGGAGCCAGCGCGGAGCACCTGCGCCCGCGGCTGACACCTTCGCTCGCAGTTTGTTCGCAGTTTACTCGCACACCAGTTTCCCCCACCGCGCTTTGGGTAAGTTCAGCCTCCCGGCGCGTCCCCGCGAGCCTCGCCCACAGCCGCCTGCTGACGGGTGGCTTGGGGAGGTCGCGGCGCCTCGCCCAGTTCCCCCGCGAGTGCAGCTCGACCCTGGGCAGGGCTGGCGGCTGGCGCCCGCGCCCGGCCCCAACCCAGCTGCGTGGGTGGGGAGCTGGAGGGACCTCAGTCCTGCATTTCAGAGTCGAGGAGACTGGGCCCACGGGGGGGAAAGTGCCGTGCCATGGGTGGGTCACCCAGGTCTTGGTGGGGCCCAAGCTGATACTCAGCTGTCCTCGCTCCCTGAAAGCTTCGCTTATTACAGCTAGCAGCGTAAGGGATCCACTTAGCCATCTCGGCCTCCCCAGTCCTAAAGGTCTAGGGGACAGAAAAAAGCTGGGAGTCGGAAGGTTCCTCGGGTCCCCGGCATGGCAGACGGGGCTGGCTCAGAGGTCTGCTCTGTGGACTTGGAATCGCACCCATCCTGTGAGCATCTTCTCCCCCTCACATAGGCAATTTATTTTATTTTACTTATTTTTTTTAGAAGGTAGAAAACAGTGGATTTGCATATTGAGGGTTGGAAGTTCAAGAAGTTTGCTTTTTCCTGAAAAGACTAACCGTTTTCTTTGCAACAGAATCCTATTGACTAGATATGAATCATTCCCTTGGTATTTGAGTCACCAGGTGGAAGATTTGGATACTTGATTGCAGATGACCATATATAGGAAAGTATGCAGGTGCTGGGAGGTTCTGGGTCGCTGGAGGCCCCTCTGGCTACTGATACGAAATTGCATAGCCCAGGCCGAATTCTTTCCAAGGATTTGTGTTCAGCACTGACAGCAAGACCCTGCCCTCCGGGAAAGATACATTTACTATGTTCACCAACATCATTTTTTAAAATGTAACTAATTAAAACGTTACTCCATGAAGATACCACCTTTGGTTTTCACGAAGACGGAAAACTTCAGACTGACCAGAAAGGGAATTTTTAAATGTAAAGAAAACCAGAATCTTGTTCCCAGAACTCTGTGGTTGTGTAGAGAAACCTGTTTAGAAATAACCGTAGAGGAGGAAGTAAAAGGAAATGATGTAATCCCTTTCAGGAAAGGATATATTGAAATTCTGTTTAAGTCATTTGGCCTTCGCTGTGGAGTAATTCTTTACATCTTAAAAGTTAAATGATAGATTAGTAATAATTCTTAATAATTTTCCAGTTCTGCTGGATCAATGCATATTAAGTGTCAGATTTGGTCAGGTGTGGGCCAGGCAGCAGATTAAGGCAGAAGCATGGGGGTTAGGTTCATACCTTTAGAGTCTAGCTGCCTAGATGCAGTAGGGGTCCACTCACTAGCTGTGTGACTGTGGGACATTACCATACCTCTCTGGGCTCCAGCTTCTTCATATGCAAAACGAAGATGTAATACCTAACTCACTGGATGATTGTGCGGCTTGTATTAAATCATTCATTTAATCAATAAGTTTTTTTTTTAAATATCTACCGTGCACCAGTGCACACAGATAAGAAGAATCTCCAGCCCTGTGAAACTGACCTCGTTCAATGCTGGCAACACCCCCTTCTTCACTTTTTACAGATGAGGAAATTGAGGCCCAAAGAAATTGTGTTTAGCTTTAAGAGGCAAAATGAGAACCAATAATGCCTTGTTTTCACTGTACAGATGGTTTGACTTCTGATTTTTAGACTTCAGAATAGTTTATCTGGCTGTAACCCCTCATAAGTCAAAGAGCATGTATTTAGAGAGATGCAGTATTAGACTCTAACTGGAGAGTTGACTGCCCTAGGCTACAGAGAGCCTGAAAAAACCAAGGTGAAATATTTCCAGAGACTAATAGTGTAATTTCCCATTGAACTTTTCTCTGGGGGTGTCAGGGAATTTTTAGAATATTTTGTTCCCAGGAAGGGTGGGAGCAACTTGCATTTCTAAATCAACCCTGGAGATATGCCAGCATGTTTGAATAATATCTATTTAAGAAAAATGTGTCTGGCTTCCCAATCAAAGAACTGTGCCTTTCACCTCTGCACCCCACCAAGGACTGGACCACCTCCTCAAAGAGCAGATGTGTCTTTATAACAGACTGTAGGCTTGGAGCCTTGTAAAATGTACATGGAGTTTCACAATCAAGCACAAGGAATCCAACTGAAGGCAGCTAAACTTTGTGTTGATTTGGTGAGGAGGAGTAAAATCCTGTGTTTTTGTTGTTATTGATCCCCGTAGTGGTAGCCTGTCAGTAATCAGCAGAGTTCTCCTGGACTTTAAATAAGTCAAAAATTGGCTTTTCAGGAAGTATATTTGTAAGCATCTTAAGTACAAAGATTTTTTTCTGTCTCTTGTCTTGAAGTCCTCACAGGTCTAGCACAGTCCCTTGCATATGGTAGATGCTCAGTAAATGTTTGTTTAGCAAATGGGATACCCAATGTCAGATATATGCTCTTCCTGAGAAGGTTTTTCTGTGAATGTTGACATCTGTTTTCTGGATTCAAGATTAAGGGTTGGACTAAGATTATTGTGTTCTGAATCACATATTGATACCATTTACTAATTGTTTTCTTTTAATAGATTAGTGTGATCTCAGCTCAAGGCAAAGGTGGGATATCATGGCATCTATCTGGGTAAGTAAAAATTAAGCCTTCACAACACAGTAACATATATGAGTCAAACCAAAACACAGAAGGTCAAGATAGCAAGGAAAATTTTAGGAAAGTTTTTAAGTTTATCTGGCAAAATTAACATGCTAGAAAAGCCAGAGGATGTCAAAAATAATAAAATATTTTTAAAAATGCATTGTAAAGTTACATAGTTAAAATAACTTATGATGACACCAAGGCGGAAAGGTCAAAATCAGATAATAAATTTAGTATATAATTTGGGAATTTATTATATGAAAAAGATGACATATCAGAGAAGAAGAGACGGATTATTCAATAAATGTTAGGAAAACTTCTAGCTGTTTGGGGAAAAAGTAAATCTGTATTCCTTTTTCTCCTTACAATAAAATAACTTCCATGTGGATAAAATACAGAAATGAAGAAGATGAAATATGAATGGGCCGGGTGTGGTGGCTCACACCTGTAATCCTAGCACTTTGGGAGGCCGAGGTGGGTGGATCACCTAAAGCCAGGAGTTTGAGACCAGCCTGGCCAACATGGTGAAACCGTGTCTCTACTAGAAATACAAAAATAGCCCGGTGCGATGGCAGATGCCTGTAATCCCAGCTACTCAGGAGGCTGAGGCAGGAGAATCGCCTGAACCTGGGAGGCAGAGGTTGCAGTGAGCTGAGATCATGCCACTGCACTCCAGCCTGAGAGACAGAGTGAGACTCCGTCTCAAAAAAATAGAAAAAGAGAAAGAAATATGAATGGATTGAAGAATATTCTTGGAGTGGGGAAGATGCTTACAACTGTGACACAAAACCAAACGCCTAAAAGAAAAATATTGATCTATTTTAACTACATACAAGTTTATCACTATGACAGCCAACAATCCCATTGGTAGAGGCAGAAGACAGCTCGCAGGGAAAAAATATTTGCAGCACATTAGACAAAAGACTTATTTCCTTAACATACAAATAACTTGAATAAATTGGTTTAAAAAATGAACTTGACAGAAAAAGTTGTAAGGGACATAAACAGGACATAAAAAGAATTATAAATGTCCAATAACATCAGAAGGTGCTACAAGGTTGGACACAGTGGCTCACACCTATAATCCCAGCATTTTGGGAGGCCAAGATGGGAGGATCATTTGAGCCCAGAAGTTCGAGACCAGCATGGGTAATATGGCAAGACCCAGTCTCTTAAAAAAAAAAAAAAAAAACTTTAAAAATTAGCTGAACGTTGTGGGGTGTACCCATGGTCCTAGATACTTGGGAGGCTCAGGTGGTAAGATCGCTTAAGCCCAAGAGGTGGAGGCTGCAGTGAGCCATGTTCATACCACTGTACTCCAGCTTGGGTGACAGAGTGAAACCCTATCTATTAAAAAAAAAAAACTCCTGCATCTCAGAATTGAAAAAAACATAAATATCATGATGAGAAACACTTTTCTACTTAAGAGATTGGTGAAGGTTAAAAAAAAAAAGTAATGTAGAGGATGTGGCAAGGTGATATTTTTATTCTCTGTTCATGGGAGAGTAAATTTGGTACACTTTTGGATAGTATTTTGGCAATATCTCTCAGTCCTTAAATGCACATGTCCTTTAAACCCAGTAATTCCACTTGTGGGTATGTATCTTATAGATAAACTTGCATAAGGTTGAAAAAATAGGGGCCCAAGTACATTTGTTTGTATTAATGAAAACAAACATGCAGACAGCATAAATGTCCATCGATAGGGTAGGAATAAGTAAATTACTCATTTATAACTTACAGGCATTTTTATGTGATCATTAAAATGAATGGGAAAAAAGTGGATCAGCTGTATGTGAATTGACATTAAAAAAGTCCCAAGATGTAATAATTTAAAAAATCAACTTATAGAGTAATATGTACAGAGGGATTCTGTTTAAAAGAAAGAACAAAGAAAATAAAAAATTTACGGAAAGACTATTACATCAAAACTTTGTGGAAAGGTGGAATTGTGAGAAAGGAATTTTACTTTTCAATATATCACCTTCTGTACTGTTTGATTTTTTTTTTTAATCATGAGCATACATTATATTTTATAAGTAAGGTGGAGGGCAAGTTTAAAGAAAAGCCTGTGCAGAGATGTGACCATCCCTTGGCCTGGCGTATGGATGGAAGGTGTGCTGTTGGAAGGCTTTGTTTGGCCCAAGTTACTCCCTTCTCACTGGCTAGGAGGCTAAACTCTCATCTTTCATCTGAAATCCCTGCTGCTTTTATGAACATATCATAGAATCAGATGAAAAAAGCATCTCTCCAAAATGCTGGTGTTAAAAAAAAAAGTCGCCCTCTGGCCCTCGCCCATGAGTAAATTAACATGGAATTATTTGGGCAGGCTCTCCTGCTGACACCTTCAAAGGCGTGGCACATTTCTGAAGGGCTAGGAGAGACCCAAGTGCGTGTGATCAAGGGTGTATTCATTTCCTATTGCACTATGACAAATTATCATAAATTTAGCAATTTAAAACAACATCCATTTATTATCTCACAGTTCTATATGTTAGAAGCCTGAAATGGGTCACACAGCACTAAAATGAAGGTGTTGTTGGGACTGCATTCCTTTCTGGAGACTTTGGGAAGAATCCTCTTCCAAGCCCTTTTAGGTTGTTGGTAGAATTTAGTTCCTTGTAGTTGTCGAATTGAGTTCTTAGTGCTTGCTGGCTGCCAGCAGAAGCTGTCTTTGGCTCCTGGAGGTCTCTGCCTGTCCTTGTATGTGGCCCCTGCATCTCAGAACCAGCAATGATGCATCAAATCTTACTTATGCTTGGAATCTCTTTGGCTTTTCTTTCTGGGGGATCTCTTTTCTGCCATTCTCTTCTCCCTCCAGCTGAAGACATTTCTCTGCTTTTAAGGGTGCGTGTGATTAAATTGGGCCCACCTGGATAACACGGGCTAATCCCTGTGTTTTAAGGTCTGGAACCTTAATTATGTTTGCAAAGTCTCTTTCATCATGAAACACAATACATTGACAATTCCCAAGGATTATGATGTATACATTTTAGGAGGCTGTTGTTCTGCCTACCACAGGGGCTAGGAGTATGGCTACATCAGGGATGGTAGCATTTGGCATCAGATAGCAGGAAAGAGGTGGGGAGGGGCCAAAAACAGGAGGCTAACCTGAGCCTGGAGGGCAAACCCACACGTGGAGAAAGAGGCCCTAGCCAAAGAAGGGCTCCTACTGTCTCTGGGTTTTTCTTTTTTTTTTTTTTTTTTTCCTGTTTACCTCCTCTCCCTCAATTAAAGAACTAATACTTATGAGTGGCTCAGAGAGCAAACATTAGGAACAACTCAGAACTGCTATGGAAAACAAGATAGCAATTCTCCAAAAAATTAAAACTAGAACTACCACATGCTCCAGCAATCCCATTTCTGGGTATATATCCAAAGGAAATGAAAGCAGGATCTTAAAGAAAGGTATCTATACACCCATGTTCACTGCAGTACTTTTTACAATAGCCAAGAGGTAGAAGCAGCCCAGTTTCCATTGACAGAAGAATGAATAAACAAAATGCGGTACACACACACAATGGAATATTATTCAGTCTTTTAAAAACACATGTTGTGTGAGAGGAAGAAAACCCTGTCACATGCTACTATGTGGGTGAGCCTTGAGCCCAGTATGTTAAGTGAAAAAGCCAGTCCCAAAGAGACAAAATACTGTATGATTTCATTGATAAGAGGTATCCAAAGCAGTCAAATTCATAGGAACAGAAGGAGACTGGTCGTTAGGAATGAATAAGGAAAGAGAAAAAGAGGAGTTGTTTAATGTGTAGAGTTTCAGTATTGAAAGATGAAAAAGTTCTGAAGATGTTTCAAAACAATGTGAATATTCTAACCACTACTGAACTATACACTTAGAAATGGTTAAGATGGTAAAAACCCTCAGATTTCCAATTGTAAACATTCTTATCACAAAGTTTTATGTGTTCTTTTTTTCTCTCTGCCACACAAAACCACATACACACTCAAACATAAATAAGCAATCAAGTCATTGCATTTCTACAAAACTGTATACGTGATTATGTGTATGATTAGTTTATTACAGTGGTATGATCAAGGGAGAAGTCATTAGTTGCAATTTCAATGCATTACCATTGAAGATGAAAGAATGGCTGGTTTCTTAGGTCTTTTATATTCTATCTAGGAGTGTTGCAACCCTACCATTGTTTCAGATGAATCAACAATCTATGTTGCATTAGTATTTCCTTTGTTTGCAAATTTTGAATATCTCTGCTCAGACATATGTTCTACCACTTCACCCTTGATGAAAGGGCCTGATATCTTATTGGTTTGTACTCCTTGGACTTAGAGTCCCTTGTCATATGTTGCCTGTAGGTCCACAGCAAGCACTCAGGAAGCCCACAAATTAGAATGTCTTAGAACGTGACTTTTTATTAAGCTACCACAGCAGTATTTTTTCTGCGTACCTTCTGTTATACAATGCTGGCTTTCTTAGGTAAATACTCTGAGCTCTTTCCTCCTTGATCAATTCCTAACTTACATTTACAGAATAATAATAAATGTAATTCCTATTAGTTTGAACTCTCAAATTAGAATTTTTATTATGGTACTAGAATTTTTCTTTCTTTATTTCTTTATTTTTTTTTGACAGAGCTTCACTGTCATTCAGGCTGGAGTGCAGTGGTGCAATCACGGCTTGCTGCAGCCTCAACCTCCTGGGCTCAAGCGATCCTACTGCCTCAGTCTCCTGAGTAGGTGGGACCACAGGCATGCCCCCACCATGCCCAGCTAATTTTTAAAATTTTTTTATAGAGATGGGAATTCACTGTGTTGCCCAGGCTGGTCTTGAACTCCTGAGCTCAGCTGATCCACCCACATTGGCCTTCGGAAGTGTTGGGATTACAGGTGTGAGCCACCACACCCAGTGGTGCTAAAATTTTTTTAAATTAACTCACAATCATTGTAATCACCATGAACTGTTAGTAACATCCTAACTTGGGATACATTCTCCTTTCACCACTCCAAACTCTAATTTACAAAATGAGGAAAGGGAATATAGAGCTACTCTGCAACCAAGGGATAAGAGAAGTTTTATAAAAATATATTACCTAAATACAATGCCTACTAACTTTGTTTTGAAGTTCATCCAAAACAGTTAAACAATTAAAGCAGCAAGTACCTAGTGCGACAGGCTCTGCTGGGAGCAGAATGAAGACAGTCTAACCAAAATTGTAACTCTCCCTTTCAGAACTCCCTAATCATTTAAAAGGTAGGCTCTTGAGCAAATTGCTTAGTCTTTCTCTACTTCAGTTTCCTCATCTATAAAACAGGTAGGGTAATAGTGCTTATCTCATCTACGGTTTGTAAGCATTAAGCCAGTTCATGTAAAATGTATTAGCAGTGCCTGGCATGGAGTGAGCACTCAATAAATGTTAGTTTTAATCAGCATGATTTCAATATATTAATTTTATTCTAAAATGTATTTCTTGCCAAATAATATCGCTGCAACTGTTTTTGTAGAGGGGCTTCTGCCTATTTCCTGGGCCTGATTTTATTACACATCAATAGCCCCCTCTCCCCATTGGAATGGTTCTTTCAGCCATCTAAAAGAGATGTCATGTCCTCAATCAGATTCCTTCTGACCACTCTTGTTTTCAATATTTTATAATATTTTAAACACATATATATTTCTAAAGACATAAAATACTCCCTTTCCACTCCTAGTGGGCATACTGGAATACAGTTCTGACACTAACTACCCAGCATTAGCATCAGATTCCACAGGATTAAGGGTTCAGTCCTCTGCAAAACTGCCCTCACTTCAGATGTCAGTTCAAGTGTCGGGAATCACCTGCACTTCTGGCCAACTGGCTATAAATTTAGGAGTTTTCATGACCCTCTGAAATTAAAGAATTCCCTAGAATGATTCACAGAACTCACTGAAAGTGCTATCCTTATGAATGCAAGTTTATTATGAGGGATACCCATGGGCAAGCTCTGGAAGGGTCCTGGACCCAGAGCCTCCATGCCCTCTCCCTGTGGCATCAGGGCACCTCACCCTCCTTTGTGTCAGTGTGTTCAATAACCAGGAAGCTCCTCTGAGCCTCAGTGTCCAGAATTGTAATTGGAGTTCCATTATGTAGACACGAATGATTGATTAAATTATTTGTTACATGATTGAACTCAATATCCAGCCCCTCTTTCCTCCTCAGAGGTCTGGCTGACCAGAGTTGCAACCCTGTGATCACAGGGCTAATCTTTCTGGAGACCAGCCATCATTCTAAGGCTATCTAAGGGTCTACCATGAGTCACCCCAATTGCATCACAAAGTCACTCCTATCACTCAGGAAATTCCAAGGGTTTTTGAAGCTCTATGCCAAGAACCAGTGCAAAGACCAGATACATTCCTAATTATACTACACATCTATAACTCACATTAAGGCACACAGTTTCCAATATATATTCTTTTATTTTTGACTAACATTATATTAAAAATAAATAAAGTTATATTAATACCAATGGCCCTGGCTATTTATGTTGATCAGAAGCTCTGATTTTTAGATGTATTTTTCATATGTGGGAAAAATAGGAAAATGAATTAATGTTTGGTAATAAATATAGATTAGCAAGGCAGAATCATTCAAAACATGGGATCCATATAGAAGATACCGAAAAAGGGATCCGCGGTGGTAGAAATGTTGGGAAAGGCTGCCAGGATGGACCCTTGCAGATAGGAAAAGCTAATCTATGATCAAGTGTTCATGGTGAGAGAAGGCACAGCCCCCCTTCCCTCCCGAACACTTCCTCTCTGGTGGGAACAAGATTGGTGCAGTTTGACATATGAGGACACAGTCATCTCATTTCCACTGTTAACCCAGAGGAATGGCAGTAGTGGTAGAGGCTCTTAGGAAAGGTGCAATGTGCTAACATGAGAGAGAAATTTGGGAAGATAATGCCTTTCAAATTCTGTCCCATAGAAGACACCAGCCCTGGGCATTTGGATGCTGTTGTTCCTGGGTTCAAAGAGTTTGTGAGTGTCCTGTCCAGTTTCATACTCCTTGCTTTGACACAGACATCCCATTAGACCTTTCTTTCCTGATGTGATTGCTCTTCTTTGCTATGCAAATTTAAAACGTGTGAGGAGAAAGCTGTGTTCATGCATGTGAATATGCTGAACTCCTCCTCTGGTCTCCCTCACATCTACCACATCCAGGAATGGAAGATCAAGCTTGGTGACTATTTTCACTGAAAGAGACTTTTCACATCCCAAGCAGAACAGGCATCTTTCCTGGTTAGGTGCTGTTCAAGTCTGCTGTGTGTTTTAAACCATGTTCCCTGAAGCTGCTTTAGGTAAATATTGGCATTCAGACAGATACACAAATGGTCTTTTGCAGAAAGTTGATTTAAAACAGGTTAGACCTGGATTTCAAATCAAAACATTTAAGCTTTGTTTTGGGACAAAGCCTGGAAAGTTTCTCATCTGAGTGAGAACAGAGAGGCTTCCTAGGAATGAGTGGAATGAACACTAAAAAGCTGTTCTTTGCCATTCTCTGATGTTAGCCCAACTGTGAAGGAGGGAGGGTCCCTCTTTTATATTTAATCATGATAAAACTATAGTATGCAAAGCTAATGTTTAACCATTGGAAAAGCCTGGTAAATCAGAGGTAAAGAGGAAAATAAAAAGCTCTAGATCAGAGGAAGGAATGTAAAGTGGAGAAGGTATGATTTGTTCTCTTGAAAGTCTATTTTTTTGGTGGATGTAAAGCAGTTAGAAAAAAAGAAGTATATAGAGTACTGAGCAATAAAATGAATACACAGGTCTCACATGAATTATAAGAGAATAAATCAAAAGAGGAGAAAATTCTCAAGTCTATCCCTTCATTATCAGATCTTTATTTCTTTCATTTGTAACTCTTTGTGTTTGATTCAGTACCTCACGTAGGTTCTGGAGGCATGTTTAAATAGGAGTAGTGACAGTCCCATGTGAACAGGGTTTAAGAAAGGTGAAGATTGCATTTGTAGAATTTTTACCATATGGCATGGAGCTCTGAAAAGTCTGACACCGGCATTTGAGAATTATTGAAAGAAACAGGATGCAGAACAAGAAAGCATTTTTAATTCATTTATTCACTCAACTAATATTTACTAACTATCTTTTATATGCCAGATATTGGCTCTGGCAACACAGCAGAGAAAGAGAAATAAAAAGGATGGCACCTACATTTTATTAGGGAAGACAGACAATAAATGAAGAAATAAATGTACAGTATAAAAAGACAGTTTTAAGTGCTCTGGGGAAAAGTAAAGGTGGATAATAAATATGATGGGGGGTGTGATTTTCTGCTCAGATATAGGAGGAGAAGTCAACGTGGCATGAGATGGTGAGCTGAGGGAATATCTCGGGAAAGAGCAGCCAGGCAGACGGAATGATAAGTGTAAGCCCTGAGGCAGATGGGCAAGACACATTTGAATGCAACAGGAAGATTCCCACGAAGCAAAAACAGGGATACAAGATTACAAGGGGATTGGGGGAGGTATTACAATTCTCTTTTATGGTACTTTATTATCCTCCAAGGGCCACAGAGAGTCCCAAGAAGTCTTCACATGGACTGTTCAAGGAGTTTCCATTCTCTAGGTTTACTTTACATTAGGAAGCATTCTTAAATTTGCTGCAACTTCTTGTTGGGATTATCGCTTTTTAAAAAAACTCATAAATAACCCATAAAATAATGCATTTACCATCATGTCCAGTAGACATCATTTACCTTGGCCATTTATGTAAGAAGTATTCTGCCCAGAATATTACAAACAGGAGACATCCCTGATCCCAGTCCCTCACAGGTTTCTCATCCTCATAGGAGTGAGGTGGATAGAGTAAGTGTCCCCAAATCCTGCAAAGCCAGTGCTGTGGTCTAAATGTCTGTGTCGTTCCCCCTCCCCCACCAACCTGCCCCTTATTCATAGGTTGAAATCCTGACCTTCAGGATGATTGGGCGATGGGATCTCTGGGGGGTGATTAGGTTAGGTGGGGATTATTGCCCTTTTAAAAGAGGTCTGAGGGAGCTTGGTCACGTCTTCTGCCATGTGAGAACACAGCCAGAAGGTGCCGTATATGAACCATAAAGTGGACCTTCACTAGACACTGAATCTGCTGGCACCTTGATCTTGGAATTTTAGCCTCCAGAATTGTGAGAAATAAATTTTTATTATTTATAAGACACCCAGTTTGTGGTATTTTGTTATATCAGCCTGGAATGCTAAGACAGACAGCCACCGTTCTCTAGCCAAGGGCCATTTAAGAAGATGTGGATTCTGCACTTCAGTGAGCCAAATTCCCTATATTTCTCCATATATCCAGGAAGATATAAATTCTCTATATATTCCTGTTAGATTGCAGGACCCTTAGACAGGGACGTCTCCCGCAGAAGTTACACATGCACAGGGCTGAGTATGTGGCCAGAATAGCCATGTTAGTCTTCAAATCTTTGTGACCCTTGGCCAAGAGAATTTGGTCAAGAACTCTTAACTAGGTTAAGCACTTTACTTTGATTGTAGAACAAAGAGATAATCTACAAATACTGGTGCTAGATGACTCAAAAGAAGATTAATACAAATTATTTATAATCTGCTTTAAACAAATACATGAAAATTATTCTGAGAAAGATGTTCATGTTAATAAAGTCTCTGGGGAGGCCAAGTGTTTCAAACTCAATCCAGATAGTTGGGTTTGCTACCTTTGTCAGAGAAACCCTGAGCGCTTGGAGAGACAGGAAGGAAGATGTAACAGAATCACCAGACACAGTCATGCATTTCATGTCTCCAGTGTACTAGAAAACACTCAGCTTCTGAAGTATCTCCCAAATCTCCCAGAATACAATAGGAACTTTGATTTCTAGACTATTGATACTTGAAGGAAGCAACTCATCGGGCAGCCAACCATCTAGTGTAGAGCTTGGAGAAAGTCCACACTGTGAGATGTCATTGTCTTGCTTTCATATTCTTACTTAGCAAAC
Source organism: Homo sapiens (assembly GCF_000001405.40). Classification (NCBI taxonomy): domain Eukaryota; kingdom Metazoa; phylum Chordata; class Mammalia; order Primates; family Hominidae; genus Homo; species Homo sapiens. The sequence continues at coordinate 78,564,469 of NC_000004.12, forward strand.
TAATTCACAGTTATGTATTAAGCCCCTATCTGGGGACTGAGCACTGGGCTCCCAGCTGGATAAATAGGAATGAGTGAAACAAATGTCTCTGCCTTCTGGAATTTTATTTTAGAGGGGGTGGAGAGACAGATATAAACAGCGAGAGGTATTACTCAATGCTGAGTGCCCTAACAATGGAGAGGTGGCTGAGATGCAGAATAACAGTAGAAGACCTACTCAGATCAAGTGCCAAAGAAGATCTGTTAGAGAAGATGGTCTTTAAGGAGAGGACTGAAGGTAAAAATCATTCCAGTTAGAGAGAACAACACAAACCAAGGCATTAAGGTGGGAAAGAGTTCATTGTATACCAGCTTGACTTTCAAAGAACTGAAGTGTGGGAACTCTACCTCTCATCTGGAGAGAGTGGCTCCAGATAAGAGTCATGAAGGTGGTTGGGCCAAACCATGCAGGGCCCTATGGACCAGTGTAAGGAGTTTGGACTCTATTCAGTGTGAAATAGGGGAGTGACAAGATCTGACTTAGATTTTTTTTTTTTTTTTTTTTGAGATGGAGTCTCGCTCTGTTGCACAGACCAGAGTGCAGTAGCACGATCTCAGCTCACTACAACCTCTGCCTCCTGGGTTCAAGTGATTCTCCTGCCCCAGCCTCCTGAGTAGCTGGGATTACAGGCACCTGCCACCACGCCTGGTTAAATTTTGTATTTTTAGTAGAGGCAGAGTTTCATCATATTGGCCAGGCTGGTCTCGAACTCCTGACCTCAGGTGATCCATCCCAAAGCACAGAGATTACAGGTGTGAGTCACCCCACCTGGCCCGACTTAGATCTTTAACAGATCCCTTGGCTGCTATGTGGGAAATGGCTGGAGATGGGAAGTAGGAAGTAGAGAGGAACATGACTCAGATGTTCAAGTACGGGAGAGCGATGATTGTGAGTTGGACAAGAGCAGGAGCAAAGAACCTGGGGAGGAGCGCCCATGCGATTATCTTCTTAAAATAATCTCAGCAGGCCTTGCTGATAGATGGAATTCAGAGGGAAATGCAGGTGAAGGAATCAAAGGGGACTCCCAGGTTTCTGGTGGCTGATGATTGCTCCTTTTACAGGGATGGGGAAGGTTGAGGAAACTGAGCAAATTGGCGATGAGCACAGAAACTGGAGCCAGATTGCCTAGGTTCAAATCCTGGCTGTGCCACAAACTACCTATGTGACCTTGGCGAGTGTCTTAACCGCTCTGGACCCTCTTTTTTCTCCTCTATAAAATCACGGTATTAATTGTACCTACCTCATAGGGTGGTTTTGAGGATTAAATGATCAGGTATATGTAAAATACAAGTAAGTACTATGTAAGTGTCAGAAGGGGGAAGAAATAGCTTGGGAGGAAACAATGAGTTGATATAGGAGATAATCAAAACAAATACATGGAGGAGACATTGAATATACAAGACCAGTGCTCAGAACTGAAGTCTGGGCTAGAGCTATAATGTGGGATTTTTCTGTATACAGAAGAGGGAGTGGAAGAAATAACCCACAGCAGGATTAGAGGGAAAGAAAAGAGAGAGCCACTTTCCACTTTAGAATTGCGTATTTTATAGAGGTCAGACAAAGGTGAGTGCATCCTGGAGAGGCGGGAAGAAACCTAGGAGGTGAGGCACAGGAGCCAATGGAAGGCAGGCTAGCTGTGAGTGACACATGCTCCAAGGGGTCAAGGCTTCTTATTATAACTCATGTGTCATGGAAAATACAACATCAATGGCTTGTTTGTCCCTGTCTTCCCTGATTTCTGAATCTCATTCATCTTTCTACTCCATCCCACACCCTCCTCTGTTCTCACATTCCAGTCCTCTTGCTCTGACACTGCCCTGATGATGAAATCACTCTATTTAAAAAAGAAAAGCTGAACTATTCACAGTAGCAAAAATATGGAATAAAACTAAGGTTTATCAACAGAGGATTGAATTAAGAAAATGAATGTAGAATACTATACTATACTATACTATAGAATACTACTCAGCCACTCAGCCACAAAAAAAAAAAAAATGAAATCATGTCTTTTGCAGGAACATGAATGGAACTGGAGGCCATTATCCTGAGTGAAATAACTCAGAAGCAGAAAGTCAAATACCACTTATAAGTGGGAGCTAAACAATGGGTACACATTGATATAGAGAACGGAATAATAGAGATTGAACACTTCAAAAGGTGGGAGGGTGGGAGGGGCTAAGGGCTGAAAATTACCTATTGAGCACAGGGCTCACTAGTCGGGTGACGGGTACACTAATAAAAGCCAAGACTTCACCACCATGCACCATCTGCATGTAAGAAATCTGCACTTGTACCCCCTAAATATTTTTAAGAAATTTAAAAAAGAAAAGCTGAAAAGTATGAATATTTTTTCTTTGAGTGAGCCCAAGAACAAATATAAACTTTTTCTTCAGAACTTTGGACACATTATGAACAAAGCCATGTTGTCAGCCTGGCATATCTCAGGGATCCCAGCGTCTGCCAGTCTTGCCTGCTGTGGACGTTCAGCACCGCCTACTCCTTACTGCCCTGTGGGCTGCAGAGCATGCCTGCGGTGGTGGTGGGAGGCTTCTGTTTGTGCATCATCTTCCATAGGCACAGTGATCATTGCCAGCCAGTGGCACTTCTAGGTGAGGAGGCTCTTAGGCGAGGCCCCCAGGATTTGCCCTGTAGGAACCGCTTGGTTACCAGTATTTTTCTCTGGCCTTTACCTGCTGTATTAGTTTCCTAGGGCTGCTGTAATAAAGTACCACAAGCTGCTGGTTTCGAATGACATGAATATATTATCTCACAGTTCTGGAGGCCAGAAGTCTAAAATCAAGGTGTGGTCAGGGCCGTCCTCCCTCTGAAAGCTGTAGGGGAGAACTTCTTAGCCTCTTCCTGGTTTCTAGTGGTTTACTGGTATAGGGGAGTAACAGTAATCCCCATAGGTTCTTAGTTGGAAAGCACCTTTGTTACAAAAGACAGATTGACAAGAGAAAACCAGACAGAAGTTTATTAACATGTGTATTTTGAGTATACATGGAGACACCAAGAGAATGAGTAGTTTTCAGAGGTGGCTTTGAATTTCAGCTTATATAGCATCTTCAACAAAGAACAGTAAATTTTTTGTAACAAGACAATAGAAAAGGACCTTTGAATCTCTGTGGGCAGCAACTTGCAGGTGGGGCAGTGAAGAAAGGCAAATAACTTGCAGATAAAGGTTAGTTAGTACAGCTTGCTAATATAAATTCTTCTAATACCATTGTCAGGCTGATAAGGGTCTTAAACTATCTTCAGTCTTTAACCTTTGTTCTCCCTGGTAGTCAGGAGGGCAGAATACCTTTTGTCTTCATAAATCTTTGTCCTGCTTTTAGGCAAATGGAGGAAAGATATCTCTTGAGTATCTGTTTCTTCTTGTCTTCAACAATCCTTCATGTTTTGAAGAGGCACATTCTGGTCTCATACTGGCAGCTCGCAGCTGCGTAACTCCAGTCTCTGCCTTCACCATCACATCACATTCTTTCTGTATGTCTCTGCCTTTACATGGCTGTCTTATAAGGATACCAGTGGTATTGGATTGGGGGCCTGCCACTGTGACCTCATCTTAATTAATTACATCTGCAATAACCTGGTCTCCAAGTAAGGCCACATTCTGTGGTACTGTGGGTTAGGACTTTAAGGTATTTTTTTGGGGAGACACAATTCAACCCATAACACCTGCCTCACTTGACTGCATTTTATTTCAGGGCTGTTTACAGTAAACTTTCTTTGGTTTTGAAAAATGCTTTTTACTGGAAAAATTGAACAGGAAGTCTTAACAATTTCCAAGTTTGATTGCTTTATTTTTTATAATCTACTCCATTTTTCCTTGTATCATAAAGCTTCATGACCCAACATAGCATCTTGACATTGAACAGAGAGCCATCGTTTCTCCCCGGCTCTTTGAGAGCTCCTTGTCCTGGAGTTTTATCTGGAGCTTTGATTTGATGCCTCAATTTTTGGATGTGGCCTTTATAGGGCTTTCTGAAGTGATGAGTGATCTGGCTTCACCGCATCTTCAAAATGTCCCTGCAGCAACTGCTATTCTTGCTCTGTAGCATTTGGCTTTAAATATGTTTCATATCAACAGGGTTGGCACCTTCTGTTTTTCTCTTCCACTCATCCTTCTGAATGTAAATGTTTAACTTCTTGCAAACACAGTACACTTTGCATAAAGAAATAGGTACAACTGGCTTTTGTGAGTCAAAAACAGACTGGCCTCTCCCAGGGGCAATAGCAAACAGCTCCCTAGGCCCAGCTTGGCCAAGCAGTGGCTTCAAGGTGTCATGTGCTAAGGCTGACCTCCGAAGGATGATTTTAGAAGATCAAGGGAGATTATATTGTCTTGAAAAAGATGGTTTAAATGAGATGAAGGCTAGTCTAGTTTAGGAGCAAAGACTGTTGGAACAGACCACTTACTGGCTGTGGGAACTTAGACAAGTTACTTAATCATCAGTTTCATCATCTGTGAAAAGGATTTATTATATCTACCTTATAAGTTTATTGCAAGGATTGAATAAGCAAATGCAGGAAACGCGCTTAGCACAGTACTTGGCACATAGTGATTAGCAGCAATTGTTCTTAGTATAAAGAGCTCCTGTTACTTTCCCCCTTTATCTAGACATTCTTTGCTTTAATTTGTTTTCCAACTGGCTTCAGCAGCATTTTTCTTTTGGAGGCATCTGAAGGTCAAGTTTCAGAAAAGGAAAGCAACTAAATGTGTTTAAATGTGTGGATGGAAATCTGATCAAAGGCAATTTTTTTTTTTTTAAATAGACTTTGCCAAGTATTCAGGTGATGTTCTACGCTAGCACTGACTATGTTAGGACACTAGGGTTACTGGAAATAAACTCAGCCAAGTATTGATTAGTAATATAAATGTCAAGGAATTAAGCTTGCAGTGGAGCAGGCAATGCAAGCAGTCCTGTTTGGCTGTAAAAATGCCGACATTCCTGAAGCGATGAGCTCATCATTAAATTCTTCATCTTCCACACCCATAAGAGAATTCATGGCTTGTTTGCTCATTTTTGCTTTGGTTTTCTAGACAGCTAAGAAGGAAATAAAGCAGTGCTTCTTAAACTTTATTGTGTACTAGAATCACCTGGAAGGTTTGTTAAATCGCAGATTCTGCATCCTGGCCCTGCAGTTGTTGGTTCAGGAACACTGGGGTTGGGCCTGAGAATTTGCATTTCTGTCACATTCCCGGGTGATGCTGATGCAGCTGCTTCAGGAACCACACTTTGAGAACCACTAAGATGAACTCCCTCGAGGCATTGTGATGTGACATAGAGCAGGGGGCATTTTAGTCATAAGGTGATGGGTTTGAGTCCTGGGGCTGTCCTTATTAGCAGAGCTCTTTTAAGCAAATAATCTCTGTGAGACTGGGTTTCTTCCATTTTCAATTAGAAATAATAAAATTCACCTCATGAAGGCTCTTGTAAGAGTTAAATGTTTGTAAATCACTTTGTTCATGTATTAGTTTTAAAAGATTTCATTAATCTTTGATTGTAAGATTATTTTGTAAGTCATGTAATATTTCCGAATGATTTGGGCAACCAAGTCTATCAAATGAATAATGCCATTCGTTTAAATAATGGAAGCAGTTTTAAATATTTCACTAAAATTCCACTTCAGAATTCCCAAGCCCTTTTTCAAGTTGGGGTGTGTGTGTGCGTACTTTCTTCCCCCCTTGTAATTAAACAAGTTATTCCTCCCCCATTTAATTCTTGCTAAGTACTAAATTGCATAATAAATTGGGAATTTCCTCCTTCTCTAATTCTGTGCATTGGCATTTTAGCATATTTTGATGTGTAGGTGGTAAAGGCCAGTGAAAAGTTCACAGCTGGAGTGCAAACCCTGAGTTTTCATGATGCATGAACAACTGGGATCTGACCACAATTTTGTCTTTTTATATTTAGAATCAGCCACGTCAATATCTGCATGGCACAGAATCACCTGGGAGCTTCTTACACATGTAGAATTTAGCACCCCATCTCTAAAACATATGATTCAGTATATAGAAGGTGTGTCCTGGTCATATACATTTAAAGTATCACTCCAGGTGGTACAGAGACTGCACTTCATGAAACACCAGGAATGGTCTGGAATAGTCTAGTTTGCTTTTAAATTCAGCCTCTGCCTGCAACTAGCTGTGTAGACTTGATCAAATTCTCTGGTCTTCTTAAATCTTGGTGCTGTTTATGTGAAATTGCTCACTCTCATTTATTGGGGCTGTTATGCAGATTATAATTAACATATATAAAGTGCTTAGCATGTAAAGTGTGCTGGGCATGAAGCATTCAAACAATCTAACATTGGGGTAGTTCTTTTACAATGCCAGACACTGGAAGGTGGACAGGTAAGATCAACACAAAAGTTCCTAGATGGATAGAAGTGAAATGAAGCCAGTTGGCTCTGTGAATCCATAAAATATTTATCAAGCCTTGGAGAAAGAGAATTCATCAAAAATTATATTAAAGTGACTAATTTATTTTCTTTCTTTCTTTCTTTCTTTTTTTTTGTGAGACACGGTCTCACTCTGTCACCTAGACTACAGTGCAGTGACACAATCACAGCTCACTGCAGCCTTGACCTTCTGCGCTCAAGTGGTCCTCCCACCTCAGCCTCCCAAGTAGCTGGGACCACACCTGCACACCACCACACCTGGTAATTTTTTAATATTTTGTAGAGACAGGGTCTTACTGTGTTGCCCAGGCTGGCCCTGAACTCCTGGGCTCAAATGATCCTCTGTCTTTGGCCCCCGAAAGACCTGGGAGTACAAGAGTGAGCCACCATGTCCAGACTAAAGTGACTGGTTTGTTACAGGTATCTTCAGGTCAGGAACATTCACAACTAGTTTCTAACTTGCAATTATTTTCTAGGTTCTAAAGTTCTTATTTTAGATGCTATAAGATTAAACAGTGTTTGAGTGTATTGAAATCAATTATTCAGTCTAATCTAATGAATCAGCAGACTATCATATTTTACTGTGCCAGAACACTAATTTTCCATTCACTTTAATGTGACAGATAATGTCCTTTCATGAAAATATTAAACCCTTCAAGAGAGCCAAAATGAACCCATATTAATACAAGACAACAGAGCCAATACTATTCAGTAACAGGATAGAAAAATGCTGTTTAAAAGGAAATATTATTACTGTAAAGACAGATTTTTATTCAAGAAGTTAGGAACTACCACATAAATCTACGTTTACTTTGATTTTTCTCAACATCTTTGTGGCTGTCCTTCTTTAGTCTCATAAGCAATTTTAAAATATTTTTTCTATATTATGGTCTTTCCCAGCTTACTGACATGCTTCTAATTTACATGCTTAAAATTAGTAGTGTGGCATTTTTTACTTCCTTGCAATTCCTGAAGATCTATGATGTCAGTAGAGCTTTTAGAAGGTCTTCTAATTGCACATTCATTAAACAAAGCTTAAGAACAGACAGTCCTAAGGGGGTTTTCATTTATGGATCATTTAGTCTGGGATTCCCCAAGGACAATGGTCAACATTAATTAAAACATCTTGAAGTCTGTAAACCACAGTTACTTCTGTGCGAGATGCCATGATGAGCTTTGAATTATCACTTGAAAAATAAGAAGATTTAGGAAATTTCAGCTTTCTTGTTGCTCTCCTGCAAATGCTACTTTAAAACAAATTTTCTTCAGTGTCACCAAGATTAACACAACTTACTGCTCTAGAGAACCAATGTTTTATATTTGTAATTTGTTACACAAAAGAAAAAGAGGACTCCTGAGATATGGGGTAGATATCATATTCCCTGTGTCTGGGGGGTAGACCATCACTTCAACTGTAACTGCCAGATGGGTTCTTCCTGCTCACTGTGCAGACAAAATCAGTCCACTGAGACCATCACATTGCAGTAAAGAAAAAGTTTAATTGATGCCAGGCTAGCCACACCATGTGGGAGACAGAGTTATTACTCAAATCAATTTCCCTGAAGGCTCAAAAGTTAGGGGTTTTTCAAGGTTAAAATGGAGGGCAGGGGGCTAGGGAAGGGGCATGCTGATTGGTTGGAGATGTAATTATAGGGGTATAGAAAACAGTCCTTGTAGGCTGAGTCTGCTTCTAAGTGGGGGCCACCAAAGGAGTTGCTGGTCTGGGTGGGGCTGTCCAGTAGTCAGAAATGCAAAAGCCTAAAAGACTTCTCAAAAGGCCAACTGTAGGTTCTATAATAGTGATGCTATCTGCAAGAGTAATTGGGGAGGTTGCAAATATTGTGACCTCCAGAATAATGGCAGGTAATTATGTAACTATGCCTGCATCTTAGTAAAATTCAGGCCCCTCTCATCCTCCTAACTTGGTAGACTTCCATTAATTTTACAAGGGTAGTTTAGCTTTTGGGAAGAGCTAGTATCATTTAAACTATAAACTAAATTCCTCCTGAAGTTAGTTTGCCCCACACCCAGGAATGAGCAAAGACAGCCAGCCTGTGAGGCTAGAAGCAAGATGGAGTCAACCATGTCAGATTTCTCTTACTGTCATAATTTTCCAAAGGCAATTTCAGAGCCACTCCTGAAGTGGTAGGAAGGTGTGCGAATTATGGGTTTGTCATATGCCTCTCATATGCATGAAGGAATATGCATATGTAATACAAGAAAGATGTCATTTTGAACCAATGGGACTTTCAAGTATTTCCTTCTAGGTTGGACACCGAGGAACAGTAAGAGATTATCCAGACTTTAGCCCATCAGTGGATGCTGAAGCTATTCAGAAAGCAATCAGAGGAATTGGTGAGTGATATTTTACAATTCCTTTCTTAATGTTGAAGCAAATCAGGCAAGTTACAATCTAAAAGTTCAGTTTGCTCAGATTGGCTTACTCAATTTAATAAATTGTCAGGAATTTTCTAAAATTGTGAAATAACGAGGAAATATATAGAGAACCCAGTTTTATTAAATCTTAACATTTATCATATTTACTTAATATTAAAAATTACCACTGATACTAGTGGTCTAGGGGAGATCCCCAAATGCCGGGGGAATCTCAACCCTGGCTGGTATCCAGACTCTTGACACCATCTAGAGAAGAAATTCAAGGATGGGTCAAAAAATACTGAAAACACAGAGATTTATTGCAAAGTGAAAAATACACACTCAGGAAAGGGGAGTGTGAGTGTACTCAAGAGACAGTCGTGCACAAGGGGGTTTGGGGCTGTTGCCTTTATGGGTTTCTTTAACCAAGGGGTGGAATAGTCATGAAGATTCTGGGAAAAAGGTGATTTCTTGAAACTGTAGTGCCACCCCTTTTTACACCAAATGTCGGTGTTTCCGGAACTGCCATGGCACTGGTGGGTGTGTGATTGAGTATGTTAATTAGCATATAATGAGATCCTAGGAGAATCCTAGGTCAAATCCAGCGCCATGTTGGGTCCAGTGGGTCTTAGCCAGCTTGATCCACACTATGGGTTTTCAGGGTCATATCAGCCCCTAGTTTCTGCAGCTATTTCAACAGTTTCCTTTTGCTAGTCATGTGAAACTGCTGCCTGGAATTTTCTGTTCTCCTGTGACCATCCTGTATTAGTCCTATCTAACCACCACCACCACTGCCACCAACAACAGTAATAATTATCATAATAAATCATTACAAATATGGCCCCCTTGGTTGGGCATGGTGGCTCCTGCCTGTGATCCCAGCACTTTGGGAGGGGGAGGCAGGAGGATCACTAGAGCCCAGGAGTTCAACACCAGCCTGGCAATATAAGGAGGGCCCTTCTCTACAAAAAAACTCAAAAAATTAGCTGGGCTTAGTGGCTTGGGCTTGTGATCCCAGCTACTTGGGAGGCTGAGGTAGGGGGATACTTTGAGCCAGGGAGGTTGAGGCTGCCCTGAGCTGTGATTGTGCCACTGCACTCCAGCCTCGATGACAGAGTGAGAGTCTATTTCAAAAACAAAACAACAACAACAAAAAAACCCAACACAATCCCGTCAGTTCTTCCTGGATTTCACTCTTGCCCCTTTCCCTAGAGATAAACACCATCCCAAATTAGAGTTCATTCCCATGAAACTTTTAATACCATAACTACATATACATGTACATATTGTTATGCATGGTCTCAAACAGCATAAAATGAAATCATACTGTATACATTCTTCTGCAATATGTTTTTGTCTCTTAACATTATGTTTTTGAGATTTATCCATGTTGATATGGTGAGCTCTAGTGCATTAATTTTAACTGCATGGTAGTCTATTGCATCACTATATCAGAAGATGGGAATATTGATGGAACATTTAAATTGCCTACAATTCTTTTATATTGCAATATAAAAATGCTGCAATGAATATTCCTCTCATGTCTCATTGTGCATATTTGCTAGCATTTCTCTAGAATATGACAAGAACTGGAATTTCCACATTGATGGGGATGCTTCTCTTCAAATCAACTAGAAATTTTGCCATACTGCTCTCTGAAATGAATGCAGAAATTAGCATTCCTTTCAGCAATGTACAAGACTTCCTTTTGCTCCATATTCTCACCAACACTTGCTATAGTAAGACTATTCCATTTTTCTAATTAAGTGTGTCTAAACAGTATCTTATACTGCATGTGTGTTTGTTTCCTGTCTCTACTCCAATGACTGATGCAGTTAAGCATCCTCACTTGTGCATCTGCTTCCACTTTCATATGTCAATAAAATATAAAATATATTTTATCTATTTTTTTCAGTTGGTTTGTCTTCTTTATGATTGGCAAGAGTTTTTTTATAATTCCTCAATACAGACTTTTTAAAAAATATTACAAGCCATGAAAATATTTCCTATAAGTTTATGGTTTTTTTTTTAACATTGGTGACATGGTTTGGCCCTGTGTCCCCACCCAAATCTCATCTTGTAGCTTCCATAATTCCCACGTGTTGTGGGAGGGACCTGGTGGGAGATGACTGAATCATGGGGACAGGTCTTTCCCGTGCTGTTCTCATGATAGTGAATAAGTCTCACAAGATCTGATGGCTTTATAAGGTGGAGTTTCCCTGCACAAGCTCTCTCCTTGCCTGCCACCATCCACGTAAGATGTGACTTCTCCTCCTTCCCTTCCACCATGATTGTGAGGCTTCCCCAGCCACATGGAACTGTGAGTTCTCCATTAAAGAGTTCCTTCATAAATTGCCCAGGCTAGGGTATGTCTTTATCAACAACGTGAAATGGATTAATACAATTGGTTACAGTAATTTTTATTGCATAGAAGTTTTAAATTTTAGTGAAATCAAGTTTACCAATATTTTTGTCCAGGATTTATGCTTATTGAATCTTTTCTATAACGAAGTCATAAAGTTAGATATTCTCCTACTTTTTTTTTCAAAGTTTTGAAATTTTATTTTTCGTATTATGATCTTAAATCTACATGGAATTAGTGTTCATGGATGGTATTTAAAGGTGTCTCATTTTATTCTATTTCATGTGGACATTTAATTGTCCCAGAACAATGTATTGAAGAGCTCTTCCTTTTCACACTGATTTGTACGTAATATCACCTATGTTTTATGCTTCCCTATTTTTCTCTTCTCTGTTATGCTTCATTTATCTATTTGGCCCTCCCAACACCACATTGTCACAATTATTAGGATTTTATAATGACACTAAATATCTACCAGGCAAGGTCTTTCTTGGCTCTTTGCCCTCCTCTATGAATTTTAAAATCAGCTTGTCAAATTCAATAAATATACTATATTAGAACTTTATATCAATATAATATTATGTTTTTTCTGCCTGTTTGAGGTTTATTTTTTCCATTTTTCAATGTAAGTTATTTCTTCATTTATCTCTTGATTTCCTTATTTTTTTTTTAAGAGAGAAGGGCTTGCTCTGTCACCTAGGCTCGAATGCAGTGATATGATCACAGCCCACTGCAGCCTCAAACTCCTGGATCCTATGGCCTCAGCCTCTGGTGTTGCTAGGACTACAGATGCTCATCACAATGTGTACCTAATTTTTAAATTTTCTGTAGTGACAGGGTCTTGCTATGTTGCCCACGCTAGTCTTGGACTCCTGGGCTCAAGTAATCCTTCTGCCTTGTCCTCCCAAAGTCCTGGGATTATAGATGTGAGTCACTGCACCCAGCCTGATTGCCCTATTTATATCTAGTGTTGAATAGACTGTTTCATGAGGTTAATAGTCTTTAAATTCTGTCACCTCTTTTTAAACATTATGTTTCTTCATGAATTTGCACTTTGGCTTACAGGCCTTCTTTAAGAAGGAGGTTATTGTTTATGAGCACCACTTCTGATAGGTTCTGAGTTCAGAATGAGGTATCATAACGGTGTTTGCATTAGGGATGGGTCAGACACAGTCTCTGAACCTGAGGCATCTTGGCTTAGTTTTTGATCTTGGGCATGTTTAAAAATAAGAGATGAGAAACTGCCAGGCATACAAACTACACATAACTGCAGGTAGTTTGGTATAGTTGTAGTCTAGGTGCATAGGTTATAGAGATGCAGAGAGGGGGTAGAAAATGAGAACAAAGACATAAGGCAGGAGAGATCATAATGAGCTGATACATGAGCTAAGGGGCTTAAACTTCATCCTGAAGATTACAAAGAGCCATTAGAATTTTAGCCAAGGGGGTGACATGATCAGATTGTATTTTTAAACATTTACTTAGGCAGTAGTTTACAGGAATAATTATATGGGAGTCACATTAGGAGGTGATTTAGGTTATCCAGGTAAAATATGATAAGGACACAGGAGCAGAGGGCATGCAGAGGAGACGACAAATTTAAGAGATGCAGATAATTGCTATAATATAGAGAATAAGATAAAGAAAGGAATCTGAGATGATTCCCAGGGTTTTTGCCTGGATGACTATATCCATAGTTGTGGATGAGGGAACATAAAAAGAAAGACAAGTCAGAGAGGAAATACAATAAATTCCACCCAGAATGTGCTGAGTTTCAGATACTTGTGCAGTTGTGGTGGCCGGTAGTGTACTGACACAGATGCTGGGTACAATACACAGCACCAAATTGGTGCTCAGACCCACAGAGCACAAATACACTTTAATCTGATTCGGTATTTATTTAACTATGTGTAAGAATACAAAACCAAAGACACAGAAAGGCAGCATCTTTCATTGGGAGGCCCAGCAGCTAACCAAGTACACAGAAGCTTTTGCTTCATCATTGATGTAAGCTGTGTACCACTGCCACGGAAGTGTGTAGATGAGGTCTGTGAGGGTCACCTTGACACAAAGAAGTTGAGCATTGAGTTCCAGGTGCTCTTTTATACCTCTCTAGTCATGCATGCTCTAGGCCTGCAAGCCAATTCACAGCTTCCCAAACCAGGTATCATCGTGGGTTGGGAAATTAATTAGACACAACTTTCCACGTTTTTCTTACTACTGTAGTCACCAAGATAAGAATGACCTTGAGGTCATTCTTAGGCAGGCCAGCATCAGCTCTGGCCTGATGTTACCTTTTGCTTACAAACAATTCATTTTGTATATGGGTTTGAAATTTATGAGAGAGGCCGGGTACGGTGGCTTACCCCTGAAATCCCGGCACTTTGGAAGGCTGAGGCGGGTGGATCACCTGAGGTCAGGAGTTCGAGACCAGCCTGATCAACATGGTGAAACCCCATCTCTACTAAATTAAAAAAAAAATTAGCTGGGCATGATTGCACATGCCTGTAATCCCAGCTACTTGGGAGACTGAGGCAGGAGAATCGCTTGAACCCGGGAGGTGGTGGTTGCAGTGAGCCGAGATCGTGCCATTGCACTGCAGCCTGGGCAACGAGAGAGAGAGAAAGGGCGAAGGGGAGAGAGAGAGCGAGAGAGAGAGAGAGAGAGAGAGAGAGAGAGAAAGGGAGGGAGGGAGGGAGGGAAGGAGGGAGAGAGGGAGGAAAGAAGGAAGGGAGGGAGGGAGGGAGAGAGAGATGTGGAAGAAATGCATGAGAGAGATGTGGACCAAAGATAGAAATATATGTTTTGGGGTCAGAGATTTGGGTTCAACTTCTTGCTGGACCACTCAGCAGTTGTGTGACTTTGGCAAGGAAGATAAGTTCGTGTCTTCATCTTTAGTACAGCGGGCCCCTGTGAATATTAACTATGGCAATGAATAAAAGGGTGTTTCATGCAGGGCAGATTTTCAATAAGTGTTGGTTCCTGTTTTCCAGAGGAAGAAATATTTTGATATCAAGTATGGGAGAGAGATAAAAGGCAATAAGACAGTAACCAAACCTCATAAAGGTAAAAAAGTCAAGTTCAAAAGTAGTAGGTTGTTTTGTCTGATGTACAGAAAGGAGTATTTAGACAATGATTGTTTCCTTCCCCCCAAAACTATCCAAATAAAGTTAACTTTTTTTTTCCAAAACTCAGGCAAACAAAATAAATAAATAAATAAATAAATAAATAAATAAATAAAATTCCAACCAGATAAGATGCTAGAAATTAAAATGCCTTACTCTCTGCATTTGTCTCAGGCCATTGATCATTTTGCTTTTGTTCAAGACAAATGTTGAGCATAAATATTGAGTAAAATAACTTTTGTTTCATTTAGGAACTGATGAGAAAATGCTCATCAGCATTCTGACTGAGAGGTCAAATGCACAGCGGCAGCTGATTGTTAAGGAATATCAAGCAGCATATGGAAAGGTAAGGTCACATTAACATGACAGGCAGTAAAGAGATCATTAATGTACCATGGTCGCTCCCACATGGTTATGCCCACAGTCTTCTGTTTCAGGCTGAGTGTAACAGAAGATGCCCTGTGCATCCAGTCAGGAGCCTGGAATCTGAGTCGTGGTTTTGCCTTGAACTAGCTGACTGGCTTTGGGCATGTTACTTGGTCTTTCTGGGCCTCAGTTTCTTCACCTGTAGGATAAGGTTTGCCTTAGCCCAGTGGGTTCTAAACCAGAAGTGATTTTGCTCCCCAGGGGACATTTGGGATGAATGGAGACATTCTGATGATCACAAACAGGATGGTGGGGAGTACTTCTAGCATGTAGTAGGCATAGGTCAGGGATGCTACAAGCATCTGAGAATGCGCAAGGCAGCCCTCCACAACAAAGAATTACTAAGGAAACTATCTGACTAATTCTGTCTTAGGTAACCTTTTATTTCTCTTTTAATTTTAAAATATTTATGTAGTTATAGGTTTAATTCATTCAGCAAAGAAAATTTAGTAATTACCAGAAACTATATAAGAACAAGTAACTTTGGGAGGCTGAGGCGGGTGGATCACCTGAGATCAGGAGTTTGAGACCAGCCTGGCCAACATGGTGTAACCCCATTTCTACTAAAAATACTGAAATTAGCCTGGTGTGATGGCACATGCCTGTAATCTCAGCTACTCGGGAGGCTGAGGGCTGAGGCAGGAGAATTGCTTGAACCCGGGAGGCGGAGTCTTCAGTGAGCCGAGATTGATCCAGCCTGGAAACAGAGCAAGACTCCGTCTCAAAAAACAAAATAAAAAGGAAAAAGTAAAAGTAAGACTTGGTCTTTGCTATACAGTTTATTTGTCCAATGTCTATTTCTGAGTACTAATCTGTGTTAGGAGATATCCTAGACATTGGAAATAGACTGGTATAAAAAGCACATCCTGCCTTCTTTCATGGAGCTAACATTCTATTAGAATATAATAAACAAGTAAATAAAAATAATTCAGATATGATAAGTGATATGAAAGAATTAAAATGGTTGATATGATAGACAGTGACTGGTGACTGGCTCCTGCAGATAGAGTGATGAAGGAATGTCAGTGAGGGGTTGTTACCTCACTCCCCACTAAGCCTAAACAATACTAGGGGTTCTGCCCTGCTTGATCAGGAGATAGTATTTAAGGTACAGAAAATATAAAAGCCCTGAAGCAAAAAGAAACTGGGAATATGTGAGAAATAAAGAATTCCAATATGGCAGGAATGTAGAAAGTGAAGGGGGCAGAAGAAAGAGATGAGGCTGGAGACAGGTTGAGAACATGCTAAGCCTTGGGTCTTGGTAGGGTTTAGATTTTATTCTAAGGGCTACAGGGAACCACTGGAGGTTTGTAAGCAGAGGAATAATATACTGCAGTTTTTATTTTTAAAGGATTATTTTGGCTGCTGTAGATAATGAACTGTGGGGGGAAAAGGTACAAACAGACCCGGCCAACTGTTGAGAGGGTCTAGTGACCATCCACAGGCACCTCAGGAATTACCTCCTGGGAGTGTTCTCCAGGCCCCCAGGCTCCATTAAGACACCCTTCTCTGAGCTCCCTTTATCAGATAACATATTATATTGAAATTTTATCTTTGAATATTTCTGTTTTTCCCATGAGGGCAGAATGCCTTAGGATAAGGACTTTGTCTAACTTACCTTTAAAGGACTAGCACAGAGCAGGTGCCCAGAAAACATTTGTTGAATTGAGTGAATTGCCTAGCTTCAGGGCAAGACAACACTTTCACATACAGAGAAGGTGAATGATCTATTGGCCTTTTGGTATTTCCAAAATATGGAAGAAAGATGGAGGTGGAGGGGAACAACCATTTCTCACAGTGGAATAGGATGAGAGCTGTGAAATAAGATTCAGCTGCAGTGGCTTGGATTGAGGACAGATGGTAGTGAAATTTACCATTTAGAGAGGAAAAAAACACTGTGGCAATTAAAGCAGAGTTGATAACACTGAATGCCACCCCATTTGTTTCAGCAGGAACATGCCACTGCTGCACCCCCCAGGAGTGTGGTTGTGTCAATCTGTGCCCACAGCGTTTCAGCAGGCTCAGAGGCTACCAGCCTCTATTTCAGAGCTGAAAATAATCAGGAGCAGGAACAAACATTATTCAGTATTATGCCATTGAATATTGAAAATAGAAACCCTGTTACCCCCCTTTAAGCAGGGGAGATGGACTGTACTTAGGTGTGAAAACAGTGCTCAAAACAATATCAATAGGTAATGTCTGTAAGAGGCTAAATTCTAGTGTTCCATCGCCCTGTAGGATAACTATAGTTAACAATAATATAGTTTCAAATAGCTAGAAGGAGGATATTGAATATTCCTAAAACAAAAAAATGTTACATGTTTGAGATGATGGGTATGCAATTACCCTGATCTGATTACCATACATTATATGTATTGAAACATCACTATGTACCTTATGAATAAGTACAATTATTATTTGTCAGAAAAAATAAGTCTAATGTATTGCCACACTTAGGGTTTTCTTTTCTTTACTTGTTGCCAGAAAATTGCTTCTGATGCCACCTAGTTCCACATTCTCACCAGAGACAAATGACCAGCCACTGTCCTCCCTTCCCCTTCCTCTTGGAGCTCTTTGGGAGTTACTGAGAGGCAAGACACCGAGGAAGAGAGCACCTCCCACTGAAGCTGGGCGTGAATTTATAAGGGTTCCTCTTCCTCTTCCCTTACCCCAATCTAAGCATTGAAAGCATGGCGGATCTAGGAAATGCATTTGAATACAGTTCCTAACTGTGGCACTCATGGAATCCTCCCATTTGGCTCTCCTTCAAAAAACCTCTACAAAACAGAACAATTTGGGAGTAATTAGAAAATGCAGATTAATATTCATAGAAATATTTTCAACACTTCTGTTTATTCCCTGTGGATGGACATGTTTTGTCTGATTTTGATACATATGTTCATCTTTCACTAGGTGACTTTAGAGAAAGAGAAAAAAAGTATTTCACATTTTTCCCCTTGGTTTTTTGATTTTAGGAGCTGAAAGATGACTTGAAGGGTGATCTCTCTGGCCACTTTGAGCATCTCATGGTGGCCCTAGTGACTCCACCAGCAGTCTTTGATGCAAAGCAGCTAAAGAAATCCATGAAGGTATGAGCCCCCCACAAGCCATTTCTGCCCAGGGTTTGACCAAGTCATCAAAAATAGTGACTTTCTTGCAGTGCACACTTGTGATGGGTGGACTTGGATGCCCTTTTGGTCTGGACTCTCCCAGTGGTAGAATGACTCTGAAATAGGCAACAGCTATAGAACCTTAAGCCCAAATGTTCCTGGGCTGGAAGAATTTTGTCATATCCTTTGTTTGACATGAAGAGTCAAGTTCTCTAATTTGTCATCGTTGAAAGTAAATAGCACTATGATTAACCCCAACACTCAAGCTAAAAACCTAGCATTATCCTTGAGCCCTTGTTTTCTCTTACCCTTCCAAGCTCCCAAATCTATCAGCAAGTTCCTTAGTTTTACTTCAAAATCCATTATAAATATGTGCACTTCTCTCAAAATCCATTGCTACTGTTCTAGTCTGACCACCATCATCTCTTGACTGGTCCATATCAATAGGCTTCTAACTGGTCCCTTTGCCTCCATTTTTGCCCATCTCAAATTCATTCTACACAGAATAGCCAAAATTATTTTTATTAATTTATTTTAAAAATCAGATTATGCTACTTACCTGCATAAATTTCCAATGGCTTTGTACGCTTAAAATCCAAGCTTCTTATCATGACTTTCATCACCCAACATAGTGCAGCTCCTGTCTAACTCTGTGGCTTTTTAAAATTCTATTTATATCAGTCAGGGTTCCCTCAGAGAAGCAGAACCAATAGGCAGGACATAGACTTTAAAAGATTTATTGTAAGGCCAGGTGCTGTGGCTCTTGCCTGTAATCCCAATACTTTGGGAGGCCAAGGTAGGTAGATTGCTTGAGCTCAGGAGTTTGAAATCAGCCTGGGCAACTTGGAGAAACCCTGTCTCTACAAAAAATAAAAAAAAAATTAGCTGTGCATAGTAGTGCATTCCTGTAGTCCCAGCTACTTGGGAGGCTGTGGTGGGAGGATCACCTGAGCCCAGAAGGTCAAGGCTGCAGTGAGCTGTGATTGTGCCACTGCACTTCAGTCTGGGTGACAGTGAGACCCTGTCTCAAAACAACAACAACAAAAATTTATTGGAAAGAATTGGAGGCCATGGTGGGAGGATTGCTTGGGCTCAGGAGTTCAAAACCAGCCTCAAACTGAGCAACATAGTGAGAACTTGTCTCTACAAAAAATTTTTAAAAATTAGCCAGGCATGGTGGCTCATGCCTGTAGTCCCAGCTATTTGGGAGGCTGAGGTGGGAGAATCACTTAAGCCCAGCAGGTCTAGGCTACAATGAGCCATGACCGTGCCACTGCACTCCAGCCTGGGATGCTGTCTCAGAAAAAAAAAAAAAAAGAAGAAGAAGAAGAAGAAAGAAGAATTGGTTACATGATTATGGGACTGGTTAGGCAAGTTCAAAATCTGTAGAGCAGGCTGTCAGGAAAGGCAGGCTGGAACTCTTGGGCACAAGCTGAAGCTGCTGTCCACAGAAAGAATCTTCTAAACAGAAGCCTTGCCTCTGGTCTTAAGGCGTTTCAACTGATTGGATCAGGTCTGCCGAGAAAGGTAATCTCCCTTACTTAAAGTGAATCGATAATAAACTGAAATTATATCTACAAAATACCTTCACAGCAACACCTAGATTAGTGTTTGATTGAATAAGTGGCATTATAGCCTGGCCAAGTTGGCACATAAAACTGACCGTCATACCCCCTCCTGCTCACCCATTAATGATGTAGCTACACTGGCCTTTTCTCTGCTCCTTGAACATCATAAGCTTATTCTTGTTTTGAGATCTTTATACATGATGTTTCTTCCATCTGGAATGCTTTTCCTCCAGACATTTTCCATTAATTCACTCAAATATATTTTCTTAACTGCACTTATTACTGTCTAAAAGTATCTTGTCTATTTATTTGTTTTTGAGACAAGGTCTCGCTTCATTGCCCAGGCTCTAGTAAAGTGGTGCAATTATGGCTCACTGCAGCCTCAACCTCCCTGGCAAGCCTCCAACTTCAGCCTCCTGAGCAGCTGGGACTGCAGGCACACACCACCACACCTGGCTAATTAAAATTTTTTTTTTTTGTAGAGACAGGGTCTTGCTATGTCACCCAGACTGGTCTCAAACTCCTGAGTCAAGCAATCCTCCTGCCTCGGCCTCTCAAAGTACTGGAATTACAGGTGTAAGCCACTGCACCTGGCCTTTTCTATTTTTAAAATCCATTTGTTTATTATCTTTTTTCATCTAACTAAAAGGCAAACCTCCACCATGGCAGGGAACCTCATTGGTCTTGGCCTATATCTTCTGTTCCTAGAGCAACTCCTGAAATGAAGTGGGTGCTCAATGTATTAATTAATAGGAAGGAGGAAAAAGAAGGGAGCCTAGATCTGAGGCATAAGCCATATTCTGCCTTGCCATCAGGGAATGGAGTTATCTTCTTTTCTGTGGAGGACATATGGGCATCTGAGAAGCAGATGGCAAGATGGAATTTGATGTACAGGAGATTTATTTTGAGAAACACCTGTGAAGGATAAAGAGGCGAAGAGCAGGGTAGGTGGGGTGAACCTTCAGACTGCAGTGGTGGCCTGACCCCTATGAGAGGAGAGAGGAGAGGAAGTAGGCTGAGATTAGGAAGAGCCTCAGTGCATAGTGAAGCTCCGAGAAAACCTTGGTAGGCTGTTGGGGAGCCCCTGAGCAAAGACTGCCCTTTGGAGGAGTTCTGTGTTGGGCGCAAGTCCAGTACCCCTGTTGTTTACAGTCATTGACTGACAGCCACCTGGAGAGGGCATGACCTCAGTGTGAACTTTGGTAGACCCAAAGGTGTGGCAGTTGGAGGCTGTTAGCTAACTGCGTTCTTTGCAGCTGATTCTCTTGAAGTGAAATCTGAGCATTGTTTCTCTATGGCTACCCAAAGGGGAGGGTTTAGCAGGTGTAATTGTAAGGATTAGATTCACCAATAAGTATTAGAACAGTTTCTCTTTTACATAAAAGAAATCCAGGCTGTGGTGGCACCACCATTATCAGAGACTCAGTCTCCTTCTATCTTGAGGCTCTGCCGTCTTTAACTCATGGTTTTCACTTCCTGGCTAAAGAAGGCTCATGACTCAGCCATTATGTCTTCATTCCAGGCAACTCAAAAGAGTAAAGGACAAAGAAGGGTTCACTCCCTCACTCTAAGGATACTCCCTGAGCATACATATGGTACTTCTGCATATATCCCATTGGTCAGAGTTTAGTTTCTGGACATATTTCACTGTAAAAGAAGCTGAGAAACATAGCCTTTATATGGGTAGCAATGTACCAAGTTAAAAGTTGGGGGTTCCATTACTAAGCAAGAAAGACAAAAGAGATACTGTGGTAAACTAGGAATCTCTGCTACAGAGAGACAGAATTCAGTCTCTGTTCATATGCTGCACTGGCCTTATTCAATCAAGTCGTAGTGTATATGACTTTTCTTGGAGTCACAGTGTGATTCAGTGACCTTGATATAAACAGGACTGAGAGGTAATTAGTCCCCATGCCAGCCAGGCCCATGATGCACATTACTGAGGATTTGAAAGGCTCCCTGTATGAAGAGAATGATACATGCTGATAGACCCAGTACAGTGATGCAAGGATGAAATCATTCAAAAGTATTATAGAGCCTTTTCTAAACATAGTGGAATGTTTGAATGTTGGTAGGGTTAATCCTGTTAGACTGTCACTTCTAATCTTGAATGACACAGGCTTTTTCTTTTATACTATTTCTTTCCAGAATTATTCAATTGATTTTCACACTAGAGTGAAAAATTTGCTGTCACTTTATTCCAGATGATTTATGTTATTACTAAAATATATGGAAAAATAGAAAACGAGAGCAATAGAGAACCTTGTATTGATTTACTTAAAAGTGTCCTTTCATCTATATAAACAAGATAATAAGACCAAAAGGCATGAGATTAAGTTATTTAAGTGTTCTAAAAATTAGATTTTCTTTTCCTTTTTAGGGCGCGGGAACAAACGAAGATGCCTTGATTGAAATCTTAACTACCAGGACAAGCAGGCAAATGAAGGATATCTCTCAAGCCTATTATACAGGTGTCTTATTTTCTGCTTACCTTCACCACTGTTCACACATATTTGAGCCAATGTTGCTTTTCCTAGAATCCTCTCAATCTCTTCATGAGGCATTTTGAGAAGACAAGACTTACAGAAACGAGAATACATTCTAAAATCAGCTAAAGACTATGAGTTTCCAGGAAAAATTGGAATATGATCTGAGCTAGAGACTGCTACATAACAATAGCATTAATGCTTTACATTTATAATATTACAGCTGCAGTGGATTTTGCTCTCGGCAATCTCTCATTAATTGAATTAACCATTGTCATCAATGTAAGAGACTCAAATCGTATTTTATTTTTAGGCGTTAGAAATCACTCAGATTAGATCCACGATTTTGGGTGTGGGAAATTAGATTAATTTAGAGGATGTGTTGAGCATAAGGATTCAATAGAAGTAGCTAAAGACCTAATAGTCTGCTGGCTGTGTAAAATTAGAAAGACTCTGAAATGTAATTCTGACTGTAACTACCCAGGGTTAGTGTGACTTCACAGGTTAAGGTCACAGTCCCCACAAGACTACCTTCACCTCAGACACCAGCCCACAAGCTCAGGTGTTTTCAGGCTACACGTGCTTTTAACCAGCTGGCTACAAATTCAGGGTTCTCACTACCCTCTCAGGTTGAATAGCACACTAGAATGACACAGAACTCAAGAAAGTGCTGTGTTCACAAATGCGATATTATCATAAAGGAAACAAATCAGGGCCAATCAAATGTGGAGACTGCATATGGAGATATTTGGAAGGGTCCAGTGGAAGCTTCCACTCTCCTGACCATTGATATATCATTACCAACCAGCAAGCTCACTTGATTATTGGTAGCCTTAGTTTTTATTGGGGTTTCGTTATATAAGCATGATTGGTTGAACCATTGTTCATGTGATTGAACCAGTCCACCTACACTCCCCAGAGGTCAGGCTGATATTGTGGCTCAAAGCCTCAACCTTTTAATCATATGGTTGATCTTTCTGATGTGACCAGCCTTTATTCTGGGTCATATTGTTAGCATAACTGAGCTGTAGTCCAAGAGACCAACCATGAATAACAAGGACACACCTATGACTTGGGAAATCCAAAGGATTTAGAGTTTACCTCCCAGGAATCAGGAATAAGACCAGCCCAATTCTCTACTATTCAATGGCCCCATAGAACCCTCTCCAAGTACTTTAAGGGAGCCACAGTTTCTCTGTTTGTGTCTCACAGAGGTCAGTTGTGTCATAGCAGCTTTTGCAGTGGGAGAGGTCCAAAGAAGGAGTACATATTGGTCCTCATGTAGGTGTTAAAGAGGATGCTTTGGGAGATTCTTGTTAGAAGGTAAATACCTCAATGTCAGGTGACTGTTTTGTTATTGATGTACCAATTGGGTTCTAATCAGAAAAACAGAAACAGCACTAGGTATTTTGACAGATAGAATGTAATATAAAGAACTGCTTAAAGGGCCGGGTGCGGTGACTCACGCCTGTAATCACAGCACTTGGGGAGGCTGAGGTCAGCGGATCACAAGGTCAGGAGTTCGAGACCAGCCTGGCCAATATGGTGAAATCCCATCTCTACTAAAAAATACAAAAAAAGTTAGATGGTCATGGTGGCGTGCACCTGTAGTCCCAGCTACTCAGGAGGCTGAGGCAGGAGAATTGCTTGAACCCAGGAGGCAGAGGTTACAGTGAGCCGAGATGGTGCCACTGCACTCCAGCCTGGGCAACAGAATGAGATTCCATCTCAAAAGAATTGCTTAAGCTGGGCACAGTGGCTCATGCCTGTAATCCTGGCATTTTGGGAGGCTGAGGTGGGCAGATTGCGTGAGCCAAGGAGTTTAAGACCAGCCCAGGCAACATGACAAAACCCCGTCTCTATAAAAAATACCAAAAATTGGCCAGGTGTGGTGGTGCACGCCTACAGTCCCAGCTCCTCAGGAGGCTCAAGTGGGAGGATCACTTGAGTCTAAGAGATTGAGGCCACAGTAAGCCTTGATCATGCCACTGCACTCCAGCCTGCGTGACAGAGTGAGACCTTGTCTTGGAAAAAAAAGAAGAATTGCTAAACACCTTTCAGAGGACTGAAAAAGCAAAAAGGGAACAAAAGGATTCATGCAGGTTATAACCCCCCAGACCTGAGACAACAAAGGAAAGAGGTTGAGGCTATCAGAAACTGGAAGCTAGAATGAGGGACATACCTGGCTGATGTCGGGACCTCAGGGGCTCAGAGCAGAGGCTTAAGGAGCAGGAGTTCAGATCTCTGAAAAGAGGGCTCCATCTGTAGGTACTGGAGCCAGTACCTACACGGGGGTCAAAGTGACTTTTTCTAGGAAGCTGGAGCCAGTTGCTGCTGTCGGGGTGAACAGCCTTCCCTGGGTTGACACTGACATGACTAGCCGTCAGATAGCTTGCACTTCTTTCCACCTCCTGCCTTCCAGTCCCCTCTACTCCCCAGTACTGGTGGAACCTAATAGGGAGCGGGTACAGACAGAAGTAGACAAGAGAATTGCTTAATCATTAATGCACAAAAGAGTATGTTTTAGGTGTTTAAAATATTTCAGTTCAACAAGGTTTACATATTTTACAAAACCCATCAGAACCAGGCACTGTTTCCCAAGTTGGCTTGGTATTTTCTGGTGTTTCTTAGAAGAGCCACTGCTCCCCAAGTGGACCTGCCCTGTGACAGATCCCTGGAGCCCAGCATTTAGGTACAAACAGTTCCAGGATGTGAGCTTTATGAGGATGAGGATTTTCGTCTATGTTGTTCACTGCTGTATCCTCAGTTCTAAGAACAGTGGGGCAGATAAGTGCAAATATTTATTAAATGAGTGTCCTCAAAATTGAGGTTAAGGTCTTAAGAGCCAAGTGAAACTTTTACCATTCAGGATAGTGTTGTGCAGATATGACAGATGATAATAGCACAAAGTTACCAGAGCCTCAATTTCTATGTGAGTAATGCTCTCTGAGGCTACAAAGGATACAACTGCATCAAGGTTACCTTGGTTACTAGAGATTAATGATACACAAGAAGATCAAGAAGGAAATTGTCTCAATCATGCATAGCCAAACTTTACAGAGATTAAAGTCACAGCACTACCCGAGGGACCCAGTTATGTTGTCACTCTCTCGGCAGCAGGCATCCATTGCTCCCCATGCTAATGTTTTCCGTGACAGTAACTGCTCCTCTTCCTTTTTGCTTCTAATGTTCTTGACACCAGCAAGTAACATCCCCTCCCCTACCACATGGTGTTTGTCTACCCAAGGCTTATAAATATTTGTGCATAGCTTTTGGTTATTCTTGGCTACTGTTTTCTTCATTATTTCCAGGAGTCTTTTGGTTCTTTGTTATTCTATTGTCTTTGTCTCCTTTTCTGTGTCACTCGCTCCCTAAGAGAGAAGATACAATGGGTTCAGGAAGTCACTATCATGTTGGCCCTCATAAAGGGACCAGATGTCTTCTACAGCTTATTCAGTACAGTGGCACAATAGAGTCTAAATAAAGAGAGATCTAAATTCTTAACTTTTTTCGGTATTCTAAAGTCAATGGTGTGTGAGAGAGAGAACACTGAAACAGGGATCAGGGACTCAAAGTTCTAGTCCAGGCACCTGTACTATTAAAATATTCTATTTGATTTTATACTCTACTGTGCCTCAAAATGGATAAAGTAGTTGTCAACTTAGGTTGAAATAATTTTTTACTCTAATATCCCACAAAATATTTGAAGGAAAGGGAGAGGCTGTGTGAAATGACTTATAAAGTCTCATCTAAATAATTCCAAAATTACAAAATACTTCCCCAAGTTCTAAGAAATGGGATATTCATTCTTCTACTTGATATTTTCAAATTTAAAGTTTTTTATCTAACTAGAATGAAGGATAGATGTAACAATATCACAACCATTAGGTTTAATGATGCCTACTAAATATTATTATTTAGAAAAATAACACACTTTTTTGGTGGATTTTGCTTATATGAATTGCTTTGAAAAGTTACAGATTTCATAAAAAAGAGACTTACTAAAATCATGCTGAAGAAGTTTCCATCTCAGCGCAGTTCTTGCTATTGGATAATCTCATATCACTTTCTATAATTGTCTTTCATTGATTTAAATAGATGAGAATTCTCATGGCTAGTATGGCTAATTTATAGAATTCTTGAGAATGGTGCAGACAGTTCAGATAGCCACATGGTGTCACCTACAACAAAGGGTATAGTGGCTCCAAGAGAATCACCACCCCATGGATGGGGCAGACAGAGATTTAAGACTGATGGGCACTGCACATCACAGGCCATGCAAAAGGGGCTACAACTAGTCAGTACTAAAATATATGAACACACAGTTGGCATTTGTAAAGGGAAATGGCATGTTTTGGGTAGCTTTCTTACTTTTGGGAGATACGAAAAAATATGGTTTAATTATATTCATTAAGATTAGGGTTAGATTCGATAAAACAGAAAAATTACAGTGGCTTACAAAAGGTAGAAGTTTATTTCTATCATATGTAGAAGTCTAGACATTGGCAATTCTAAGTCTAGTATGACAGCTACTCAAAGCTTTTAGGAACTCAGACTTCTTCTTGATTACTTTTATGCCATCACTAAGAAGTGGTCCTTATCTTCACAGTCCAAGATGGCTGCCCAAGATGCAGATATCAGTTCACATGTAAGGCAGTTGGATGGAGGAAGGACTAAGATGAACATGGCCTCATCCCTTTAAGGAGATTTGTCTGCCTTCATTTCATTGTGAATAACTAAGTTATAGAACTGTACTAGCTAAGAGGAAAGCTGAGAAAGTAGTTTTTAAGCTGTGTACATTATATCTTGCTTAAGGTTAGGGTTCTCTTAGTATGGAAGATGGCCAGAATGGAAATTGAAAGGCACACTAGTAGCTCATCCACCCCAGCTTTTCCACTATGCATCCCTTAGTGCCATTGTCAGATGAAATAAACCAAGATTTGCTCCAGAATGACAACTCTTTCTATTCTTTTGCATCTACCACAACACAGTGCAGTAAGAGTTACAAGAAGAATGTACCATCTCACAACAGAAAAGCATGAAGAAATTAAATAAAAGGGCAAGATTTATCTTATCACATACCCATTCTTTGCTAGTGTTGGCATTTAAACTTTTCTCTGTTTTATAATCATATTTTTCAGTTTGTCAAGGCTTAATTTCATTCTGATTTGGTTTCAGTATACAAGAAGAGTCTTGGAGATGACATTAGTTCCGAAACATCTGGTGACTTCCGGAAAGCTCTGTTGACTTTGGCAGATGTAAGGTTTTATTTTTTATTTTTTAACTCCCCAGTAAGCTGCATGCTCAATAACAATTTTTAGGGAGTTTAAAAATAACCAAACTGAGACAATGAGTTCACAATTTTCCTTATGAAATGGTTTGTTCATTTTACATTTTCATTGCCACCAAGCAATATAATGTTTAACCAAGATCATAAAAGCATACATAATGATGTAACAACAAAGAAAACTTATTTGAGTCAGTAAGTGGAGGTGTTTTGGTCAGGTTTCACAATTTTGACATTAGAAGACATTCTGATACATCATCTGACATACAATATTTATTTCCATTATAAGTGTCTCCATTTTAAAGAACAGGTTTATTTTCTTCTGGACTCTGAAGAATAAATATTTCTTTTGTTAGCTTCTAAATTAAATAGGAAGCATGATACAGAAGAATGATCTTTAGAGATGGGAATTAAATTGAGTATCAGTCTCAGGATTAAAAAAAAGAAAATGATTGCTGCAATTTCAGCCTTGCCACCTTGGAAAAGCTGCCAAACTATTAATCATCATGTGACCTAATGAGGCCACACCTTGCTTTCTCTTTTTAGAAGGCTTATGACTTTTATTATAAAGATGGTAAGGTCAAGGATGAGGTGTATTCACAGCTGTGTGTAAGAGAGAACGTGATTTAAACCATAGCTCACCAATTTTCTTTCAGCTGATTTACATAGCACCTAAATGTGAGAAAATCCCAACAACGGTCTCAGCCTCATGGTTGAAACAGCACCTGTCAAAGTGAGGCATTATGCCATTAGGAAGCGATTTATCTAAATTATGGTTTCAGTTACTTTAAATGTGAAAAACTTATGAAGGTTGAACCCACAACACCAAATTTATGAAGCATTGCTGCAAACATATGCTCTCAGAGGTATATATTCCTAAGTGCACATCTGTTTGTGTATGGACATGAATGCACCCACCCACAGGAGGCAGTATAGAGTAGGGCTCTAGGACAGGGTTCTAGAATCAAACAGGGCTGGAATCTCATGCTGCCAACTAGCTTTGTATATTTGGACAAGTTCTTTAAGTCTTAAAGCATTCATTTTCATATCTGTAAAACTAAAATACTAACAATAACAAGTACTCATAGGGTGTTATGAAGATTAAGAGAAAGAGAGAGTATGTGAAGTACTTAGTGATCAACACAGGGTGGTAGTGGTTAGTATTATATTAAGACCGATGATAATCAGCATTTATGTCATTGGAGCGAGCGTAAGTGAAAGAGAACAAGAAGAAAGCAAACAGCAGCAGGGTATCAGCAGCACAGAAAAGAAACCAGGCAAAAATCAGACAGTCATACAAGGACCTAATGTTTAAAAATAGGAACAAATTCATTTTAAACTATTGTAGCTAAATGTTTCATTCACCTATAATTTGCCAAATAATTCAGGCAATCCCGTGTTTTGGTTTTGTCTCCTGTCTTTCCATAATGTGCTTAAGTATTTGTACATGAACACACATACCACACACACACACACACACACACACACACACACACACACCACTTAAACCATAGAGCCTTTAATATCACAGTTGGGGATCTTTGAGGACTTTTTATTTTTTCTTTTTTGAGACAGAGTCTCACTCTGTCATCCAGACTGGAGTGCTGTGGTGCGATCTCGGCTCACTGCAACCTCTGCCTCCCAGGTTCAAGCAATTCTCCTGCCTCAGCCTCCCTAGCAGCTGGGATTACAGGCACACGCCACCACACCCGGCTAATTTTTGTATTTTAGTAGAGACAGGGTTTCATCATGTTGGCTAGGATGGTCTCAAACTCCTGACCTCAATCAATCCACCCGCCTCAGCCTCCCAAAGTGCTGGGATTACAGGCGTGAGCCACTGCGCCCCGCCTTTGAGTTTTTTTTTTTTTTAAATAAACTTTACTTTTTAGAGCAGCTTCAGATTTATGGAAAAATTGAGCAGAAAGTACAGAGAGCTCCCATATGACCCTATTCTACTCTCTCCTTTCCTTTCCATTATTATTATTATTATTATTATTATTTTGAGACAGGATCTGGCTCTGTTGCCCAGGCTTGAGAACTATGGTGTGATCTTAGCTCACTGTAGTCTCGACCTCCTGGGCCCAAGCAGACCTCCCACTTCAGCCTCCTGAGTAACTGGGACCACAGGTGTACACCACCACATTCAGCTAATTTTTTTTTTTTTTTTTTTTTTTTTTAGAGCGAGAGAAGGTCTCACTCTTGCATTAATTAGTATGTGTATTTATTATAATTGGTGAATGAATATTGATACATTATTATTAACTGAAGTTTATAGTTTACATTAGGGTTCACTCTTTCTGTGATATAGTTCTATGGATTTTAATAAATGTATAATGTCATATGTCTATCATTACAGTATGATAGAGTAGTTTCACTGTCCTAAAAATCCTCTGTGCTCTGCCAGTTCATACCTTCCTCCCCACCAACTACTGATCTTCTTACTGTCTCTATAGTTTTGCCATCTCTAGAATGTCCTATAGTTGGAATCATACAGTACGTAGCCATTTCAGGCAGGCTGGCTTCTTTCACTTAGCTATATGCCTTTAAGGTTCCTCTATGTCTTTTCATGGCTTGATAGCTCATTTCTTTTTAGTACTGAGTAGTATTCCATTGTATAGAATATTTATTTTACCTGCTGAAAGGCATCTTCTTTGCTTCCAAGTTTGGCAATTATAAATAAAACTTCTGTAAACATTCATGTGCAGATTTTTGTATGGACATGTTTTCAACTCCTTTAGTTAAATAGCGAGGGGTGCAATTGCTTGATTATATAGTAAGAGATATTTAGCTTTATTAAAAAACTGCAGAACTGTCTTCCAAAGTGACTGTACCATTTTGCTTTCATATCAGCAGTGAATGAGAGTTCCTGTTGCTCCACATTCTCACCAGTATTTGGTGTTGTCAGTGTTTTGGATTTAAGCCCTTCTAATAGGTTGTGTAGTGGCATCTTATTGTTTTAATTTGTAATTATCTAATGACATACAATGTTGAGAATCTTTTCATGTGCCATCTGTGCGTCTTCTTTGGTGAGATGTCTGTTGAGATCTTTCAACCATTTTTAAATTGGGTTGTTATTTTCATATTGAGTTTTAAGAGTTCTTTATGTATTTTGGATACAAGTTCTTTATCAGATACATGTTACAAATATGTTCTCCCAGTTTGTACCTTGTCTTTTCTTCCACATAAGACCTCTGTGTTGGGTTGGGCACAGTGGCCCACACTTGTATTCCCAGAGATTCAGGAGGCTGAGGTGGGAGGACAGCTTGAGGCCAGGAGTTTGAGACCAGCCTGGGCAACATAGCGAGATCCCATCTCTAAAAAAAATTTTTAAATTAGCTGTGTGTGGTGGTGTGCACCTGTAGTCATATTAGCTATTCAGGAGGCTGAAGCGGGAAGATGGCTTGAGCCTTGGAGTTCAAGGTTATAGTGAGCTATGACTGCAGGACTACACTCTGGCCTGGCCAACAGAGAGTGAGAACCTGTCTCTAAATATATATATATATGAATTTTCGGAGGAGGGAACTGAGGCCCCCAAAATTGTGTGATTTGCTAAAAATTTCATGACTAGTCAATGGCAGAACCAGAACTGGAGCCCTGAGTACATGATTTTTCTGTGCAACCTGTCCTGCCTTAAAGAAAAACCACTAAGATCCCCTGCTGGTTGAAGTACTATGTGTTAGAATCTTCTATCTTTAAAGGATGGCCCTTGTTTTCGTCCTCCTGTTTAGGGCAGAAGAGATGAAAGTCTGAAAGTGGATGAGCATCTGGCCAAACAAGATGCCCAGGTCAGTAACAAAGCGGGAAAACATTTCCTTTACCTATTCTCCTATGTGGCTGCCTTTGCATTTATGTGAAAAGGGAGAAAAATAGCAGCAACAGGGACTTTTCTTTTTTTTTTTTTCCTGTTTGAAAGAGAAGCCTGAAGCTTGGGGATCGGAACCCTAACTTTTTGCCTGCCCCAGTGGTAGTTATCATTCTCCTTGGCTCCTGACAGCCCAATTTTTGATTTCTAGTCTTCTGAAAGTGAGAGATTTAGATAATAGATGATGGCACTGACCTCTGAAATACAACTCCGATTCTTCTCATGTCACCTCTCAAAAAGAAAATAATTGTGTCTCTAATATCATTCTCTTGTGAATAGATTCTCTATAAAGCTGGTGAGAACAGATGGGGCACGGATGAAGACAAATTCACTGAGATCCTGTGTTTAAGGAGCTTTCCTCAATTAAAACTAAGTACAAACTCACATTACAATCCTTTGTGTTGTATGTTGTTTTTACAAATGTTTTTGCATTTAGTATACAAAGATCTAGAAAAACGAAGTTTAAAATTGCGAAGTCTGTTCCAGTTATTCACACTTCAGGAAACAAAATGGGAAAGCTGTATTGTAACTCAAGGAAGTACTGACACTACACTTTTGTTTTTCCATAGAGGCTGAGTAGATTACCTAGTGAGTACCAGGTAATAGATGGGGGAGGGAGGTGGCAGGGAGAAGAAAAGAGGCCACCCTCTAGGGTGAGAGTAGAAGGGCTTGTTCCTGTGGAATGGAGAAGCCCAACTGCTTCCACTCCACCTAACAGTTCTCCCTAGTTAGCCACTTCCAGAAAAGCCAGACACTGCAGGTGAGTCTCTGTTGACACATCAATACTGATTAACCTTTAGCTATTTCTGATATGAAGGTAAGTGGTAGAATGGATCAACTCTTATCGTCAGACCAGCTATTACATGGAATTGTGGGCACCCGCCCTCTTGCTCATGGCATCTCCTAGAACTGTTCTGGAAGCAACAACACCTAGAAAACTAAACCTTCATTTACTGTGAACATCTTCTGACTGTGGCTTCCAGATGCTAGTTTACAGAACAACCACACAGCAAGACCAAGCTTATGCTGAGTTGACGGAACAATGAGTAAACATAAGGATATTACTGTGACTTTGAAATTCTGAAATTGTTCTTTCTTAACTTTTGCATTAAAATCACATTTATTTTATAAAATAATGACAACAGTATGTGATAGTTGCTTTATTCATGTCTTTGTTTGAAAAACAAAAACCAGATAACCCTAGGTCTCTCTCCAAAATTTCTTTTTTTAAAAATGTATTGGGGAAAAATATACTTGGCTTACAAAATATGCCTGTATACTTGGTGACATATGTACAGGTTTTGCTTGGGGCAAATACTGATCAAGAAATTCAAATGCCTTCTGGGAGGTGTGAAGTAGGCCATGCCACCTTAGGAAATGATTCAGCACAAGGAAGTCTTCAGAATTAAGATTTCTTTACCAGAGAAAACATATTTGACTAGTGATTATAGTATCATTTCCCAGGTGCTGCTATAAATAAAATTTAAAATAGCCCAACTTACTGGATAAATTATTTATTATTTAACTATTTAGGCTATTTAAAATGCTTACTGCTTGAGAGAAGGGGAAAGAGAAAGAGAGATCATTGAAGAAAATCATCTAGGGAGTTTGGGTTTTGTTGTAGATGATTTCCTTAAAAAGGAACAAAAGAAAAACAAAAACTTCTGTGCCCAGATTTTCATGGTTTAAAGAGGGAGTTTTTTAGCTTGCTACTTGATCTTCTGCATATCAAATAAAAAACTAGAATATATTCAAATGTGCTCAACTGCGTTGCTTTAAATAATTTTGTGGTGCTTCTTTTTAGCATTTGATGAATACAGAAATATCAGCCAAAAGGACATTGTGGACAGCATAAAAGGAGAATTATCTGGGCATTTTGAAGACTTACTGTTGGCCATAGGTAAGACTTCGAGTGCTGGTAAACTAAGTTACTTTGCACTTGCTTTAACTCAGTGCCGAGGCCTGCTCCTTTTGGGCAAGAATCCTGACTGATCCATTTTTTTTGCTCCCTACAGCCCCCAACATGGTCCAGGATACACACAGTACGCTCAACAAATATTGTTAAATGAATGCTTGAAGAAGTTATTTTTTTAAGTCTTTTTTCTTTTTCTTTTTTGAAACAGGATCTCACTCTGTCACCCAGGCTGGAGTGCAGTGGTGTGATCTCAGCTCACTGCAGCCTCAACCTCCTGGGCTCAAGCAGTCCTCCCACCTCAGCCTCCCAAGTAGCTGAGACAACAAGCATGTATACCACCTGGCCCAGCTAATTTTGTATTTTTTGTAGAGATGGGGTTTCACCATGTTGCCCAGGCTGGTCGTGAACTCCTGAGCTCAAGCAATCCATCCACCTCAGCCTCCCAAAGTGTTGGGATTACAGGTGTGAGCTACCACATCCAGCCATCTTTTTAAATCTTACCTTGCTTTTTAAATTTGTATTTGTCTTGTGACCATGTTTAGCTTGTAGACTTCTTGAGAGCTGAAATATTTTATTTCTACTGGCATTTTTATTGAGCTTTGTTGAAAACTGAGACGTAGGCAAAGCACAGTGGCATGCACGTGTAGTCTTACCTACTTGGGAGGCTGAGGTGGAAGGATTGCTGGAGCCAAGGAGTTCAAGGCCAGTTTGGGCAACATAGCAAGATCTTGTCTCTTTAATTAAAAAAACCACACACACACACACACACACACACACATGCAACTAAGACCTAAGCCAGTTTGGTAATCCACCATATTTGGTTATTTATGAAAGATATCAGTGGCTTTTCTTTTCTTTCTTTCTTTTTTTTTTTTCTTTTGAGATGGAGTCTCACTCTGTCACCCAGACTAGAGTGCAGTGGCACAATCTCAGCTCATTGTTGACTCTGAATTGCTAAAAGATAAGCCGAGGAGGCTAAGAAAGGGAAAACTTTCTTCTTCAATTAAAAAAGTAGAATTGAGATCAGTCTTCATAATTAGTTCTCAGACTGTTCCAGTGGTAATGATACACCTGGTTAATTTTTTTTTCCATTTTACATTGTTAATCTTTTTTTCTTTTTTTTTCTTTGTGACGGAGTCTCGCTCGGTTGCCCAAGCTGGAGTGTGGTGGCGCAATCTCAGGTCACTGCAACCTCCGCCTTCCAGGTTCAAGCAATTCTTGTGCCTCAGCCTCCTAAGTAGCTGGGATTACAGGCACACGCCACCACGCCTGGCTAACGTTTGTATTTTTAGTAGAGACAGGGTTTCACCATGTTGGCCGGGGTGGTCTCAAATTCCTGACCTCAAGTGATCCGCCCACCTCTGCCTCCCAAAGTGCTGGGATTACAGGCTTGAGCCACCACCCCTGGCCTATATTGTTAATCTTTATATTAATTCTGCTTGCTGTTTTTCATTTGGTGTTCTTGCTAAGCCGTAATGTTTGAAAAACTTTGTTGAGATGTACAAACTCTCATTCACTGAGCTAAGGAGCATTCTTGGAAATATATCATTGAATAATGTATTACATTTGGGCTATAATGCACATTATTTTATCATGTAAAAAAAGACCTTATAATTCAATTGAAGTTCAAAATATGTTACACTTTCATTTTGTTTCAGTCTACCATTGGAATAAACCAGTTTATAAAATTTTTTATTGAGATATAACTTACATACCATAAAGTTCACCCACTCAAAGTGTGCAATTCAATGCTTTTTAATGTAGTCACAAGGTTTTGCAACCATCACCACAATCTAAGTTTAGGACGTTTTAATCAGCCGCATAAGAAACCCTGTAACTATTGACAGTCACTTTCCAATCCTCCCCACCCCCTGGCTCCTATAATCATTAATCTACTTTCTGTCTCTATAGATTTGCCTACTCTGCATATTTCATACACAAGGAATCCAATACAATGGTCAACACATAGTTTTTGACATGAAAAACGATCTGAGCTGTGTCATCTTAGAATCGTGTAATAGGAGCATACTACTTGCCAAATAAGAACAAATCCAGACTTAAGTAAGGAGAGGCTTTATTCAGTAGAACTATTTCAATAGAGAGAACATGTTGATTTCAGAAACCTGAAAGACTGGGCTGGGTGTGGTGGCTCATGCACATAATCCCATCACTTTGAGAGGCTGAGGCAGGAGGATCCCTTTAGGCCAGGAGTTCAAGACCAGCCTGGGCAACATAGTGAGAGCAGCATTCTGAGACTGTTCCAATGGCAATGATAGAACTGGTTAATTTTTTTTCCATTTTATATTGTTAATCTATATATTAAAGATTCTACAAAAAAATAAAAAATTAGCTGGGTAGGTTGGTGGACGCCTGTAGTCCCAGCTACTCAAGGGGCTAAGGTGGGAGGAGTGCTTGAACCCAGGAGGTCGAGGCTCCAGTGAGCTATGTTGGTGCCACTACACCAGAGCCTGAGTGACAAAAGTGAGATCCCATCTCTAAAAGATGGGGAAAAATGTGCAAAAGTTTCAAAATCCAACAGAAAAGTCTTAGCAGCAACTTTTAATGTTGGGCAAGCACAAGGGCATGATCACTGGGGATTGACAGGAAACACGTCTGGCAGTGGACAGCTGGACTCTCAAGATAAGCTGCAACAGAGGCATGTTCTGCATTTTAGGGCTTGCCCAGGACTGGGGACAAGCCAGAGTTCAGGAACCTGTGGGAGGAGAGAGGCCTGATGGAAGTGTGGTCAAGACAATGAAGAGGGTAGGGAATGGGCAATTATGAATTCTTGGTCATGGTAATTAACTCTAACGGACTCCCAAGCTTCCCTGCCTATGGTGCTGGGTGATAAAGCCTCCTTCCCACTGAAACATACTGCCACCTTCCAAAACTTTCAGATATGAAGAACAAATCTAGTAGGTAAGAATATAAAGCAGAAGGCAAGCTAAAGGGAAGAAAGGATCATGAAAAGAAGGGATTGTACAAATCTAGTTGGCAGGGAGGTGACTGGAAAGCTTAATAGGATGAAAGTGGGCATCATTATTTTTTATCAAGCTATTATGGCTTACTTAATGTGAGTTTTACTAGTTTAAATGGTTAGTTTCTTGTCAGAGAACTTCATGTAACAGTTTGATTCTAAATGCTGTGTTTGGGTTTCTAATACATTTCTCCTTCTATTTCCCTTAAATCACTCAAAAAGCCAAAAGTCTTTTAGCTTTCCTTAAGACAGTCTATAAGCCACGATGAGAAAGTCACTTATTCTTGTTCTGAGCTCCAAAATTCATTATAAAATCCATTCACTTTTGGTTGGATTCCTACCTAGAGATCAGATTTAAGATTATAAAAATAATTGTGTTGCTGTAAATAGGTTTCTTCCCTACAGACTTTTCTATTCCTATTTTCTTTTTATTTAAAAGATAATTTACTCTTGCGTTTTTGTCAGTTTCCTTTTTCTTGTTTTATTTCTGCTTTACTTGTTATTTCAAAATAAAGAATTGAAGGATTGTATTTTTTTTTTAAGGCAACTGAATTTAGATGACAGATACTTGTTCTAATGGAGTCACTCTAACCAGCCTATAAATTCTAATCCAGTCATTTAAAAGAAAATTCTTTCCATGGGAAAAATTGCTTTTAAATGGAACTCCAGTGCCCCTGCGTGCCTAATGAGTTATTTGGAGCAACATCGCTGCAGTTGTCAGGCCCAGGTTGTTCATCAGTAGCCCGAGATGCTAGTAGCTGAGCAGTGTCGCACCCTAGGGAGTTATCAGGGAAAGCGTAGGTGTTCGGGGTGTCTGGGATCCAGAGATGAGTCAGTCGCTGTGGGAGTTTCTTTGGCAGGTAATTTTATTTTCCCCATGGCTGGAGATAATTACTGTGCTAAAGTTCTGTGCAAATATGGTATTAAAAGGCTATGAAAATCAGGGTAAGCAGCCTTTCTTTCATTCCAAGTAAAAGCCAGTTGTGGGGAGGGGATAGAGTGGTATGACAGTCCAAAGAATCTTTTTAAAAAACATATTACTTACTATAGATTAACCCAATTTCTATTCCGTGAAGCTGAACATTATTTGCTTTTTGTTACAGTTAATTGTGTGAGGAACACGCCGGCCTTTTTAGCCGAAAGACTGCATCGAGCCTTGAAGGTTGGTCTGGAAAGTTCATGTGCATTCTTAGCGTCCCTTAATTCCCTTGGGAAAGTATGCAAATAGTAGAACAAATATTTAAAAATTAGTTATTTTAATGTAATTTAAACATTTTAAGATAAATTATATTACAGCAAATCAAGGTATGATACAATACACTCTTTACACAGACACCTGATTTTCTCTTCAAAATAAACAGACCTGGGTTTATGAAATAATTTTTTTCTAAGTAGGTATAATTTGATTTCTATTTAACTAAAACATTCTCATTTTCTCTAATATGATGAGTTTAAGTAGATGCTAATATTCCACTTGTATGAAAGATGAAAATTCATGTATAATATTAAATTTTAAAAGTTCATCCTCTATTTTAAATAGAAAATGAGAAGGCAGGCCAGGCGCGGTGGCTCACGCCTGTAATCCCAGCATTTTAGGAGGCCCAGGCGGGTGGATCACAAGGTCAGGAGTTCAAGACCAGCCTGGCCAGACGGTGAAACCCTGTCTCTACTAAAAATACAAAAATTAGCCGGGCGTGGTAGCAGATGCACTGTAATCCCAGCTACTCGCGAGGCTGAGGCAGAGAATTGCTTGAACCCAGGAGGCAGAGGTTGCAGTGAGCC
This sequence comes from Homo sapiens, assembly GCF_000001405.40. NCBI lineage: Eukaryota > Metazoa > Chordata > Mammalia > Primates > Hominidae > Homo > Homo sapiens. Next base: position 78,602,189 of record NC_000004.12, read on the forward strand.
TAGATTGCGCCACTGCACTCCAGTCTGGGCGACAGAGTGAGACTCTGTCTCAAAAAAAAAAAAAAAAAAAGAAAATGAGAAGGTAAAAATATGGCTTAATGTTGATAGAATGTCATATTTCTTTTCCACTTAGATTAGTTTTCTACAGTAGCTAATTTGTCTACTGATTTGCCTCATAGGTTAATAGTATTCTAACCCATATAGAGATAGGTACAGAGAAGTATTGACCACATTATTTTCACTGCTTCACAGTAAGTGCAGGCAGTAAAACTTGTTTTAGAATGCCAAACCTCAAGCTTGAGACCCAGTAGATCCTGTGGCCTCTCAAACTGCCTTGCTTAAAATAAACCAAGCTGAGTTGGCAGCCTTTAATGATGCCGTAACCCTGTGTTTGCTTGTCTGTCTTTACTGCCAGATGGTGCGCTCCATGAGTACAGACTCCTGTTTATCCTCAGACCCTAGGGCCTTGTGCACAGAAGATGCTTACCTCCATCTCTTTACCAGCCATTTTCTGTGGTCCCACACGTACCTTCAAAGTCATATCCTAAGTGAACACATCCTTTCCTTCATCTCGCCCAGCCCCACATCTGCTCCCCTTCCCCTGTTCAGTCATCCCAGAGAATGGCCCCAACAGGAATTTGCCCAACTCTCTGAAGTCGTACCATTCCTCCCCAGACTTCTTGACTATGCCTCAGCCACCCCAGGCTTCTTTCCATTCCTCAACTGTGGCAAGTCTATTCTCACATCACAGTCTTTGCATCCATTCCTTCTCTGGAATGCTCATCCTCTAGATCTTTACCTAGCTGACTCCTTCTCATCTTTCAGGTTTCAGCTCTCCTCCTGAGAGAGGTCTCCCCTAACTGTACCAGGCCAATTGGTTCCCTTTCAGTCACTCTCCATGCCATTTCCAGCTTTCTTTTCTTCATATTTCTGATCACTATTTACTTAAGCAATAGTTAATTTGCTTTGCTGTCTGTCTCCATCTACTAGAACATAAGCTCCATGCAGACAGAGATATAATCTGTTCTGTTCACCGCCATTGGCACAGCACATGGAATAATGCCTGGCTATAGTCGACGCTCATAAGCATTTGCTGGATGAATTACATAGATGAATGGAATATCATTTAGTATGTTGGCCATCATTAGGTCAAAATCCACCTAACTGCTCAGCTAGAAATTTTACACTATCTCTCTTTTTCATTATCCTGTAGCGATACATCATTATGTTTTGTCAATCCATTTACATAAGCAACTCTCAAATCTTCCCATTTTCTCCATCCCTACTGCCTTTATTCTAAGGATGGCCATCATCATCTCTTAATTACTCAGTCTCCTCAAGATGAGTCTCAAAGCCTCTAGTCTTAACTCCCTTATCTTCCTTCTACTCCTACCTTGCAATCTGTTTCTCATGCTGCAGTCAAAGTGATTTTCTGAAACCACGAATTTGATCTGATCTCAACATTCTCATGTTTAAAATATTACAAGAGCTCTCCACACTTAGGATAAAGTCAGAATTTCATTTCATGGTTAACAAGGTCTGGCCTTTCCAGACACATTTCTTTTTATCCCTCTTTGTTAACTTACGTATCCTTGAACGTGGCGTTCTTTATTGCCCTAAACCTTCACGCCTGCTATTTCCTCTATAGGAAGTTTCTCTCCTCCCTACATGAACCTACTCCTTCCTCTTGTTGACTGTTTAGTCCTTGCTTAAATGTCACTTTCTCAGACTTTTCCTAATCCCTAATCTTTCTTAGGCCCCCCTGAAGTATGCTCCCATGGTACCCAATATTTTCAACATGTCAGACTGTTTTGCAATGGCTTACTTTCTTGCCTGTATTCTTTACAAAACTGGAAGCTTAACATGGGTATCTCATCTCTGCTTTGCAGCATTTAGCATGATGCTGTCACAGAGTAGGTGCTCAACAAATATTTCTTGAATAATGAATGATGAGTTTGATAATAAATGAAAAAGAATCACTATAGTTGAATATTTTGCACACCATTATCTGATTCTTATAAATATAGATCTCTATGTTGCTTTGTGACCAATGACATTTGTGTTGTGAACACCTGCATTCCTTAACAGGGTATTGGAACTGATGAGTTTACTCTGAACCGAATAATGGTGTCCAGATCAGAAATTGACCTTTTGGACATTCGAACAGAGTTCAAGAAGCATTATGGCTATTCCCTATATTCAGCAATTAAAGTAAGTCTACTTTTAAAAATAGCAAAACATATTTTGCCCTTCTCTACCCATCTCCTTACTCTTATATGCCTTAAAATATAAAGATATTTGACTTAGATTTCTCTCTCCTTGTCAATGTATAAATGTGTTGTCTGAGCTTAAAATAGTAGCAGCAAAATATCCCTTATTTTCAGCTCTAAAATCCCAGGCATATAATAGACACTCAATATTTTTTTAGGTGTACTAGCCACTAATTTTTCTTCTTTTGTGAATTACATATGCAAGTTGTTTACCTGTTTTTTATATTGCACTGTTTTTATTTATTTCAGTCTTTATGACAATGTAAGAAAAGAAAAATACGTATTTTAAATTTCCTCTCTGTTTTACATGAGACAGCATGGTTCTGCAGCTTAGAGTGCTTTTCATTTCAGTATATAGGAAACTTTCTCATTTTATTTAACAGCTGTATATCATTCCATTGTTTGTATATTTGTACCCACCACAACAAACAGAGGCTTCCAGTTTATTGCTATTGCAAACAATGTTGTATAATGCATACACAACTTCATCAGGTACGAGTGTATCTTTGGGATGAATTCTCAGAAGTAGGATTTCTGAGACAGATATAAATGCATTTTAAATTTTGACAAATATTACTAATTGAATTCCATTTTGCAATTCCATGAGGAATGTATGAGAACTTCTTTCTCCATAGCTTTGGCACAGAGGGTATTTTCAAACTTTTAGGTTTTTAAAACATTTTTTAGAGATGGGGTCTTGCTGTGTTGCCCAGGCTGAAGTGCTGTGGCTGTTCACAGGTGCGATCATAATACATTGTAGCCTAGAACTCCTGGGCTCGAGCAGTCCTCTTGCCTTAGCCTCCAAGTAGCTGGGACTATAGGTAAACTTTTGGGTTTTCATAATCTGATAGGTGAGGAATTGTATCTCAGTGTAGTTGTAATATACATTTTTCTTAGTATAAGTAAGGCTGAATATATTTTCATGTTTGAAATAACATTTGTATTTCTCTTTCTGTGATCTGTCTTTTTACATTCTTTGTCCACATTCTTTTGGGTTTTTGTTCTTTTTGGTCAGTTTCTAAGACGTTTTTCACATAAGGTAGATTAGCCTTTTGTCTGGTCATATTTTCCCAGTCCGTTCTTTGTCCTTTGACTTGGCCAAAAGTATTTTTTTCCAAGCAGAGGTTGCACATCTTATTTAATTAAATTTATCAATCTTTCACAGTATTTTAGTTTTTAAAAAATCTGGTCCCTTCTGTTTCTTTCATTCTGGATGAGAATCTTCCTAAAATGGGCTCCTTCCTTTCTCTTTTAAAGCATGAAACCCATTTTCATTGTTTTCAGATCTCAGTTGATATATTATACATAGAAACTTCAAATAAATTACAAATTATTTGAATTAATAGGGCAGTAAGCCTGACAAAAATTGTACAAGAGGCTTCTGTACCTTAAGCTCGTGGTTCAAAAGTCATAGTCCCAACAGGAAGATGGCAACTAGTTAGTGGAGAACTAAGGGGCTAGCCCCACACCTGCTCAGTAGCCTTCCATTGATTTACTTTTCTACCTTGATGCTCCAGACCACATATGAAAGTCTCTAGTAAATGAGTGATAGAGAGTGTTAGTCCAAGCTGGTTCCCTGGAACAAAGTGGAAGCTGGGGTTGGTGAGTGGAGCAATCCACTGTCCTTGCCTCCAAGGCCACACTGACCAGGGGAAAAGACAGAGTCAGGGCTGCCTTCGCAGAGGACTTGCAGGCTATGCAGACCTCTCCGTCTCTTTGCTACTCCATCTACCCTTGAATGTCTCGAGGAAATCAGCACTAGAGAGTATTGGACCCAGGTGAACTCTCCAAGGTCTAAGCTGAGACTTGGGGCCTAGAAGGTGATCCAGGATGAAGAGGGAAGCAGCAGCCAAGCAGAGTGTTTGCTCTGAGTGCTGAGGGTCTAAAACTGGGAATGGAGTCCATGCTGATTAGACCCCCTAAGCTGTGGATCATTATGCACCATGCACATCCTGATCCTGGGTAGCAGCACCCTCTCTCAAGCCCCTACAAGGCTGGAGCACTACCTCTGTGGGGGAGCTTACACTCAGCGATGTCCCCTGGGGACACCTGGCTTAGACCACATTCCAGTGTCCCTGCCAGCAGCTGGAGTCTTTGGTCCAACCTTCGCTATGGCCCTACCCACAATAGCCACCCTTGAACAGGCACAAATATTAGCCTGGGTCTTTCTGCAGCTATCTTGGGAAGGTTTCTGCCTCTGACTTTACAAATGGCCTTTGAATGAATGAATGAATGAATGAACATCAATCAGTCAACTAGATTCATTCACTAAAATCTCTCTCTCTCTCTTTTTAATCAGAGTTTTTGTTTTTGCACTAAACTTTTACAGAAAGAGATGCTGAGATGCATGCATAAGTTGAAATCAGGAACTTACTCAAAAAGGCAATTCTCAGACTGTGCCTGGGACTTAGCACAAATTGCATCAACTGCTCACACTCAATTCTATTTGAATCAGTCCTGACACATCACAATAGTTTCAATCATCAGAGGAAGATTCAATAACATTAACCATGTTGTAGCTACTAAGGCAGAAAAATAGACTCACACATTTTCTAAAGATTGTCAGTAACAAGGTTGAGACATAAAGAGGGCTTTCAGTTCACCCTCAGCAAACCAGAAAATTAAATTAACCAGTGGCTCTCCGTTCCCCAGTGGTCTGGGTAATTGAGGCTTATTGTATTAGAAAACATTTAAACTATTTGTAGTTTGATAGAAAAGAAAAATCCATCACTGAAAACTTCAGTTTGCAGTTTGAAATAGTACAAGATTTCTTTATTTCTACCACCTAACACATATTATTAAGTAATCTCATTACATTTTTGCTATTGAAGAACAGGATCTTTTTAGATGGTTGTTTCTGAAATTCATGGGATAGAGTTCCATTTTGCATATCATCTCAGCCTGTCATCCTGCCTGTTTTCTTCCTTCCACCTATTGTTTAGACATTTCTTTGTCCATTGACACCTTTCTCAGGGGGTAACCGGTGGGAAGGAGAAGGCAAGGAAGAACAGAGGTGAAAAACCAATGTGTACCTCTTACTACTTTATAAGAAGATATTATGGAAAATTTAGATGAAATTATATTTTTTGGTAGTTTTCCTTCATAGACAAATTCTGTATTTATTTAATAAATAGCACAATTCCAAGCTTTTTATGGGAAAATATAGTAGCCACTCACAATCAACTCATAATCTATGTGGAGACTTGAGGTAGGTATGAAGAAACAATTAGAAGATAATAATTGAAACAACAGACAATTAAATACTAGATTGTTGAATATAGAGCTAGTACTATCGGAATTGAGAAGAAAAGAAGTTTGGGGTTAGAGAAATGGGTCTTGAGCCTGCCTTTCAGGTCAACAAGCATGTGTTGAGTGTCTCCTGTGGGCCAGGTGCTCTGCTGGAGCATTTACCTTTAAGACCCCAGATCAATAGGGTCTTAAAAGTAAATGCTCTAGAGACAGATATGGGAAGAAGCAAGAGGGAAAGAAGTAATAAGGCATTTGTTTGATTAGAGGGTCTACCTTGGGGAATATTGAGAAATAAAATCCAAGTAGCAAGATGAGTTCAGTTGAAAGAGAGCTTTGAGATCAGCGAATTCACTCATTCAATTAAAAATATTATCAAATGCATATTATGTGCTAGGCTCAGGGTTACAATTATAAGCAAAGGGGGTAGGGTGGGGGAAGACATTTTCTGCCCTTATGGAATTACAACTATGTTAAATGTAAAGGAAAGTGACATTGTGCTAAAAGATCCTACAATAGTAGGACTTGACTTAGAGGAAAGGCTTCTATGAGAAAGTCATGATTCAGATCTGGAAAATAAGTAGATATTAATAAGGCAAAATGTATGGAGGTAAGGGAGCCAGTAGAACATTCTAATAAAAGAAATGACAAATGGAAAGGCCTCATGGTGGAGGAAGCATAATGAAAAATGAGGATGTGGGGGCCAGATCATGCAGGACCTTTTTGGCAATGTTTAAGGAATTTTGGCTTTAGCTTAAGAGTAAGGGGAAGCCATTGAAGAGTTCTGGGCATGAGCTCTTGAAGAGTTAGTATCAGGATCATGAAAAGATCCCTGTAAGATCTTCTTATTCTGGAGAATAAGAAGGGCTCAAAAGATATTTAGGAGTTGAAACTTAAGGGACTTGGTATAATATCTTGGTGTGAGGAAAGGAAGATAGCAAGGATGACACTCAAGTTCCTAACTTGGAAAACAGACAGTGGCGCCATTCCTTGCAAGAGGATCAGGTTTTAGGTTGTTTGTTTGTTTGTTTGTTTCCTTTTCTTTTGGGGGAGTGGGGGGAGGTTTATGAGTTTGGTTTTACATGTATTGAGTTTGAGATGTCTTTGAGCCATGTAAGACATGTGGAGAGGTCAAGTAAGTCATTAGCGGTGTAAATATACTTTGAGTTACTTGGATGTATTTTCTTGACTAACTGGTAGAACGCCTAATTGTTTACAACTCTGATCAGAGATGTCTAGAAGGAGCTCTTTTAATACAAAGCTGGAGCATTGTTGACTTGTCAGCTCTGCTATTGCAGAGCAAGACAGGAAAACCAATAGCATAAGAACTAAAATCTATATAAAAACGAAGAATATTGTCATATATTTTGTGAAACAGACAAATGAACAAGAAATAAAGAAAACAGAAAAATATATATAAAGGCCTATTGTGTCTTACTATGAAAGTAATGCTTAACTTCTTCACTAAATGAGCCTTCTCTGAGACTTCCTTTATATTACCACTTTCTCTAATATTCACCCCAGTAACAGCCATTCCAAATGTGAAACTTAAGTGATAAGAAGAGCTCACTGGTTGGGTTACCTCAAATAAAATAAAAATAATGTGAGCATCTTACACAATCCAGGTTGAAAGCCAAGTTTTACCTCCTGTGAAGTCTTTTGCGTTACAAACTTGGTATCTTTGCCCTTTAAGCCTCAACCTCACGTAGTATCTTTTCTGGACAACAGTCTATTTTTGGTTGGCCTTGGGAAAAGGAACTGATAAACATATTCTTTAAAAATGTGGTTCATTTCACTTTCCTAAGTTAGGCAGTGTAGCAGGGTATTAAGGAGCCAGGATATAGGGATTCAAATCCTGCTTTTGTCACTTATTCTCGATAAGATTTGAGGCAAGTTTCCTAACCTGTCTTTCTCATTTTACTTATCTGTTAAATGGGGGATACGTATAGTACCTATTGCAGAGAGCTTTTAAAAGGGTTAAAGTAGTTAATACACATTAAGCCTTTTGAATAGCAAGTGTTCGATAAATATTATTAAAACTAAAATTTGAAGTTTTTATAGAAATCAATATTATGTAAGTGATGCAATCTTATTTTATTAAACCAAAATTGAAATTTAACTGCAGTATATCAGGAAGAATCTAAATATTACTTACAGTGAAGAAGATGCTGGTCAGAACGTAATTACACTCAGGTATGAATGAATGATGGAATTGCAGGTATGTTTTACTAAATGGTATAGCTCATGAGTCTCACACCCAGGTGAATTCCCTAGTGCTATAGGATTTGATTCATTTATGGTCTCCCATTATTTATACTGTATTTGTTCTTCATTGATTTTATTCTTTGCAGTCGGATACTTCTGGAGACTATGAAATCACACTCTTAAAAATCTGTGGTGGAGATGACTGAACCAAGAAGATAATCTCCAAAGGTCCACGATGGGCTTTCCCAACAGCTCCACCTTACTTCTTCTCATACTATTTAAGAGAACAAGCAAATATAAACAGCAACTTGTGTTCCTAACAGGAATTTTCATTGTTCTATAACAACAACAACAAAAGCGATTATTATTTTAGAGCATCTCATTTATAATGTAGCAGCTCATAAATGAAATTGAAAATGGTATTAAAGATCTGCAACTACTATCCAACTTATATTTCTGCTTTCAAAGTTAAGAATCTTTATAGTTCTACTCCATTAAATATAAAGCAAGATAATAAAAATTGTTGCTTTTGTTAAAAGTAATTTCTTTGTTTGCTTTCAGAGCTTGCCAACATTGTTTGATGCCTGGTGCCAACAACTAATATTTTAAAACATGTTTCTGTATAGAAGCTGTTACTGCTTCAGTTTATCACCTTGTTAATCACACTTTTTTGAAAGAAAGGAATAAGATGAAGATGTATGTGACCCTGGCCTACCCTTTGTAGTTGTGATCAAGCTATAGGAGTGGTAATGCATGATAAGTTATTTCAGCTTTCAGAAAACATCTGCTGAAGGATTAATCTAACCACTTCCTGTCTGAATGGCAAGCATGAATTATGGTTGCTTCATGCTAAATACTACTTTCCCAGAATGGGCATTTAGAATCAAGCCTCTAAGGTTTCCTTTTCTCTTGAGTTGGCAAAACTATGCATTTAAAGAATCCATCATGCCATCTTTGAGTGGGACCTAATATGAAATACCTTGACTGATATGAAATAGATAAAGTGAAAAAAATTCCAGTTAGAGTTATTTTCCTGGACCAGAATAGAAATGATCGTACTGGCCATGTGCAGTGGCTCACGCCTGTAATCTCAGCACTTTGGGAGGTTAGCAGGCGGACTGCTTGAGCCCAGGAGTTTGAGACCAGCCTGGGCAACCTAGTGAGACCCTGTCTCTGCCAAAAATACAAAAATTAGCCTGGCATGGTGGCACATGCCTGTGGTCCAAGCTACTTGGGAGGCTGAGGTGGGAGGATTGCTTGAGTCAGGAAGCTCATTTGGCAAGTTAGTTCTGTAATCAATACTATAAATGTCAGTCATAACTAAGATGATGGCAGGAGATAATGAAAACAACTACTTAAATATTTGGGAGATAAAATTGAGTAAACATGGTATTCAAAGTTACCAAGTGTCAGTCAAGTATGCCTTCACGATTTTAGTGTAAGTGATTTAGTGAGTAAGTATATCACGAAGCAATAAATCAATGTTAATACTCATAGAGTGCTTACTATGTATTAGGTACTATGTTAAACAGTGTAGTATATTTTAATTTGTTAATCCTCAAGGCATCTTACAATGTAGATACCAACACAGATATAGAAATGGAAATGGAAGCTTAGAGAAATTAAGTAACTTGTCACTGTAAGAGCCAGGTAGTCCAACTCCAGTGTCCAGGCTCTTAACCACTGTTTTGCCTTAGAATTTATCCCATCCCAGGGCCACTGTAGTTTTCAATGCCTAGTGCTTAGATTAGAACAGTGCTCAGCACATAAAAGGCATTTAATACAGTGAATCTTTATTTTAGATCTCATTCATCCTCAGAGTTGTTATACCACTTATGTATTAAGTACTTTCTGAAACAAAGCATGGTTACATGTGTCAATATTTCCCCTGTTTTGCAAGTGAGGAAAATGAGACTCAGGTTAGGTATCCAGCCCAGGGTTACACAGTGGCAAAGCCAAGGCTTAAGATCCGGGTCATCTGGACTTTAAAACTTATCTGTGGCTGGGCAAAGTGGCTCACACCTCTAATCCCAGCATGTTGGGAGGCTGAGACAGAAGGATCACTTGAGCCCAGGGGTTTGAGACCAGTCCAGGAAACATCAGGAGACTCTGTCTCTACGAAAAATTTAAAAATTAGCTGGGTGTGGTAGTGTGCACCTATAGTCTCAGCTACTCAAGAGACTGAAGTGGGATGATCAGTTGAGCCCAGGAGTTTGAGGCTGCAGTAAGCTATGATCACACCACCGTACTGCAGCCTGGGTGACAGAGCAAGACCCCGTCTCAAAAACAAAACAAAACAAAAAAACCTTACCTGTGCATGAGTGAGTTTGAAGAAGGTGAGAACTTGAACACAGTAGTGATCACACAAGAGAATTCTGCAGAAAAAAAAAAAGCCCCAATGAGGTAACCCTCTAACCCTTCTACTCACATCTGTTTTGCCTTGTATGCATTGGACTTCAGGCAATTACCTTTCTAAGCCACATATTCCTCGTCTTTAAAATGGGACAACAATAGTACCTACCTCATAAGATTGTTTTGAAAAATAAATGAAAAAAAACACTTAAAAGGTATTCCACATAGTGCATAGCACATGGTAAGCCCTTAATAAATGTTAGCCTGTATCATATAATTATTATAGAGTAGTATTCAATGGCCACATTTTTTATTGCCTCCAATTTCCACAAGGTGGCATGTCAAGTTCAAAGTGAACCCCACGGCCTTGCATCCCAATGGCAAAACCTACTTAACTTGCTTCAGAATAACATGGCCAAATCTAAACTGTTGGAAACTTCTTCTATAGAAGGTTTGTCATGGTTCAGAAATCTTATTGTCACTGTAAACTCCTTCTTAAGGAAACATGTGGAACATTTAATTTAATCATCTGGCTTCTCTGGATTCCCAGGACCATCTTCATTTACATGAATGTGCATTAGCTCTGACATGGATCACCTGCAGAATTGAGTGCATTCATGTCATCTCATTAAGCCCTAAGTTTAGTCCCTGAAGATTGAAAGAAGAGAAAAATAGCCAGCTGCAGAGAGTCCTGGGCTCTGTGGTTGGTGAGCTGCAGAAGCAGAAGGTTTGTACACTTCACGCTACAGTAACAGAATGTTTGGTCTATAAATCAGGAGCTGCAAAAATGGCAAATGAGGATGTTGAATAGGAGATTCTCTAGCCTATTTGTAAGAATGTATTGAGGAAATTTTTAAAATAGTGTACAGTAGTTCAGACATTTCTTCCATGTACCTTCCCCTATTTCCATTTCCCCAATTTCATGCCATATGGATAACCCACAGTTTTACTTTGTCTTTAAAACAATAATTTTGGGGTCATATCAAACTGGGTTCAAATCCTGGCTTCACCACTTATGGCAGCAGCGTAGATAACAGTGCTCGACAAATACTTAACCTCCATACAACTCAATTCTTTAGCTGACAATAACAGCACCTACCTTAAATATGTGCAAGGATGAAATGAAATAAAGCATGTGAAAAATTTAACTCAATAAAAATTAGTTACCAATAACTGCATTGGCATGGTGAGTTGCCAGTGAAGAGCAGATAGTAAGTGTTCAACAAGCATTTGTAGAATAAATAAGCGATACTTGTTTTAGTACTACTCAGCGACAGTAACTCTGAGGCCTTGGAAGCTTCAGAGAACTGTCAGCTGAAATCAGTGTTATTAATATGTTGTCAGTGTGTCCTCCAACGATAAGAGCCAACTGTGTTCACCTCAGTGATGAGGTTACAGGATCTGAAGAAAGTTTCCTAGTCTTATTTCCTGCCCATCAGTTGACAGTAGTATGACATGTGAGGGAGTGAGTCGCTTACTCTTTCTGTACCTTAGTTTCCTCACCTGTAAAGCCAGGATGGCCATGCAAGTATCATTCAGAGTAGGCGTGAGGTTTCAATAAGCCAGATTAGGTGATGCACTTACCACAGTGCCTGCACCCGTTAAGTGCTCAATAAACATTAGCCATTATTCTCTGGCTCAGTTTGGAAGACTTACAATTGCTTATACAGTGCTCTAATCACTTGGGGGATTTTGAGATGTTGTAAAGCTACCTCTTCTAGTTTGCAATTAGGAAAGAAGATAAAGCAAACTTCTTGGCAATTTCCTGCCTGTGAAACCTTGTGTTTTATGAGCCACGGAAAGTACCCCAAATTTTTTTTCAACCCCACCCCCAGCAAACTGACAAACTCAGATCTTTCCCACCCACTCTGTATGTCTCCCGTGGGACTGTGAGAGTCAAGCAAGTACAGGTTGCTGTGTGCTGAAGCCTTTTTACTGGTGCTATATTTCTTTCAGTTTCATCAAACTCAGCTTTGTGCCAGTTTTACCCACCAGGGCCAGCCCTCCTCTGAAACCAAAGTTTGCCTATTTCTGTAGAGTTTACAAAGTCAACAGTGAGAGAGAGGAGAATTTCAAATGAGGAGGAGGGTTACAGAGTAGGAGGTAACATTGAATGGCTGCTGCAGTAAACTGTTAAAAGAAATCCCAAACCCAGAATACCAGAGCAGCCCATTCAGCTGAAAGGTTTTATGACACAACCATGCATAAGAAAAAACTAGCTATCAAAATGTACATGTGACCTCTTTGGGCATAAACTTTGTGGAACTGGATGTGGCAATAAATAGTGGTCCAGGCCAGGCGTGGTGGCTCACCCCTGTAATCCCAACACTCTGGAAAACCGAGGAAGGCAGATCACCTGAGGTCAGGAGTTTGAGACCAGCCTGGCCAACATGGTGAAACCCTGTCTCTACTAAAAGTACAAAAAAATTAGCTGGGCGTGGTGGCAGATGCCTGTAATCCCAGCTACTCAGGAGGCTGAGGCAGGAGAATTCGCTTGAACATGGGAGAAAGAGGTTGCAGTGAGCCGAGATGGTGCCATTGCATTCCAGCCTGGGTGACAAGAGTGAAACTCTATCTCAAAAAAAAACATAGTGGTCCAAGGTGACCTGGCAGAGCATCAGACTTGCTGTGAAGCGACAGATGTGATTTGCCAATTGCTACAATATCAACCACCAGATAAAAGGAAGTTTTGAAAAAGAACATTGGGATAAAATCAGCTCCTACGAAAAAGAGCATGCCACAGTGGGGTAGAAAGTAGAGAAGAACAAAGGTCACAAGGGTAGGGAGTTGGTGAGAATTAGCCCAAATTCACCCCTCCTTTTAGAGAACTGCAGCAATCCACAGCGTAACTGGCTTGCATTGGTGCCCCTGGCCACAGACCTCAGAAGAGTTTAGAGATTTCCAAAGTTGCATTTAAATTTTTTGTTTTGTTTTGTGTCAGAGAGCCAAGTCCACAAAGAAAGTTCCAGATCATGTCTGCAAATTCTATTTAAACCGGTGTTAAATAGAATTTGACATCTGATAACTTCATGAAAAATATTTTTCTTGGTTTTTATCAGTCAAACCAAACTCCTTCCAACCTTTATTCTTCCAACATTTATTACATGGTAACTGTAGTCCAGAAACTACGCCAGGTGTTGGAGTTATAAAAGTGAAGAAAGCTACACATTTCCTGACTTCAAGGAGTTGACGATCTGGGGAATAAGCAAAGGAGAGGAAAGACAGATACTTGGCTAATTGGCAAGGACAGCATAGTGGTGATAGCGGTGGGTGGGTTTGGGGATTAAGCAAATGTGGCTTCCACACAAAATTCTCACACTCTTTGCAACTTGCAGAGTTAAAGGATAAGATATTTGAAGCAACTGCCAATTACTAGGTGTTCAGTTAAAGACTGTTAAAGTTGTATTGCACAGTGGTTAAAAGTCTGGAGTCAGCCTAGCTGGACAAATTCTAGCTCTAACAGCTCTAAAGTCTCTAGCTGTGTGATCGTGGGAAAATTACTTAAGCCCTTTATGTCTCAGATTCCTTCATCTGTGAAATTTGAGTGATAGTAGTAATTAGACCAACCACCTAGGATTACAAAGATTAAATGGATCGATGCATGTAAGTACTTAGAATGACCCAGTACATTGTAAGCATATGTAAATGCTAGCTACTTAAAATTAACTATAGTAAAATATGATATGTACTGTAACAATGCTAGTAAAAATGCTGCGGACTACTAAGTATCAGAAATACTGATAGATATAGAAATAGATACAGATACACACAAAAGATGTTTATGATATTTTGCTAAATGGAAGAAAAGTTGCTTGACGAAACAGAAAAAGAAAACCAGTGTGAGACAACATAGCAAATGTAAGGAGGCATGTCTGCTCATTTCTGCATGCCAGCATAATTTCACGAAGCCTAACTCTGTGACGACGTGCAGCTCTCCGGAAATATGCTTTGAAGGCAAAGCAGGATAGAGCACATGGCCCCATCATGTCTCTTGCCTGAGTCACTAAGTTCCTTAAAAGATAAATGACTCTATTCCCTGCCTTTTCTTACACGTAAGGTAATATCTGATGGGGTTAGTGATGATGCCTCTGTAATCTATAACCAGCTGTACTCTTACACCCAAACTTCGATGTGATTCTGCTTTAATGTAACTTCTGCACACATTTGATGTGATTTTACAAGTACTAAACCTTCACAACTCATATATAAACTGTGAGCTAAAACACCATTTCAGAGCAGTCTGACAGAACCTCTTTGAAGGACTGTTCCCAGGCTCTAGGCCTCAGTCTATAGTCCTCAGTAAGACTTCTAAATACAACCACCTTTCATTCTTTACAAGCTTGATTTTTTTTTCTTTAGTTGACACCAGAAGGGCTGGGAAAATGTACATGACCATGGTAACTGTTTATCTCTGGGTAGTAGCATTACAGCTGATGCATTTTTCTTTTTTTGTCAAAGTTGTGTTTTCTAAGTAAATTTAAATTTATTGACTTAATAATTTAAGAATATCTTTACATGACATATAAGAAAATTTGGTTATTAAAAGGCACCTAGAACTCAAATGAAGGATTAATTAAGTATGCAGGGCAGGATTCACCAGGAATGTCACCTCTGAGCTAGGTATTAAAGGAATTGATTGGTAGGGCTTTGAAGATATAAAGATTAGTAGAGATAAGAACAAGATCCCCGTATTTGATAATATTGGAAAATAATGTATCAAATAGTACATGAGTTAAGTGAGCTGTTAATCCTTTTCTGTTTCTTTCTTTTTTTAAAAAATAGCAACAAGGTCTCACTGTGTTGCCCAGGCTGGTCTCGAACTCCTCGGCCTCCCCAAGTGCTAAGATTACAAGTGTGAGCCACCACACCCAGCCGAGTGGGCTACTAATCCTCAGTGAAGAGGCCATCACTGGGCACTGAATATCAGAGTCCATCCTTATTTTTTGTGTGTGTTCCTCTTGTTTCTGAAGTATCTAATGGAAAGTCTGGCTTCTCTGTTTCTCTCTTTCTCTGATTTCAGAAATCTTATTACGGTATCCTATCTATTGAAGATAACTAGAGATCAGTTTAAGTCTTCTCCATGCTGGAGCTTACAGAATAGATGCTAATTCTATTGCCTGCTTTCCCAGATACTGACAGGTAATAAGAGGGCCAAGTAGACCACCCTGCCATGGATTGGAGCCATGTAAGACCCATCCTGTGTACACTCAGAGCTGACTCTTTCCTAGGAAGTGAGTGGTATGGATAGACATGCGTCTTTTCCAATTCTTCCTGTGCCTCACCTCAGTCTTCAGGACTCCAAGGAGGTAGGACCAAAAAGCACAGGGCCCCTGAGTGTTATTTCAGATCCTCTGTGTAACCAGCCCACACCTGAGCCTTCTGTCAATGGAAAACTCCATTAGGCAGCAATGACTGGAGAATGTCTCCAATTTATTCAAACATGTTTCTAGAGAGAAGACGGTGGTGGGGAGAAAAGCACTTCCTTCCTCTCTCTACCTCCTGTCTCTTCCTAACCTCCTCTGCTTTAATTTCTGGCTAACCTCAGCACTGTTGACATGAAAAAGAAGCCTTTGCACTGTTAAGTCTACTTTGAATTATTTCAATATGGGGACCTTCCCTGGCCACCAGGCAACAAACTGTCCATTCTTGATTTTCTCCTCTCTCTCTCTTCTGGGTATTGAATATGTAGTTTGGCTGGACCAGGTGCTGCCAAAAACTTCTTGGGAGGCCCACGGCTTCCCAGAATCTAGAATCCACCCAGAGAAAGTCCCTGTGAGGAAACTTCACAGATCTTTCTCTGGTTACGTCTCTGGGAACACTGCACTTGCCCGGCTTTTCCTGCACTGCTTTTCTTGGCTTCCTCAGTGTGATGGTCCTGTCTTCTTTCTTCAGGAAAAACAGGCCCCCTGGCCTTCCCTTTCCTAGATGTGAAGGAAAGATGCCAGAGCCATACAATGTTGGTTTCAGTACCACCAACTTGCCGTGTAACTTTCGGCAAATTACTTAGCCTCGCTGATCCATCATTTCCTTTTGTTTCTAAGATAGGAGTAATAATTTATCAATTCATAGTGCCAGGAAGACCCAGGTGCCAGGAAGGATGGAATGCTTAGATCTGTCATGGAAGATACAAGGAATTAGATGAGGAAACACAAGTAAAGGAATTAGCACAATATCTGAAATATGTAGTCATTGGCTATTATTTACATCTTTCCCCAATTTCCCAGTCTCTTTTGCTGTTATCAAGTATATGCATAAGGTCTTTTTTATTTTGAAAGACTTAGTCATTATGGGAAAATTGACAAAGGACTGCAAATTCTGTATAATCATGTGGAACTTTCACAACTTAACCAACTGCACCACATTCTTGACCTCTCTGTGCAGGCAGAGAGAATTCAGCTCCCTTTGGACTGTGGCTTTATAACCTCACATGCTCTTCTCAGCCAACCGACCTGAAGAGCCAGTAGGCATTGACTTGCATTCTTTCAGAGGTCCTCTTGTTTCAATAATAATAAGCACCATTTCTTAACACTCACTATGAGCAATTCATATATTTTGTCTCATTTTGACTTTATAACAACACCATGAGGCAGGTAACCTTATCTCAATTTACTAGTCTGGAAAGAGGCTCAGAAACGTTAAGACCACTCTAGATATAGTTCTGGAGCCACAAAACAAACTGAGATTTCTATACAGTAGATCCAAAATCTATACGCTTGACTCTCTCACGCTGGGACCATGATACAGCAGTAGCAACAGTTACAAAGCTCTTTACTTTAGAGGCCCGTTTCTTGGGCTCTGGGGTTGGGAGGTAGGTCTGAACACTTGGGTGTCTCATAAATTCTCTGACTTCACACACTGAGCAACTTCACCACACATCACTGGCATCTAACGGTCAGTAATACTGAAGTCTAAATAAGTCTCTCAGAAGCTTACATATCAATAATATAAAGTCATCTAGTACAGGACAGAAGCCACCTTGATAGAGCCAAGTCAGTATCTTTCAATCTGACAAGACTGGTCAGGAGGCTCTCAGACCAGAAGGTAATATCTTCACTTGCTGAGCACTGTACTATCCGAAGTTCAAAACTATAGACTGTGCCACAGCGGGGCACATGTGCAAGGGCAGAGTTGGAGCCCTGAATAAACAGTTCACCATTACTTACAGAATTTCCCTGGTTCCATGTTTCCCCCTTTCTTTTTTGGGGGGAAGGATGTGAATTTTTCTTCTTTTTCTCCAGCAGTAGCAGTACTGAAACCATTCAGCAACGAGGATTTGGCAGCTTCTAAGGGTCATGTCGTTGGTGGGTGCAGTTTGAGTTGAAGTGATTGCAGACGTGCAGACAAACACACAGAAATAGAGGTTCAGTAGGGCCTGGGCCTAAGCCCTGGGGAAAGCTACAGTTACTTCAGTGGAAGGGGAGTAGGAGCCAACAGAGCAAATGGAAGGAAGAGCAGGAAGATGATGCCGCACTCCGGAGGAGAAGCAGCAGAGTTGCTCTCTGTACCTGCAAGCCAATGGAGAAGTTTATCATAAGACAGTAATGAACTAATAACACACCGCTGACCGGTGACACACAGCAATAGTGGCAACTGTTGAAGAACTACTGTGTGCTCAGCGTCACGCTACATGCTTTAGAGAAGCCCTTAGGGCACAGTGGAGTTAGAAGTACGTTATTTATTAGGAATGACTGTACATAGGATAAAAAAAAAAGAAATAGGTCATTTATCCTAACTCTTACAGCAACTAGCTTTGAGAAAGTGAGCAGCTTATTCAATCTCTCTGAGTATTAATTTCATCTGAGAAATTGGAGTAATAATATCCATATTACTCATTTAGCCTATCAATGTGAACTGAAAGCCTACTGTGTACTAAACACTACTCTAAAAGCTGCATATACATGTAAAAATTTACTACCTGTTCGGCTGGGCGCGGTGGCTCAAGCCTGTAATCTCAGCACTTTGGGAGGCCGAGGCGGATGAATCACTTGAAGTCAAGAGTTCGTGACCAGCCTGACCAACATGGTGAAACCCAGTCTCTACTAAAAATACAAAAATTAGCCGGGCATGGTGGCGCACACTAGTAATCCCAGCTACTCAAGAGGCTGAGGCAGGAGAATTGCTTGAACCTGGGAGGCAGAGGTTGCAGTGAGCCTAGATAATGCCACTGCACTCTAGCCTGGGTGACAGAGCGAGACTCCATCTCAAAAAAAAGAAAAAAAAATTCAGTGCCTGTTTTCATGGAACTTACAGTCTATAATAAAGATAAGAATGATCAATTATATTAAATGCCTGGGATTTGGCACTTATTTCATTTAATCCTCACAGCAATCCTATGTTTAGTGTGCTCTTTTCACGTCAACATTATCTGCTGTTGTTAAATGTTAAATGAAAATAAGTCAAGGCAGATCTGAGAAAACTATTGAGTACTAGGTTCGTCTTAACTGTGAAAGTGGCCATTGTTAGTTGATGGTTATGTATAATTAGTTAGTTTGAGAATGTGGGGTATATATTTCATATTCAAAAGCGAACTCCTGCCTCTGTCAGTCAATATTTGTGGTCCACCATCATTCTTAGCATCTAGTCCAACGCCTGGCACATATTAGATTATCAATACATAATTGTTAAATTAAATTGAGTACTTATTATATGCCAGACATCACTTATTCTGCAAATTGCATTTTATCTGATCTTTGTTCTTAGAAATTATATAAGGGCCTCTGGGAGAAACAGTAAGATTCTGGCCTACTAAGCTTTAGTGTGCTGTGTCAATAGTAATTGAATCAGGGAACAGGGTCAAAACCAGTCTTAGATGAAGAGTTTTTTCCCTTCTCTGACATAACCCCTCTATTTCTACTCTGAACCCATCTCTTATTACCCAGGACATTGCTAATAATGATGGGTGGTCCCAAGGTTCTGCCCTTGCATTTCTGCTCCACTAGAAAATACTTGGATTTTTGAGACTTTAAATAACAGTTCCAGAACTTACTAGCTTGGTAATTTTTGTGAAGTTGCTTACTCTTAATTTCTCAGTTTCTTCTTCTATAAAATTGAGATAATGCCAACTTCTATGGTCAAGAAGATTAAATTAAAATGATACATCCAAGAATACCTAAGACAATGAATAAAAGGATAGGAAGCTAGAAACAGGGATAGTTACATTTACAGTAAAGCTAGTTAGATAGGAAACATAGAAGGTTCTTGGTGCTCCATAGATGTCCCTGACACTCAGCATTTCCTACGTTCTGACTCTCCTTACTGCAAGTGCCGGTGACCCTGCTGCAGCCTTTATCTGTCTGTGGGAGCTGACCACACTTGGGTCAGAACAGAAGTGTCAGGGAGTAACACCCCTGGGGTGGCTCTCAACCAGTGACAGATGGAGGCCATGGATAAATACCACAGGCTCTTGCCTCCCAAGTGAGACAACTCTGAGGCATGATCTATGCTGCCCCTGAGACCCCCAGGAAGTCTGAGCCCCAGCTGCCCGCAGTGACAACTGACTCACAACACACCCTGTACCGGCTTTCTTTCTTTTTCTGTCTCACTTCTGCACTCACTTCCCAGTGCTTCCTGGGATCCCTGGATCCTTTTCTCAGCATCTGTTTCTGGAGGGACACATCCCAAAATAGGAAGGACTATTTTCAGTAGTCACTATAAAGTAGGAGGTGTAACTGTGTGTAACTTTGTGGGGTTACAGGGTGGAGGAGTTGAGAGAAGAAAACGGAGGCTTTTAGGGTAGAAATCCTCTAGAACAGTGATTCTCTGTGTTGGCGTGCTAGGGAGTCACCAAGTGTTTTGGAAGTGAAATGGAGAGGTAGGAGGAGCACTGGGGTGGCTCAAGTTAGATGGCTCTGGGAAGGAAATGAGCCACAGCTTCAAAGTTCCACCTCTTTCTTCAAAGCACAGTTACCTGGAAACACAAACGAAAACGAATGAGAGGAAGATGAAGAATAGGAGCAATAAGAAGAGGAGGAGGAAATCCCATCTAATTTTATCTACCACATTGCCACCTTATTACTACTTTACATTTATTTCCATGGGTTCTTTGGAAGTGAAGTCCAGAATTTAGGGGCACACAGGGAGTCTATGATTCTAGTAAGCAAGGCAGGAAGCAGTGAAGGCAAATAGAATTAGTGAATGAAATGGGATAGATCATGTGACGCAGGAGAGGTTCCAGGGAAGCTAGAGATGGGCTTCCTGGGTGGGGTGAAGGAGATGACAGGCTGTGGCTGCAAATGGGATAATAGATCTCAGAAACAGAGATTACCCTGAGTGTTAACGACACTGACTAAGGCAGGTCAAAGGTGGAGGTCTTCAACCCAGGAAATACCTCTGGGGTAAAGGAATCTAAAAGGTTAATGTGGATTCCAGAGTCAATATAGATTATGGCAAAGGGCAGGGCAGAGGAGCAGGACTGAGTCCGCTGCTGAAGTAAGCTTGGGAAGTGAGGATGGAATCTGGTGAGTCACAGCATTGAGAACTGCACAGTCTTCAACTGGGCAGAGGGTGAGAGTGGGTGAGGGTAGTTCAAGGGTGAGAAAGCACACTGGAGGGAGGAAAGAGCTGGCCGCTCCACCTCACCCGCTGACTTGAGCAGAGAAGATAAGGCTATCATGCTGAAAACAGTTGGGAGAACAGTGATTTCACAGGAGAGCATCTTTCAGGCCAGACGGCAGAAGAAAGAGGATCCATGTGAATGGGGACTGTGATGGTTAATTTTCTGTGTCAAATTGGCTAGACCACAGTATTTGTTTAAATATTATTCTAATTGTGTCTGTGAGAATATTTTTTAAATGAGATTGCCATTTAAATCAGTAGACTTTGAGTAAAGCAGATTATCTTCCATAATGTGGGTGGCTCTCATCTGATCAGCTGGAGGCCTTAACAGATAAAGACTCCCTCTCCTTCCCATTAGGCAGAGAGAATTTTGCCAGCAGACTGCCTTTAGACTTGACCAGCAATACCAACTCTTCCCTGGGGCTCCAGGTGACCAGCTCACTCTGAAGATTTTGGACTTGCCTGCCTGTACAATAACGTGAGCCAATTCCTAAAATAAATCTCTGTCTCTCTCTCTTGCTATATATATATGTGTGTGCGTGTGTGTATTTCTCTCTATATATATAATAAATACATATATAATACATACTATATATGTATGAAGGTATATGTATCTCTCTATATGTATATATAGAATTTCTCTAGATATATGTGTATATATAGAGAGAGCTATTATATAGCTATATATAGAGAGAGAGCTATTATATAGCTATATATAGAGAGAGAGCTATTATATAGCTATATATATATAGAGAGCTATTATATAGCTATATATATAGAGCTATTATATAGCTATATATATAGAGCTATTATATAGCTATATATAGAGAGACCTATATATAGAGAAAGCGAATACTACTCAGCCATAAAATAAAAATTACTACTCAGTAATGAATTAATGGCATTCACAGCAACCTGGATGGGATAGAAGACTATTATTCTAAGTGAGTAACTCAGGAAGGAAAATCAAACATCATATGTTCTCACTCATAAGTGGGAGCTAAGCTATGAGGATGCAAAGGCATAAGAATGGCACAATGGACTTTGGGGACCTGGGGGGAAAGGTGGGAGGGGGTGAGGGATATAAGACTGCAAATTGGGCTCAGTGTACACTGATTGGGTGATGGATGCACCAAAATCTCACAAATCACCACTAAAGAACTTACTCATATAACCAAACACCACCTACTCCCCAAAAATCTATGAAAATAAAAAAATTTAAAAAATATATACTCGTCTTTATCCCAACACAGTCATAAAATTTTTAATTTTTTTAATGGAGGAAGGGGCCCATCAAAGCAAGAGTGTCTAAGGCCAATGAACATGCTAACGCAGCCCTGAAAGCCATTCCCGCTGCTGCCTTTGTAATTGCCTTCTCACGCCCATGAAACTGGTGACTAGATACTGGCGTTTACTGCAGAAAAAGCTCATTGGGCAACAGAGAGCAAGAAAAGCAGGAAGTGATTCTGCCTCATTTTCACCTTCCTGACTCATGCAAGAGCATCTAATCCAGCCATAGATGAGTTCTGGGGCTAGAAATCTAAATGGTTTTTAGATTTCTAGTCTCTGCAGTACTGGAAGACACGCATGAAGGAAGCTGGAATGGACGCTGGGTGCCTGTCTCACTGCATCCACCACAATTGTGTTGGTTAGTAGGACTACTACAGGGCCACACACTAGAGGAAGGGAGAGACTGAAGGCACTGATATAAAATCAGTTAAACTTTGCTGAAAATGAAGGAAATGTTGCTTCACTCTCCAAGGAATACTTGTGTTTCTGTGCAGATCAGATCCTGGTTCCATCCAAATCAGAACAGATGCTATTAACACACTGAGCCAGTATATTTCCCCCTGCCTAATTCAGGTAGCAAAAAATTCACAAATAAGGAGATGGGGACAATTCATATTCAAATAAATAACAGCTTCCAGCTTCTTTTTCCATTTTTCCTTCCCTTTGATCTCATCTCCTACCACTCTTCCTCTTCCTCACTGTGCTCCAGCAACCCCTAAAGCATGCCAAATATACTCCCACCTCAGGGTCTTTGCACTTGCTAGTCCAAAGCAGGAAATAGCCTGACTTTGTCTCTGACCTCCTGCAGGTCTCTCTTCAAAAGCCATCTCACTCACAGCTATCCTATATAAAAGCAACCTGAAGCACCCCCTCTTTCTCACTCTGCTTTTCTACACAGGACTTGTCACCTTTGGACACACTCTGTTTTACATGTTTATTTGCTCATGACATATCCACCCATCTGGAAAATAAACTCTAAGAAGACCAGATCTTCGATTTGTTCACTGTTGTATCCTCAGCACCTGTAGTAGTGTCTGGTGCTTATTAAGTGCTCAAAAGTATTTGTAAATAAATGAATGAATAATTAATATTAATATCTTGCCTCTCCTTTTCTCCCAGTTCAATTCATTTTAGCTGCTGTGGTCACCTTCAAAGTTTCTTGAGAGAGAGAGTTTGTGTTTAGGTCATGTCAATTAGGTCATGCACACTGAACTGAAACTGAGATGAATGACATCATCAGTCATCAAAATTTAGGTTAAACATTTCCTCAGTAGTTATTCAATATTTTATACATGAGGACAGACCGAAAGAGAAGTACTTGCTTAGGGCCACACAGGGCCAAAGTTTAGGTCTCCTAATTCTGAGCCCAGAGTAGTATTTTCTTTTCTCTTTTCTTTTTTCTTTTCTTTTTTTTTTTTTTTTACAGAGTCTCACTCTGTCACCAAGTTGCAGAACAGTGGCGTGATCTCAGCTCTCTGCAACCTCCACCTCCCAGGTTCAATCGATTCTCCTGCCTCAACCTCCCAAGAAGCTAGGACTACAGGCGAGTGCCACCACGCTCAGCTATTTTTTGTATTTTTAGTAGAAATGGGGTTTCAGCATGTCGGCTAGGATGGTCTCGAACTCTTGACCTCGTGATCCACCCACCTCAGCCTCCCAAAGTGCTGGGATTACAGGTGTGAGCCACTGCACCTGGCAGGCCAGAGTATTTTCTGCTACATGTCATAGCAATGTCTATGCTTTTGGTATTCTTATTACCAGGAATATTTGAGAAAAAAATGACTAATATGGGCAATCCTCAATTTTATTATTATTATATTATATTATATATATTTTTAGAGATGAGTTTTCATCATGTTGCCCAGGCTGGTCTCGAATTCTTGAGCTCAAGCAATCTGCCTGCCTCAGCCTCCCAAAGTGCTGGGATTACAGGCGCAAGCCATCAGGCCCAGCCCTCTCTTTTATTTTTGTTGAGCTTAGAAAATGACATGGCTTTCTGTCTTCACTTATATATAGCCTAAGTATTGGCATCATGAGTTCTACAACCTCACTTATGAAAGGAATTAGTTTGTGCCTGTTCTCTAGTCACTTCCCCCCTTTTAAAAGACAATGATCTGTTGAGAAGAACCAGCACCACCTACCAACTTTGTTTAAATTCCTATAAGTACTAGTAACAAAACAATTTTACCAAATTATTATTATTCACTATGATCCTGACATCCATTGAGGTGACATCCAATTAGGCAATGTTAGTTCCTGGAAAACTGAAACACTCATCATTTTGGCAAATGAAAAGTAATTGCTGGATTCACTAGCCAGGGCACAGACAAAATTCATCTGGTCCTGAGAAATATCAAAGCTTTGAATTTTTAAGTAAAAGTCTAAAAATGTCTGGTGCTGAAACCATTATTGCCAACTAAGTGGTCCTGTATACTGAATTTTTCTGACTCAAAAGAATTCCTATAGTATCCCACCACCCCCGACCCCGTACCTCATTCTTGTTTCTGTGAGGCTGGCAATCAGAAAAGTGAGTCATTAGTTAGGCTTAACTTTTGGACAGGTGTATTATTTGCAAACAGATTGTACCTGAAAATTCTATTCTGAGATTTGAAAGAATTGTAGCGGGATTTTCCTGGGATACATTTGCAATGACACTTGACAGAGAGAAGAAGGAAGATATCTGTCTAGATAGCTAGAGGGAATCTCAGCAGTGTTAAGGCCATCTAGAACATCAAATCTCATTGGGGAAAATTCTGGAAGACCTGCTAGTGAGCAAAGTAAGAGACCAGCAGTAGGGGCTAATCTATCCTAGGGATGAGAGGAGGCTTCCTCTCATCACTCACCTGAAGGAGAATGGTACCAAATGAAGCATTTTAGACTAGGAGAATGCAGCTAACTCCTAGTGAAGTGACTTTCAGTTTAGTTTCGTTTTGTTGTAGCCAATCCTATTGTTATATGCAGTGTAACTCTCTGGGAAATAGCTATAATTTCACTAATTTCTCTTCCTCTTGAAGAAGAGTATGGGAATGCAATTGAATGAGAGTATAATATTATAGGATATTGTACTTAAGATCCTTCTGTATGATAAAGACAGAAAATCCTACTTATGCAAGGGAGGAAATTTACTGGATTGTGTAACTGAAAATCCAGGGATAGTATGGGCTTTAGGCACAGCTGGATTCAGGGTTCAAAATGTATCACTAGGTCATGGATTTCCTTCATCTTTCAGCTCTGCCTTCCACAGATTGGTTTTAGTCTCAGGTTCTACATGGGAGCAAGCTGACTAAACAGAAGTGCCAGCTTCCTATTGTCCCAGGTTCAAGTCCACTGGGAAAGAGTGCCTGCCTGGAGGATGCCAGACTCTCATTGGCCAGAGTGCCTCTGGGATGGGGATGGGGAAGGGGAAAATCCCATAACCACTGGCATTGAGTACAGGGATGGAGTAAATCACTAACTAAAAAGTGGAAAGTGTAACAAAGAATGTCACAAGGAAAGGCCAAGTAACCAGAATGTTCATAAAATAGGGAAAACTTAATATCTGTTCATATTCAAATTCACTGCATTGAATATTGTGTGACATCCCATAACAGAGGAGATAGCAATGTGTTTTCACCAAGGTTGAGAGGACGGGCAACATTGGGCTGGTGGAAAGGAATATAGAACTACGCTTCAGGATCGCTGAGTAATCATCTTGTTTGACCACTAAGTTTCTCATGTGATACTGAGTAATTCATCTCACCTTTCAGGTTCTCAGGCTTTTTTTTTTTTTTCCATCTGTTAAACAGAATTGCCTGTGTTACTTATCTTACTGGGTTACTGTGTAGCTGAAATCAAATAAAACATTTAATAATAGTTTTATTAATTTATCATGAGACATATTTCCAAACAGATATTATGTATTTTGTTTCAATAAAGGATGATGAGGCAAATCTACCCAGTGATTTTTCACTTCTGAGGGTTGTGCAGTTCTTGAATTCCTGACTGCAAAACTGAAGCAAGTTTCTTTCACTGATTCAACAAGTGAGTCCAAAGTTTAATCAGATATTCATTTACTGACCTTTTACTAAAAAAGAACATTTGAGGAATTAGCACAAGATCTGAGATGAAGGTAATCCACAGACAGATTTTTCTTTCATTTGTATTCATTTGATCGAAAATGTGTTTGAGCACCTACAATGTGATGAACAATATAGATGTGGTCCTGCATTCATGGAGCTTAGAGTCAAAGTGACATTAAAATATTAAACTAAGCTGGGCGAGGTGACATACGTCAGCTACTCAGGAGGATGAAGCAGAAGGATAGCTTGAGCCCAGGAGTTTAATGCTGTAGTGTGCAATGATCATGCCTGTGAATAACCCCTGCACTTCAGCCTGGGCAATACAGCAAGACCCTGTCTCTAAAAATATACATATTCAACTAACAATCAAATGAAGAAATATATAATTACCAACTGACAAAAGCTATAAGACATTAGAGAAGCCTCTCTGGTTTAGTGACAGATAATCTGAAACCCAAATGATGAGTAGACTTAATCATTAGGAAATTGTGATGGTGAGGGAGGGGACTCGAAATCAGAAATGTTCCAAACAAAGTAAAATGCTGTTGAAGATGTTCCATATTGGATGCCTGTTGTTTTTGTTCACTCAACATCCCTATCCCCATTCTTTTGGTAATCTAAATTCTTGTAGTTTAGGCTGCTACGTGACCAAGACCTGCTGCAGTACTCTTTTCTCCAGGGTATTGATCAGTTCAGGAATGGACACTTGTTTTAACCTAGCCAGACAAAGTGTTGTTCTCTGGAGCCTTTCTTGTATAATATCAGGAAAAACTGAATCATTTAGCTGCAGTTATTAAGCTGAGAATGTGTCATGGTGTGAGAGTCAGCCAACTGTATAGTTAGAGGGAGCACAGTCTACATAAGACTACCTACTTCCAACACCAACAGCAAGCTCAGGAGGTTCCCAAAACATACCTTTGATAATTCACTGGAAGAATTCACAGAGCTCACAGAAAGTTGCTGTACTCATGGTTACAGCTGACTGCAGGGAAAGAATACAAGTCAAATGCAGGCCAAGGAAGAGACACATGGGCCTGGAAGTGAAGTGGTATCATTGTCTAGGGTAAATACCCTGCGTTCATTGTCTCACACCAAGATTAAGGACATCGACAGACACACAGGGAGTGAGTTTAAGAGCAGAGGTTTAACAGGCAAAAGAGAGAGAGAGAGAGAGAGAGAGAGAGAGAGAGAGAGAGAGAGAGAGAGAGAGAGAGAGAGAGAGATGCCTGAAAAGGAAGTACAGTGTGTAGTGGGAGGGCACTGGATTTTATAGACACGCTTGAGGAGGCAGTGTCTGATTTGCATAGGGCCCACAGATTGGTTGGACCAGGTGTGATGTTTACATACAGGGTGGGGAAGGCTGGTCACCCCACCCTAATCTGATTATGCAAATGGGCTTTCCACTTGGCTGGCACCATGTTGTCTGCTCCTTACTGTACATGTATCTGGCAAAGAGAAGGGAAGATACAGCTGTTATTTTGAACATGCTTAGTCCCAGGTAGCCTTTTCCTATGGGCACAGCTGCCAGCGTTCACCCGTGCAAGCTTCTAGCTTTCTCTTCTATGTCTGCAGCTCAATTTTCCAGGCTGCGCTTTGTTACAAAATAAATGATTTGGTGGCTGCTTTTCATTAAAAGGAAAACCTTACTGAGGACTTCCTTACCCTCACTATCTGCGTAAATAATTTCTTTTTAACTCCTATATCAGAAGGTGCCAGATGTGGAGCTTCCAGTTGTCCTCTCCCCATGGAGTCAGGACAGCATTACTGTCCTGGAGTAAGTTTGTGACGGTATGCAAAGTACTGCCACACAGAAAATTCTCTCAAGCCTCAGGGTCCAGAGTTTTACTGGAGCTCCATACAGGCAAAATTGATTAGCCACGTGACTGATTTCA
The DNA here is from genome assembly GCF_000001405.40 of Homo sapiens. Classification (NCBI taxonomy): domain Eukaryota; kingdom Metazoa; phylum Chordata; class Mammalia; order Primates; family Hominidae; genus Homo; species Homo sapiens. The sequence goes on from NC_000004.12 coordinate 78,630,056, forward strand.
GTCTCCAGTACCCAAAGTCCCCACGTGACTGATTTCAGTCTCCAGTACCCAAAGTCCCCACCTTAAGTAACCTTGGTGGTGTGGCTCAAAGCCACAATCACAAAGCTCTAAATCACATTGTTACTATCTGGCTGGCCCAAGGCCCCCAGGCAAACAGAGACACTCTTGTCAGGCATGACATTCCAAGGACCTAAAGATTACCTCCCAGAAACCAAGAGCAAAGGCCAGATCACTCTTTGAGTAAGGTTCATTCCTTACTTCACAAACAGTCATCTCTGACAGTGAATATTCTGCCTCCATAATGACAGTCTGTGATAAGAAGGAATTAAATCAAAGATAAGCAGAGTTAAAAGATGAAGCAACAGAGCAATAAGGTCATAATGTGAGTTCCCAGAACCAGCCACGCCTGAAGCCAGCTGCCTCCTAGGTTCCTCACTTGCATGCACTACCATATTTCCTTTTTCGCTTAAGTTGTTTATATTTGCCCTTTGAATTAGAGAAGTTCTGAGGTAGGAGAGAGATTTTTCATTTCAAACATTTGAAAGAAAAACTGGAATATAGTGAGCAAGGGAAAGTGAGTGGTGGATAAAGCTAAAGACATAGGAAAGGGCAAGATTATGTGAGGGTCTAACAGTGATATTAAGAATTAGGCATTAACCTAAGGGAATTAATGCAGGAATAGAAAACCAAACACCAGATGTTCTCACTTATAAGTGGGAGCTAAACACTGATACGAAAAAGGGAACAAGAGGTTCCCTGTGGCCTATTTGAGGATGGAGGCTGGGAGAGGGTGAGGTTTGAAAAGCTACCTCGAGTAACTATGATGATTACCTGGGTGACAAAATTATCTGTACCCCAACTCCTGTGACATGCAATTTACCCATGTAACCTGCATATGTACCCCCTGAACTGAAAGTAAAAGTTGGAAAGAAAAACAGAATTAGGGAATTTCTCCTAAGTGCAGTGTGAATCTTCTGAAGGATTTTTAAAGGCAAGCAACATTATCTGACCTATCTATATATCTATATATAGATTTTTCTTTTTTTTTTTGATAGAGTTTCGCTCTTGTTGCCCAGGCTGGAGTGCAGTGGTGCAGTCTCTGGCTCACTGCACAACCTCCATCTCCCAAGATGCCAGGTTCAAACAATTCTCCTACCTCAGCCTCCTGAGTAGCTCAGACTATAGGCACCAGCCACCACACCTGGCTCACTTTTGTCTTTTTAGTAGAGACAGGGTTTCACCACGTTGGCCAGACTGGTTTCAAACTGCTTATCTCGGGTGAATCTGCCTGCCTCGGCCTCCCAAAGTGCTGGGATTACAGGTGTGAGCCACCACGCCCAGCCAATCTGATCTATATTTTAAAACATATATATGGAGAAAGGACAGGATTATGGGGAAGAGTGCAAACAAGAAGAGTATTTACATTTAAGAAAAATTTGGAAGTAAATTGGCCTGTTGGACTGTCTATGGAGGTGACTTTCTCCAGCAAGTGTCAAAAATTAGCCTCAGATTTATGGCATGAGCCAGTGGATGGATGGAAGTAGCTTTTTTTGAGATGAGAAAATAGAGGAATGAGATTGTAGATCAGTTTTGGATATGATAAATTTAAAATGCCTGTGAGCTATTCAAGTAAGAGGTTGGTTTCAAGGACACAAGAGAAGAAAGTATGTCAGAAAGGAGGGAGTGGTCAACTGTGTTAAATCTTTCTGAGAGTTAAGATGAGAACCAAAAGGTGTCTGCTGGATCTGGAAGCATGACAGCTTTTGAGGACCTTGAACAAGAGCTGTTTTAATAGAGTGGTGGCAAAGAAGCCATGTGAATTGCAGTAAAGAGTGAATGAAAGGCAAAGCAATTAAGACTGCACATATACAACATTCTTAATAAGATTTTCTATGAAAGAGAGTAAAGAGAAAACTGAACATGGGTGTGAAGTGTGGGGAAGGTTTGTTTGTTTTTAAGCTGGGAAATGCTTGCTCATGTCTGAATGCAGATACATAGATACTGATAGACAGAAAAATGGAAGATGTAGAGGAAAGAAAAATAATTTATTAGTCAGGGTAATGATATAACCAAAGGACTCTGCAATATATAATAGGTCAAGCACAATAGAAATTCATTTCTCACTCACATGAAGTTCAAAACAGATGTTCTGTTTTTTTCTCTTCTTCCTTCTCTCCTTTCCTTTTCTCTTCTTTCTTTCTTTCTTTCTTTCTTTCTTTCAGATGAGTCAAGTGCAGTAGTGAGAAGTGGGGAAAGAGTAGAATGAGGAATTTGATCTGTAACTGACTGTGACCAATCAATTGAGATAACTCACTACCTTCAGACCAGCCCCAAATAGATATTGTTAATGGTACCTGGGTCTTCTCTAATGGTGATACTGAAACCCAGGTTCCATCCATCTTGTGGAAGTGCCACCCTTAATACTTGGTTTTCAAGTTTGCTGTGCCTCTCTGCATCAAATGGCAGAAGGTGTTACAGTAGGTAGCTAGCCAGGCATGAGCGGGGCAGGAGAGGGCTCCCCCAACACCCCTACTGGGAAGGTCAGGTGCCCATCAGGTGATGGCCAGGCAGTTGTTAACTTTCTCTCTAAAATAATACTTGGTCATGGCCAGCACCAGGGAAAGGCAGTCTTCCTATATAGAGAGGAAACACCTGTAACTGGTAATCCGCAGCTTTCGGGAGTTGGGCAAGTGAACCCAAGCATGCACATTGAGAGACAAAATGGCAGAGTATGACCTTCCAGGGGCATTCCACTGGAAATGGGAAGAAAGCCTCAGGTGAGCATGTGTACAACTTCTTAAACACACTGTGCATGCTCACCTCCCAAGCACAAGGAGGGCACTGCACATGCAGCTGTCTCACCCTAAGGGAAGAATCAAAAGAAAGGGGTGCAAGATGCCAGAAATATGCGAGCATATAAAACTCCAAGTCAAAAGGTCAAACACTGCACTTGTCCTTCAAGTTGCCCGTTTGGGTCTCTTCCAAGTGTACTTTCCTTTTATTCTTACTCTAAAGCTTTTTAATAAACTTCCACTCTTGCTCTGAAACTTACCTCCATCTCTTTTCTGCCTTATGGCCCTCAGTTGAATTCTTTCTTCTGAGGAGGCAAGAATTGAGGTTGCTGTAGACTGGTACAGATTTGCCACGGGTAACCCAGATATTTGCCACCCATAAGAAAGGGAGAAGAAGCATTCCTGCTTTTGAAGCTAGCTGATGGACCCATGCCCCTTCTAATCATATTATATTGAGAAGAACTAGTCATGTGGTTCCACCTAAAGGCAAGGGAGGTTAGGGAATGTCATTACTGGTAGGGCGGCCACTACTTCCCAGCAACAACTTTATACCATGAAAGAAGCAGCCCAGATTTAGGAGGACAATGATTTCTGCTACAGGTAATAAATAACCAGTTAGAAACATTCTCTGAGAAGGCAGGACAGAACAGAATCCAGAACATACATGAAAGAATTTGCTTTTGATAGGAGAAGGGAGAAACCCTCCATTGAAAGAGAAGGAATGAGAAGTAAATAGGGGTTTGTATTTTTCTCACTTATAGTGAGTGCCAATTGGAGGAACAGCATAAAGAGTATAGGAGTTGAAACCAAGCTATGCCCAAATTTGGGACCCTAGTCTACCATACAGAATTTGCCTGAGGAATAAGGACTGCTGGTCACCTACTTTAGCAGAATGTTTACTAACAGGATTGAATTAAAAGGAATACACAGACAGGATAAACCACGCTTGAAGAAAGCTGAGATTTATTCTTTTGGGGGCTACTTCACCTATTTCTGGCCTCTGTCATGATGATCTAAAGAAAAACTCAGAGAATGAGGTTTTGTCTCAAAATGAAATCACCTTAAAGCAGTGCCAAAGGCCTTGCCCTCCCTCAAATATAACAGCATAAAAAACAAACTAAAAACCTTGCTAAAAGTAACCTGGGGGAAGAGTTCAAAAGATAAACAATAAGTTGCTCTCTACTTGTAGAAGCTGAGGGAAAGCTGATCACGAGCTAGGTCAGGTTAGCCAGCTCTGATACCACAACTTGTGGTGAAGTCAGCAGCACAAATTCAAAAAGCCTTGCTGTGCTAAGCTTCACTATCTTGGCTCTCACACAAGAAAGGGAACTTGTGACCGAAAGGGACACTCCAAAAAGAATTTCAATGAAGTACAACTTGAACAAAAACAATAAGTTGCCCAGATTTCTTGGATCACAGACAGAGGGCCTGGCATGTGGAATGAATGCCATCAGCAGAGAACACAGCCTTGATTGGTAGCTATGGAGCCCACTGCCCACGTGGTGTCCCCAGGCTGGCTTCCTGGTGAATGCTTTTTGGTGAATGCCAATCCACTCCCCCGGCTCCTTCTTGCTGTTTTTTCCTCCCTCCAAATGATTCCCACAGAAATTTTTCCCACCCTAGACACCATGATAAATACTCTTTACTAAGATGTCATCACAGTTTGGCTTTGTAAAAAATTTTCCTTCAGGAACGCAGAGCAACATTGATGGTAGGAATTAAAATGGTTCAACCCTTTGGAGAATTGTTTAGCAGTTTCTCACAGTGATAAACATATATCTACCCTGTGATTCAACAGTTCCACTCCTGGGTATTTACCCAAGAGCAGTGAAAATATATGTTCACACAAAGACTATCACAAGAATGTTCATGGCAGCTTTATTTATAACAAGCAAAAACTGGATGCAACCTAAATATCTATCAACAGGAAAATGGATAAACAAACTGTTGTATATCTACACAATTCAATAGTACTTGGCTCTAATTATCTGATTTTTAAAATGGGCAAAAGATTTGAATAGACATTTCTCAAAAGAAGATATACAAATGGTAAACAGGCATATGAAAAAGTGCTCAACATCATTGATCATCAGAGAAATGCAAATCAGAACTACACTGAGATATCATCTCACTCCAGTTAAAATGGCTTTTATCCAAAAGACAGGCAATAACAAGTGCTGGTGAGGATGTGGAGGAAAAGGAACCTTTGTACAATGCTGCTAGGAATGTAAATTAGTGCAACCACTATGGAGAACAGTTGGAGGGTCCTCAAAAAACTAAAAATAGAGCTATAATGTGATCCAGCAACCCTACTGCTATGTATATTCCCAAAAGAAAGGAAATCAGAATATCGAAGAGATATTTACACTCCGATGTTTGTTGCAGACTGTTCACAATAGCCAAGATTTGGAAGCAACCTAAGTGTCCATCCAGTGATGAATAGATACAGAAAATGTGGTACCTACACAGAATGGAATACAATTCAGCCATAGAAAAGGATGAGATCCTGTCATTTGCAAAAACATGATTATAACTGGAGGTCATTTTGTTAAGTGAAATAAGCCAGGCACAGAAAGACAAACATTGCATATTCTCACTTATTTGTGGGTTCTAAAAATCAAAACAATTGAACTCATGGAGATAGAGAATAGGATGGTTACCAAAGGCTGGGAAGGGTAATGGCAGAGGGGGTGAGCAGGAGGTGGGGATAGTTAATAGGTACAAAAAAAGAATAGTTAGAAAGAATGAATAAGATCTAGTACATGATAGCACAATGAGTGAACTATAGTCAGTACTCATTTAATTATACATTTACAAATAGCTATAAGTATAATTGGATTGTTTATAACACAAAGGATAAATGCTTGAGGGGATGGATACCCAATTTTCCATAATGTGATTATTACACATTGCATGCCTGTACCAAACTATTTCATGTACCCCATAAATATGTACCCACAAAAATTAAAAAATAAAAAAATTTAAATACTACTGGTAAGCGCAATGGCATGAATGAATTACCGAAACAGTATGCTGAGTGAAAGAAAGCCAGATGCACACAAACAAAATTATACAGTATGATTCTGGGATGATGAAAATATTCTATATCTTGTTTTGAATGGTGGTTGCATGAGTGTATAAAGTTGTCAAAACCCATTTAACTGAACATCTCAAATCAAGGCTTTTATTGAATATACATTATACCTCAAAAATAATCTTTTATGAAATGCTGTTAACATACCCTTTACCTATTCTCACACTTCAGGTGCTGGAAAATATGCTTCCTGTCCCTTCTAATACCTTAGAATGGCTTACAAAGCAGTCTAGAATTTAAAGGCAAACACCAGCAGCAGTAAATGACACACTGCAGCTAAACCCATGGAGAAACGGGCTGTGAGTGCCTTGGCATGGGGCACTGGAATTAAACCCTGTTAACTGTATTTTTGTCACGAACAGACACCTCTTCTATTCTGGCTTAGAAGTAGGTAAATGCTAATTTTAACTATACTGGCTCCTGGGGATTACACTGAGAGAACTTAGCAAGAACTGACACATATAGTATGGGAATAGAAAAATCTGGTGTCATCATCTGTTAATTTTTTTTTTTTTTTTTTTTTTGAGACAGAGTCTTGCTGTCACCCAGGCTGGAGTGCAGTGGCGCTACCTTGGCTCACTGCAAGCTCCGCCTACCAGGTTCATGCCATTCTCCTGCCTCAGCCTCCCGAGTAGCTGGGACTACATGCGCCCACCACCATGCCTGGCTAATTTTTTGTATTTTAGTAGAGACAGGGTTTCACCATGTTAGCCAGGATGGTCTCGATCTCCTGACCTTGTGATCCACCCACCTCGGCCTCCCAAAGTGCTGGGATTACAGGCGTGAGCCAACATGCCCGGCATCTTTTAAATTTAATTTAATTTTTAAATTAAAAAAAATTACCAGGCATGGTGGCTCATGTCTGCAATCCCAGCAACAGCACTTTAGGAGGCTGAGGCAAGTGGATGGCTTGAGCCCAGGAGTTTCAGAACAGCCTGGACAACATGGCAAAATCCCATCACTACAAAAAATACAAAAATTATTTAGGTGTGGTGGCATGTGCTTGTGGTCCCAGCTACTCAGGAGGCTGAGGCGGGAGGATTGCTTGAGCCCAGCAGGTGGAGGCTGCAGGGAGCCAAGATCATGCCCCTGCATTCCAACCTAGGCAACAGAATGAGACCCTGTCTCAAAAAAAAAAAAAAAAAAAAAAAAGAAAGAAAGAAAAAGAAAAAAATTTGAGAGACAGTCTCACTCTGTCACCCAGGCTAGAGTGCAGTGGCATGAACATGGTTCATTGCAGCCTCAACCTACCATGCTCAAGCAATCCTCTTACCTCAGCCTCCTGGGTAGCTGGGACTAAAGGTGTGCACCATCATGCCCAGCTAATTTTTAAATTTTGTGTAGAGATAGAGTCTCCTGATGTTAGCCAGGCTTGTCTCGAACTGCTGGGCAATCCTTCAGCCTCAACCTCCCAAAGCATTGGGATTCCAGCTGCACATAGCCTGTGTTGTCATCTTTAATCCCTATATAGACTCCCTTCCCTGAGTTCCTATTGTATTCTTACCTGTACCAAACAACTCAGCTCTTTATTTTGTATATAATAGATTACTTATGAGGCAGGCAATACAGTGGAATGGTTAAAAACATGGTCTGTATAATCCAAGAGAAACCTGAGTTCAAATTCTGGCTCTGTGATTTATTACCCGTCTAAATTCGGAGAATGCACTCAGCTTCTCTATAGTTCAATAACCCATATGCTAGACAGTCTGGATTCCAAGAGGGAAAGATTGAAGAGGGATGTTCTATACTTACCAAACTTGTCAGTTTCACTCTCCTGGGATAGAATGGTCAGCAGTTTGGGAGAGCTGAAGGTTGTGCTAATAGAAAGGAAACATCGGGAATGGGAACAAAACATTATCTCCCTAGCAAATTGTATGGGATTTCACCACGTTCAAAGCTCTTCCACCTAAATTGTCTATGGTAAGATTGCTGTGCAGTCTTCCATAGAGAGGACATAACACAGTGTCTGTTCATTCTAGTGGATGGGAATTTGGGTAGTTTCCAGCTAGGGGCTTTTATGACTACTGTTGCTATTAGCATAAATGTCTTATTATCCATACTTAATAAATATAGAAATGGTGGTTCAAAAATTATTGTCTGTATCAACATGAAGCTGACAATAAACCAACTACACCTTCAGTAAGTGAACAAAGTGATTTTCAATGACTTTTGTTAGTTTCTAATATAGGCAAATATTCTAAACTTTTAATTGACAAATACATAAAGAAAAAGGCACAAGTAGTAAGTATACACTGTGATGGATTTTGTATAAATCAAACATAAGCATGTAGTCGTCACCCAAATTAAGAAACTGAACACTCCCAGTGCCTCCAAAACCAGCCTCCACAGCCACTTCCTCACAGCCTCCCCAAAGAGTAACCATATCTTCACTTCTAACACTGAAATTAGTTCTGCCTGTTTTTGAACTATATATAAGTGGAATCATATTAAATCACACACTAGGCTCCTTTTTGCCCATCACTTTTGCTCAGTTTGGTATGATTTATCCATGCTGTGATCATTCTTATTGCTGTGCAGTCTTCCATAGAGAGGACATAGCACAGTGTCTGTTCATTCTAGTGGATGGGCATTTGGGTAGTTTCCAGCTGGGGGCTTTTATGACTACTGTTGCTATTAGCATAAATGTCTTTCTGTGAGCCAATATATGAATTTTTGTTCTGTAAAAATTCAGTAGTAGACTTGCTGAGTCTTCATATGTTCAGCTTGAATAGAGAGTGCCAAACATTTTCCAAAAGGTTTGTTCCAACTTGCATTCCTACCAGCAGCTAGCTCCTTTTGTTTCCCATCCTTGTCAATACTTGTTACTATCAGTCTTTTGCATTTTGGCCATTGTGGTGAAGCTGGGGCACATTTTATCTTCAGTACCAACTGTTGGCAGTCTTTTTTTTTTTCTGCTACTTGAGTTTCATTTCCTTTCACACAGTGGCTAGATACTTTCGTTCCAGTTTCTTCTTTTACTTAAAGTTGTCCTCTCTACAAGAAATTCTGGTGAGTTCTTTCTTGTCTTGTCTTTGTTTTTCTTTTTCCCCTAATGTTGCTTTCAGTCACCCTGATACGTACTTCTTAACTACCTCTCAGAGCCACTCCTCCAGGTGACCTCTGTGACACTGATCAGGGCGTTCAGCCACCTGGATCATGACCCCACTTGTACCCCCAGGGTCCCTGGGTTTGAATTTTCTCTCCTATCTCATCTAGTCTCATTCATACGCATCCTGGGACCAGTTCTAGTCCCATTTCTTTACCAGGCCCTAAAAACTGTCAGATAGGCCAGGCACGGTGGCTCGCGCCTGTAATCCCAGTACTTTGGGAGGCTGAGGTGGGTGGATCACGTGAGGTCGGGAGTTCGAGACCAGCCAGACCAACATGGAGAAACCCCGTCTCTACTAAAAATACAAAATTAGCTAGGTATGGTGGTGCATGCCTGTAATCCCAGCTTCTTGGGAGGCTGAGGCAGGAGAATCACTTGAACCCAGGAGGCAGAGGTTGCGGTGAGCCAAGGTCGTGCCATTGTACTCCAGCCTGGGCAACAAGAGCAAAACTCTGTCTCAAAAAAACAAAAACAAACAAACAAGAAAACTGTCAGTTAATAAAAACAGTTAGCATTTGTTGACAGTTTACATAATAATCTTACATTCTACACAAAAATTCTACATTTTACAGATGGGGAAACTAAGGAACAGGAAGATTAAAGTTTCCAGAGTTCAAACTGCTACTGATTGACAGAGCCAGAATTCAAACCCAGCAAGTCTTAACCCTACAGTGCACACTCTTAGGACTTCGGTGACTTCAGCCCCTGCTGTCTGTGCCACTCAACTGCCAACTCTATTTAGATTCTTGTGTTCCTGGTCATCTTTATATTTCCATCTCCATCACCATGATTTTGAATCTTTGGGATCTCCCGTCTGATCTTGTAGGGCATTTAACAAATGGAAATATTGGTTGAAAAGAAAAGTAAAAACTTAAAAATTCTATGTGAGAAATAATACCACAAGGTGAAAACACGGATAACAAATCAGAAGAATAAAATATATGACAAAGATTTAATATCCTTACCACCCTTTTACAAATCTATAATAAAGAAGGCATGCAACCTATCGTTAAAAATGAGTAATATAAAAATGAGTAACATAAGAGTTGATCCTTTCATAGTTCATATGCGTGCTGATTGGGGGTTCATGCTCTGGTGTGAGATGTGCTTCCCTCAAGCCTTGTTAAGACATGAGCACATTACCATCTGATATGAACATAATAATAATAAAAATAAGTAATGTAACAGTAAAGTAAGCAATTCACACTAGTGGAAATGGCTAAGTAATTTATAAAAAGGTTTACTTCACTGGTAATAAAATGAATGAAAATCTGATTTTTTACTTTATACTTTCCTATATTCATGTATTTATTCATTTTTCAAGAGTATGTATTAGTTTTATCCTTTTAAATTTTAATTTGATTAATTAATTACTTAATTAATTTTTCTAGAGATGGAGTCTTACTGTGTCACCAAGGCTGGAGTGCAGAGGCACAATCATGGCTCACTGCAGCCTCAAACTCCTGAGCTCAGGCAATCCTCCCACCTCAGCCACCAGAGTAGCTGGAACTACAGGCACATGCCCACTACATCCAGCTAATTTTTTATTTTTTGCTGAGATTGGGGTCTTGCTATGTTGCCCAGGCTGGTCTCAAACTCCTGGCTTCAAGCAATACCCCCATCCTGGCTTCCCAAGGTGCTAGGATTGCAGGCATGAACCACTGCTCCTGGCCTTATCATTTTCTATTAGTTATTTCTATTTGGGGAAAACAAAAGAATGTATATCACACATTCTAAGAATCTGAAACTCTCTGGTGTCTAATGGCAGGGGTTAAACAGTTAGGGGGCAAAGAGCTGCATTTCTAAGAAACCATTTATCACTCACTCAATCTTTTTTTTACTTACTCAATTTTCTGCCCCCATGTTTCTGGGCAAATTAGTCACATCTGGACCTTGTCATCAGGACCTGGCATATCTTGCCTCTCTCCCTTTCCTTTTTGTCCTGAGGATACAGTAGAGCCCTATAAACCAGACTCCTGGGACTTACCTGCAGTACTACACTTTCCACTGGATCCCAGCCAGTGGGATCATTTGTGGCCAGTTCAGATGCCACAGCCCCTACGATGGCCTATTAAAAATCTGCATTGTCTGTTGATGTGACATACCTCCTGGCAGAAAACCCAGCCATCACCTCAGACCCCAGCCCAGCTCCTCTTTCATTCCTCTCTCATCTTCTTCACTTTCAACCATGAACTTACCTGTCCTTCATACAAGAGTCCTAATAATATAAAATAGTGTCTATAATTTATTGAGTGTTATTATAACTTCATGCTAAGAATCAACACATATCTTCTCATTTTAATCCTCCCAACAATGCTTTTAGTTGCATATAATCACTATTTTACAGACATAAAAAATGAGGATTGCACAGGAACAGCCGAGCCAGGATGTTAACATTTGTCTGTCTGGCCTTCTTTTGACCAGGGGTCTTTCTTTCCTCAGTTTTTCTTTCGCCCTGACTTTGTTCTCTGTTAGGTCTGGATTCCTAGCACCATCAGGCGACCTGCTCTCTCTCCCCATATAATCGCTTGGATTTCTTCTGATAGTGCCCAAGCAAGCCCTTAACAGTTTCCCTTTGTTGTCATCTGCACGGACAACCTGTATGATCAGACATGCCCATCAGTTTCTTCCTGAATCTTTACTCTCAATACCTGTCAATCCAGTGCAGCCCAACTTAGAAGCTCCTCTGCCTGTCTCCAGTAACCTGCAGCATCAGATGATTCCAGTTTGAATGGGAAAATGCTTTGTTTCTCTTGACTAAAAAACTGGGACTAGCAGGGCATATTTGTGTTTTCAAAGACGAATGTATCAGTCCAAGAAAGTTTCTAATGCAAGTAAATTTTCTAATTAGCAATGGTCCCCAATCTTTTTGGCACTAGGGACCAGTTTCCTAGAAGAGAATTTTTCCACAGACAGGTTGGGGGTGAGGATGGGGTTACGGTTTTGCAATGAAACATTTCCACCTCTGATCATCAGGTACTAGTTACATTCTCATAAGGAGCACACAACCTAGATCCCTTGCATGAGCAGTTCACAATACGGTTCATGCTCCTGTGAGAATCTAATGCCACTGCTGATCTGATGGGAGGCAGAGCTCAGGCGGTAATGCTCACTCGCTTGCTGCTCACCTCCTGCTGTGTGGCCCGGTTCCTAACAGGCCACAGACCAGTAACAGTCCACTGCCCAGGGTCCTAGGGACCCCACCTCTAATAGGAAGAAATTCAGAAAAGGGGATGGGAGGTGACATTTTACAGAAAAGGAAGCTGAGTCTCAGAAAGTGTTTGTCTTGGCCAAAAATAAGCAGCAAAATGTGAAAATGAAATTTCACTCTCTAATCATTTCCTCCAAGCCTTGTCCTCTTTCTGTCCCCACCCGGCACCCTTCGTGAGCTGGCAATAAAAATCTCCCTCCTAGGTTTTCATGCTTATAGGAGAAGTCATTTGCTCAGAGAATCCCTGAGATGCATGGGGACAGGACTAGCCTTCTCCCCTTCTCCACTTTACTCCATCTGGCCTTGCAGTGAGCCCTCTCTATGAGTAAAATTGTTGACGAGACCATTCACTCAATTATAGCATTTTATGTGATATTATTTCATGAAATAAAATGTTCAGCTCTTGATTACCAGCCTCCCAGTTTTCCACCAAGGATGTGATGTGTTCTCAATGTACATTTAAGTTCTGTGAAGATTTTCCATTCATACATTCATCCAATAAATGTCAAGACATAAAGAATGCCAAGTCCCAGGAAGAGAAAGAAGAGTCCCATAGAATAAGGGGTTTAATTTCATGAAATGATTTGCATCAAATTCACTGGCCTCTCCTTGACTTCCAAACTCATTATCTTTCTAACCCAAGGCTCAAGGTAAGCCTGCATTCTTGTGACTCTTTCTGACAGTCAATCGTAACAAATCATGCTACCTCGGCTAACTGTCTTCACTTGATGTTCTACCCAGAAAAGCACAGTTGCTTTTCCTTCTGACCACAGCAGCCCTAGCCACACCCTGCATTGTCCAAGGGCATAGAGCCAAATTGCTGCTGTCACTGCTGCCACCTTTTGCTCCCTGACACCATCTAACAGAGCCTTGTGTCCCTACTATACTCCATGTCTTCCATCTCTAGGCTCCTCTTTTGCCACTGAGGAGCCCAGTAGGTGCCCACATTAGACACACTTCCTCACTGGCCAGACAGCAGGTGGGCAGAACCACAAACTCACTTAAGCTGCTGTCTTGAGATGCAGCTTTCTCAGGGACAGCTGGAGAGACAAAGTACACAGTCTCTAAGTGCAGTGGTCATGTCTTGTTCATCTTTACATCTTAGCACCTAGAATAGTCTTTAGCACTGGGTAGGAGCTCTGCAAATATTTGTGGAAAGAAGGAAGAGAAGGAAACCAGAATACTGAGGTGATTTGCCTAAGACACCTAGTTTAGCAGAGAACTAGATACGAATCCTGGCTCCCAAAGTCCTGTATCCATGCTCATTCCACTCTACCACTCTAGGCTTACATTGGCCTCCTGAAAGAAGGAAAAATGAGATAAATAACAAGGGAAGGGAGAGAGGATACAGAAGAGAACACCCAGTAAGGAAAATTTGGGGTTGTATTTGCAGGTGGCATAGCCACAAGGCCAGAGCTGATGTTTTCCTGGGCCCGAGGTGGTCTACTCCAAGGCAGATACATTGTAGTTATGGATAAATGGTGCTATTGATCAAATTCTCACATCTGGAAAAGGTCTAGCAAAATTGTTAATTCCAGGCATAGTGAAAGTAGCTCAAAAATATGTATTTTCAAAATGTAAATATGGACAATTACCATTATCCCACCTCCAATCTCCAAGCTTTTCTTTATTTCATTAATCATTTAAAAAATAAATATAATCTTTTCCTACCTAACCCAGCAAGATAAATGTGTCCTAAGAATTTGCTATTATTATTGCTGTTACTTAAAACATCTTTAGTGAACCAAGCATAGCAGGTATTAATTAATCTGATTTAATTAGAATGAGTCAAATTATATTCAGAAACCCCAGTGAAAATTTTAATAAGAAATTTCTTTTCAGAATATGACTTTGATGCAATTTTACTTTTTTCATGAGGTATGGACTGAGGAAGAGGAAGGAAGAGAAAGTAGGTAAAAGGAAATTTTTTTTTGCATTGCCATACTGTTAACCAAGACTAAAGACCAGAAGCAGAGAAATGGAATAATTAAAAAGTGATGACAATGTAATATTTAGGCATGCTGTCACACAGAGTCCAACAAAATGGTTTTAGAAATTATCTTTAATTCTTTTACTTACTGGGGAAAAAAATAATCCAGAAAACTATAAAGAGATAAATATTTCCTATTATCCTGTTGTTTGAAAATAACTACAGTTAGTATTTTAGTATATAGCCTATTCTACTGTTGCAAAATAGGTGCATTTCTAAGAAATCTCAACTTATCAAAAGAATGTAAAGAAACAGGTAACACTGGTTGAAATTGGAGAAGGATGGCTGGGGAATAGGGATGGAACAAAAATTTCTCATTTAGAAATACTAGCATGTGCCTTTTAGATTTTGTCCTTTAAAAGTGTATCTCCTATTAAAATTAAGCCAAATTGCAATTTAAAACTAACTTTTTTAAAAAAAAATGTTTTAATGGGAACAGAAATGTTAAAACTCACAGTAGAACAGAATTTTAAAAATAGTAATTTTAACAATAAATTTGTTTTCATAACCATAAATGTATTTGGTTATTGCTAGCTTTAATTTTAAAAAGGTAGATCAAAACCTACAAAAGGAAACACAAACTTCCTTACACTTTCCGCCACGTATTCAGCACCGTCTAATGCCTCATCACTGTTGCCATGCAGGTCTGCCTGCAGTACAGTCCATTACAGCCAGGGGAAGCAGCAGCTTTTTATCATTTCCCAGTTCCCAGTCAGTTCTGGTTATTACTAACAGTGATTCATTAAATTATGTTCAATAAGCAGCTAATTGTGCTATGTCCAATTTTTGTTAGGGACACTTTAACTGTAGGAGAAATTAATGCCTGTATAATTTTCCAAATGCTTTCCCCAGGCGTGTATACATATACTTTATATAGAAGTTATCTTTTTAAATTTGTTTTTACCAAAAAAAGAATCATAATAAACATACTACTTTAGAAGGTTTTTTTCACCCAACAAAGCATTTTGAAATTCTTCTCATTTTAACTTACCAAATTTCACCTTATCTACAATAAAAGTTTAATCCCTTATGAATGAGATTTATCTTTCAAAAAAGAAATGAATTTGCTTTTCTCCTTTCATACTGCCAGTATTTTCAGTATCTTTATGATGTTACTATACGAACATAAAAAATCAGTGTGATTCCATTACCATTTAAAGCCAGACACTAAGACCAATGGAGGCTGATATTCCTGTAGGCCATAGCAACCCTGGGAAATCTTGCCTTTGCTGAAGCTATACCAAATCCAGAAGTAATTGAAGTCCCCCTAAGGTTTCAGGTCCCCCCAAAGAAGGCAGGAGTTGTGCATTACTCAGCATTCTCAGATCTATTCTAAAGCAGATTATTTTCTTAGATTTTGATTCAATTCCATGCAATTCAAGCATTTTTATTTAATAAGTACAAGGCATTGTGCTCAAGGAGAAGTGTACAAGCTAAACTGGATCATTCTAATTTTCCTGAACACTTACAACCTCGTAGGAAGACATACATACATAAGTAAGTATGATACAAGGAAAATTTGTAAGACAAAGTAAATAAAAGTATTATAAGAAACACAGAAGAGGGATAGATTACTTTAGGCTGAGTGAGGTGGCTTTTGAGTTCCTACTAGAAGGGTGTGTAGGATTGTGACTAGAAGAGAGAGGAAGGTCTGGATGGAGCAACAAGAGTCTGGGCTATTAACACAGGTTTGAGTCAGGCTGACCGGAGCTGTAAAGCCCTTCTCGTTCTCACTGTGTGTTCTTTTCAGTTCTGTCTTCCTGAGGCTGCTGTTTCTGGGCATGGCCAGGGGATCTTCAGACTTTACAAACCAGTTGTGCAGAGCCAGGCATTTCAATAAGGAACAAAATGCTGAGTAACAACATGAAGTCAGAGTGTTGCTTGCCAAGAGCTGGGAGGCCTGGGTGGTTTCCCAATCTTAAAGAAGCAGAAGGATATTAAAGTGAGCCTCCCAAAGGAAAACGTGGATCTACTTACCAACGCAGAAAATGATACACACGGATTCGATTTAGGTAAGTGCACCCCCTGTGATGACTATTGGTCACTTCCAGATCACATGGACTAACTGTAGGTCTCAACTATTTTGACTTTTTTTTTCCAGAACAGACTAATACATAACTAACGGCTTACCTTTGTGAAAAATATTTTATGCACTGTAGAACAGATAATTTTCAGTCCTGGGCCAAAGGGGGAAACTTTGGAGAGAATTAAACAGGAAATGACTCTGCTACAAAGAATTCAGGAGCATGAGTGAAGTGAATAAACAATCCAGGCACGATTGATGAATTCTAGATGTCCTGGGAATAACAGGGCTTGTTGCCAGCTCAGATGGGTGAAATCCTACTCTGATGAAAGGCTCCAGGGCTGCAAGGAGACCACTCCTACATCCATCACATCAGTGTCACAGGTTTACCACCTGCTCAGCGATTATTCAACATCCTAAGGCCTTTTGCCCCATTACACACGTTTGACCACTTAGTCCAGGAATGAGGTACCAAATACTAGGGAGATCTCATAAAGCCTGCAGCTAAAATAAGCAGAGGAATCAGAAGCTGGACAGAGTGACCCAAGGAGGACTGGGGATAACTCAGGAGTTCCTTTTTTTTTTCTTTTTGAGATGGAGTCTCGCTCTGTCGCCCAGGCTGGAGTGCAGTGGCGCGATCTCGGCTCACTGCAGCCTCCGCCTATTGGGTTCAAGCAGTTCTCCCGCCTCAGCCTCTCAAGTAGCTGGGACTACAGGCACCCACCACTACGCCTGGCTAATTTTTGTATTTTTAGTAGAGACGGGGTTTCACCATATTGGCCAGGCTGGTCTCAAACTCCTGACCTCATGATCCGCCCGCCTCGGCCTCCCAAGGAGTTCCTTATTTTAATATTTGCTGAAAATTCTCCACCATAATTTAAACATGTAATGATAAGAAAAATATCTGCTTCTGACTGAATATTTAGAAAACACAGAGCTATATAACATAGAAAAAAACCCAAGTCGACCACTGACAAATAATTATTAGGACTATTTCTTTTCATTCTGTGTTCTCTGCACATATGAAAGTAAAAAATTGGAATCATATTGTATATACAGTTTTATATTAATTTTTTTACATAGTCACTTTAATAACAATACATATGCTATGTTATCACTATAGAATGTAAATTCAGGTTAGACAAGAAAATTTCACAAGTGTAATAAAGCATTCTAATTAGCTGGGCGTGGTGGTGTGCACCTGTAGTCCCAGCTACTCTGGAGGCTGATGTGGTAAGATTGCTTGAGTCTGGGAAGTTAAGGCTTCAGCGAGCTGTGATCATGCCACTGCACTCTAGAGCCTGGGTGACAGAGCAAGACCCCATCTAAAAATATATATATATAAATTAAGCATTTTGCCTTTTATCAAAGTTTGTGTATAGTATCTGGCCAAACCCGCTTGCTCATTAGTCACTTTCATTATAGGTAATTTGTTTAGTTTCTTGTTTATGATTCTTCTGGAGAAAATTTGAAAAGTGTTCTTCACTTACCTTAGCATGAGTGCTTAAAATAGGATGACATTTAAAAATTATTCTAATATAACAGCAGCTAAAATATAATTCTGCACTTATAAAAGAGCTAAACTGGAGTTCATAATTAAGTTATTCTCATGTTTACAATTATGATTCTGAAATAAATACTGTTACTATGAAGCTCTATTGTAAGCTTTCTTGATTCGGTTTAGACACACATACATACACTTAAGAGTTGTGAGAGGCGTTACAAGTTGTTAATGTATTCCATGCACGTTTCAGAAAAGTTCTAATAGAGACAGCCAGTTCACAAGACAGGAAGAAGAAAAGTTAGATTAACCAGGGCAGATAAGACTCCTATATAACATACAAAGCATGTGAAATTCTTCAGCAAACTGGGAATACTTCAGGGATCGCCAGCTATCTTCTTTAGAACTAATTTCTTCTTTCTTTTCTTTTCTTTTCTTTTCCTTTCTTTTCTTTTCTGTTTCTTTTCTTTTTTCTTCTTTCTTTCTCCCTTCCTTCCTTCCTTCCTTCCTTCCTTCCTTCCTTCCTCCCTCCCTCCCTCCCTCTCTCTCTCTCTTTCTTTCTTTCTTTCTTTCTTCCCTTCTTTCATCTTTCTTTTCTGTCTCCCTCTATCACCCAGGCTGGAGTACAGTAACTGCAACCTCCGCCTCCCAGGTTCCGGTGATTCTCATGGCTCAGTCTCCCAAGGAGCTGGGATTACAGGCATGTGTCACCACCCTCAGCTAATTGTGTGTGTGTGTGTGTGTGTGTGTGTGTGTGTGTGTGTGTGTGTGTATGTATTTTTGGTAGAGACAGGGTTTTGCTATGTTGGCCAGGCTGGTCTCAAACTCCTGGCCTCTAGTGATCCACCCGCCTTGGCCTCTCAAAGTGCTGGGATTACAGGAATGAGCCACCACACCCGGTCCTAATTTAATCTTTACAGTCTAAGAAGGTGGTTTTAAAGTTTTAACATCATCAAGTGGAATTAGGTGACATGTTTCCTTTGTGTTAACTTGACTTCCCTGAATGACCTAGTTAGTGAACTAGTCACTAGTAATTTGGTCACCAGGCAAATCAAGCATGCAAGAAAGGAAGCCAGTATTCAAAATACCGTGTTATCGTCTGAACCCACTCAAATAATTTATTTCCAACATAAACATGTAACCTCAATAATGAGATGTCTAACTAAAGTAAGGTCCTCTTACAAGATCAAGACAGCATCCTCCTTCCAAGGCTTAGGCTTTGCCCAGAATTCCTAATACACAGAACAGCCCATACCAACAGTCATTGCTTCTACAACACATGTGGATCAGGAGAAGGGACCTTTTAGCATTTCCTCTGCTCTTCCATTTGTATAATCCTTATGGAACAATTGCTGGAAAGCCTGCCATTCCAGTGAGAACAAATGGTGGCTCTTCAACTTTTCGAACAAGTTTGGATCCTTGATCTTTATCATAGGAAGAAAGGGAAACATCTGTGTCTGTTGACATAGTGATTGAAGAATCTTCCTAGAGTGAGAAAATCTCTCACAATCCAACTGACCTCTATATTAATTTTTTATCTAACATATTATAGTCATTTGCCATGTTATTAAGCATTGTTGTAAACATTGCTTTTAATGCTTATATAATATTTTATCTTACAGGTGTATGACAATTTATTTAAAAGTTCCCCTTCTTGGGATGCTTAGAGTGTTTCCACATTTTTAAATTATAAATAACACTTATGGACATCTGTACATATAAATCTTTTACCACAAATAAAATTGTTTCCCTAGGATTCACGTAAAAAAACATGGAGCAAGGTTTGAAGCTGTTGAACTCTATGGTTCCTTCTTCTTCTTTCCAGGCACGCTACATTCAAATGACTTGGAAGAGCAGGTTCTCTGAGCCAGGATACTAAAGTCCCTGTTTAGGAAAGAGCCACGTTGTATGTTTACCCTACCACAAAGATACAGGTGAGAAAAACTGAAGCCTGGGATGGTGGACCAAAGAGAGACACTGACAGAATGAGCCCTAGACTTCCAGAGTCTGGGAAACTTAGGCCAGATAAAGACTAGTAGTCTGGCAGTTATTACTGGGAATCACTCTTACTCTACAGCTAGGCGTGTGCCATTCCTCCTGTCCCTTAACTAGAAACTCCCTATGGATAACCTGGCTTCTCATTCCACTGGGAAAATTGAAGCATGCAGTAGAGACCTTCCACAAGCTCCCTCCACCACCTCTTACCCACTTGCCTGTCTCTATGCACATAAATATCTGTCTTCTTTTCTTTCAATACCATGTATAGGTTGACAACACTCACATTTTCATATCTCCAGCCCAGATTTCTCCCGTGTGTCTTGACTTGATATCTAATTTCCTACATGACATCTCTCTTTGGATGACTAATAATCATCTCAAATGTGTATGTCCAATACCAGACTGCTGATCTGCCTCCAAACCTGTTTTTCCTGTAGTCTTGTGCACATAAGTTGAAGGCAACGCCATCTTTTTACTTTCTCATGCCAAAAAACTTGGAGTCCTTTTTGATTTATCTCTGTCTCTCACACCCCACATCCCATCCATCAGCAAATATTTGCATCATGTCTCACTGGATACTGCAACCATCTCCTTGCTGATCTCACTGCTTTTCAGCCTATTTCACAACCCAGCGGTTGAAATAGTTCTTTTAAAACATAGGTCAGATCATGTCATTTCTCAAACCTACCAAATACTTCCATTTCACTCAGAGTAAAATACAAAGTCCTTATAATGGCCATACACAATCTGCCCCCTCCCCATCTCCTTACCCATCTCACTTCATGTCCTGCTATTTTCTCCTTTGTTTGTCTCTGCTGCAGCCACACTGGCCTTCTTACTGTTCTATAAATATGCCAGGCACTTTCCTGCCTCAGGGTCTATGTACTTCCCATGCTTTCTGCTCTTCCAGATTTCTGCAGAGCTCATTTCCTACCTCCTTTATGTCTTTACTTGTTCATCTTCTCATGCGACTTTCCTACCATGTTTAATTGCAAACTCCTGCCCCCAACACTCCATGTCTCTCTTTCTACCTTATTTTTCTCCATCATGCTTATCACTCACCAACAGACCTCACTTATTTGGTTTATTGTCTGTCTGCCCCTACTGACAGACAGTTCTTTTATCTATTTTGATCATTGCTGTATACTTAGCACCTAGATAGTGCCTGGCACATACTTGGTGCTTCAAATACACTTGCTGAATAAAGTATGGGCATGCTATGAAAAGGCATAGATAGGTAAGGACTTTTGGGTCCAGATTGTGAGAAAGTCATTGGCACCAAGATGTTTTCACTCAATTTTCTGAGTCCTATTACAGAATCCTGGCCAAAAGTATAATACACCAAAGAACCAGAATTATCACAGGTGAAGTAAACCAGGCCAATTGTTTTCTAGATCCTCTTAGGTATTTTTGTGAATTATACATGTTATGGGAAATTTTAAACTTGTCTATACTAAAGCAAATTAGAATGCTTTGATAAAGCTTATTTTGGATTTCTCAGTGCTTCTCCTTGGTCACAAAATATGGCAAGGGGTTCTAGAAATAGATTTAGTGGGGGAAGGAAAGAAACTAACATGGAATCGAGTGACTTCTAAATTTCTAAACCCCTTACATCTCATTTAAACTTTTGACAACTTTTGAGTCAAGAAACATTATTCCAGCTATGAATATATACAAATTGAGGTTCGGGCCTGGTGAAATGACTCATGCTGGTAATCTCAGCACTTTGGGAGGCCAAGGCAAGAGGACGGCTTGAGCCCAGGATTTTGAGACCAGCATAGGCAACACAGCAAGACTCTCTCTCTACAAAAAATTAAAAATTTATCTGGGCATGGTGACACACACCTGTAATCTCAGCTACTCAAGACGCTGATCTGGGAGGATCACTTGAGCCTAAGAAATCAAGGCTGCAGTGAGTCATGATTGTGCCACAGCACTCCAGCCTGGGTGACAGAGCAAGACCTTGTCTCAAAAAACAAAAAAAAATCAAACTGAGGTTCAGAGAGAAATATTAATTTCTCCAATTTTGCACAGCCAGCAAATGGCAGGCTTAGAATTCCATCCACTAGCTAACTGAGTAGTATAGGACCTAGACCAAGCTTGTCCAACCCACGGCCCACAGACTGCATGTGGTCCAGGACATCTTTGAATATGGCCTAGAACAAATCTGTAAACTTTCTTAAACATTATGAGATTGTTTTGCGATTTTTTTTAAGCTCATCAGCTATCATTGGTGTTAGTGTATTTTATGTGTGGCCCAAGACAATTTTTCTTCCAATGTGGCCCAGGGAAGCCTTGAACACCCTGACTTAGACTTTATAGCTAATAGCTTGACAAATTAGGTGACTTAGGAGAAATCATTTAATATTTGTCTCAGTTGTCTGCCAAAAAAAAAAAAAAATGTAAATTCACTTCAGACACACATCTTAGAATAACCCAGGGTGATAATTTCAGATTTTTCTGGCTCTTGTTTATTTCTTAGCTCCTTCAGAAGAAAGAAAATGTTCTAAATGTTAGGATCCACTGGGGCTGTTATGTTTCCTAGTTCAAATCTTTAAACTGTTGTTAAACCACAACAATTACCACAAGCACAGAGCCTCCTGGAACATTTTCCCAAGTAAAACAAATACTCTAGCTGTGTGAGGGTATCAGGCAAAGCTAGAAATGGGACTCCTTGCTGGCTATCCATGTGAAGGGCTTTGTTTAAGGAAATGCTATGTTGCCAGCACAGTCACTTGTCAAAGACAATAGCTGTTGGCAAAGCATTAATATGTGAGGATTGGGAGAGCTGCCAGTGGAAGCAAACTGTTTTGTGGTGTGTACAATGTTGTGCTGGGACATCAGCTGAAGTTCACCATTGATGACCATCTGAAAACTGCCTTCCACTCACAGTACACTCAAATGGACAACTCAGCAAATTGAAGAATGAATTTCTAGGGAGAGGCAACACGGTATAATTAATGAAAAAAGAACTAGAATAGAAGTGAAAACCCCTCATTTTAATTCCAATGTTGTGACTCTGATACCTCCTTTAATTTCCCTGCATCATTTTCCTTATTCACTCACTTACCCAGGCACTCAACCAGGCATCCAGCAAGTATGTATTGAATGCCAGCTTGTATTCAAGGCACTGGGTGAAATGATGTGATCATTTCATGATTCTGCTTTATGTATGTTAGAGATAATAGTCCCATCTGCCTCAAATTGATGTAATGAGGATGAAAACCCAGTTTCCACTTTGGTAGAAATGGAAATATGTTTGTCTTGCCTACTTCATGGATCTATTATGAGAATCATAAGAGATAATTATGTGGGTATACTTAATGAACTTAAAGTGTTAGATAGATATGCGAAAAATAAGTAAATAAATACTTTGACCAGAACAAAACTTACATCATTGCTGAATATTACTTGGGGAGAGAGGCAGAGAGAGAGAGAGGCAGAGAGAGACAGAGAGAGAGACAGACAGAGACAGAGAAAGAAAATGCAAATGAGATCCAGTGCCACTTACCTATTCTTTTCTTTTTTTCAGTGAAAGCAAGACTTACAACGATAAAAATAGAAGTTAGTTTCAATAATTATTTTTATAATTTTTTCAGTGAAAATCCACAGACAAGAACCAAACTCATGGTTCTCAAATTATACTCTTATACTGATTATCAGTAGTTTTAGGTGTTTGGGTTCTGAAATTCAATGCTAGGACTGGGAGTAGAGGATTTTATTGCTAATATATCAGGATTAGGTTTTGCTGCACATTTAAAAAAAAAAAAAAAGCAAACTACCAAAGCCTAAAGCAAGCTGGAATTTGGGGGTTTCTTTTCTCAGATAAAAGGAGTTGGAAGAGAAACTATCTAGCTATGGCCACTCCATAATATCATCTGGGACCCCCAGGCTCTTTTCTCTATTATCTTAACACATGGCTTTTATTATTAAGGTCATCTCTGGGCTGCTGAAGCTCCAGTTATCACACCTGCATTGCAAGCCAAAATAAGAAGGAGATGCAGAAAGTATCACCCCCAGCTGAGTAAAATTGTGTTAAGTAGCCCTTCTAAACGTTTTATCTAGGAATTATGCTTTCATATCTTTGACAGAGATTAGTCACGTGGCCACAGTTAGCCACAGGGGTGACTAGGAAATGTAGTTTTTGTCTTGAGAGCTATTCTGCTGGGATAAGAATCAAGGTTAGGCAACTAGCTATCTTTTCCACACAAAATATTACAGAAAAAAGATGTTAATGGATAGAATGTTCTCAATTACACATTTTTCTCCATACCTTTTACATATTCCTTTGGTTTTAAGAATATTATCATTCTCCTATAATAGTATACAATAGTATATGATTCAAAACAAAATTATAAACTGGATTTTTTTAACAATCTATTTATATTTCATTTTATCCTACAAAGAGCAACATGATTTTCAGTTGTTTTATCACATGAATATATTCAAGCCCCATTAATCCAAATCAAATAAAATTATGGAAGTCTAGAAATCCATTCTGTATGGAAGCAAGCTAACAGCAGCGTTCCATCTTCTAACAGCCTTAGCCCAGGAGCATTTACCAGTAAGCATATTGATTTGAGCGTCAGCATAAAATAAGGCATCCCTGAATTTTTACCAACAAAGAAAAGTGTCCTTGCACTGTGGTCACAGCATGTGTATCTTTCTACATCTGCCCTCAAATTCCCAACAACATGATTGTGCTCTGAGTGGAAGCCTCTTGGTGTTCTGTGTTGCCTTCATCCATATAAGTATATGTAGGTCTTTCTGTTCATTTAGAGTTTGCCTTTTGTGTGTGTGACAGGGTCTTACTCTGTCATCTAGGCTAGATAGAGTGCACCAGTGTGATTGTAGCTCACTGCAGACTTGACTTCGTGGGCTAAAGAGATCTTCCTGCCTCAGCCTCAGCCCCTGACCCCTGACCCCCAGGAATTACTGGTGCATACCACTATGCCCAGCTAATTTTTTATTCTTTATTTTTTAGAGATGGGGTCTGATTATGTTTCCCAGGCTGGTCTCAAACTCCTGGGCTCAAGTGATCCTTCCACCCCACTGTCCCAAGTGTTAGAGCACATCATGGGTGTCAGCTACTGCACCCAGAGAGAATCTGCCTTAAGACTTTAAAGAATTCTGAGCAATAGTGTCTGAGGGGCTCATTCCCTAACCTAACGAGGATTACAAACCAGCTGGGTTATGAAAGAGCAGCAGCCATCCAAAACTGTCCTGATTGGGGAAGTGAACTCTGCATGCCACAAAGCAGGAATGGCAGCCAAATGAGAAACATATGCTCTGGATTCTGATGCAAAGTTTTTATTTCTTTAAAAACAACTGCATTAAAGTGACATAAACTTAAATTTAATCCAATTTGGACCTTACTGGAAAACAGTATGAATTTTGGGTGAAATATTTTGGAGAAATTTGAAATATCTACTATGTTATGTGACCTTAGACAAAGAACTTAACCACACCAAGTTATTGTTATTATATGAATAATAACAGTAATGTCAAATAGCAATAATAATGCCAAAAGAACTGACAGTCTTTTTGAAGATTACTGTGTCAAGAGTGTAAGTTACGTTAGAAAGATACACATGCTGGCCGAGCGCGGTGGCTCACGCCTGTTATCTCGGCACTCTGGAAGGCTGAGGTGGATGGATCACCTGGGGCCAGGAGTTCAAGACCAGCCTGGGCAACATAGTGAAACCCTGTCTCTACTAAAAATACAAAAATTAGCTGGGCATATTGGTGGGCGCCTGTAATCCCAGCTACTTGGGAGGCTGAGTCACGAGAATTGCTGGAACCCAGGAGGCGGAGGTTGCAGTGAGCCAAGATCATGCCACTGCACTCCAGCCTGGGTGACAGAGAAAGATTCCAAAAAAAAAAAAAGAAAGAAAGAAAAGAAAAGAAAGACGGGAAGGAAGGAAGGAACGGAGGGAGGGAGGGAGGGAGGGAAAGATACACGTCCTGTGGCCACAGTACAAGGACATTTTTCTTGGTTGGGAAAAATTCAGGGGTGCCTTATTTTATGCTGATGTTCAAATCAATATTCTAAGTTATAATAAGGCTGTTACATTAGACTCTTAACACAGTAATCTTCAAAAAGTAATGCTATATTATTAAATAAGTGTACATAAAATAACTTACTGGTCATTCTCTTCTTAGTCCAAGGATTTTGTCACTAACCTGCTAAAATTCTTTTAGCAAGACTTTTAATTAGAGGTCAAAAATTTACTCACTCTAATGAGGGACTTGAATTTTACAATCTGTAATAACTGACTTGACGTTGGGCCTTATTATCTCGGATTCTTTCATCTTCCTTGGGTTGTTCCTTAATTCTGGGCATTTTGCTGCCCATTACCTCTCTCTTCAAAGGTTGGCAAAGGGACATAGCAACAATTCTGGTAAACAGAGCAAATGGAAATGGAAATGAGCCAGAGGTGTGCTCAGTAGAATGTCATGTCATGTATTGATCAAATGGCACAGAGAACCCAGGCTCTGGAGTCAAGACTGGGAAGCTATTGTCATAAACTATTCTACATTGGCCCGTAACTTGAGCCTTAACAAATCATACAACCTCAGAGACTTCATCTATAAATTGAAAGTGTTAATATCATATACCTTTTAAGATTTTTTGGCCAGATGCAGTGGTTCATGCCTGTAATTCCAGCACTTCGGGAGGATCACTTGAGCTCAGGAGTTAGAGACCAGTCTGGGCAACATAGTGGGACCCTGTTTCTACTAAAAATAAAAAAAAAAAACTAGGCAAGTGTGGTGGGGCATGCATGTAGTCCGAGCTACTCAGGAGGCTGAAGCAGGAGGATCTCTTGAGCCTGGAAAATCAAGGCTGCAGTGAGCCATGATCAGGTTACTGCACTCCAGCCTGGGTGACAAAGGGAGACCCTGTCTCAAAAAAACAAGCAAAAAAATATTTGTCAGGATTAAATGATGTTACCTATAAAGTATTGTGGGCATTGTGTTAATTGTTACCTATTACTATTAACCAACACCATTATGAGATATCTCTATATGTTAGCAACAGAAATAAATTTATCCATTTATTTCAAACAGTATTTGATTCAATGCAATTCTAGTACAATAGAATACTCCTAGAATGATAATAATATGACTAAGTTTGTTTTTAGGTCATTTCAATAAGAAAATTTAGACTTCGTTATCTATTTGTCAATGCTTATTTAATCCATAGTTCATTCTGAGTCCCTCGCCACTTTTACATTGTCCTTTTCGAGTGTCTTTCACAGCCCTGTGGCTTTAATGCGTTGCTGTCTTCCCAATTCACAGTTCAGTTTCATCAGCACTCCTGTTTCCTGTTTTGTCACTGTCTAGGCTGCCTGTTTTGCACCTCGAACTCCTTCCTCTTCCTCTTCAAAGGATATCGTCAACATTTCCAGTAGGGATGGGCAATGAATGCCACAAACGTTTCTTGCTGCAGCTCTTCCTTTTCTTTCTTTTTCTTTTTTTAACCTCCTTTGAACCTTCATAAGCTTCCTGTAATGACTGTGTCTCTGTTTCAACTATTTCAGTATTTCTGTGGCTTTTGATTTTGATCTGGATTCACGTCTTCCAGCCAAAACCATCTCAAACAAGTAGTTTGAGGTTTTTGCTGGAAGGTAATTTGAATTTGTTTACATGGCCACCAACTCCCAATTTTAGATGTCCTGAGATTTCTGGAGTAGAGGATTGGCCTTACCAGATTACCTTTCTCTTATTAGCACTATTATTAGCAAAGATGGGCTCTTTCGTTTGTGAGCTAATCATACTTCTTATAATTCTAAATAACTACTTCTAAATCAGGAGAATTAGAAAAGTCTTTCATTTCAGCAGGGTTGAAAAAAGGTTAATTAAAGTCATCCACAGACATAGATATAGCAACATGATTTGATATACATACATCAATAAGAATAGTCATGCACACACATACACAGAAACACACAATTATTCCTTTACAATCTTCTGGCATCTTTTCTGCAAGGAAGCCACAAACACAAACTGGATATGAACAAAATAACTCAGCAGATGACCAATGACCTCTTCCTCCTTCTCATCCTCCTCCTTCTCCTCCTCCTTTTTCTTGTTTTGCCATCATTGTTTAGGTGAAGCGCAAAACAAGTCCCAAATATTTCTGGGCTACTCTCAAATTATTGGGCTCTGTGGCGTGTGCATTTGAATGTTCATTCAATAAATATTCACTGAGAACCTACTATGTCCCAGGTCCTCACAATACAGCTGTGTACAAAACAGACCAGATCCCTGCCATCTGGAACCTCGTACTTGGGTGGGTGATCAGTTTCCAGAATCAGACAGTCTGCTCATTTGAGAAAACTCCTGTGTGGTTCAAGATTCCAGAGGAGAACACTGAGACAGGAGCAGACTGGGTTTATCATATGCCCCATCTCGTGGTTTCCTAACAGGCCAAATGCAATACAGAGAGGGGTATTGCTCACTCTTCCTTCCTGTTTCTGTCACTCAGACAGGAGCTAGATAGTTCCTTTCCTACCAAGCTAAGACTTTTGCTCTCATCAAGTGAGAAGGTCCCTCTTACTTTACAATATTTCTGACCTGAACCCTGGCAACCATAAATCTACTTTTTTTTTTTTTTTTTTTTTTGAGATGAAATCTTGCTCTTGTACCCCAGGCTAGAGTGCAATGGCACCATCTCGGCTCACTGCAACCTCCGCCTCCTGGGTTCAAGTGATTATCCTGCCTCAGCCTCCCGAGTAGCTGGGATTACAGGTGCCTGCCACCATGCCCAGCTAATTCCTGTATTTTTAGTAGAGACGTGGTTTCACCATGTTGGCCAGGCTGGTCTCGAACTCCTGACCTCAGGTGATCTGCCCGCCTTGGCCTCCCAGAGTGCTGGGATTACAGGCGTGAGCCACTGCACCTGGCCCACAAATCTACTTCTATCTCTCACCTTGCCTTGACTTTCACCACAAGACAGAATAGTTCCCCTTAGAGACTTTCATTTGCTCTGTGGTATCACTCTTTAGACTGCCTGAGATACATACTGGAAAATGCCACCTCTTAAAAGGCACCACTAAGTTCTTAATTGAATCCACACTTTAGTCTTTTATCCTTTCGATTTCTATGGTAAAGAACATAGGCCCTGTATTTGCTACTCATATCTCCCATTCATTTGTGTGTGATTATGTAGCTTTTTTAGCTTACACACAGCTATAAAGCATTTTCCAAGTCTTTTTTATATTATCTAGTTTGCATGAAATAAGGATGTAGGAGTATGTTTGGCTTTTGGCTATAGATAGTTGGAAGTATTTCTAAAGATCCACTCTCTTCTGAGCTCTCTTACTGTTCTTGTTTTCAACTAACAGAAATTGGAAAATAAAGATTGTGTGGGTATAAAATGAATGCTTGCAATGTTTGTCATTTTTGGAACTCTATTTCTGTGGCTCTTGACTTTTTTTAAGATGGCTTCACCTAAAAGTTGCTAAGGCCAGGCCAGAGCTCTTCTTATAAACAAATGACAGGGGACATGATAGCCCATAATGAATTCAATCTGGGCTATCTGTGGCGTTGTGTGTGGATAAAAAGTAAAAGCTAATTTTGAGTACAAAGAAAATGAATAAAGCCTCTTGCCACTAAGATAGTTAAGAGAAGACTGTCAGAAGGCAACATCATTCTATGCAGCTGGACCTATGCCCTTCCACAGATGGGAACAATGCCATATGGTTAGGGAGCTTGGCTGTTACCCAAGTGGCTCCTATTCAGTTCTCCATTTGAGCAAGAGTTGAGAGGAGATGGAGAATAGTATTTGGGAGACTTCCTGGGTTCAAGTCCTGCCTCTACCACTTATTTGCTATGTGCTTTCTTAGTAACCTGAAGCAATGAATAACAGTATTAGCCTCATAGGGTTGTTGTAAGGTTTAATTGAGATAGTGCACATTATGCATGCTGCCTACCTGGCACATAGTAATAGGTGGGAGGTATTATTACTGTGATGATGATGATGGGTGTCCAGGGGGAGACCAGTCTGAATGTACCTGGTAGACTCAGTAGGTTACTGGAAGTCAGGAGTCACAAATGTGAACCAGGCAGCAAGCTTTAGAAGGTGATTGACAGGGCAAATTGGCAGGGATTGTTAAGAAAGATACAGAGAATGGTGGTAAAACCAGGAGGAATAAGCATGCCTTTTTCTCTTATTGGAGCAAAGAGGACATTACCTGGTCTGTATCCAACTAGACAAGGGCCTGAACCTTAGAGAAGATGTTGAACCCCACTAGCATTACTTAAGGTCAAACAAGGCAAAAGCGTTTTGGTTTTCTGTTTATTTGTCTGGTTTGGGATATTCCTGGGAAGGAATATTATGGATTTTGCACTTCTAATATCTGACTTCTGTGTAATGGAAGAAAAAAATAGCACTCCAGTAAGCCTTTATAATGCCATACACACATAAAGTGAAACAAGAAGACCCTGTGAAGGATGATAGGAATGACAGATCTCGTCCTACTAAAGGAATAAATTTCCTTCCAAACATATTACAGTTGTATAAGCTATAAAATATATTGCTATAAAATGACTCACCTATTTGAAAATCCTACTGCATAGAGTTTCCACAGTTAGAAAACTGGTATGCGAAAATGTGAAAGTTGGTAAGAATCAAGAAATAGTTTTTTAGTACCTATTGTGTGTAAGGTATTATTACATAATCACAGAATTATACTATTATTTTGCTTTTTGCATAGATTTGCATTACCTAGTCAATATTTAACTGATTTATTTAACCTTTGTAAAACAAATTCAGAATCTCATACTGAGACTTAGGAAGTATATACAGTAGTTCCCCCCTTATCCGTGGTTTTGCTTTCCATAATTTCAGCTACCTGCAGTCAACCACGATCTGAAGATGTTTAAGGGAAAATTTTGGAAATTAACAACTCATAAGTTTTAAATTGTGCACCATTCTGAGTAGTGTGATGAAATCTCACAGCATTCCGCTCAGTCCCTTCCAAAGGTGAATCATCTTTTGGTCCAGTTATCTGCACTGTAGATGCAACCATCTAGATTATCAGATTGAAAAAACATAGTATAGACAGTCTAGGGTTCAGTACTATGCACAGTTTCAGGCATCTACTAAGTCTTGGAACGTATCCTTCAAGGATAAGGGGGAACTATTCTATTCATAAATTCATAGAATTTTAAAGCTGGAAGAACTCCGAAGGGAATGAAAATCAGTGTCCTAGGCTTTCCTTAAAATGCTAGGTAATGTCCTAAGGAGCTTTTGAAATTTTAAATTATTTTTAAAACACTTTATAAAAGAAATTTTTTAGTCAAATATATCAGTGCTCACTAAATCCCCACCTATTATAAGAATTTACTCATCCTAGCAATGTCAACTTTAGGAAGCATAAGAATAGAAACTGAGATAATATAAATGACTTATTCAAGGGGAATGGCATTAATCAGTCAACAAAGTGAGATAATCAGTAGAGCATCTGAAAAAATAAGACCTCTCATATGACCTGTTTGTTTATTTCTGTTCCCAGATGACAAATATTTTTTGAATTCTGCCCAGCTCCTCTTGGGGTAGACAAATATTAAAACAGAAAAAAGTGGCAAGGTGCTTTTGTTCAGTGTGGGCTCATGGGGAAAAGTCCTATAATATTTTCAGCTGGTCACTATGAAGGCAGCCAGCAGTGAGCTCAGCCGACATTGTTGTGGGATGGCACTATGACATCGATTAACGGAAAACTGAATGTTGAAATTATGCAGCAGAGGAAAAGAAAAGGAGGAGGACAATAACAAAATTTTCCAAACAGAAAATCACAAGGTCCACATAGGAAAAGTATAGTTTTCAAACTCCAGAAGATATTTGCAAACACCAGTGAGCAAGCTATGAATCTTGTTTTCCCATAGGCCCTACCATCAGTAGAGATCCCAGGTAGAGCAATTTACCTGCACATTGTTGCCAGGGAACAAGGGAAGGCGAGTCAAACTATTTGGGGATTTAGCTGAGCTTTGAAATAACTGAAAAGCTATGCTTCAATTTTTAAGAGTTCATCAGGTAGGATTTCTAGGATTGTAAGGTCCTCACTCTAGAACTTCTGAAAATAATCAGATGAATCGGAATTAAAGAACTAATGGCCTTAATTGTGTCTAAATAGGAATGAAGTAACAATGACTGTCATCATGAGCTATTCTCTTCTATGGCTCTGGACGGTCTTTTTTTTTTTTTTTTTCTGTTCAGAGCTTCCTGCTTGGTGTTTGCCTAAGTAGGGAGGAAAGCCATTGTTTGAACTTTGCAACAACAGATTGCAAGCTAAGGCTTTTCTACACTTTGTTTAATTTTCCTGAAATGTTCCTTTTTACAGAAAAGATCTGTTGTTGACCTAGCATGCTTTTTGTCTTACTCAATACTCCCCTGGGGATGTAGTTAAAACAACACTTAGCTGTAATTCTCCTGGGTGGAGAAGTGTTTGGTGGTGGCAATGAAACTAAAGCACAGATTTGAGCAACTGTGGGCTGTTGACTTTATGCTAGCCTTTCATAAAGAGAAACCTCAAAACACCGTGGCCATTCAGCAAACAGTGTGAGTTTCATCTAAGCCTGGCTGGCTTTGCCCTTGCTATCTTCGGGCTAGAATGATCCTAACCATCAGTGTCTTTGTGTCATGATGCAGAAAGTTGGCTAGGACATAGGAGGATAATGCTGAAGTATAACTTCTGAGTGGGGGAGGGAATCAGGCAGAGAAGTAAAGCTCTACACAATGGCTAGTGCTTCTGTATTATGATGTGTGTTCCAACGGAGGTCAATCATTGTGCATTGTCTCTAGGGAGTGAATACAGCATATTATTTTGGGGTAGAAATTGAGATTTCTTTTGGTGGTAAAATATACAGAAAATAGAAACTCTCTGTACTTGATTTCTTTAAGTTTATTTAAATACCTTCAAAGGTATTCTTCTATGAGAAGGAACATGACATAATAGGACTCTAAAAATGAAACTGTTTTAGTGATGGAAATTTTCCATATCAAATCTACTATAGCCACTAGGATATATTACCAAAGTTTTTAAAAATTCTTGTGTGCAGTGAACTTTGTTGATTGCCTACTCAGCAAAAAATCATCTCCTGTGTTCCTAATGAACCTCAATTTTGCTTTCCTCTCTTCTAGTCATGTGCCTGGGAAAGATTGATGCCAGCTCCAGAAAGGCATCCGAATGGTCTAAGTAATGCCATCCATCTGTCAGTAATAGATTCAGAAATGGGTATGTGATTCAAGTCTGGCCAATGAGATGTATGCAGAAGAGTGCTGGGTATTCTGGAAAATTATCCCTTGTCATTCAGAGATCCACAGGAATCCAGCCTTTTGCTCCTTGAATGGGATAAGGAAGCACATAATCCCAGTTGCTCTTCCAGTCATCCCAGACCCACAGCCCTGCTTTAGCCATCCTATAGCCATCATATATTCACAAGGGGAGAGCAACTGAGGACAACACTGTGGATCCTTGTGACATAACCAAGCCAGTGAACCAATCAATACATTTATTTATTGTTTGAGCCATTGTAGTTGAGCTTACGTTACTGGCAGCTGAAAGCTGAAAGTTATTCTATCTGCCAATCCTCATCTTGCACGTCTCTTAGTTTTGCTCTTATCTCTCCTTTTCCTCTTTTTCACACATAAATCCCAATCTTTGTTCCAACTCACACTGTCAACACTCTGACCTTTCCCTCTTGCTTTCTTTTCCTCTTCTCTCTGTCCCTCTCCCTTTTGCCTTTCTTTCTGCCAGTGCTACCCACAGGTATATCTTAAATCTTATTAGCCATAGCCATGACCAAAGACTAGGACCACCACTAGGTATAACTGGATTAGGTGGAGTTTTGCTCATTTGCCCTCCTTTGTACTTTCGACATCAACATCCCTCACCCCTCAGCAATTCTCTCCACTGTGCCCCACTCCATATAACAAAAAGTCTTGTGTGCTCTGAAACATCCACCCAAAAACTATATTTTCACTAAAATTCCTTTGGTGATAATGCCTTAACATGGTGGTTTCCAAAGCTTTTTAAAACCATAACCCACATTAAGTATCCTCACTCAGTATACACAGAATATACACATAGGCACTTGATATAGTCTGGATATTTGTCCCTGCCCAACTCTTATGTTGAATTGTAATCCCCAGTGCTAGAGGTGGGGCTTGGTGGGAGGGTGTTTGGATCCCTCATGGCTTGGTGCTGTCTTCACAATAGTGAGTTCTCTAGACATCTGGTCATTTGAAAGTGTGTGGCACCTTCCCCCTCTCCTTGCTTCTGCTCTGACTATGTGACATGCCTGCTTTCCTGCTTTCCTTTTGCCTTCTGCCATGATCATAAGCTTCCTGAGGACTTCCCAGAAGTCAAGCTGATGCTAGCATCATTGCTTCCTGCAAAGCCTGCAGAGCTGTGAACCTCTTTTCTTTATGAATTATCCAGTCTCAGGTATTTCTTTATAATGTGAAAGGAAAATAAACCTTGGGGCCCCCAAATCACTAAGCTAAATGGAAAAGTCAAGCTGGGAACTGCTTAGAGCAAACCTGCCTCCCATTCTATTCAAAGTCATCCCTCTGCTCACTGAGATAGATGTATATCTGATTGCCTCCTTTGGAAAGGCTAATCAGAAACTCAAAAGAATGAAACCATTCATTTGTCTCTCGCCTATCTGTGACCTGGAAGCCCCCTCTCTGCTTCGGCTTCAAGGCTTCCTGCCTTTGCTTCAAGTTGTCGCGCCTTTCCAGACCCAACCAATGTACTTCTTACATATACTGATTGATGCTTCATGTCTCCCTAAAATGTATAAAACTCAGCTGTGCCCCAGCCACCTTGGCCACATGTCATCAGGACTCCCTGAGGCTGTGCCGCAGGCTCATCTTCAACCTTGGCAAAATAAACTTTCTAAATTAACTGAGACCTGTCTCAGATTTTCGGGGTTTAGAGTAGCAATGCAAGAAGGGACTAACACAACACTGCAGGAAAAGTTCTATGAAACACACTTACCTTTACTACCAGTGACACATTCTGATATTACATATTCTGTTCTATTTCATTTTTAAAAAGTGTTTGTCTGTACTCACTAAATTGATGTCATGGATAGTTGTTGTGACCACCAAAAACACTTCCTTCACCCACAGCAGAAATTCTGGTGGTCGTGTGATAAACTTGTCAAAAAGTCCTTTGAGGGTAATTAGACTCATACTTAAACCTGAATAAAATGACAGCCAACACCAACTAAAAGAAGTTCTGTCTGTGTCAATTTGGATACATTGTTTCCCCTAAAAAAATGAAGAGTGAGTGAGAATATATGAATGCTGACACCTGATGTGTTCCTAGTAATTTCAGGGGATCTTTCTGAAATGGCAAAAGTGTTTAAGAAACACCATTATAATTATTTCTGAAAGTAAAGATGTTTCCTGCAAAAGCTATTTGAGTCCCAGAGCCAATTCATTAATTGGTTTTATGTTTGACTTTTTAGAGCCCATTAAATATATCTATTTGGTTATTCATTTGGCAGCTATGCTACTTCTTTAAGAGCTGGGAATGGCAGATTGTCTATAAGAATCATTTTTATAACATGGATTGTGGTAAAAATGTGTTAGCTTTCTTGTTGATAACTACTTGTTATCAGCTAGAACCACTTTTACAGCCTGTACCATGTGAAGGCCTCACATATAAAGTCCATAGCATGTTTGAAAGTCACATGATATCTAGAAAAGCCCTGTATAAACTGGAAAGCATTGTGTAAACACAAAATATTATTATTATGCATTTTTTTAAAGTAAGAAACTCTTGCCTAAGAAGTCAGTCATCCCCATGGTTAGAACATGTCTCCCAAAGTTCATGTGTTGGAAACTTAATTGCCATTGTAACAATATTAAGAGGTGGGGCCTTTAAGAAGTGATTAGGTCATGAGGGCTTTGTCCTCATGAATGGACTAATGTTGTTATCATGGGAATGGGTTAATTGTGGTGAGCCTGGCCCCCTTTTTCTTTCTGCTTCATCTGCCCCTTTCTGCCATCCATCCTTTTGCCATGGAATGACTCCTGCCAGATGCCAGTACTATGCTCTCAGCCTTCCTGGCGTTCAGAACCATGAACAGAATAAATTTCTTTTTTTAATAAATTACCCATCTCTGGTATTCTGCTATAACAGCCAAAAATTGACTAGGGCCTTCATGAATTTTGAATGCCAATGAATTTTAATGTTTTTGTTAATGGTACTGAGTTCTATAAATGTTTTTCCCCACCCTCTAATTGATACGCACACACATGCACACACACACACACACATGCATACATATGCACATACATATTAGACTTTTAAGCCTATATTCAATACAATACAGGCTGGTTGCTAATTTACAAACCCTATTTTCTCTTTTATAAGATATATTAGAAGGTAGGTTTTCTTCTATATGTAGTTATAGTTGTGGTGTGATATGCCCAGAATTACTGTGAGATATGTTAAATGGTACAGTATAGCTTTAGTAGTTAAGGTTTTGGAGACAGAAAGACTCCAAATGCAATCTTACATTTAACAAGGTCTGTGAATTTGGGTGAGTTACTTAACCTTCCAAGCTCTGATGTTCCTCATCTGTCAGATGAGGTTAATATAATGCACCTCACAAAGATGTTATAGAATTGAATTTATCTCTACTCATTAAATTAATTTCATAATTTACTAATGGGTCATGACCACCAAAAACACAGGCTTAACCCACAGAAGAAATTCTGATATTAAGAATCATGGAGCCAGGTGCAGTGGTGCATGTCTGTAGTCCCAGATACTCAGGAGGCTAAGGCAGGAGGATTGCTTGAGCCCAGGAGGTGGAGGCTGCAGTGATATGATTGTGCCACTGTACTCCAGCCTGGGCAACAGAGCGAGACCTTGTCTCTAAAAAAAGAAAAAGAAAAAGAAACAAAGCTGATTTAAAAAATTGTGGGCATATTACAAACCTGCAATGTATGTGTGTGTGTGTGTGTGTGTGTGTCTGTGTGTGCATGTAAAGTACTTAGGACTTAGGACAGCACACTTAGTATTTAGCACATAATACCTAGCAATAGCTCAATGAATGGTAGCTTAACAACAATAACTAATGATATTACGACATGTTTATTTCATCACACCTTCACCATGAATAAATGTAGAGATCTAGGACCTAGTACCTCTTGCTTTCCCTTTGGTGCTGAAGCTTCACTCCACTGCTTCCCAAATCTATGTGTCCACCTAGAAATGGGTCATGGTTGCTGAATCGTAGAATAATAATACTGCAAAATTGCTAAATCTCTGAGGGGCGTGTGTGTGTATGTATGTGAGTGTCTGAGTGTGTGTGAGAGAGAGAGAGAGGGAGAGAGGGAGGGATATGGGGAAGGGAAGCAGTGCTTGTCTCTTTCTTCTTGCTAAAGACACTTCCTTAAAAATAAATACACTGGAAAATAATGACAGGAAACTTTACAAAATTAAAAGAGGATGTCAGGAAGTACAGGATGTGAGGTTGTTTTCATTTCTGTCAGTATTTTCTTATTCATATATATTTATAACTTTAAAAAGCAGAGAAGTTCACTATTTCTTCTACTTAAGATCAAATTTATATATAAAAAAAAGACCTGTGACCAAAAAAAAAAGAACCCACTTAATACTTTCTAGCTGCAATTAAGTATCTGATCTGACTACATTATTGGGCAACTGAATAGAATACTTGTCACACTCATTCTCTATTTCTAAAAAATGATGCAGGCCAGGCCCAATGACTCACACCTGTAATACCAGCAATTTGGGAGGCCGAGGTGGGAAGATTGCTTGAGGCCAGAAGTTAGAGACCAGCCTGGACAACAGAGTGAGACCCCATCTCTACAAAAATATTTGTTTAAAAATTAACAATAACAACAACAACAGCAGCAACAACAAAACGGTTGCATTCTCAGACAGTTCACGCCAATGTGGGAAGGATATAAAAGTAAAGTACCCTGAAGCAGCAATGGATAAGAAAAGCTTGGTCTTTTTTTAAAACAAAAATTTTTTTTATTATTACTTCTTTCCCAGAAGACAACTTTCAAACATAGGAACCTAGGCAAATCAACGAATGCTCAAAACTGAAAACCCACTTCCCCCTCTGAGAATAGAGGGTACAGAAATATCAGTACTTTCAATGCTTTAGCAGTCATGTGAATGGTGAGCATTCTATGTTTTTCCATATGCACAGCAAATGAGCACGCTGCTTGCAGCTTTTTCTCCATGAAATGGGGATCTGCATCCCATAGTAGTTACTGAGCAGTACAGTTCCTCTCCAACATTGAAACAGTTTATCTGCAAACAAATTTCTAAAGTTCCTATGTGGCTGGAAGCCAAAATAAAACAACTATGTTTTGCTGTCCTCTGCTTTGCTGAACAGATAGATGTAAAAGGTTGTAGGTGGGCTTCTCTTTATTACTGCACTTGACTTATTAACACCTTGAGACTCGAAGAATAAAGTGTACTTCATCTTGTAAAAGTTTATGATCTAAGTCAAACAATTCAAAAGGTCATAATTTAGCTCCATCTAAGGAACTTTAATTCAAAAAGACAGGAAGTTGCTTCATATTAAAAGTAGCCTCTTCTTTACTTCTTAATAAAATTCCCTAAGAAAATATTTATGGCAGACATATGTTATTTTCATCATTCCTTCCTTGGGGAAACCACTATTCCCTGCTTCCACATGGTTTCAGAGGGGCTGCCTATCACTGTACCCTACCCCCCTTCCAGCCACACTGGGAGCATAGGACACAGGCCTGGCCAACCCTAAAATTATCTGTTCCTGAAATTAAAATAGTGATGTTGAAATAGATATGTTTCTTTCCCCTGGGATGCTAAGCTAGGGCAAGAGATCCCAGAGCTTCCCTGTGCCATCTTCACCACCCTGCATGGAGGAGGTGGAGCAGGTCCAGCCGCAGAAGGAGAAAATGGCAGAGACAGAGGAGCAAAAGGAGAAGGAGGAGGAAGAGGAAAAGAGGGAGAATGGGGAGGAAAGAAAGAGGAAAAAGAAGGGGAAGAGTGGAAGGGGTAAGAAGAAGAAAAGAAGTGTAGTCTAACCTCCACAGAGCTATGATTGAAGCCAACTGATTCCTGAACCTCCTAGATACCTGACTCAACCAATTTCCTTCTCCATTCAAATTAGTTTTAATAATTCTGCAACGGAAACAGGAGGAACTAACAAAGTAGCTAGTGTTTGTTCATTCATTCAACAAATATGCCAGGCACTAAATAGGCATAGAGTCATGATGGGCAACATATAGTCCTTGCCCTCATTGAGCTTATAGCCTGGTTAGGGAAAAAAATATCACACACACACACACACACACACACACACACTCTATTGGAATATATGTATATATATTCAATTTTTTATGTTATCAGGAAAACAGTAGAGTGCTGTGAAATAGCATTAGAAGAGAATTAGGGAGCTATGTTTACAGTATCACTAGAATAATCACATTTAAAAAAAAGGAATGCGTGCATGGTGGTTTGGGAGTCCAGGTCTAACAATCTAAGAGATGAGGCAGCATGGGAGAAACAGAGAAAATGTCCTACCTGGTTAGGAGACCAGGATCCTCATCCTAGCTCCATCAAAAACTGCAGAGGTTTTCCTCATCAGCAAAGAGGTAATAGGTGTCTTTCATTATTTCTCCAGGGTTATAATGAAAATCAAATGATCACATACACCTGATTCACATTTGAAAAGAAGAGTACAGTATATGGTACTGTGGTAGGATACCAGGGTACATGTGGTAGGAAGACTAACAGGAGAACATGGTCTACCCAGTTCAGAAGGCTGGACATGTCCCACAGTCAGGTAGGAATTGAAGAGGAAGGCTGATGGCCCACTAATGGTGGATGAGAGAATTGCTTTGCATTTACAAAGGACATACGACATGCTCCTTATTTACTTATTTATTTTATCCTTTGGCGTGTTAATGAGTACATTTTAAATGAGACAACAGCTCTCAATGATGTTTAAGACAATAATTTTTAAAAACTACTTAAGGTATTTTTACTTATTGTTTCCCATATGGCTTTTGCGCCTTCTTTACAAGACATTTTAGGTCATTTTTAAACCAAAAAAAACAAAGACGGCACCCCCATTTCTCTAACTTTTGAAAATCCAATTATAAAAATAATACACTAATATTGTGAGATATTCAAATAGCATAGGAGGTTATACAGTGAAAAGTCCCTCTCATGATCACCCCTACCTACTCTCCTTTCCCAGAGATAACTAATCTTAACAGTTTTCTCCATTCTTTCACAACTTTATCTGCATATTGGAACTGAGTCTTGAAAACTGAGTAGTAGTAGCCATTTGGCCACTCACAAAGTTAAGGGTTTATTAAATTATATTAGAAAGTATTAATTGGCCTGCCAGTGAATGGGCACAGCAACTGGGTATTTAATGGGCAGCTCCAAACGGAAAGCCCTGGCTGTGCAGCACCCATCTATGGCTGGTATGGTTTCAATCTGTGTCTTTGCTCAAATTTCACGTTGAACTGTAATTCCCATTGTTGAAGATGGAGCTTGGTAGGAGGTGATTGGATCATGGGGCTGGTTTCTCATGGTTTAACACCATCCCTCTTGGTGCTGTTGTGGAGATAGTGAGTTCTCATGAGATGTGGCTGTTTAAAAGTGTGTAGCACCTCTTCCACTTCCTGCTGCTCCTGGCCATGTGAAGTGCTGGCTCCCCCTTCACCTTCCGCCATGATTGTAGTTTTCCTGAGGCCTCCCCAGAAGCCGAGCAGATACCGCCATGCTTCCCATACAGCCTGTGGAACCATGGACCAATTAAACCTCTTTTCTTTATAAATTACCCAGTGTCAAAAAAAAAAATACGTCACCCAGTGTCAGGTATTTCTTATAACAGTGCGAGGACAGACAAATACAATGGCCAAGCTTAC
The DNA here is from genome assembly GCF_000001405.40 of Homo sapiens. NCBI lineage: Eukaryota > Metazoa > Chordata > Mammalia > Primates > Hominidae > Homo > Homo sapiens. Next base: position 78,670,703 of record NC_000004.12, read on the forward strand.
CCCGAGGACAGTTAGGATGGTGTTTTTTGGTTTGTGCCTGGGTCCAAGGTCAAATAGCTGGTACCCTTTCAAAACCCACAAATCATTTACAATCTTGTGTTTGTTCTTTGTTCCATTGGTAGAATCATTTTGCTTCCATCTCTCTACCACAACTGGGTATTGAGGATGTCATTTGGCAAGTAGAGGCCCTAACCAAAAGGTCCTAAATAATAGCTGCATGGGTATCTTGTTATTAAACAATGAAGCTGCTCCAATGAGAAAGGCTGCATTATAAAACCATGTGGCTTTAGACACACTCACTGCCGCCCAAGGGGGAACCTATGCTATCATAAAAACTGAGTGTCTATCATCCAGATAACATCACTAAATTAATGGTTGATATAAAAACTCAACTAATCTTTCAGATCCAACACTCTAAATGACCAGCTAAGCAGCTGGTTTGGATCATGGGGAATTTGGTGGCAGAAGCTGGGACTTATTCTTGGAAACATAATCATTTGTTCGGTTTTTTCCTGTTTTTGTCTTTATTGCTGCTGTGGCATTTGTTCACAATGAAGTCAATGCAGAGCTGAAAAAAATGAAATAATGATTGTTCACAGAATTGCATTAACTGCAGCCACGTAGCCTGACTCAGGTCACAAAGTCACTTCCTTCATTTTGCATTAAATTTGGCCAGGCTGGGTGTGGTGGCTCAAGCCCATAATCCCAGCACTTTGGGAGGCTGAGGGGGGTGGATCATGAAGTCAGGAGTTCGAGACCAGCCTGGCCAACCTGGTGAAACTCCGTCTCTACTAAAAATACAAAAAATAGCCAGGCGTGGTGGTGCACACCTGTAGTCCCAGCTACTTGGGAGGCTGAGGCAGAAGAATCACTTGAACCGAGGAGGCAGAGGTTGCAGTGAGCTGAGATCGTGCCACTGTACTCCAGCCTGGGTGACAGAGCAAGACTCCATCTCAAAAAAAAAAAAAAATTGGCCAATATCCCATCAGCCTTATAGCTTGACTTATTTCCCCTGCTGTGGGACTCGACACTGTCGGAATGAGCCTTCCTAGTGACGCAGGACTAAACTCCTGAATATAAAAGGAGCCCAGAGCTGTTGAGTACATCTACTATGCTTTACTCGAAATATCTTAATGAAAATGGAGAAATGTGAAATTAAATAATTCAAACTTAAAGCTGTTAGAATTTTAAAGTATTCCAGCCTTAAGAGGAATACGGCTATGTGGCTTGAGTCACTTGATGTACAACTGCAACTTCTGCCTTTTTTTTTTTCCCTGTAAATCATTAAGAAGACCAAATGGCACCAGAGATAAGAACCCCCCACCCCCACCCCCCAAGATTACTACCTCTCCTCATAGAATGAAGCAAATGTAGCATTTTGTAACCAATCAAATCACTGTACTGTATGCACTTGTCTTGTATGGAAAATGTTGTGATTCTGCTAAAATTTCTGTCTCTGCTTATATAAGCGAAACATTAACTTCTCCTCTTTGAAACACTGACCCCATTTGTTTGGAGTAAGTGTTTCCTGGTGGCAAGCTTTGTGCTTGAATAAGCTCTATACTTAATCATATTTTCTGAATCTCATTACTTAAAGTTGACAGGTTGTTTCTACAAGTGGAGGAACAACATGAGCATGCACTGTCATGATGATTGATTTCTAGTCCACAAGTATACAGTCTTCAAATTAAGTATAATTTGGCCTGAAATCACATTGTCCATTAGTAAAATATTCCATTGTATTCATTTGAGGAGCTTTCTCTCCTCCATGGGTCAAAACAAGCATCCCAGGATTATGTTCATCCCCAAAAATAGGATAGAGGTGTGAGTTTGCTTAATTGGCTACTTGCTGCTCCCTGACACAGGTCCCTGTCCTCTTCCATGTGGACTATGTGCCCTGGGTAGGCTCAGCGGTCCTCTCTACTGATCACAGGCTGACTGTGCCTCCACCTGCAGCAGCGTGCCATAGAATTCTCTTCCATTGGTCTCGCTTTAGCCTTAACTTGGAAAGAACCCTTCCTTACTTCCCTCCCTGCCTGGAAGATCCCACAGTGCTGGCCTTTTCTGAAAAAAGATGCTCATCTTTGTTTTTTAATTGCTTCATAGTTCACCTTTTTATAAAAGGGAAAGCAAAGAGGCATTAAACAGCGTGACTCACTGGGAAAGCTAGTATTTCAGCCAGACAGAAGAGTTCATTGGAGGATGGGAAGTTCAGAGGAATATGGCTGGGGGGATGAACACCTGATTAGAAGGGTTTGTAGGGTATTAGAATAAGTTTGTATTTATCTAGGCATTGAGGAAACCGGGGTCATTCAAGGCTTTACACAGAACAGTAGCAAAATTAGATTTTCCTTTGAAAAGGAAACTCTGATGCTGGTAGGGAGAGTGGTTGAAGGGGAGCAAGGCTGGAAGCAGTGATACCAGTTAGGAGACCATGGCAGTAGTTCAAGAAAGAGATGTTGTGAACCTAGTGCCTTAATCCTCTGCTGAATCTGAGAGTCTCCTCTCCATTGGCCTGTGACTAGGACCATAGGCCAATCTCCTACTATAAAAGATAAAAAGGCTGATACAAACATTTCTAGGCTTGCTTGCAGCTTGAGTTAAGACTTAATAAGGTGATATTACAATTCATTCTGGCAGTGCTGGCAGAGGAAACAGCAGCAATGATGCTCTGCGAGCCTGACTCAGGGCCAGCAGTGATGGCAGCCCAAGGTAAGTATATCCAGGGGCTGCTGGTGGCAGCAGCAGTGTCTTTGATGCAGTGGTTCAATATGTTGTATTTGGCTCTGGTTCTGGTTACCTGAACTTCCTTTGCTCTTGCCCATTTTCTGAGCCTGAGTCTTCAGGTCTCTAATTTATTTTCATCAGATCTTTAAAATAATCCTCTGAGGAATTAAGGCAGGTGTTATTATTTTCATTAAGATGAGGGAAATGAAACTACAAGGTTAGGTTACTTGCTTAAGAGCAAAAGCTAGTAAGTGGAACACCCAGGGTTGGATCCAACCAAATCTTTGTGATGGTCGCAGTACTCTTTACACTCCCCACTTGCTTACCAAACTTGGTACTCCTAATACCTGGCATATACAGGAAAATGAAAGGAAGGGCTAGAAGCTATTGCTTACACTTGGCACAGGCTCTAAAGTTATGTAGAAGTCTTATTAAAATTAAGTTATTTAAAGCAATATATAATGGAGTAAAATACAAGATCTAGGTATAATTAGTAATTTAAATAAATTTTACCTTTGTAGGAGGTGAGCATCTAGATTCCCCAGGAATACAAAATCATTAATCTTTGTAATGTGTACCCCGGTAAAAATATATGAGAAGTCCTGAAATGAAACATTAGCCAATCCTTAGGCTAGTGTTCCAATTAGCTAAATATCCCCGTTTAATTTAGTAAAACCAGTATTTAACCCCACATATGTGATTTATGAGTTTATATATAATAGCCTTATCCATTTATGTTCTTAAAGCCTGGAAGTCCAGAACATCTTAACAATTGTGCAACAAAATTTGACTAAAGATTGGTAGAGCTATGGATGCTAACTAATGCTGCTACAAATATATAAAATACTCTGTTAAATACCTTATTGAAAAAGAGATTAAATGTAAGATGTCTTTTCCATACTGCATGTTATGTTGAAATGACTATTTTGTCATCTGGAGAGAATTATATGCAATGATTTCATAGTGAGGAAACAAACTCATGATTCAATGAAAGGGTAAGGTAGATGTGAATCATAATCACTTTAAATTATAGTTATTAAAATTCTATAAATTTAAAACACTTTAGTTCTATAAAGCTTGGGCAATGAGTCCATTCCAAGCAGCATTGACCAATAGTATTATTTTCAGGATGTTTTAAGTATACCAGGTTACATCTGACCATAAAATGTTTCTCTATTACATGTGCCCATTTATTTGTTCTACTATTCATTCAGGAACTATGCTGAGTCTCAAGGCAAAGATAAATACCACAGGCTGGGCATGGTGGCTCACGCCTGTAATCCTAGCACTTTGGGAGGCTGAGGTAGGAGGATTGCTTGAGGCCAGGAGTTTGAGGCCAGCCTAAACAATATAGTGAGACCCTTGTCAATACAAAACATTTTAAAAAATTAATCAGGTATGGTGGTGTGTGCCTGTAGTCCCAGCTACTCAGGAGGGATGCTGAGGAGGGAGGATCCCTTGAGCACAGGAGGTCGAGGCTGCAGTGAGCCATGCACTCCAGCCTAGGTGACAGAGACTTTGTGTCTAAAAAAGTTAATAATAATAATAAATACCACAGTGATGTGTAAATAAGGAATTATGTGGTGATATATAACAATAGAAGTATGTATGAGGCAAAAGGAAGAATCTGAAAATAAACCCGGCCTATAGTCTTCACTGAGGTGTTGATTCTTTCTTAAACTGCATCTTGAAGGATGAATATGAGGATAACAGTGGACATGTAGGAAGGGTGAGCAGAGGATAATAGTTTAGACAGAGGGAGCTACACGTGTAAAGACATGGAGGCATGAAATAGCTTAAGTTAAAAGAATTGCAAGTGTTTTTGTGTTTATAGAAGCTAACGTTGAAAAGTTATGGTGGGAGATGAAGCTAGGCAAAGAGGGGACAGATCATGAAGGATCTTCAATAATCCTGTAAGTCCCATTACTGGGTATATACCCAAAGGAAAATAAATCATTGTACTGAAAAAGACACCTGCACTTGTTATGTTCATTGTAGTGCTAGTCACAGTAGCAAATACATAAAATCAACCCAGGTGCCCATGAACAATGAATTGGATACAGAAAATGTGGTATATCTACACCATGGAGTATTATACAGCCATAGAAAAGAATACAGTCGTGTTCTTTGCAGCAACATGGATGCAAAAATTCTAAGCAAATTAACTCAGGAACAGAAAACCAAATACTGTATATCCTCACTTACAAATGAAAGCTAAACATTGGGTACACAAGGACACAAAGAAGGGACAATAAACACTGGGGATTCCAAAAGTGGGGAGGTATGGGGAGAGACAAGGGTTGAAAAACTACTTATCCAGTACTACATTCACTACTTGGGCAATAGGATCATTAGAAGCCCAAACCTCAGCATCACGCAATATACCCATCTAACAAATCTGCACATGTACCCCCAAATCTAAAAGAAAAAAGAAAAAAAAGAGGCCAGGCGTGGTGGCTCACTCCTATAATCCCAGTACTTTGGGAGGCTGAGGCGGACGGATCACAAGGTCAGGAGTTCAAGACAAGCCTGGCCAATATGGTGAAACCCCGTCTCTACTAAAAATACAAAAATTAGCCAGGTGTGATGGCAGGTGCCTGTAGTCCCAGCTACTCAGGAGGCTGAGGTAGGAGAATCACTTGAACCCGGGAGGCAGAGGTTGCAGTGAGCTGAGATCACACCACTACACTCCAGGCTGGGTGACAGAGCAAGACTCCGTCTCAAAAAAAAAAAAAAAAAAAGAAAATAATCATCATCATACTATATGGGCATGATTTAATGGACATGAAAACGATAGCAAAGAGTTTTAGACTAAAGCATAGCAAGAGAATATTTACCCTTTGGAAAAATGACTCTGAAGGTAGTATGGAGAAAAATTTTGAAGAGAAAAGATACAGAGTATAGGTTAGAATTAACAAAGACATGTAAATAGAAATGAAAAGATGAGAAAATATGTGAGAAATATCTAGGTAATAGAACCACAGAAATTAAAAATAAATTGGATGTGAAGGGTAACGTGAGGACTTAGACAACTGGGTGATCATCAAGCCAAAAACCAAAATAGGAAATACAGAAAGAACACATTTAGTGGAAATTAAATATAAGCTCAGTTTCAACAAGATGTCATTTGAGTTGTCAGTGAATTAGGCGGGTAGTACAGGCAATGGTGTACATAGAAGAGGCCAGGGCTGGCTATACTAATTTAAGTCATTGATTACACAGTGGTAATGACAACTATGAGAGTGAATGAGATTGCCCAATAGGAAAAGGAAATGCTGAAGAAGTGTTGCATGTATGTGTGGAGTTTCATTGGTAGCTCTCACATCTTTGTCAATAATAATTATTGGCAAGTTTTCTCATTCATGCCTAGGAAGGTGCATCATGATGTGGTAGAAGGAATGATGGACTGGAAAGCAGGAGACAGCCTGCAATCCTGGTCTCTTGGAAGTCCTTGCATGTCGTTGGGCAAGTCATTTAACCATTCTCTTCCTCGGTTACTTTACCTGTGAAATAAGATTGGATTAGATGAGTTCTAACACTCTGTGATTCTTCAACCAATTCTCCAAATCTCATGATTTTCATTTCTCCCTAATGGGCTCTGATGAAGCTGCCAATGAAACCTGAAATAACTGGGAAATAGGCATTGAGAGAGAAATATGGCCTAGGAAGAGTCACACACCTTATAATTTTTCCCTAAATAATGGAAACCTGACTTTGAAAATAATTTTGCTGTAATTTAGGAGCAGTTATTGTAGACTATTATGAAAATGTAGGGCTTTTTATTGAAAGGGAATGATAGTTGGTCACAAATATTTGGGTTTGGATTGAATGGCCTTTTGCCTCCAAATTTTTGGAAAATAACTAAGATTGACCCATTTAAAAGCCACCCACTTACAGCTTCAGTGCAGTAGAAATTATGTAATAGATCTGATCATATTTGTCCCTTCTGGCCAATTATGACAGCCTACAAGTAATGCAGGAATGGAAAACATTTTTGGTAATTATATTGCATTAAAATTGTATGTCATTATGAGAGTAGGCAGTTAAGATAATTGTGCAGGAAGATGTTGCAGATAGATGGCCTCCTAGGTGCTGAGCTGGCCCCAAACTAAATACGTGAAAATGTTTTCCTTCAGGTTCCTGAAAATGTGAAGTACATTGGGCTGTGAGCACCAAGGAATCAAAGACTGTAGTTTCAACTGACAAAGCAAACATCTGTGAAAGATACACACTAGCTGTGTTGTAGTAAATGAATGGAACAGTTTTTGTGAAATTATGTCGTAGTTTTGATTGAGCTCCAGTCTGGCAGTGCCCTTACACTTAGCCTCTCTGACTTAGAATTATTCTTTGACTGTCAGGAAGAATATCTTTATTGTGAGAAGCCCTGAGCACACTGTGGCTTACAGCAATCAGGGCACCAAAAACTTCAGAACATAGAACTTTGCACTGCAAAGATAAACCTGGACCAAAAGGAGTATGATTTGTTAAACCTAATCAGAGTTTGTGGAAATATTTAAAAATCAAGAGAAAAATAAAAGGACAGACAGTTAATAAGCAGATATTAAGACGTATGAAATGACAACAACTAATTAAAAGATAGAATCGAAAGACTACAAAAGCCATAAAAACAGTATAACATCTAGGAATAAGCATAACAAGAAATGTACAAGACCTACAGGAAAAAAACTTTAAAATGTTACTACAAGATGTGAAAGATGATTTTGGACAAATGAAAGGCTCTATCTTGGAAAGAGATCCAATACATTATTAAGCGAAATAAGCGACAGAACAGTATGTAAAGCATCCTACTTTTCATATAAAAACGAGGAGAAAGTAAGAATCTACATTTGTATTTACTGGTGTATAAAGAAAATCTGGAAAAATATATAAGAAATTACCTATGAGGGGTGTGGGAAATTAGCAGCTAAGAGACCAAAATGGGAGATTGAATTTGCACACTGATTATCCAGAGCACTTCCTTGTTTGATTTTACAGCTACAGCAATCCATGATATGGTTGTGTTATAATTTGTTTAATTCAGACTTCTGTTGATAATATTTAGGTTGTTTCCAGTCATTTGCTAGTATAATCAATCCTGCAGTTAATCATATAAATGTTACCTCTTCAGAAAATTGATTTTAAACATAAGTAAAACTTTCAATAACAACAACAACAAATCCAGAGATAAAAAGCAGATACTTTCAAATGAAAGCTCTCACTCAAGTATAGACAGTAAAGGTGAAAATATGAATGAGGCCGGGCGCGGTGGCTCACGCCTGTAATCCCAGCACTTTGGGAGGCCGAGGCGGGTGGATCATGAGGTCAGGAGATCGAGACCATCCTGGCTAACAAGGTGAAACCCCGTCTCTACTAAAAATACAAAAAATTAGCCGGGCGCGGTGGCGGGCGCCTGTAGTCCCAGCTACTGGGGAGGCTGAGGCAAGAGAATGGCGTGAACCCGGGAAGCGGAGCTTGCAGTGAGCCGAGATTGCGCCACTGCAGTCCGCAGTCCGGCCTGGGCGACAGAGCAAGACTCCGTCTCAAAAAAAAAAAAAAAAAAAAAGAAAGAAAGAAAATATGAATGATATTGCCCTGGTGCCGTGGCTCACACCTGTAATCCAAACACTTTGGGAAGCCGAGAACGGAGGATCACTTGAACCCAGGAGTTTGAAACCAGCCTGGGCAACATAGTGAGACTCCATCTCTGTTAAAAAAAATAATAAAATATAAATTAATTAATTAATTAAAATATAAACAATATAAACAGTGGAAGTCTTAGACATGGCCAAGTCCAAGGCCAGGCATGGTGGCTCAAACCTGTAATCCCAGCAATTTGGGAGGCTGAAGTGGGCGGATCATTTGAGGTAAGGAGTTCGAGACCACCCTGGCCAATATGGCAAAACCCAACCTCTACTAAAAATACAAAAATTAGCCAGGTGTGTTGGCTCACACCTGTAGTCCCAGGTACTTGGGAGGCTGAGGCAGGAGAATTGCTTGAACCTAGGAGGTGGAGGTTGCAGTGAGCTGAGATCACACCATTGCACTCCAACCTAGGAGACAGAGTGAGACTGTATCAAAAATTGAAGAAAAAAAAAAGAAGTGCCCAAGTCCAAGATGGTTAGACATCCTTACTCTCCTTCCCATCCCCACATCACAATCCGAATGCATGCTTCTGGGGCTCCAGCTGTCTTGCTTTTGTATGAAGAAGCATTCAGACCAGATGCAGTAGTTCATGTCTGTAATCTCAGCGCTTTCAGGGGCCAAGACGAAAGGATCTGAGGTGGGAGAGTCACTTGAGGCCAGGAATTGGAGACCAGCCTGAGCAACATAGTAAGACTTTGTCTCCAAAAAACACTTTTTTTTTTTTTTTTAAAGCTGGGTGTGGTAGCATGTGCCTATAGTCTTAGCTACTCAGGAACCTAATGGGAGAGAATCACTTGAGCCCAGGAGTGTGAGGCTACCGTGAGCTATGATTGTGCCACTGCACTCCAGCCTGGGTGATAAAACAAGACCCTTTTACTTAAGAAAAAGAAGCAGCAGCAGCATCTGTATATCACCCATGCTCCATGCATTGGAAAGCCTTCTGTGTAGATGTAGAATCATGCCAAATGATTTTATCCATGCAAATAGGTACAGGTATAGGGATCAAAAGTTGTCCTAGTTAATCAATTATCATTAGTCCCACAGTGTTTTCTGTCACAGATGTTACTTTTCTGGAGTGGTAGGTGTGGCAAGGTAATTCATTAAAATATGAATTTGTGTTGGTTCTCTCTATAGTTTTAACCTCCTCAATTCTGGTGAGATAAGTCAGTTTTTGTCTCCTTGTCTCAGAGGTGATTTGTAACTGAGCAGAAAGTAGGAGCTTCCTGAAGAAAGGCACTCCATTTGATTTGTAAAAACCTCAACTCATAGAAGAGATGGTAATACATGATCTGAATGAAGGAGAGTGCCTTTAAAAGTGGCAAGATGGGAAAAGGGTTAACTTCTCCAGTCTGGGCAGTCTATAGATTTTTGGAGAAGCAGGGACCCACTTCTGGTCCCTAGGCAAGGTCTCTGAGAGAATCACTGCATGACTTTTGAGCTCCAAGCACCAGGATCCCAACCCTGGTCACTTTCCATTTCCAATGAGAGGCCCAAGATCAATTTGTTACTGGATTTCTAGGAACCATTCAACAATAAGTATATCTGCAATAACCTCCATGGACTGGAGGTTAGAGTTGTTTACTCTTTAAATCAGTTAGAAATGTTTTTAACTGCAAACAATAAAAAAAATTTTAAACCAACATACGGTGGCTTAAACAAACAGGATGTTTCTTTTTCTCTCACAACAGAATTCTGGAGGAAAGTGGCTCTGGGAATTGAACAGTGGCTCAGTGATGTTGGGGCCACCAAGTCTGCAATTCTCCCTACCTGTTCTTCATGGTTGTAAGATGACTGCTGCAATTCTCGGCATCATGTGCATGTTAATGTCAGGAGGAAGAAAGGAAGAGGGAGCACTGGGATGTTACATTCATTTTGTCAGGAAAAGCAAAGCCTTTCCAGACAGCTCCGAAACTTGCTTACCTCTCATTGGCCAGCACCATCACTTGACCACTTGTCCACTCCTAGCTGCAAGGAAAGTGGCAAAGTAGAAGGTATTTGAGAATGTCTGCTGGGTTAGCCAAAACAATAGTGACTTCTACACCCAATTTTCTGGGCACTGCAGAAGTATCCTTGAGTCCTATGTGATCAGAGGGAGAGCAAACCTCAATAATGAAACAGATTCAATTTCCATCACCCAGTGAGACACCATGGGATTAGAATAAATTTTTAAAAAAACAAATTGAAAAAAATGCATTTTTAAAACAACAAAATCAGAAAGGATGAAAGGTGATATTTCTAGCATATCAGTTTGTGGTGGTAAATTAATTACCTTATACAAAGGCCTCAGTGACTTTCTTCTCCTTACCTAACGAATCATCTTTAAAATAAGTAAAATAAAGAAACAAGAGCAGCAGCAGATGCTTCCTAAAAAGAAGTTACCAAATCTGTTCACCACAAACCTGAGAATTCAACTGTGGACATTTGGACACCAGCAATGAACATGAAACTCAGCTTATGAGGCATATTTGGCTAAAGGTCAAGGTGACTTAAAGTTCATCATAGGACATCTACAATTTGCAAAGCAGGTGACTGGATATGGACTCCTTCCAAGTCTCATTTAATTGGATAATGCCTACGTTTTAAGTATCAGAAGTGAGTCTTTCTCTATTAAATGAAGTCAGTTCCACTAAAACCTAAATCTTGTTTGGCAGGCACTCCATGTTTCTTAATTTTTATTCCATGCTGTATATTCTTTTAGACTTGATTTTCACTTTTTTTTCTTTTTTCCTGTACATTTATCTTTGCTGTGAAACAAAGTGCCCTGCTTTGAAGGACAGGTTTGTGGGCTGCTGGTGGTGAGACAACAGCAGTCCTTCCAAGTCTTCCTCCCATCACTCTGTTAGCTCTCCCTTTGTTTTTAATTAGCATTACACCAGTTAATTCTGTTATCTCTTAACCCTGGTTCTGCATCCTCTTCTTCTTTTCTATTCCTTACTCCGCTCCTGTTTTTTCTTGTTCTGCTTTTCCAAGAAATGTCTTGTCTCCTCATCAGTTGACTGTCTTCTCTTTCCAGAGGGACCATAAAGGTGCCAGCCTAAGGAACACGTAAAACGTGGGAACAGACAAACAAGCTGCTGCCTATTACAGAGATAGATAATTAACTTTGGACCATTACATGCAATTCATCAGCTTATCTTTTTCAAACTTTATATAAGAAGTCATTTCCCAATGGTAACCACTTGCCAGCTGCAACTTTGACGCATATTATCAGGATAGGTGAGATTGATGGGGGCCCTTTGAACTCTTCCCAGGGAATTATCTTTATAATGTTACAGTTTTCTCTATAGCATGGTCATATTGTTAACATTGGTTATAAGGTCATATGGTTAGTATGGTTAGTATTGGTGGCTCACAGCTGTAATACCAGCACTTTGGGAGGCCAAGGTGGGAGGATCACTTGAGCCCTGGTGTTCAAAACCAGCTCTGGAAACATAGCAAGACCTTGTCTCTACAAAAAAAAATTAAATAAATTAAAAGATTAGCTGGGCATGGTGGCACATGCCTGTAGTCCTCACTACTTGGGAAACTAAGGTGGGAGGATCCTTTGAGCTTGGGAGGTTGAGGCTGCAGTGAGCTGTGGTTGTGCCATGGCACTCCAGCCTGGGTGACAGAGTGAGAGCCTGTCTCAAAAAAAAAAAAAAAAAAAAAAAAAAGTACCTGTAAGGTCTTTGGGATTTTGAAGATGAAAGGTGTTGCATAAATTGAATGAATTCACTTAGAGAGATAGAAGGCAACTACAGGGAATATTACGTACATCATGGAGCGGAAAGCACTAAGGCCTGTGGAATTATTCTCAGTGACACGTCGTTGAGGGCAGTGGTCCACATGTTTTGAACATGGTTTCTCCCAGGTGAAAAGGATGAGTAATTTGTTCTCCTTCACATGTGTGTATGTAGGTCTTATACACAGCAGATTTGCCACAAAACAAATGAAGATTACACTTTGGGCCCCTCTCTCACATGAGCCCCTTCCAAAGTTCTGTTTGCTAATTTTACATTTTGTAATTTCTTATTATTTTTCTTAAAGAAGCCTCCTCCAATTGCATAAACTTCAAGCCTCACAAAATTTGGATCCATACCTGAGCCAACATACAATACAATTTTCCATTTCTAACTTTTAGTTGTACCTAGTGTTTTATTGGAAATGATCAAGTACATGAGTGGTGTCTTTTTAAAAAATTTACTTTATTTGCTTCTCTAGCTTCATCGTTAGTTAGGCAGTTAAATCTAACCATTTGGAGGTATTTTCATATAACCTCCATTGAGGACAATTTGGCAATAGCTTTTAAAATTATAAATATATTTGTACAGTTATAAGCTGCCATATCTATAAAACTATTTGATAGACAAAAGTTGAAAACCCTCCAAGAGCTCATCAATAAAAGATTAAATTAATTATGATACATCCATATGAGCACTGAGCAGCTGTGAAAAAAATGAGGAAGTAATTCCTGTGCTGATATGGGAAGACTTCCAAGACATGTTGTTAAGTACAGAATGGTGTATACAGTATGCTATATAGTGTGGTAAAAGGTTTAGGGATAAGCATTTATATTTATAACTGTTTATATTTACATAAAGTAATTCTGAAAGGATACAAAAAAGCTAACAAAAGAGATTACCTGTGGTAGTGTGGGGCTTGGGGATTGGATGGGTGAGAAACAGTAGTGGAAATGAGATATTGTACAGTTTAAGGCATTATACACCTATAAAAACATGGGAATGTATTACCTACTCAAAAAGTGAAATTAAGAGAGATACAAGAAACTGTTTGGATGTTCCTTCCCGTTTCAATGTATCTATATTTTTTCAGCCCTCAAAGTTATTATAAATGTCATTATAATAACTTCATAAAGCTTCCCCTATAATGAGAATCTTACCATTCTCCTAACTCCAATAGCACTGTAATCCACCTCTGTTAGGACACATCACTCTTCATCATGTGTGATTATTATTTGCAGATATCATCTTCAAGGCTCTTCTCTATTTACCACCTGCCATTCTTGTTCTCACCTCTACATGACCTTCACATTTTATTTCTCTCGGTTTTTTGGACAAGCTACATTCCCTTCCACAGAGAAGGCTTCCCTGACCCCTTTCACTTGGTTGGATTACCTTGCTATTCTTTTCTATCTTTGTACATTCCTTTTCAAAATACTTATCTCCCTTGTTGTTACCTATAATGTCTGTCTTCTTTACTCAAGAGTCTAGACAAAAAGCTCCACGCCAGCCTCGGCTGTGTTTGTATTGTTTACGTCTGTGTTCCTAGTGCTTAATAAAATACCTAGCAAGGGTTAATAAGTACTTGTTGACTGGAAGGGAATGACTTCCTTCCCTTACTAGAGAGTGATTTCCTTACAGGCGAGATGTGTCAACCTTCTATAGCCCACATAAAATAAAGGACAATATCTCCTATTGGATAAAAGACAAGAATTTACATATGAGTTTTGTCATTTACCATACCAGCTCTGGGATCTTAACTTTTTAGCCTCTCTGGGCTTCAGAGCTCTCATCTACATTAAGTTTTTCATTCATTCTGTCATTCAATAAATATTTATGGAATGCTTAGCATGTGCCACTAGTCTAGCAACTGTGGATACTGAAGTACGCAAGGCAGAATAGTACTTGCTATCTGAAGCACACGGTTTAATTGGGGTGGGGAAAGAGTTGGTGGGGAGGGTCTCATTAAACATATAAGCCAAATAAACCAAAATTACAGGTAGAGTTAAGGCCATGGCAGAGCAACTGAAGGTGATGAATTCAGAGAGGCCAGGAAGGGACCCTCTGAAGCGATCATATCTGAACTGAGTTTTTGAGTCAACTAAATGAGATAGTGTCTGTGAATGTCTTAGAATCATGTCTGGCATGTAATAAGTGTCATAAATGATAAGTATTACTATTTATAAAAACTTGTCAAAAAATGAACCAAAAATACAAGCAGCTTGTCTTTCACATATAAAATACTATAGTTGCAACATGTATATGTCTTTGTATAGTGAGAAAGCATATTGTATGTATATTATATTTCATTTGAGTAAGTTATTTTTTAACTGAAGGAATCTCCTATTTTGGTTCTGAAATAGTTAACGTTCCTTTTAAGTAGTCTCATTTATACCTTGAGAGTGATTTAATTACCCACAGCATCTGTTTAACATTGTACTCACAGAGAAATCACAGAAACGTATGCAACATTGGTTGTTCCTAAGTAGATTCAATGTTCTCTAAGGTCTCATTAACCTGTAAGTTCTCACATGTTTGTTACATCTGAGCTAATGAAGAAATAGCCAGGGGTAAGGAACTGAGAAAGAGACTATGGCTGTCTCAACACAAACCCATTCCAGGACTGTAAAAAATATCTGACAAGTCATATCTTCCCAGTGTGGTAGTAAAATCACTGGAGTGTATTGGATGGTATAAGCAACTGAAGAGGATTAAGAATGGCCTCTGTGGCTGGGCACAGAGGTTCACGCTTGTAATCTCAGAACATTGGGAGGCTTAGGTGGGAGAATCACTTGAACTCAGGAGTCTGAGACCAGCTTGGGCAACATAGGAAGACCCCCACCTCTACAAAAAAAAATTAAAAATTAGCTGGGTCTCGTGGTGCACGTCTGTGGTCCCAGCTACTCAAGAGGCTGAGGTGGGAGGATTGCTTGGGCCCAGGAGGTTGAGGCTGCAGTGAGCCAAGATCACACCACTGCACTCAAGCCTAGGTGATGGAGCAATAACCACTCTAGAAAAAAAAAAAGAAAAAAGAAAGGAAAAAAAAAAAGAATGGTCTCTTTGCCAGGCATTTCTCCTTTAGTCCCTAAAAAACATAGGCAGTAGGTAGCTGCCTCAAGTTGGATTCTTCAGAAGCTGACCCTTAGACGCAGGAGAGAGAAGTGTAAGATGGGGATAAAAGTCTCTTTTCCAGGTAAAGTCTCTGCCTGGGCTGGGGTATTCTAGGGTAATGTGTAAATTACACATTGAAGTTTGTCCTTATTTGAGGTTAGAGAATTAGGCTTTCAAACTCCTGCACCAGTCACTCACTGGCTATGACCCCAAGCAGCTCCAGTAGCCCAAGGGCAGTTCCCCAAAGACAGCCACAGATATGGGCTGGGCAAGCAAATGACAGAGGGGCTTTCTGCACAGAAATGATGAAGGAGGCCCACAGAATCAGGGCAGAGCCCTACCCGTGCTCTACGGCATTCATATCCCCAATTTACATGGGAGAAAATCCGACACTCAGAGAGGTCAAGTACTTCATTAAAGGTAACTGTTTAAGGGGCAGAGCTTGGCTACAAACCCAGACAGATTTGACTCCACAGTTCATGCTCACTCTTCTCTACCAAATGTGCCTCCCTTTCCTGACCATCAGTTATATATTCAGGAACATATTCTGTATTTATATAAATAGACATTATTAACCTAGCTTCCTGAGGCAGAAGATTCTATCAGGAATTGTAGTGAAATATTATATTTGGGGATCTCTAGAAGAGCACTACCTAAAATCAATGCAATGAAAGCTACCTGTGTAATTTAAAATTTACTAGTGCTCTCAATAAAAAGGAAAATAAATAAGAGAAATTAAATTAAATAATATATTTTATTTTACCCAACATACCCAAAATATTATTTCAACATATAATCAATATTTTAAAATGTAAAATTTTTTATACAATGTATTTTTGTGTCCTTTACACTTGTAGCATGTCTCAATTTGGTTGTGAAATATTTATCAAAAACATTGCCAGGTGTGGTGGCTTATGGCTGTAATCTCAGCACTTTGGGAGGGAGGCAGATTACTTGAGGTCAGGAGTTGGAGACCAGCCTGGCCAACATGAAACCTCATCTCTATTAAAAATACAAAAATTAGCCAGGCATGGTGGCACATGCCTATAATCCCAGCTACTTGGGAGGCTGAGGCAGGAGAATCACTTGCACCAGGGAGGCAGTGGTTGCAGCGAGCAGAGATCTTACCCCTGCACTCAAGCTTGGGCAACCGAGCGAGATTCCATCTCAAAAAAAATACTTGATGTGAATTTAGATTTCATACGATTTACAGCTGAAAAAGTAGATTCACATAGCCAAGTTAGTCCAAGAACACTTAAAACTTTCTATAACTGCATCAAGTATCATTTTTAAAATTTAAAAATATTAAAATTAAATTTAAAAAAATTAGTTCCTCAGTCGCACTAGTCATATTTCAAATGCTCAATAGTTTTACAAGGCTGGTGGCTACCACATTGAAGAGTACAGAAAATTTTCCCTATGAAAAGGTACAAGGATGTGATTCAGTATACCATCAAGAATCAAACCAGTCAACCAATAGGTAAATATTGAGTGTCTCTCACGTGTTGCATGTAGTAGATATAGTGGCAGCTAAAACACCCTTGGCCAGGACAAGTTAGCTATAAGGACTTTGCAATTGGAGTTACATGGAAGGAATAAGAATTGGCCATTCTCCAGGCACAGTGGCTCACGCCTGTAATCTCAGCACTTTCAGAGGCCAAGGTGGGTGGATCACCTGAGGTCAGGAGTTTGAGACCAGCCTGACCAACATGGTGAAACCCCGTCTCTACTAAAAAAAAACACAAAAATTAGCCAGGCATGGTGGCGGGTGCTTTTGTAATCCCAGCTACTCGGGAGGCTGAGGCAGGAGAATCACTTGAAGCAGGGAGGTGGAGGTTGCAGTGAGCCGAGATCACGCCATTGCACTCCAGCCTGGGGGACAAGAGTGAGACTCCATCTCAAAAAAAAAAAAAAAAAAAAAAAAATTGGCCATGTTCATAGCTTTGGATCAGAGCTACTCAGGAAGAAGGTAAAGTTGGCTTTTATTTGATCTTTGGTAAACAGCCTATTTGCAATACTTGATTTTCATCTCAGTAATACATCCTGGAGGCCTAGTTACGTGGTACATTTTGTAATCTGGTGAGAAGCTCTGCAACAAACCCAAGAGCACTGATAAGTGGCCACTTTAACCCTGTAACCTTTCCTGTACATGATGGATAGTACTGGAAGCCCAGCAAGGTGCTAGAATATGAAAGCACTAGAAAAAATCTGTCATCCGTCTAAACGTACATGGAGGTTTATGCTCAAAAGAAAAGAGTATGTTTCCAAAAGGCAAGTTCAGAGTGTTCATGATAGAACTATTGTTAGCCAAAAACTAGACATTATTCCAACACAAATAGAGAGTAGAATTCTTTAATAAACAGTGGGATTTTCTGGACTATTCATGATGTGAAATACCATTCAGTGATGAGAATGAAAAACCTACTGCTATATCCAATAATATGGATGAATCTCACAAATATTATAATGAGTAAAAAAAGCCAAATACGAAAAACAACAAAATGTAGAATTCTATTTGTACGGAGTTTAAAAACAGGGAAAGTGAATGTTTTATTTTAGGAGTCAGGAGAGTCATTATCCCTGGCAAGGAATGAGGGGTAATAATTAGAAAGCAGCATAACGAGGGCTCCCGAGGTATTGGTAATGCTCTGTTTTGTAATCTGAATGCCAGTCATACAGATGTTCACTTAATGAAGATACTTATTGTCCACATACTTTTCTGTATGTGTCATACTTTTAAAAAATGTATTTAAGCAATGAATTCATTCATCCGTTTATTCACTCATGTGTTAATTCTCCTGAAGACGAACAGAGTTCTCTATTCTAGAACTCTAAAGGTAAGCTAGGCATGTAAGAAAGTCAAAGGCATCATTTCATGCTGTGATTCCACCTTCTGAAAATTCAAACATCCTTCTTGGAGGCAGAGGAAGGAAAACCAAGCAGATCACAGAGCTGGGGACTCCATGAGAATTGGAGGTGGTAAAAAAGAACTTTTGTGCTTATTGAGGTTACTTTGCCTGGCCTGTCCTCCCCTCACCTCTGCCTAATGAAATACTAACCTTCTTCAAGTTCCATTCATGACGACTTCTTCTCAAACAAAAATTACCTTGCCTTCTTCTAAATTTTTAGGACATTTGTCTGTGCTAATCATAGTTTATTCCCATGCATTATAATAATTTCTAGAAAGCAGTGTAATGTTGTGTTTAAAAGCTTGGGCTGCAGAGTCAAGCAGGGTTCAAGACCTTCCATCACTTGCTGTGTGACCTGGAGCAAATTGCTTAATCAGTATGCATTTTTTTCTCTGTTGTAAAATGAAGGTGATAATAGCTGGACCTATCTAATAAGCTGTTATGGAGATGAAAAGAGATAATGGATGTACAGCTGCTGGAAATCAGTAAAATCTCAGGAAATGTTTCCTATTATTTTTACTGAGTACTATCTACTCTAGCAGATAATAGGTTCCTGAAGAACATGGAACATGACTCAGAGAAGTTACAGTGAATAAACTCATTACAGACATCTCAGATTGGCTTGCCTTACATGTAGTCATGTTCTTTTTTCTCATACACTAGCTTAAACTCCTCTAGAACAGGACCTACAACTTATTCATTGTAATATTCCTCACACAGCATAACACTGGGTTTTAGGTTACATAGATGGGTTATAATCTCATTTTATTAATGAGTTGAAGCCACTGAGGAAGTCTTGCCCTTTCTCGTTTAGCGATGCTCAAAGCAAACCAAAGATAACTTCTATAAACTCCCCCTATGAATTCTCTTACTTCTAGGGTGACCAACCATTCTAGTTCATGAAGGGCTGTCCTGGTTTTGGCACTGAAAGTTCCGTGATTCCAGAAACCCCTCAGTCCTAGACAAACCAGACCTGTTGATCCCCCTACCTGCCTCTGTGCCCATATGCTCAGGCTAGCTTGTTTGTTTGTTCATTTGTTTGTTTGTTTGAGATGGAGCCTCACTCTTGTTGCTGGAGTGCAATGGCACGATCTCGGCTCACTGCAACCTCCGCCTCCCAGGTTCAAGTGATTCTCCTGCCTCAGCCTCCTGAGTAGCTGGGATTACAGGCACCTGCCAACACGCCCACCTAATTTTTGTATTTTTAGTAGAGACAGGGTTTCACCATGTTGGCCAGACTGCTCTTGAACTCCTGACCTCAGGCGATCCACGCACCTCTGCCTCCCTGGGATTACAGTCGTGAGCCACCGTGCCCGGCCACTTGTTGTTTTTATTGATGAATCATCCTTGCTCCTATCTAAAGCCAAGTCTTCATTCTGGTTGGCATTTTCTCTACTTATTCAACTACTGGGCTCTTGAAATTCTCCTCCCTCTTTCCTGCATCATCAATCTTTTTCCTTCTACTGAACCACTTCCATTAGCATATAAACACGCTATAATTTTTCCTACTAAAAAATGCTTTAAGAGACCTGGTATGTTGGCTCACACCTGTAATCCCAGCTTTGGGATCCCTATAATCCCAGCCTGTAATCCCTCACTTTGGGAGGCTGAGGTGGGCAGATCTCTTGAGCTCAGGAGTTTGAGACCAGCCTAGGCAACAAAGTGAGACCCTGTCTCAACAAAAAAAATAGCCAGCCATGGTGGCTCATGCCTATAGTCCCAGCTACTCAGGAGGCTGAGGTCGGGGGATGGCTTGAACCTGGGAGGCAGAGGTTGCAGTGAGCTGAGATCATGCCACTGTACTCTAGAGTGAGCTACAGAGCCTGACCAAAAAAAAAAAAAAGCCTTAAAAATTAAAAACATCTGAACTTGTTTCTAGACACAGGTAAAAAATAATAATAATACAAAAATTAAAACAACAACAAAATGTCCCAAGCCTACATCTCCTTCAACCTACCACCCCAATTCTTGGCTCCCCTTTATAACAAAACTCCTTGAATGAATTGTCTATACACAGTCTCCACTTCCAATTCCCCTTTTCTCATTCTTTGTTGAACGACTTCAATCAGGTTTTTATTCCCAACTCTCCACAGAAATAGGTCTTGTCACAATTTGCCAATGATCTGGAATTTTCCTAGGCTATGGAATTATGAGAAATAAACTCCTATTGTAATAAACCATTGTATTTTGTTGTTATTGTTTGAATCACAGAAGTCAATCTTAGCTTAAGTAATAGAACTAAGAACATCCATATTTATGTATCTTTAATTTATATGCCTCTCTGCACTTCACACTTTTATTGCCAACTGTCTACTGTGCAACAAACGGAATGTACAGTAAGCATCTCACACTTAACATGTAAATACTAAACTTTTCATTTCCTCCCCTAAGTAGACTTTTCTGTCAGAAAATGTTTCACCCTTCTTCCTGCTCGGAGCTGAAGCCATGGGGTCATCCCTGATACCTTTCTTGTTCCGATATTCCACATCAAATCCACCAGGAAAGGCAATTATCATCTCTCACCAGATTACTGCTATAGCTTTCTGACTGGTCTTGCTGCTTCCTCCCTGGCCCTGTCATATTCTATTTCCAACACAGAAACCACAACAATCCTCCAAGAATACAGTTCAGTGTAAGCCACTGTTCTGCACAAAACTTCCACCAGGCTTCTCATCTCATTCAGAGTCAAATCCAGAGCCCTTACCTTGACCTACACAGCCAGATGCTTTGTTCTGTTACCTGTCTGATCCCATCTCTGGCTTCCTCTCTCCTCCTTCACTCCCCCAGCCAAGCTGGTCCCTTTGGTCTTTCTTAAACATCACAGCCACTCCCCGCTCAGCGAACTCCACACTCAGGGACCAAGCACTGGCTGTTCCTCCTGCCCAGAAGTCTCTCCCCAAGAGAATGATATGACTCACTTCTACACATTCTCAGTCTCTCCTCAAATTTTAAACTTTTTGTTTTGCATTTTAAATCATTCTTGTATTGATCTAAGAAATACCTTCCATGCAAGAGACACTGTATTGGAAACTTGAAGATGAATATGAAATGTCCTCTGCCCTCAATAAACTGCTAAATAGGACTAGAGAATGGGCTTTCCAGGAAGGTTTCCTAGAAGAAGCAGGCCTGGAACTGAATCTTGAAGAAAATAAAAGAGTTAATTGGGAGTGGGAAGGGAGGGGTGGCAAAGCAAGTACCTCTTAGGGAGAGAGCAATTGAGTATACGTGTGGATATGACAGAGTATGACATATTAGGAGGCTGCAAGATTAGCCTTATCTGTCCCCAGAACCTGGTCATGTGCTACGACATGAGCACTAGAGATAACTCACTGAACCACAGGGGATGGGAGGGAGAGGAAAGAATCACCCTAGAGGCAAGTCTGATGTCAGACTATCTCTAGAGTCGTGCAAGAGAGGAAGCCAAGAGCAGCACACAGATATGCAAACTGCTGGAAACTGCAGAGCACTGCTAGTGACAAGCAGGGACACTCAGATAAGCAACTAGGATGAGAAGCCCATTAGGAAGAAGGAAAGACGGCTCAACATATGAGCAGAATTCAGGAACATGAATTCCTTGGAGATGCAAGATTCAGAGACAATAATACTCTGTTACACTGACAGCCCTCAATGAACCATTTTTTCTGGTATTCATATCCTTGACAATCCTCTCCCTGGAATCTGGTCTGAACCTGTGACTTACTTTAACCCAGTGGTTCTCACAGAGATTTTGTTCTCCAGGGGATATTTGGCAGTGTTTAGAAACACTTTTATTTGACCCAAATGGGGAATGTGGAGAAAGGATGCTACTAGCATTCCTACTGTACTAGTGGGTAGTGGCCAGGGATGCTACTAAACATTCTACAATACACAGTACAGTCCCCCACAACAACAAAAAAATACCTTGCCAAAAATGTCAATAGTGTCAAGGTTGAAAAGCCAATAGAATGCAGCCTAAGCTTTAAGACCTTATGCCTTTAAAAGGACTGAGCTTTCAAAAGCCTAGAAGCTTCCACTTTTGCACTCCTTAAAGGAGGGTAGCCAGACTTTTTACATGCCAGCTCAGGGTTGCATGGAGACACCACATGAGAGGACACGTGGAAAGGAAGCAGTCTTAAGGCTGGGTACATGGAGGAGTGCTGAGAACACAGCTGACGGAAAGAACTAAGGTGCCAGATGTACCATTCCAGGCAAGCTCTTCCGGCCTGTCTCCAACCATTTGAGCCGCCTTTGCTGAAGTGACAGACATGAGCCAAGAAGCTCTCATGGATGTTTCAGCATGCACAGTCATCACAGAGAGCAGGGACAAGTTTTCCCTGCTGAGCCCTGCCCAAATGGAAGAATCATGAGCAAGTAAATAAGATGTTGATTTAAGTCAAGATGTTTTGGAATAGTTTGTTATACAGCAATAGATAGATGAAACAATAGTCAACATAATAGGCATGTTTCTAAGCACATGCTAATGACATCCTTATGAAATAAGATCTGTTATTATCAATGCCACTTTAACTATGAGAAAACTAGTACATGAGTACAGGGAAGTTAAGTATCCACACAGGCTAACACTACTAGGAACAGAGTTTGGATTTGATCGCAGTTAGCGTAACACCAGAGACTGTATCTTAACCATCATGCCATAGATCCTGTCTAGTCATTCATTCATTCAAAAATATATATGGAGAACCTACCATGTGCCAGACACTGTTCCATACATATGGGATATAGCAGGGACCAAAACAGATGAAAATTCCTGGTCTCACAAAATTTAAGTTCTAGTGAATGTAACCACCCCAGGGGCTTATTTTGCCTGCTGCTCAGATAGAGACGATTTATCAAGACAGGGAGATTGCAACAGAGAAAGAGTTGAATATATGAAGAGTGGGCTAAATAGCAGTTTTATTATTACTCGAATCAACCTCCCTGAAAATTCAGAGGCTAGGGTTTTTTAAAGGATAGGTTAGCAGGCAGAGGGTTAGGGAATGGATGCTGCTGAGTGATTGAGTATGCAATCATAGGGGAGTGGAAAACAGCCCTTGTGTGCTGAGTACTCTTCTATGTGGGGGTCACAAGGCCAGTTGAGTCAAGATCCTAGGTCAAAGCAGAGTCGTTCAGGCCACAGCAATGTAAAAGTCTAAAAAGACACTTTAAAAGCCTTTTTTTTTTTTTTCCCCCTCTCTTGAGACAGAGTCTCACACTGTTACTCATGCTGGAGTGCAATGGTGCAATCTTGGCTCACTGCAGCCTTGACCTTCTGGGCTCAAGTGATAAAAAAGGCCAATCTTGGGTTTTTTAATAGTGATGTTATTTACAGGAGTAATTGGGGAAGTTATAAATCTTGTGATTCCAGAACAATGAACGGTTATTTTTTAACTATGCTTACATCTTAGTAGAATTCATGTTCCTCTCATAATCCTAAACTTGCAGACTTTTATTAGTTTTCTAAAGGTGGTTTAGTTTTGGGAAGGGCCATTATCATCCTTGATTTAAGGTTAAACTATAATCTAAATTTCTCCCAAAGTTAGCTTGGCCCATGCCCAGGAATGACCAAGGGCAGTTTGGAGGTTAAAGGTAAGATGGAGTTGGTTAGGTCAGGTCCCTTTAACTGTCATAATTTTCTCACTGTTGACAATTTTTACAAAGGCAGTTTCAATCCTTCCTTTGCATTTCACCATATCTTATTTTTAAGGTGTGATCTATGAAGATGGAAAAAGTCTGATGACCGCTCTAACTTTTTTATGTTGACAGAGGGCAAAGTTGGAATAGGGCTTGGCCTCAGGGTAGGAGGAATGAAGCCACTTTACCGCTGTCTATATGTATTCATGGGTGCCTTATTGGGGTTTTAAGGCTTGCATGACAAACAGGTTAGTATTCTCATCCATAGTTTTAGCACAGCATTTAAGTGAACAGCAGACTGTGAGATAATCAGTTTTAATATAAGGAGTGAAAGTCCTAGCTTTAGACATTCTTGTACAATTGATCTAAAGCCCTAAGTGACCCAAGTGAATAGCCCTGAGAAACAATTACATATGGGGTTGTTAGAAAGATGAATTGGGATAAACAGGAAAGAGCAAATTTAAATATACCAGTCCATATATTTTGTAGTCATTGTTTGGCTTGAGAATAGATCAGTTTAGTTAAACAGCTATATTCCATTCCAGGAGGTGGCCTTGTAGATGGGGTAGGCCTCTATATGTGATGAAGGCAAACACATGTTTATGTATTTTTTGAGACAGAGCCTTACCCTGCCACCTATACTGGAGTGCAGTGGCATAATCATGGCTCACTGCAGCCTTGACCTGCTGGACTCAAGTGATCTTCCAGTCTCAGCCTCCTGAGTAGCTGGGACTACAGGAACTTGCCACCACACTCAGCTATTTATTTATTTATTTTTTAATTTTTTTGTAGACACAGAGTCTTGCTATGCTTCCCAGGATGGTCTTGAACTCGTGATCTCAAGATTTCCTCCCACCTCGGCCTCCCAAAGTGCTGGGATGACAGGCATGAGTCAGTATGCCCAGCACAAATTTTAAATGAGATATTTTTATGGCAACTGAAGAAAACTAAAGGTTAATGTTAGACACAATCTACTCAGACGTTAGACTCAAAGCATCTCTGGTTAGAGAGAAGGAAGGACACAGCAATGTAGGTTTTTCTTGCCTATATTACAAGGAATGAGCTTTAGCTTGCAGAGCCTCAGGAAAAAGGTAGCAGCAATTTTATTGCGTCTATGTCTGAATGGAAGACATAGAAGGAGTAAGACTGAAAAAGAAACAAAATTTAAAGGAATTTTAAAAAAGAAAAATGGAAGATAAAAAAATGTTAAAGCACTAGTTTGGGAAATTGTAGCTTGGAAAGAATTCAGGATATTTTAAATTGCAGAAAATAATAAAAACCTCAAAAACAATAGAGATGACTACAATCTAACAACAGGTGTATTATGAGTTTTTTTCTTACACATAATTTTTTTCTGGTCACCATTTTTATTAAAAACAAATCATAGTAGGACAAATTTATTTGCAAAGTAAGTTTTAGCCTGATTATATTTGGTCTGATTATTTGCATAAAGTGCAGCAAGAATAATTATTTTCCATATAAGCTTCTTTTTTTCTTTAATTGGCTTTAACTTTTTTTAAATGAAGAATCTCAGATATACTTCTTAAAGCCTTGAGTCCAACCATGGATTTATCTGTGCCTGCAAATATCTGTATTAGTTGGGCAAATGTTTTTCCCGTTGAGGTTCCAAGATAATATGGGCTTCCTGGGCCTGTCAGAAAGTGACTCTTTTTATTTATCACAGGTCAGGAACCCTATAAAGGGACTGCATAGACAAAGTATGAGGCCAGTTTTCTCAAGGGGCTTTTATTACCTCTATAAGTCAACTTTGATTCCTTAAAGCAGTTTGTTCATATGTGAAATTATGCTATTTCAGTCAAAACCTTGATAAAATAACCAATGTCTCTAATGGTATCCTGGTATCAAAGAAAACAGATTATTAAATTTATGTGAACAATTGTATTGCCATAAATTAAGTATACTTACAAATTGTTTTTAAATCCTGGAGAAATCACATAAAGAGAAAGAAATATGCTTTAAATTTTGTTCACAAGGATATATTCTGTAAATAGCTCAAACAAGGGGTTTTGGGGGGCTCTGAAAAACAAAAGAGTTAGCAACGTTTTAAACAAAAAAAGTCATAAAAAGATTGTTTTAATTTTTTTTAGTTCAGTCCATGTAATTAGTTCCTGTTCTGCCTGATATAGGACCAGCAGTCCTCATGAACACATCGGCTCTCTACAAAAGTCCTGAAAGTTTTTGCTTTTGCTTTTTTTAATTTTAATGGCTCAATTCCTAACATTATCAGAAAACTGCATTCAAGAGCACCCATCAGAATCTTAAAGCTGATTATCAACCACCATTCGAAAGGATCAAAACAAGACAACAATTGTCTTAGAACAGCCACAGTTAAAAATGTAATCCACGGGCCAGGCACAGTGGCTCACGCCTGTAATCCCAGCACTTTGGGAAGCCGAGGTGGGCAGATCACCTGAGGTTGGGAGTTCAAGATCAGCCTGACCAACATGGAGAAACCCTGTCTCTACTAAAAATAAAAAAATTAGCTGGGCGTGGTGGCACATGCCTGTAATCCCAGGTACTTCGGAGGCTGAGGCAGGAGAATCACTGGAACCCGGGAGGCGGAGGTTGCAGTGAGCTGAAATCGTGCCATTGCACTCCAGCCCGGGCAACTACAGCAAAACTCCATCTCAAAAAAAAAAAATGTAATCCACAAAAAAATCTGGCCATCTCTGTGACTCACAATAGTTTAATATAACAATCATAATTATTACTGATAATATACTGAGACATATCAGAATTATAGGAATTATACAAATTTGGAATAATACATTTATATGAACATAATTTAAAGAAAGTTAAACACTATTTTGTATGTGGCAATGCTTTCTGTACGATTTTAATGTACGATAAGCCAAATGTCTCTTTTGGACTTGAGGGGACCTAATATTTAAAAGTTTAATGAGGAAAAAAAAGCCTTAATTTATTATTTGATTTTGGAAAAGTCATCAAATACTATTATATATCACAAAATAAGATCACAGGTCATTTATTTAGTCAAAGTGATAACTCAAAAACCTTTTATTTATTTATTTATTTTTGGAAGCAGAGTCTTGCTCTATCACCCAGGCTGGAGGGGAGTGGCACAATCTCAGATCACTGCAACCTCCACCTCCAGGTTCAAGCAATTCTCATGCCTCAGCCTCCCAAGTAGCTGGAATTACAGGAGCAGGCCACCACACCCAGCTAATGTGTGTGTGTGTGTGTGTGTGTGGGTGCATGCGCGTGTGATTCAGTAAAGACGGGATTTTACCATATTGGCCAGACTGGTCTCAAACTCCTGAGCTCAGGCAATCCACCTACCCTGGCCTCCCAAAGTGCTAGGATTAAAGGCATGAGCCACTGCACCTGGCTCAAAAAACTTTTAAAGGCAAGAACCCTTACTCTAATAAGAAGCTCAGGTTTCCAAACAAGACCCAATGAAGACATTATGAAGCCAAGTGAATCTCTCTTTTTTCTTCTCTCCTTTTTTTCCTGCAGTTTATCTACAAGGCAAATAAAAATTTTCATTGTCTCTCAATATTACACAAAAAAATTTTTTAAAAAGAGTAAACCAAATTCCATCTTTGTATATCATTAATTTTAAAGCTATTTTTTAATAAAATCATATAAACAAATCTAATTTTAATTAGTTTGACCATAAGGTAAGATACCTATAAATTCTTTTAATCCTTTATAATTATTTTATTAAGGAGTAGATTAATGCTTAATGAAAACCCTGTTATTTAGACACAGGAGTGCAGACTCTGGCCCCACATCAGTGTGGTTTTCATATTAATGTTTAATTTATAGAAAAATTAAATAACCCCCTTTAAATTTTTGCCAATTTGCTCACACTGATAGAATTTTTTTATGAGATCAGTTTTTATGAGCCTTTTATAATATGTTTAAAAAATTTAGTTTTATCTTTTTAAAACTTAATCCTTAAACTCTTTAAACTAGTCAAAATTATTTTTGGTAAAAAAAATCACACTTCGGCCAGGGGCAGTGTCTCAAGCCTGTAATCCCAGCACTTTTGGAGGCTGAGGTGAGTAGATTACCTGATGTCAGGAGTTTGAGACCAGTCTGGCCAATATGGTGAAACCCTGCCTCTACTAAAAATACAAAAATTAGCTGAGCGTGGTGGCATGTGCCTGTAATTCCAGCTATTCAGGAGGTTGAGGCACAAGAATCGCTTGAGCTTGGGAGGTGGAGGTTGCAATGAGCCAAGATAGTGCCACTGCACTCCAGCCTAGCTGATGAAGTGAGACTGTGTCTCAAAAATAAATAAATAAATAATCACATTTCCGTCTCTTTTTATTTTTGTTTTGTTGTCGTTCTTGTTGTTGTTGTTGGTGGTGGTGGTGGTGCTGGTGGTGGTGGTGGTGGGGTGTGTGTGTGTGTGTGTGTGTGTGTGTGTGTGTGTGATGGGTCTCATGCTATTGCTCAGGCTGCAGTACAGTAACCTGATGATAGTTCACTGCAACCTTGACCACCCTGGCTCAAGCGATCCTCCTGCCTCAGCCTCCTGAGTAGCTGGGGCTATAGGCCTGAGCCACTAGGCCTGGCTAATTCTGTATTATTTTGTAGAGACAGGGTCTCACTCTGTTACCCAGGCTGGTCTTGAACTCCTAAGTTCAAGTGATCCTTCTGCCTTTGCCTCCCAAAGTGTCAGGATTACAGGCATGAGCCATCATGCCCAGTTTCCATGTCTCTTTATTAAGAACACATGACTTTTGTTTTTAGTGAAAGCAAGTTTAATTACGTACCAGGTGTAGAGCCTAGGACACAGGACAGAACTAATGAACAAATGTCTAAATTTTGAAGACTTTTTAAAAACTGTATTTTTAAAGGATTATTAGAGTCACATGAACTAAAACACATTGAAGTTTTTTTTTTTTTTAACAAAACATCTGATTTAAGTGCTTTTTTTTTTTTTTTTTTTTTTTGACAGAGTCTCGTTCTGTCCCCAGGCTGGAGTGCAGTGGTGCAGTCTTGGCTTACTGCAACCTCCACCTCCTGGGTTCAAGAGATCCTCCTGCCTCAGCCTCCCAAGTAGCTGGGATTATAGGCACGCACCACCATGCCTGGCTAATTTTTGTATTTTTAGTAGTGATGGGGTTTTACCATGTTGGCCAGGCTGGTCTTGAACTCCTGACCTCATGATCGACTCAACTCAGCCTCCCAAAGTGCTGGAATTACAGGCATGAGCCGCTGCGCCCAGCTCTAGGTGCTTATTTTTTAAAGCTAATTACTTAGAGTTCTTTTATATGTTTTTGTAGTGAAACATCACTCACATGACAAATATAGATACATTAACAGAAGCACATGTGTCTGCGCTGCCTATAAGTTATGAGATTTCCATTTACCAGTTTTAAAGTTTTTTTTTTTTTTTAATTTTAAACCCTCAGTCTCTTGATTACCTGTTGCTGACCTAAAAAGTGTCAGCCAGGCAGTTCCAAATTTATGTTTTTAAAGGGATAATTCTTAGATGAAACAAAATGGAGAATTAATATTTTATTTAAACCAAGGGAAAATTGTGTGGGTAAAGTTTACTCAAGATGTCCAGGAAAAGTAGACACTCTGACATATGGAGATTTCCTTAAAGATGTAAATTTCTTCATTGGATTTTGGCTTTAGGGTGGAGACTCTTAAGGAATAGGGATAGGAAAGCATGCAGATCCTAGGGCCTAATAAGCAAGCATGGCTGGAAGGCAAAATAGATCCCCAAATTCAAGGATCTCATTTTTACACTGAATCCTGGGTCCCCAAAAGAGGGAAACACTATAGGATGAGAATGCAATACTTCCATAGTGAATTTTATTATAAGGACATTTTCCCAAGGCTGCTGGACAATCCAGTACCAGTTAGCCCACTCTGTAATCAGTCCATTTTCTATTCTATACCTTTTTGCTGTGTAAGAGCATACTTTTCTTATTTACATGTGCAAAGAAAGGAATATCGCCCCGTAGTAATAATTATTCATTGTAAGCAATTACCATTAGCCATTTTTAAAAGTATGGCTCTTATCTAGCTATTACATATCTAGATTAAAATGTTTTATAATTCAAAGTAATTTCTAGTTCCTCCAAAAATTCAAAAAGATGGCCGGGCAAGGTGGCTCACACCTGAACACTTTGAGGGGCTGAGGCAGGTGGATCACGAGATCAGGAGATCAAGGCCATCCTGGCTAACATGGTGAAACCCTGTCTCTACCAAAAATACAAAAAATTAGCCAGGTGTGGTGGCACACACCTGTAGTCTCAGATACTCAGGAGGCTGAGGCAAGAGAATTGCTTGAACCCGGGAGGCAGAGGTTGCAGTGAGCTGAGATTGCCCCACTGCACTCCAGCCTGAGTGACAGAGTGAGACTCCAACTCAAAAAAAAAAAAAAAATCAAAAAGATTAGATACAAGAGGAAGGGGGTACAGACAGGAGTAAATGACAAACAATCAGAATTCTGTTGACTGAGAAGTTTTTACAGAGGGAGAGCAGGGGCTTTTAAACAATATCTAGACACATATAGCCCAAATATTAGCCTTTATTAAGACAATTTTCAGCTATAGGGCTCTCAATAGAAAACGCTTTTAAATCTTTCATCATTAGATTTTAGCCAGGACAAACAGCCAATATTTCTGTTTTTTACCTAAAGTAACCTCCCATGTGAAACTGATAAGCCTTAACTAAGGTTATGATTTCACCATGGGTGTCAGAGGTATTCTTAAAGAGGTGGCAAGCAGTTTTCACAGTTTTCCCCCCAAAGGTGGCTCTGAGAAAAGAACATTCAAGACAGAAAGTTAGAAGTTGTTCATGGAAGGGTAAAGAATCAACACATTGCAAAAGTCACACAAATATCAAACCAGAAAGGGCCTATTTCCTGAGCTGAGAATTGAACCGAGGCTGCTGTAGCAAAAGGGCAAAACCTTAGTTACTGAGCTACAGCCATGAGGCAGTTGCTATTATTTTTCCCAGAAGCAATCTAGAGCAGGTAGTTTTGAGTTTGCAAAAGATTTTAACTGTTCAAGGGTATTCCTAAGGCTAGCCATGATATTATCATGTGTCCTTTTAGAATTGCTGCATGTCATAAAACCAAAAATTCCCACCGTCTGGATGGCAGAGACCAAGAGAGAGTACCTCCACATGATCACAAAGTCAAGTTCTCAAGGACATAAAACAAGATGAAAGGAAAACCTCATCTGGTTTTTGTTTTGGAGATCCACAGCAAAGTATGTAACTGACCAGTCTGCAGGGCTGGCTCCAACAGCAGGCTTATAGGGGTTCTAAGCCCACATTCTACACTATGGTACCCCTCTCCACGACAGAACAACACAGAAAAGATGAAAAGACTAGTCACACAAATCCTTTATCCTATTAATCAAAACTTTGCGAAGGAGAAAAACAGTAACTTTTACCATTCACTCAACCAGTTTACACAAATGGAGAGACCAGAAGCCTGGCTGGTAAGAAACTCTTACCCTTTTGTCAGCTTGTCAGGTTTCTGGGTTTCCTCTCTCTGTGACTTCCAGAAGAGTGAAGCAGCTTTTGATGATCCTGCTTGCTGCACCATAGCTATGGGGGCCGCATTACAAAAGAAAATCATCCGGGCTGGGCGTGATAGCTCATGTCTGTAATCCCAGCACTTTGGAAGGCCAAGACAGGTGGATCACTGAAGACTGGGAGTTCGAGACCAGCCTGACCAACATGCAGAAACCCCGTCTCTACTAAAAATTCTAAAATTAGCTGAGTGTGGTGGCGGGTGCCTGTAATCTCAGCTACTCAGGAGGCTGAGGGAGGAGAATCACTTGAACCTGAAAGGCAGATGTTGCAAGAGCTGAGATTGTACCACTGCACTCCAGCCTGGGTGACAGAGTAAGACTCTGTCTCAAAAAAAAAAAAATTGTCCTTTTTCATTTCACGGAACCATAGGCAAAAGCTTCTCAATTTTGCAAGTTGCCACCCAACAGGCTACATGGGGGAACCAAATTAACATTTCCAATTCTGGCCAGAGTGAAATACACGTGACAGAACACAGACACTAGATATCCCACTCAGTGCCCAAGTATGGACCTGGCAAGGCTCAAATTTGTGCCCGTTCATCCACTCAAGATGGGGAGGGATCACCTCTGACTGGGAATTTTAACAGGTGGTCTCAGGGCAGGATGGAAGGGCAGGATGGAAGGGCAGATGGTCACCCTGAGTTAGACCTGCTGAGCTCCCTCTAACACTTCCTTCAGGGCTTACTGAATGTGACTGGTCAGACAAAACAGGAGAGCCGGCTGGACTTCCATCAGCCATTCCTTTAGAGATTTTCTGCACATATATAAACACACACAGTGAACTAAAGACAAACAGAAGAATTTTTAAACCAAGATTCCAGACCAGATTCGTTCTTCAAACCGGAAGAGCATTCTTCCAAACAGGTCTCCTATGCTCCATCCAACAGGGGAGAGATCTCCCGAAACCGAGATTCTTCCTACAATCTAGGGAGAGCCGGATAGTTCCCATGATGGGACAACAGTGCCTCTAGAGAGGCCAACAGATCAGGAGAAGGAAGGGGATGTTGGCAGCACCTGAAATACTGGATGTCTTTCAGGAAATATTTCTCCATTGCAATTAGATCCATGCATTATGGGTAAATAGCACCCTACTAGAAGAGATGGTGCCAGGGGTAGTCCTTAGTCCAAGAAAACTAAGTGGCCATTTGGGCTGGCCTCTGAATCCATTGCCAGTGAGAGGCTGCTGAACCACAGGCAAGTACCTACAAAGGCTATCATGGACAAGCCCCAAATTTATAGCTGCCTAATGGGTTTATTTTGTCTGCTACCCAGATAGAGCCAATTTATCAAGACAGGGGAATTGCAATAGAGAAAGAGTTTAATACACATAGTGCCAGCTAAATGGGAGACTTGAGTTTCATAATTACTCAAATCAGCCTCCCCCCATATTTGGGGTTTTTTAAGGATAATTTTTGGCAGGCAAGTGGCTAGGGAATTGGTGCTGCTAATTGGTTGGAGATAAAACCATAGGGGTGTGGAAAACAGTACTTGTGTGCTGAGTCTTCTTCTGGGTGGGGGCCACAGGACCAGTTGAGTTAAGAATTGCAGGTTCAGGTGGAATCATCTGGTCCTCGGAAATGCAAAAGTCTGAAAAGACATCTCAAATGGCCATCTTAGGTTCTATAATAGTGATGTTATTTATAGGAGTAATTGAGGAAGTTATAAATCTTGTGACCTCCAGAACAATGGCTGATTCTCATTTAACTATGTCTACATCTTAGCAGAATTCAGGTCCCTTTCATAATCCTAATATTGTGGGCTTTCATTACTTTTACAAAGGCAGTTTTGGTCCCCAACTAAGGAGGGGGTAGTTTGAGGAAGGGCTATTATCATCCTTGCTTTAAGGTTAAACAATAAACTAAATTTCTCCCACAGTTAGCTTGGTCCATGCCCAGGAATGACTAAGGGAAGTTTGAAGGCTAAAGGCAAGATAAAGTTAGT
Organism: Homo sapiens; assembly: GCF_000001405.40. NCBI lineage: Eukaryota > Metazoa > Chordata > Mammalia > Primates > Hominidae > Homo > Homo sapiens. The sequence continues at coordinate 78,703,916 of NC_000004.12, forward strand.
TAGGTCAGATTTCTTTCACTGTCATAATTTTCTCACTGTTATAATTTTTGCAAAGGCATTTCCATAAAATCTGAAAAGCAATAGAACTGCACCATTGGGTAGCAAGACTTGACCCACTATTTACACACTAAATAGGTGTGGCAGACATTCATTGCTTTTTGGCTTCCAGGCGTCTATTCTAGCACCCCCAGTTCCACTGGGAAATTACTCTTCCTAATGGATACATTCTGTTAAGACTTTTACTCAAGGCCGGGTGCAGTAGCCCACAAAGTCAGCACTTTGGGAGGCTGAGGCCGGAGGATTCATTGAGCCCTGGACAGTGAGACCAGCCTGGGCAACATGGTGAAACCCTGTCTCTACAAAAAAATTCAAAAATTAGCCTGGTGTGGTGGTGTGCACCTGCAGTTCTAAGTACTTGGGAGGCTAAGGTGGGAAGATTCCTTGAACCTAGGAGGTGGAGGTTGCAGTAAGCCAAGATTTGTCCCACTGCACTCCAGCCTGGGTGACAGTGAGATGTGGGTGACAGAGTGAAATAAATAAATAAATAAATAAATAAATAAATAAATAAATAGTGAGACCTGGGTGACAGCCTGGGTGACAGAGTGAGACCTGGGTGACAGAGTGAAATAAATAAATAAATAAATAAATAAATAAATAAATAAATAAGTGTTAGACAAAAACAGCTTCAAGCTTCCTTTATCAAACTGGATTACTGTACTAAGATCTTTCTGCATAGAAATTCTGAAACCAACACTGGAAACAGTTCTTAAGCAAAGAACAAGACACAATGGTGCTAATTAATAGAACCGGGATAAAGACACAAAAGCATGCAGAAACCCAACTGTTGGAACTAGACCAGCAGCATATACCCAAGAAAGGGCAGATTCCAAGGCCCCATCTTAGACTCTCTGGATCAAAATCCCTGGAGTAGGAGACCAGGTCTTTTCATTTTCTTATATTTGTCAATGATTTTGAAGCTCACTAAAGTTTGATAACCATGCTGTTTTGTGCTGGGCTAGAGCCCCATGGAATCATGCTTGTCAAAGCTTAATATGCAGACATGTGATCTTGCTAAAATGTAGATTCTGACACAGAAAGTTTGGGTGGGGCTTGAGATTCTGCATTTCTAACAAGTTCTCAAACGATGAGGCTAGATGAGCCATACAGTCTGGGTGAGGCTAAGCCTGAAGCTAGAATCAGAAGGCACAGACCCAGGGGGAGAAGCTGTGAAGTAGACAGAGCCTGACAGCTCATTCCTTGGCAAACTGACAGAATGAAATCTCAGAGCCTGCAAAACTGGCAACTAGCTTCTCAACCTCCTCAATGCTACCATCCTTCTGCTTCACCTGAGCAGCTCCTAAAGCGGACATGAGACGCAATCCTTTAATTAAATCCTCAAATAGCTTCTTTGCCTGACCCACTCCCTCTGAATCCTTGTTCAGCATTACAAGATGAAACAAAAACAAAGAGGTGATTCTGAAGTTCAATCTGATGTAATTGGGTGCTTTGTTCTTAATTAGAGTGCAAAGTCCTCTTTTTGTAGGCCACTGAGTCTGTGCAGATAATACAGTTTCCTGTTTACTGTTCTAATAAAAACTACTTTGCATTATTAAAATAAAAGCACCTTAAAAGCTGACATAGACAGTTTCCAAATGATACATGTAACAGAATCAAATTGTTTTGAAGAGCTTGTGAATATTTGATTACCAGACATTGCCCTTCTCTTTTTATCTATTGATACATTCAGTCACAATTATAGTCCAGGTACTGTGCTAAGCACGGTCACATGCTATAGATGGTGTACAATCTCAAAGTCCTGGCCAAGAAATGCAGAAATTCAGCCTTTGCATGTAGTTTAATGAAACTCCCAGGACCCACTCCACTATTGGATTTATTTATTTAATGGAAGACTATGTGGAAATCCCTGTTCCATGTCCTCTGGAAGAAACACAGAAATGAAGGTAGAGTTCCAAATGGTAGAGAATAAACAACAGGTGGTCTGGGTTTCATTCAAAATGTGAGTCACACTAAAAATGGATAGGATTTTTTTTAAGGGTCACTTCCACTCCAGATTTCAATGTATGTTGCTCAGAATAAAGTGGGTATTTCATAGCCACCACAATGGCTGTGTATTAAGGCAAAGCTCTATTGAATTGATATTTTTATAAGTATAAACAGCATTTGCAAGGCTGAGTTGAAGGAGCTAGGAGAGGGACTGGCCTCAAAGCCTTTAAAAGACCCTTAAAAGGCCTTACAGCCTTTTAATATACTCTTGTAGGGTATGTTATCCCCTAAATACCAGAAGTCTGAAAACCTCTGGGTTATAGTAGAATTATTTCTAAAACAGCAATTTCCAAGGCACATGAATAATATTAAAAATCACTGAAAAGGATGTGCTAAGCACCCACGTGCAAATTTTTTGGTGGCCAGTCTAAGATGTTTAAAGAAACTTTGGGAGTGATTTGGGAGATAATAGGGGATCATCAGGAAGAAGTCGAGAGTGTGGCAAGCATAAGAAAGTAGGATGGATATGCAAAGCGAGGCAGTGCGGGATGTGTTGACATAAGGTATAGGTAAGAAGGGTAATATAAGACGACAGGCTCAGAAATGAGTCACCAACACCTTGAAAGACTTGAGAAGAAAGTAAAGTGTCAAAAGGAATGTCACCCCCCTGGAAAAGCCTTACCACAGCAATGTACTTAAAATAACTACCCTAACACTAACATAGCATTCTCCATCCATTTGCACTACTGTCGTTTTCTTCATGATGCTTTTTACTCCATGACATGATTTTTTGTGTCATGAATATGTTTGTTTATCTTCTGTTTTCAATTAGAATATAAGACCCATGATGCCAGGAACCTGTTCTTGTTCACTGCTTATCCCCAAACCTAGAGCAGTACCTGGTAATAGCAAGTATTCAACAACGTATTTGTTGAATAAATGAATGAAACCAATGAAGGGATTTGAGAAAGGGATAAGACAGAATGCTAGTACAAGTGTCTAGAATAGAGGTGTGATGAATAAAGATGGGGAAGAAGACATCAAAATAAAAGTACAAAAATCAAATAACAGTAAAAACTTTTATCATGTATCTTAAAATTTAAGAAGATATATGAGACCCTAAGCACACCCAAAATTCAATCTAAATAGCCTAGAAACATTATTTATAAGCATTAGAGGAAAGAATCAAATAATTCTCAAAGAGAAAAACTGGGACCCTTGATACTGAGGAAAAAGGCCTGCAGACTCCAGAAACCCTTTAACTCTTCCCACCCCCAGCTGCAGAAAGAGGCCTTGAGCAAGTTTCCTTGCTTTGGGGCTCACTGGACCCTCAATGCAAAGTCACACTAGAAGGAGGAACATCAAGTGTCACTTGGAAGCTGTTCAAGAAAAGAAAGAGAAAACAGTAAAGGAGGGGAGCTTTATAAATCTAGCAACTACGTAGTCCAAAAGGAGAATTTGACTAACCCCTCCTCCTCCTCCTCCTCCTCCTCCTCTTCTTCCTCCCACCCCTTTGACCTTCAGACAGTGTCTCATTGTTTAGATTATGTTTATCTGAGAAAAGACAAAGCCTCAGCTGTGAGTCTGTGGTTGTGCACCCCCTAGAACTTATTTTTACCAAATATCTTGGTGCCAGCAGCAGTGATGCTAAGGGTGCTGGTTTAGGCAATAAAGGAGCAACTCGTGACTCCATCAAGAAGAAAATACATCACAAAGCATCTTCTCCATCAGAGACCTATATTTAATTTGTCTTTAGCTTGTGTGTACTGATTGCCTGGTATTTATCGTCTTCAGATCAACAGTATGTACACAGAGCAGAATGTTTCTTTTCTGAAAACTAAATTCAAACACAGATTAATCTGGTAAGAGTAGTTATACCTCTGAAGAGTGAAGGGGAAATTGAGGGACATTTACTTATTATTTTATTATTTTAGTTTTAGTTTTAGTTTTATGAGACACGGTCTCACTCTGTTGCCCAGGCTGGAGTGCTCTGGCATGATCATGGTTCACTGCAACCTCAACCTCCTAGGCTTGAGCAATCCTTCTGCCTCAGCCTTCCGAGTAGCTGAGACTACAGGCACACAGCACCACACCTGGCTAATTTATTTAAATTTTTTGTAGAGACAAGTTCTCACCATGTTGCCCGTGCTGGTCTCAAACTCCGGAGCTCAAACAATTCCAACAATGCCTCAAACAATGCCTTGCCCTCCCAAAATGTGGGATTACAGGCACAAGCCACTGCACTCAACGACCCATTTACTTATTATTTTACACTTTATCTTAGCCAAAAGGCTGAGAAGTGATACTTATTTTAGAAAGTCTAAAAAAAGGTGAAATTTGTTTAGTTGGCTTGCTTTTTTGGTTCCATTTGATAGTTTCGTAAATGCTATTTTGTTAAAGTTTAAAAGTAGTGGATTATGGGTAATGCTTTTTAACTTTTTTTTCCATCTGATGTTTTCTGTATATATGTATATAAAAGCATAGGCCGGGTGCGGTGGCTCACGCCTGTAATCCCAGCACTTTGGGAGGCCTAGGTGGGTGGATCATGAGGTCAGGAGATCGAGATCATCCTGGCTAACACAGTGAAACCCCGTCTCTACTAAAAAAATACAAAAAAAATTAGCTGGGTGTGGTGGCGGGTGCCTGTAGTCCCAGCTACTCGGGAAGCTGAGGCAGGAGAATGGTGTGAACCCGGCAGGCAGAGCTTGTAGTGGGCCGAGATTGCGCCACTGCACTCCAGCCTGGGTGACAGAGCAAGACTACGTCTTAAAAAAAAAAAATCATATATATACACACACACACACACACACACACACACACACACACATATATATACACATATATACATATATACATATATACACATATATATACATATATACACACACACACACACACACATATATATATATATATATATATATATATACACACACACACTTTTTTAAAAAATAAAATCACTGGGCATTGTGGCTCATGCCTATAATTTCAGCACTTTGGGAGGCCGAGGCAGAAGGATAACTTGAGGCCAGGAGTTTGAGAATAGCCTGGGCAACATAGCAAGACTCTATCTCTACAAAAAAATTAAAAAATTAGTCAGGCAGGGTGGTGGTCCACACCTGTAGTTCTAGCTACTCCAGAGGCTGAGGCAGGAGGATTGCTTGAGCCCAGGAGTCCAAGCCTGTAATGAGCTATGATTGTGCCACTGCACACACCAGCCTGAGCAACAGAGCGAGACCCTGTCTCTAAACAAACAAACAAACAAAAAAGAAGAAGAAGGAAAGAAAAGAAAATCAGGTTGCAGGGGGAAACCATACCATGTTAAAAAAAATGTTGGCTGGCCATTAGGTTAAAAATTGCTTAAAAATACAATTACCAGCCAGGTATATTTCATGGTACTGTATAAATTTTAGCATGGGTATGTCATAATAATAACTAATACATATCACTAACTATGTCCAAAGCACTGTTCTGAGTTTGTTGTTCTGTGTTTATTTATTTAATCTTTACAGCAACCAGATGAAGAAAGTACTATTATAATCCTTATTTACAGATAAACCAACACTTTCTGGGGAGAAGTTGATTTAAGTGATTAACAAGTCCATGCCATCCAGAGCCCTACAGTTGGTAACATAGAGATGTGATGTGAGACATCCCAGATTCTTTTTAACTTTCTTTTAATATATGTATTTTTTTGTTTTAGAGATGGGGTCTCGCTATGTTGCTCGAGCTAGTCTCAAATTCCTGGGCCAAGTGATCCTCCTGAAGTCCTGGGATTATAGGTGTGAGCCACTGCACCTGGCCCATTTTTCTTAACTTTCTTAATTGAAATTTAACATATGTATAATAAAGTGCACCAATCTTAAGTATATAGCTTGATAAATTTTTATATATGTATCCACTGGGAAATCACCCAAATCAAAATATAAAATATTTCCAGCTTCCTCAAAGGTTCCTTTTAGTCTCTTCCTAGTCAATACCTCCCCAAAAGTAATAATTATTCTGACATTTATCATCCTAAAATGGAATCACACAGTATGTACTCTTTTCTGGCTTCTTTTTTTTGTTGCTGTTGGGTTGCGGTTTTTTGTTTGTTTTGATTTGTTTTTGTTGTTGTTGTAGTTGTTGTTGTTTTTTGAGACAGAGTCTCACTCTGTCACCTAGGCTGGAGTGCAGTGGCACGATCTTGGCTCACTGCAACCTCCACCTCCTGGGTTCAAGCGATTCTCCTGCCTCAGCCTCCAGAGTAGCTGGGATTACAGTCATGCACCACCACACCCAGCTAATTTTTAAAATATTTTTAGTAGAGATGGGGTTTCACCATGTTGGGCATACTGGTCTTGAACTCCTGACCTCAAGTGATCTGCCCACTTCAGCCTCCCAAAGTGCTGGGATTACAGGCGTGAGCCACCACGCCTGGCTATTTCTGGCTTCTTTTACTCAACATTATACTTGTGAAATTCATTTCTGTTGTTGTATGTATTAGAAATTTATTCTTTTTATTGCTGTATAGTATTCCATTTGTATGAATATCCCAAATTTATTTATCCATTCTCCTGTTGATGGACTTTTGGGTTGTTTCCATTTTGGGGTTACTGTAAAGCTGTTATGCATATTATTTTACATGTATCTTAAAGAACAAATGTTTTCATTGCTCTTTGGTGTATACCTAGAAATGGGATTACTGGATTACAGAGTAGATGTGTATTAGAATTCATAGATATTGCCAAACAGTTTTCTAAAAGAGTTATGCCCATTTATACTCCCACTAGGAATGCATGAGAGTTCCAGTTGCTCCACATTCCTGCCAACTCTGTCATTCTAGTGGATGTGTAGTGATGTCTCATCATGGTTTTAATTTGCATTTCTCTGATGACTAAGGATGTCAAGTGCCTTTTAATATTTTTGTGGGCCATATGGATGTCCTCTTTTGTGAAGTGCCTGTTTAAATCTGCTTATTATGTTAATTAGGTGGTTTGTCTTTTTCTTATTGAATTGTAGGAGCTCTTAATACATCCGTATTATGAATCCTTTGTCAGATATATGTAATCAGGAATAGATTTTCACAGTCTGTGGTTTCTCTTTTCACTCTTTTAATGGTGTCTTTTGACACTGAATCTTTTTTAGGACTAAATGTATTTTATATAACAAATGTAAAAGAGCTTATCTAGTTAAGTTAGCAACATGTACAATGTCATAAAATTTATGTGAATAGTTTCACGTAAAATCTATTTCAAATAAAACCTATTTCAAATAATTGTTTTATTCATTCACACATATAATTCAATATTCACCTCAAGTTAACTATGTGCAAGGCACTGTGCCTTCAGTACAAAGATGACTGAGACTCTTCTTGCCCTCATGGAATTCACTGGACTCCATGAAGTTGGTAGGCAATAAATTACAATAATGTACAGAGATAAATGATAATAAATATGTACACATTTCCATGAGCTCAGGCTCAAGTGAAGGTATTATGAGAGTAAGGCAGGAGTCTCAGGAGTAGGATTTGATAATCTGCATTTCAAACATGCTCCATAAGTGGTTCTTTGTTTTGTGTTGTTGTTGTGGCTGTTGTTTTAGTTACAAGTTTATATGTGAGAACCACTGAGCTAGAATGTAGGAGAACCAACGTGACACAGAAAACGGTGCCTAGGGTCAGGTTATGAAGATTATTTCCTTGAATTTCATGCTGAAGAGTTTGAATTCAATCTAAGTGGGCAATATAAGGCCATTAGAGGAGTTTTTGAAGGGAAGAAATTTTAAAACTCAAGATCAATGATCTTGATAAATGCAGTTCTTCCTACTTCTCAGCTGTTAAAACCGTTGAGGGTATCTGTGTGATTTATCTGATTGGATTTGAATGATGCTTTGACTAAATGTCAAAGGAGAAAGTAATATTTGTATTTATTGTTCTAGATCAGAAATCAGCAAACATATTCTATTAAAGGATAAAATTTATAGAAGGCCATTGGTTTGGGTTGAGCTTTTGTACTAGGCCCAACAGACCAAACCAAAATGTAGTCACTCATGCTGAAGTTCCATGCCACCAAGATGAAACCAACATGTTTATCTGAGAAATCCGGAGGCAGAAAGAGATAACAGCCAATTTTCCAAATAGGCCAGTTTTAGCTGCATGATAAAGAAGTCCCCTCGACTTTAACATTTACAAGGAAAGTAACGTTGAAATGACGATTCCACTTTTCGCTCTGTTTCTGCTTTTTTCAGCCCCTTTCTGTCTATAAAGCTAAGCTCCTCTGCTCAGCTCATTGGAGCACTTATTCTATTTTACAGAATGAGGTTTTATGTGGTTCTAGAATCACAAATAAAACAAATTAGATCTTTAAACTGAATTTGTTGTCATTCTGTTTTTTGACAGGCCAGATAGTAAATAATTTAGGCTTTACAGGCCACATAGTCTCTGTTATACCTATTCAAATCTGCCTTCATAGAAGGAAAGTAGAAAGCAGCCATATCTTTTACATATTTTACATAGAAATGGTGTAGCTGAGATCCAACACAATGTTATTAATAAGATTTGGTGAGTCAGATTTGGCCTATGGGAAGCAGTAGTTTGCCCACCTTGGTTCTAGATAATTTCATTTAGTCTAATTGAAAGTTTATAATGCAGTTTAGCTCCAAGATTTTTGGCTCATGGTAGCAATTCCTCCCCAAAATCACGTTTAATAGCTTCAGTTTAAATAAACATAAATCTGAAACAAACTAGGATTTTAAAAAATTAGTAAAATCTAGATTGTGGTATATTCTACAAGATAACTGCCCTAGATGGTTTTTGGGATTTTTGGTTGTTTGATTTGGAGTCAAGATCTCACTCCATCACCCAGGCTAGAGTGCAGTGGCATGATCACAGCTCACTGCAGCCTTGACCTCCCAGACTCAAATAATCCTCCCACCTCAGCCTCCCAAGTAGCTGGTACTACAGGCACATGCCACCACACATGGCTAATTTTTGTATTTTTCATAGAGATGGAGTTTTGCCATGTTGTCCAGGCTGGTCTTGAACTCCTGAGCTCAAGCAATTCACCCATCTCGGCCTCCCAAAATGCTGGGATTACAGGTGTGAGCCACCACACCCAGCATGCTCCTAGATGTTTAAAAGAAAATGTGATGAGGAATGAGGTGGAAAAGCAGGGAGAATGTTCTAATCTAAATCAAAAGGAATTTAAGAGACTGTACAAGCAAATATAATGCATGAAGCTGTTTGGATCTTGGATCAAAAACAAAAATAAAAAGTTGAAAAAAATCTATGGGACAATTGAGGTGTTTGAATATGATCTATTTGGATATAATATTGTTGGGATTAGAAAGCAATACTCCCAAATGAAGACCTCAGAAGCAGCCTCAGAAGGAAAAGCATTTCTCTGACCTTTTCCTGCTCTCCTGTCCTCAGTCCCATTCTTCCTTGAGGTTAGTTACAGAAATGAGAATCCCTCTTCCCCAAAGAAGGTCATAGAAACCAGAACCCCTTTTCCTCAAAGCCAGCCATAAAACCTAAAATGTTACTTAACCCTCCCCTCAAACTTTCTTTGTAAAAACTGGTCCTTAAGAAACTATGTGACCAACTTTGTTTGACTGTAGGTCATAAGACCTCTATTCCAGAGGGGGTCTGGCCCTATACTCAGAAGGAAGGAATGTATTCTCAAAGAGGTCAAGAATATGAACAGACAGGCCTTACTGGGTTTTCCCACTCAGTCTATTAGCATCGGATTTTCTCTTTTTGTCCAATCATGTTGAACATAAGCATTAAAATGGACAGTTTCCCCTATATCTTTGGGTCTTCATTCTGAAGGCTCCTGTGTCACCTAAAACCATGATCAAATAAATTCGTATGCCCTTTCTTTTATTAATCTACCTCTTGTCAGTGATTATCAGCAAAACTTCAGAAGGCAAAGGGGAAGTTTTCATGTGCGTCCGTGTGAAGAGACCGCCAAACAGGCTTTGTGTGAGCAACATGGCTGTTTATTTCACCTGGGGGCAGGTGGGCTGAGTCCAAAAAGAGAGTCAGTGAAGGGAGATAAGGGTGGGGCCGTTTTATAGGATTTGGGTAGGTAAAGGAAAATTACAGTCAAAGGGGGTTTGTTCTCTGGCGGGCAGGAGTGGGGGGTCACAAGGTGCTCAGTGGGGGTGATTTTTGAGCCAAGATGAGCCAGGAAAAGGACTTTCACAAGGTAATGTCATCACTTAAGGCAAGGACCGGCCATTTTCACTTCTTTCGTGGTGGAATGTCATCAGTTAAGGTGGGGCAGGGCATATTCACTTCTTTTGTGATTCTTCAGTTACTTCAGGCCATCTGGGCATATACGTGCAAGTCACAGGGGAAGCGATGGCTTGGCTTGGGCTCAGAGGCCTGACATTCCTGCCTTCTTATATTAATAAGAAAAATAAAACAAAATAGTGTCGAAGTGTTGGGGCAGCGAAAATTTTTGGGGGGTGGTATGGAGAGAGAATGGGCGATGTTTCTCAGGGCTGCTTCAAGCGGGATTAGGGGCGGCGTGGGAACCTAGAGTGGGAGAGATTAAGCTGAAGGGAGGTCTTGTGGTAAGGGGTGATATTGTGGGGATGTTAGAAGAAACATTTGTCATATAGAATGATTGATGATGGCCTGGATACGGTTTTGTATGAATTGAAAAACTAAATGGAATAACAAAAGGAGAAAAACAGGTATAAAAGGTCTAAGAATTGGGATGACTCAGGATATCTGATTAGAGACTGCCTAAGGAGATTCAGCATAGTCCTGCCAGCAAAGATTATTTATTTACTTCAAGAGTTAAGAGTGGCAGTTTGGGGATAGCACCAGGAGATATCAGCTGTGATGGCTTGGAAAAACAGTGTAAACCGGCAGTGTAAACAAGAGCAGGGCATGTTTGAGTAGTTGAGAACGGTGAATAGGAGTATGACTAGACAGAAGGTAGTAGGGATGACAAGTTTTTTGGGGCACAGTCTAAGTTGGTCTGGTGTCTGGAATGAGACTGGGACCTAATAAAAAGGAGCGTCTATACAGGAGCTTAAATGGGCTGTATCCTGTAGCATTCCGAGGATAAGCCTGAATTCTGAGAAGGGAAAGTGGTAAAAGTATTGTCCAATCCTTTTTAAGTTGGTGGCTGAGCTTGGTGAGGTGTGTTTTTAAAAGACCTTTAGTCCATTCTACTTTTCTTGAAGATGGAGGACCATAAGGGATATAAAGGTTTCACTGAATACTAAGAGCCTGAAAAACTGCTTGGCTGATTTGACTAATAAAGGCTCATCTGTTATCAGACTGTATTGAGGTGGGAAGGCTAAACTGAGGAATTATGTCTGACAGAACAGAAGAAATGACTGTGGTGGCCTTCTCAGACCCTGTAGGAAAGGCCTTTACTTATTCAGTGAAAGTGTCTATTTAGACTACAAGGTATTTTAGTTTCCTGACTTGGGCATGTTGAGTAAAGCTAATTTGCCAGTCCTGGGTGGGGGCAAATCCTTGAGCTTGATGTGTAGGGAAGGGAGAGGGCCTGAAGAATCCCTAAGGAGTAGTAGAATAGCAGATGGAACACTGAGAAATTATTTCCTTGAGGATAGATTTCCACGATGGAAAGGAAATGAGAGGTTCTAAGAGGCGGGCTAGTGGCTTGTGCTATAGCATAGCCTGCCTTTGCTGGTGTGTGGCGATTAGGCCTGGTGGAACTGCCATCAATAAATCAAGCGTGATCAGGGTGAGGAACAGGAAAGAAGGAAATATGGGGAAATGGGGTGAATGTCAGGTGGATCAGAGAGATACAGCCATGGGGGTCAGGTGTGGTATCAGAAATAATGTGGGAGGCCGGATTGAAGTCCGTGCCAGGAACAATGGTAATTGTGGGAGACTTAACAAAGAGTGAGTACAGCTGAAGGAGCCGGGAAGCAGAAAGTATATGTGTCAGGTATGAGGAAGAAAATAGATTTTGGAAGTTATGAGAACTGTAGAGAGTGAGTTGAGCATAGTTTGTGATTTTGAGGGCCTCTAAACGTATTACAGCAGTGGCAGCTGCTGCACGCAGACATGAGGGCTAGGCTAAAACAGTAAGGTCAAGTTTGGACAGAAAGGCTACAGGGTGTGGTCCTGGCTCTTGTGTAAGAATTCTGACCGCGCTAACCATGCCTAGGAAGGAAAGGAGTTGTTGTTTTGTAGAAGGTGCTGGGGTTTGAGGGGTCAGTCGGACACGATTGGCAGGGAGAGCACGTGAGTTTTTATGAGAATTATGCCGAGATAGGTAACAGATGAGGAAGAAATTTGGGCTTGATTGAAGTAATGGGGGCTGTCTGTGAAGCTTTGCGGCAGTACAGCCTAGGTAATTTGCTGAGCTTGATGGGTGTCAGGGTCAGTCCAAGTGAAAGCGAAGAGAGGCTGGGATTAAGGGTGCAAAGGAATAGTAAAGAAAGCATGTTTGAGATCTAGAACAGAATAATGGGTTGTAGAGGCAGGTATTGAGGATAGGAGAGTATATGGGTTTGGCACCGTGGGGTGGATAGGCAAAACAATTTGGTTGATAAGGCGCAGATCCTGAACTAACTTGTAAGGCTTCTCTGGTTTTAGGACAGGTAAAATGGGGGAATTGTAGGGAGAGTTTATAGGCTTTAAAAGGCCATGCTGTAGCAGGCGAGTGATAACAGGCTTTAATCTTTTTAAAGTGTGCTGCGGGATGGGATATTGGCGTTGAGTGGGGTAAGGGTGATTAGGTTTTAATGAGATGGTAAGGGGTGCATGATCGGTCACCAAGGAGGGAGTAGAGGTATCTTATACTTGTGGGTTAAGATGGGGAGATACAAGAGGAGGACACAAAGGAGGCTTTGGATTGGGAAGAAGGGCATCAATGAGATATAGCTGTAGTCCAGGAATAGTCAGGGAAGCAGATAATTTAGTTAAAGTGTCTCAGCCTAATAAGGGAACCCGGCAGGTGGGGATAACTAAAAAGGAGTGCTTAAAAGAGTATTGTCTAAGTTGGCACCAGATGGGGAGTTTTAAGAGGTTTAGAAGCCTGGCTGTCAATACCCACAACAGTTATGGAGGCAAGGGAAACAGGCCCTTGAAAAGAAGGTAATGTGGAGTGGGTAGCCTCCATATTGATTAAGAAGGGGATGGGCTTACCTTCCACTGTGAGAGTTACTGGGAGCTTGGCGTCCGTGATGGTCTAGGGGGCTTCCGAGGTGATCAGGCAGTGTCAGTCTTCAGCCGCTAAGCCGAGAAGATCTGGGAAGGAGTCAGTCAGAGAGCCTTGGGCCAGAGTTCCAGGGGCTCTGGGAGTGGCTGCCAGGTGAGTTGAACAGTCCGATTTTCAGTGGGGTCCCACACAGATGGGATGCGGCTTAATAGGAATCCCAGGCTGCAGGCATTCCTTGGCCTAGTGGCCAGATTTCCGGCACGTGTAGCAAGCTCCTGTGGGAGGAGGTTCTGGAGGAACGCCTGGTCGCTGCAGTTCAGGTGTTTGGAAGTTCTTGTGTGCTGGAGATGTGGCTGGGGTTTGTCTCACAGTGGAGGCAAGGAATTGCAACTTTTTTCTATTATTGTACACCTTGAAGGCGAGGTTAATTAAATCCTGTTGTGGGGTTTGAGGGCGGGAATTTAATTTTTGGAGTTTTATTTAATGTTGGGAGCAGATTGGGTAATAAAATGTATTTTGAGAATAAGACGGCCTTTTGACTTTTTAGGGTCTAGGGCTGTAAAGTGTCTCAGGGTTGCTGCCAAACAAGTCATGAACTGGGCTGGATTTTTATATTTGATGAAAAAGAGCCTAAACGCTTCTGATTTGGGATGAAGAAAAAGGAGCATTAACCTTGACTATGCCTTTATCTCCAGCCACCTTTTTAAGAGTAAATTGCTGGGCAGGAGGGGGAGGGCTAGTCATGGAACGAAACTGTAAGCCAGACCAGGTGTGAGGAGGGGAGATGATAAAAAGATTATAGGGTGGAGGAGCAGAGGCTGAGGAAGAATTGGGACCTAGCTCGGCCTGGCGAGGAGCAGCCTGGGGAGGAAGGGAGAGGTCAGATGGGTCTGTAGAAAGGGAAGATTAGAAAGACTCAGCGACGCTTGGGGTTGGTACTGAGGGGACAGGCGGGAGGGACAGAAGGAAGATTTGGGAAGAGTTGCACTGGGCACAGAGACTAGGAAGGGACTGATGTGTAAAAGAATGCCTGGACGTCAGGCACCTCAGACCGTTTGCCTATTTTACGGCAAGAATTATTTAGATCTTGCAGGATGGAAAAATTCAAAGTGCCATTTTCTGGCTATTTGGAACTACTGTCGAGTTTGTATTGGGGTCAAGCGGCATTGCAGAAGAAAATAAGGCATTTAGGTTTTAGGTCAGGTGTGAGTTGAAGAGGTTTTAAGTTTTTGAGAACACAGGCCAAGGGAGTAGAAGGAGGAATGGAGGGTGGAAGGTTGATGATAATGAAGGAAGCAAGCCTAGAGAAAAGAGAGAGTAGAGAAATGGAGGGAAGGGGTTCGGGGGTTCTTACCTTCCAGAAAAGTGGGAAAAGGGGTTGGGGCACAGAGATAGGAGGTCAGGGCATGGAAATAAGGGATGGGGTGCAGAAATAAGGGGTTGGGGCACAGAAATAAGGGATCAGGGCATGGAAATAAGGGATCGGGGCATGGAAATAAGGGATTGGGGTGCAGAGATAAGAGGTCGGGGCACAGAAATAAGGGATTGGGGCACAGAGATATAAGAGGTTGGGGCACGGAAATAAGGGATTGGGGTGCAGAGATATGAGGTTGGGGTACTTGCCCCTCTTCTAGAAAAGCGGGACTTGCCGCTAAGAATGAAGGAGAAGGGGTTGAGGGGTACTTGCCCCTCCCCCAGAAAAGCAGAGAAGGGGTAGACACAAGGAGAGAAGGGGTTGGGGTACTTGCCCCTTCCCCAGGAAAGCAGGACTTGCTGCTAAGGGTGAAGGACCAAGGCAGGCGTCCCTGCGTGGTCTGGCACCTTTGAAACATGGGTGAATAATGACAGAGGCGTCCCTGCAATGATTAAACACCAAGGGAAGGCTGCCTTCCCAGTCCGTGACCGGCGCCGGAGTTTTGGGTCCACAGATAAAATGTGTCTCCTTTGTCTCTCCCAGAAAATGAAAGGAATTGAAATTAAGAGAGGGGAGAGATTGAAGAGTGGAAAGGAGAAAGTGGTTGAGGGACAGTGAGAGAGGTTGGAGAAGAGAGTAAGAAGAGGCTGCTTACCTGATTTAAAATTGATGAGATGTTCCTTGGGCTGGTCAGTCTGAGGACCTGAGGTTGTAGGTGGATCTTTCTCATGGAGCAAAGAACAGGAGGACAGGGGATTGATCTCCCAAGGGAGGTCCCCCGATCTGAGTCACGGCACCAAATTTCATGCACATCTGTGTGAAGAGACCACCAAACAGGCTTTGTGTGAGCAACATGGCTGTTTATTTCACCTGGGTGCAGGTGGGCTGAGTCTGAAAAGAGAGTCAGTGAAGGGAGATAAGGGTGGGGCCGTTTTATAGGATTTGGGTAGGTAAAGGAAAATTACAGTCAAAGGGGGTTTGTTCTCTGGCGGGCAGGAGTGGGGGTCACAAGGTGCTCAGTGAGGGTGCTTTCTGAGCCAGGATGAGCCAGGAAAAGGACTTCACAAGGTAATGTCATCACTTAAGGCAAGGACCGGCCATTTGCACTTCTTTCATGGTGGAATGTCATCAGTTAAGGTGGGGCAGGGCATATTCACTTCTTTTGTGATTCTTCAGTTACTTCAGGCCATCTGGGCGTATATGTGCAAGTCACAGGGGATGTGATGGCTTGGCTTGGGCTCAGAGGCCTGACAGAAGTTTTCCCTTGGCCCTTGACAATATATTATATGATATTAAATCAATGTTATATTACTTAGAAGTGATGATGATATTATAGTTATGCGGAGAATGACTTTGTTCTTACTGCTTGTATTAAGGTATTAAGGGATGAAATGCTGTGAAAATGGTTCAATTAAAAACAACAGATGATAAATTATCCGTGAAAAAAAAAAAAACAACCCAGATACCAGTCA
The DNA here is from genome assembly GCF_000001405.40 of Homo sapiens. Classification (NCBI taxonomy): domain Eukaryota; kingdom Metazoa; phylum Chordata; class Mammalia; order Primates; family Hominidae; genus Homo; species Homo sapiens. The sequence goes on from NC_000004.12 coordinate 78,719,941, forward strand.
AATTGAAATAGAGGAAAAAAACAACAGAATGAGAGAAAGAGAGAAAAAGGCAAAATCTTAACGATTGTTAAATCTGGATGATGGGTATACAGGTTTTCATTGTACTATTGTAACCAGCCAGTGGGTTCATGTTGCCCACTGCCCAGATAGAGCCGATTTATGAAGACAGGGGAATTGCAATAGAGAAAGAGTTTAATTCATGCAGAGCCTGCCGAACAGGAGACTGGAGTTTTATCACTCAGAGCAGTTTCCCTGAAAATTTGGAGGTTAGGGATTTTCAAGGACAGTTTGGAGAGCCAGGAAATGGGTGCTGCTGATTGGTTGGGGATGCAGTCCTAGGAGTGTGGAAAGTGTCCTTGAGCCTGCTGAGTCCGCTTCCGGGTGTGGCCACAGGACCAGTTGGCAGGATCGGTGGAGCCATCAGCCTTCAGAGACAAAAACCTGAAAAGGCTAATCTCAGGTTCTCCAAGAGTGATGTGATCTGCAGGAGTAATTGGGGAAGTCACAAATCTTGTGATCTCTGGAATAATGGCTGGTAGTCCTTTCCATCTACACTACAGCAGAATTCAGGCTCCTTTCATTCTAATCTAGTGGTCATTCATTAGCTTTACAAAGGCAGTTTAGTTTTGGAAAGGGCTATTATCATTTAAACTATAAACTAAATGTATTCCAAAGTTAGCTTGGCCCAAGCCCAGGAATCCTTAAGGGCAGTTTGAAGATTAAGGGCAAGATGGGGATTGGTTAGATGAGATCTCTTTCACTGTCATAATTTTCTTACGGTTATAATTTTTGCAAAGGCGATTTCACTACTATTTCAATTTTTCTGTGGCTTTACCTTTTCGAAAAAGTAAAACTGAGGGGGAAATATTGCAGAGTTCAATGTACAGTACATTTTTTTTTCCTTTTAAAATGCAGAAGAGGGTTGGTCTACTTCAAAAAGTTCATTAATATTAGAATTATATTCTAAAATAATGGAAGGCCTTATAGAAATCTTCTACTCAGGTTTGGGGTTGCCGTTTATAACTTTTAGCTCCTGCTTTCCCCATGCTTACAAACCCCCTTTCTTTTTTCTTTTTTTCCCCCACAAGTTGCTGGACTGTGTCATAAGATTGCAGCATGCAGCCATGTTCATAGCACCACGCCGAATCCTTTCTGGTGAGGGTATCTCATATTGTGGCATTGGCATTGTCGCTGCTGACATTTTGAGTCTGCCCCCTCTGTATCTGGTGCGGAGTTGATCATGATGAGGTGACAGAGGCAGAACTGCCAAAGGTGACAGAATCATCTGTGTACACAGTTCTCTTCCATTTCCGGTTTTGAGTCCTGGGCTCTTTTATCTTGCTCCTCTTTCTGGCACAGCCCAGACTCCCTTCGGGGTCATTTCCGAAGTGGAACCCGTGCTCGGTCACTCCGCCTTTCTGTTTCCTTCCCCTCAGCAGTGAAAGAACCTTGCTTTGAAAATTGTTCAAAGGGGGATGGGGTGGTTGGCAGTTGTAAGTAACTAAATTCAAACCTTATGAAAGAGCATGACTTTAGGCTCTTATATAAATATATCCTGAAAAAAGTATATGTACTCTGAAGGGAGAGACCAGTAAAGTGTTGCTTAAAAAGAATATAGCTAACAATAGTGACCACAAAAGCATCATGCATATGAAAAAGCATGACCTTTGGAGTTAGGTAGACCTGGGCTTGACTCAACCATGCCACTTGCTGACAGGGTGATCTTGAATAAATTACTTAACTTCTCTGAACCTCAATTTCCTTATCTATAAAATGGAACAAACAATACCTGATTCTTGCTAGAGTGAAAAGTTACAATATAATTTTTCCTTCCTGGCTGAGAGGCTTCCAGACATCTGAACATGAATCTGGTGTAACTGCTGAGCTCAGCCCAAAGTGATCCTTTCTGTTCCACAGGAATGATTGAGTACACAGCCAAAATGAGAGACAGGGGGCAGTTGAATAGGTTCCCTGAGGGCAAAGTGCAAAGCCCTTGTTTGAAGTCTTTTATAATTCAAATCTATCGAGATAGTATCAGCACTTCTCAAACTTTAATGTGAAGAAGAATCACTTGGAGCTCTCGTTAAAATGCAGATTTTGATTCTTTAGGTCTGCAGTGGGCTTCTAACTGTAGACGTCCTGAACTTCTATCTAGAACTTCTATCTAGCTCCCGGGGGATGGAGATGCTCCTCTTTCATGAACCACCCTTTGAATAGCAAGGCCCCAGGGCATATATTTAAAAACCTGAGATTTCTCCAGATTGGGAACTTCTAGGATTTCCAGACTCTACTTTTTCTTCATTCTCACTCTCCTTCTGGAGAGTGGGCACTTAACATGCCCATTTTTAGTTATTATTCTATTAATTGCAATCCTCCTTTCACCGTGTTTTAATGAAGTAAAGCTCCTTTCAAAACGAACTAACAGCAGTTGTTCGCTGCCAGCGGAAACCTCACTGAAGAATTAAATACAACTATGAGCTTCTCTGCAAACAGGAAGGAAGGAGTGAATGGGAATGAGAGAGGAAGCTTGGCAAAAAAATGTCCCTGGGAGCCGCATTTATCCCCTGCCCCAAAGGGTGGACAGGACTACAGTCCCTTGTAATTGTGAAAGTGAAAAGGGGGAAAGCAAAAATGTAGAGACCTGAACCTCTGAGCATGTGCATTTTGAGTAAGTCCTGAGGCTTCTTCTTCCCTTCCCTCTCCAGGCCTCCCTCAGAGGTCAAATGCTGGTCCTTCTGGAGTGACTGGAGGCCCAGGACCTCCCCAGCAGCTTCTATCCTATTTAAGGCCTTGCTTAGTGAGTTCCAGTAGCCCAGACATTTTGAGCTGCTTGATTTAGCACATGTTTACAGTCCACAAGGTGTTAACATGAAATAATTGGTTAAATTTCTCACCAACAATCACCAAGTTTTGAGATTAAAAAAAAATCAAAGCCGCAAACACTTTTTGAGAGTCCATTAAAACCCAAGAATTAGGTTAGGGACTGTGAAAAATCAAACAATGGGGAACTCCACTGCCTTCAAGTTTTAATTTTATGAAAGGAAATAGACATGTTATAAAAATCAATGCTGTAACAGTGAGACAAGAGAGAAGGTGCAAGTAACCAGAGATGGGAATGATGCAGGCCATTAAACAAGAGTCTGCCTGTGCCCAGTGAGTACCACAGGGCCTGTTATATAAATGCATAAATATTGCTGAATAAATAAACCAGTAAGTGAGAATGAGTAAGTGAATGCAGAACAAGACCTTAATGTCTCAAAGAAAGCCAAGCCCATTTTTTCCCTATTTTTTTCCCCCTTATCTGATTATCCACTGCTAGGATTTCACAGGCCTCCCATCCAGCTCACTACTTTGCATCCCCTTGACTGACAGCAGTGAGGACCTTGGAATGTAAACCACCCCTCACTCTGCCCTTATCAGACATTTTTGGGGAGCTTATTTGTATATCAATATCTATATCTACCAGGAATTTCCCTCTATTCTCAGCAGTTATCTTGAGAGGAGTCCTGTAAGTTTAGAAACAACTATTGCCAATTTTCTAATCAAAGAAAAAAGAGAGCATCATGGATTATGTTTGTGTCTCCCCAAAATTCATAATATGTTGAAATCTAATCCCCCAATATAATGGTATTTGGAAGCAGGTCTTTTGGAAGGTAATTAGGCCATGAGACTGGAGCTTTCATGAATAAGAAGAGACCCCAGGGAGATCTCTTTTTTTTCTTTTTCTTTTTTTTTTTGACATCTTGTTCTGTCGCCCAGGCTGGAGTGCGATGACGTGATCTCGGCTCACTGCAACCTCTGCTTCCTGGGTTCAAGCGATTCTTGATTCTCCCAGGTCAGCCTCCCAAGTAGCTGGGATTTCAGGCACCCACCATCATGCCCGGCTAATTTTTGTATTTTTTGTAGAGATGGGGGTTTCACCATGTTGGCCTGGCTGGTCTTAGACTCCTGACCTCAGGTGATCCTCCCGCCTCCGGCTCCCAAATTGCTGGGATTACAGGTGTGAGCCACCGTGCCCAGCCTTGCTTCTTTCTATCACGTGAGGATACAATGAGAAGTCTGCCGTCTGCAATTTGGAAAAGGGCCCTCACATAATTCTGACCATGCTGGCACCTTGATCTCAGACTTTCAGCCTCCAGAACTGTGAGAAATAAATTTCTGTTGTTTATAAGCCACCCAGTTTATGGTATTTGTTATGGCAGCCCAAACTGATTAAGACAAGGGGGAAGAAGAAGGGATTACAAATGAGATAGCCTAGGGAAACGTACAATGGCAGCAAACTGACCCTTTCTGGAACAACACCTGCAGCAGGTCAATCATGCCCCAGAGCAATGTGGGACAAAGGAGGACAAGGGCGTATGCCCATTTCAATGTTTGACTGCAGGTTGTTCCTCACTTCAATAATACATCCAACTGAACAGAATAATATTCTAGGTACTAAAAATGAAAAAATGTGTTGTTTAAGTTTATATAATTCTATTTCAGAGCTAAAACATTGCTCTCTTTAATTAGCATTTATAGAGTACTAGTTAAGTACTCTATAAGTGCCCCACCAATTGATGGCCAGTGCCGTGGCTCACTCCTGTAATCCCAGCACTTTGGGAGTCTGAGGTTGGCGGATCACGAGGTCAGGAGATCGAGACCATCCTGGCTAACAGGGTGAAGCCCTGTCTCTACTAAAAATACAAAAAATTAGCCGAGCGTGGTATCATGTGCCTGTAATCCCAGCTACTCGGGAGGCTGAGGCAGGAGAATTGCTTGAACCTGGGAGACAGAGGTTGCCGTGAGCCAAGATCATGCCATTGCACTCCAGCCTGGGCAACAAGAGCGAAACTCCATCAAAAAAAAAAAAAAATCAATATGGTTAATTAATACTTTTGCCATACCTATGTAAATAATCAGGCCAATTCATGTGTGTGTGTGTGTGTGTGTGTGTGTGTGTGTGTGTGTGTTATCATATAACAACTTTTAAGGAAAATTTGTGAAACTTTGAAATGTGAAAATTTAAAAAAAGATTTTTATTTCCAGGTGTCTTTTTAATGGAATATGAAGTGTTATCTAGTATACCTTTCAGGGTTTGTCTCATTGTATGGGGTCTGTGCCTTTCCCTGTCTTTGAATGAGCTGTCTTATAACTCTGTAAGTTGTAGAAAATTGATAATAATGCCAACAATTTCTGTTCATAGAACTGCAAACAAATTTTGTCAAAGTGAATATGCAATGGTTTCATATATAGAAGAGACTAGTTTGCCTCTATTAGCAAATTCATTTCAGCATTCCTGACTGCCAGTAGATGTGTCTGTTCTTTGAAGTCTCTATGAACTGTTTTTCACATCTTACAGTTGCCTTATAAATAAAATATTTCATGTGTTCATTTTGTATTTGTATAAAATCCATGATTTCTTTCTTTTTCTTTCCTTCCTTCCTTCCTTCCTTTCTTTCTTCTTCTTTTTTTTTTTTTTGGCAGAGTCTCGCTCTGTTGCCCAGGCTGGAGTGCAGTGGCGCGATCTACAACCTCCACCTCCCAGGTTCAAGTGCTTCTCCTGCCTCAGCCACCCAAGTAGCTGAGATCACAGGTGTATGCCATGATGCCTGGCTATTTTTTATATTTTTAGTAGAGATGGGGTTTCACCATGTTGGCCAGGCTGGTCTTGAACTCCTGACCTCAAGTGATTTGCCTGCCAAGGCCACCCAAAGTGCTGGGATTACAGATGTGAGGTGCCGCGCCTAGCCCATTCCTTTTTAAAAATTATCCTTTAATATAGGAATAGTAAGCTAACCAAGTGTATCAGACATTCATGCCATATTGGCAGTGGAGAAAATAGATCAAATAAAAATGTATAATCACAAAACAGGATGTTTTGTGCACAAAATAAACATTAAAACCTTATCCATTAGAGCTGACAACTTTTTTTTAATTTTATTAATAGTATAGAGACAGGGTCTTGCTACGTTGTCCAGGCTGGTCTTGAACTCCTGGCCTCAAGAGATTCTCCTGCCTCAGACTCCCAAAGTGCTGGGATTATAGGTGTGAGGAAGTGTACAACTTTAAATATGGCATATCACTATCAGTTTTCCTCAAAGCACAATAGTTGTACCTCAGAGAACAATTCGACATTTTTCCATTTTTTTTCTCAGTGGTTATCAATCGAAACTCTTTGTGATATTATTGGTGCAGGGAAAGGGAAAACTTCTCTGTGTCAATCTGTGACAAAAAAGAGATAATAGAAATTTGTTCCAGGCCAGGTGTGGCAGCATGTGCCTGTAGTTCCAGTGCTTTGGTAGACCGAGACAGGAGGATCTCTTGGGCAGGAGTTCAAGACTAGCTTAGGCAAAATAGCAAGACCCTGCCTCCACAAAAAAATTATCCAGGTGTGGTGGCACAACTTGTAGTCCCAACTATTAAGAGGCTGAGGTGGGAGGCTTGCTTAGGTTACAGTGAGCTACTATTATACCTCTGCACTCTAGCCCGAGTGACAGAGCAAGACCCTGTCTCTAAAAAGTGAAATAAAATAAAATAATAGGACTTTTAAAAAATTACTGATTTTGCAGGCACATAGGGGCTTCATGGAAAAGAATTTAAAACCCGTAGAAGCAATAATGGCTGGGAGCTTATATATCATTATAACAAAGGGTGATAAACTGTGAAGTGACCAGATGAGAAAAAAAAGAGGTTTGATGTTTGTACTTCTAGGAGTGGTAAAATTGAGAGAAGGTAAATATATGGGGGAAACTAATAGAACGTAAGAGTTATTTTAGAAAGCTTTATTTGTGCTACCCATCTCAGTGCTGATTTTTCATTTCCTGTGCTAAGAGTCATCTTGTCCTCTTGGTATGGAAGAGTAATCAAGGGACACTTTTACAAAGAAAAATTTATGCCCTGCTGTTAGGCAGAGGGCAGGCAGAGAATTCCTCCTACATCTGCTGTTTCTCAATTGCCTTCAGCTCAAAATAATCCATATGTTAAAGTGTCATATTTTGGGGTGGCATATTTTGATCCCCTTCATTGACATTCACTTAGACTGCTTTATTTATGCCTGCTCTCTGATATCAATATGATATTATTTCTCCCAGGATAATCACTGAAGATCCTCCTTATAGCTGTGAGAGCTGGGCCTGGATTTCTGTATGGCTGAGTTGCCTCCCTTTACTTCCCTTTTTTTTTTCTTTCTTCCTTCCTTCCTTCCATTTTTTTTTTTTTTTTTGAGATGGAGTCTCGCTATGTCACCTAGGCTAGAGTGCAGAGGCACGATCTCAGCTCTCTTCAACCTCCGCCTCCCAGGTTCAAGCGATTCTCCTGCCTCAGCCTCCCAAGTAGCTGGGACTACAGGCACCTACCACTGCACTCGGCTAATTTTTGTATTTTTAGGAAAGACGGGGTTTCACCATCTTGGCCAGGCTGGTCTCGAACTTCTGACCTCATGATCCACCTGCCTCAGCTTCCCAAAGTGCTGGGATTACAGGCTTGAGCCACCGCGCCCAGCCTTTTTTTTTTTTTCTTTTTTTCTTTTCTGAGTCAGGGTTTCCTACTCTGTCACCCTGGCTGGAGTGCAGTATTGTGATCACGGCTCACTGCAGCCTTGACCTCCTAGAGTCAAGTGATCCTCCCACTTCAGCCTTCTGAGTAGGTGGGACTACAGGTGCATGCCATCATGCCTGGCTAACTTTCAAAAAAAATTTTGTACAGGCGGGTATCTCACTATGTTGCCCAGGTTTGTCTTGAACTCCTGGACTCAAGCAATCTTCTCGCCTCAGGCTTTCAAAGTGCAGGCATGAGCCATCACACTGGCCTGCCTCTGTTTATTTTCTTATCACATCTAGTTCTCAAGATTTCCTGCCATTAGAGAGTCACAAAGAGAATGTAGATTGGATCAGAACTGTTGCTTTAGCCAAAGTAATAAGTTACCATTGATTCAATCTTCAGAGGAATTGGAGAATGACATAAGAACTAACCCTGTTTTATTTTTGACATGTATATAATGGTTCTAATAAAAATGTTTTGTGGGGTGGGGGGGTTTTGTTTTTTTGTTTGTTTGTTTGTTTTTGAAATAGAGTCTTGCTCTGTCATCCAGACTGGAGGTACAGTGGCGTGACCTTGGCTCACTGCAGCCCTGACCTCCCAGGCTCAATCAATCCTCCCGTTTTAGCCTCTCAAGTAGCTGGGACTACAGACCCACACCACCATGCTCAGCTAATTGTTTAAATTTTTTGTAGAGGCAAGGTCTCACTATATTGCCCTGGATGGTCTTGAACTCCTGGGCTCAAGCAATTTTTCCACCTTGGCCTCCCAAAGTGCTGAGATTACAGGTATGAGACACCACACCAGGCCCAGACACCACACCAGGCCCAGAAGTTCACCCATGTTTTCTTCTAGTACTTGTATAGTTTCATTTTTTTACATTTGATCTTTGATTCATTTGGAGTTTATTCTTATGTATGCTGTGAGGAATGAATCTAATTTCATATTTTTCCAAATGGCTATCCCGTTGTCCCTACACCATTTATTAAAAAGTCCCATCTTTCTCTCAGGGATTTGGAATCCCATCATTATCATATATGAAATTTCCATATGTAGTTGACTCTATTGCTGGACTTTTAACTCTATTTCATTGGTCTGTTTGAGTACTTGTGTACCAGTATCATATGATTTTAATTATAGAGGCCTTACATTTTATTTTAAAAGCTGGTGTGGCTAGGCCCTCCTTATAGCTCTTGCTTTGCCATGTTTTCCTAGATATTCTAGGATGTTTATTTTTTCATATGAACTATACTTCTGAAACTTGCCTAGTTTCAAAAATAATGTTTGTTTTTATTGGAATCACATTAAAATTTTGAATTAGGTAGGCAACTGATATCTTGATGATTTTGAGACAAGAACAAGGGACATGTTTTCATTTGTTTTAGTCTTACTTTGTGTCTTTAGGAATGCTTTATAGGTTTTTTTTTTGAGACGGAGTCTCGCTCTGTCGCCCAGGCTGGAGTGCAGCGGCCCTGTCTCGGCTCACTGCAAGCTCCGCCTCCCGGGTTCACGCCATTCTCCTGCCTCCACCTCCTGAGTAGCTGGTACTACAGGCACCCACCACCACGCCTGGCTAATTTTTTTGTATTTTTAGTAGACACGCGGTTTCACTGTGTTAGCCAGGATGGTCTCGATCTCTTGACTTCGTGATCCGCCCGCCTCGGCCTCCCAAAGTGCTGGGATTACAGGCGTGAGCCACCGCGACCGGCCAGGTTTGCTTTTTTTCATGGATATTAAATATTTTCTGTAGGCTGGGCACGGTGGCTGACACCTGTAATCCCAGCACTTTGGGAGGGTGAGGTGAACAGATCGCTTGAGGTCAGGAGTTTGAGATCAGCCTGGCCAACATGGTGAAACCCTGTCTCTACTAAAAATACGAAAATTATCCAGGTGTGGTGATGGGCACCTGTAATCCCAGTTACTCTGGAGGCTGAAGCAGGAGGTTCACTCGAACCCAGGAGGCAGAGGATGCAGTGTGCCAAGATCATGCCACTGCACTCCAGCCTGGGAGACGGAGCGAGACTCTGCCTCAAAATAAAGAAATAAACAAACAAATAAATATTTTTTGTAAAAGCTATTCCTAAATATTTTATCTTTTTTTGATACCTCATTAAATGGGTATTTAAAAAGATATAAAATAATTGGATTTTATTTGTGTATGCAAAAAATATTAATTTTTACATGTTTCCTGTTAATTTTATACGCTGCTAACTTACTGAATGGTTTTAGTGTTGTATAAGTTTTATAATTAATTATTCAGAGCAGCACGGTCCAATAAAAACATAATGTAGTTGGCAGGGCTTGGTGGTTTGTGCCTGTAATCCCAGCACTTTGGGAGGCTGAGGTGGACAGATCACCTGAGGTCAGGAGTTTGAGACCAGCCTGGCTAACATGGTGAAACCCCGTCTCTACTAAAAATACAAAAAAAAAGCCAGATGTGGAGGTGTGTGCCTATAATCCCAGCTACGCAGAAGGCTGAGGCAGGACAATTGCTTGAACCTGGGAGACAGAGGTTGCGGTGAGCTGAGATCGTGCCACTGCACTCCAGCCTGGGTGACAGAGCGAGACTCGGTCTGAAAAAAATAAAAATAAAACTTTCTAGCAGCTAAAATTAAAATGGTTAAAAGAAATAGGCGAAACAAGTATTAATGATAAGTTATATATTTAACTCAATGTGCCAAAAGTATTATTTCAGCATAGAAACAATATAACAATTATTAATAAGGCATTTTACATTCTTTCTTCATACAAAGTCTTTGAAATCCAGTGTGTGTATTTCACATTTACAGTACATTCCCATTTGGATCTTAAATTTTTATCAGAAATATCTTATGTGACTTTAGATTTCATAAAATTTACATTGAAAATATATATTCATGTATTCAAGTTGCTCCAAACGTACTTAAGTTTTCTTGTCACTCTAGCATGTACATATATGTATATATCTTCCTTTAATATTCACATCGACATTAACAAAACTAGTTCTTCTTTTTTAGAAGAATAGATTTGACTATGTTGTAAAAGCCTACATCTGTCCACGTAAATTTACTAATTCTTGCATCAACATCAAATTCAACAGGAATTTCATTAACAGAAAAATAGTCTAAAAGTGAAGAATCAAAGCTTCCCAGTGGCATTCCTCAACCAATGGGGATAAAAACCTCAATACATTTTCTCATATCCCGTTATTCAGGTGAGCAATTCTGAGAGTTACTCCACATGCTCCTCAAGAGGTCACGTACAAACTATCTTCATCAGTTACCTTGATAATGCGCCCTATGTCAGCTTTTCCTCCTTCCCTGTCTAATTCCCTCACTCTAGCTCGCTGAGGTCACCTGCCCCTAAAACTGCCTGCACCCAAGTCTTTATCAGAAATTCAAGCAAAGACAGAGATCTATCAAGTTTAAAGGATGAGGCATGTGTAAAAGTTGGAGCCCTTATAGAAGAATACTAGAAATATTTTATAGGTTCTTAAAATACTGTTGAAGAACCATACATTAAAACTTTAAGGTGAGAACCAGAAATATGCATTTAAATGTATTCCTTATTAAATTAAGTAGAGAGGAAAGCAATGTCTGAAACTGTAGTCTGCACTGTGGTTATATAAGAGAATATTATCCTTAGGCATATGCAACTTACTCTTAAAAGTTCAGGAAAAATACGCATCTATATGTTTGTATGTATACATGTGTATATGTATAAACAGAGAAAGAGAAAGAGAGAGAATGGGAGAAACAGATAAAGCAAATGGGCAGAATGTTTACAATAGGTAAATTTGGGTAAAGTGTATACTCTTAGCTGGGCGTGGTGGCTTATGCCTATAATCCCAGCATTTGGGAGGCTAAGGTGGGAAGATTGCTTGAACCCAGGAGTTAGAGATCAGCCTGGGTTACAGAGCAAGACCCTGTCTCAAAACAATTTTTTTTTTTTTTTTTTTTTTTGAGATGGAGTCTCGCTCTGTCACCAGGCTGAAGTGCAGTGGTGCGATCTTGGCTCACTGCAACCTCTGCCTCTCAGGTTCAAGCAATTCCTCTGCCTCAGCCTCCTGAGTAGCTTGGACTACAGGCACACCCCACCATGCTCGGCTAAGCTTTTTTTTTTTTTTTTTTTTTTGTATTTTAGTAGAGATGGGAGTTTTACCATGTTAGCCAGGATGGTCTCGATCTCCTGACCTAGTGATCCACCGCCTCAGCCTCCCAAAGTGCTAGGATTACAGGTGTGAGCCACTGCGTCTGGCCATAAACATTTTTTCAAAGCATACAGTCATCTGTTGGTATTTATGGGGGATTGGTTCCAGGACCTCCAGCACATAACAAAATCCATATTTTCTAGTCCCTGAGTAATATAAAATGACACGGTATTTGCATATAACCTATGCACATTCTTCCATATACCTTAAATCACCTCTAGATTACTTTTATAATACCTAATACAATGTAAATAATATGTAAATAGTTGTTCTATTGTTTAGGGAATAATGACAAGAAACAAAAGTCTGTCTACATTCAGTCCAAACGTAATCTTTTTCTGAACATTTTCAATCTGAGGCTGGTTGAATTTGTGGATGTGGAACCCATGAAGATGAAAGGCCAACTGTATATGGTTGTTCTTTAGACTATTCATGCAGCTTTTCTGTAAGTGTGAATTTCCAAATTAAAAGTTAGAAAAAGTTATTATAGACTTTTCAAGACAGCAAACTTAAGTCATAAGGCTTCAGGGTCAGCAGCCCTTTTTCTTTTTACCACCTATCTTTTAAAATGTCCTAAAATGAGCTGGGCACAGTGGTTCATGCCTATAATCCTAGCACTTTGGGAGGCCAAGGCGGATGAATCACCTGGGGCCGGGGGTTCGAGACCAGCCTGGACAACATGGTGACACCCTGTCTCTACTAAAAATACAAAAATTAGTCAGGTGTGGTGGTGGGCGCCTATAATCCTAGCTACTTGGGAGGCTGAGGCAGGAGAATTGCCTGAACCCAGAGGGCAGAGGTTGCAGTAAGCCGAGATTGCAACACTTCACTCCAGCCTGGGCAAAAGAGAGAAACTCCATCACCAAAAAAAAAAGTCCTAAAATGCTGACAAGTTGATATTAATAATAAAGGCTCCTATCTGGGCCCACTAAGAATAAGAGGAAACCTTCACTCAGACATGATTTTAAGCAGTCACACTTTGTCCCACTTAAAAAAAAAAAAAAAGTAATGTTGGCTACCACCGTTAAAAAGTTGGTTGGCCCTTTCCTTATCTTAATGGACCAGCAGGCAATAGTACTGTGAACATTCATTAGAAAATGGTAAAACTGTTGAGATCTTGGGTTCAAAGGTCATGCACTGATGTTAATTTTTTCCCAGGGTTTCTTAGAAGTGTTGGCCAGGAAAAGCTCTTGCTGAGTTAGTAAAGACAACACAGATAAGATGGGGGAAATTTCTGTTAATTAGCTAAATGTACACTTGCTAGCCACTTGAGCAAATGAGTATGAGGCAGCTCTATCTTGTCAAGGCTGGAAGGAATTTTACAACTGGTAGTATACAATTCCTTCACTTGCCAGAGTTCTACTATTGGTGCAGGTCCCAACTGTCATCTGGTTTAACTGCTCATCTGCAGCTTCCATTGTCTCTGATGACACCTGCCATGTTGCTTACATATGTTCAGAAACAAGCAGGTCACTATGCCTGCAACAGCACTAATAATACACCTCCTTGTTTAAGCAATGGTGTTGACTGCATTATAGTTTTTAACAGTAAAAAAATTAGCAAGAACTTAAATGTCAATCAATAAGAAAACTTATTTCATTAAAATTCTAAGTATCATTAGAAAGAATAAGTTGAATCTATATATACCTATTTGAAATAAAAAAAAAATTTTAAGAGACGGGGTCTCACTATGTTGCCCAGGCTGATCTTGAACTCCTAGGCTCAAGTGATTCTCCTGCCTCTACCTCCCAAAGCGCTGGGCTTACAGGCGTGAACCACCATGCCCAGCCCTAATACCTGCTTTTTTTTTTTAAGTCTCCAATATATTAAGTTTAAAAAATTGTAAAATAGTTTCATATTATTCTGATTTTTGTACGAAAGATGTAAAAGTTTATATACAAGTGCAATTTTTAAAAAGTCTAGGATAAATTCCAAACAATTCCAAACTGTTAACAGTGTTTTTCATGGGGAGGATAATGAAAACAATTACTCCCACTCCTTTTGTTTCCATTGGAGGAGAGTTTCCCTTATACTTCTTTGCTCTTACTCCTCATTCCAGTCTCTAGAGGTTGTCTGGGCAATACAGTGGGAAATGCTTATTGTCTTCAACTCTTATTCAGGCAAGCAGCAGGCATTGGAGAACCACCACTCCTGGGTGGAGGAGTGGCTTCTCATAGTGACAGGTTTGTAAAAGTGAACAGGTGAAGCTCGATCACATTTTGTTTCCCTCTGGTTGGAATCAGACTCTAGCAGAAACCATCCCTCTATTCCTTCACTCCATCTGTAAGTTTATGGGGACAGGCTCACTTAGGAGGGCAGGCTATGCCTGTACAATGCTCCTAGAGACTAGGGCAGATAAGTGGTAACCTGGCCCACCACTGCCTCCCACCTAGGCCACATTCTACAGTAGTTCTAGCAGTAACAAAACTGACGTTTTGATCTTTATCCACCTCACTCTGTATTTCTCTCATTGGTTTTGAGCTTAGGTAACAGGAGTATTATTCATTAGAAGCCCTCAAGTGTGAATAAAAACAATATTTTCTTTTAATTTTTTATGCTTCTGCATTGTTTAAATTTTTTATTAAAATGAGCACATATTACACAGAATAATATAGATATCTCTAAATATAAAGATATGAAGACATAAAATCTATATCCTTAAATTTTCCACCTAATCTTAGAATTCCTGTGTCCTTCTTGATTTGTATTGTCCTTTATACTTCAGTTGCTTGAAGCAACTGCATCGTCTTCTAAGGTTAAAAGAGGTAATTTGCCTTCATCTACTCTCTACTCCTTTGGTCACTGGACACTAGTTTTCTTGTTCCATACATTCTTTTCCCTTTCTGATTAAACCATCTAATTTGGCTTCCTTCAAAGAGGTTGTTGCCCTTTATTCCAGTAAGTCATTCCTATTCTGACTTGGAAAAAGCTTTCCCTATTTTTCTAGGCCCCCAGGATACTTTTGCTGTGGTGACAGCCTACGAATGGTCTCCCAGGCATTTATAGAATGTTCCCTTCATTTTTCACATCATAGCCTGCAAATTTATAAAGAAAGCATTATGTCCTCTCAAATATTTTTTTCTCCAGGCAAAATATTCTCATTTTCTTCAACTGTGTGTCACACAGCATGGTTTCGATTCCCTATTTTGGCCACTCCCCTCGAAATGGACCCCAGTTTGTCTATAAATCTCCTAAAGATTGACACCAAAAGGGGAATACAGTTCTCTGGGTGATCTGATCATTGTGGACTAGAAAAGAGTAGTGTCCTACTTGTTATAACAATGGCATACTCTTACCACAGTGGTAAGAGTGGCCAGTATGCTCTCACCAGATATGTACACTGGGGATTATCTTGGTCTGTTAGGGCTGCTGTAGCAAAATACCATAAGTTGAGTGGCTTATACATAAAAGAAATTTATTTCTTACAGTTCTGGAGACTGGGAAGTCCAAAATTAAGGCATAATTCAGTGTCTGGTTAGGGTCCACTTTCTTACAGATGGCACCTTCTTGTGTTCTCACTTAGCGAAAGGAGTTACCAAGCTCCCAAGGGCCTCTTTTATAAGGGCACCAATCTCATTCCTGAGGGCTCCACCCTCATGACCTAATCACTTCCCAAATGCCTTAACTCCTAATACCATCACTTTGGGAATTAAGATTTCAACATACAAATTTTGGAGGGAGTGGACACAAATATAGCAGTGATCATGTCACAGGGTATACTCATATTGGGCTTACTGTGATTTAAAACATGCAAATCACTTTCATCTATGCCATCAGCAAAACAAATTTATTTCAACATACAAACATCTCAAATCACTTGCACACAATTATATTGGAATTATAATAATGATCAATTATTATATAATTATCATTATTACAATTAGAATTATATTTATATTATAATTATATTAATATTTATGTATTAATATTTACAATTATTATTATAGTTCCAATTTAAAAAGTCTCCATGTTTCCTACAATGGACATCCCTTCACAAGCAAATACCCTCCCTTCTTTACCTTCTATTCACCCCTCAACCCAGGTGACACAAGCCTTCTGATCTGAGTAATATGAAGTTACTCTTGCAAATAATGTAATAAGAAAAATGCAATAGTCTCTTTTCAGGCTGAGTCTTGACTTTTATAATGAATTTGACTTTGATAGCTATTTCTTCTTCTAGGGTTTCAGACACTATTGGTTCCAACCTCACATCACTTCTCAAAAGCTTCCCTTCTCATTCTAAGCAGTTTCACTTTGAGCTCTCACTTAAATCTGTCTCCATCATTACCCTGTTTGAAATGCTTCAGTGTTTCTTGAGAGCAGTGGTTCTCAACCCAGTTACATATTGCAATAATCTGGGGAGCTTTTAAAAAATATCTAAGCCCAGACCCCATCCCAGACTAATTGAATCAGAAGTAATAGAGATTGGCCTGAATCTTTAAAACACCAGAGGTAGCCCTTATGTTTTTGTCCAGTCTTATCTCTCATCCTTTACCCACTGATGTAGCTATATTAAATGGAGGCCCTCAACACTCACTGTTTTGTCTAGATTATATACCGTCAGTTAAAGTGTCACATCCTCTGTGAAGCCCTAGACTTACATCTCCAATCTCATTCTATTTTTTAATTTTTTTTTAGAGACAGGGTCTCACTATGTTGCCCAAGTTGGTCTGAAACTCCTGGGCTCAGGTGATTCTCTGCCTCACCCTCCCAAAGTGCTAGAATTACAGGTGTGAGCTACTGCACCCAGCCACTCACCCTATTTTCATCTTTTTTTCTTTACTGCGTAATTCCTTTGATTTGATAGGGAGATGGGGTTTAGGTTAACTCAAGCTGGTAGGGCTGCAGGTACACCCAAATCAACGGCCAAGCAGAGTAGGGTGGGTGGTGTGTAGGGTTTGTGGAGGGGGGTGAGCACTTTCAAACCTTTCAAAATCTTCACATCCATGCACACACATGCATATTAATACACATACACCGCCTGTGAACAAAAGCTGGCTCCTCTTTAAACACTTTAAATTGTGAAAAAGGGGAAAAGCACATTAGGGAAAGAGATAAAGGCTGTAGCAAGATTGCTTTGTAATTAAAGAATCAAGAGAAGGAAGAATGGAGTAAGCTGGGCATGGGGTAGCTGATGCCTGTAGTCTTGACTACTCTGGAGGCTTAGGCAGGAGGATCATTTGACCCCACGAGTTTGAGGCTACAGTGCACTAGGATGGTGCCTGGAAAGAGCTGCTGCATTCCAGCCAGTGCAACATGGTGAGACTCCTTATCAAAAAAAAAAAAAAAGAATGGAGTAGATGGGGGCTAATATAATAATGACAGAAAAGAGTTTGCCTTTTAGCAAGCGGCCTAGGATGACTGGGATGAGAGAGTTGGGGCAAACATGGGGGAGAACTCATGGGCTTTACCTATCTGGTGGGCCGAGAGGCCTGTGGTCTGACCAGCTGTCTGCAGCTTCTCATAACCAGTTTGATTCTGAACTAGAATGTTAAGGTTATTGGTCTGTTATTTGTGGTCAACTTCTTTGCAGTTTTGAATATTTCTTGCTTTTCTGATTGTTTCAAAGGTTGCTATCTTGTGATTTCATTTGCAAATTGTCTTAGTATCTGGAAATAGAGCATAATATTGGTTGCCTACCCAACACCCATTTCCTCTTTACCCCACAAATAACTCCTCTCCCACACAGCCATGTGCTTAAAAAAAACCTGATTCCACTGCATCTCCTGATCATGATGAATCTTAAGTTGAGAGCAATCTGTGCATTACAACTGTTACAGGTTTGGGATATGCACATAACCCAAGCAGGCCAAATCAGCCTGGTTAGGGAATAGGTTTCTCTTCTTTGTTTTTTGTTTGTTTGTTTGTTTCTTTTTGTTTTTGTGTTTTAACTGTTTCTGAAGCATTTATTTTATTTTACTGAGACAAGGCCTCACTCTGTCACCTAGGCTGGAGTGCAGTGATGCCATCATAGCTCACTGCTGCCTTGAATTCCTGGGCTCAAGTGATCCTCCCACCTTAGTTTTTTGAGTAGATATGACTACAGGCACGCACCACCACACTTGGCTAATTTTTTTTTCTTCTTTTTTAGTAGAGACAAGGTGTCACTATGTTGTCTTAACATTGTCTAGGCTGGTCTTGAACTCCTAAGCTCAAGCAATTATTTCGCCCCAGTCTCCCAAAGTGCTGGATTACAGCTGTGAGCCACTGTACCTGGCCTCTCTTCTTCTGGACATAAAAATGAATACATGAAGCTGGATGCAGTAGTATGTACTTGTGATTTCAGCTATTTGGGAGGCCGATGTGGGAGGACTGCTCGAGCTCATTGGTTTGAGAGCAGCCTGGGTAACGTGGCAAGTAGAAAGAAAAGAAAAAAAGAGGAGAGGGGAGGGGAGTGAAGAGGAGGGGAGGGGAGGAGAGGGAAGGGAACAGAAGGGAAGGGAAGGGAAGGGAAAGGAGGGGAGGGAAGGGAAGGGAAGGGAAATTTGTAGAGGGAAGGGAAGGGAAGAGAAGGGAAGGAAAAGGGAAAGGGAAGAGACATTTGTAGTTCAATGACTGCTGGCAGCTAAGAGAAAAACAACATGATAAAGCACTCCTGAGGACAGCAAAGCAGAGGATGCTAAGTCAAGAATTCGAGTATTTGAGTCACTGAATCAGCCAACCTTGGATCCAACCCTACCTCTGGACTTCTTGTTATATGAGATAATAGATATTATTGTTCAAGCCACTTCAAGTGAGGATTTCTGTTACCACAGCCAAAACATCTTAACATTCATCTAGATGTAAACTGAAAAGATTGATTGCTCTATACTCAAATTAAATTATTATCACCCCATAATTTCTTTAACCTTCTTGAATCTTGGACACAGTTACCTCTGTCCAATATTTATTCTAGGACTTTACATTCAAATACCACTGAATTGTATAAGTTGGTGCTACCATTTAACTCATAGATGCTCTGGAAAAGTGAGGGAGAACTAATGTAAGAATGTTTTCCTATTCCTAAGGCTTGGAAGGGAGTCAACATTGATTTTTAACTTATCAATATAGCAAGCAATTGAGTTATTAGGTTTATTTTATGATTATGATTATTAAAGTAACATACATCTGGGATACCTCCAGAATAGAATCTCTAAATGGTAGGACTGTACAATTTAGAGAGAGGAAAAACTTATCAGCCAGTGTGTGAATATTTTACTGTTACTGAAAAAATAAAAAGTCCTATTTCCATTCATCCATCATCTAAGGATCCATCAACCTTGATTTGCAACTCTAGAATATTTTATTGTTCTTAGAGGAAAACAGAATAGTTTTTGTAGCTGTGACTGCTACATCTGCTGGTCCCTGAAAGTTTGATAGAGCAGCAGGAGGAAATAATCATTTCCCAATGACCTCACGATTGAAAGAAAATGGTAATTTTTTTCTTCAAGGAAATGGTTTTTCAGATAGAGAAGTTAGAAGGTATGTTTGGTTTGTTTGTTCATTTTTTTTTTTTTTTTTTTTTGAAGACAAGGTCTTACTCTGTCACCCAGGTGGGAGTGCAGCTGCGAGATCTCGGCTCACTGCAGTCTTTACATCCCGGGCTCAAGTGATCCTCCCACCTCAGCCTCCCGAGTAGCTGGGACTACTGGACTGGCCTGCAACACCATGCCTGGCTAATTTTGTATTTTCTGTAGAGATGGGGTTTCACCATGTTGCCTGGGTTGGTCTCAAATTTCTGTGCTCAAGCAATCCACCCGCCTCGGCCTCCCAAAGTGCTGGGATTATAGGCATGAACCACCACGCCTGGCCACTTTTGTTGTTGTTGTTGTTGTTGTTGTTTAATGATGATACAGAAGAGACTAACAATTTGCTTGGTGATTTATTGTCCTTGTTGTATTCTTGGCAACAGAAGTCACTGTTAAGGTGGTTTTTAAAACTATCCAAAAGCCTAAAGAACAACTGTAAAAACTGCAAACTGGCTGGTGGAATGGTTCATGCCTCTAATCCCAACGCTTTGGGAGTCTGAGGCAGGAACATTGCCTGAGTCCAGGAATTCGAAGCTGCGGTGAACTATCATTGTGCCACTGCACTGCACAACTACAAATTGATCAAATGAATTAACACTTAGGAAAGAGGAAGTTTAAGTGATTCTTTCAATTAGGGAATAATATACTAATATACATATACAGTATTTCACATAATCAGGCTTAGTAGATAAACAATGAACATATACTTTGAATTATTTACACATCTGATTTAAAAGATTAAAGTATTTTAAGCCTTTAAATTGAAATGAAAGAAGTAAACTCAGAAATTATGGCTTGTGAAATCTCTTTACAAGCTTCCTTTACAGCAAGAGATTTTTGCAATAAGACTAGGCTGTTCCCAACCTCCTTGCTGTTGGAGAAACTAGTGGATGACTTATCAAGTGTTATACTAAGGAATTAGTCCAAGGATTTGAAGTGTAATTAAACTTCCCCTAGTCACTCTTTATCCAATTAACATTTTCGTTTCTTTAAAGCACTTATCGCTATCTGAAATGTTTTTGTATGTTTGTTGTCTAATTCCATTAGAATGGAAGCGCCACAAGAGCAACAGCCTCATCTGGCTTATTTGCTTCTATAAAACACCTGATGCCTTTTAGGGGCTTAGTAAATATTTGTTGCGTACCTAAATGGATGAACATATAAATTTCAGTTAAACATATTTTAATTTACAGAGAAAAAAATAGACTCGCTACAGTAGATCTGAACTAATTCAATTAACTAGGAAAATTTTCACTGAAAAATATTGATGATGTGATATTGTCAACAGATAGGCATGTGTATTTAGGAGCTGGCTATAAAAAAGAATGCCAAATATGTACAGATTCCTTCTTTTTTTTTTTTTTTTTTGAGACAGAGTCTCACTCTGGCACCCAGGCTGGCGTGCAGTGGCTGCAACCTCCACCTCCTGGTTCAAGCAATTGTCGCGCCTCAGCCTCCCAAGGAGCTGAGATTACAGGTGCCCGCCACCACACCTGGCTAATTTTTGTATTTTTAGTAGAGATGGGGTTTCACCATGTTGGCCAGGCTGGTCTCAAACTCCTGACCTCAAGTGATCCACCCACCTCAGCCTCCCAAAGTGCTAGAATTACAGGCGTGAGCCACCACACCCAGCCAGATTCCTTCTTAATAATATAAAAATATTTACAGTATGGTTTGGATTACTTTAAACCTTTCTAAACTTAAATTTAAATGTGCCCAGGGTGGAAAGGTATTTACTCATTAAGAAGGACAAATGATATATCTAGAATACCTAGAATAAGAGATGTTTGACCCAGCCTGAGACCTGGAACAACAATCACCAAAAGCAATTCTTTTCACTGCCCTAAGTACCTAACTACCCTTTCACATGAGGCCCCTCAAAATCTCTTAAGACTGTGAAAACTTTCCAAAGTCAGACAGACAAAATGTGGTAGAGTGAATAACTGAAACTTCAGGTATCTAACTTCAAAGCGTGTGTGTGTGTGTGTGTGTGTGTGTGTGTGTGTGTGTGTGTGTGTGTGTTTCTGATGTAAGATGCTTTCCAGTAGATCAGAGTTTGGTAACCTGTCAGGCATAAAAAGTGAGAGACAAAGGCAGGAGTGTAGAAGCCTTTGGAAGGAAGAAATGCTTGACATTTATGAAATCCCCTGCTTTTCGTGGTTGTCTTAAAATTTTTTTGGTTGATCAAAAAGTGCAGATCACATTAACAAGGGGCCAGATGCTGTCAGACAAATGTCAGCATCAGATAATGCATATGGATAGCATGCATGACATGACCATCACCATCATGATCACCGTCAAGCTTCTTATTGGAGAAACTGGTAGATGACATATCAAGTGTTATACTAAGGAATTAATGCAAGGATTTGAAGTGATAAATTTGACACTCAAGAGATCTCATCCTTTAACTGAGTAGCTCATTACTGAGTAGTGATTAGTAAGGGTTTTACAAGGTAAAAAGTAAAAATGCTGAACTGGTAACTGTATATATTTAATTTAATATTTAATACCAATATTTAATTTAATACCAAATTATTTCTCACCTTAAACAGTTACAAAAATAATTTCTTTCTAAAGAATCTGCTCTGTAAAATTCTTACTGCAAAATAAAGTGAATGAAAATAAAAATATCTTGAAATCTAGCAAGGTCAATTAACATTTGAGAAAAGCTTTGAAATGTGATGTTTAAAAACACACAATTTTTTTTTTTTTTTAGAAATTCAGCCTATCAACATTCATGTCAAAACTTTTCATCATAGATCAACACCTGTTACAGCTACTGTTTTATTTTTCTCAATGCCAATGAAAAAAGGGATTCGGTAAAAGCCATGAGCCCCAGTTTTGAGATTCTCATAATTTTTGGCAAGCTCTACTACCATAAAGCCTAAAAGTTTTGTTTGGACTTCTAGCCGGACTGGAAGTATAGACAACTTTGCATATATACACAATGTTCCTGGTTACCTTTCTGGCCAAAGACAAGATTATTCCTTTCCCAATAAATATTAGTGCTTCCTGCAATACAATCTGCTTTTCCACCTGTTGTTGAAAATATTCTGTTTTCTGTCACAGTTGCTGGATTACTATTTACATTTTGATTTCACACAGCTTCTGTGAGTCTTTTATTAGAAGGAAATCAATTCTGTAGCTAGATTATAGAAAATATTTGCTTGAATTCTAAACAATCTGATCAGTGGGAGTTAAAGAGAGACCTAAGTGACTCAAAAGAAGGAAATGGAAGATTAAGCATCTGAGCTATAACTGCTCAAAAGCTCTATTTCTCCCTGGGCTGCTCAGTGGCCTGCAAGACATAAATTGATCTTGGTTCTAGTCATAGAGGGTAGGCAGGTGTTTTTGGTACCAAATAGTGTCATTTCTCTTTTGTTGTGGCAATTTTAGCAATAAGGCCAAAGAGCAATGGAGCCTACAGGACTAAACTCTTCACTGAAACTGACTCAACTCTTCTGGGGAGGGAAACTGGTCCCGTCCTGGATTTAAGCACGCAATTGCTGTGGCACCATCTCTTACAATCATAACACTCAAGAAATACATATTAACCTTTAAAAAACCGTTCTTGGGTCTTTGATCTTCACACTTTTCTTTGAACATCATGTTTTCCATAAATATAATTGAGCATGATGAGAAGCTAAATAATATAAATACTAAGGTATAACTTCTTATTGGGAAATAAAATGACATGGCTAATGTTTTACTTCTGAAAAAAGATTTTTTTTTTTTTTGAGACAGAGTCTCACCCTGTTGCCCAGGCTGGAGTACAGTGGCGCGATCTCGGTTCACTGCAACATCTGCCTCCCAGGTTCAAGCGATTCTCCTTCCCCAGCCTCCCGAGTAGCTGGGATTACAGAAACACGCCACCACGCCCGGCTAATTTTTGTATTTTTAGTAGCGATGGGGTTTCACCATGTTGACCAGGCTGGTCTCGAATTCCTGACCTCTTGATCCACCCGCCTCAGCCTCCCAAAGTGGTGGGATTACAGGCATGAGCCACCACACCCAGCCAGGAAAATATTTTCTATTTTAGCTAAAAACAAAAGTGTATATTTAGGAAAGAGATGGAATAGACCCCATCTCAGAATTCATATCAATTCTGAGGATAAACAAAGAAGCAAATCCATGGCTGTGTCTACACAATTACAAACATTCATTTAAGCATTTAATTACATGAATTCAACTAACAAAGTAAATTGTACTAAAATAAATAAAAGTCCTTTATTTTTCTTTTCAGTCATATAAGTGATATAAACAGTTGATTAGTTGAGGATATTAAAAAATTCTTAATATCACATTTTGAATTAATAATATTTGTTATACTCTAATTACAAAATAACACCTGCTTGTTATGGAAAATTTGGAAAATATGAGAAAATCTCAACAAAATTATCCGTAAATCCACCTTTCAGGTATAATTGTTGCTTTTTTAGTGTATGTCTTTGGACTTTTCTATGCATAAATTATGTGTTTAAACAAAATTGGACTAAAGTTGTATATATTGTTTGCAATTTGTTTTTTCCTGCTCAATATTATGCATGATCAGTTTTCCTTTATTCTACTACATCTAATCTCTTATGATTGATATATACATTGATGCCAATGTTTTGTTTTTATAAATAAAGCTGAAATAAATGTCTTTGTACATAAATTTGTATATCCACTTTAGATTATTTCATTATTTCATATTCATATTTCAAATAGTTGTATTTGAATTGCAAGATAATTATTAAGGCCTTTGGAACATTTAGCCTTTTAGAAACTTTGAAATAAATTATACTCTCACAAATAGTGATAAGAAAGCTAGTTTGCCCATGCCCTAACTAACACTGAGAATTATCAACTACCTGTTTTCATATGTAGACGCAACAAAATCTAACAAATGCAGAAGGTAGATAAGTACATGTGTTTCCTTCTAAATTTGTCCAGAGATTCCACAAGTCTTCCTTTGTGCTCCCATATCATCTGAGTCAAAACTGAGTCTTTGAAAGCAGGGACAAAGGGACAACATTGACATCCTAATTTTGGTCACCATGGTTCATAACTTCCTTTGTCTAACTCATTTGTTCCTTGTACAGATGGTGCCCAATTTATGATGGTTCAGTTTAACTTTTCAGCTTTATTATGGTTTGAAAGCAATTGGCATTCAGTGGAAACCATACTTTGAGTATCAGTATAGCCATTCTATTTTTCACTTACGGTATAATATGAAATACATTCATGAGATATTTAACATTTTTTATCATAAAATTGGCTTTGCGTTAGATGATTTTTTGCCCAACTGTAGACTAAGGTAAGTGTTCTGAGCATATTTAAGGTAAGCTAGGCTAACCTATGATGTTTGGTACACTAGGTATAATAAATGTACTTTCAACTTATGACATTTTTAACTTAGGATGAGTTTATGGGGACATAACCCCTTCATAAATCAAGAAACATCTGTACTCTCATGTGTCTTAGCTCGAAGGCTGCTTTTGTTTCAAGTTACTCAATAGTTTACAAAAGTCAGGTCAGCAGCAAAAGAAGTGAGCTGGAACATAGTATATGGGATGGCCCCTTTATTCTTACATAGTCAATGCATTGTTACAGTATATTTGTTCATTTATCCACGAGACTGGAAAGCTGTGATTTGTTCAGTTTTTTTATTACAGCAAAATAAGCTTATTTAAAATGAACAAAAACTTACCTTATTTCCCTGCATCGTAAACAAATTAAAAAATAAGAACAAAAATTAGCTTCCTTAGAAAATTTCAAAGGAATTATAATCTATCAGAGGCATCAACAAATGTTTTTTGTAAAGGGCCAGATAATACATATTTCAGGACTTGCAGGCCATATGATCTTTGGCAGGATTATTCAGCTCTGCCCTTATAGTGTAAAAAACAGCAATAAATAATATGTAGGCAAATAAGTGTGACCGTATTTCAATAAAACTTTATTTATTAAAACAGGTGCCTGACTGGGTTTGACCTGCATGCTGTAGTTTGCCAATTCCTGTTCAATCATACAATTTGATTATGAAGAAAAAATAGGCCAGGCACAATGGCTCACACCTGTAATCCCAGCACTTTGGGAGGCCAATGTGGGAGGATCTCTTGAGATCAGGAGTTCAAGACCAGCCTGGGCAACAAGTCAGCCACACTCTCTGCAAAAAAAATTTTTTTTAATTCGCCAGGTGTGTTGTGTGCACCTGTAGTCCTAGTTACTCAGGAGGCTGAGGTAGGAGCATTGCTTGAGCCCAGGAATTCGAGGCTTCAGTGAGCTATGATGGCGCCACTGCACTCTAGTCTGGGTGACAGAGTGAGACCCTGTCTCTTAAAAAAGTAAAAAGAAAGAAAAAATGCACTGAGAAATGTTTGCATAATTATTCTCCTAAAATGAAATCATTGTTTATATGAAATGAAATCATTTTTACATTAAGATATGATTTCTATTAAACATCTGATAATTGAGGGGGATCATATATGAAGACACTAATATTCCAAGAATGGATGATTACTCTTGCAGAAGGGGCATAGGAGGGAAATGTCTATGAGTTCTAAGACTAGAGGAAAACAGTTTAGAAGTTGAGGTGCTGAATTTGGAGGAAAGGGAATTAATTAAAGAGACACCAGGGGCTAAATACTTTGGGGCTAGTCTGAGTCAAGAAAAAAAGATTGAAATTTAAAAAAATCATGCCACTAATTCCAGCTCTTTGGGAGACCGGGGTAGGAGGATTGCTTGAGCCCAGGAATTCAAGACCAGCCTGGTCAACATGGCAAGATCTTATCTCTACAAAATACAAAATATAAAATATAAAAAATTAGTCGGGTGTAATGGTAAGCACCTGGGGTCCCAGTTCAGCTACTTGGGTGGCTGAGGTGAGAGGATTGCTTGAGCCTGGGACATTGAGGCTACAGTGAGCCGTGATTGCACCCCTACACTCCAGTCTGGGTGATAAGAGTGAGACCTGGTCTAAAAAAAAAAACAAAAGAAAAAGAAAAAAAGAAAAAGAAGAAGCTCCTTTTGCTTCACCCAAGTAAAAATACCAAAACTCTGCTATAGTTCTTTAAAACTTACAAATCTTAGAACAAAGATTACGTGCTGTGGAAAAATAAAGCCCAACTTGACCTCAGTGCAAAGGCACAACTCTGCTAACTAGCAACAGACATTGAATAGCAGCAGCCATTCTCATCTTGATCATTGTGTTATTAGTTTTGGCAGATTTGTTGTACCTTATTGCTTATTTTGGAGATTTTTAAAAAACATTAGCTATCATGGCTAGTATGTGCAAAATAGCAAAGATGGGATGTAAGTGCTAGAAAGTACTCGCAAGAGGCATAAGGTGATGAGAGAAATGTTCAAATGGAAAGTCAGCACCAACATAGATATGGACATGGAGCAATTTCCTGCAGATGTATCATATTGTGTATTGTATACATTTCTGTAGTATCGCTTTGGCTTTATGGATAAAACAATGTATGTTATCAGAAGGTAAACCTGTTTAAAAGTTCAGAATAGCTTTTGCATTCTTTTCCTGCATTACACAAGCCTTTCTGCCAAAGAATTTTGGCCTATATGGCAGATTAATAATGGCCACAAATTCTTTGATACTGCCATGAGAGTTGGGCTGTTCCCTCTCAAATTCTCTGACTTACAGAATACACTGGAAGTGACCCTGTGCTAATTTCTAGGCCCAGGCCTTAAGAGCCCAGCTATTTTTATTTCCTGTGTCGTGTAACAATTTCTCTTGGAACCTTGAGCTACCCAGTAAGAAGTCCAACTATCTTGCTAGAGAGAACTACATGGAGTAGGAGAGGGGCCCCACTGAGCCCAGCCTTCCAGTCATCCTGTCAAGGCACCAGGCATGTAGGTGAATCCATCTTGAACCATCTAGACCAGCTCAGTTATCAACATGTTGAGCAGAAGAATCATCCAGCTAAACCCTGCCCAAATGCCTGACTTACAAAACTGTGAGATATAATAAAAGGGTTTTTTTTTAGTCCACTACATTTTGCCATAATTTGTAACACAGATATAGGTAACTTGAACAGCATACATGAATGATGAACAGCAGGAGGCATTTACATGCATTTTACAGCAAATAATTACTTTGTGTTTCTCCCTTTTGTTTTTTGTTTACTTTCAATAAAATATAAATCCCCAGCTTTTGCCACTCTATGCGTAGTCATCTGAAAGTCATGATATTTCACTTTTTAAACTTCATCAAGACATTTCAAAGATTCTTGTTGACTCATAATTGCCAATTAAAAAGTTACTTTTAAAAAAAAAATGTAAAGGCTGTCACAGAACCAGGGTGAACTGGCAGGCAGATCTTAAAAGTATGCAATGAACTAGACAGCTGAATTAAGCAATTAATCTTCATAACCAAACCCAACTTAATTTGCCTTGTTCGATGATTTCCACCCTTAGTTTTAAAGCATACCAGGCATTGCTAATAGCTTCAAGCAATCACAAAATTATCCATAATATTGCAAAAGACCTTTTCTTGCAATCATTCACATTAGAATAAAAATGTAAGGCATGTCAAATAGCAAGAATTTGGGGGGAGGATAAATTGTAACTTCCATGCATATACAAACTTCTTTAGAATGTAGGCTGAGTATCGTGAGAATGGATAATACTTGTTTATATACTTTCTTCGTATTCCCATCTGGTATTCTCATGTATGTAATTCTATGGCAACATTTTATTTTCTCAGGTCAGGGCCAGGAAGTCTGTTGAATTCTATGAACATCTGGCTTATGATCTCATGAGATACACTAGTTAACTCATGGGAAAATTATTTTTTTAACATGAAGCAAAATAACAGTTTATGGTGACAATCCTTTCTTATAAAAATTTCTTTTTAATGTAGCCTGGCATGATGCAGGATTTCTCAAAGAGTTCTGCAGGATACCATTCCTCAGAATATTAAATATGTGTTAATTGGATTAAAAGATGCCTTTGCAAATAAGTTCAGAAAAATTTAGAAAGAAAAATGTTAAACATGTTTCCTTTCTGAAATTTTCTGGGAATCTTGAATGTGCTAAACTCTATGAATCTCTAAGGGACCCCACAATGTGCAGAATCAAACATTGTTGACTGTGGCATCATTTTTGGAAAGACATTTTGTGGGATGAGTGTAGACTAAAACACACTTTGGGAAATACTGGCAGAATAGAAAGAGTCTGGAACTGGGAGCCCAAAGGACTTGGTTATAATCCTGATCTGCCACTTACTGCCTGGGTAAGTTATTCTATTAATCTCAAGATCATCTTAGATAAAATGAGGATAATACATGCACGAACTATTACCCCACAGAATTTTTATGAGAAATAAATCAGAAATTGTGGGTAAGAGTGATTAATCAATGCCTAGCATTCAGCAGGCCCTAGTGACTGAATGCTGGAGGAATGATTATCTTTGTACAATAATGTCTTTAGTTTATTTAAGGTCCTGATGAGAGGCTCACATGCTTATGAAACAGGCGCCAATTTCTGATAAACTTTGCAACCTTTATACTGCTCAGATGAGTCTAGGCCTGGTTTTCCCTGAGGCTTCTCATCATCTTGTGGCAATGACCACCAGGTGTGCTGTATTACCTGCTGAATTGAAGATCAACTTGGTTTTGTTTTTAAACACATCTTACATTTGGGCAACCAATTCCAGGGATTTTAAAATCAGTTTCTCAAGAAAATATTACATGGAGGTAGAACCTATCTTGGAGCAGAGGGCTAGAATCGGAAACTCAGGACAGGGTTTACTTAATCTCTTTGACTTTTTGTTTCCTCACTCATAATTGAAAATAATAATTTCCCCATAGTAATATTATGAGCACTGAATCTGATATTATGTATAGGAAGTACATTGTATTGTGTATCATTAATAAACCATTTTTATGACTATCATCAAAAGAGATCTTTCATAGAATTATATAATATAGTATTAAAATTAAAGAATCTAATATAGATCACCTAGTCAAATGTCCTCCTTTTCTAGAATTAAAAAAAAAAAAATCAGAAGGATGAAGGAATTTAGCCAAAGTCGTATAGTTCTCAGTGGCAAGTCCAGATAGAATATAACGGCTTTTTCCAAATATTCAAAGAAGAAAACATTTGCGCTATATGACCCCAAGGGATCAAATCAGTAGTGAAAGCTAGAGGAAACTATATGAAAATACACATCTAACAATCTCAATCTTAGTGCTCTACTGTTGAAATAGGTTGCCTCGGGGTTGCCACTCACCACCCTTCCCCCACCACCACCACCTATTTAGGTATTAAAGCTGGCTCTAGGGAGATGAAGTAAGCCATATGTACAGGTATCAGTCTCTGGGTTTTGTGAATCGGAAATTAATCATATGCATCATGGTTTGGCCTTGTGGTTGACACATTGCCTGAGACAGTCCCAGACCTATGACAGAGCCAACTCTGGAACTGTATTTTATAGAAATGCAGGAGCCACAATCTCACTGGAAGAAAGGACTTAAAGCTATAATTTCTTAGCACTTTACATAAGATTGAGAAAATGTCAAGTATCCATATCAAAGAATAGAGTTTGAAGGAGATTACAGAGGGACTAAATTCCTTTAACCCACTTGGCATTGCTGTTGGTTATATATAGAAGCTGGGCTCAACTCTGCTGGATAGCTAACCACAATTTCAGAGCCTGTAATTTTCTGTTATCTGTACTGACGCCCTTTTTATTTATGTGGATAATTGAAAGTTGACTATAATTATGAAATCTGACAACCTCAAGACAAACTCATTGAACATCTTTCTTTTAGAAACAATGTGAATTGAGATGTTTTATTCACTAGGCAACCCAATAATATTTGCTCATGGTTAAGAATGTACTATCAATCACGATATCCCAAACAAAAAACACAAGAGAACAAGCCAACAACAACAAAGTTTTCCCTTAGAGACAATTGTAATGAGACAGGACAGGCATTGCCCCAAAAGAGAAGTGAGAGATAATTTGAGGAAGTAAAATAAAGTTTAGTAAAGGCTGGGATATTTCTGTGGAACCTACTAAAAGGGGAACTCCAAGATATGCCTCACATTTGCCCAGATCTAGATCTGAGTTTGCATATTTTGTGATTTCAGAGTATGTTCTGACTAAAACAGCAAACACACTTAATATAAGTGGTTAATGAAGCTACCAGCAAAGTGGGCACATCCTGTCACAGTGCACATAATAATAACAAAGCTAATATTGAGTGCTTACCATGAGCAGGTACTGTACTAAAACGTTTCACATGAGTTAACTTGTTTAATCCTTGTACTAATTATGATATTTGTACTATTCTTAACCCCATTTTCAGGAAACTGAAGTTTAGAGACCTTGACTACTTTCCACAGCTGATAACTGTTAACTTCAGGTTTGAATCAAGGTCTTCTGACTGCAGACCTGTATCTTCCTTATATCTTGTCCACCTACCCTTGGTAGATCTGAAATGGAGTCCAGTCTTGTTGTGTCAGTACTGCTGTCATTGTCCCCAGAGCAGCCCATTGTTTACTATGTAGGGTGACCAGCAATCTGTAGGCCAGCCTTTGGGGCATAATGTGCCTCTTTTGTGTTAATCCTTAGAAAAAACCTACTTAAAAATATGTTCTTTTTCCATTAGAGTCACGACAGGTCAAAGATCTACTGAGGAGGGGATGTGTCTTTACTTGATACTGTAGGCTTTAATCAGGAGAAGTGGCATAAACTTAAGCAAGAAAACCTTTGGGGCCAGGTGCGGTGGCTCATGCCTGTAATCCCAGTACTTTGGGAGGCCGAGGCGGGCGGATC
Source organism: Homo sapiens (assembly GCF_000001405.40). Lineage (NCBI taxonomy): Eukaryota > Metazoa > Chordata > Mammalia > Primates > Hominidae > Homo > Homo sapiens. The sequence continues at coordinate 78,750,940 of NC_000004.12, forward strand.
TTGAGGTCAAGGGATAGAGACCATCCTGACCAACATGGTGAAACCCCGTCTCTACTAAAAATAAAAAAATTAGCTGGGTGTGGTGGCATGTACCTGTAGTCCCAGCTACTGGGGAGGCTGAGGCAGGAGAATCGCTTGAACCTGGGAGGCAGAGGTTGCAGTGAGCGGAGATTGGGCCACTGCCCTCTAGCCTGGTGACAGAGCGAGACTCCGTCTCAAAAAACAGAACAAAACGAAACAAAAAAACCTTTGTACCCTGATTTCACTTAATGTTACCTAACACTAAGTGTATTTCACAGGTGCTGCTGAGGAAACCATTCAAAGTCCTAGCCTATCTATGACAGGCCTTAATATCCTAAAGCTAAGAAAGGTAGGGTACAGAGTCAGCCATATACATGTATAAAGCAGGTAGACATTCAGGATGCTGAAAAGGGTACCTGCATCATATTTGTTTTCCCCTAGACTTGCCAACTAGTCTGAAATTTCCACCACTACTATCACTTATTTGGATAAAGCCCCCATATTAGAATATAAACATGTTCTTGAAAAGATGAATACGTTAAGCCATTAATATTCACTACAGACAGTGATGGTTAACACTATAGCTGTAATGTTAGAAAAGGACAGAGCTTTGAGGGAATGAGACCATGATAGGTAAATTTTGAAGAAAAAAAGAAAACTGGAAAGCTCATAACAGTGGTTTTCAAACACAGGCTTGCAGATTAGACAAAGGTATTCATTAATTTTTGGTGAAATAGGAGCAACAGGGAAAATGTAGTAAAATTTCTAATTAAAACTATACATTTAAAATTATAAAATTATAAATTCTGAGATAATGTCCTTCTTTTTGGATGGTATCTTGTCACTTCTGTTATAAGATGATTATGATAGTAGATGAAGGTTGAATTTTTTTAAAAGTCTGTGTTTGACAAAATAAAAAGCTAGCAATTTTTTGTTAATCATTAATGGATATACATGCATTCAATATTCTATTACACCTTCACAGTAACTGTGAGGAATTTTTTGTGATCATGCCTGTTTTATAGATGAGGAATCTCAGGCCTAGAGGATAAATAACTTATCCAAATTGATATAGCTATTAAGTGGCAAAACTGTGACTTGTCCTCCTTACTCACTCCTTTCATTTGGGACAAGGACACTGGGGCCTTTGAGGAAAAGATCAATACTAAAAACAGAAAGAGAAATGTTAGAAAAACCAAAGTACAGAAGATAAATTTCACCTACTTAATTTTAACAAACACTTTCTAGAACTTTGCTGGCAAAAATGTTGTCCCTTATACTTGGCATTTAGAAACTAACATCATAAAATCCTGAAAGTGTTAAGAGCAAAAAAAGTTTTAAAGTTCATTCTCCTTCTTTTCAATAAATGAGAAAACTTACAAGTAGCATCTGACTTAAAATTCTATATTGTTGCATATGACAAGCACTCAGAAATATTTACATAAAGCAAAAGGCATAACACAGCCATTATTGGTAATGTAGAGAAGAAAAAAGCAAAGGAAAATGTAGCCTGATCAGACCAGCTAAGTAACTGCATGAGACAAACTTCAGCCACTTCAGTCATCCATGACAAATGAAGAACAGTAAAACAGGAAAAACCCTTAAAATAGAATTAATTTCAACTCAGTGATATGCACATAGGAAGCATTCAACAAAAAGTCAATTACTGAAATAATAAATGAATGCCTAATTTTATATTGCTCATCATAACATGGGCAACATACATTCTTTCTTGTTCTAGAAATAAACATTTGAAGACCTGGGAAAATGCTTAACCAAGAAAAATCTATTACAAGGCTACACTTTGACTACATGTATTCATCATTAAATACAGGTATAAAATGAAAATGTCCAAATATGCTAATTTAGACATAATACATATAATGACTGAGATTTAAGAACTAGTATCATTTATTTGGCAGTTTTCCAAACTCTCAACATTTGGAAACATTTTCTATTACTGAGTCGTTTTGCCACCAGGGAACCCAACTAACTCCAGAATTATGCTTCCTTCAGGGAGATGGGAAGTTCTCATCAGCCACAACAACCTTGGCAGGTAGCTCTCTTGTGCTTACTCGGAACATATATTTGAGAATTAGAATAAAGACTAAAGGATATGCTCAGCATTTCCAAGTCCTTATGTACCCTGAATTGGCATCTACTATTGACTACGAGGACAATGGGTGAACAGTCAAATTACTTTTGGGGGGTTGAGAGGAGACAGAGACAGAATGGTATTCTGTGGTCTCAGCCATAAGCTTCAGGAAATCCATGGTAACTTTCATATCTCTAAAGCAAAGAGCTAAGGAAGCCCATCTAATGCTTCTGAAAGGCAGGTATTGAGGTGGCTGTGGGAACCTCTGAGAGCCCCTCATCTACCCTGTAGACCAAGAAACCACCTATCGCAGTGGAAGCTCATGTGCCCCATTGAGGAGTTTCCCACCATGGCTTGGATTTGCATGAGAAACATCATCAGACTGAATCTGATTCTTAAAAATGGATGAAGGGACAGAGAGGTAACTTTCAAGATGCTTCCACATTATTTAGGAATCCAAGATCATCAGATTCCCTCACTCCAGAGGGAAATTAAAGTTCAGAGGACAATGCCTGAGCCTACTGCTGACTTACAGAACCCATTTCACTCATAAATTTGAGCCCCCAAGGCCTAAAGGAGATGAGTGTGGTTCAAGCTTTCCCTTCATTTTCATTCTATACAGAACTGGCCATTTAACGACCGCTGGATCTTGGCAAGCAGCTACCTTATTTGGAGAAGTTCTAGCAGTTCTCAACCTCTAATTTCTGCTTCAGGCCTTACATTCTGGAAGGAGTAAGATGCCACTACAGTGGAGGATTCTTGAAGCTCTATACAGAAGTGGTGCACCATAGAGGGCCACAAACCTGAATACAGAACTCCCATTGCAGTGTGGCAGGGGCGGGGGGTTTACAGCCATTTCAGGAGACCCTAAAACAGATCAGGCAGATTTTGATGTGGGTTACAGGATTACCCTCTAGCCAGGAAGCTAGACTCATTTCTTCATTTGTCCAGCAATAATATATTAAGCTAAGCACCTATTTTTGTGAAACTAGAAAGGGTAGAATCCCGTAGTTTGAGGACCACTTCACAGAGGAATTAGGATTGCTGGAGATGACCAGCACTAAGTATGGGGCCAAGGGACTCTTCACTTAACCCCTGTCCCATACTTCACTCATGCCCTCAAATGGAAATGACCTATTTGACATTATCATTCATCAAATATTTTTTAGATCTACTGTGTAGAAGACATCAAGGCCAACGCTGTTGGACTGTTTATTAATCCATAAAAATGAGATCTATTTTAAATCAATAAACAACGATCTTAATTTTCTTTTGGCCTCAAGTACATAACACAGTGCCTAGCCCATAGTGGACATTTTAGAGATGTTCATTACATTGAAAAGAAAATAATTCCTATGATGAGAAGTATGTTACCTTGGGCTTTGTTTGGTTGGATGCAATTCATGGCTTGATATTTTCTCACCTGCAATGTTTTTGAACCAGTGAATAGTAATACTAAATAGCAATATAATAACAATTGATTTATTTTACTTTTAAGCCAGGAAAATTTGCTCACTCAGGTAGAGAAATTCAGTCATCCAGTCCACTGAGTATTCACTTACTTTAATGCCAAAATTTCAGCTCCTGTTGAAGTATTCATCAACAGTGCTGATTTGAAGCTTTTCTAAAATTGACTTTTACAGTTTTTGCCTTGCATCTCATCTTTCCCTGCTTGTAAGATCCATGTTATAATTGCATATTCCCTAGGAATATCTGTGAAAAGGGATATTGCTATACACCTACAATTACTATTACTCTCACTGTCCATGATTCAATATGCAGATGTGTTAAAATCAGTTGTTTACTGAAAGCAATAGAGTACATTTTTTAAACATGTGATTTAAACATTCAAATTTAAGACTACTGTAATAACATACATTCTCACTCATCGATTTTTTTGAGCTGATCTTTCTGAGAGAAAATAAGGAGGATTACAGCCAGATACCAGCAATTACACATAGCACACAAGAAGTCTCACTGGTTTACCTATGGAAGTGTGTGACACATATGAATGTCATCAGTCACATGCATCACAGTGAAGGAAAACTTGCAAATTCCTGTTCTATACTCATTCTCTTTTACTGTGAATTATAATCTTCTTTGGAAAATTTATATTTAATTCTGCTACAGTATGATTGTTCATCATTAGAAGTAAGACAATCGTCTTCTTGATCACACTAATAATGTACCTGACCGCCTTCATTCCACAGTCCTTTTTGCTGCAGTTTTTTTCCTGTAGCACTTATCTCCATCTGACATTCTCTATATTTTAATTATCAGTATATATCTTCCTTCTAGAATGTATACACTCCATGAAGATAGGGAGATTTGTCTTGTTTTCTACTGTTTTCCCAATAGTGCATGGCACATAATTGGCACTCAATAAATCTTTGTTGAATAAAGGAATAAGTAGTATGATAAGACTTGTTTTACTGAGCAACTCTTATGAAGAAACTAGTGATTTTTTCTATTTAGACTGCCAATTGTTTATTAAAACAAAATTTGGATGATAAGTGAAGTAGAAACCTCTAACAATCAAAACCACGAGTAAATCCAAAAGTGAAAATGGGTACCAGTGGGAGAGAAACAATCTAATATCATGGTTCTGTGCTCTGCTTGACAAATTACAGATAAATACAACTAAGTTGAATCTGTTTTTAATTGGCAGCTAGAAGTGAAAGGATTTTTAAAAGTCCTACTTTATTACATTAAAAAATAAACCAAAATCCTAAACTTGAATAATTCTAATGCTTAACGTGGACTGGCTCATGAGACGTATTTGTTTATTTACTTTTAATTAAACTTTTAATTTTGAGATAATTCTGATTCACATGCAGTTGTAAGAAATAATACAGAGGCTGATTGCAGTGGTTCACACCTGCAATTCCTCTACTTTGGGAGGCTGAGGCAGGAGGATAGCTTTAGCTCAGGAATTTGAAACAAGCCTGGGCAACATAGAGAGACCCTGTCCTTGCAAAAAAGTAAAAGATTAGCTGGACATGGATCACTTGGGTCCTGGAGTTCAAGGCTGCAGTAAGCCATGATGACACCACTGCACTCTAGCCTGGGCAAAAGAGTGAGACCCTGTCTCAAAAAAAAAAAAAAAAAAGAAAGAAAGAAATAGAAAAAAAGAAACAATACAGAGGGAACCCCTCCAACAATAAGATATTGCAAAATTATTGTACAGTATTACTGCCAGAGAATCCACACTGACATAAGTGAACATATAGCATATTTCTGAAACCACAAGGATCTCTCATGTTGCCCTTTTGCAGCTAACCTATTTCCCTCTTTCCCCCAATACCTCCTTAATTCCTGGGAACCACTAGTATGTTCTCCATTTCTATAGTTTCGTCATCGCAAAAAATGTTATATAAATGAAACCGTACAGCATGTAACCTTTTGGGATTGGCTTTTTCACTCAGAATAATTCTCTGGAGATTCATATAAGTTGTGGAGTGTATCACTACTTTCTTCCTTTTTATTAAATAGTGTCCAATAGTATGGATCTGCTATAATTTGTTTAACCTTCACCTGTTAAAGGACATCTGGTTGTTTTTGTTTTTGGCCATTATGAATAAAGCTACTATAAATAAATATTCATGCACAGTTTTTTTCTGTGAGCTTAGACTTCCTTTCTTTGGGATGAGTGCTCAGGGTTACAATTGCTGGGTTGTATGGTAATTGCACATTTAGTTTCTAAAGACACTGTCAAACTGTTTTGCAGAGTGGTTATACATTCCCACCAGGAATGTACAAATAATTCACTTTCTGCATTCTTGCCAGCTTTTGGTGTTGTCACTTTTTTTCTTCTGATAAGTGTGTATTACTATTGCATTGTGGTTTAAATGCATCTTTTTGTGATGGTTAATGATACTGAACATCTTTTCATTTGCTTTCTTATGCCCTTCTGGTGAAATGTCTGTTCATATATTTCGGCCATTTTGCAATTGGACTGTCAGTTTTTTTACTATTGAATTTTGTAAGTTCTTTATATATTCCAGATGCTAGTTCCTTGTTGAGTATGTGGTTTGCAAATATTTTCTTTCAGTTCACTGATTATTTCCTCTGTCCTCTACATTCTACTGTTGAGCCCATCTACTGAGTTTTTTATTTTGGTTATTGTATTTCTCCCACAATTTTCTAAATTAACCAATTGGTTCTTCTTGGTGTCTTCTATTTAATTTCTGAGGTTTTCTATTTTTACATTTGTTTCAAGTGTGTTATAATTGCTCATTGAAGCTTTTATTTTTAAAAAATCACGGCTGCTTTGAAATCTCTGTTAGGTTATTCTAACATCTCTGTTATCTCAGCATTGACATCTATTGATTGCCTTTTTTTTCATTTGAGTTTGAGATTCATTTATTCAATTGAGGCTCATTTATTATGGAATACCTGAAATAAAAATATCAGTCTGAAATATTCCTCCTTTATATGAGTAGGAATTTTTGAAGAAAACCTGAATATTTTTGCATTACGAGATTCTGGATCTTATTTTAATTTTATCTTCTAACTGGCTTTATCTGATACCACCCTGGCAGGAGAAGTGTGGGCACCACCTCCTTACAGCCAGGCAGGGGTAGAAGTCAACATTTCCTACTTTGTTTCCATTGTCCTCTGATGGGGGCAGGCTCCTCATGAATGCTGGTGGAGTAGAAGTCCCATCTCCCCACATGGTCTCCACTGGCATCACAGGTGGGTGGCCTCATTACTGCTGAGTGGTCATAAAAGGCCTGACTTTCCACTAGACTTTCTCAGATATGACCTCAGTGGGGATGGGAAGGGATGTCTTGTTACTGCAAGGAGAGGATGGAAATCCAGGCCCCACATGTGGTCCCCATTGATACTAAACGGGGATAGAGCACTCCTTACAGAAAAGTGGGGATGAAAGACCTGGTTTCTATTGGAACTTCTATAGGTCCTTGGAAAATCTGACTGTATCCTTATAACCTTACAAAAATGGAAGTCCAGGGTCCCCACTTAAGCTTTTACTGATATGGGTGGGGATGGGGGTCACAGTTTGACTGAAGTACAGCAATCAGTGTCAAAAATTTTTGCCTTACGAGGGTACCTATTTCCTGGTCCTTTGGCTAGAGAAAGTAAGCTTTTTTGGTCTTGGCCATTGTCATCCTAGGTTGCTTGCTTCTTCAGCTTTAAGTCTAGAATATATAAGGAGAAAAAAAAAACAAAAACTAAAATCCAGTAAACTCACTGCTATGTTGTTCCATGGGTCCAAAGGTCCCTAGCAGGTCTGCCCTCTCTCCACCTTTCAGAGTCTTCTTATGTTTGTTTTATATATAATGTTCAGGGGAAAATAAGGAAACAGCAATAGAAAAAAGCACCTCTGCTTTGTCTTCCTAGATATAGAAGCTCCTGTAATATATTTTATTCCTTACAAATGTTAAATAACTAGATAGTTATTACTGAACCTTCTGAAAGAACAATATCTAGATCTGTGTTGTCCAATGGGTAGAACTGGTAACTATATGGGAGTATTTACATTTAAATTTATTAAAGTTGAACATGAACTCCCATTCACAATTGCTCCAAAGAGAATAAAATAGCTAGGAATCCAACTTACAAGGGACCTGAAGGACCTCTTCAAGGAGAACTACAAACCACTGCTCAATGAAATAAAAGAGGATACAAACAAATGGAAGAACATTCCATGCTCATGGGTAGGAAGAATCAATATCGTGAAAATGGCCATACTGCCCAAGGTAATTTATAGATTCAATGCCATCCCCATCAAGCTACCAATGACATTCTTCACAGAATTGGAAAAAAACACTTCAAAGTTCATATGGAACCAAAAAAGAGCCCGCATCGCCAAGTCAATCCTAAGCCAAAAGAACAAAGCTGGAGGCATCACGCTACCTGACTTCAAACTATACTACAAGGCCACAGTAACCAAAACAGCATGGTACTGGTACCAAAACAGAGATATAGACCAATGGAACAGAACAGAGCCCTCAGAAATAATGCCACATATCTACAACTATCTGATCTTTGACAAACCTGACAAAAACAAGAAATGCGGAAAGGATTCCCTATTTAATAAATGGTACTGGGAAAACTGGCTAGCCATATGTAGAAAGCTGAAACTGGATCCCTTCCTTACACCTTATACAAAAATTAATTCAAGATTGATTAAAGACTTAAACATTAGACCTAAAACCATAAAAACCCTAGAAGAAAACCTAGGCAATACCATTCAGGACATAGGCATGGGCAAGGACTTCATGCCTAAAACACTAAAAGCAATGGCAACAAAAACCAAAATTGACAAATGGGATCTCATTAAATTAAAGAGCTTCTGCACAGCAAAAGAAACTATCATCAGAGTGAACAGGCAACCTACAGAATGGGAGAAAATTTTTGCAATCTACTCATCTGACAAAGGGCTAATATCCAGAATCTACAATGAACTCAAACAAATTTACAAGAAAAAAACAAACAACCCCATCAAAAAGTGGGCAAAGGATATGAACAGACACTTCTCAAAAGAAGACATTTATGCAGCCAAAAGACACATGAAAAAATGCTTATCACCACTGGCCATCAGAGAAATGCAAATCAAAACCACAATGAGGTACCATCTCACACCAGTTAGAATGGCGATCATTAAAAATTCAGGAAACAACAGATGCTGGAGAGGATGTGGAGAAAAAGGAACACTTTTACACTGTTGGTGGGACTGTAAGCTAGTTTCAACCATTGTGGAAGTCAGTGTGGCGATTCCTCAGGGATCTAGAACTAGAAATACCATTTGACCCAGCCATCCCATTACTGGGTATATATCCAAAGGATTATAAATCATGCTGCTATAAAGACACGTGCACACATATGTTTATTGCAGCACTATTCACAATAGCAAAGACTTGGAACCAAGCCAAATGTCCAACAATGATAGACTGGATTAAGAAAATGTGGCACATATACACCATGGAATACTATGCAGCCATAGAAAATGATGAGTTCATGTCCTTCGTAGGGACATGGATGAAGCTGGAAACCATCATTCCCAGCAAACTATCGCAAGGACAAAAAACCAAACACTGCATGTTCTCACTCTTAGGTGGGAATTGAACAATGAGAACACATGGACACAGGAAGGGGAACATCACATACCAGGGCCTGTTTTGGGGTGGGGGGTGGGGGGAGGGATAGCATTAGGAGATATACCTAATGTTAAACGACGAGTTAATGGGTGCAGCACACCAACATGGCACATGTATACATATGTAACAAACCTGCACATTGTGCACATGTACCCTAAAACTTAAAGTATAATAAAAATAAATAAATAAAATAAATAAAATTGAACAAAAGAAAAAATCCAGTTCTTCAGTTATACTAGCAATATTCTGAGTGCTCAATGTAATGGTAGTCTAGTGGCTACCATATTGGACTGTGCAGATACAGAACATTTTGAGCATATGTGAAAGTCTTTTGGACAAAGCTGACTTAGTAATGAACAAACATAGCTCATGATACCACTAAATATTGACCTGCCACAGAAAAATATGGGAAGAACCCAAGCATGGTGGTGTGCACCTCTAGTTCTAGCTACTTGGGATGCTGATGTGGGAGGATCACTTGAGTCCAGGTGTTTAAGGTTGTAGTGAGCTTTGATCAGTCAAGCCACAGCACTCCAGCCTGGGTGACAGAGCCAGAACTTGTCTCTAAAAAAAGTAACAAAACAAAACAAAACAAAACAGTTAAATAATACTAGAAGACAGATGGGTGAATAAATGACACTGTGAAGGACAGAAATAGGAGGGATGTGAATTTATTCACAATGCAAATTTCCAAAATGAACACCTAACCCACTATCACACCATAAATTATATTTTTAGTGATTATAGCCTGCTTAGGTCTGTCTCTAAGACCATCCCTTTTCCCATAGGTTGATGCAATTTGGAACAATAAAAACTGATGTAGCAGCTGAGAGTAGCCTGTATTTACTCTGACATTGCATGTCATGTTCTGGTGTCATCTGACTTCAGCAAATGTTGGACATATTCAGTCAACATCATTTTATTTGATAGAGGGGATTCATACACTTTATAGACTTCAGTATTTTTAAAAAAGAAACTGAAGCGATATAGAGGCAACTTTAGCAAGACAGTACAATTTCAGAGCAGCAAAACCAAAATACAAGGAAAATATATGCAAATAAAATGGGAGATGGTAAAAAATCACAAAGATGTCAGAACTGGAGGTTCTTATTTAACTTATTCAATAACTATTTATAAAATGCATGGTATTATAGTTGAATCATCAATTGCTCAAATGAGAAATTGAGCTACAGAGAAATTGGCTTTGTTGTTTAGTGGAAAAGTAAGGAAAAGCATTTAGGCCACTTCCTTCTGCATCAAGCACTCTTCCCACTTGTACTATATGGCCATGAAAAGGTCTTTCCTAGTCTTAACAGCCACACTGGATCCTTTATTATTTGAAAAAAAATCTGCATTTTCTGCCTCAATGGTTTACTTATGTTTTCCTCTCATTAACTCATTCCACATATCTTTGTCAAGCATCTACAATGAGCAGGAATTAGTAGGCACCAATGTACATCAGTGAACAAAACGAAAGTGTCTGTCAGAATATTCTAGTGGGGGTAGGCAGACAATAAATATGATACATTGTAAAATATGTTAGAAGATGAGTGCTGTGGAATAAAGATGAAGCAGAACAGGTTATATGGGGATCAGATGTGAGGTATGGGCCAGATGGAGTCACTCATATAGAATTGACCCATCATCACCATTTGTTGACATCTTAGCTCTTCTTCATTCTTCATCTCAAATGCCACCTCCTCCATAAAATCCTGCTCAATACCTTATTAAAATTAATCCTTCCCTCTATGCTCCTATCATACTTCCCACCTCTACTGCAGCACTCAGAACCTGCTTTGTGTTAGATGTGAATGCATCTAACTCTTCATCAGAGTATAATTCCTTAATAAACAGAATGTGCCTTATTAGTCATTTAATCAATGTGCAGAGTCACATATATGGGCTAGCTTAATAAGTGTGTGCTGAATAATGAATCCTAAATTAAACGTGAATTGACAAAGTGCTCAATTGTTTATAAAAGAGAATCCTGATATTAGGATTCAAAAATATAAAGTCAGTATGTAGATACTGAATGCCAGTCTTCCATTCATGCTTACATTGGTCCCTTCTGCCAACATTTATACGGCCAGAGACATAATAAATGCTAGCTGGAGAAAGTTTTTATTTTCTGCTCTTCCTGGATTTCTAATAACAAATGCCAGATACTAACATGCCAAACAGATCAAGCAAAATAATGGCATAATTAAGAACTTAAATTTGTCTTCAGAGCTAAAACGCATTATTCATACAGCCTACTAAATTAACCATTATACATTAGAATTTAGGCACCCTAACACCATTGCCTTTTTATACTATCATGCTTTTATTCAAGAAAATATGACTTATGTGAAATTGTCAACCTTTATTTTTCTCTTTGCCAATGAATAAAAAACACTGAAATAAGTTATATTCTTCTCTGTTCTTTCACAAAATATATTGCTTTACATGCACTACAACCAGTAAAACTTGTTGGCTAAGAAATTGTATTTTTTACAAGATGATAACATACTATCTTGAAAGCGCCGTCACAAACAATATCCATATACTCATACTACCAGATAAAGCATAACTATAAAACTGAGTTTGATTACACACTCTGTAGGTATGCTGATAGATAGGTATGAACAAAAGCCTTCCCCTAAACAATCATATAACTAAAAGTACAATGTAGTTTTTGCATTTTAGTTCTTTTTAAAAAATCAGTTTTAGAATTTAAAGATTTAATTAGTACCTAATTAGAATGTGTTTATAAATTCTTAGTAATTCAGTAGATTGAATTGGTTGAATTAGTGATTAATGTTGCTTTTTTGAAGAGAGATGTGACAACATGAAATATTAATGAATGTTTCACTAGAATTGCAGATGATGGATTCTTCTGATGAAAAAGAATTTAAAGCAAACCTCTTTTAAATAAGGAAATGTGTTCGCATTCTTAATATATTTTATTAAACTGAAACATTGATGTTTCTCTTAAAGCTACTTATTTTTTAACCAAAATGTACATACAGTATATATTTTAATTAAATTTTATTCCCGATACGCAGGGCATTACTATAGAGTACAATCAGGAGGAGTTTAATTGCTAAGGTTAGCATTCTCATTATTAGACAAATGTTATTATAATTATAGGGAAGCAAAATAGTTAAGTCATAAGTGAGAAACGTAACAATGGTGAATGAAAGAAAGAATGCATGGCCAGAGGCAGAACAAATGCAAAAAAAGTACAGGATGACAACTAACACAAGAGATCATGCCTGTACCCACTAGATTCAATGTTTGGCAAAGAATATGGCTATGTCTTGTTTCTATTTTCCTACTGTGACTAGTATAATGCTGTGTGTGTGTGTGTGTGTGTGTGTGTATAGACCTGCATTAAGTACATATTTAACTAATTTAATTATGTACATAGGGCCAGCCAAGTAGCTGGCCCTACTAACTCTATGTCTTTGAGGCTGTAGGTCAATGTTATCAAAACAAGTGATAAATTCAATGAAAATTAAATTGTTATGTAAAATTATTTGAAAAAATTTTAGTTGTTTGACTTAATTTTTAAATGTTTTGATCACCTGTTTGTTGTCATATTATTATCAGAAAGTTCAAAGTTTAAGTGGGCCAAATCTATGATTAATCCTCTTTGGTACAAAATATTGACATTAATTTTTCTCATAATAATTATTTTGATTTAAATGTGTTGTTAGGCACATTTTCAATGATGAACTGTGTTCATATATGTACATAAAATTTGAATTTGGTGTCTGTGAATACAGAATGGGCATTTTAATGCATTGCTGCCTAAATACACTCATATACACAGACATACATATATCTATATTAAGTTTATAAGTTTGGTCAGGCACAGTGGCTCATGCTTGTAATCCCAGCACTTTGCAAGGCTGAGGCATTAAGATTGCTTGAGGACAGGAGTTTCAGAACAGCCTGGACAATATAGCAAGACCTTCATCTCTATAAAAAAGTTAAAAAATTAGCTGGGCATGGTGGCACACACCTGTAATCCCAGCTACTAAGGAGGCTGAGGAAGGAGGATTGCTTGAGGCCAGGAGTTCAAGGCTGCAGTGAGCTATGATTGCACCACTGCACTTCTGCCTGGGTGACACAGTGAGATCCTGTCTCTAAAAAAGAAAAAAAAGTTTATAAGTTTAGAAATTACGAACGTGCTTGTCTATAATATGGATACGGTATGGGGATTCAACAGAGAATATTTTATTTGTGTAAAAGTGACAAGAATTTTTTAAAATATTTACATTATATGAGTTTATTTTAGCTACACAATTTCACGTTTGAATTAAAGTTAACTCAGGAATGCAAATTCCCCTTACATTTTGTAGATGCTCTGACTTGCTGCTGCTAGTTTATCAGTAAACATTAGTTGGGTGTTGTCACAGCAAATGGAAAAAATGTTATCTGTCAGTATAAGTAGGCCCACTAGTGTCAGCAGATAACAGAGAGAAGAGAAATAAGGTGTCATGTTGAAGTATGAAAAACTAAAAGACTTTTAAAAAGTATATAATAGTACCCTCCTTATCCTCAGGGGCTATGTTCCAGGACTCCCAGAGGATACCTGAAACCAAGGATAGTATCAAGTCCTATTATATATTATGTTTTTTCAATCTGATAACCAAAAAGCCTGCTAAGTGACTAATGGGTGGGTAGCATATAGAGCATAGATATGTTGGACAAAGGGATGATTCACAGTGGTGTGGGATCACATGAGATTTCATCAGGCTACTCAGAATGGTGTGCAACTTAAAACATATGAATTGTTTATTTATGAAATTGTCCATTTAATATTTTTGGCCTGAGATTGACCACGGGTCAATTAAACCTCAGAAAGTAAGACCACCTATAAGGGGGAACTACTGTACTTATCCTTTTAAGAGTGACTCCTTTAAATATTATTTTTAGGGTAATACACAAATAGCATAATTGAAAACATTCAATAAAAAGCAATTTGCAAGTAATATAATTTAAGAAGTGGGTACATATAGTTTCCATTGTAACTGGTAATATACACTAAGGTGGTATATGATCTTCATCAAGATGAAAACAAATAATAAAAATTGTTTTAAGGTAATATCTGCTCATACTTCATGGAGATTTTTTCAAGAAAAGATCTATAATAGGAACTTCTTTTTTACCTTTAAACACCAGTGCAGAGAAATTTATCTCTGCTTATCTAGACTCTGTTCAGTTGTAACTCCCCCTTCAAAGTATTTGTCTTTAATTCATTTTATTCCTGTTAATCCAAAATGCAATTTAAAAACCCCACATGTCTCAAAATGTCAATTCAAAGTGGCATTTACTATCCAGGCACTTAAGTATTTAGCACCTGCAATATCCCTAGTATTGGGCTACATATGCAATGGGATTACTTAAAAATAAAAACCATGCATTTTGTTTCATAGTCAAACAAAAAGCATGCATTTTGTTTCATAGTTAAGACTTATGCATAGTGACCAATTAAAGAACACAGTATGCCAGGCTTTGTATGCAGACAAAAGTGCTATGGTAATTCTGAGAATTGTTGTATTACTATGAAGTGAGGAAGTTGGGAAAAAACTTGGAGAAGGTAAAGCAAATTAGGAATGCTATAAATGCCTAAAGTGGATGGTGAGGAGGAAAAGACAGTGTTCAAGGTTAGGGAAACAGCAAGAACGAAAAGAGTGAAAAGGGTGAGATATTTTAGGCAGGGGAAAATTAATCATCATCCTAAAGCAGATTTGTGTGTTTGGAGTGGTGGGGACCAGGCTTTTTTTATATCCCCAAGCTTTGCTTTCAAATTTACAACTGTCAAGTTTCAGAGTTTCTCACCTATCTTTATCTTGTTGATGACTTTACTTATAGCATTCTCTTGGTCATGCTGTCCTGATTTTACCTTATTGCATAAGCTTTTCACTCTAGAATCAGAATATCCTTTCTTATATAGTTCTATAAACTGAACAGTTGCCCATTTCCTGATTTTTGTTTTTTTTCTTTTTTCCTAGCTGCCAGCATTTTTTCTCTTAAGACTAGCATCAAAGATCCGGGAAATGATCCAGGCTTAAGTTGGCCAATGCACTTCAGTCCGCAAAATGTTTATTAAGCCCTTACTGGGAACAGACATATACACAGATGGAAAAGCCATGGTTCTTGCCCTTTGGAGGCTTTTAGCCAGGGCAAAGCCTCTTTCCTGCCTCAAGTCTGCCTACATTGTTTTCAACTACAATCGCAATTTTAAGTTCACCAAAACAGGAAAAAATAAAATGAAATGATAAATGTTAAGAAGGCTAAAAACTCACCAAAAATAAGAATGAATAGCTTATATCTGTGAGGCACCTGTGATGAAAGGGTAGCGTGGTAGAGTAGTTTGGGTCTTTACTCTGTCGCTTCAAGTATAACTTTGAACAAGTTGATACAGGGAAAGCAGAGGGGAACTGACATTTCTTGATTATCTATGATGTGTCCAGAACTGTGACTGGTATTAATTATATATTATTATTTAATATTCATAGATCACACCACCTCCAAACCCCCTTAGAAAACCACACCACCACCACCGAAAACAAAAACTAGATTCTTCCTCTTTTAAAGACGACCGAAACTTAGGTGCAGATAGGCTAACCTTGGAGTTTCAGACAGACCTGAGATTTCACCCTGGTCTCAACTCCTTAGCTCTACCACTTATTAGATTTTTGGCTAAGTCATTCATTCATTTATTCAATGCCTAGTATATGTCAAGCATGCTGCTTGACACTGGGTTTGTTGTTGTTTGTTTGTTTGTTTGTTTGTTTGTTGGAGACGGAGTCTCACTGTTTTGCCCAGGCTGGAGTGCAGTGGCATGAACTCGGCTCACTGCAACCTCCACCTCCCAGGTTCAAGCAATTCTCCTGCCTCAGCCTCCTGAGTAGCTGAGATTACAGGCGCACGCCACCATGTCCAGCTAATTTTTGTATTTTAGTAGAGACAGGGTTTCCCCATGTTGGCCAGGTTGGTCTTGAACTCCTGACCTCAGGTCATCCACCCACCTCGGCCTCCCAAAGTGTTGGGATTACAGGCATGAGCCACTGCGCCTGACCGACACTGGGTTTTAAGGCAACATTGTGGCATGCTCCCTTTCCTCAAAGCTCTTACAGTTCAGTAGAGGCAGACAGGCATGTAAGGAAGCCCCTGTAGTTAAGTGACAGATGTAGTTCTGAGGGTCTGTAAACTGTATAGGGGGTACAAATTAGAACCTAGTCCATTCTAACCCTGGATTAGCAGGTGGCAGAGCTCAGAAAAGCTCTCAGAGGGGAGGTTGCCCTGAGATCCACATAGTCACCCATTGAATCAGGTGATCATGAGAAAGAACAAGACATTCTAACCCAAGCAAGCATTAGGGCCTGAAACAACTTGGTAAGAAATGAAAGTGTTTCAGGTCTGGCTGGAGTAGAGAGCTGCAAGGTAGGGGTAATAAAATCTACTTCACTTGTTAGAGGATTAAAGAGGTAACATATAGAAAGTGCTAACTGTAATGTCTGAGACATACAAGGTGCTCAATAAGTGTTTCTATTCTGCTTCCTTTCAGTTTCTCCAATTGATTATATCATTTTCCACCTCTGAAATTCCATAATTTTTTTCACATTGTATGGGTTCTTATTGTGAATTGGTTCACACACTACTTGGCACACTGTTCATGTTCAGTTAATAGTCTCTACCACATTTGATAGAAGGCTGGGTAAAACAAGATGTAAATTTTAATAAATGATTGAAGCAAAAGCTGAATTGAACTTCAACACTTTCTTCTTCTCTGTCCCTCCACAGTAACTACAGTAACTTGAATCGATTATTTTGCATGTGTATATGTGTGTCATGGATGTATAGAGCTTCAGTATCAGTTCAACACATTGGGGTAGAATTTAATATGTTTCCAGGGGGATTGTTCATTTGCTTCCAAACCGACAAAAGCTGCTTTTCTGTCTCCAGAAGTTTGTAAGATCACAACATCAACCATACTGCCAGGAGGAGACTTGAAGGCAATGCACCATAATAATATGACCTTAGAGCCCATCATTTGTACATAACTTAGAGTCAGCCTTATCTCCACTCCTAATTTGTCTCCGTCTCTCTTACATGGTCCTGTACATACTTTTATCCACTCCAAAAGTGTATAAACTTTGAAGCCATGATTTGTTTTATTCAACTTGTTCAGGTCCTCCTAGCTGCCCCAATCTACAGTGCTTTACCCTTTTTAGATATTTAGCAAATATTTGTTAAATTTTACAGATACTCAGTTGTTTTCTTTTCTCTGCTCACACGCAGTGTCGTGGCAGCAGGCACAGTCTTGAGATGCAGAAGGACAGCGGCGAGCTTGTGGACCTGTACATGCGGCAGAAAGTCTCTGCTAGTAACCGCGTCACCGGTGCCAAGAACCATGCATCCATCCAGATGAACGTGGTGGAGGCTGACAAGGTCACAGGCAGGTTTAATGGCTAGTTTAAAACGTATGCTGTCTGCAAGGTCATTTGCAGGATGGGTGAGTCAGATGACTACATTCTCTGATTGGCCAAGGCCAGTGGCATCATCTGAAAACATGTTTGACAGGAGAGAATCATGGATATGGAATGTTTGTCATAAATAAACAGTGTAAACCTAAAAAAAAATTAAAAAAAATTTTTAAATACCCAGTTAATCAGAAATTAAACATAATCCCACTTATTATAGCAGGGTTCCCTGAGCTGTGGTGGCACACATCTAAGATAAGTAGATGGAGGGTACAGCAGGAAGTACCTTATCATTTCAGACTGTAGCTATCATGTCATTTATTGTGTATTTTCAAAGAATCCGTATGGTGTGGTTAAAAGCATGAGCCATAAAGTCATAACAGGTGTTTTTGAACCCTGTTTAAAGTCATAAGACCTTGGGCTTGTGACCTAATCTTTCCGTGCATCAGTATTCTCTTCTGCAAAGTAAGAGAAATCATAGAAGCTATTGTATAGTCTTGTCATAAAGATTTACTGAGTTAATACATGTAAAGCACTTTAGAGTAGCACGGGCACATTGCAAGTGCCCAATAAGAATTAGTTCTTACTTTATACTCTGCTGAAGTTTTATATAAATGTTAACAGGAGAAAGGTTACTACCTTTCTACAGGAAGGTAATGCAGGGCTATAAAGAAGAGGGAGGGCTGGGTGCCGTGGCTCATGCCTGTAATCCCAGCACTTTGGGAGGCCAAGGCGAGTGGATCACTAGGTCAGAAGATCGAGACCATCCTGGCCAACATGGTGAAACCCTTTCTCTACTAAAAATACAAAAATTAGCTGGGTATGGTGGCACACACCTGTAATCCCAGCTACTTGGGAGGCTGTGGCAGGAGAATCGCTTGAACCCAGGAGGCAGAGGTTGCAGTGAGCTAAGATCACGCCACTGCACTCCAGCCTGGTAACAGAGCAAGTTCTATCTCAAAAAAAAAAAAAAAAAAAAAAAAAAAAGAAGAGGGAGGGCGGGAACATATCCAGAAATGTGTTTGTAATCCTACTCTCTAGGACAGATACTTCTCTAGGGAGAAAGCTATCCCTGTCATGAGGTGTGAGGACAAGGTGCAGAACTCCCCTATCTGCCACTCCATTTGCTGGGTAAGGAAGAAAGCGCCTCTCTTGGTGGTGAAGATGCCTATATCCTGCAGTCTTTTTTAAAAGCATGGTCAAGCTGTTTTAAAAGCATAGTCAAAACTCTATCATAGAATTGTATTTCATGTCAAATGAGTCATATTTCCTGTTAAGAATATTTGTGAGTATCTTGGTATTTTGCACTATACAATCAGATTGATTTTTTTTAGGTATATATGAATTTTTACAAGGTATAGTGATGATATTGAGTAGTTTTAACAGAGGATTTAAATATTACTGATATCTTAAAAACATTTGTTTTGATAATGGAGGCATATATATTCTTTTAATAGACCTTAGAACTTTTACTTTTTTGGAAAGCAAAGACATGAACATTTAACTTGGTATAATGTAATAATGTTAGCCAGGAAAAATATTCTTTTAAAAAAGTTAAAAAAAATGTTTTGTAGAGACAGAGTCTCACTGTGTTGCCCAGGTTTGTCTCAAATTCCTGGCCTCGAATGATCCTCGTGCCTCTGCCTCTCTAAGTGCTGGGATTATAGGTATGAACCATCATGCCTGGCCGAGGAAAAATAATTATTCTTAACAGTAAAACACAGTGAGGCTAATGATGATAGAAGACATGTTATCAAAGGAAAACACTGACTTATGAGGAAAAATGATTAATCAGTTATTGGGACACATGACTTATGAAGGTCACTGTGGCAGTGGAATAAGCCTTTTGGGATAAGCACATTTATTTAATCTGTGTCACTCTTTCTCACTTCTCATAGGTCTTTGAGAGCCACCTTAATGCAAAATACATGGGGGTTAGGTTATATTTTTCCAGTAGAAAACAAAATGTAACAATCATTCTTTCTTCCCTCATTGTCAAAATTCTTCCTGTTTAAGGATCTCAGAATCCTGTAGTTAGCTATGATGATGTATTGACTTTATCAGAAATGTGTAACGTGAAATGTGTAAAGGGAAGCAATCTATTTTTAAAAATAAGAGTCTTCATTATGTGGCAACTTTCCAATTATTTTTATAGTCATACAGCTATAAATATATGATTGATATATCTAAAACAAATTGAAATAAAATTATAATTCTTTTACTTTTATTAAACTATCTATATCTGTATTTTGACTGTAAGTCACCTCAATGCCATTGTTTAAGATGGCCAGAATCTACATTTTTTTTTTTGTTTGGTAGAGATTTCATTTTCCGACAGGAAGCCACATCTGATTTTCTTCCATGGTCTAATAATGAGTGTAAAACTAGAAGATGGTGCTTTTGTGTTGGTGAACACATCGAGGTGGTGGGAGGGTGGTGCACCCAGAGAAGGTATGGATGCTTTGTGCACTACCACTTCCTGTACCTTGCCCTATGCATCCCATCTAGGCAGCTGTCCCTGAGTTGTATATCTTTTATGATAAACCAGAAAACTGGATATGACGTGAGATGGTGACACAGTAATAATCTCATCACTTCTGATCATCTGAAGAATGCCCATTGTGGAAGTATCAGACAAAAGCTGAAAAAGTGCACTGAAAGATTAGTTTGTGCACTGGGCTCATCTTGGTTCACCCGGTCAGTACTACTGGGAGGTGGTTGGGAACATGCAAAGAATGGCATCTGGACATTTGCAAAAAAAACAAAAAAACAAAAAAAAAAACAAGAAAGGTTACAACTGTTCATAGAACTTGGAATTTGGACTGTCAGTAAGAGAAACAGAAGCTACGTCTCCACCAAAACAATGCCTGAGACTGCCTTCTGCATGGAACTCCAAATACACAAGAGAGTTTTCCTGGATATAGACATTAGAAACATATCATTTTTCAACATTAGCAATGGTGCCGTGGTGTGATCTCGGCTCCCTGCAACCTCCACCTTCTGGGCTTAAGCGATCCACCTCAGCCTCCCGAGTAGCTGGGACTGCAGGCATGCACCACCACACTCAGCTAATTTTTAAATGTTCTTTTGTAGAGATGGGTTTCATTATATTGCCCAGGCTGGTCTTGAACTCCTGGGCTCAAGCAATCCTCCTGCCTTGGCCTCCCAAAGTGCTGCGATTACAGGCGTAAGCTACCAGGCCTGGCCTTCCCACATCTTTGTATTCACTAAAATTTCTGCTTCAGAACCACTGAGCCCATTCTTTTTGGCTTCAAATCCAAATAATGGTGATTAGGGCACTCTGAGTATACATACTGTGATGCAACTAGGTTCAGTAATCCTTCCAGTATATGCTGGGGAAGATCATCAAACTGTAACCACACACCCACCCACCCACCCAGACACACACACACACACACAAAGAATATTTGGAAAAGATCTATTTACTTAAAGAAATATTCACTATGTTGACTCATTAAAAATGCTAAGGGTTAAAATGTATGGAACCTCTTAAAATCATAAGCACACATTTTAATAGTCTAATATTAATTAGGAAAGATACTACATGTTTAATATTGTATGTTGATAGAAAAGTTTGCTTTGGGGTCTGGGATTTGACTTCTGTATTTGTACCTCTTGAAATTTCAGATCACATCATAGCATTTTAGTTTGTTCTAAACACTAGCTAGTGCATTACAAAGGTTTTTAACTCATGAAGAGTATTTTATGTCCAAGAATTGCATGAGTCATTAAAATGAAAGTCTTTACAATACTTAATCTACTATAAGCCAGTAAATAAATTTAAGGTGCAGGAGTGAGAAATTAATATATGGCTATAAGATTTTCTCAAAGAAATCTGAAAGACTAGAAATTTCAATATAGTTTTTCTGCTGGTTACAGTCTGCCCTTAATATCTCAATTTCTGCCTAAAAATTGATTTCAGGTTACACATTCTTATTTCACAAATTTGCTAGAAGAATATGATTTAACAATAGATGTTAATATCTTTTGGTAATAAAAGTGTTTGTAAATGTTTGGCCTTCTTGTTATTAGTAATATAGTAATCCCCCATCCCCACAGTTTCGCTTTCCTCAGTTTCAGTTACCTGTGGTCAACAATGGTCTGAAAATATTAAATGGAAAATTCCAGAAAAATGAATTGGTAAATTTTAAATTGCACGCTGTTCTGGGTAGCCCGACTGGTAGGTGAATCATCCCTTTGCCCAGTATATCTGTCTATACTCTCTGCCTGTCACTTAGTAGCCTTCCCAGTTATCAGATCCACTGTCACAGTGCTTGTGTTCAAGGAATCTTATTTTACTTACTAATGGCTCCAAGTGCAAGCATAATGATGCTAGCAATTCGAATATGCCAAGGAGAAGCCATAAAGTGCTTTCCTTAAATGAAAAGGTGAAGTTCTCAACTTAATTAAAAAAAATCATATGCTGAGGTTGCTAAGATCTACAGTAAAAATGAATCTTCCATCCACGAAATTGTTATAATTGTTCTAATTTATTATTGTTGTTAACCTCTTACTGTACCTAACTTAAACCCTGAACCTTATCAAAGGTATGTATATATAGGAAAAAACATTATATATAGATGGTTTGGTTACTATCCTCACTTTCAGGCATTTACTGGGAGTCTTGGAATGTATCCTTCCTGGATAAGAGGGGAAATACTCTACAACATTTTTGCTTTTTTTTGGGAGGGTCTTGCTCTGTCACCCAAGCTGGAGTGCAGTGGTGTGATCACAGCTCACTGCAGTCTCAACCTCCTGGGCTCAAACGATCCTCCTGCCTAAGCCTCTTGAGTAGCTGGGACCATAGGTGTGCACTACCACACCTTTCTAATGTTTTTGATTGTTAGTAGTCTTTGCATTTTTAAGTTATATGTTTGTTATTGAGTGTTACAGAATATTGTGACGTTAACGTACTATAAAGATGGGAGGATATCCAAATTTTGTCACATGCTTGGTGAGAAAAATCAAAGAACATATTGCTTGGTGTTACCCTCGTCTTTCAGAGGGGGTCTATACATTATTACACATTTAATTATACATTTATTATAATTATACATTTCAATATCAAAAGTCAAGTTACATTGGTACATACAAGTAATCTTTACCACATTAATTGTAAATTGACTTATTTATTTACTTAGAGACAGTGTCTTCCTCTGTTGTCCAGGCTGGAGTGCAGCTGATGCTATCATGGCTCACTGCAGCCTCGACTTCCTTGGCTCCAGTGATCCACGCACCTCAGCTTCCCAAGTAGCAGGGACCACAGGCCTGCGCCACCCCACCAAGCCCAGCTAATTTTTGTATTTTTGATAGAGATGGAAGGTCTCACCATATTGCCCAGGTTGGTCTTGAACTCCTGAGTTCAAGCAATCCACCCACCTCGGCTTCCCAAAGTGCTGGGATTATAGGTGCAAGCCACTTTGACTGGTCAAACTTTTGTTTGTTTTTAAGAGACACCCAGCCTGGAGTGCACCAGTGCCATCATAGCGCACTGCAGCCTTGAACTCCTTGGTTCAAGCGATCCTCCTGCCTCAGCCTCCTGAGTAGCTGGGATTACAGGTGCACCACCACCATACCTGGCTAATTTTTAATTTTTTTTTTTTTTTTTTTTAAAGAGATGAGGTCTTGTTATGTTGACCATGCTGGTTTTGAACTCCTGGCCTCAAGTGATCCTCGTAAACTAACTTTGAAACTTATTATAGCAGGCTTGTTGTGATCAGGTGAAGTTATATCAGGCCCAAACTTTGTATGTTTGTCTGACTCCAGTTTTGAATTGCATGAAATGACTTAATCTTTCCATTATTCTGCTTAAAAAACAATTCAAATTTAGGAATGAGACTCCACAATGAAGCCCCACAGCAACGAAAGTGGTCAGCTTGTTTCTAAATGGAAATCCCCAACTGCCACACCACATCAATCATCTGACATATAATCTCACTTCCACTAAGCTGGAATCTACTTTAAACGTCAGGTCTCTGGATGAAGAATTTTAGTTTAGTGGGTTATGTAGCAGAAATGCCTAAATCCAGAGCACTATTTTAGTGTTGGCAGAAATAGCTTCTCTTCAAATAGCAGGGAAGAAAGAACAAGGATTTTAAGTTCAAAGTTTTTGTCTAAGCACATTTTCTAATGTTTCTACCCGTTATCTCATTAAAAAGAATAAAGAAATAGGGGTGGGGATAGAACCACATTCATCTACTTTCATAGAAGGTGCATACTGGAGTCCTGCAGATACAATTTATTTGATCTATATTTTAAAAATTAGGGAAATGCCACATTAGAAAACAGTTCCAGGTTTTTGGTTCTCTTAAGAAACTGGAACCTCTGGGCACAGTGTGTGTGCCTATCTTCTTTTGTGGAAAAGTAGGCTGGAGCTGAGAATTGGCTGCTCTCTTTACACAGGCTCTACAGTTTGCCATTCCCTACCACTCCTGAATGTTTTACACCCATATTTATTTTGTTGCTTCACCCTGCAGTCGGGAGACTCCTGCAGTTTATGAAATTGATACAACAGGGCTTTTTTTTTTTTTTTTTTTTTTGGTAGGGGGTGCAAATCTCTTTGATTTGAGGGGAACGCAGTGGTCGCTTTTGCTTCCAAACAGCCTTAAATCTGCCCGTTTTTCAACGATCTGACCTTACTTTTTCAGGGTGGCCAAAAGCACAAAATTATGAATCAAAGAATGGTCCCCAATTACCACGAGCCAGCTGTGTGACCTTGGGCGACTCCGTTAAGTTCTTTTAGCCAAGAGTGATGAATGGTCTGCAAAACGACCTTAATACCTGTTCTGAATACCCCCACATGGCTGTGGTACAGCAGGCGTGAGATGTTTAAAGTACTCCTAAGTAATTTATAAACTGCAAAACGCTTCCCAGCACAAGCGTCCGCTACAGAGCGCGACGACACCGAGCCGGTTTAGAAGTCCAGTTACTGGAATCCACTCCAGTTCCGTCCTGCTCCCACCTCCTACGCTCAGGGTGGGCGAGCGGAAGGAGACTCTCAAGGGAGAAGGCCTGGAAAACTGGCTAAGAAACGAAGCGAGAAGTTCCTCAGCAGGGGTAAAGTTGTTGGCGGCATTTTTAAGCCCCTAGAGTGGCACAGCGACTCCCGGTCGAGATGACGGACCCCGGTGCGTGACCAGCGCGGGAGCCAGTCCCGGGCCACCTCCCTGCTTGAAGTCGGGCCTGGCCAGTACCCTCCCGGCGCAACCCCGGACCCGGGACCCCCGACTTTGCCCTAGTCCCCAACCCCCACAATCACCTCCCTTGGTCCCCCTCCACGTGACAAGAGCCGGAACCGTCACTTCCGGCGGCGCGGGCAGCGCGCCTGCGCGGGTCGCCCGGCCTCAGTGAGCGGTTGGCAGCAGCGCCCCCCCCCCCCCCCCGCCAACGGCCACGAGTGGCGGGCGGCGCGGGTTCGGCCGGGGCGGCGGCGGCGCGACGGGCTGCGGTCCTGCGGGTTTGTGGCCTGAGACGTCTAGCCCACTCCCTGGAGGGGCCGGCCGCCCAGCCTCTTTCGCTCTCTTCCTCTACCCCGGCTCGCGCTCCAGGCGCTTAGTGAGGCGGCGGGACGCCCGGGGCACTGGCGGAGGCGGCGGCGTCGCCCCTGGATTCGGACCCGCCCCCTCGCGCCCCGCCCCGTCCCCGCCCTCCCCACCGCCCTCTGCGGGAGCCGGGCAGCTGCAGCGGAGCCGCGGAGCGGGCGGCGGGGCCCAGGCTGTGCGCTTGGGGAGCGCGGAATGTGAGGCTTGGCGGGCCGCAGCACGCTCGGACGGGCCAGGGGCGGCGACCCCTCGCGGACGCCCGGCTGCGCGCCGGGCCGGGGACTTGCCCTTGCACGCTCCCTGCGCCCTCCAGCTCGCCGGCGGGACCATGAAGAAGTTCTCTCGGATGCCCAAGTCGGAGGGCGGCAGCGGCGGCGGAGCGGCGGGTGGCGGGGCTGGCGGGGCCGGGGCCGGGGCCGGCTGCGGCTCCGGCGGCTCGTCCGTGGGGGTCCGGGTGTTCGCGGTCGGCCGCCACCAGGTCACCCTGGAAGAGTCGCTGGCCGAAGGTACGGGCGCCCGGGGAGGCTCGGACAGGCAGGTGAGGGAGGGTTGGGGTGTGGCGGCGGCTTCTCCGGGTCCTCGCCCTCCGGACTGACTCTTATACCCCATTCTTCCTCTGCTGCCGGGCCAGCGGGGGCTCCTAAAGAGTGGCTCGGGCTTTCTCTCTTAAGCTGGCTTTTCTTGCCGCTGGCTGCCCCGGCCGGTGCACAGTTCTCTCATGCCTAGTTTAAATCATTTTCTGTGCTTTTTGACGCGAGAAAATAGGTAGTAGACGGGCTAGGAAGTGGGTTGGTGTTACGATTGGGCCAGTGACTCATTAGAGGGTCAGATCGAACAGGGTTGAAGCTCCGTTCTGCCAGCTGTGGCTCAGACGGGTGTCATGCGTTGGCCTTTTCATCTAAGCCTCCACCCGCGCTGCAGGGCATAGGACCCTGCAGCCCCTGGTGTCAAGCTGGGCTTTGCTGCAGCTCAGTCATCTGTTGAAAAACAATGTATTTGTGTGCATGTGTGCGTGTTGGAGGTGATCCTTTGCTCTAAATTCAGTTAGTAGGTTGCACTGAGGAGCAGGTAAACTTGGAGCCCATTTATCTTTGTTATTTAGAATCTTCTCTGTTGGACAAGGTGCTATTCATGCCCTCCCAGTATGTCTCTTTGATAGTAGTTTAAAAGGTGATATAAAAGCAGGTTAACTTTCACTTAACGAGGTTTTGTGGTCGGTCCTTCATGATCTGGAACAGGTTATGACGGCAGGTAGAAGTCTACTTACAAAAAAAGTTTACTCCATTTTAAAAGAAGAACTTAGAATTTAGTTTTGTATTTCTGGCATAATTGCCTTGTAGAAAATACTTGCCCTGTGTGCTGCATGCTTCATTGGCCTTTGAGTTTTTAGTTGCAAAATGATACTACAAAATAAACACTTTAAAAGAAATACTTTTTGTTGATAAATGGCCCTTTTAAGTTCTATGGTTAAGATAAAAAAAATCGAAGAGTGGATTCAGTTCTCCGAGCGTTAGACGTTGATGTGGTTTGAAAACAGTAGACTGAGATTCCGCTTGTATTTTTTGAAATGCTATACACAACAGTAAATTAGCACAAGGGAAAAAACCTGAAGATTTTTGTATAAAATATTTGAAAGAGAAAGAAATCGTGAATTATTCAAGTGTACATATCATTGTTTCGTGAACCATTGCTCAGAATAATGATCTTAGCCGAAACTTGGAGAGGTGGGAGAAGGAGGATCCTTAGTTTTTCAGAAGAATGAATATGTGGTGAGTGGTCTTTATAAAAGATTTACTATACTATAAAGTTTTCTAGCTCTTTATTACACATGAATTTCAATTATTGGTTTAGATTGTGTTGTAGGTTTTAAAAGCACATGGCTCTTCACTCAAATGCCATATTCTGTCTTTGAATTGTTTTAGTAACTAATTGAAATGTAGCTTGAGTAGTGTTACACTCACTCATTCCACTAAATCCCAGATGGGTCTTTTATTTAATAGAAAAAAAATACTGACATTTCACAAATTAGATTTTGAATTTGTAACTTGTATTACTCACTACCCTAAGCATATCTTATCACTACCCTAAGCAAGCCATTTTCAATAAAAAAATAATTTTGGAAAGTAATAAAGATGAATTTCAAAAGGAGAGTTCGTTCAACCACAACGAAGAATAAAAGTTTATTTCAAGCGCTAATGTCACTGTTAGAGTGTTCCACTGACTTTTGCCATAAATGTATCATTTCTCTTGAAAAGTCAATAATCAAATGCTAGGAGGAAGCAAGGACTGAAGAAATCCTTTTAGAAGATGAAACTTCTCCATCCTACACCCCAGCTTTAATTTCCTAGAAGGGAGGCCAAGGCCTAGGTTTTCTTTCCTTGTGTATTTTTTCTGTCTCCATCACCCACACAACTGGAATTGTCTATGTATAATCAGTTTAATTTTGATCCTGGCCGGTCTTATTTCAGATGCTTAATATCCCCTCTCCCTTCCTAATAAATAGTGCCACAATTTAGACAAGATGTTTAAGCACAAGTCTAGTTCGCATTTAAGCGTGATTAATCAATAATTGATGGGTCTGCCTGATCATAAGATTGGGTCATGTACTTGTGAAAATGCATTCAAGTTTAGAGTACTTGATTTGGGGAGAGGGATACCACTGAGTAGGCAAAGCGGTAGAAGCTAAGATAGACCAAAGCACAGACTTGGTAGATTTTGCATTTTTTGTTTTGGCCCAAAGTTGTTTAAACAGAGCCAGGAAGACTCAGTAGATACTGTGCCCTGAAGTGTTTTTGCCATGCTCCTGCAAACATTGGTAGTTTACTCATAATGACCTCTGCAGTGTCTTTTTAATAAATCCGTCCGTCTCTCTGTTGTTATTTTTATATAATTAGTTATGTTGCAAAAAGTCACCGTGAAAACTGGATTAGCAAACACTGAACCACTGCTCCTACTATGGTGTTAGATTCCTGAAAGCTGCTGTTCACAACATTTTTGTCAACTGATCAAGATACAACCTTGTTTTATGTCTGTTGCAGTTTAAATACACCTTATTTAATATATTTGGTTGATTTATTAACATTGAAATCATGGCCAACAGCTCTGTAAATCATGCCTCAATGAAGATTATCTCACACTTGTATTTTCTCTGTAGTCTTTGCTCCTTGAACACTAGACAGCACTTTAGCACTACGCTTAGGGACTGTTTTCAACAGTGAAATCACCAATAGCAAGCACAAAAATGAGAAAAACATGGCACTAAATAGACCATGAAAAGGACACTTGTTTACACTATGTAAGCTGAAACTAGAATGTGCACGTCAGTAGACTCACATTTTTCACCATTGTGCACATGTCTGCAATGACAGTGGAAGTGCTATGAGTAATGATTTTGGGGATACAAATAAATGTTAGTGAGTAGATGAATTTGTAAATATAGTATCCTCAACTAATGAGGAGCAACCTTTGTTATAGGTAGATATGTATATGCACATATTATGTCTATAATTTGAAAAGCAGATTCTCAGGGGTAGGTTGTATGTTATAACTAAACTGTTAAAGTTTTCTCTCTGAAACATTATATACTTTGTATCATAATGTCTTTGTAGTCAAGCACATAAGTGTTTGAAAATAGAACTTGCACCTTTTTAGTTCCTCCTCAAAGTTTAAAGGACTGATAACATAGTGAGGCAGTTCATGTTTTTTTTCTCAAAAACATGTTTAGGAGTCTGTACTAAGCAGATCCCAGCTTTGGTCTGTAGAAATGAGGGAGAGCGGTATGTTGGTTTTAGCTTCAAACAGTGACAAATTGTCAGGCTCATATAATTAATTCAATGTAACCTTCCAAGTTTTTACTAAAACCTGGGGTTGGCTTGTTGACCACATGCATCACCATAACAAGCCTTTGGTGCTAGTCTGAGGAATTTAATACTGATTGATAATAAGTTGGTTTTTGAGTAGGGGACATTGTTTTCCCTAAATGTCCTTGGTACAAAATGGACCTAAAATGGGGTGTTGAGACTGGGAGAGCAGAGATAACTTGTTGAGATAATGTAATCACGAGGTTATGGGGGCTGGGTAGGAATGATAGTGTGAATATGGTGATGTGGGTAAGATTTACTGAGATGGGTGTTGGGGGTTATTGGATTGTTAGTAATTGGAGGCCAGGAATTTACTACAGGGTTCTTTAAAAATAGCTCAGTATTTCTCTTAGAGTTAAATGCTTAGATAAGCTAAGTATTAGCCAGTTCTCGTTGTTAATTTTTCAGGAAGGTTGTACTATACATCTGATTTTGCACTATAAATTAGTAGGGAAATGATAGATTTAAGCATTATATCTCATTTGCAGAAAGCATCTGTGGCTGCCCAGTAACTTGTAAGTTCACATTCCGAAGAGAAGATAGAGAGGATAGAAAAAAGGGAAGGATCGAATAAAAATATCAACAACTGTTACTACTACACAACTTCATTAAATGCCTTTGGTGTGCTAAGCACTGCTAGGTGCTACTTAACATAGTAGAGGACAATAGTGGAGGTATTCTTCTGGCCTATGAAACTTACAGATTAGTGTGGAAGGTAAAAGCTAAACAAGCCAACAAAAATCACCAAGTTACTATAGTTAAAATTTTTTATATGTGTCGTGAAGACAATGCTCAGGGTTTTATGAGAGAATTCAGTTTAGACTGGGGGGTCAAGGAAGGCCTTTTTGATCTTTTAGCAGAAACCTGAAGGATGAAGAAAGTTAGGTAAAAACAGAGGTGTGAGGTTGGGGTGATTTGAAGTATGTCATGAAGACTGAAGTCTCTGTGTGAGGGAAGGAAGTTTCAGAAACTGAAATATGCTCAGAGCTGTGGACTACAATGAATGAATCACATGTAAGAGAGATCCAAGATGATGTTGGCAAGGTGACCAGGGTCCGGGGCTTAGTATACCATGCTGAGGAGTTTAGGTTTTATCTGAAATGCAACAGGAAGCTATTGAAGGGTTTGAATTGGGGCAGTGACATGCTCTGATTTGTATTTTTACAAGATCATGCTGATTGCTGTATAGAGAGGTATACAAATTATAAGGTTAAAATGATGACAGTGGGGATGAAGATGATAATGCTTAAATGGGAAGACCTTGTGGTGGTCATAGGAAGTGTTAGGAATTACTTGCTTATGTATCTCTCAGGTGAAAGTACCGTTTGGGAACATAAGGAAGGAACAGATTTTTTTTTTTTTTTTTGAGGTGTTTGGAGGACAGCCAGTAGTTCAGACATGTTTAGAGATGTGTTTGGATGAGATATCTGAGAGGAAATATCAAATGGGAAGCTGGGTATGTCGTCTGGAACTCAGCAAAGGTGTTTGGGCTTAGAGATGGTACTTCTGATTGATTAGTGAGCCCTGGCTGTTATTTAAAGCCCTGGGAGAGGATGGATGTAGGGAGAGTGTAGAATGAGAAGGTGCTCATTGAAGGACTCCTATAGTGCATTGGTCTCAGACATTAGTGTTCATTGTAAACATTCAGAGGATTTGGTAAAACAGAAGTGCTGAGCCTGGTCCCCAACTTTTGATTATGTCTGAGTGAGGCCCACTCTTTCAGTGATACAGATGCTGCCGGTTCAGGAACCACGTCTTGAGTACCGAGTACCACTGATTTCGAGCGGGCGAAGAAGACTAAGAAGAAGGTGCTAGAGAGGTATGAGGAATACCAGGACACTCTGATACCTGGAAACTTGAGAGTATTTCAAGAAGGGGAGGGAGTGAGCAGTTGTGTTGCTGCAAAGTCATCTTACTTGATCACATTTTTTCGCCTGGCATTCACAGTTATTCATGCTCACTTCTTATCTTTAAAAGCTTACCTGTAATTATTTGCTAGGTGAATACTCTTTGCGCCTGGTGCAATGTGCTCCACTCCCTGTTGGTCCGTGACTGAATCTTGTACTTGCCTAGCACTCTGCCTTTGTCTCTGTAATCCCTGTTTCCTAAGTACTGGTTATGATCACTTCCTCCTTTCTGTGGACACTTGTAACTATTTGCTTTTTTCCCTCTTGTCACATTTAACCTGTCTTGAGATGGAATTATGTAAGCACCTAGAAACACTAAGGTTGTTAACTACTGTTCCTCTGTCATCTCCACTACCAGATAGTAAAATTCTTAAGGCTAGACAGACTCTGTTTTAATTGATGTTGTATCACACAAGTTGGCCATACCATGAACATTCAGCTACTTCTCAAAGGAAATGGTGCTTGATTTTTTTATTTTTAATCAGATGATGATCTTCAGTAGAATTTAAGGCCTAATTTGCAAATTGAAGAGCACCAATGGAGGGCTCTTTACTGGACCATCAAAGGTTTTGTACTTAGGCCAGAGGACTCTGTGTTTTCTAGTTTGGTGAAGACAAACAACCGTTAAGGCAGTGTCATTTCACTTAACAACTTGAAACAGGAAAGAAAAAAAATAACCCAGATGCCCCCTTGTAGTTATCTTGCTTTATTGACATTGTATTTTTATTTATTCTACAAAGGTGGCTGAGTTTTTAAAAAAGTATGTTACATGCAATTGTGAAATTGTTTTACATTTTGTGGTTAATTTTGACAGCTTTTTTTGGATGCTGAGCTTTTTGGGGGTAGAACCAAGGTCTATTCACCTGTGCATTCAGTTGTCCAGTAGTACTTACTCAGCACCCTTTTTTGTTGTTGTTTAATTAAGCTCTTAGAAAACATTGTTTCCTCTTCTGAAACAAGGAGTTAATATCTATTATGAAGATTAGAGAAGATAATGTGTGACAGTACCTGACAGTGCATTGCCAAATCTCTTCATAACTATGAGTGAACTTTTAAGTTCCGATTTGGTTATACGCTTTCAGTGAAATCTGATTTGGAAATTATAGTGACTTTATTATATATTTGGTATCACATTTATCCTGAATAAGTATCACATTTGTGTTTGAAAAATATCTGAATAGTTTGTTAGATAATTATGTGTCCCTCAGCCATATTGAATTTTCAAGTTTCAATCAGCTATATAAAATTTTGACCTATATAGTAGCATATGATTTCACTATAAAATGGAAATTATTTGCAACAAAGGACACTATATACAATATTAACAAATGGTTCTTTTTTGGGTTGTTTATGTTATTATTGTAGTGATAGCTCCTAGGATGTAATTTTGATTGTCCGTTAATGTATTTCCTCTAGAGGTAGTAGTTTTATTCAAGGACAAGCTACTGACACTAAAACAATTATTCTAAATTTTCAGTATTCCAAAAAAACAGTGGAAATTTATAATGCATTTATCTCCAGTAAAGGTGCTAAATTGTACAGGATGGGCATGGTGGCTCACGCCTGTAATCCCAGCACTTTGGGAGGCTGAGACAGGTAGATCACTTGAGGCCAGGAGTTCGAGACCAGCCTGGCCAACAGGGTGAAACCCCATCTCTACTAAAAACACAAATATTAGCCGGGCATAGTGGCACGTGCCTATAATAACAGCTACTCATGAGGCTGAGGCAGGAGAATCCCTTGAGCCCAGGAGGCAGAGGTTGCAGTAAGGTGAGATAGAGCCATTGCACTCCAGCCTGGGTGACACAGCAAGACGCTGTCTCAAAATAAATAAATAAATAAATAAATAATAAATAAAAATAAAAGTGCTAAATTGTACAAACATGCCAAATATCTTTGCTTTTAGGCTGTAGTCAACTATTGTGGTTAATACTGACATTCTCATGCTGGGCAGATTGAAAAGGCTATGTCTTCGATATTTTAAAAATAATGAAAATGAATTAATATTTGTTAGTATGTTTCATCATGGGGTGCACAGTAGGGAAACTTGGAAAAGGTCCTTGATGTTGTCAATGTTAGAGAATGTACTAGAAAGTGAGACGGATGTCCTTATGTTGATCCTGGGTCTTATATAGTGTTCTTTCTGATCTTGTATATTATCTTGGTTTTCTTTCACCATTTCCCTCCTATTTTTTTGTCAGAACTTGAAGTAGTTTCATATACATCCAATAGAGCTCATTTGGTAGTTATCAAAATGATTAAAGCCTTGACTTGGGATTCCAAAGTTAAGAGTCTTGAACTACCATTTCAAAGCTGCCACACTTTTCTAGTGGTCGGGTATAATATTTCATCTCCAAAAGATTGGGACTGTTTATTCCTTTGTTTTATCTTGCATGCATCTGGTGAACCATTCATCTACCCACAGCCTGCTATTTTTAGGGGACTAAGTTGGGAAGTTGAGTGGTTAATGACTGAGCTGTTTTAAATAGCTGGGCACTTAGTTAATTTGGAGATTCTTTGTCTATGTGTATCAGCTTTACAAATGAGGTCAGTCAGCACATGTCTGCTAACTGTTTCAAAAGTCTCTCTCTGCAGGAAAGTGGTTGTAAGGCCTTTTCTACAGAGAGACTTTGTTTTTGGTTTATCCTAGTCTTGTAGAATTGCAGTAACATTAGAGGCATTTTGCAGTAAGTATTATTTTAAAATATGGAATGATTGTTGTTACTAGTTTGCCCATTTTAACATTTTTAATTATCTTTGAAATAGTGCCTTCTTGGACGCATCTATCGGGGAAAAATACCAGCTGGTAATCCCTGTTCTGCCTCTAACTTGCATTGTGACGTTTTGACTTCAGTTTCCTCAAGAAAAAAATGAAGTGGAAAAAATGAATTTGTAACATCTTTTTCCATTTTAGTATTCTTGGATTCTGTCTATGTAACTGATTTTAACTGCTCTTTTAGATAAATGAGGAGCATGGGACAGGGAGGAATAGCAATGAACAATTTCAGGATTGAGACCATAATGAAAGGATTGTGTTTGATCGTTATACAATTTGAGTTCTTTGACAGACTTCACAATGGAATGGCAATTTATTTTTTAATCCTAAAGTATGAAATTATTTTTATTTTATTTTATTTTATTTTTTCAAGACGGAGTCTTGCTCTGTTGCCCAGGCTGGAGTGCAGTGCTGCAGTTGTGGTTCACTGCAACCTCTGCCTCCTGGGTTCAAGTGATTCTCCTGCCTCAGCCTCCCAAGTAGCTGGGATTACAGGTTCTTGCCACCACACCTGGCTAATTTTTGTATTTTTAGTAGAGACAGGGCTTCACCGTGTTGGCCAGGCTGGTTTCTTAACTTCTGACCTCAGGTGATCTGCCCACCTTGGCTTCCCAAAGTGCTGGGATTACAGTCATGAGCCACTGCGCCCGGCCTAAAATTATTTTTTAATCATTGGAAAAAGGTCTTTTCTAAGAAGTTGCCTTACATGCTAGTCCTTGAGATCCGGGTAGAAGCTCAAATTAAATTGTGTGACATTTCAGAATACTATTTAGTTTCAGTGGGCATGCCACCTTAATTGCTTATTTTACTATCTTGATTGTGTTCTCTAAGAGACTCATGCACAATATATGTATTTTAGAGAGTATTAGTAACAAAACAAAACCTTTTTATTCAAAAAGAATATATGAGGAGGAGGTATGACAGTACTTTCTCTGATGAAGTTTACAGATACAAAGTTTACCCTTGATATGTGTGGGAAATTGGGTACCTTTTGTTTCCAATGCTGTCAGCCCTAATTTGGGTCCTTAATACATCTCGTTTAGAGAATTATATTAGCATTTGGACTGTTCTTTCAGACTCTTTCCTTGCCAAACCAATTCTTGTATTCCTTCCAGTTTATTCTTCCTAAAATGGACTTATGCTCATGTCACTCTCTTACTTGCCTAACCAAGTAAAGTACAAACTCGTTACTCTAGGATTCAGGACCCCCTGACCTGAACCTCCAGTTCAGTATGACCTCCAACCTACCTCTCCAGCCTTAATCTCTTACTCTTACTCCCTACTTATATTACACTGATGTGCTTGGTATTTTCTGCACTTCTCTCAAGCTTTCTGCTATCGTCTGAATGTTTGTGACTCCTCCCGCAATTCATATGTTGAAATCCCAACGCCCAAGGTGATGCTATTTAGTGATGGGGCCCTTGGGAAATGATTGGGTCATGAGAGCCCTCATGAATGGAATTAATGCCCTTATAAAAGAGGCCCCAGAGAGATCCCTCATCCCTTGCACTACATAAGGTTAGAGTGAGAAGATGGCCATCTGTGAGGAAACAAGCCCTCTCCAGGCACTGAATTTCCCAGCACCTTGCTCTTGGACTTCCCAGTCTCCATAACAGTAAGAAATTCTGTTGCTTATAAGCCACCCAATGTGTGTGTGTGTGTGTGTGTGTGTGTGTGTGTGTGTGTGTGTGTGTTTTGAGACACGGTCTCTATTGGCTAGGCTGGAGTGCAGTGGTGTGATCATAGCTCACTGCAGCCTTGAGCTACTGGCCTCAAGCAGTCCCCTTGCCTTAGCCTCCCGACAGTTGGGACAATAGGCATGTGCCACCTTGCCACACTTCTCCATTTCTGTTTTTTAGCTTATGTTGTTATGTTTGCCCAGAATGCAAATACTGGCCTCCACCACTCTGTTAAAAATGGGGTCTTGTAGGATATATTTAAAATAGTTACTTTTTTGTAATCTTTATTTTTTCCTGAAACCCTATCTACAACCAAATAAGTGTAATTATGCCTTCCTTTGCTCTGCGTAGCAACTGTTACTCATATAGCACTTATCTTAAATAGCTTTGTTCTATTCTAATAAAATGCGTAATTTTCTCTACTTTAAAATTTAATTCTTTTAAGGCTTATCTTGTATTCATTCTTTTTTTCCCTCTCATTATTTTTAAAATATTTGGTAGAGATGGGATCTTGTTACGTTATCCAGGCTGGTTTTGAACTCCTGGCCTCAAGTGGTCCTCCTGCTTTGGCCTCCCAAAGTGCTGGGATTACAGGTGTGAGGCACCATGCTTGGCCTTGTATTCGTCTTTTATCTCTTGCAGTGCTGTACTCATGATAGTATTGAGTACCTCTGTAAGAGGTTGAGTTTTGGTATTCAAAAGTGATCAGAGGGCTTGCTACAAATTACTATGAAACAATTGGATAGCAGCCATATTTGACATATCAAGCTGTTCAGTTGATATTTAGGAGAAGGCTGACTCTGTTTTTGAAGTTCTGTCCATTTTAAAATAAGGAGATAGAGATATTTGTTAATAATGTAGTTCTAGCATTAAATAGATGGATGAAAAAATACTACCAGATTTATTTTTGGACTCCTAGCCTGTTTTATTTCTGTTATGGTTATATGTATAGTACATCTTTGTTTTGTGGGTACTGCATTGCTTGTATTTGATGTGACTCTCAAAATGTTCTAGCCTGAATTCCCTTGAGCCACTACCGTTAGACAGAGTGGGAGCTGGGTAGTCTAAAGTATGTGCTTTGGATAACTGATCTTAAGAAAACAGTTTTGGGGGTGGTCAGCTGTGTATGGCTTTATCTTGAGTGGCGGATAGTACCACTCAATGGGATGAATGGTGTCTAAGAGGATGAGGGTATTAGGAAGAAGAAGGGGATCTTATCTCCTTAAGGCTCCTGGGGAGGGAAACAAATGAGCATTAACTTTGGGGATTCCTCTAACTGAACTGTATGATATTGAAGGTACTTATTTTCTAGGTGGAAAGACATTTAGTTTGCTTTTAGATTAGGAAATTTGTAAGCCTGGCCCAAAGGTCAGAGGGTAGCAAACCACCCTTGACTATTCTTTCTTTCAATTTCTGGAAGAGAGGGTTCCAGTACACTATTTCCCCTTGCCTAAATGCTGTATTTACTTATTTTGCTTTATTTTTGCTGGTTGGACCATTGTTAGGGCTGCCTGGAGCTTTATACATAAGTATTCTCTTTTGAATGAGATTGTCAGTGGTTAGTTTAGGTTTTACTATTCTTTCTGAATCATAAAGATACTACTACTAAAGTAATTTTTTTTTTTCCTGAATCTTGTCAGGACTATTTTTCTAGGGAGTGGGATTATGCATCACTGGCAATTACCCATTTTTTCATTCTCTTGCCTGCATCACAGACTCTCTTCCGTTGAATGTTAATGGTCTATTTTTTTATACAGGCACAGAAAAAAAAAGTTGCTACTGACTCATGATCAGTAGGCCATGTATTCTGAAATATTTGTTCAGAGGTTGGGGGTATATGTGCTCAGATGTGCATAGGCTTTTGATGGTGTCTTCTATGATCACTAACAGGAGTATGTAAGATAGTTAACTGTTACGTGCAGTAATGTGGATCTAAGGATTTTTTTTTTTTTTTTTGTCTACCTAATGGGCCTAAATTGAAATTGGAATAGATCCTTAGTTTCATTAGCACAGTATTATGGTTAACTCATCCAGACAGCTCAGTTTAAATCCTAGTGAATAGTTAACTGGATTGCTAAATCTTTGGTAAATTTTCATCTTTTAGCAAAATGTTTATGCAACCCAAAGGAGAAATTCTAAGGATCTCAACCAAAATTGGTACTTGTTTTTATTTTTAAACAAGTGAAGGTAGCTGTTATGGGTTTTATAGTTTTTCACCTTAGTGCAGTGGGAACTTTAGAAATATTGCAAACTCATGAGTTTTTTTTTTTTTAAATATGTGTTTGTGTATGGTATTTTTTGCCTATCCATAGGGATGGTTGGAAGTGCATTTGTAAGGGCTGTATGAATCCATAGTGTTCGAGGTTGGATGTAACTAATGCCCATAAATTTCTAGCTTGAGAAACCCTTATATACAGATTCAAGGTTCAGATTTGTTTTCATCTTAGAATAGTGGCTGTTTTTTTTTTTTTTTTTTTTAAATACACTAAAGGTATTTCAAAAAGTTGTGGTGGGCCATTATGGATAGTATAAGGTCAATTTCACTGATTTTTTTCTTTTTTTCTTTTGCTTTGGAAGACGAAATATAGGAAACAATGTGTAAGAACCTGAATTTAAAACAGGACCTTCTCAGAGCCTCTTACAGAAAATATCCTGAGTATTATATTAACTGTAATTGGTATTGTTGGACTAATAGTCTTTCTTTGAAAATGCTAGTGCTTCATTAAATTTCCCGTAATTGTAGTGATTGTCCAAATTTAGTTCCCTCATTTAACCATGAGAAAATGGAGTAATGAATGAACCCAAAGTCACATTATTAGTGTTGATTGTGGAGAGTAGAACTTAGTTCTCGTGACCAGCACTTTTTCTAGTAGTTATGGCCTCTTTCTTTTATTTTTATTTTTCATTTTGTTTCCTTATGCCTAAGTACTTTTACTTATGGCCTCTTTAATTGGCTCCTATGCTGTATAGGCATTGGCCTGTAGCTATAGTCATAGCTCCTGTATGTATGGGCATTGTCCTTTGATTGGGGTGGGGACTTGGAACTGGTTTAAGGGACCTCGGGACTTTTAATAGTCTGAAGGCAGCTGGAGTATTACTGGGTGCATGGGGAGTATGAGGTGGAAGACGTATTCTCAAATATTTTTGCTTGAATTTCAAAGTTAAAGCTTTTCTGCTTTGTATTTTCCTAAGGCAGTCAAACCATGTGTTACAGTTACTTGAGCTAAGATGTCACGATTAATTTTAAAAGTTTAAATTCCAGCTTCTCCCAGGTTAGTCTGTTCTCTCAGTTTAGAGAGGACAAGTCATACATGAAATAGTGTATTTGTGAACTGTAAAGTATGTAGCGTAAAGGTGCAATACTTCAGCTTCTTCAGTTGAATTCAGCATAGCAACACGGAGGACCTCCTGTAGGGAGAAAGGTAAAAGAGAGAAATAGCTAAGTTCTTATCCTCTGCTTTTCTTCTCTTCCGAGTTCAAGGTTATGGCGCGTGGAGTCTGAAGTGCTGTAATATCGGATCCCTATTTGCATTTTACCTGATAAATTTATGTGGTGTTCAAAGTAAAAAGAAAACACGATTCTTCTAAATTCCTGTTTATTAGATGACAGCACAAATGCTTTAGACTTAAACTTGGAATACAAAACATCTGAATCTTTACAGTGATATAAATTCCTATGATATTATAAAACAGTTTCCTTAAAAATGACATGACATTACTTTTATGATACATTTGGCATATTTTTATACACAGGCAAGTAAAAAGTTGAAATAGAATGGTGCTTGATTTATGATTTTAAAACATTAAAGGATAATGTTTCTAAACTAAACTTACTTGGAAATGGCATTATTGTTTGGGTATAAAACTCAAAAGGATATTGAAAAGCAACTAGGATTTATAAGAAATATTTGTAGAGTAGTAATTACCAAATAAATAAAGCTTATTGTTTTCTTACATCCCAGTAATAGTTAGAAAATAAATTACATTCGTAATAGCAAAACAATGTATATCACCTAAGAGCTAAACTCATGAGAAATGTGCAGAACCTCTGTGAAAAAAATTTATATTGTTTAGAAGAACATAAAATGAAACTTGTCTAAATGGAGAACTATGTCATGTTGCCAGCTAAGAAGACTCAATATTGTCAATATGTTATTTCTTCCTAAATAAACTCAGTACAAAAAAAGATAATTTTTCTAATATTTTTCAAACTATGGAAGTAACACCATCATTATCAAGAAGAATTCATCTAGTGTCTGTACGTTTTTCTGAGTAAAACGAGCTTTTTCATAAGTCAAAATATAGAGCCTGGCATGGTGGCCCACACCTCAGGAGGCTGAGATGGAGTTTGAGACTGCAATGAGCTGTGATTGTTCCACTGCACTCTGTCTTGGGTGACAGACTAAGATCCTGTGTCTAAATAACAATAATAATAATAATCATAAAAATAATAAATTTTTAAAAATGTAACCCATTCCCCCCTCCCATCTGCCTCTAATAATTGTCTCTCTTTCCAACTTTAGATAGAGGCTGAGCCCCTGGCCATCTTTTCTCTCCCATTCTTTTTTCCATCAGTTATTTGATTTTTCTCTTATTTTTACTTGTTCCTTAATATTTTTTTATACCTGTTGAGGTATACCAGTTTATACCTTAACAGTTTATATCCTGTTCAGCCTGTAAGCCTGTTTAATTTCAAAAGACAAAACACAAATAAAACTTTTGTGATCTTTCCTACTCTTTCCTTCCTTCATTAATTGACTTTTCTGAAAAATAGATTTTGGTAATGGTTCTCAAAGTGTGGTATGTGGACCCCAAGGGAAAGGGTCCTCAAGACCCTTTGATAGGGGGTCTATCAGGTAAAAAATGTTTTCATAATAATACTAAGACGTATTTGCCATTTACACTGTATTGGCATTCACACTGCAAGCACCTTAACACTAATCAAGGGTAGTGAAAAGCATTTCATTACTCTTGGCCCTTGAGTACATTTCTTTTCTTTTTTTTTCTTTTTTGCAAAATATGCATAAGATTCACCATAATAATCATTTTTAAGTGTACAGTTTAGTGGCATCAAGTACATTCAAATTGTTGTGCATTCATCATCACTATTTCCAGAAAATTTTCATCATTTTAAACAAACTTCGTACCCATCAAACACC
This sequence comes from Homo sapiens, assembly GCF_000001405.40. Lineage (NCBI taxonomy): Eukaryota > Metazoa > Chordata > Mammalia > Primates > Hominidae > Homo > Homo sapiens. The sequence goes on from NC_000004.12 coordinate 78,791,597, forward strand.
AACTTTCCACTTCCCCTATTCCTTTAGACCCTGATAACCATGATTTACTTTCCATTTCTATGAATTTGACTATTCTAGGTATCTTATAGAAGTGGAATCATAACAATATTTAGCATTTTGTGTCTGGCTTATTTTACTTAAAAATGCCTTTAAGGTATTCATCCTTGTTGTAGCCTACATCAGAATTTCATTCCTTTTTAAGACTGAATAATACTCAATTGTATGTATATATCACATTTTGTCTGTCTGTGGGCATTTGGATTGTTTCTACCTTTTGGCTGTTGTGAATAATGCTGCTGTACATATGGTGTACAAATATGTATATGTTTGAGTCCCTGCTTTCATGCCTTTTTGGTATATATCCGGAAGGGAATTATTGGATCATATGATAATTCTATGTTTAATGTTTTTGAGGAATTGCCGCACTGTTGTTCACAGTTCCTGTACCATTTTACATTCCCAACAGCATTGCACATGGGCTCCAGTTTCTCTACATCCTTGTCTCACCAACACTTGGCAATTTTTTTAATAGCCATCGTAATGAAGTGTTATCTATCTCATGAGAAATGTGCAGAACCTCTGTGAAGAAAATCACAATATTGTTATAGAACATAAAAGATGTACGTTTTCCTAATGATTAGTGATTTTGAGCATCTTTTCATGTGTTTATTGGCCATTTTTAAGTATATGTCTTTTTAATATGTGAAAAAATGGGAAATACAAAGCACTTTTGCTGCATAAGGAAGCAGTATCGTGTAATTGAGGAAGAGCACTTGGGTGATGGAGTTGTTTGCTGAAGTAGTTTGATTTCATAGAATATCGTCTTTACTGGAAACAGTGACAAACTATGATTATTCATTTAGACTTGGATATTTGGCAGACATTTTCTTAAAAGATGATCCTGTCACTTCGAGGAAAACAAATTACACATCTTATTAATGTAGGAATTTGAACTTTCAAAGAAAATCAGAATTTTAGAAAACTTGTCTTAGCCATTGTGAGCTTACAGTTCCCTATTACTTTAAAAGCCTTTCTGAGGAGACAGGTGATAATATGAACAAATGTGATTTTTTTTTTTTAAATTCTGTAATGGAATATCTGTATAACCTATATTTTCCAAGCACATGATCTTACACAAAGTACAAGATTGACCACTGGATTTTAATTGTAACTGCAAAAAATTCAGTGATGTGGTTTTAGATTCCATATTACAACTAACCTTTAAGAAAGTACTAATTATCATGTTTTGCTACAATAGCAAAGAAGAATAGGCTATTCATAGTTATCTGAAAAGACTATAAAATAGTCTTCACCTTTTCCTCTACTTACCTGTGTGAGGCTAAATTATCTTTATGTACTTCATTCAACCAAAACAACATATCATATAGATTTACTGTCAAAGTAGGTGTGAGAATCCAACAGTCTTCTATTAAGCCAAATGTTAGAGTTTTGCAAACATGTTAAACATTGCCACTCTAGTCTCCAAGTTTTTCTTTTGAAAAATATGGCTATTTTTTATTAAATTGTTATGTAGGCCGGGTGCGGTGGCTCAAGCCTGTAATCCCAGCACTTTGGGAGGTCGAGGCGGGCGGATCACGAGGTCAGGAGATCGAGACCATCCTGGCTAACACGGTGAAACCTTGTCTCTACTAAAAATACAAAAATTAGCCGGGCATAGTGGCGGGCGCCTGTAGTCCTAGCTACTCGGGAGGCTGAGGCAGGAGAATGGCGTGAACCCGGGAGGTGGAGCTTGCAGTGAGCTGAGATTGCGCCACTGCACTCCAGCCTGGGTGACAGAGTGAGACTCCGTCTCAAAAAAAAAAAAAAAATTAAAAAAAAAGTTATGCACCGAGTTTATAATTTTAAATGAATTAATAAAGGTTTAAAAATTTTCAGATTTAATTTCTAATATAATATGGATTTATATAACCCATGTAAGCAGAAGCACTCGGTGGTTGTTGATAGTTTTTAGGAATGTAAAGGGATCCTGAGGCCAAAAGACTTTGAGAATCTCTGGGTCTACAATGTATAGTGTAATAAAACAGTCCGATATAGTAGCTAGTAGCCACATGTGGCTATAGAGTACTTAAAATGTTGCTACACTGAATTGAGATATGCAGTGTGAATAAAATGCACTTGGATATAAAAGCCTTAATATGAAAAAAGAACATAGAAGACCTTATTAATATTTTTATACTATTGATTATATGTTGAAATAATATTTTGGATATATTGGGTCAAAAATGTATTATTAAAACTAATTTTACAGTTTTTTTTTTACCTTGTTAATGTAGTTACTAGAACATTTAAAATTTTATATGTGGCTCACATTATATTGGACATACTGGACAGTGCTGATCTATAGTATACAGTTTACAGTGTATAGTGTGCACTTTGCAGTTGGGGTTATTCGCCTGGGGTTCATAAACATCCATGTGCATTTTTCTTGGGAGAGGGCTTATGGCTTTCATCATATTCCCAAAAGGCCGTGTGACCAAAGAAAAGTGAGAAACTGCTGTAAAATTTGTAGACTCCTCCCCTGACCTCTGCTTGTAGTTACTTGGGTACTGCTTGTATCTTGGATCTGGGGGGGAATCCCTTTCTGACAATTTGGTAGGCTGAGTGAAATCTGTGTTGCTGGGGTGCAATGATATGCATTCTTGACCTCTCAAGTTGGAACCTGGAATGAATGTTTCCATAGAAAAGTTTTAACAGACCGTCATTAGGTATTACAGTACTGTTAGTATTAAACTGTAAACGGACCCGAGAACCTCAGAATCACATATAAGACTGTTTCTGTGGGAAAATATTCTGAATACCAAAAGTAGACTTAGAAACTGTCAGAATACAATCTACTAGTACATTGGAGATTCATACACTTCATGCTGGGAACCTGATCGAAATAGATAATTTTTTTAAACTTGAGCATTAATAGTGTTTGAAAAGATTAAGCATGTGTTAAAGTGGTAATCATTCTATTTTTTTTTCTTTATTTTTGAGATGTCCTTGCTCTGTCATGGTAGTAGCATGATCTTGGCTCACTGCAGCTTTGACCTCCCGGGCTCAAGCGATCTTCCCACCTCTGCTTCCTGAGTGGCTGGGACCACAGGCATGTGCCACTGCACCTGGCTAATTTTTAAAATTTTTATAAAGACGAGGTCTCACTGTGTTTTCCAGGTTGGTCTTGAACCCCTGGGCTCAAGTGATTCTCCCACCTGGGCCTCCCAAAGTGCTGAGATTACAGGTGTGAGCCACCATGCCAGCCGTCATAAAGTTATGGGATGTTTGATTACTATTTATCTCTAATCATAAGAGGGATTATATGAATAAGCCACTGCATTGGAGGGTATGTAAATTAAGTGTTTGCCTGTTTAGTTTGAATAGGTTGGTGATGCTGTGTATGCAGTAGATTCTTGGCTTATGTAATCAGTTCTCATCAAAAAAGACTTCCTAAAACAATGAAATTTCAGGGCTTGTTGAAGTGAAGAGAGAATGCTTGATTGAAGGTATTCCAAACATAATTTCTTCATTATAACCCTTTGTACTTCAGTTATATTTGCTCACATTTATCGCAGTGTGCCATAATAACTTTTTTGTCTTTCTCTCTCAATAGACTACAAACTCACACATACGGTGTCCCATTTAAAACGTATTCCAGAGACTTTCACAGACACTTATTAAAATTTATTGACAAAATGAACATGAGAAGAGCTCTCTAATTATCTAACTGTTGTGAGATAATTGCAGTTTAGGTGAGATGACCGAGTATGGTCATTGGGTGAAGGGAACATTGAAGGCGATCTGAGAAAGCAGATGATGGGTTAAAGAGTTGCAGATGCTAGAAGAAAACCTAGGCATTACCATTCAGGACATAGGCATGGGCAAGGACTTCATGTCTAAAACACCAAAAGCAATGGCAACAAAAGACAAAATTGACAAATGGGATCTAATTAAACTAAAGAGCTTCTGCACAGCAAAAGAAACTACCATCAGAGTGAACAGACAACCTACAAAATGGGAGAAAATTTTCGCAACCTACTCATCTGACAAAGGGCTAATATCCAGAATCTACAATGAACTCTAACAAATTTCCAAGAAAAAAACAAACAACCCCATCAAAAAGTGGGCAAAGGACATGAACAGACACTTCTCAAAAGAAGACATTTATGCAGCCAAAAAACACATGAAAAAATACTCATCATCTCACTGGCCATCAGAGAAATGCAAATCAAAACCACAATGAGATACCATCTCACACCAGTTAGAATGGCAATCATTAAAAAGTCAGGAAACAACAGGTGCTGGAGAGGATGTGGAGAAATAGGAACACTTTGACACTGTTGGTGGGACTGTAAACTAGTTCAACCATTGTGGAAGTCAGTGTGGCGATTCCTCAGGGATCTAGAACTGGAAATACCATTTGACCCAGCCATCCCATTACTGGGTATATACCCAAAGGACTATAAATCATGCTGCTATAAAGACACATGCACACGTATGTTTATCGCAGCAGCATTCACAATAGCAAAGACTTGGAACCAAGCCAAATGTCCAACAATGATAGACTGGATTAAGAAAATGTGGCACATATACACCATGGAATACTATGCAGCCATAAAAAATGATGAGGTCCTTTGTAGGGACATGGATGAAATTGGAAATCATCATTCTCAGTAAACTATTGCAAGAACAGAAAACCAAACACCGCATATTCTCACTCATAGGTGGGAATTAAACAATGAGAACACATGGACACAGGAAGGGGAACATCACACTCTGGGGACTGTTGGGGGGTGGGGGGAGGGGGGAGGGATAGCATTGGGAGATATACCTAATGCTAGATGACGAGTTAGTGGGTGCAGCGCACCAGCATGGCACATGTATACATATGTAACTAACCTGCACAATGTGCACATGTACCCTAAAACTTAAAGTATAATAATAAAAAAGAGTTGCAGATGCTCTTTAGGAAATCTGGTGGAAGAGGTGAGGTATTTTTGTACTTAATAGTTATAAGGCCACTTAAAGGAGTCCCAAAGAGAGGTTGGCATAATGCTGAATTTGAACAGCAATATATAAGAGTTCACTAAAATTTAATGCTTTTTTGGGGCCTGATATTCTGGTGAGAAGGAAGTTGTGTAACGGATGATTGTGGTCTATATCCAGGCTTTGTATTTATGAATGGAGGAGTTTTGATATGTAAAAATGGAGAAAGAGTAATATTAGAGAACTAAATCTGTAGTCTTTTTCAGTTCTGCTAAAAAAAGTTATTACTTCTAAAATGTGACCGTGATGTAGGAAAAAGTGGATATAAAGTAGGGGAAAGGATGTTGTGACTGGGAATAAAGAAAAGTCAAAAAGTAGTGGCTTCATTTTAGCCTTCATTTCAGCTTTATGCATGGGAGTTGTGATGAGGGGCCCTAGAGACTAGTGATATAGCAGGAAGTTCAAGAGTACTATGAATACCTCTGGCCTGTTTTAAATGTATTAATTTTTTAAAACATTGTAATTTTGGGGAGTCTTAGTCCTTAATACAGTGCTTCTTAAACTCTAATAAGTATATGAATCACCTGGGATTTTTTAAACTGCTTACATTTAGTACATCTGGGTAGGGCCGGAGTTTCTGTGGTATCTGCAAGCTCTCAGGTGATGCCAGTTCTGTTGTTTCCACAGATCGCATTCTTCCTTAGCCAGTCTCCTAAAAGAAAGGAAAAAAACTTACCCCAAAAGTGATCAAATCAGTCCATTATGAATATCTGCTTTGTTAATGGCCTTCAGATGGATTATTAGTAGCTAAGAGGAATAATGCAAAGATTCTTAAATTTCATCTAGGGTCCTTTATTGAACAGATTCCTTGACTTGAATCCCAGAGATTCAATTCCAGGTTTAGGAAAAGGTCCAGAAAACTTCAGGTTTAATAAATACTCTAGGTAATTCGGTAGTATTGGGATTTTGGTTGGCATTGTATGAAAACTAGATATTAATTTGGAGGGATTGGCATATTGAAAGTATTAAGTAGTGCTTTCCAGAAATATAGTGTGTCTTATCATTTTTATTAAGTTTTAAAAGTTTCTCTCAGTAAAGTTATTCTTCATTTAGGTCTTGCAGCTTTATAAGCTTGTCACATATGTTTTATGTTTTTTTTGTAAATGGGTTGACCTTTCAGCAATGTGAGAAAGTTTTCTGTTGATTATCTTGAAGATAATTTGTCTTTGATTAGGAATGTGTTCTTTTTTATTTTAGAGATAGGGTCTTACTCTGTTGCCTAGGCTGGAGTGCATTGGCATGATCATAGAGCTCTCTGCAGCCTCAAACTCCTGGGCTCAATTGAGGGATACTTCCTCCTCATTTGGGACCACAGGTGTGTGCCACCACGCCTGACTAATTTTAAAAATTTTTGTAGCAATGGGGGGTCTCACTTCGTTGCCCAGACACGCTTCAAACTCCTGGCTTCAAGCAGTCCTCCTCCCTTGGCCTCCCAAAGTGTTGGTATTACAGGCATGAGCCACTGCATTTGGCGGGAATGCATTATAATAAGCTTATCACTTAGGCCTAAGAATCAAAAAGACAGATCCTACCTAGGAAAGTCTTGGAGTTTGGTATGTTTTTAATGAACTAGTTTCCTCAAGTGCCAGTAAGTCAGGTCCATAGAGAAAGCCATACTCAAGTCATAAAGGTGAGTGTTGCAAGAAATTATATAAGATTTTGGTTGAAAGAAGCGAGAAATGGAGATACCTGCTGGATGCCTGTGAGAAACCTAAGTGTTTCAGAGGTGGGTCGAAGGGGACAGCCTGATTAGGAAAAGTTATAGAAATACATATGTAGTCTCATCAAGGGAGAACATAACTGGTTTTCTTTTCTTAGCTTCCTTTCTGTAGCATAAAAACAAATTATTTTACTCTGAAAACAATTTGTTCTTAGAAAAACTATGATCATGTGTTCTCAAAGGAATGACTGTTAACGGTAGTCTTCCAGCATATCACTTTAGGATGGGCAGTATTCTTTAGGGAAACTCCAACGGATACTTGGAATTCTGACTTGAGAATTTCACTGTAATCATCATTAACCCAAAAGTACACATAACTACTGTCCTTTTAAGTGAAATATATTTTAATATAAACCTAAATGTTTATAAAGATTTACAATATCACTGCCTTCTTCCTTTTGCTGTTGAGAAGTTGATAGTTACTCCAGTTGCTTTCGTGGGTGATTTCACATTGAGGCTAAGTGCTGAATGAGAGAATACAAGCTGAGAGAATTAAAATCTGGGTATCAGTGCTTTTAAGACAAACCTTGTTCTTTTTATGGCACTTACTTTGTCTGAAATTTTAAATGTCTTTCTAGACCGTGCTGACACACATGGAAATATCCATAATAACATTATCAAATTATTTTATTTTGAGATTTTATTAGAAACTTCTAATTGTCTAGAGAACTTTCTACTCCACAGACAAATTAATATGCTCAACATTTCTGAAAAGACAGGGCAACAGTGCCGTTCTAATTTTTACAAGAAGGAATCTGAGGCCAGGTTCCCTTAGAAGCCAATTTACATTGACAGTTTAAAGAAGTGGACATACAAACATATATAGGACCAGAATTAGGAAAAAGTTCTGTTTGCTACATATTTCAATAAAGATATTAAAAAATAACTTGATTGTCCGTTTTTTTTTTGAGAATATCATGAAAGTTCTGTAGACCCTTTCCCCAGAAAAATTTGCATATAAAACCTACATATGGTTTCAGATGGTGCATAGACTTTATGTAAATACCCTTGCATTATATTCGTTGATTTCTTATAATGTTTACAATTTGAAATTGGCATACAGGTTTTGTATTTTAGTTACTTAAATGTTTTTCATAGTGGTTATAGGTATTTATAATCAGCATGAAAATATTAGAAAGTGAAAGTGTATAAGAATTTGTGTTTTTAGCTTACATACAAATGGAGATCCTGCTGTGGATTCAAATGTGTGTATTTGTGTATGTAATTAGAGTTTTACATCCAAGTTTTATCTTAGTATGATTTGGCTTTTGTATCAAAAGTACGTAAGATGTTTGTAAGGCTGTGTCTAGACTTATCTCTGAGTATCAGAATAATCTGACTAAATCTTGCTTACTCATGTGCTATGGTTACAGTGATATGCTATAAATGGGTTATAGGTGTACCAAGATTTGATTTTTCCTTTCACCCCCTCAGAGTAGCCTGGTTGTGGTTGAAGGTCCCTGCCTGCCAACTCAGGTTGAAAGTAGACTTCATTTACCCAGTGGTCTGGCCAAGTTACTGGAAAACAACAATAATAACTAGGTGGTTTTTCATTAGTAGGATAAATACAGATTTAGTCGATGGAATATTAAGTGCGGGGAATAGTGGAAGTCGGTGAGCAGGATATGCCGTACTCTGACAAGGTTGAGCTGTCTTTGCAAAGGAGAAATTATACAAACTTTTACTCTTTCAATTTGAAAGTCTTGTTTGTCTTCAGTAACATCAAGATAAACCTATTTGAACAATTGTAGAGTGTGCTTTTCTTTGGACTCAGGCAGAATGTATAAATATGTATCTGTTTTCTGGGCCATGGTTTGGGTATCAGGTCTTGAAGTAATAGATAGTGGCTCTATGCTGATACTTTGGCTCTGTGATGAGACTTTTCTCAGTAGTCCTATCCTCCCCTTCTGAAGTAATTACAGAAGGCTGTGTTTACTTGGCACTTGAGATAGTTATACAAAGTGCATGCATAAGCATCAACATGTTAGGGCTAGTATAGTGATACAGGATAGTGGTCAGGAGGAGTTAACAAAGCCCATATGGCACACTCTCTATCTTCTGTGACTTAATTACCATGTTTCCTAACCTACCCATACACATTCAGTAATACAAATTTTGGTGGTCTTTGTTTGCTAGTCTTAGACTGTCCTGTATAGTTTTAATTCTACTTTAATGAGCCGTATACTGGAATGTAGTTATGTCTGTAACTTGTTTAGTGTCAGGTTAATTTCTAGATGTTCCAAAAAATACATTTTTTATTTTGTATTCTGTAATAATTTCATGTTAATACTTTAAATTGGAATAGTTTAAACTACAGCTGTCTTTAAAGCTTGGAGATAGAGCTCTTTTTAATAAAATTAGAATGTGTATTATAAACATCTAAAAAATGGCAAACTCAACTCATGTTAATGGTTTTAGATTGAATTGCTTTGTTTGTATACAAGTGTTTAAATACAATAAATGTAATATTACATTTATTAAGTATCAAATGTAAATACCGAAATTGTATTTCATGTAGAGAAATTTTTAGAGGATGAATACATTTAAACATTTAATAGACCTTTCCTTTCAGTGTATTTCAAAAGTTTTAACAAAGATTTTCTGTTCACCCTAATAGCAGTTGTCTAAAATATTTTTAAGATGGAGGTAGCTTATTCCATAATGCTCAATGAACTTTTCTTCCTTTACTTGTTGTTGGTGTTTTACCTGTTGGTTATTCCCCTGCAGTCTCTCTGTGTAATGGATCTATGCACAAATTACCCATAGCTCTATTTCTGTAAACCAGGCTTCCTTGCTTCTATTGTAGACATGATATCTAACTATTAAAATCTATTTTTAGATTTTTACAAACCTGAATTTCTCACCAAGTCAGCTTCTCTTGTTTGAATAGGTGGCCCAATCCTAGATACTCAAGTGAGAAATGAATTCACTTGCCATGTCTTTTCTGTGAATTATCTTTATTGCCTGGATGGTTGAAGTAGCTGTGTGTGTGTGTGTGTGTGTGTGTGTGTGTGTGTGTGTCATAAGTAACAGAGAAATAACTTTCCATTGTAAGATAAACAGTGTAAGGCAAAAGTTGTTTAACCTTCCCTACCCCTACTCCCCTCTTAACAGTCGCTATGTATTGTTTTGAGACCTTTTTTCTTTATACTGAAATAGCTTTCTAATTTGTCTCCCAATTCTGATCTTGACTCCTTGTCAATCTCTTCAAACGGTGCTTTCTCATTATAGGTTTAATTCTTTTTCTTGCTTTGTTTTGGAATGCTTAAGGTTCTCTTTTCTCCATTTTATTTCTTGCCCTCTGCTATCTGGAAGACATATATACTTTTTCTGTTGTTTTAGTGGTGGTTTATCCCAGTAAGACTAAAGTTATAACTCTGTGCCTCACCTGTGTAAGAACCTTAGAATGCTCTAACTCCTGTCACTGTCTTCTCTCCTCTTGAGAGGATATGCCATTGTTCTTATGATATGACATTGTTTGTGATTTTACATCTATCGTCACTTTTTAAAAAATCTACAGTTTAGAAATTAGGCTTATTTTACAAGCCAGTGTTTAACAGCTATGATCTTTGTGACTCTTTCTTGTATGTTGAGAAAGAAGGTCTTGTATGATCTTCCATCTAGGCTCAATTACTTTCAGTCTGACACTCTCTCCTTTAGTGAAGGCCATTTTTTGTTAGCTTGAGAAGTCTTTATTTTAACTTCATTCTAGAAAGAGTTTTGCTCGATATAGACTTCTCTGCAGATAGTTATTTTCTTTTAGCATTTGAAGGTGTCATTTCACTGCCTTCTTCGTTTTGCTGTTGAGAAGTTGGTAGTTGTGGGCAATTTCACATTGAGGCTAAAGTGCTTTGTGGGTCTAGACTTTATGTGGTGATCCCAGTGTGACCTTCTTACTCTTATGTTGGCCTTTGGCTGTCATCCAGTTTATGGATTGATGCTTTCTTCTTGTTTTTGTCTCGAAAGAATTGTCTTGATCTGCTTCCATGATTATTTTGTCCAGAATTTTAAACACTGCTTTTCCAGGAAAGCTTTTTCTGAACCTGTAATCTGCCACGTTTCTAGGAGCAGAAATTGCAATTTAAATTTTAACATAGTCAAACTTACAAGTTTTCATCTTTTTGATGTTTTTATACCTAAATAAGAAATTATTTTCTACCTTGAAGTTATACATACAGTCTCCTAAATATATGTATTAAGACCTGGAATGTTTATCTTTTAATAGTTATATCTTTAAGTCATCTGAAATTTGTATTTGATGTGTTATGAGGTAAAGATCAAATCCCTCTGACTACCCCAGTTGTTATAGCCAAATGTTTACTGGTTCCTTCCCCAATGATCTCTGATGTCATTTATCAACTTTTTGTAGTTTTTATGTATACACAACTCTGTTTTTGAGCTTGCTCTATTATATTCTATAGTCCTTTGTTTATCTCTGCACCATTATTATATAATCGAATCAGCATTTATAATCTTTTTTTTTTTGTTCTCTTTTTTGTTTTTTTGAGGCAGAGTCTTGCTCTGTTGCCCAGGCTGAAGTGCAATGGCACATTCCTGGCTCACTGCAACCTCCGCCTCCCAGGTTTATGCAGTTCTCCTGCCTCAGCTTTCCAAGTTGCTGGGATTACAGGCGCCTGCCACCACGCCCAGCTAATTTTTGTATTTTTAGTAGAGATGGGGTTTCACCATGTTGGTTAGGCTGGTCTCGACCTCCTGACCTCAAGTGATCCACCCTCCTCGGCCTCCCAAAGTGCTGGGATTGCAGGCGTGAGCCACCACACTGGGCCAGAGTTTATAATCTTGATAATTGTTAAAGTGACTAACCCCACTTCATCTTATTCCTTTAACATTCCTTTATATTTTATATAAAAATATATATACCCCCCTCCTTTTTTGGTAACTTCTTTAATGTCTTTTATTAAAGTTTTATAATTCCCTCATAAAGCTCTCACGTGTCTTCTATTTGATTTAATCCTTGATTTTTAAAAATTGCTATTAAAAATAGTAGCTTTATTTTTGTTTCAGTGTCTCTTGGTTACTTTTTTTGGGGGGGATCAGAGTCTTGCTCTGTCACCCAGGATGTAGTGCAGTGGTGCAACCTCAGCTTACTGCAACCTCTGATTCCCATGCCTCAGCCACCTGAGTAGCTGGGATTACAGATGTGTACCACCACTCCCTGCACATTTTTGTATTTTTAGTAGAGATGGGGTTTCGCCATGTTGTCCAGGCTGGTCTTGAACTCCTGGCTTCCAGTGATCCACCCACCTCAGCCTCCCAAATTGCTGGGATTACAGGTGTGAGCCACCATGCCTGGCTGTTTACTTTTTAATAGGAATGCCATTACTAGAGAATTACTTTCCTGAGCAAATCTGATGAATATCAACCTTTGATTAACATTTTTCTGTTGTTTTCTAATCTCCTGTAGGGTGAGTTATGAACCTAAGAGCATAATATATGATGATCCTTCATGATTAGGATCATGTGTACCTTTTTATCATGCCTCATCTCCCATAACTTCATATTCTGAGATCTGTGCTTCAGTTATATAGAACTAGTTTCAGTCTGGAACTGAATCTCTTATACTCTGATTTTTTAAATTATTGAGACATAATTAACATATCATAAACTTTACCCTTTTAAAGTATAAAACTTAGTGATTTTAGTGTATTTACTTTGTTGTGAAACACCACCACTAATTCTAGAACATTTTCATCAACCCCCAAAGAAACCCGGTAGTCATTAGAACTTACTTTCCATTCCTCCCTCCCCACCCCAAACTCTTGTAATCACTAGTCTATTTTCTGTCTCTATGGATTTGTCTATTCTGGGCATTGCATGTAAATGGAATCATATGATAATGTGGCCTCCTGTGCCTGGCTTCTTTCATTTAGCATGTTTTAAGTTTCATTCATGTTTTAACATGCATTCATTCTTTTTTATGGCTGAATATTCCTTTATATGAATAATACATTTTGTTTATTAATCAGTTAGTGGACATTTAGCTTGTTTTTGCTTTTTGGCTATTATGAACATTTACGTAAAATTTTTTGCGTGGATATATATTTTAGATTGTTCTACACTTGATACCTAGGAGTAGATTTTCTGAGTCATATGGTAGCTTTATGTTTAACTTTTTGAGGACCTACTATATTTTTCCATAATGGTTGCACAATTTTAATTTCCCACCAGCAATTTATGAGGTTTTCCAATTTCTTCATATCCTTGCCAACATGTCTTCTGTCATTTTGATCATAGCCATCTTAGTATGAAGTGGTATCTCATTATGGTTTTGATTCATCAGTCAGGTTCCTAATGACTGATGTTGAGCATCTTTTCATGTGCTTATTGGCCATGTGTGTATCTTTTTTTTTTTTTGGACAAATTTCTATTCTGCTTTTTGTAAAATTGGGTTGTCTTTTTATTGTTCAGGGATAAGCGTTCTTCATAGATTCTGGATACTAGATTTTTATTAGATATAGAATTTGCAAATATCTTCTCCCATTATTTGGATTATCTTTTTGCTTTCTTGATAGTGTCTTCAAAAATTTTAAATTTTGATGAATTTTAATTTATTATTTTTTGGTTGCATATGCTTTTGATATGTTAATGTCAAAAAATCATTGCCTAATCCAAGGTTTGAAGATTTACACCTATGTTTTCCTCCAAGAGTTTTATAATTTTAGCTCTTATTTAGGTCTTTGTTCCATCTGGAGTTAGTTTTTGTATATGATGTGAGTTATAGGTCAAACTTCATTCATTTGCATGTTAATAGCCAGTTGTTCCAGCACCATTTATTGAAAAGGTTAGTCTTTCCTCATTGAATTCTTTTGGCACCCTTGTTGAAAATCAATTGATCATAAAAGTATGGGTGAATTTCTAGGCTCTGAGTTCTTTTCCATGATCTACATAAGTGTTACCTTCTACCAGTACCACACTGTCTTGATTGCTGTAGCTTTGCAGTACATTTTGAAACTGGGAAGTGTGAGTCCTCTAACTTTGCTTTTTTTCAGGTTGTTTTGGCTGTTTTGGGTCCTTTGAATTTTCATATGTATGTTTGGATGAGTTTGTTCAGTTCTGAAAGACAGGGATTTGATAAATAATTTTTGAAGTATTTCAATCCAGTCTTTCAGTCTATGAGTGAGGAATGTCTGTTTATTTAATAGGTCCTTAATTTCTTTCAATGATGTTTTATAGTTTTCAGCATACAAATTTTTATTAAGTTTATTACTAAATATTTTATTATTTCTGATACCTTTGTCAATAGAAGTGTTTTCTTAATTTATTTCAGATTGTTCATTGCTAGTGTATAGAAATACAGTTCCTTTAGGCTGGGTGTGGTGGCTCACACCTGTAACCCCAGCACTTTGGGAGGCTGAGGCGGGTGGATCACAAGGGTCAGGAGTTTGAGACCAGCCTAGCCAACATAGTGAAACCTCGTCTCTACTAAAAATACAAAAAATTAGCCGGGCACGGTGGCGGGCGTTTGTAGTTCCAGCTAATTGGGAGGCTGAGACAGGAGAATCACTTGAATCCGGGAGGCGGAGGTTGCGGTGAGCCAAGATTGCACCACCGCACTCTAGCCTGGGCGACAGAGTGAGACTCCATCTCACAAAAAAGAAAAAGAAATACAATTGCTTTAAATTTTTTTTTTCATTTTTTTATGGCCTGTGACACATCCTCTAGAGATCCTGAGAACATGAGCTCCTACAAATTGCTTTTTAACTAATTATCTTATATCCTGCAACCTGCTGAACTTGTTTATTAGCTCTGATAGGGGGTGTGTGTGTGTGTATTCTTATAGGTTTTCCTATGTATATATTTAAATTTTTAGGATAATTTTTTTTTTGGAGGCAGGATCTTACTGTGTTGCCCAGGCTGAAGTGCAGTGGCACAACCTAGAACTCCTGGACTCATGCATTCCTCCAGCCTCAGCCTTCTAAATAGCTGGGACTACAGGCACATGTTACTATGCCCAGTGAATTTAAAATTTTTTTTTGTAGAGGTAGAGTCTTGCTATGTTGTGCAGGCTGGCCTTGAACTCCTGGCTTCAAGCAGTCCTCCTGCCTTGGCCTACCAGAGCACTGGGATTACAGGTATGAGGTATCATGCCCGGTCTGTATGTATAAGATGACATCTACAAATAGAGACAGATTTACTTCTTTTCAATCTGGATGACCTTTTAAAGTTTTTCCTACCTAAATTGCTTGGGCTAGAATCTTCTCCACAATATTGAATAGAAGTGGTGAGACATAAATATATATACCTGCTGTGTATCAACCAAAATTTAAAAAAAAGTGGTGGTGAGAAAAGACATCCTTGTTCCTGATCACAGGGAGAAAGCTTTCAGTCTTTCACCATTAAGTATAATGTTAGCTGTGGGATTTTTGTAGATTTCCTTTATCATATTGAGAAGGTTGCCTTCTATTCCTAGTTTGTTGACTGTTGTTATCATGAAGTGGTGGTGGATCTTATCTTTTCTTTTTTTTTTTTTTTTAAATATTTTTGAGACAGTATCTCACTCTTTTACTCAGGCTGGAGTGCAGTGGCATGTCCTCGGCTCACTGCAACCTCCACCTCCCAGGTTCAAGCAATTCTTCCTGCATCAGCTTCCCGAGTAGCTGGGATTACAGGCGCCTGCTACCACCCCCAGCTAATTTTCGTATTTTTTTAGTAGAGATGGGGTTTAGCCATGTTGGCCAGGCTGGTCTTGAACTCCTGACCTCAGGTGATCCTCCTGCCTTGGCCTCCCAAAGTGCTGGGATTATAGGTGGGAGCCACCGTGCCTGGCTGGGTGGTGGATTATTTTCAAATTTTTTCCCTGCATTTATTGAGATGATCATGTGATTTTCTTCCTTTATTCTTTTAATACGTTTTATTACATTGGTTGATTTTTGGATGCTGAACCAACCTTGCATTCCTGGGGTAAATCTCACTTGGTCATGGAATGTAATCTTTTTTTAATGTATGCTGGATTTGGTTTGCTAGTATTTTGTTGGATTTTAACATCTATACTCAAGGGATATTGGTCTGTATTTTTTTTTCTTGTGATTTATTTTTCTGGCTTTCATAGAGTAAGTGACAAAACGTTTCCTTCTCTTCTATTTTTTTGGAGAATTTTTTGAGGATTGGTGTTAATTCATCTTTAAACATTTGATGGAATTTATTAGTAAAGCCATCTAGTCTTGGGCTTTTCTTTTTTTCTTTTTTCTTTTTTTTTATTACTAACTCAATCTCTTTACTTGTTATAGGTCTGTTTAAATGTTCTATTTCTTTTATCAAATTGATAATTTGTATCTTTCTAGGAATTTATCGGTTTCACCCAAGATATCTAATTTGTTGGCATAAAATTATTAACCCTATAATTGCCTTACAATCCTTTTGATTTCTTTAATGTCAATAGTAATATCCCCTTTTATATCTAATTTGTTGGCATAAAATTATTTACCCTGTAATTGCCTTATAATCCTTTTGATTTCTTTAATGTCAACAGTAATATCCCCTTTTTATTCCTGATTATATTAATTTGTTTTTCTAGTTTTTTCTTGGCCAGTTTAGCTAATGGTTTGCCAGTTTCAGTTTTGATTTCTCTATACTTTTTTTATTTCACTTATTTGTTTCACTTATTTCCACCCTAATTTTTGTTATTTCCTTTCTTCTTCTTTGGGAATAGTATGTCTTGGCTTTTCCTAGGTTTTATTTATTTTTTTTTCGAGATGGAGTCTCGCTCTGTTGCCCAGGCTGGAGTGCAGTGGTGTGATCTTGGCTCACTGCAACCTCTGCCTCCTGGGTTCAAGCCATTCTCCTGTCTCAGCCTCCCGCGTAGCTGGGACTACAGGTGCCTGCCACCACTTTTTCTAGTTTTTAACATCAGAAGTTACATTATTGATTTGAGATCTTGCTTCCTTTTTTTTTTTTTTTTTTGAGACTGAGTCTCGCTGTGTTGCCTAGACTGGAGTGCAGTGATGTGATCTCGGCTCACTGCAAGCTTCACCTCCTGGGTTCACACCATTCTCCCGCCTCACCCTCCTGAGTAGCTGGGACTACAGGCACCTGCCACCGCACCCGGCTAATTTTTTTTATTTTTACTAGAGACGGGGTTTTCACCATATTAGCCAGGATGGTCTCAATCTCCTGACCTTGTGATCCGTCCGCCTCAGCCTCCCAAAGTGCTGGGATTACAGGCGTGAGCCACCATGCCCGGCCGCTTCCTTTTTTAATACAGGTGTTTTATAGCTATAAAATTCCCTCTAGGAACTACTTTAACTGCATTTTGTTAAGTTTTGGCGTGCTGTTTTTTAAATTTTGATTCACCTGAAAGTATTTTCTCATTTCCCTTGTGATTGCTTCTTTGATGCATTGGTTATTTGAGTGTTTTCTTTAATATCCATATGCTCTTGAATTTCTCAAATTTCTTTTTTTTATTGATTTCTAATTTACTTTTATTGTGGTTGGAATATACTGTATGTGATTTCAGTCTTTTTAAATTTATGGAGGCCAGTTTTATGTTCTAACATGCTGTATCCTGGAGAACGTTCTGTGTGGACTTGATAAATGTGCATTTTGCTGTTGTTGAGGGGAATGTTCTATAAATGTCTGTTAGGTCTAGTTGGTTTATAGTGTTCTTCAAGTCTTATTTTCTTGTTCATCTTCTGTCTCCTTGTTCCATTCATTATTGAAAGAGGAGTATTGAATTCTCCAACTACTATTGTATAATTATCTGTTTCTCTCCTCAATTCTGTCAGTTTTTGCCTCATGCATTTTGGGGCTTTGTTGTTAGTGTATATATGTTTGTAATATATCTTTCTGATGGATTGGCTCTTTTGTCATTTCTTTTATTTCTAATGCATTTCCTTGTCTTTAGTCACAATTTTTGTCTGAAAGTCTAATTTGTCTGATATTAGTATAGCTACTCTAGCCCTTTCTTTGGTTATTATATACATGGTGTTACCATCCTTTTAGTTTTAATCTACTTGTGCCTTTTAATCTAAAGTGTTTTTTTTTTCGTGTGTTTGTTTTTTGTTTTATTTTTTCTTGAGACAGGGTCTGGCTCTGTCACCCAGGCTGGAGTGCAGTGATATGACCTTGGCTCACTGCAGCCTTGACCTCCTGAACTTAAGCAGTCCTCCCATCTCTGCCTCCTGAGTAGCTGGGACCACAGACATGCACCACCACACCTGGCTAATTATTTTTATTGTCTTGTACAGACGAGGTTTCACTGTGTTGCCCAGTCTGGACTTGAACTCCTGAGCTCATGTGACTTTTCTGCCTTGGTCTCCCAGGGTGTTGGAATTATAAATGTGAGCCACTGTGCCTGGTTTAAAGTGTTTTTTTTTTTTTTTAAATAATTTCTGACTCTTTATTAACATTCTCTACTTGGTGAGCCATCATTTTCATACCTTACTTTAGTTCTTTAGACATGGTTTTTATTAGTTCTTTGAACATATTTGTTGTAGCTGATTTAAAGTCTTTGTCTAATAAGTCTAACATGGGTTTTCTCAGAGACAGTTTCTGTTGACTTGCTTTCTCTCTATATGGACTATACTTTTCTGTTTCTTTGCATGTCTTATAATTTTTTGTTGAAAATTGTACGTTTGAAATAATTGTAATGTGGCAACTCTGGAAACTGGATTCCTCTACTCTCAGGATTTTTTGTTGTTGTTGCTGTTTGTTTACTGACTTTCCTGTACTAATTCTGTGAAGTCTGATCCCCCACTCTGTGGGTTGCCACTGAAGTCTGCTCAGATTAGTGGTCAACTAATGATTGGACAGAGGTTTCCTTAAACACCTGGGACTAATAAGTCTTCTAGCTTTTGCTGAGGGTGTGTGTTGGGGCATGAATTCAATACTCCAATGCAGTTTATAGCTCCTCGTGAGCCTTCTTTCTTTTGCAGAGCCTTAAAGACATCCAGAGGTAAGAGGCTAGGTCCTTCTCAGTTCTTTCCTGGGCGTGCACACTCTACCATACATGTGTGTGGCCTCTAGATTACTAGGAGCTAGAGCTTTTCAAAGAGTTTTTCGAAGCCCCTGTAGATATCTCATTCCTACTTCGACTTAAGTTTTTTGGTCGACCTCTTTTTATCTGTAGCTATTATCACTGCCTATGACAGCTACAATATTATACAATTGCTGCTGATTGTTTTAAACAGATGCCCTGGTGATAGGGCTTTTTGCACAGAGTGCCGAGTCAGGTCACATAAAGACAAACCTGGAGAATGGAGCTTTTCCAGGTAGCTGACTGACAGGTCTAACAGTGACAAGTCTTGGGCTTTTTGGTGAGCTCTAAACCTGTTTTGTTTCCTCCAGTGGTTGCTAGGTTGGTAGTTTTCACAGCTACTGTGGTTGTGAGCTGTATGGCTTGAAGGCTATCATGGAGCTGGAGAGAGAAGGATGGGAATAAAGCAAGTTAAAATGCTGCAAAGCTTGCTGTTTTTACTGAGATTCATCCAATATTCTTGAATAAAAACATTGTTACAAGGCTTTAGCTAATTTCTAGGGTTGTGAAAAAGTTGATTTTGACAATTTTTGCCAGTATCCTCATTGCTTTTTTTAATAAAGGAGCAAATTTTTGGAGGTTGTTACTTTTCCATTGTGTAAGTGCTTCACTTCTGATATTTTTATACGTGTTTTTCCTTTCAAGCTTTACCTCTTTGGAAAGTACTATATACTCTTCTGTGATTCAGCTCACATATTAATACTACTTTTTCAGTGATACCTTTTCTAATTTCCCTGCATGTACCTCACTTTTTGTTTTTGTGTGCCTTAAACGTAACTCTTTTACTGCACTTGTGGTATTTCATTTGTTTATCTTTATTGCCTGTTAGATTGTAGGGATAC
This sequence comes from Homo sapiens, assembly GCF_000001405.40. Lineage (NCBI taxonomy): Eukaryota > Metazoa > Chordata > Mammalia > Primates > Hominidae > Homo > Homo sapiens. The sequence continues at coordinate 78,811,197 of NC_000004.12, forward strand.
TTTAGATTACTTTCTGTCTCTCATTCCTAAAAGCTGAAGAATCCTTGGAGTTTATCTGTAGTTGTTAACATGAATTACAAATGAGGAGGCTGAAGCCTAGAGAGGGTAGGACAGTAAACCCTTGACTGAGTATTTTGCGGCAGGTGTGTCTCTAAAATATGCTTTCTACTAATTGTGTAGTACATAATAATTTTATATTCATTAATGCTATTAATTTATATTAAAGTTATGGTTATATGTACTGCTAGATATTTGTAAATGAAAACAAGTCTATCTTATTAGAATTTCACATGTATGCATATGCAGGTAAGACCATGCGATTACAAATGCAAGGCTAGTTAATTTTAAACATAATAGGAGCTTCTCCCTTTTCTTCTTCTTTCTGAATTTTATAAAAGTAACAACAAAATTGATGTATATGTGTGTATAAGGTAATAAGCTTAATCTTTTAGCTAAATGTACAAACAAATGAGTGCTGTTTTACCAAGTAATTGTTAGCAAGCAGGTCTATTTTTATCCATTTATAAAGATATTTCTTACAAAACATTTTGGAAGTCATTTAAGACATTTCTCTCGGCCAATTTATAAAATACACAGCTTAATTTGTTGACCCATCATGTATTGGCTTACAAAAACCCATATTTTCCCTCCTCCATCAAAAACTCTCTCTCTTCATTTAACTGACTCGGTTAGGGATTACTTATAACTGTTACTGAAGTTCTATCTAGTCTCAAGAAGTGGGAAATTTCCCACACTGAAGTTATTTTTTAAAAAGTTTTTTTTTTGTTTTTTTAAAGACAGAGTCTCGCTCTTATCACCCAGGCTAGAGTGGAGTGGCATGAACTCGGCTTACTGCAACCTCCATCTCCCAGGTTCAAGTGATTCTCTTGTCTCAGCCTCCTGAGTAGCCACAGGTGTGCACCACCACGCCTGGCTAATTTTTGTATTTTTAGTAGAGACAGAGTTTCACCATGTTAGGCCAGGCTGGTCTCAAACTCCTGACCTCACGTGATCCACCCACCTCGGCCTCCCAAAGTATTAGGACTACAGGCGTGAGCCACTGTGCCTGGCCTTTAATGGGAATTTTTTTTTAAGATGCAGGAATATAACAATTCCCCTTCTCTCAGCTATAAATGATGATAGATCTTAAAAACTAAGCTACAAATAAGGATAATGCCCAAATACATATCTCTTGTTTTTATCTCTTCTGTGAACTTTACTCTTGGAATTCTAATCACCAATTTCACATCTCCTATTGGATGTCCAGTAGGCATCTCTAACTTGGTATGTCCAAAACTGTGCTGTTGATATTCTGCCTACACCTTCTCTGTTGTCTGTCAAGACCTGTTAAAAGTCTGAAATTTTACCCTACTAAGTCTCCTTCCCCGGGGGAAGACTTATTACCCATTAAAGATTCTGATTCTCTAAACTCAGGGTTGTTTTCATGTAATGCAACCCACTGCATATGAAGGTATCACCTGGCCCTTTTCCATAACCCTGTGGGAATTAAGGCTGTGAGAAATATAGCAAAGTGCTGTTAATCTGGCTAAGACTATTTGGCTGTGGTGGCTCATGCTTGTGATCACAGCACTTTGGGAGGCCAAGGCAGGAGGATCACTTGAGCCTAGGAGTTGGAGACCAGCCTGGGCAACATAGTGAGGCCCCCCACACCCCCATCTCTACCAAAAAATTAAAAAACTTAGCTGGCATGGTGGTGTGTGCCTGTAGTTCCAGCTATTTGGGAGGCTGAGGTGGGAGGATCGCTTGAGCCTGGAGGATCAAGGCTGCAGTTAGCTATGATCATGCCACTGCACTCCAGCCTGGGCAACAGAGTGAGACCTTTTCTCAAAAGGAAAAAAAAAAAGATATGCAGAAACACATGAGACCCATTTGAAATAAGTCAGCAGTCTTCTCCATCTCATTTGATGACTTTGTTCTTCTATTTCCTCAGTCCAAAAGCCCTGAAACCTTGCAGTTATTTTAAACTGTTTTTCTCTCATATCCAGTCATTCAGGAAATCGTATCAGGTCTGCCTTCAAAATATATCTAGAATTCTTTCATTTCTCACTAATTCCCACTGCCCTGATCAAAACCACTATTAAATTGCAGCAGATTTACTGATTTCCCTGCTTCTGATCTTGTCTGTCTTCACTCTGTTCTTCACACAGTGGTCATATTAAAATTTGAGTCCAGTCATGCCACTCCTTTGCTGAGAACCCTCTAGTAGCTTTCCATTTCTCTTGGAGCAAAAGCCAGTGACATTACCCTCATCCGTAATAAGACTTTGCATGATCTGGCTCTCTGTTTACTCTGACCTCTCTTATTTTACTCCCCATTATTTATTCTGCTCTAGGCTTTCTGATCCCTTTGCTGTTCCTCAAACTTATCAACCATGCCTCCTGCCTTAGGGCCTTTGCACTTCTGTTCTCTTTACCTGGAATGTACTTGCCTCGAGGTCTGCATGGCCCATTCCCTCACTTTCTTCCTATCTTTACTCAAAGTCACCTCAGGTCTTCCCCATGTACCTTGATTAAACATTTCAGCCTCCTCCATCCTTCTCCCAACACAATTTTCCAAGGGACCATCTAATCTTGATTTAATTTTTTTCTTCTCAGGACTTACCGTTGTCTTCTATGTACTGTATATTTTACTTGTTTATTTTGTTTCAGTCATTCTAGAATGTAAGCTCACAAGGGCAGTTCTCTGATTTGCTTGTAGTTAGTCTTGTTCATAGCACGTAGATCAGTATTTGGCACATTCTGAGCATTTAATATATATTGTTGAATGAATAAATGAATTACTAAATGGTGTAGTTTCTTTGACTTGAAGCAGATGCTCCAGCAATGTAAGAATGAGTCTAGGGGAGTGTGAAAAAGCAAAATGGGGACTTGGAATGAGATGAAAAGTAGTGTTTTGTAGTGGGTGAAGGTAGGGAAATGTTCCTTGGCAGTGGTGACATGGTGTAGACATCTGTTTCCCTCTGTCCTCAAGAATTACTCCTTTTTGAGTTAAAAATGGCATTTTCTTTTTCTCATGCTCATGCCGTTGCAAATGCTATTCTCTGCCCTGTGCTTGAGCTCTTCCTCCCTTACTGTCCTATTATTATCCATCTTTCAGGTTCTACCTTCTTTAATTGATTCTTTAATCGTTTCATATATTTGTGTTCTTTTTAAAACATTAGCCTGTTGATATGGTTTGACTGTGTCCACACCCAAATCCCATCTTGAATTGTAGTCCCTATAATCCCCACATGTCATGGGAGGGACCCGTTGGGAAGTAATTTAATCATGGGGGCAGTTTCCTCTGTGCTGTTCTCATGATAGTGAGTGAGTTCTCACAAGATCTGATGGTTTTATAAGGGGCTTTTCCCCCTTTTGCTTAGCACTTCTGCTTGCTGCTGCCATGTGAAGAAGGACGTGTTTGCTTCCCCTTCTGCCATGATTGTAAGTTTCCTGAGGCCTCTCCAGCCATGATGAACTGTGAGTCAATTAAACTTTTCCTTTATCAATTACCCAGCCTTGGGTATGTCTTTATTAGCAGTGTGAGAACAGACTAATACACTTGTCAAGGGCAAAAAAAAATTATATATTACAGATTTTTTCCCTTTCATAACTTTTTAAAAAAAATATAGTTTGCTGCTCTTGATGCCTTTACTACATTTGATATTATTATATTCACATCTAGAGACTGGCACTTTAATTTCATAGTGGCTTAATTCTAAGATTCTTTCATTTGGCTGATTGATAAAGGAGCTTAACTAATTTTTCAATGTTTTTTTCCCCCAATTTGGGAAATTGGATGAACACTCCAACTTTAAGAGCAATGAATGAAATTAGATGAGGACTCCAATTTTCAGGGTAATGATGAGAAAGGATGTGTTTCCTGAAAATAAAGGTCATTCCTTTTCTCCTGTTACTACTTTATCTTTAGGCCTCATATTGTTTCATTTTTAGACCACTATGGTCAGTCGAAACTATACACTTTGGTGTGAAATTGGTATCTTAATTCTGGCTCTGCTATTGATAGTCATGATCTTGAAGAACTTGCTAAAATCCTCAGAGCTTACTATCATTTCTATTTTTAAAAAGTAGAGGAATAAAGTTAATGCCAAAAATATGTGTTAAGAATTAAATGAGGTAATTATGTGAAGGTATAGCATGAAGCCTGGTACATGAAAACCCATAAAATATTTTGATTTACTTCTTTTTAAGTATAAAGAGGTAATTTCTCTTCAGGAAGAAGAGAGATGATAGCCTAATTTGAAGTAATATTAAGAATTAATTGGTAAATTTGAAGTATTTTTTAAAGGATGGAATCAAAAGGATTTTGATATGTTGCATGGCAAGAGAGAAATCGCCTGGGGAAAAACATACTTTGTTTCTTGTTCTTTTTCTTCCAATTTTGTTGTGAAAAAAATTAAAATATACAGAAGTTGAAAGAGTGGTACAGTGAATAATATGCCCATCACATACATTCAATTACTAATAACATTTTACCACATTTCCTTTATACATTTTTACAACATGTGGGTAATTTTGAATAGGGACTGTACAAGATAATAATTATTTTCTTAGGTAGGACAGAGGGTATTATAGTTTTATATAGAATAATATATGGACTTTTAGGATATACATGTGTTTAAGTACTCATTAAGCATTAGTGGGTAAATTACAAGAATTTCATGGAGGATGGAAACTTAAAAAAATATTGATGAGTAAAGTGACATGATGTATACAGATTGCTTTCAAATAGTTGGGCACCAACAACAAACATGTTTTACAGTTGTTTCTTTGAAACTGGAATTCAGTCAAGGATTACGTATTGCATAGAATGACCCTCACTCGCTCTAAAAAATGGGTCACATTGACTCTTTTCTAGTTATCTTGTATAGCGTTCCACGTCTAGCTTTGTCTGATTTCTTCTTTCTGTAATCATTTTCCTCTTTCTGGCTCCTGTATGTTTTTGGTAACGTGAAGTTAAACCTTAAGGTTTTTTCAGGCTAAAGGTTTTTTGGCAAGGGTACTTCATAGGCGATGCTGTTTACTTTATACTGCATCACATTAAGAAACATATAATGTCAGGTTGTCCCAGTGATAGTGACTACCAGATCTCTGCCTTGTAAAGTGATGTTTTTCCTTTCATACTTGGGTACTATATGAATATCCTGTTTATTAACCTTTCATCTATGATTTTAGCATACATTGATGATCCTTGGTGAATCAATTTTTAAATATTCTACTCATTTTTTTCTACTCACTTTGATACTTTTTCTCCCAATTTCACTAACAGTGTCTTGTCATTTTTGGGAATGAGTAATTGGGCAAGAAAATGCATGGAAAACTACAGTTACAGAAAACATTTAATGGTATCTACTTTTATTTGACTTCTTCCAAGATGGATTTTCAGTTCTTTGTAAATAAAGTACTGGTTAAGACCTGAGAGATGTTCACTAAGTGCAAATTATGCTGGACTAAATTAATTTCTTGTAGTGAATCGATCACTTTTACTTGTCATGTCAAAGAAATTAGTGTATGTTAGTTATAATAAAGCATTTAAAAAATTCCCTCTTATGGGAAATCAGAGGCGCTTGGTTAATTCATAGGTAACTGGACACATTGATTATTCATCGTGTATTTACTATTGTATGAAGCCCTTCTCAAGTTGCTTAATGCATAGCAGAAGAGACATATTGATAGTCAGCTTATGGTCTGGACAGGAATTTGTGTTTTCAAGAAATGCAGTACAACCTGAAAGGAAGTCTAATTGTATGGACAAACAAATATTTAAAAATTTATCAAGTACTCATTAATTCATATTACATGTCTCTGAAATATTTGGTACTGATTTTGAGGACCATTTGGCTTCTTGACAATCAGTTTTGAATATTGGATAGATTTAAAGCTTCTTAAATGTTAGTTGAATGCATACTTCTCATCTTCCTAAGCAGAAGATAAAATACATCCATAACTATTATTCCTGAGTAAATAGCTGTGTTCCAAAAACAATTCTCTGACACCAACTGGGTATCCAACAATTCCATTCAATTCTGACACTTAACTGTTCAGAGTTAGCACAGACTCCACAGGTTAAGGGACATAGTCCAACAAGACTACCCCCACTTCAAACACCAGCTCTAAGTCTTAGGGGTCATCTGTACTTCTGATAAACTTAATTGACTACAAATTTGGGGGTTCCCTTTGGGTTTGATAATTTGCTACAGTGACTCACAGAACTCAGGAAAGTGCTACGCTTACAATTACTCTTCTATCAGAAGGGACACGAATGAACAAGATGAACAGGTACATAGCACAAGGAGGTCTGGAAGGGTGCTGAGTGCAGAAGTTTTTATCCCCATGCTAGGTACACCACTCTGCCAGTACAGCCCTATGTTCACCAACCAGGAAACTCTGAACCTTGTATTCAGTGCTTTTATTGAGGTCTCACAAAAGAAGCACGATTGATTAAATCATTGGCCATATGATTGAACTCGATCTCTAGTCTCTCTCCTATCCGCAGAGGTAGGGGGTCGGGGGAAAGGGAAGGGAGGGGCTGAAAGTTCCAACCCTCTCATCTAATCTGTCTAACCTCTAGTTGGTTTTCTGGTGATCAGCCCCATTCTGAAGCTATGTAGGGGCCCCATGATGACTTAACCTCTTAGCATAATAAAGAAATGTCTACTAAGGAATTCTAAGTGGTTCTGAAGCTCTGTACCAGAAACTAGGAACAAAGAACAGACATATATTTTTTTCTTATATTATGGTAATAGAGTGATGCTTAATAAACATAATACAATTTTAAGGCTTTTCCTCCCTAAAATGGATGGGGGAGGCATTCATTTAGATCTTATTTTGAGTGGCTATATTGAATTGCTGTTCCATTAGGCAAACTAAGCCAAAACATAGAGGTGAATTATGGTGTTTAAAAAAAGATATATATATTTTTTAAATTTAAGTTCTGGGATACACGTGTATAACGTGCAGGTTTGTTACATAGGTATACATGTGCCATGGTGGTTTGCTGCACCCATCAACCCTTTGGATATATACCCATCATAATGCCTATAATCCTTCAGGTATATACCCAGTCACGGGATTGCTGGGTCAAATGGTATTTCTAGTTCTAGATCCTTGAGGAATCGCCACACTGTCTTCCACAATGGTTGAACTTATTTACACTCCCACCAAAAGTGTAAAAGCATTCCTGTTTCTCCACATCCTCTCCAGCATCTGTTGTTTCCTGACTTTTTAATGATCGCCATTCTGACTGGCGTGAGATGGTATCTCATTGTGGTTTTGATTTGCATTTCTTAAATGATGTTGGAAAAAAGAGATGATCTTAGCCTTCATTTAACACCTCACATTTCCAGTTCTTTAAAAAAGTGTTTTATAAGCTGATTTTAGGTTTGAATAACTTATTTTGTACTTCTGTTTACACTTTTATCCACATATGCCTTGGGCATGGTTAAGCAGTTAAGTATAGTCTCCTTGAATTTTACTGTGTTTATATTAGCTTGTTTATCAAGCCATGTATTCATTTCCAGTCTTCTTTTTTAGAATGTGTAGTTTAACTCTAACCTTCGTAAGATGAAGCAGTGTTTTTTTTTTTTTTTTTTCTTCCTGAGACAGAGTCTTGCTTTGTCGCCCAGGCTGGAGTGCAGTGGTATGATGTCAGCTCACAGCAACCTCTGTCTCCTAGGATCAAGCGATTCTTGTGCTTCCGCCTCCTGAGTTGTTGGGATTACAAGTGCATGCCACCATGCCTGGCTAATTTTTTGTATTTCTATTAGAGACAAGGTTTTACCATGTTGCCCAGGCTGGTCAGGTTTTGAAGCAATAAGCACTTCTATGTATAATGCCTGGTAAGTGAGTAGGCATACAATATTATTTATTGAATGAATGAATCAATGAAAGATGGAAAAAAATGTTCCGCTAAATTTCTTCTTGGAATCTAGCATAATCAAGGGGAAGGCGGAAGCAAGGCTTTTGGGGTCAGACATAAAAGTAATAGTAAGAATATCCAGAAAATGGATATTGAGCTCAGGCCATCCACTCTCCTTGGCCTCCCAAAGTGTTGGTATTACAGGTGTGATCTTAGGCGATCCACCATCCTTGGCCTCCCAAAGTGCTGGGATTACAGCTGTGAGCCACTGTGCCTGGCCAAGTAGTAATAGCAGCAGCCTAATACTACTAATTGTATTAGTAGTAGTTACAAAAGCTACCATTTATGGAATGAATTGTATTAATGCTTTGCATACAGAACCTCATTTATTCTTTAGAGTAGTCCTATGAGGAGACCTTATTATCTCTGCTGAAAGTATAAGGAAACTGGGGCTCATACATAATCTCATTTATTCTTTAGAATAGTCCTATGAGGAGATCTTATTATCTCTGCTGAATGTATAAGGAAACTGGGGCTCAGAAATTAATTTGCATTTGGTCACACAATTAGTAATGGTGGAGTTAGTATTCACTTTTATGTCTGACTCCGAAAGCCTTGCTTCCACCTTCCCCTTGATATGCTAGATTCCAAGAAGAAATTTAGCGGAACATTTTTTTCCATCTTTCATTGATTCATTCATTCAATAAATAATATTGTATGCCTATTCACTTACCAGGCATTATGCATACAAGTGCTTATTGCTTCAAAACCTCCAACCCCCATAATATTCATTGTTAATATAAAGGACAAAATCCTTTCATTTCTTGTTGGGCACTTTGAAATGATTTTGCAATACTCAGTCTTGCTCAGTATATAATATCTAGGTCTTTTTTGTCATCTAATAGTAGGGTGTGGATTCTAGTGTATTTTCTGGATATTCTTACTATTACTTACTGGCATTATTAATGTTATTGTACAATTATCTTATGTTGGTTATCTTACTATAATAACTGTGAAAATGGAGAAATCTTGAAGCAACTTTAAAAGTTTTTAGGCTAATTTTAGTCTAACTGAAATTTAGAAATTTAGCAGGAAGTATTTGGTAAAATGCCATCAGTATATAATATCCCCATTTAATAATAGTATTAGCTTACTTGTGCTTACACATTCATCTATTGCTATGTGCGATGACTGGATATGGCTATAGGGCTGAAGCCATTCTAAGGCAAATATACAACCATTTTCTTCTTCTGGTAACTTTTAGGGTTTTCTTGTTATCTTGAGCCTTCTGAAATTTCATGATGATGAGCCTTGATGTGGATCTTTTTGTTCTATGTGCTGGGTATTTGCTTGGTGAGCCCTTTTCATATGGAAACCGATGTACTTCAAGTTTGATGTGTGTGTGAATGTGTGTGTTATATCTTTGATACATTTTTTTCTCCCCTCATTTTCTCTTTTCTTTTTCTGGAGAGTCTGTTGTTTAGATACTGGATCTGGTGGACTGTTTTTTTTCTGAGACGGAGTTTTGCTCTTGTTGCCCAGGCTGGAGTGCAATGGCGTGATCGTGGCTCACTGCAACCTCTGCCTCCTGGGTTCAAGCAATTCTCCTGCCTCAGCCTCCCAAGTAGCTGGGATTACAGGCATGTGCCATCACACCCAGTTAATTTTTGTATTTTTAGTAGAGGTGGGGTTTCACCATGTTGGTCAGGCTGGTCTCAAACTCCTGACCTCAGGTGATCCATCCACCTCGGCCTCCCAAAGTGCTGGGATTACAGGCGTGAGCCACCATACCCGGCCTGGACTGTTTTTTTAATATTACAGTCTTTTATCCTCTGAAAAAAATTGTGGAATATTTCCCTAATTTTATCTTCTAGCTCCTCTGTTGAAGCTTTAACTTTTGATTTCTTTATTCTATTTTGTAAAAGTAATTTCTCATTCTCCAAATATCCCTTTTGTAGAACTCTGCTCTTATTTCATGACTGCAATGTCTTTCTTCTACTCTTAAGAATATTTATAGGTTCTTTGGATGATTTCTTTAGCTCCCAGCACCTCTTCAAAGTTCTTTTTTTCTGTTTGCTTGTTTTACTATCTTGTCATCTTAAAGGGTTTCTTTGAACGTCTGATCATCTTTTTATGTCTGTTCTTTTTAAAGAGTGAAGTTCTAAAGTGATGATGCGCTTTGTGTAAATGGGGCAAGTTTCTTGACTTGAGGCTTCACTTTAGTGTGACGATGCAGAAAGCCACTTTTAAATTGTGTGACTCCCACATTTCATTATCTGTATGTTTTTTCCAGTTTCCCAGAAAAAAAACACTGTTTCCAATTTCCATTTGTGACTACCCCTGTATGTCTGGCTGCCAGTGTTATTGTAGCTGAACAGTGGTCTTGAGTTGAGGTGGGGGGCTTCTCTTTTCAGTAGGCATTTACTTAATTCTTTGTTTTTTTAGGACTACACTCACCTTTCTTCTATTCCCATGCCCCAGAATGTTTCCTGATGTCCCATATATACTGCTGGTTTAATTAATACTGCATAGGGGCGAGTGTTGGCCTGGCTGTGGGGAATGGGGTAGCAAATCAAGAGGTCTGACTGACTTTAAGTCAGTTTTCCTATTTGCCAGTGAACTACTTAGCTCTGTTTTAAGGATTATTTTGTTATTGATCAATTTCTACTCCTTTGGGTACCTCTAGTTAATCAATTAATAACTATGCCAGAGGAACTGTGGGAAAGATACGAAGGATAGATACATTGGCTTTATCACTTTTCATTCTTTTGCATTATCTTTTTAAGTGAATTTGAGGGGAGTTACAAATATGTAAAGCACCAATACATTAAAAATGATTTAATTAAAGCATGGAAATGACAAAGCATGGAAAAATAATTGCTTAATAGAAGGAATAAATAATGGCTTACAAGAAGAAGTTAGTCTGTAGCAGTATATGCCATATGTTCATATATAGTTATTACAGAGACTTGGCATCTCTAGAGCAGTGGTTTCCAAGTGAGTGTAAACTATGTTGTCATTATTTTATTACTACCATACTACAGTGTATAACAATTGAGAGATATCCTGGGTGGGCTGGCACTTGAGATTAGATGGAGGATTGTCCATTATGATTTTTCTTAGTTGAAACAAATTTTTAGATTGGCTTAACAAAACTACTCTCTCATTTTAATCTGGTTACCTTTTTTGTGTGTATGTGGAGACCAGAGGTAAGATTTCCATTAGGTGTCCTATGAAATTATTTCATGTGTAAATGTTATATCCTACCCTTGAAAAAAGTTGGAGGAGGCTGAAAATTACTGCTCTTTAAAGAATATGCCTATGAATGAAACTTCTATATTTAGTTATACAATTTATGTAGTTTATAGAGTGCAAAAGATACCAATTATTTTTCTTATTTACTTTTATAAATACACATTTATTTCCCATTTTATTTCATCAGATCAATATCCCAGTTTATTTCATCAGATCAATTTCATCAGATCAATATCTGTCACAATTTTGCTTTTATGGGATTTTGAGAACATTTAGAATGCTTTATAATACTCTCATAATTTCATGTTTGGAATTATAACATTTAGCATTAATGTAACAACTATGCTTTACAGTATTAAATTGGACATATATATGTAGAGTCTGTGGTTACTGCCAATAATCTTATGATTTGTGTACAGAAATTTGTGGAAAACTGAGGTACATGATAATATAGTCAAATTCTAGATAGAAGTACCTGAGTGAGTGATGAACGTGAAATTGGGTTGGTCATGAAAGAGTTCTGTGAGGAAAAATAAATACTTAAGAATTTGATAAGCTATAGATTGGTGGCAAGTATTACACCCCTCTCTTGGACTACTATAGTGTCCTAACTAGTTACCTCCCTGTAAGTGCATTCTTCAAACAGAAATAATATTAGCTTATCAGAAAATTATTGAAAAGATAGTACTGGGGAAAACATAAACATTTATTACATTTTATTCTCAAAGCAGATACAATTAACGATCACTGTTTACCATGTTTAGGTAGAATTTCTTTCTTGAAGTTCAACGTATCTTCTGTGTTCAGAAAACTTAACATTTGATAAGATCTGTCTAAATTAGGGTTAGTAGAATTGGAAAACTTTGATTTTGGGAATGGTTTTTATGAAGAAAACCTACTTGATACTTGTTTTTCTCATTTCTGTAATTCATAGGGATAAAATCACATTGCTCTGTGGGTGAGTAAGAATAGGTATATAGGATCCATGGTTCCTCTGGGAACTTACTTCAGTGACTACATAACTTGGTTGTGCATCAGAACCATTTGGGGGAACTCTTTTCCCTCTTCCATCTAATAAACAATTTAAAACATATACAAGAGTAAAATAGTATAACAAGTAGGGAGATTTTTAGTGCTCTCTCTCTCATATATATATATAGTTTTGTATATATAGTTATATATAGTTATATATATAGTTATATATATGGTTATATATATAGTTATATATAGTTATATAGTTATATATAGTTATATATAGGTATATATGTAGGTATATATATAGGTGTATATATATATATAGTTATATAGTTATGTCTGTATATCTGTATAAATATATAAATGGGGCCCCATTATAGGCCTACTGATTCAGACTTGGGGCCAGAATTTGGAAACTGTTCAAGATAAATTCATACACAGACCACCTCAGGCAATTCTGATGCAAAGCTATGTTTGGGAAAGCATTGTTATAGAGGAATAATCTAGACCTAGATAGATAAATGTCTCAAAACAAATGCTATTTAAATGATTTCTCTCAGCTGTACTCATACTGCCTCTTTATCTAGATAAATTCTTTCTTTCCACATTTTCCTTAGTTTTTGTAACCAAATAAAATTATGGTAGTTTAAGTGGCCCTTTCTATTAGGTCTTCTACTTTCTGGCTTGTTAATGTTTACATATGAAATTAGTGCTAAGTGAGTTTCTTTTAAAGTAATGCCCTGCATTGTTAGAGATTTTACGTAAAGTACCTTTCCCAAACATCATCATCATCTGATTTATTCCTAGAACTGCCTTGTGGGGTGGTTGATTTGATTTCCCTAACACTATACATGTGGAAATCCAGATCTATAAAAGGGAAGTTGTGCAGTTTCTTATAACTGGAAATGGAAGTTGTAGAGAATCTGGAAAGAGTATGTACTGATTCTGGAGTTTCCTAGGAGCTTGTATTAGTCTGTTCTCATGCTGCTAATAAAGGCATACCCACAACTGGGTAATTTATAAAGGAAAGAGATTTAATTAACTGACAGTTCCATGTGGCTGGGGAGGCCTCACAATCATGGCAGAAGGTGAATGAGGAGCAGAGTTACAACTTACATGGTGGCAGGCAAGAGAGCTTATGCAGGGCAAATCCCATTTATAAAACCATTAGATCTTGTGAGAGTTATTCACTACCACAAGAACAGTCTGAGGGAATCTGCCCCCATGTTTCAATTATCTCCACCAGGCTCTGCCCTTGACGTGGGGATTATTACAATTCAAAATGAGATTTCAGTGGGGACACAGCCAAATCATATCAGAACTCTTTTCCCCTATTATGTATTCCTAATAGTTTTTTTCCTTTTACAACTCTGTATTGATCTGAGTGCAGGTGACTTATTATTGCTCAGGATGCTGCTTTTTAAAGGCTATTAAATTAATGCAAGTGACATACCATTTTAAAAAAAGTAATTGAGCTATAGCATATTCTGTGTCAAGATAAATTTTAAAAACTTCATGTAGAAATCTTTGTTTAGATGTGACAGAATTGTTCTTTAGAATACCTACCTAGTGCTTCAGATAAGATGCTTTCTCAGCTGCAGTTAACAGAATTCCCAGCCAGGCACTGTGGCTCACACCTGTAATCCCAGCACTTTGGGGGGACAAGGCGGGCGGATCATGAAATCAGGAATTCGAGACCAGCAGCCTGGCCAACATAGTGAAGCCTCGTCTCTACTGAAAATACAAAAAATTAGCCAGGTGTGGTGGCAGGCGCCTATAGTCCCAGCGACTTGGGAGGCTGAGGCAGGAAAGTTGCTTGAACCTGGGAGGCGGAGGTTGCGGTGAGCCGAGATTGTGCCACTGTACTCCAGCCTGGGCAACAAGAGTGAAACTCCATCTCAAAAACAAAAACAAAAAAACCCAAAAAACAGAATTTCCATATAAACCATGGCTTAAGTAATGAAGACATTTACTGTATGAGTTCTAGAGGGAGGTGGTTCCAGAGTTGGCTGATTCAGTAGGCCAAATGTCTGTGTTTTGGATCATTTTCTTTCTGATTCTTTGTTCCATTATGGCCATAGATGACTGCATTAGGGCTAAACATCATAGGCAACAAAATCAAAAAGCAAAAGAGCAGGGCCTTCTCTACCAGTCTTTTATCTATGGAAAATCATTCCCTGCAACTCGGGCTGACTTTACATGTTCAATTAGCAAGAACTAGTTACATACCCAATCCTAAATCAGTTACTGATAAGGGGAAATGAGATTCCTGTGATGGGCTTAGAATAATATTGGTTCATCTTCTGGAACTGGAGGAGGGAAGCACCTATCTGATCCCATTGATGTCTCATGTTGAATAACGTCAGTGTTTTGTCATCCAAGAGGGAGATTCTGATATGTAGGCAGTCACTTGTATATACCAAACTTTAGTAACATAATTGTGACATTTTTCACTATACTACATAAAAGGTATTCTAGTGCAAAAGGTGAAATTTTAGCCTTTAAGAGAGAAGCGTCTTCATTCGAGAAGCATATTTTCCTCTAAGTACTACTTCATGATTGACTTAGGAAGCCAGTGTTTTGGCATTTAATCTACTAGTAGCTTATTGCACTTGTTTTTGTCTTGGGTACAATCATTGTTTATTTTCCTCCAATATGCTCTATGATTATATTACATGATTTTGGCATTTGTTTTTGTTTCTTTTAAATTAATTGGTGCTTTGTTTTTCTAGGTGGATTCTCCACAGTTTTCCTCGTGCGTACTCACGGTGGAATCCGATGTGCATTGAAGCGAATGTATGTCAATAACATGCCAGACCTCAATGTTTGTAAAAGGGAAATTACAATTATGGTAAGTGAAGGAGTAGTTCTCTTTCAGAAATTTTGCAAGTTTTTATTTTTTATTTTTCTTGGGATGGAGTGCAGTGGAGTGGCACGCCCAGGCTGGAGCGCAGTGGCGTGATCTCAGCTCGCTGCAACCTCCACCTCCCAGGTTCAAGCAATTCTCATGCCTCAGACTCCCAAGTAGCCAGGATTACAGGTGTCCATCACCATACCTGGCTAATTTTTTGTATTTTTAGTAGAGACAGGGTTTCACCATGTTGGGCAGGCTGGTCTTGAACTCCTGACCTCAAGTGATCTGCTTGCCTTGGCCTCCCAAACTGTTGGGATTACAGGTGTGAGCCACCGTGCCTGGCCTGTTTTGTTTTCTATAACATTAACCAGCTTTTAGGCAAGCTGCTTATTTATAATAATCTTTGAAGATCATTAAATTAGAAGATAATCTGGTAATTTGCAGTATAGTTGTCCCTTAGTCTTCTATGGCGATTTGGTTCTAGGACCCACTACGGATACTAAACTCTGCAGATGCTCAAATCTGAGAATGCTCGAGGCCCGTATGTAAAATGTAGTATTTGCATGTAACCTACACACATCATCCTGTATACTTTAAAGCTACTCTGCTTTCTTTCTTTTTTTTTTCTTAAATACTTTTTAATTGTGGAGTATTTTCAGGATAGAAATATTTACTGAGTTATATAGTAAACACCAAGCTTGTTCATCATCCAGCTTAAGAAATTAAACCCTACAAATACTGCTGGAGCCTTCTTTGTGTGCCTTCTCAACTGTATCCCTGTATAGGCATACCCTGAAGATATGAGTTTGGTTCCAGACCACTGCAATAAAGTGAATGTTGCAAGAAAGCAAGTCACACAGTTTTTTTGGCTTCCCAGTGCATACAAAAGTTATGGTTACAGTTTTTATCTCCCCATTTTAGACCAATGTTTCAGTTGCCTATTCTACTTCTATATCAAACTATTACTCTGTGGAGAACCTTTCTCTGCCCCATTGTTGAACATTATGGACTGTACATTGTGTTCCTTGGTCTGAAGAAATGATAGTTGGCCCTCTAACTCCATACACTGTCTTATCTTTCTT
Organism: Homo sapiens; assembly: GCF_000001405.40. Classification (NCBI taxonomy): domain Eukaryota; kingdom Metazoa; phylum Chordata; class Mammalia; order Primates; family Hominidae; genus Homo; species Homo sapiens. Next base: position 78,827,241 of record NC_000004.12, read on the forward strand.
TCTTTTTTTTTTTATGGCACTCTGAGCATTTTTGTATTCCATTGCATAAGCAAAGCCCGGTCCAGAGTCAATGTCTATTCCTCTCAAGACCTATTCGTAGCCCCCTGAGGGCTACCAGCATCAGTCTCACTTGCCAGCTATGTTCAGGGTCTTCCTATCAGGGAATCTCATCCATAGCCATTGGTAGTCTCTGTCTGTCTTGCTGACACTTAGAACAGTTCTCACTGGCATTACGTGCCTGTGAGGGTGCAAAAGGAACATGTCTTTATTCATCCTATGTCTGCACTGCTGCAGTACCCCTATGTGTGCTCATAGACACATAGCACACCTGCTTGCTGATTCCAGTGACCTTCCCAATCTGGAAGGGAGTTCTTCTGATGGGCACTGACTTGTTCTACTTTAATGCACCCCTCAAATTTCCATAGGTTGTGTGGCCAGGCCATTGATTACTGCCTGTGAGTCAGTAAAAAAACCTCAAACACAGGGGCTTCCACCACTGTTCAGTTCTGCCATTACTGTAAAAACAAAACAAAACAAAACAAAACAAAAAAACTGCATGCAATTCAGCCCACCTTGCTGATACGTTTTTACTTTCTTTGATCAAAGTAGCAGCCATCCAAACAGAATGTTGTCCATTCACTTTGGAACTGTCGTCTGTAAACCATGTCACTCCTTGTTGGTCAATTAAGAGCTGTTCATAGTGTACTGTCCAAGTGTCCAGTAGAATCCAGCAGCACGTCACACAGTTCCAGAGTCACCCTAGGGATAAAGAGACTCCCTGCTTAAGAGTATCTCCTTCTTGCCTTCCCCAGGTAGCATGAGAGCAGACCCATCCTCAATCTGTGTGGGCACCATGTAATCAGCTGCCAGCATGGCTAGAATAAAGCAGGAAGGAGAAGATGGAAGAGCAGACTTGCTGAGTCTTCCAGCCTTCACCTTCTAACTTAAAGTTGCAGTTCCCACCACCTGCTCTTTAGATTCTATTAATTGGCTGAAGTGGCTCACAGAACTCAGGGAAACACTTATGGTTAGTGGCATATTTTAAAGATATTGCAAAGGGTACAAATGAAGTGATGCATAGGGTATGAGGTATGGGGGAAGGGGTACAGAGCTTCCTTGCCTCCGTGGGCACACCTCCCTCCAGGAACCCTCACATATTCAGCTATCTGGAAGCTCCCTGAACCCAGTCCTCTTGGGTTTTTATGGAAGCTTCATGAGGTCAGCATTCCTTCCCCCAGGGTATAGTGCAGGACTCTTTCTGGGGAGAGTTTTAAGACCCACAATCAGAAAGGTGGGCAACGATTAGAGTCCTGCCTTGGGGCAGGTGAAAGGAGGGCAGGAGAGAGATTCTGTTTCCTGAGGCCTAAGACACCCAACATTATAACAAAAGACTGTGACTAGGGCTTTGGGAGTTACGAACCAGGAACTGTGGACAAAAACCAATATAGTATCATAACATCACAACACTACACTGTAGTCTATAAAATGTACAATAGCATTATGCCTAAAAAAATTGTATATACTTTCATTTAAAAATATTGTTAAAAAACAACTGATGATCACCAGAGCCTTCAGCAAAGTGCAGTCTTGTTGCTGGTAGAGGGTCTTGCTTTGATGTTGAAGGCTGCTGACTGATCAGGGTAGTGGTTGCTGAAGGAATGGGCGGGGTAGCTGTGGAAGTTTCTTAACCCATTTATGCTGGAGGTTGCAAGTTTTTGAATTTTTGCATAGTGAAAAATCAGACCTTGGCGATGACCTTGAGCGGTAGGATATAAATAACTCCCACATGCTTAGCGTTCCAATAATGGGACACTGGGTATAAGTGGGTTTTAAACATCAGTGAAGTTTGCCACATCAGTTGACTTTTCCTTTCATGAAAGCTTTTTCTGTAGCATGCAATACTGTTTGATAGCACTTTATCCACAGTAGGACTTCTTTCAGAATTGGAGGCAATCATGTCAAATCTTGTCACTGCTTTATCAACCATGTTTGTGTAATATTCTTAAATCCTTTGTTATTATTTCAACAGTGTTCTCAGCCTCTTCACCAGGAAGTAGATTCCATCTCAAGAGACCACTATCTTTGCTCATTCATAAGAAGCAGCTCCTCATTTCACAGCAATTCTGTCAGATCTTCAGGCTCCACTTAATTATAGTTTTTTGTTTTTTTTTTTTTTTCTGTTTCTACCATGTCTGCAGTTACTTCCTTCACTGAAGTCATGAATTCCTCAGCATCATCTGTGAGGATTGGAATCAGCCTCTTCCAAACTCTTGTTAATGTTAATATTTTGACTTCCTCCTATGGGTCACAAATGTTTTTAATGGCATCTAGAATGGTGAATCCTTTCCAGAAGATTTTTGATTTACTTTGCCCAGATCCATCAGAGAAGTCATTATTTATGGCAGCTATAGTCTTAAGAAATATATTTTTTAAATAATAAGACTTGAAAGTTAAAATTACTCCTTGACTCATGGGCTGAAGAATGGATGTTGTGTTAGCAGGCATGGAAACAATCTTTTCTTTTCTTTTCTTTTCTTTTCTTTTCTTTTCTCTTCTCTTCTCTTCTCTTCTCTTCTCTTCTCTTCTCTTCTCTTCTCTTCTCTTCTCTTCTTTTTTTCTTTTCTTTTCTTTTGATGTCTTGCTCTGTTGCCCAGGGCTGGAGTGTGGTGGTGTGATCTTGGCTCACTGCAACCTTGGCCTCCTGGCTCACTGCAACCTTGGCCTCCTGGGTTCAAGTGATTCTAATGCCCCAGCCTCCCGAGGAGCTGGGACTATAGGCAGGTGCCACCATACCTGGCTAATTTTTTTGTATTTTTAGTAGAGTCGGGGTTTCACCATGTTGCCCAGGCTGGTCGTGAACTCCTGAGCTTAAGCTATCTGCCCCCCGTGGATTCCCAAAATGCTAGGATTATAGGCAAGAGCCGCCACACCCAGCCATCAGTATTAATTTTTTTGTACATTTCCGTCAGAGCTCATGGGTGACTAGGTACGTTGTCAATGAGCAGTAATATTTTGAAAGGAATCTTTTTTTCTGAGCAGTAGATTTCAACAGTGGGCTTAAAATATTCAGTAAACCATGCTGGAAACAGATGTAATGTCATTCAGGCTTTGTTGTTTTATTTATAGAGCACAAACAGAGTAGGTTTAGCATAGTTCTTAAGGGCTTAGCAGTTTTGGAATGGCAAGGTAAGCATTGGTTTCAACTTAAAGTCACCAGTAGCATTTGCCCTTAACAAGAGAGTTAACCTGTCCTTTGAAATTTTGAATACAGCATCGACTTCTTCTCTTTAGCTCTAAAAATCCTAGATGGCATCTTCCTCCAATAGAAGGCTGTTTTGTCTATGTTGAAAATCTGTTGTTTAGTGCAGCCACCTTCATCAGTTGTCTTAGTTAAATCTTCTGAATAACTTGCTGCATTTCCTGCTTTACTTTGTACTTAATATGTGCTGGAAATGGCTTCTTTCCTTAAACCTCATGAACCAACCTCTGCTAGCTTCAAACTATTCTACTGCAGCTTTCCTCACTTCTTCAGCCTTCATAGAATTGAAGGCAGTTGGGGCTTTGCTCTGGATTAAAGCTTTGGCTTTAGGGAATGTAGTGGTTGGCTTGATCTGTCTAGACCGTTAAAACTTTCTCCATGTCAGCAATAAGGCTGTTTTGCTTTTTTACCATTTGTGTGTCCATGGGAGTAGCACTTTTAACTTCCTTCAAGAATTTTTCCTTTGCATTCAAAATTTGGCTGACTGGTGTAATAAAAGGCTTAGATGTCGCGCTTCTTTGGCATTCCATGTGCCTTTCTCATTAAGCTTAACTATTTCTAGCTTTTGATTAAAACGATAATTGTGGGACTCTTCAGTATTGTTGTGTTTTATGACAGAGGGAACCCCAAGGAGAGGGGGAGCCTGAGGAACGGCTAGCCGGTGGAACAGTTAGAACACATATAACATTTATTAAGTTCACTGTGTTATATGGACACAGTTTGTGTTGCCATGAAACAATTAGAAAATAACATCAACCATCACTGATCACAGATTATCATAACTGTTGTTATAATAATGGCAAAGTTTGAAATAGTATGAGAATTACCAAAATATGACAGAGACACAAACTGAGCACATGCTATTGGAAAAATGGTGCCTATAAACTTGCTCCATGCAGGATTGCCACAAACCTTTAATTTGTGTAAAATGCAGTATCTGCAGAGCATAATAAAGCAAAGTACCACTTTTTAAAAATGTAGCACAATAAAATGAGGTACACCTTTGCTATTCTCCTTATCCAAAAAAATCCTACTGTCTGAATTCTGTGTTTACTGTTCCTGTGCATTCACTGTTTGTGTTTTTATTCACAAACAACAATTAGTTTTGTTTTTCACTTTTAATATCATGCTCTAATGTTGTTTTTCTGTGACCTCTGTAATTAATGGCAAGGCATCTTTCAACAAGGGAAAACTTATTTTTAAGTATTAAGAAAAGTGAAAAATATTTTAATAGGCCAGTAAAAACTTCAGTGACTCTAACTTAACTAGCCTAAGTAGTTAAAAAAATGTAGAATAAAAATTTCCTCCTTTTCTAGGGTTACATATGCTCAGTGCTCTGGATGGCTTCTTATTCTTGTTCTTCTTCCTTGTCCTCCCATTTCTCCCCTCCTCTTCATCCTCTTTTCTCTTTCTCCATGGTTTTTTGAGTGCTTACACACAAGCACAGACACAGGTGCATATATATATTTGAAGATTGTTTTGTTGAGGTGAAATTCACATAATTATAGCATCTTTATTTTTTATGGCTGAATAATATCCCATTATATGTCTGTAACACAATTTATTTATCATTCATCTGTTGATGCAGTTTAAAAAATTATTTGATGAGCATTTGGGCTGTTTCTGTCTTTTGGGTATTATAATTAATACTGGCATGAATATGTGCATGCATCTATTTGCTTGAGTACCTGGTTTCAGTTGTTTTGGTTATATATCTAGGAGTGGAATTGCTGGGTTATATGTACTTTTATGTTGCCTATTTTCTGTAGCAGCTGAACCATTTTATGTTCTAAGGAAAGTATTTTTCCGCATTCTTGCCAACACTTGTTATTAATGTCAGTTGTACTTATCCACCTGCTAAGAGGGGGATTTCTTATTTTGTATCAACGTCTTTACTAACACACATATTACAATCCCTTTTGTTAGCAAATAACTGCATTTGCACAATCTGACTTTTTAAAATTCTGCTTTTATTTTCTGTATTCCTTAGCTAGATTAGAGATGATTAGACTTTGGCATTTACTTTTGTACAGTTAAGGCTGTTAGCTAGAAGGGTGAAAAGATTTACCTCAAGATGATGGAGAAGCTTAGACTAAGTTCTCTAACTAACTTGAGTCAAGATATTATAGTCTTGTACTTTTGTACAAGACTTCTTTCTTCCTTTCAATAGAATTTGTATGATTTTGAGAGATATGATGTATAAGGAGCAGCACACTCAAATCTTGTGCTTTTGAACATTTTTTAGGGAGATTAGTTCTTTAGAATGGTGGTCTGTCAACTTTTTTGATGATTCATCCCCATTATATATATTTACTTATAAATAATTCCCATGTTCAGTGGCCCTTAGCCCTTATTTCAAATTACATTGCATAGTTAAAACTAGGTTTATTGGTAATGATAGTTTATGTAAATTTATTTTAAATAATATTTTTAATAGTTGTTTTTAAATTTCCCAGTAGAACAGAGTAGGTTATTATTCTTAACCTCATTGTACGCTGATGACTATTTTGTAAAAGACACAAAAGTTTCAGATGTTTCATTTTCTTATTTCCTTATATTTGTATTAGCATTATCTTTATGGTTTCTTTTTAGAAATCTTTTTAGCCACTTGTTCATTTTTTTAGGTTATTTAGTTAGAAGTGCATGTGTCTATAAATTCATGTAATAGCTACACGTAAATTGCAATATGTTGCAGGCAAAATAAATGAGAATATAATTGTTAATAAATATTGGAGCTTAGTTATTTTATTTTTTAGATAAAAACAAATGTAATAAAAGTTCTAATATTTTATTCTCAAGTTCTTTGTACACTTTTGGGAGCTATTCCTTTTGCGTGAACCATTTTCACAGTTCAATTTAAAAATAATTTTCATATTTGCTGTTAGAAAATTACAGTCGCATGCAGGTAAACTTTTTATTGAAACCATAGAAGCCTTTGCTTGCTTGAAATATGTTAGATTCTGTACTCATGCCTAATTCTTACCTTTTGAAATTCTTTACATTAATTTAGGCTTCAAACCATTACTAATTCTATACCTTTAAATGTACATTTTCCAGTTTTCATTTTTTTTTTTCTTTCCAGAAAGAGCTATCTGGTCACAAAAATATTGTGGGCTATTTGGACTGTGCTGTTAATTCAATTAGTGATAATGTATGGGAAGTCCTTATCTTAATGGAATATTGTCGAGGTAAGTATTTTTTTGCATTTGTACTGTAATAAAAAGTTTCTCCTTAAATGGGTTACTAGGTATCTTTGTTATTTCCAGGGTAGCTGCTAACTAATTCTAGTCACTTATTGTAATCTTACCTTTCATTATCTAATTAGGAATATTGTTAAAACATTATTTAAAACCTAGTCATAGTTACTGCAGTTATGATATGAGCATGTAAACGCAGAATGAGAAAAGTGATATTGAGTTTAAAATAGGAAATCTAAGCAGGTACAGAGTTACAGTTCTTGCTCTCCATAGAATTCTTCTGTAATCCAACCAAGAAGAGGATAATATGTCAATATTAATGTTGTAAGATTTTTCCAGAACTCTACTACGTTATTGTAAACATTAAATTTAACAAATTTGGAGGATGCATTTTGATCTATAGACTTTATAAACCTGTTTTATGTAGTCTCTTGGTGGTGTTTGTAAACATTAGATATAGAAAATCACATTTTATTTGGACCTAATGTGATGTTTTAAAATAAATATTTACTTGTATAGCATACCTTAATCATCATCATCATCATAAAAAAATTCCTGACATTTAAATTTTTTTTTTTTTTTTGAGACGGAGTCTCGCTCTGTCGCCCAGGCTAGAGTGCAGTGGTGCGATCTCGGCTCACTACCAGCTCGGCCTCCCGGGTTCATGCCATTCTCCTGCCTCAGCCTCCCGAGTAGCTGGGACTACAGGTGCCCGCCACGACGCTCGGCTAATTTTTTGTATTTTTAGTAGAGATGGGGTTTCACCATGTTCACCAGGATGGTCTCGATCTCCTGACCTCGTGATCCGCCCGCCTCAGCCTCCCAAAGTGCTGGGATTACAGGCATGAGCTACCGCGTCTGTCCTTAAAAATTTTAATGTGTGGAAAGGTGGAGGCAAATATTCTATTTCCTACAAACTTGCAAGCCATATTTGGCACTTGTGGTTCTAGGGAGCCCTGGTTTACATTTACATTCTCTTCAGAAAGTAATGATTGTTAATTACTATCCCAGAAACTCTTACAGTTTCCTGAAGGTTGCGGAAAAAGAGGGGGATGATGGTGATGTTGGAGAAAATATGATCTTGTTTACTGCAGTATTTTAAGGAGGAAAGGATGGGGAAAATGAAGTGAATCAATGTGACAATACCTACCGTGATGTATTTGTAACTTATTTCCATACACAATATTTAACAACCAGATGTTTCTTGATTTTTCTTTATATCTTATCTTCTCTACTATAAAGTACTGTACTGTGATCTCTTTTAGGAGAAGATGCTGATTTTTTTCTACCCCATTTTCCTGAATTCTAGCATTTATAGTGCTAATTCTTAGAGTTTACTTGTAGCCCTTGACTACTTGTAACTTTTAAAAGATACTTGAATCAAGCATAATCATAACCTTGGATTAATTTAATTGTCACTTAGAAGACATCTTAAAAGGGGAATCAAATGACCTTCAAGTTTTAGGGGCAAATTTTATTTTAAAGTAGAAGAATGATCATATCTGTTTTTTGAGGAATGCATTGTTTTGTTTTAAAAATTTTTTAGAAATAGTTATCCGGTATTCAAATCATCAAGCTCTGTGGTATATGAAATTTAAAATTTTTATCAAAGTAATTTGTATATATGGTTTAAAAAGTCAAATAGTTGGCCTGGTGCGGTGGCTCACGCCTGTAATCTCAGCACTTTGGAAGGCAGAGGCGGGTTGATCACAAGGTCAGGAGATCGAGACCATCCTGGCTAACACGGTGAAACCCTGTCTCTACTAAAAATACAAAAAAAAAGTTAGCCGAGCGTTGTGGCAGGTGTTTGTAGTCCCAGCTCCTCGGGAGGCTGAGGCAGGAGAATGGCATGAACCCGGGAGGTGGAGCTTGCAATGAGCCGAGATCGCGCCACTGCACTCCAGCCTGGGCACATAGCGAGACTCCGTGTCAAAAAAAAAAAAAAAAAAAAAAGTCAAATATCTTAAGCTGTGGCTGAATCAGTACCCTCCTGCCTCATCCCTCTTCTCAGAGGTAGTCCCTTTAAAATATTTGAGATGTTTCTTATATTTACTTCCATATTTCCACACTGCATTATATAAAAGAGAATCAGTAATTTTAGTGATTTCTTAAGGGTACAAAAGAGAAAGGACTTAGAAAATCAAGGGAAGTATATAATTCTGTGCATGAAGAGGCTCTTGAAAGAAAGTTTTCTAGTGCTACTTTTGATGTTTTAGATATTGTCTCTAAGAAAAGATAGGAATTTTACTTCTAGTATAGATATTCTCAGGTTTTGGACCAAATCAGTGTTTATTTTCCCATTTAATGGTGTCTGTAGTTGTATTTTCTTATCCTTTTTTTTTCCTGGAATTAGTAATTACCTCGGTTTTCATTTGCCTAATTTTCTTCATGTATATTAATATTTTAGTCCCGCATTTTCCAATAGAAGTAAAAATAATTGGCTGGGCGCCGTGGCTCACACTGATAATCCCAGCACTTTGGGAGGCTGAGGCGGGCGGATCAAGAGGTCAGGAGTTCGAGACCAGCCTGACCAACATAGTGAAACCCCTTCTCTACTAAAAATACAAAAAATTAGCTGGGCGTAGTGGTGGACGCCTGTAGTCCCAGCTACTTGGGAGGCTGAGGCAGGAGAATGGCGTGAACCGGGGAGGTGGAGGTTGCAGTGAGCCAAGATCGCTCCACTGCACTCCAGCCTGGGCAACAGAGCGAGACTCTGTCTCAAAAAAAAAAAAGAAGTAAAAATAATTATGCAGTATGTTTAGACATTTTAATATTTGTTTTGATTTCATTTTTTCTTCCCTTAAAAACACCCCTTGGGGAGACTTCGATCATCCTGCTTAATTTTGAACAGCAGTTAGCTGTCCTTCTGGAAATTACCTTTGCCTCCCTTCTGTCTTGGATTCCCTGCTACTTATGCCACACCTTTGTTTTCACTCACTAATTTGGAAGACTTTGTTTTTCAGTAGCTTTCTGACTGGATTTTTTGGAGAAGGATTTTTGAAACCTTGCATATATAAACATATTTTTATTCAGTGCCCACATTGATTGTTACTTTGGCTAGCTAAAACATTATAGGTTGGAAATAATTTTGATCCAGAATTTTGAGGACATCATTCCACTTTTTTCTTAGTGTTGTTGACAAATTGATGTTATTGTGATTGCTTAATTTTTCTATGTGACATCTTTTCTCCATGGACACTTTTAGTTTGAATCTTTCCTTTATCTACAACGTATTGAAATTTCAAGATATACGTGCCTTACTGTGTGTCATTTTTGGTATGCTTTTTGTGGCGTTTTTGTCTTCTATTTTCTGTTCTCTTACTGGACTTCTCATTTTCTTTCAAATGTTCTGAGCTTTCTAGATTGATAATCCTCTGATTTTCTTTTCTTATTTTCCTTTTCTTTATTCTTTTATTGTTGGAAGCCTTCCTCTATCTTTTAGCTCTTCTATAGAATTTTGTATTTCTATTATATTATTTTTAATTTCCAAGGACTCTTTTCTTTTTTTTTTGAGACGTAGTCTTGCTCTGTCACCTAAGCTAAAGGGTGCATAGTGCCATCTCAGCTTACTGCAACCTCTGCCTTGTGGGTTCAAGTAATTCTCATTCATGCCTTAGCCTCTTGAGTAGCTGGGATTACAGGTGTGCACCACCACATCTGACTAATTTTTGTAATTTTAGTAGAGATGGGGTTTTGCCATGTTGGCCAGGCTGGTCTTGAGCTCCTGACTTCAAGTGATCCACCTGCCTCGGCCTCCTAGAATGCTGGTATTATAGGTGTGAGCTACCACTCCCAGCTTGACTCTTTCGTGTTCTCTCAGTGTTCTTTGCTAAAGTACACCTTGTTACCATGCAGAGATACTGGGGGGAAAAATACACCTAGTTCTTGTTTTAGCTGCAAATCTTTTGTTGTCTGTGGATATTAATTTCAGTGTATCCATTTTTCTTTCTTTCCACCCCTGACCCTTCTTTCTTTGTTTTTGAGACAAGGTCTCACTCTGTCATCCACACTGGAGTCCAAAGTCAAACTTCAGGACTCAAGTGATCCTTCTGCCTCAGCCTCTTGAGTAGCTGGGATTAGAGGTGCACATGGCCATGCCTAGCCAATTTCTTAATTTTTAATTTTTTGTAGAAACAGGGTCTCACTTTGTAGCCCAGGGTGGTCTGGAACTCCTGGCCTCAAGCAGTCCTCCCACCTCAGCCTCCCAAAGTGTTGCGATTAAGGGCAGAACCAGTGTGGCCAGCTAATGTTAGTTTTAAATTTTTTTCTTTTCCTTGCTGTATTAGTCCATTTTCACGCTGCTGATAAAGACGTACTCGAGACAGGGCAATTTACAAAAGAAAGAGGTTTAATTGGACTTACAGTTCCATGTGGCTGGGGAAGCCTCACAATCATGGTGGAAGGCAAGGAGGAGCAAGTCACATCTTATGTGGATGGCAGCAGACAGAGAGGGTTTGTGCAGGGTAATGTCCCTTTTACATCCCTTTTTAAAACCATCGGATGTCGTGAGACTTATTCACCATCACGAGAACAGCACAGGAAAGACTTGCCCCCATGTTTCAGCTACCTCCCGATGGGTCCGTCTCACAACATGTGGGATTTCGCGATGAGCTTTGGGTGGGGACACGGACAAACCATGCTTTCTCTTTTTTTGTTCAAAGTTTTCTTCGGATGTTTTACCTGTTAAGGTTACTACATGTATTACAGATCAGTTGCACCCTCTAAGTGGGCAATTATTTCTTTATAGAAGAAATCCAGAAGGCCTGAATGGAGTATGCTCAATTTTCTCAATGGAGTATGCATGATATCTTTTCTCAGATGAATCAATTAGATAAGTTCCTTTTTCTTCCATGGTGGGGGAGAGATTTGGAAGGGCAGAGAATAGAGGACTAAATACTCTCCACTTACTTCCTCTGTAACAGCTAACTGCATTACATAAAATTGTTTAACAATTAAGGTATTTTAGTAAGGGAACCTATATAATGTATACAGTTCAGGGACATTGGCTTTTATTATGTAGGGATAAAACTGTACAGAGAGTAAAACAATATGTTATATAGCTCATATCCCCTTACGTGGTTTTAGGTATTCAATGTTTACCATCATCTTCTGTCAAGTGTAATCATCTTTTGTCTTGGTAAATTCGTGGTTTGGTACTGCTTTATTTGCTAATATTTTGATACATAGATTTAAAGAGAAATTATGTACTTTAGGTCTCAGACTTCCAGAAATCAGTATTGGTATTTTGAGCACATTTATATTATTGTATGAATAATTTGTGAGTAAATTATGAAAATTTATTAATTTTTAATGTATGTTTTTAGGAAGTATTCTACATATGTTTCCATGGATTATGTATCTGTTAGTATTTGCTTAATTAAAAAAAATTCCAAAACTCAATAGCATAAAATAACTTTCGTTTATTATCACCTGTGTATCCATGGGCCAGCTGCTTTCAACTTAGCTTGGTTGGGTGGCACTGCAGATTTTGGCAGGGCTTTCTCACATGGCAGTGGTTAGCTGGGATTAGTTGGAGTAGCTCTGCTTCACGTGTCCGTCATCCTCTTTCTGTCACTAGCAAGCTGTCCTGTGGATGGTTTTCTCATGTGGATGATAGAAACATAAGAAGGCATGTAGAAGCATATGAGGCCTCTTAAGGCCTAGTCTTGGGACTAGGACACTGACGCTTTTACCTGTTTCTGTTGGCCAAAGAAAATCACATGACTGAGCCCAAATCAAAGAGCAGGAAATTTATCTGCCTCATTTATTGGGACAGACTGCAGAGTTACATGACAAAGTGCATGTAAAAAGTGAAGTTTGAAAATTTAGGGCCAATAATGCAATCTACTACAGATAAAATTGAAAAATCTTGTTGTATTAGTCAGGGTTTTCTAGAGGGACAGAACTAATAGGATAGATATACATATAAAGGGGAGCTTTATATGTATATAAAGTATTACCTCATGAAATCACAAGGTCTCACAATATGCCATCTGTAAGCTGAGGAGCAAGGAAGCCAGTCCGACTGCAAAAACTGAAGCAGTTGGAGAGATGTTCAAGGGCAGGAAGCATCCAGCATGGGAGAAAGATGTAAGCTGGGAGGCTAAGCCAGTCTAGTCTTTTCCTGTTCTTCTGCCTGCTTTTTATTCTGGCTGTGCTGGCAGCTGATTAGATTGTGCCCACCCAGATTAAGGGTGGGTCTGCCTTTCCCGGCCCGCTGACTCAAATGTTAATCTCCTTTGGGAACACCCTCAAAGACACACCCAGAATCAGTACTTTGCATCCTTCAGTCCAATCAAGTTGACACTCAGTATTAACCATCACAGTTGTAAAAATAAAAAAGTCATATTATCAAAAATTTAAATGGAGTAATAGGTTGTATTTTTGGTTTTTTTTTAACTAAGTGGTAATATGTGTACTCAGATAGGTTGTTGAACACCTTTTTTAAGAGATTAGAAAAATGTTGCTTTTTAATGTTAGTGATGAAATTTGGCAGAGTGTAAAAAGCTTTTGTTTTGGGTTAATGATACCTCTTTGGAAAATATGGAAAGAGTTGAGAGTTGTAGGCATCTCATTTTATTTTATTTTATTTTTATTTATTTATTTTTTTGCAGTTGCAAGATTTAATAGAGTGAAAACAGAGCTCCCATACAAAGGGAGGGACCCAAAGAGGGTAGCCATTGCCGGCTCAAATGCCTGGGTTTATATCCTGATCATTGTCCCTCCCTCTGTGCTCTCAGGCGATAGATGATTGGCTGTTTCTTTACCTCCTGTTTTTGCCTAATTAGCATTTTAGTGAGCTCTCTTTACTACCTGATTGGTCAGGTGTGAGCTAAGTTGCAACCGACGTTTAAAGGTGGGGTATCTCATTTTAAAAAACCTTCAGTATATAATGTTTGATTTCCATATCTGACTTTTTACCTTTTTTTTAAATTAGAATACCTTCTTTTAAGCTTTATTTTTCAGAAAACTCTGAGTTTTGAGTAATGAAATTTTATTTATTTCATTTGAAATTCAGCCCAAATATAGTTTTTAGTTTTCTCTAGGGACTTGTTTTTTGTGATTGAGGATTTCTACTTCAAAGGTCTCTGGACAGAAGAAAGGGAATTAAAGTTTGTTTAAAATTTATTCTGCTTATTTTAACATTAAAAGTTTGGAAGAGGTGGATTGAGTTCAAGGTTATGATTTCTTTAGCTATGATATGATATTTCAAGGATGTGAATGTACACCAAGAAAGCATTTTTTTATTCTGTTTAATTATTCTTAAACTAGAGAAGCCTGGGTTTAATTAAAAGACAGGGAGTCTGCCAAATGAGGGAGTGGTGGAAGTTGCTGCATGGTCAGGTGCCCCAGTCTTGTGAGATAATCTGAACAAGTTACACCTGAGTTTTCTGAAAGTTGGGGATTCATAGGTAAAATTAATGTTCTTTTTGCTTTAAAATTCTATGAGAAAAATATTCTCAGAAAAGACAAGATTGCTTAGACAGTAATAATAAAAGGAACAAGTTTATATGTACCTTCTCATAGATTGTAAAATAGCATATGTTCATTTATCTAACCTTGTTAAAGGAAAGTTGCAAGTTAATGAATGCTTTATGTTTTTTTGAATTCCCAAACTCAATTTTTATTAGACTGATTTCTGTGCGAATCACATATTTACTTGCATTCTTAAAATATGATGATTAACGTTTTGTTAATAAAGAATCATTATTAGACTATCAATTTCTATACTGTAATATATAACCTTCTCAGGGCTTAATGGTATATGTGTGGCAATTTGATTTTAGTCAATTATTTTGGTCCATTATCTGTTATCTGGATAGAATTTACCTCTTAGCCCATTTTGACTCTTTTGATTCCCCTAACCCTAGATGAGATTTTTTTGAAAGTCAGATGAGGAAGTTTCTTTGGCTCTTGAGATAGAATTTAAAGTATGGCTGATCCCTGTCTGCCTTGCCAGTCTCATCTCACCTTATCGTCTCCTCTGCTTCCTAGAGCATATCAGCTTTCTTTAAGTTGTAAAGAAAGTCATACTGGCTTTCTTTGAGTTATTCAGAGTCATCAATTCTTTTCTAAATTGATGGCATTTGTACATAGTACTCAGTATCGCTAGTATATTGTTCTCCCAAGTCTCTGCCTGGTTGATTCCTAATTATCCTTCAATCTCAAATATCACTTCCTTAGACCTGATCTGGTACCCTGTCTTCCTCATCTTCCTTCACAGTTTAAATTTAGGTTTCTCATATAAGTTCTTTCATATTATTATGATATATAATTATTACAATATATCTATTTGTGTGATTGCTTCTACCTTTAGACTGTAAATTCTGTGATAACAGAAACCTTATTTTTGTTCACCACTGTTTAGCCCATAAATAGTATGGTGTTAAATAGCTATTTCTTAAAACCAGTATTATAAGATATACTTTGATCTCAGACGTGTTAAAGAAAAGTGGGCAATAGCATTAATAAGACATTTATCTATTTTAAGATGATCTTTTGAGATGTAAAATGTGAAAAAATGTGTGTCATTGAATTAATACAGTATGATGTAATAAGCATCCTTACATGAGAATTATGAAAAAGCCAATTTCCCATTACTTGAAGCCATAAAGACATTTCTTAATTTGCTTGTGATAGACTTTATTTATTAAAAATATGTCCTCTCAAAATTACTTTTTTGGTTAGCTGGACAGGTAGTGAATCAAATGAATAAGAAGCTACAGACGGGTTTTACAGAACCAGAAGTGTTACAGATATTCTGTGATACCTGTGAAGCTGTTGCAAGGTTGCATCAGTGTAAGACTCCAATAATTCACCGGGATCTGAAGGTAAGAACTTTAGAATTCCTATGGATTAAGTAATAAGTTGGAGTTAAAATGTTCTTGGAGTATTTTCATCTAAATCAGTATAAAAACTGGCTTTGAGGTTGGTCTCTCTCTCCCCTTCTACATTTCCTGAGGTCATGTAAAGAATGACTGTAGCTTTGAAATTGTGCTTTACTTGACTTTGAGGATTTCTAGCATGGCTGTGGAGGCAGATTTTGTACCTTCTACCCTGCATCCCTGTTTTCTATAGTAGGCTTCTTTAAAAGGTTTCATTTGAACATAAATGTGATTTTCATTGACATATGTTAAATGTCTCTCCACACTATTGTCTCTCAGTTCAGCCAGCATTTCTCCTATTAACTGTAATCAATATTAAGCATCAAAGTGTTCTCAAGAGATACTGGAGGAGACCATAAGTGGGTCTCTTTTTCTATTTCTTTATAATTTGGTACAGTTTTCTATTATTTTCTATAATTTGGTGGTAGTTATCTTGAAGGTCACTTCATCTTCTGTGGATTCTTGACCTCTTATATTGGTACCCACTTGTTACATTGAAAAAAGTCCCCAAAGAATATTGAATATTCTGGCATTATATTGCTAGAGATATAATTTATAACTGCAGGTGTCCTCTTTCATGCCCAGAAGAACACTGAGATTACAAAAATCACTCTTCCTGAATTGCTTTATGCCTAGATATTCCTCTGACTACCCTTTCCACTCCTTCAGGTCTGCTCAGGTTCACCTTCTCAGTGAGTCCCATCACTATAGCCTAACCTGCTGCACCTTTTATTAGTCCATATTACTTCCTGTGATACTGTATAATTTGCTTATGTACTATGCCTATTATTTATTTCCTGCCCTCTCCCTCTAGAATGTAAGCTCCATGAGGGCCAGGACTTTTCTTTTTTTTTTCTTCCATTTTTAGTGATGTGTTTAAGCAGTTAAAATAGTGCCTGATACATAGCAGAGTCTTAATAAATATTGAATGATTAAATCCCAGTTCTGACTGATTATACAGAATTTTATGAAAGTTTATTATAAAATGCTTGTAAGATAAAAGAGAAAATGTCACTAAAAATATAGGCTGTTAATCATGAAAGCATCATCTAGAAAACCTATGATGGTAGGAGATAAGGCAGCATTGAAATGCTTAACTGCAGGCATCTCGCCTTAATTTGGATAACCAGTGTAGTTCATGTTAGTTCTTTTGAATATGCAGCTTTTCCATTTCCCCTAATAATTTGATACCATTTTTTGTGCTATTATAGTTCATTAATTTTTTTGCATGCAAAGTTGATATCTTCAGCTGACTCTTCTTTAAATTCAGAAGACATTTAACTGCATAATTTTGTATTGTCCATATTTTATATGCTTAGTGCTTTTTATGTGTAAACTTATGCAAAAATATATGTTCTAAGTAGATTTCTTTCTGAATCTTTATTTTGTACAAATTTTTAAAAAAGTATACTAAAGTGAAATATAGAAGAAAAGTTATAATAAAACAGTATTTCGATAAAATGGAAATAAATGAATTACTTATCTAAGACTATCATAAAAATAAAAGACATTATGGAAAAAACATGTAATAGTAATTTATTAGGTGCTTACCATATTCCAGACTGTTCTAAGCACTTTACATATTTTAACTCATTTAATGTTCACAACAGTTCCATATGGCAGATTCATATTCTAATTGTCCCCATTTTACGTAAGGAAACTAATGCACATGAATGGTTAAGCAGATTGTCCAAGGGTCCATATGCTAGTTAGTAGGAGATTGGGCTCTGAACCCATATTTTACTGTTCAAGAAACTGACTATAATAATTTATTTTAATTACTACAACCCTGATCTCCAAATTAAGTCAAATTTGTATTTTTTCAGTGTAGTATTTTAAATAAAAATGGTACTAGAAATCAAAGATGGAATTCCAGTAGTTTCTGTTATTATCTATAGAGAAGCTTAAGTGTCAGAAAAGGAGAAAATTGGAAGTATAGTAAAAGAGAGAAGCTGGACTCTGCCAGGTACTAGTTCTTCTCTTTTATAAAAACAGTTTTAGATAGGATTTAGGGTTTCTTTGCCCCTGTACAAATCAACCTGGGTTGGAAGAAGCATTTCTCTGTTCTTAGTAAGAGAAGCAGTAGACATAGTATATTTTTGCTCCCATTCATTTGACCTTCCTCATAATTTGGGTATCTTATGTCTATATATGTGTGTGTGCACTGTGCACATATATGTATATATATGGCACATGTATACTTATTTTTGTATATGGCATATACCCTTCGGTGTTTATTGTGTAAAAATAAGCTTCGTATGTACAAATAACCATTTTTTACAAAGATTGTAAAAAGTTAATTTTCACTTTGAAAATACTACTCATTATTGATTTTCTTTTCTTAAGGTAGAAAATATTTTGTTGAATGATGGTGGGAACTATGTACTTTGTGACTTTGGCAGTGCCACTAATAAATTTCTTAATCCTCAAAAAGATGGAGTTAATGTAGTAGAAGAAGAAATTAAAAAGTAAGTATTTGTCTTTATTGCACTTTTGTCATGGTAATTTTAAGTTAACTTGAGTCTCTGGCCAGCACTGCTAATACAAATTTTAGGTATTTCATTTATAGATTTCTTTGAAATATTTCTGTGCCATAGATGTTGATTAATTCATGTCTGATCTAGCTCAGTAGGAAATATATTTTGCCATAGATGCAGATTTTTTTAGTCTACATTGTAAACAGATTTGTAAAATTTGTTAAATAAGCTGTAGTAATTAGTGAAATTGTTAAAGGGAGTTTGAAATGATTATTGAATTCAGTTAAACATCTTTGTTTTTACTGATACTGAGGATTTGTCCTTGTTAAGAAAAAGTTAAATTATTTGAAAACATTTAAGCTTTTACTTCTTATTTAATATTAAAAGGATTGACTTTTTATGCATTGAAAACTGTGTAGAAAATGAAAGTGTTAAGACTGCATCATCACTGTTACTTTGTAATGTTATACTGGAAAGCTCTGGAATGGAAATATGTCATATCTACTTTATGTTCTCTTAATCCGGTGCTTTCTGTGGTTGCTAAAGTACCTGTGAGAATCTTTCGCTGACTCTTCTGCTTTCTACTTTTAGAAAATGGAACTATTTGTAAATTTTAGGTTATCTTAATAAAGTGATACAGAATGCAGGAAGATCTCTCAGAATAGGACTTTCTAAATAGTTAACCTTTTCTGAGTTGCCTTTCATCACTTCCTCACAAATTCTCTATTGCCTAATACTATGTCAGAGCCATCATTTGAACTGCAATATTTTGAAATAGTTCAAATAGAGCTGATTTTACTCTGGCCCATTTGTATAATACTGTAGATTTCTACGCTACATACTACTACTCAGGAAACTTAGCCTATGATGATTATGTTAGATTTAATAAAAACAAACATGTTAGTAAATATATAAAGTCCTGAAGAATACAAGAATAATAAAGTATTGAATTGGCTTATTGGAGAATACATGTATATAATTTTAAAAATTTATTGGATTGTGATGTTTAGTGGCTGCTGTATAGGATTCTGTCCAAGCATCCCTGACCTGCTAGACATTTTATTTCTTGCTGTTGCCTTTTGAAGTATAAGGTTCAATTGAATGTTTTATTAGCGATGAACAAAAGTTCATGAGGGGTTTTGTCCTTTGTGGCTCAATTAATGGACTTACCATTCATTCAGTTGACAAGTATTTATTAAGGGCCAACACTTTTTTGATGCTGGGGTGGGGGTATAGTGAATAAAAATCCTGTTTTGGTGAACTTTATATTTCTGGCTTCTTAGGTCATTCCTCCACAGTAGTAGTATTCAGACTCTCTCACCAGTCAGAGTGTTTGGAAAAAGTAAGATAGTAGAATGTTGACTTTTAAGATACTTCTTGCAAAATAAAATGATGCAATCCAAATCTTAAATTATGCTGTGATATAGGATGTCCATTCATCTTCTGAGCATTTGTGACATGAGATTTGAGCACTACTTCATTAAAATGTTCTGTTCATAATAAATATGGGGGTTTTCTATTGGTAAATATTTATTCATAATACCTTTTGATTCCAAATAGCTTATTATGGCAGTCAGTATTAGAAATATACTTAATGAGTGCAGTTAGATTGTAGCAAACAGATTACTTTTAAAATAATTATAAAAACAAACTCAAAAGAGATTTACTACTGTGTCAAGGAAGTACGTTAGAGTCCATAAAAACAATTTCCTTAGTAAATATATAAATTAAGTTTTTGAGAGGGTGGAAGTTTTACTTTTAAGTTAATAGACTAAAATATTTTGATAAGGAGACTATAATAGCCAAATTGTGTTATTTCACATAAGAAATTCAAGGAAAACTGTTTCCAATATATTGTCATTATTTCAGATTTTTATAATAAAGACAATTAAGCTTTTAGATTATTAGAAATACTGTTGTATTTATTGAATAAAAATGTATATAGATGCTTTGTATTGTTTAATCCTTGACGGGTTTTTAATGAGTTTTTAAAAATAGTATTACTCTATATAATGTTATTGAACCTAAAAGACTTTTTTTGTAGTGTTTTATGTAGAAACAATGTATTATCTGTCTTTTTTTTATATATATATATATATCTCCACTCCATTTCACTCATTTACTGCCAGGTATACAACTCTGTCATACAGAGCCCCTGAAATGATCAACCTTTATGGAGGGAAACCCATCACCACCAAGGCTGATATCTGGGTAAGGCCAAGAAAGGCTGGAACTTGCTCTAACCAAATTAAAAAATCTGAGTTCAGTTTATTATTTTTTACTCTGCTCCCCAAAAGGCATTTCCTAATAAGTAGAAGAGAGTGATGTACAGTAGAGCTTCTTACTTGGGAGAAGAAAAGTACTAGAACATTTTATCTTCTCAATCCTGAGATGGAAAGCTTATGTATCAAAAAGCAAATAAAAAACTTCCATATAATGTAACTTTTTAACTACAGTATTTTTTGAGGATTTAGATTATATATGAGTGTTAACATTTTTTTTGAGTGGAATTTTGGTTGATCAAAATATGGAAAAGCTGGACATAACTCTTAAGTAATTACACAATAATTTTCTGGAGTATTTTAGGGTCTTTTTAATGGAAATTGATATGAGTAAATGTTTTTCTAATTACAGTATAAACATACCATTGACTAGCTTTTGTATATTGAGGGTCTTTATCATTTAGCCTGTATATATCTGGATATAATTACTGAGATAGACCATATTTCTTTATAGTTGAACTTTGTTAGAATATAGACATCTCTTTAGAACTTATTTTATAAATACGTTTGTGATTGTACTTAATAAAGTAGGAAGAGAGTATTTTAAGTGTTAATTCATTTAAATTCAGCAGTTACTTAGCCATATCTATCACAAGTGACCATATTAGGAATGGAGGAATAAAATTCTTTGGAAATAGTTCTAGGGTTTGTAGAAAAGGTCAGATTTATTTTGTTTTGAAAACGTAATGTACAGAAAATTGTCAGGCGTAATGTGTAGAAACCAAATGAATATCTCCTTGGTTTTCCTTTCCTGGCCTCCTCCCTTTTAGGGTTGGGGTACCAAAGTCTTGAGAGACAGATATTCTTTTGTAAGGTAATTAAAAAAAAATCTTTAATATCTTTTCATCTATATAACATATATACATTCACCAAACAGTAATTCTTGTGGTAGATGAATTTTTTAAAATCACATGTATAATTTAATTAAAAATAAGTTTATTAATTTGGTACTACTTATAGATCTCCAGCTTACATAACTCAAATTTAGTTTGCTTTCTGCAGCATTAACATTTGACTCATTGAATGGCTTATAGTAAAGATGAAGGTTATTATAATGTAGAAAGCAAATTAAACTGGATTTTAATTTATAAAATCAAGGTGTTAGAAGAGGTGATTATGGAGGTCTTTTCTGGCCTAATTTTGTGACTGCTGTTGAATTCCATGTTACTTGAAAAGAGTATTTCAATAGCAGATAAACAATAGGCATCATACTTTTCATTCTGAAGCCATTGAAGGTTTACTGCAGAAAAATTATTCTCTAAGCACATGACTGTTATCCAATATCTTAACAAAAAAGGAGGAGATCATTTTCTGGGTTATTTTTTCCTCAGACTTAGTATGCCAGTGAGGTAGCATACTAAATTGTCAATGACACTTTTAAAATTTGTACTGTTTATATATTAGTTACAGAGTAGAGATTCTGTGATGGAAAAACTGTAAGCTGTGGGCTTACAAATAGATACTTGAAAAAAAAAAGAAACATAATTAGAGAACAGTGTATTTATATGCTTGAAAGAGGGAGAATTTTAATTTCCCTGATGCCATTTTTATGCTGTCTTACTTAGCTCAGGTGAAACACAAGTTTGCTACAATACTTTAGGTGTGAATTCAGTAATATCCAGAAAAAAATACTAAATTCAAATTGGCCAAGAACTGTATCTTTCATCCTGCTTCAATGTAGTACTGATTCAGAGAGTTATGATATTGAGGCATGATATTGAAGTATTTAGCACTTCATATTTTAGAAAATAATTATTTTAAAAAATAATTTTTTGCTTGGAAGTTTCTGTTTTAGGTTATTATTTTTATCCCGAGATTTAGGATGCTGATTTTATAAAGTATTAGAAAATTCATTAATAGGTAACATAAAGAAATGCTTTATGTTACCTATTAATGAAGAAAATTGAAGATGGTTATCCTCAGCCTTCAAAATTCAGTCACTGGTTCCCTCCTGTTTCTTGTACAATTCTCATTGAGATTGATAAAAAGGGAAATACCTTTGATGTGAAAAAATTAGTGTACCTCATTGTGTTCACACTTTACAAAGCAGAATATTTAGATTTATATATTTTTAAAGTATACTTGCATTGCTAAAATTGTTATCTGGGAACCCTACAACATTTACTCTAACACAAGACAAATTCCTAAAGTTTGATTGACAAAATAAAACTGGCTAAGATTTCTTTTGCCTAGGCTATCATCTGGACAGTGCAAAGAAAGATGTAGTCTAATGTGGACATTATACCATTAATAGCATTTTTTTTTAAGTGTTGTTAAGGGAGTCTTATGTTCAATTTGATGTATATGAGCTGAAAATATCTTCCTTAAAGAAAAAAGCATCATAAATCTTTTGTAACCATATGGAACCTGTTATCCCTACTTCAGATATTTATAATTTTGTCATGTAATAACCCAGTAATTTTTTTGAACTAACATTTTGAAATTTTTAGAGCTTTTGAACTGTTTTCATTGGACCATTGCTGCAATATTGAAAGCAATCTTTTGTAAATTACTGTTGCTGAACTCACCAAGAGTGTTTAGGTCTATTATAAGCTCCATAATAATTATAAAAATAAGTGCACTTGTTAGCTGAGTTTACTAAGTTGATATGTGGAGAAAATTTAACAAAGGAAAGCTGACTTGGTAATTTTTAGATAATAAGGCCAAGTTTCGGTATTGCTGATATAAGTGTATACTAACTTGGACAATTTTATACAATTTGGTTAGAATTGGAAATACCCCTTACACTCTTAAGGCCTGTAGGTGACACTTCTTGGGAAAAAGTAATGATTTCTTGAGCCAAAAAATCACTTAAAAAAAAATCCTTCTTAAATTTGAGCTGTTAGCACCTTAGCTAGAAATTTCCTGTGCTACTTTTATAGATGCAATTGGTATTTTAGGGTGTTTTGCCCTCATTGTCAGCAAGTAGATTTATTAGTGCTGTGATGGTTATGAAGCCATGCAGGTTAAGCAGACAGAGCCTTTCCCTTTTGAATTTTAATATAGATTACCCAGGTTACACATACAATTAGTATAATGTACAGTAGAAGTTGGAGGGTTATATCTAGAAACACAGAACTTAATTTTTATAGTGTAAAATAATGAGGTGTACCTGGTAAATAGTAAGAATTTACTGATGGTAGTCTGATAAGTTTAACTGTGCTGGCTAATTCATATTTGGAATCCCAGGACTTTTAAACATGCTTTATAGTGAATGCTTAAAAATGCTGTTAAAGAAGAAGCTTTATACTTTGTTGGTTATATGCTAGTTATGTATTAAGTATATATTTTCCTTGTGGAAGAAATAAAAGTTTAATTTTTTTCCAAAAAGAACCAGCTACTTCTAATTTTTACGATACCATTAATTCAGCCAACTAGCCACAGATGTGATAGAAGATCATGGAAATGATATAGTTAAATGTCTTTTCAAAAATTAAATATATTAATTTTTTTAAGAAATAATTTGTAAAAAGATTGCTGCAGTATAGAAACATGACTTTTTTAAAGTAACATTGAGTTTTTGGCTATTTTTGTGTCTTGTTAACTTGAGCTCTAATGATATTTATGCTTCTTTGGTTTACAGGCACTGGGATGTCTACTCTATAAACTTTGTTTCTTCACTCTTCCTTTTGGTGAGAGTCAGGTTGCTATCTGTGATGGCAACTTCACCATCCCAGACAATTCTCGTTACTCCCGTAACATACATTGCTTAATAAGTAAGTATTTGGGAAAATGTATGAAAATATTGTAGGATACTGTACTTAGGGCCTACTATTTACATTCCTTTACTTAAATCTAGTCTTAATTTCATATATGAAAATTTTGTGAAACTATAGTAAAGAAAAAAACATTTAAAAAAGTGTTTAAAAACTTACATAAGAATGAAAGCAACCTAATTATTGATTAATATAGATGTTTTTAAGCCCCTGGGTAAGATTTAGTAGCACACACCAAGGGATAATGTCAGAAGGGCTAGTCTTCGAGAGGCCCTCGATTTCAAAAGAATATTTTAATTTTTCTTCCAACCTCCTTTAAGATTTTTTTCTTCCATTTTGGTAGGTACTGTAATTTAACTTTTTATATATCTACAAGGCAAAATTTATTAAAAAGATTTGAGGAGCGGGGAGGACCATCAGCTATTAAAATAAATTAGGAAGCTACAATATTTAAATAGCTCCTTTTAACACGGAGTGTGTCTAGCATTAAGTGTGTTGTGTCTAGCATTTCTGCTTTGTTTTCTGCATTCAAGTACCCCTTGTTGTAGCCTCCAGCTCACTGGAATAGAAAAGAGAGAAATAGAAATATTTTGAGGTTTGTATGATGAAGATGGCAGTTCAACTTTCTCAGCCGTTTGTGGGCAAAAAATAAGGCTGGATCTCTATTTCATTCTTTATGCTAAAATTGCAGATAAATCAAAGATTTAAATATAAAAATAAATGTACTTGAAGAAAATAAGTGTGAAATTATTTATAAGAGTAGAATGTGGAATTTATAAGCTAGACATTTAATCCCAGGAACTATTATTAAAAAAAGATTAATCCATTGCCATATAACTTTAAACCATTAAAAGTTCCCCCAGACTCATGAACCCAAACTCATAAATTAGAAATATTTATTACTCATTTGACAAATGTCTAAGTTTTATAATTTATGAAGCTCGTGTAAATCATAAAGAAAAGGGTAAAAATTCCAAAAAAGGTCAAAAATGACCAAAAGAAAAAAGGGAGCATAGAAGAAATCTAGTCTGACTTGTGATTTAATTTGCTTACAGTAGTAGGATCTTATTTTCTTGTGATTAGGTTTTTCTTTTTTTCTCTGTGTGTATGTAATGTGGGAGTGGGGTGGGGTTATGTGTGTTTGTAATGTGAGATGGAAAAAAATACTACTGATAATTTTAGATCTAATTAGGCTCTAGTTAATTGATGCATTACAGTGTATTATATGCTTCCCTTACTGTCAGTAAATGTGCTAATTTTAGTTTTTATCATTGCTAGTATAAATTTAATCATGTATTATGTCTTTGAACTTATTTCTGAGAGCTAGGCAAAAATAACAAAAGGTTGAAAAAACATAAAAGCATTCAAGTCAATCTGAAATTACAATATTCCTAGTATTTTACCTCCTGTCAGAGGGCTTTATGGACTTTTAAAGTATTGTATTGAGTAGTAAAAGCTTAATAAAGTACAGATTTTAAAACCATAACTTACTTACCTATAATGTAATGTGTTTTAGAAAACATTTAGATTCTTTGCAATTTTTTTCTTTTTCTTTGTCTTCTTCAAGAGACAAGGTCTCATTCTGTGGCCCAGGACCTGCTGGAGTACAGTGTTGTGATCATAGCTTACTATACAAACTCCTGGCCTCAAGTGATCCTCCCACCTCAGCCTCCTGAGTAGCTGGAACTATGGGCATGTGCCACCATGCTGGTTTAATTTTTAAATTTTTGTAGAGATTGGGTTTTGCTGTATGCCCAGGCTGGTCTCAAACTCCTGGCCTCGAGCAGTCCTGCCACCACAGTCTCCCAAAGTGTTGGGATTACAGACATGAACCACCATGTTTGGCCTGCCATTTTATTCTTTATATTTTTCAAATGTGGCCTTTTGTGTCTTTTGCCATTTTATTTCAGTGTCTCTGTGTTTATAATATGTAATTAGTGATTTATATTACTTTTAAATAAATCCTACATTCAGAAAAATCAGGAATTCCTAGCTTGGCTCATAGTTTTTGAATGTGAAGCTTTTGTCAATTGTGTATTCATGCAATGTAGTTGTTTCCATATATTAACATAAAATAAAGCATAAGAAGATACACATCGTTTTCGTATTAGTTCCATTTGCATCCATTTTATAACACACAGAAATTTTGAAAATGAAATAGCCATGACAAATCTTTGTTAAAACTGTATGGTTTGTGGTTACCTAAGAATTTGAATATACTTTTCTTATTACTAATTTAGGTCAAGGGTAGTTACCATTATTTACTCTTCATAAACCTATTAATTTCTTCTTTCTTTCCTGGAGACTTTTCTTCTTAAAAGTAGTGGAGTCAAATATTTAGAACTTTTCTTAGCTTTTGTTAACTCTCCCAATAGACAAGTAATGGGGCCGACATGGGGGATGAGGAAAGAAGTACTTTCCAGATCCAGGAGTTGAAAAGAACTTAGAGAACCATTTAGAGGAGAATGAGAAACATAACTAACGGGATTACTGAATAGTTATGAAGAATGTACTGAAAGCTGGCTGCCTCAGTTGTCTTTTGGCTCCTGTGTTGTAAGGTGATTAAAGAAGTACATTGCAGAGATTAAGAGCAAGACTTCTAGAGCCAAACAGCCTTGGATTGCATCTGCTCTGTCCCTGTTTGGTATGGAACATTGAGCACCTCCATTTATCTCAGTCTTCCCATTTCTAAAAGGGGCATTTAAAAAGTACCCACCTCTTACGGTTATTGTGAGAATTAAATGAAAGCTGAAAAGTGCTTTTTAGTAAGAGATAGCCTTTAATACTATAGTCATTATTACTATAAAAACTAGTACTACAACTACTCTTGATATCAATATTACAATTCTTCATCTAACTTAATTTCTGATTTTCTGGATAGGGGCAGGACATGCTGTCAGACACTTACTAGAGCATACTTTCCCTGCAGAAATGTCTTTGGATGCTTTGAAGTGGAATTTGGTTTTATGGGTTAATGGTGGATCTACCAAAGGCTTACCATAAATTATCATATATTCCAGAATATACTGTTAAATATAACTACTAAGATTATTTTTCTTACCTCCTTATTTTGTGCAGTAAGGTAATGATGAACACCAGGTAAAAGCTTTTTTTTTTTTTTTTTTAAACTTTAGGGTCTTCTCACTTATTGCTTTATGGTTTCTTTATCTTTGCTCTTAAGAGCTCATCTATTGGGGCTAAATTTATTATTATTATTATTATTTATTTATTTTTTAAGACCATGTCTCACTCTGTTGTCCAGGTTGGAGAGCAATGGTGTGATCTTGGCTCACTACAACCTCTGCCTCCCAGTTTCAAGAGATTCTCCTGCCACAGCCTCCTGAGTAGCTGGGACTACAGGCCTATGCCACCATGCCTGGCTAATTTTTGTATTTTTAGTAGAGATGGGGTTTCACCATGTTGGTCAGGCTGGTCTTGAACTTCTGACCTCAGTGATCTGCCTGCCTCGGCCTCCCAAAGTGCTGGGACTATAGGCATGAGGCACTGCGCCCGGCCATGTATTTATTGACAGGATCTAGCTATGTTGCCCAGGCTGGTCTCAACCTTCTGGGCTCAGCTGATCCTCCTGAGTAACTGGTACTACACGTGTGAGCCACTGTGACTGGTTCGATTAGGGTTAAATTTATTTCAATACCCATATTGTGGGAAACCAGGAATTTGCTTGCTTGTTTTTACTACATTTAAATTTGTTATGGAAATTTAATAATCTCTACAAATACAGACAGAGCAGTGCAATAAATTTTCATGTACCTCATGAAAATACCTCACCCAACCTCACTGGTTATCAACTCATGGCCAATCTTGTTTCCTCTATAACCTCACCCACTCTCTTCTCCTATATTATTTTTGAAAAAAAAAATAGCTACTTAAAAGTACCTTTGAAATGAAAGATGAAGATACGGTTTCCTTGGAGCTTTTCAATCACTGGCTCTGGGTTTCTACTTGTAGAGAGAGGGCTCTGATCAGTAACTTTTCGGGGTAGTTACCAGGTCTATTCCAAATATATTATCCTGGCATTATTTAGTGCCACTTAATGTTTTAGTTATGATTGAACATATTATCAGCTATTAAATTTAGTTTCATTTCAGCACCCATATACTAAGATATGTAGGACATATAGAGTAACATGTAAGTTTCTATAACAATGTCTGTAGGTTAACAGATAGAAATAATGTTGATGCATGAAATATTTATGGTTGGAAAATTGGAGTGGATGTTTCTCATTTCAGGGAAATTAAGGGCAATAACTTGAAGTTTGTGGGAGAGAAAAATGTGTCTTTATGGAGGGAAAACCAAACAAATTTTAAGCAGGAAAATTGTTTTGAGACTTCTATCCAGAGTATTTTCTTTTTAAATTTGTTGAGCTGTTAGATTAGAGATGGTGGCTTAACTTTATCTAGGCCCAGGCATGGATCCTTCGTTTTGTGTAACTTGAATGGTAACTACTTTAATTTTTGGCTTAGGTCCTTGACTAAACCATGGTATAACTTGGCTGCTGCAACAGGCAGCTCCTTTAGCTTCTATTTTTGTTGGAATGTGCAGGGATTTTGTGCTTTTCTATGCAATATTGGTATAGGCATAATTAAATCAGTTGCCTCAGACCAGTGTGTACATCAATAAGAAATATTGTTGTAGTTTTAGTCTTATACTACCTTCAGTGCTGAAGCTCTATTTTGTGTTCTTAGGTTGTGTTAGTAGTATTTGTGTCAATAGAAAGATTTACACTATTGAGTGAGCAGAGAAATATTATTTCTTCGTGGCTAAGTTTTAAAAAGTTGATTTTATATTTATAGTAGAATCAGATTCAGTGGTAATGGTCTTGTGATGATTCAGGTGATCATTTTAAGTTGAGTAAACAAGGGCGTATTCTAGTTTCTCTGCCTTTTTTGTTTTGTTTTTAAACCTGATCACGTAATACTACTTTTAGGTGAACTGGACACATACATTCCTTAATCCATTTCTTTTCCCCAAAAGCGTATTTTGTTAATAGATGATATGGTTTTATTGTCATGAAGTAGCAATTAATAAAACACTGAACTCGAGGTTTAATTATTTGCAGGAGAAAATGGCTTTAGAAAAACTATAAAAATTGAAGGGTCAAATTCTTTCTTTCTTTCTTTTTTTAAAGAGACAGGGTCTTTCTGTTGCCTATGCTGGATTGCAATGGTGAGATCATAGCTCACTGCAGTCTTGAACTCCTAAGCCCAAGCCATCCTCTCACCCCAGCCTCCTAAGTAGCTGGGATTACAGGCAAGAGTCACCATGCCTGGCTGAAATGTCCTTGAATCAGTGTTTAGCTGTATTAAATGTGATACCTCTGCGCACTCTAGATTACATCCTTCAGTAATCCAGTGGTACATTTTGCAACCCATTCTCTTGAAGAGTTCAGTAAATTATATTATTTAACTTAAGTGCTTAAAGATGCCTTATTGATTTTTTTTCCTTTTTTTTAAATTGCTGATAATATTCAATTTAGAAATATTCAGAGATAAAAATGTAGCCAAGTTCTACCTGTGGGTTTTAGGTATGATTATTCATCTTTTCATACTTTGAATTTAGAACCAAGTCAGAGATGGTCCACTGGAGCTCATCAGATAAAACTGTCAACTTTTTAGTACTGGTAAAGCAGATTGCAGAATGAAATTTAGATCTAAAGCCGAAGGAGCCTGTTCCTCTGTTCCCAACCCTCAAATTTATTAACATCCAGTCATAGTCAATGCTGGAAAACCTTAGACTTCTTCCACAGAGACAGGTTACTTACAAAATGTGGTTTAGCAGAGAACATGTATGTTCTTAAAATAACCTGTTCTGAAAGAAAGATCATCAGAGATTGATGGGTGGAGGTGCTTCATTCTTTTTTCTAGTCTAACAATTTGACAAATCACTGTCTTTCCCACTGGGGAGAATGAGTTATAGTAGTAGATAGCGATCGTGGCACTACACTAGCACAGTGGCTTCAAACTTTTTGTGACTGTGATTCAATATATTAATAAAAAATACATTTTAGTTATGACCTGGTATACACTCCACACACAGAATACACACATGTAAACTGAATCACATTTCATGAAATATTGCTTACATTTACCATATTAATGTACTGTAATATTTTCTGTTCTTCTTTATTAAAATAAATAGTAGTTCTGACCTTTTGAGTTGATTTTATGTCACATAAATGGAATCAGTACAGTTAGACTAAACTGGCTCCAGCAGATATATTCCCACATGAAAACATGACCCAGGGGAATTGGAGGTCCTTGTGTTTGCTTATAAGATAATATCAGTTCTACCTGCAACCTAGCTACCTAATCATTAGAGGATATGCTGTGCTTAACCTGAGATACAGAAATACCTATACCCATATAGGTTAGGACACAAAATCTCAAATTTATTTTTTTCTCTCTCAGTGCTTTTCAATTGCTATGAAAGAAAACAAAACAAAGAAAAACAAGGAATGCCTGAACTATCATTTAATTCCTCTCTGAATACTTAAAAAGTTTTTCTTGGATTAAACCAGGCCGCAAAAGAAGTACATTCTTAAACCATACCCCTTTCTTTTACTGCATGGCATTTAGGCCACTAGTCCATACTGATAGCGTGTTTAAAACATGACCCTGTGTCACTCACTGCTATTCCTTAAGGATGTTGTTCACTTTGTGTGAGCTATCTTTAGAAAGACTCAACGGAGAATTTGCTCTCTAGCTTTCAGTATCACGAATAGTGTTTTTCCTTAGCACCTGATTTGTTTTTGTATTAGATACACTGTGATTCATGTAATGGATCATGTTGCCCTGTTTATATTGACAGCTAAAAAATGGAGAGCAAATTTTGGGCCTGCATTTAAGACCAAATCATATGTAGTTTGTAACTGACCTCATTATCCTGTCCATCTCAACCCCCAAGCCACTATTTTTCCATTAGTTTTAATTTTCTTATATATTTAAAAAAAATCTTAGTTTTGTGTGCCACTTCAAGTTCTTTATAGGACTAAATATGTATAATTAGCTATTGTTGAAATTAGATTTTAAAAGCCAAATAAATTTGTTAGAATAGAAAAATAGGACTATACGTTTGTGAATTAGGTAGGTTTCGTGTGATTTGTTTGGTTTTTAAAATTATATGAATAAGTAGTTATTGTTAACAGTATGTTTAAATTTATCCCCATTTTGTGTACTGTTGTTACGTTAAAAACATTTAATATCTGTTGGTATCAAGATAAAATAAATTTTGTAGATTCCTCAAATCTTTTTTGGATTGAGTTTGAATATAAACTAGCAAATATTAGAATTAAAATGTTTTTAGTTATTTCAGTCTAGCAATGGTGGTAAAAATTATAAAAAACATCCATTTTATAAGTGATATATGTTAGCATTATAAATATATAAAATCAAGTTACATGCAGAGTTTTCGTATATTTTACACTGAGCTCAGAATCTCTCAAATAAATTATAACTTTCCACATAACTGTGTTTTTAGCCAAAATAAGTTTATCATGTCATTGAAGATGTATCACACATTCTGTATTCAAAATATTACTTAAATTTGAAGGGAAGATTTAATTCATTTTGATTTATAATTTTATTTAACCCATTTACATACTTAGATCTCTCTATACATTATTTTATTAGCAAACTTAAGAATATCTAATTCTTTAAATTTTACATTTTAAGTAGTTTAAAAAGGATTTAAACATTATAACAACTTAGAGTTAATGAAGCAGAGGTAGACTTTGAGATGTCTTAACAAAATCTTTTACTTACGGAATTGAGTATAAATGTCAACCTTGTGAAATTTAGAATTAAAAATTATCCAAGAAGTGGAGTACTACCAAATGGTAGTGGTCATTTTGGTAGAAAAAAGATCAGGCATTTCAAGCAATGCTGTAAGGTTGTTTTGAAATCTGTTCATAAAAACCAGAAAACTCTGCCCATATTTCTGAGCATGATATGGATAACATGTTAAGATACAGAACTATGGTGAATGTTGTTAGCATCAATATGGGAAGAGAGTATGTTTTTGGAAAACGACAGTGCCAATCCATTACTACTTTGTTAGATTATAACATATACAATTTAGGCTTTTCTTAATGATTAAGGATCACTTAAAAATTAATACAGGTATTTTGGATAATAGTAATAATTATTTTGAATAGAATTATCTTGAAGGACCTTTTTACTATGGCCTTGGAACTTTCTTGAATAATTCCCCAGTGTTCACTAAACTCACTTTTTCTTTTGTGTCACTTTTTCAATAGAATAATCAAGTTTGTCATTCATACTTCTAGTGTAGAGCTGTTCTGTGATTGATCTACCCTTAGCTTGGGATAATGCTTTATTTATAAAATAGCAATTTCTGCATTTTCTGTAGGCATTAATAAAGTTTGCTAGAATCATCACTGATCTTAGAGTGGAACAGAAAATACATATTTTTTATCCTTATAATGTGCCCCTAAGTAGTATAATGTGTGTTTCATAAAACTTCTTAACATTTTGATCTATTCTTGCAGGGTTCATGCTTGAACCAGATCCGGAACATAGACCTGATATATTTCAAGTGTCATATTTTGCATTTAAATTTGCCAAAAAGGATTGTCCAGTCTCCAACATCAATGTAAGTAGATTTTCAAGTAGGATATGAATTTAAAATTCATTTTATCGTATGTGAATATATTTACTTTCAGAGTTACTTTTTTTTTGTTGCTGTTGCTAAAACTCAGAGTTTCTTGTTTCATGACAAGTGATCTGATTGTGTGTTTGATATTTGTGGTATAAAGCTTCAGTACCCAAACTATGCACTGAGATACCTTGGGGAGCTGCAGCAGACTCAGGCAGAATATTTTGCATTTTTGAGGAAAACACAGGGACATCTTTCTGACTTAGCACAAAACTAATTTTATTAAGTTATTTGGGCCTAACAGTTTAATAAACAGGACTGTTAGTTTTTTTTTTTTTTTCTTAGAAGTGTTGTAAACAATTACTGAGACACGGAGCACTGTTAACTGAGTAAGTTTGGGAAACTTTGGTATAAAGAGCACAGGCCTTGTTAAGTGGGAACTAAACAATGTGTACGCATAGATATAGACAGTGGAGTAATAGACATTGGAAGTCAGAAAGGTGGGAAGCGGATGAAGGATGAGAAGTTACCTAATGGGTACAATATACACTATTTGGGTGATGGTCATACTAAAAGCCCAGACTTCACCATTATGCAGTATATCCTTATAACAAAGCTGCACTTGTATCCCCTAAAACTACAAAAAAGTTTTTTTTTAAAAAGCACAGGCAATGTAAATAGACCCAGATTCAGTTTTGTCCTTATCAGTGACTGACTTTGAATCTTTTGGTAAGTTACTTTAATGTCCATTTCTTTTTCTGTAAAACAAGGATAGTAATTATAAGGATTACATGTGAAACCCAGTGCCTAGTCCATGGAAGGTGCTCAGTTGGCAATAGTTAGTATTATTCAAAAGCTTTCAATTTTATTCACTGACTGTACAGTGCATTTAACTACTTTAGGTGAATGGTGTATGGCAAGTCTCTGCCAATCTTAATAAAGGTTCTGCAATCATCACTGATTATAAGCCATTCTTGACTTTGTAAAGATCATTCTGGCCTGACCTGTTTCTGTAGGGTTTCCTTTATGTGTAACTTAATCTACCCCACTAAGAAAAAAGAAGGAATGTGGTACCTTTCCTTTTTTTTTTTTTTTTTTTTTTTGTGAAGCCCTCGCCATATTGATGTACTCTTTTCTCTGTTGAAGCTGAAAGCTTTGCAGTTCTAAAAGTAGATAAGTAGACTCATTCGACATTTACTCAGCAAGTATTTATTGAGTACCTACAAAGAACTAAACATTGGGTATAGACAAATAAACAAGGCCTTCTGCCCTCATTTTCCAGGCCTTACATTCTGTGTCTTGAAAATTATCTGTAGTATGTAGAAACAACACTTAATTCTTATCCTTGGTGTTTGTTGCTTTTTCCAAAATGTAAAATAGTTATTGATTTACGAGTGTAATATAATCTTTCTTTTTACTCAAGATTTACCCAATTATAAATGGATACAGTGGTGTTCTTCTGCTTATTTTCCAAGGTTTCTGTGGCACATGAATATGAAATTGACATTTGTGTAACATGTAGTGATATTTGCAGATTAGATCTGGCAAATACATGTGAATAATTTATAGGTATCTGATGTGAAAGTAATAGTGTCTCATAGTACTTTTAAAGTTCAATGATATATCCATAGCTTACAAAAACTTTCTGCAATTAAAATAAAAAACTAAAATGAGACGTTTTATTTTTTTTCTTCCAAGAATTCTTCTATTCCTTCAGCTCTTCCTGAACCGATGACTGCTAGTGAAGCAGCTGCTAGGAAAAGCCAAATAAAAGCCAGGTAGGCAAAACTATGCTGAAATTGAAAAGGCATTAAAAAAAATGATAGGTCTTGTTTTTAATCCTAGCAAGTGTAATTGATTAAATATCATCTTCATCCACAAAGAATGTTGTGTTGCTTATTGTATGTGGTATAATTGAGATAGCAAATACAAAATAAGCTTTTAAAAATATTAGATAAGGAGTCTGGCATCATCTCACTGGAACTGTTCACTCTATGACAAGTGATTATTTAACTGATGATGTGACAGCGGGTCTTTTTTTTGGACAGGATTTGTCATTTTCATCACATAGCAACTCTAGTTTAGGAAATACTATGTTTTGAGTTTATAGATGTTTATTTTTTTAATTTAAGGAAAGAAAAAAATAGCTCCTACAGGTAACTAGAATATATAGAATATGTATGTACTTTGTAGAATTTGTAATGAGTGATTATAATACTTTTTAAGGCTGGTATATGTTTTCAATCTTATTTTTCAGAGTATTTATTATATTAATAATAAGTTTGAACTATATTATGTAAGTTAAGACTGAATCTGTTAATGATTGATTTTTCCCCCCCTCACACTTTTTTGAATTTAAAAGTTAATAAGCAGGATTATATCTTAGATTATCAGACAGGTATAATACTACATTTGGGGAGATTTCTTGGTCACAGCAATTTTGTATTGTATGCTATTTATGCAAAGTTTATTTGTTTACACAATACAAAAATATATTTGTTCATATGCTTTTTATATGCAAGATGTAGACAATTTAAACACAAAGAAAAAAAAAGCAGTTTTTATTTCCAAGGAGTTCACGTTCTAATTGACAAGTAAACGATTACAACCTGATAGATATTAGGCTACTTTGAGAGTGTGGAGGAGGGGAAAGACTGGGAACAGAGAAAACAGGAGCACATAAAGGATGCTTTCCCTGCGGATGGGAGTTGCTGCACTCTTCCTTGAATGATGAATAGTCAATCACTTGGAAGGGTGTGGAGTGAAATTATAGCAGGCAGGCAGTTTAGGCAAGAATGACTATTGTGAAACTACAGGACTAGGACAAAAGGGGACATATACAGGAGTAGTGGGAAATGAAGCTGGAGAGGTAGATAAATGCCAATCATGAACAACTTTGTTTATATATCATGCTGAGAAATTTGGACTTTGGCCTATAGGTCAGTTAATTTTCAACCTTCTAGTCAGTTCTACTCTTTGAGACTTGGTTGTGACTGTGTTGTAAATGATCTGTTACTTATACATTGTTAAAATTTCATTTGCGAATGACTTATTTTAAAAAATGGTGTTACTTTAAAAATATCTTCATTCACTTGAATTTCAAAATGTTCTTTTGAGAAGAGGTGAAGGTGTAAAGTTATATCTAACTTGCAGGAATCCAGGTTGAACAGCAATTGGTCTTATCTATGACATAGCTTTAATTAGCATCCACTGTTATAGTTGAGTGTTAATTATGAATTATTGTAGGATTTGTCAGTTGAATTTTATTGTGACTTCTGTTTTTTAAAATAATTAGTAAATAATTAAATCTTTGAGAAAGTAGGTGCAGATTTTTAAAAAAAGCGTAAGTCAGCTGAACAAGAATGATGATTTGATTATTTTTTCACCCTAATGCAAGTTATAGCTTTAGAGTTACAAGACAATGAAATAGTGCTATTAAAATTCACAGTGCTTATTTATAGTATGTTAAATCTGAACATTATGTATATTAAAAAATAAGGTTGATTGGTACTTATTGGTTACTAATATAAATTTACTCTTTATGAATATTAGTGAAAACTTGAAAAAATCTAAATGTATACAAAGCTTAATATTAAAAAATTTAGTTTTTTCCATGTAAAGAGCACATTTTGGGAGGAGAAATCATTTACTAGCAGTTTCATTACCCACGTTTTCAAAAAGCGCCTGTGGGTTTCTCAGCTGCCTTCAATCTGTGGTATTCTTTGCCTTCTTAAAAGGTCGCTCTCATCTCCCCAAACTTTGCATCTGCTCTTAGTATGGTTTAAGATGTGAAATTTATCTGACACATGTCTTAAAGATTGAGACACTGAGAATCACTGGCCTGGCAGATGGAAACATTGAAGGATTTTAAGCAGGAGAGTGTGAGTCTGAGTTCTAGGAAACCTGTGATGATTTTGTTCAGGTGATGGCAAGGAGAAAAGAAGGGAAGCAGAAAAACAGCTCTGTGACTGTTGTAATAGTGAAAATGAGACTGTACAGCAGTATCGATGCAATAATTACTGTTTTTAACTTCAGTCGATTTTGTATCTTCCCTATGCCTAATCTGCCCAGGCATTTTCTTCCCATTCCTTCACATAGAATGCCTGGTTTCTTTGTCACTGCCTAATAAAGTCAAACTTATTATGAAAATTTTAAACCCCAGTTTCTACCTGAAGCCTTCTGTAGCCAAATTAGGTTAAAAGTACAATTACATCTCCATAAATTCTTGACAGCACTAGCTTGGCACTGATGATTTTTACTATCTTATATTTATTACATTTCCACTAACATATGCCCTGTCTTCCTAGGTATGCTGTAAATTCTTTGAAGACAGGGTGTTATGCAGTGTTTTGCTGGATATCAGTAAATGTACAATACATATTACTGTATTGATAAAACAGAGACATCAGAGTGAACAAAGTATACAGACTTTTAATATGCTTCTTAGGGCTTTTGCTATGCCTACGTGTGTTGTGAATCTGTAAAGAGGGTTTAGACCAGCAACAAGGCAACATCAGGTCTGGCCTGTACTAGCCGTTTAATACAGAATGGATAGTTAAAGAGAGAGATTGTGTACAATATTTCCCCCAAATTACTTGAGCTTAGGGAGTATAGCATTGATTGTAATGCCACATCAATAATTTAATGTCAGTAAATACTTGATTATCATTAAAACAAGATATAATTGATTACATATATATATACACCGATATATATATCGGTGTATATATATATGTAATATCTGTATATATTTGGCCTATTAGTTAAATTTTCATGTCTTTTACCATCCCCATCCCATCTAGAGCTTAAGTGTTACTTTCAGAAAACGGCATACATATAATTCTAAGATCTTTTGATTCAGTGTCACGTTTTTTTTTTTGGTACCTCTTGGAAAGATAGTTGTTAATAGGGCTCCCTCTTGTGGTACACACAGATATTGGGAAATAACTGGATCTGTGCACTTGTTGATAGATGCAAATGCAGCAGATGTGTGCTTCATAAATCATATGTATGTAAAAATTTTAAGTATTCACTTGAAAATGTGTAAGGGGATTTAATAAAGATATTTTATTGTGAATCCTGTTGGAAAGTGAACATTTGGTCCTATTAACAAGTATTTGAGTTTTTGTACTTAATTTATAGAAAGCAAGTTGATAAATATATAAATATTTTACCTTTTTTGTTTTTTAAAAAAAGCAAATGTTGGTGTCTTCTCAAATTATATTTATTGTTTCTTGATTTCAAAACTGTGTTTACTGCTTAACCACTCACATCTGGGGCCTAAACTAAGTCCTAGTGGGATAAATTTTATATACTTTCCATTCTGTGTTCTAAGTAAAGCAAAGTTAAAGATTCAAGAAGTTGAATGTGAGCAGGTGGCATCTGTTAAAAGTTTTGGCTTATTTTGTTTAACGTGCCCTAGGCCACAGTCTTTTCTTTTTTTATGCCTTGGAGTCCAAGTAAAGGGAGATTATTCCTTGTTGTTTCTTATTTTTATTTCCCTGACAAGTTCAGAGAGTGGCTGTCAGTTTTGTCCAAAAGCTTATGAAAAGGTTTCTGTTTATTTCCTTTCAGTATCATTTCATCTCCTTAAGAGCAGTTTCTGGGACTATATTCTTTTTCTGCTGGTTTCAGTAGGAGATTATGAATGGTTGTGTACTGTTTTAAGGAAAATTGTTAGTTTTATTTATTTTTCTGTGTTTAGTAAACGTTTAATACTTGAAAATGAGCCTTAGGAGAAAGATGAGGACTAATGCGATTATCAGTAATAGTTAAAATGTATCTGTTGAGTTGGATGCTTTATAGAATAAATAGTAAATTAGAAATAATCCCAGTATTTAGAATGAAATATATTCTTCTGTTGTAGAATAACAGATACCATTGGACCAACAGAAACCTCAATTGCACCAAGACAAAGACCAAAGGCCAACTCTGCTACTACTGCCACTCCCAGTGTGCTGACCATTCAAAGTTCAGCAACACCTGTTAAAGTCCTTGCTCCTGGTGAATTCGGTAACCATAGACCAAAAGGTAATAGAGCCCCGCCAACCTCATCCTCTTAAAGGTTAATGTTAATAAACCTTTCATGATTTGATTTCCTGACCTCAGGTGATCCTTAATATTGTAAAGTAGATAACATAATGCTTTCAGAAACTTTCTATTGATGTCTAATAAATTCAGTTGGTTTCTCAACAATTCAATTGTTGTAGGCAAAGGGAAGTTACTGGCAATATAAAAGTATGGTACAAAAAACTCACAATTTGCTTTGATACTATAAATACAAACTCTTATCCCTAGAGTCATCAACTAATAGGGTTTGAGGTTGGGAATAAAGTTCAACGGTATGGAAAAAGTCTATGTTATATGAGAAAGAAAGTTGAAACACTAGTCTTACAAAGTTTATGTCTTTGTATTGCACCTAGAGCCTTGGTGAAGGGCTATCTTGAACCATCCATATGGACATTACAACATAAAAACTTACCTGATTTTGAGAAAAATTTACTCATCTAAAGTATCTCCTAAGCATTATGGTACAGTGTGGTACTTAAAAAAAATTTTTCCCCCCAAAGAAATGTCCGTAACATTTGAGTAAACTTATTTTTCTCAAGGATCTGGGAGTATAACCTGAAGACTCACCTTAAAGAAATCCTGTTTTGCACTTTATTTCATGATAAATCTGTCGTGTTTTAATGTTAAAATGTTTTTAATGAGGATACCCTAATGGTTAAGAGTGTACGTTTTGAGTCTCACGAACCTGATTTGAGTCCTATTTCTCCCATTTTTTAGTAATATAGCTTCTAAAAGTACTAGTACCTATCTTAATAGGATTATTGGGAGGATTAAATGGCTGTTTAATGTGCTACCTGATACACGGTATGCCTTTGATAAATGTTAACTATTAACTACTGTTGTTACTATCAAGTAAAGTATATGTTCAGGAAAGGTGATGTTTTTATTTTTTATTTATTTATTTTTTTGAGATGAAGTCTCACTCTTGTCCCCCAGGCTGGAGTGCAATAGCACGATCTCGGCTCACTGCAACCTCCGCCTCCTGGGTTCAAGCCATTCTCCTGCCTCAGCCTTCCAAGTAGCTGGGATTACAGGGGCCTGCCACCACACCCAGCTAATTTTTGTACTTTTAGTGGAGATGGGGTTTCACCGTGTTGGCAGGCTGGTCTCGAACTCAAAGGGAAGTAGGCTTTGCTCTGTATTGGATACTGTCAAGAAGAGGGCATATGAAGCTGGGTGCAGTGGCTCATGCTTGTAATCCCAGCACTTTGGGGGGCCAAGGCAGGTCGAATTGCTTGAGGCCAGGAGTTCAAGACCAGCCTGAGCAATGGCATGGTGGTACACACCTGTAGTCCCAGCTACTGGGGAGGCTGAGGGGCAGAGGATCCCTTGGACCCAGTAGATGGAGATTGCAGTGAGCCAAGATCTCACTGCTGCACACCAGCCTGGGTGACAGAATGAGACTCTGTCTCAAAAAAAAAAAAGAAAAAAAGAAAAAAAAGCAAGAGGTGTTATGATATGTTTAGGTTTCTTAATATAAATTTTGTCTAGAAAGAAGGAAGCTAAAGCCTCAGTAGCTAAAGATGTTGAGGCATTTTTGGGGTTTGGACAATGTTCATGGTTTTGTCGCTGTTCAGACATGATTTTGGAGTGGTCTTATTTTGATCCATCAAAGTCATAGTGTCCTTGTCTAATGTTGTATGAGATTATTCAACAGGAGAGCACCAAGACTTAGCTGTGATTGCCAGGCCTAATCCTGATGTCAGGGGCCGTGTTTCTCTTTCTTACATGCTTTCAGCTTAAGTTGGAAAAATGTTCCGCTTTTTCCCCCAATAAGTGCATTTTTTTTTAACATTTCTTCACCCTTTAAAAATAATACAAAAATTAACACGTGAGTATTGTATTTTAAAATATTCGGATTATACAGTAGTATTCAGTGAAAATGTAAATGTCTCCCTCCATTTTCTTCCCAGAGTTAACCAGCGCTGTTTAATGGTCATCTTCCCAGTCCTTTTTTATGTTTTTACATGTGTATATACAGATATAAATAATTCATGTTGTATTTAAAATAAATGGAGGCCGGGCATGGTGGCTCACTGCCTGTAATCCCAACACTTTGAGAGGCCGAGTTGGGTGGATCACTTGAGGCCAGGAGTTCGAGACCAGCCTGGCCAACATGGCAAAACCCCATCTCTACTAAAAGTACAAAAATTAGCTGGGTGTAGTGGCATATGCCTGTAATCCCAGCTACTTGGGAGGCTGAGGCACAAGAGTCACTTGAACCCAGGAGGTGGAGGTTGCAGTAAGCCAAGATCATGCCACTGCACTCCAGGCTGGGCAACAGAGCAAGACTCTGTCTCAAAAATAGTAAGTAAATAAAATAAAATAAATGGAGTCATACTATACATACGTATTAGTTCGTTTTCATGCTGCTGATAAAGACATTCCAGAAACTGGGGGAAAAAAAGAGGTTTAATTGGACTTGCATTTCCACACGGCTGGGGAGGCCTCAGAATCATGGCGGGTGGTGAAAGGCACTTCTTACATGGCGGCAACAAGAGAAAATGAGGAGGAAGCAAAAGCAGAAACCCCTGATAAACCCGTCAGATCTCATGAGACTTATTCACTATCACAAGAAAGACGCCCCCGTGATTCAGTTACCTCCCCCTGGGTCCGTCCTACAACATGGGAATTCTGTGAGATACAATTCAAGTTGTGATTTGGGTGGGGACAAAGTCAAACCATATCATTCTACCCCTGACCCCTCCAAATCTCATGTCCTCACATTTCAAAACCAATCATGCCTTCCCAACAGTCCTCCAAAGTCATAACTCATTTCAGCATTAACCCAAAAGTCCACAGTCCAAGGTCTCCTCTGAGACAGGGCAAGTCCCTTCCACCTATGAGTCTGTAAAATCAAAAGCAAGCTAGTTACTTCATAGATACAATGGGGATAAGGTATTGGGTAGATACAGCCGTTCCAAATGGGAGAAATTGGCCAAAACAAAGGGGTTACAGCGCCCATACAAGTCTGAAATCCAGTGGGGTGGTCCAATTTAAAAGCTCCAAAATGATCTCCTGTGACTCCAGGTCTCACATCCAGGTCATGCTGATGCAAAAGGTGGGTTCCCATGGTCTTGGGCAGCTCCTCCCCTGTGGCTTTGCAGAGTACAGTGTCTCTCCCGGCGGCTTTCATGGGCTGGCCGTTGAGTATCAGCAGCTTTTTCAGGCGCATGTTGCAAGCTGTAGGTGGATCTACTATTCTGGGGTCTGGAGGATGGTGGCCCTCTTCTCACAGCTCCACTAGGCAGTGCCCCAGTAGAGACTCTTTGTGGGGACTTTGACCCCACATTTCCCTTCTGCACTGCCCTAGCAGAGGTTCCCCATAAGGGCCCTGCCCCTGCAGCAAACTTTTGCTTGCATATCCAGGCATTTCCATGTATCTTCCAAAATCTAGGCCAAGGTTCCCAAACCTCA
The DNA here is from genome assembly GCF_000001405.40 of Homo sapiens. Taxonomy (NCBI): domain Eukaryota; kingdom Metazoa; phylum Chordata; class Mammalia; order Primates; family Hominidae; genus Homo; species Homo sapiens. Next base: position 78,869,177 of record NC_000004.12, read on the forward strand.
GTTCTTGACTTCTGTGCACCCACAGGCTCAACACCAAATGGAAGCTGCTAAGGGTTGGGGCTTCCACTCTCTGAAGCCACAGCCTGAGCTCTACGTTGGCCCCTTTGTGATTTTTTTTTTTAACCTATAAGTTACTTAGGGGGCTGTTGTTATTAAATTTTCAAGGAGATAAAATATACTAAAGGCTGGAAGGATAGAGGGAAGTGAGGGGTAGGGAGAGATTTACTGAAGGATATAAAATTTTAGCTAGATAGGAAGAATAAATCCTAGCATTCTATACCACTGTAGAATGACTAGTTAACAATATTTTGTATAATTTCAAATAGGTAGAAAGAGGATATTGAGTGTTCCCAACACACACAAAAAAATGACAATGCTTGCAGTGACCGTTTTGCTAATTATCCTGATCTGATCACTATGCAAAATATGTATCAAAACATCAATATGTACTCCATGAATATGTACAATTATTATTTGCCAATTAAAAAATAAAAATTTTCAAGGTGAATGATTTTTGAGTAGTTATTTTAGTACTCTTTCAACTGGAAAGAAATACACTTAAAGGCTAATGATGGTTGTATCTGTGTGGTGGAATTGTGATTTTCATTTTTTAACTTACATTTTTATAAGTATTTTCAAGGATAATTAAAATGAACATGCATTTCCTTATAATTAGAAAAGTTAGAAATAGTTATAAAACTATTTTCATAAAGCTGTTGTACTTAGGTCTGAGGACGTTTGAGGATACTAACATTGATGAAAAAAGAACCCTTCTCTCCCTCCTTGCATTCTCTCCCCACTCTTTTTATCTTCTAGGATTGAACAGTTGCATTTGAATGTAGGGTAAGTTTATTAGAGGAGAATATAGAAATTATGGTATATTAGTATATTGCATTAAGTGTATATCTTACTTTTTAGTTAATTTTTAAAGTTTATTCATAGGATTTGCCTAGGGTATAATTTATGGAGCTTATAAATAAATATCCATTTAGGAGACAGTGTTAATAGATCCATTACAGTGAGCATTTATTAATCATCTTTTGTATAAAAGGTTTTTTGGGACTCTTAACAGATGAGTAAGTCATCATCTCTTCCCTCAGGGTCCCTGGTTAGGAAATAGCCATGTAAGTCATTAACATGTGCAAGACAGACTGAAATGTAATAAACTGAGTGGAAGTGCTAGATGAAGGAATAAGGAAGAGAGGTTTGAGCTAAACTTTAAAGAATAAGAATTTCACTAGGTGGAAAGTGGCATTCTAGACAGAGAATTATATTGGTACTAATACATACTCATGATAGTACATGATATTGTTGAGCAGTGTAGAACAAACTAACATGGATGTTGTGTTCATGGAGAGCCGAAGTATGAAACATGAAGTGTTTCTAAGATGTTGACTTGTTCAGAGTTGTAGACGACAAAATTAAGCTTCTTCGGTACTTACAATTAAAGTAAATCCCTATAAACTCTATGCATATGGAAGTTTTTGTGTTATAAATAAGGATATAAATGCCTTAGTTAAATTATTATTGAAATGAGCATGTTGAAATCCAGCTTTTTAATTGAAATCATTAGTATGTTAATGTAAGTGTTTGGACCTGTCTTTAGGGGCACTAAGACCTGGAAATGGCCCTGAAATTTTATTGGGTCAGGGACCTCCTCAGCAGCCGCCACAGCAGCATAGAGTACTCCAGCAACTACAGCAGGGAGATTGGAGATTACAGCAACTCCATTTACAGCATCGTCATCCTCACCAGCAGCAGCAGCAGCAGCAGCAGCAACAGCAACAGCAGCAGCAGCAACAGCAACAGCAGCAGCAGCAGCAGCAGCAGCAGCACCACCACCACCACCACCACCACCTACTTCAAGATGCTTATATGCAGCAGGTAATTTTTTTGTTTCTTTAGATATGGAAGTAGTGTGAAATTGATGCAGCAAATTGAATATCAGTGAATTCCTTTTTGTATCATGGGCACCTTGAACTCTAGATTTGAGTAAACACTTTCCCCAATTTTCTAATTATGAAAGAATACGTATTTAATTTGCAATCAGTGAAATACTTAAGAATACTGTAAAATAGGTTGCATTGTGGCCTTATGAAGAAAAGAATGTTCATCTGAAACATTTAGTATTCACAAATAAGCACTGCAGTTTATAATGAATATTATCTGAGGTTACGTTTTGAGTTCACAGACTAATAATGCTATTGTTGGAAAGGTGATATTAGGCTTTTCAGAAGTAACATTGTCTTAGATTTTTGTCACCCTCCTGGTTTTGGTTGATAGATCCAGAGTGGAGGGTAGTAAGTAGGTGGTACCATGGGATGCCCAGAAGACACCACTGAAGGGGAGATTTAGTGTAATGGGGCTTGGTTAGAAGTCACTCAGGTGTCTTTATCTTCTAGGAAAAGGTAGTAAATGTGTTTTGGTAGCTTTCTTCTAAACATCCTTAAATTGTGCTAAAAATGGTTTTAATTGAATCTAATTGTTGATAATTTTGAAACCAGTTCTGATAAGCATATTTATTAATAAATTATAGTAATTTAGAGTATAGCTATTTTGTATTGATGTTTGGACTACTGATTTCTCAAATCATTATGGTAAGATCAATACTTTAAAAAAGGGCTCTGACACAAAAAAGGCATAACATTTATTAATTTGATTTTCTCGTTGTAGTATCAACATGCAACACAGCAGCAACAGATGCTTCAACAACAATTTTTAATGCATTCGGTATATCAACCACAACCTTCTGCATCACAGTATCCTACAATGGTAACTTAAATAATTTCTAGAGATTTCTCTGAGTATACATTATGGTGTTGGAATTCACAGTATGAATCATATTATTCAGAATTTAGTAATTCAAAATCAAGTAAGTTAATTGACATGTATTTTATCAAAGCCAGTCATATATTCTCAAGCAGCTTTAAATTGCACTGAACTATGGCACCTGAATATGGCACATAGTAATTGACCGATAACGTACTTCTCTTATGTCATTATATAAGGGAAATGATGTCTTACCTATAGTCTTTCGTCACATGTCTCTTTCATTCAGCACATATCTATTGAGTAAAAAAATGAAACCCAAAGGGAGAGTATATTTTCTTCAGAGAATAATTTGACCTTTTTTTTTTTTTTTTTTTTTTTTTTAACAGCAACCACTATATTAGTGACTTTAAGCTACTCTTTTTCTTAAAATACTTAAAAGAGGATTTTTGATTCTGGCCAAGTGAGCCTACCTTTACAACTTTTTAAAAAGATTTATTTCATCTTGCTGTAGTTTTCTAGTAATAGAGCTGCTTCTGTAGATGATTGTTTTTTACGTTTCTGATTTTGTCACCAATGTGAAAGGAAGGAACATAGTAAATAGATGCAGTGCTGACAGTGCTTTAGGACTGGAGCATTGTTTTGTATAATATCATTTCTTTTTTCAGATGCCGCAGTATCAGCAGGCTTTCTTTCAACAGCAGATGCTAGCTCAACATCAGCCGTCTCAACAACAGGCATCACCTGAATATCTTACCTCCCCTCAAGAGTTCTCACCAGCCTTAGTTTCCTACACTTCATCACTTCCAGCTCAGGTTGGAACCATAATGGACTCCTCCTATAGTGCCAATAGGCAAGTATTTTTCCAGTGAAAGCAAAGGAAATTATTGTGGAAGTGGAAGTCATCGTTGAATGGTCGGTCATTAAGTTCTCTTAAATTAGTTTAGAATTTATCTTTCTGTAGAGCCACCCATTCTCTCTTCCTAGTCCTGTCTTCTGGTCCCTTGGCATCCCCATCCTTCCGTTTCCTCAGTTAATTCTGCTAACTGCTATTTGTAGGTAAGGTGTAGCAACATCTAACAGCATTTAGGGCTAAGGATATTATTGGCTTGTATGTAAAGGCATTTTTGGTAATGTAAGTATAAACAACACCCTAACAAGTGACTTCAGCAGTTAAAAAAAAATCCTTGTAGACTTTCTCTATTTACATGTTATTACCTTTGATTAATTTTACTGTTTACTCATAAAGGTTGTATAATTTAATTTAAATAGGTATAAACATTTTTACATATATGTATTTTAAGATGATATATAGTATACATACTGTTACCGTAACATAGTTGGTAATAGTATATTTTGGCTATTGAGACATATTGGTTAGTAGCGTTATAAATTAAATAACTTTGGTACAAAATTTCTTAAACTTATACAAAATGGCACGTGCTTTAGCATCTTGTAACTAAGAATCATCATCAATGCCTCCTAATGTTTTTAGATACCTAGGAGGTAGGAGCTGTTAGACTTCTGTTACATGAACACTGAAGTTCTCATACAATGCTGTTTAAGGATTTGAAACATTAGCTGAGAAAAGGTGTCTATAAGCTTTGGCTCAGAGTTGAGCAGGAGAAACAGCAGCATCAGTAGCATACTTGTACACTGCATCTCAAAAGAGAGCTAAAGTATGCAGTTTGCTATAGAATGCCTCCCAACCTCTGTGTGTGTGTGTGTGTGTGTGTGTGTGTGTGTGTGTGTGTGTGTGTATGCATGCATGCATGTGTGTGCACATGTGCAAGAGACAGATGGTGGGGCGGGTATGGTAGAGAGGGAGACAGAAACGAATGGATTTCTTGAACTACTTTTCTAAAGTAAGAATTGGGGTGGATGAATTAGGACAATTTTGTCTAAGGAGAGAGCAGAGTATAGGTCAAAGGCCAGTTTAAAGGTCCAGATCAGGCAGGGTGCGGTGGCTCATGCCTGTAATCCAAGCACTTTGGGTGACCAGGGCAGGCGGATCACGAGGTCAGGAGATCAAGACCATCCTAGCCAACATGGTGAAACCTCATCTCTACTAAAAATATAAAAATTATCTAGGTGTGGTGGTGCGCGCCTGTAATCCCAGCTACTTGGGAGGCTGAGGCAGGAGAATGGCTTGAACTTGGGAGGCAGAGATTGCAGCGAGCTGAGATCATGCCACTGCACTCCAGCCTGGCAACAGAGCGAGACTCCATCTCACACACACACACACACACACACACAAAAAGTTCAGATCAGTATTTGCCGAACTCTTTGTCATTTATCTACTCTAGTTAAAATTTTTTGCTTTATTCACATAGTGCTTTTTTCTTTAATAAATTAGTAACATTATTGTGTATAATAAAATTAAAACATATTATACATTTTAAACAAATAAGATCCACTAAAATATAAAGTATGAAATGTAAATAGTAATCTAATAAATTTGCTAAGTCCCCTAGTGATAAGAATGGAATAATTTTCCTCATTAAAAATCAGATATTCTGCTTGATAATTGCTTAAAGATACTGATGAGGCTATTGTACTAATTAGATGATTGCTTTTTTCCACTTTTGATGCTAACTAGCATAAAAAATGTCAAATCTAGTTTATTTAGTTGGAAAATAGAAAAGATATTAACTGTCTTCTCTGACGTAGCATATATATTGTGTATACTTCATATTCTAAAAGTCTGTCAGCTCCTGGAAGCAAAGTTATGTCACTGTTGAGAATGGGATGATGAATTGGAAATCTGTCTAAACTTCTGATTAGTTAAAAAGAAAGTTGGATATCCAAGGATTTGAGGCATACACTGGCATGCAAGGTGCTGATGCCTGTAATGTATATTAATTACTATAGCACTGTCTGCTTTATTCTCATTTGTAGTGATGCTATTCGACAAATCACAGGTTTGATACATTAGACACTTTTCTTTTAATTTCTGTGTAACTATTAAAAAATAAGTTATCACAAAAATCATCTTGCATTCCCCAGGTTAGGAAATATTGGGTTGCATATCTGGGAAAGTGCATAAGACTTGTTTTACTCCACTCCTATGAAATTTATGTATTTAAGGATGTGTTAGAAAAAATTATACACTCAGCCACTAAAGGTTAGAAATGTGGAACTTCATGTGGGAACATTGCTCCAGCCACACTTGGTACGTCAATGCTACTTCATTAATATTATACCTATTTAACATCAGATTGTATGTTGAGTATAGTATCTTCTGTAACAATTTAAAAAGAGCTCTAAACTAATGTTCCTGCTTATGACAAAGTCAGTGGAAGAAGAGAATTGGGGTTAAATGTTTGTCTCTCAGTGGATAAGGGCTATTTGAGTAGAATATAAGAAACCAAGTAGTAGTTCCTTAGACAGAGGGAAAGAGTCACTATCTTTGTTGGAATAATTATTTCCTTTTCTTTTCTACTATCTTTTGCTAAACTTTCTACTCTTCCACCATGTTAATTTATCTTTAGTATGAATATCAGAGAGTATTACTGTGTTATATTCCAATAATAGTTAAAATAAACATCATCTATGCATACGTTATCTTCTTATGATATAATTGCCCTGTTATATTAGTTATCTGTTGATGCCTAATAAATTATCTCAAAACTTAATGGTTTAAAACAGCAGTTAACATTTATTATCTTACATACTTTCTTTGGATCAGAAATTTAGGGGTGGCTTAACAGGGTGGTTGTGTCTGGTAAGGCTGGGTCGGCTGTCCTCTGAAGGCTTGGCTGGTGATAAAGGATGTAATTTACAAGATAGTTCACTCACATGGCTTTGGGCAGGAGGCTTCAGTCCCCTGCCACATGGATTTCTTCAAAAGACTGCTTGAGTTTTCTCTTTGCCAAGGCAAAAATTATTTTGAACAAGGAATTATTGATTCTGGTTTCTCCCTCAATAAGTGATCCAAGAGACAGAGCAAGGAGGAATCTGAAATGTCTTTTTAGACCTAGTCTCAGCAGTCATGGGCTGCTGCTTGTGCCATATTTCATTTGTTAGAATTGAGTCACTAGATCTAGCTCATGTTCAAGGGCAGTGAAATTCGGTTTCACCCTTCGAAGGGAGGAATGTCAGATAACTTGTAGACATTTTTTAATACCTGTTTAAACTAGGTTAAGGTGATAACCCTATTGAGTTACAGTCTGCCAATAGGAATCCATAAATTTATTTTGGGAATAGGAAGAGGGTGATTCATATAGGGAATCCGAAAGTTCTAAAAGGAATGATTGACAGACAGGAGGGGGGATGCCCATCTCTCTTTGAGTTTTACCCACTGTGATCTGTTTTTTTTTTTCCTTCAATTTTCTGGGTAAAAACATCTGATCTGTGTTTTAAGGAGAGATGGGACTCTGTCACACAGAGGCAGGCTCAGACTGGCAGTTAATGCATCCAGAATGGACTTTAAACTGAATTGTTTTTTAAATTAAGATACCTAAGTTCTATTTACTAAGCAAGTCTATTTACTTGTAGGTAACTTACTATTTATTTTCCTCTGTTATATGCTAGCCTTCAGTAAGTATTTAAGTATCCTATTCTTGGCTCAGATATGCTGAAGGGGCTTGGACTAAGGGATTAAATAGACGACTTTTGCCTTTCTTTTCTCTTCTAAGACCTGTTTGGTGGCAATGGCAATGAGCTCTCAACGGTTAGGTAAATTTAGGGGATCAGTTAAGACTTGTGAAATTGAGATACTACTTTGAACATTAGGATTCTCCCTTCATTACTACTGTTAAGAGGATTTGCATATGAATTATGAAAGGAACTTAATAGCTTTCTTACATTGTCTCGTTCTTATGCTATACAGTCATGCATTGCATAACAATGGGGACATGTTCTAAGAAATTGCATCATTAGGCAATTTTATTGTTGTATGAACATCATAGAGTGCATTTACACAAACTTAGATGGTATAGCCTACTACACATCTAGGCTTTATTATATAGCTTATTGCTCTTACGCTACAAACCTGTATAGCATGTTACTATATTTAGTACTATAGACAATTGTAACAGAATGGTAAGTATTTTTGTATCTAAACATAGAAAAGGTAAAATAAAAATATTGTATAAAGGATTAAAAATGGTACATCTGTATAGGGCACTTACCATGAATGGAGCTTAGAGGACTGGAAGTTTTTCTGGGTGGGTCAATGAGTGAGTCGTGAGTGAACGTGAAGGCCTAGGACATTACTGTACACTATTATAGACTTGACTTTATAAACACTGCATTCTTAGAACACACTAAATTTATATAAAATTTTTTTCTTCTTCAATAATAAATTAACCTTAGTTTACTGTGACTTTTTTACTTTATAAACTTTGAAAATTTAAAAACATTTTGACTCTTTGGTTATAACACAAAACACAAACATGTACAACTGTACAAAAATATTTTCTTTATATTCTTATTCTATAAGTTTTTTCTTTTTTAACTTTTCTTTTTATACTTTTTTGTTGAAAACTAAGACACAAACACACACATCAGCCCGGGCCTACACAAGATGTGGATTGTCAATATCACTGTCTTCCACCTCCACATCTTGTCTCACTGCAAGTTCTTTAGGGGCAATAACAGGCATGGAGCTGTCATCTCCTATGATAACAATACCTTCTCCTGGAATACCTCCTAAAGGACCTGCCTGAGGCTGTTTTACAGTCGACTTTAAATAAAATAAGTAGGAGTATACTTGAACATAACTCAAAAATATGGTACAGTAAATACATAAAGCAGTAATACAGTCATTATCAAATATGCACTGTACACAATTGTATTGCTATACTTTTATACAACTGGCAGCCCAGTAGGTGTGTTCAAATCAGCATCACCACAAACACATGAGTAAGCTGTTGTGCTATGGTGTTACAATGGCTACGATATCACTAGGTGATAGGAATTTTTCAGCTCTATTTTAATCTTATGGAACCACCATCATATGTATGGTCCATTGGTGAGTGAAAGGTCATTATGTGGTATATGACTATATTTCCAGGCTGGGTTGAGGGAGAGGTACACAGGGATTCTTGGGTTAAGAAATCTTTATATTCTCATCTTCTCTTAAAAGCCAAGAGCCCTGTAGGATAATTTTCATAGAACCAGTGGTCTCAGGCTCCAGACTCTAGATACTTTAAATACTATAATAATTTATTATATGCAAAAATAACCCTCATTTAACTTTAGCTAATTTATAAAGCAGTCCTAGCAATTCATCTTTTGTTGGTAGCTATATATAGGGAATGCCTTTGTCAAAAGGAAAATTACTGTGGTGTCCCAGCATAACCAAGGCATTTGATCACTGTGTTCAGTAGTGATTTTAGAGTGATGCTGTCTGATAAGGTGACTGATTTTTTACTTTAAGTCTTGTTTACTATGATAATAACAGTTAATATTTATTATTTTTACTAGATATTGTTCTCTTTGCTTTACGTGTATTAAATTATTTAATCTTCTCAGCAACCCTATGAGGTGGATACTATTACTCCTTTTTACAGATGAAGTTGAGGCAGAGAAGTTAAGGAACTTGCCCAAGGGTACACAGCTAGGGTACCTTATGTAGGTGATTATGGAGCTAGTATACCTTATGGAGGTGATCTAGATCCCATATGTTCTCCCTCTCCATCTCATGCCCTTGTCTGTCATCTCTGTCATAAGGAAATGATTTGGTTTTCTAAGTATTTATAAAGTATAAAGTAGGGCATTGTAAATTTTTATTTATTTTAATTTTTCTTTCCATCTTCTTTTTTCTTACTCAATTATTACTATAGGTCAGTTGCTGATAAAGAGGCCATTGCAAATTTCACAAATCAGAAGAACATCAGCAATCCACCTGATATGTCAGGGTGGAATCCTTTTGGAGAGGATAATTTCTCTAAGTTAACAGAAGAGGAACTATTGGACAGAGAATTTGACCTTCTAAGATCAAGTAAGGGACACTTGAAGGCTTATTTTGCTTCACAGTAAAATAACAGCTCTATTATTATTCAGCAAGGCCAAAGACTTTTGAGAATGTGTATGGAAAATTCTTTTTGTGCATTTGAGGGCAAAATTCAGGCCATCTTCTTATACATATACTATCAAATTATGTTGTGTGCATTAGAAATCAGTTGCTTGATAGTAGCTATTAAACCCAATATTGCTGATAGTATGCTAATATCCTAAAACTTAAATATTGCATATCTATGAATGTTAAATTCAGAATATCTCTAAAACATGGAAAATTGATGTTTCAATAAAAAGGGAGACATTTTATTATTTTGCCTTACTAATGATTTTGCAGCTCTGTTTTTCTGCACACTCAATAGAAAATATTGTGGGTCTGAGATGCCCTTTGAAAATGCCTGAAAGAAAACATGGGCTACTACATTATGTTAATGTTTTGTAATGTCCTTTTAATGAGTGGTGACATAAAAGGGCTGCTTTGTTGTCCTGATATGGCAAAAATTAAATAAATTCTTTTTCACTTTAAATCAGATATCTCAATGTTTTTACTTGGAATCATTGCTTTTCTTTGAACTACCTAATATATGTCAAGCTTCGCCACACATATTTTAGAAATGTCCTTTTTGAAAGAATGATGTGAGTGTTTTGAGTAGGTTGCCAAATAGGAGCAAAAAGCTCACTTCTAGAGTATGTAGATAATTTTCAGGTTTCTGAGGCTTTGTGTGTGTGTGTGTGTGTGCACGCGCATGTGTGTGCAGGTGTGCACACAAAACAAGTGTGTTTTCCCCTTTTGCATGTGAAAAGAAGGTCTTAATAATCCCTAGTTTATAGTTCCTAGTTCCTATTTCATTTAGGTAATTGGCCTTATGAGAATGTTTAATAGATGAAATGCTTTGTTCTGAATTGGTATATATTTTATGTAAAATTCCTGTAAGAATAGTTTGGGATTTAAATTTGTATTTTATATATTGGTTATATGATTATGAAAATTAAATTGATGATTAAATGCAGATATAAAAATAAGTTCTGAGCCGTTAATAAAGGTTTCTAAATAAAACCGATCACATGTTACTAAAACAATTTTTTTTTAAACCACGGCTTTTTTTGTTTGGCATTTTCCTAGAATTTATGTTGAGTAGTCCCAAAAGCAAGATTTTTTGTTTGTTTGTTTTTTGTTTTTTGAGACCGAGTTTTGCTCTTGTTGCCCAGGCTGGAGTGCAATGGCGCAATCTCGGCTCACCGCAACCTCCGCCTCCTGGGTTCAAGCAATTCTCCTGCCTCAGCCTCCCGAGTAGCTGGGATTACAGGCATGTGCCACCACGCCCAGCGAATTTTGTATTTTTAGTAGAGATGGGATTTCTCCATGTTGGTCAGGCTGGTCTCAAACTCCTGACCTCAGGTGATCCACCCACCTCGGCCTCCCAAAGTACTGGGATTACAGGCGTGAGCCACCATGCCCAGCTCTTTCAGAGTTATGGAAGGGGTAGATACAAGGTGTAACCAAATCATTATAATTTATAGGATTATATTTAAAGCAAAAGATATTAATTTTAATGTGTACTGACCAGGGTTTACTAAATTAGTATTTTCAACTGCTTAGGTAAAAAATTATTTTTAAAAAATGAATTTATGAAATGGGTATTCACATTATTTTGTATCTTATAAAAATGTGTTATTCTAAGTTCCCTAGAATTTGTAATGACATCAAAGTAGTTTTATTTACTTAGCATAGGCAAGAGTGACATATGAATATGCCTATATGTGTATAACTTCATAAAAATTGGGTTGAGCACGTAAAATTCTTAAGTAGCTATTTTTAAGAATAGCTTAAAACTTCATGATCAGATAATGTGTAAATTTTAAACTTCATGATCAGATGCCATTTGTAAATTGTGCATGTGTCTGTGTGCACATGTGTATGCCAAAGAGACTTCAGACTTTGCAGTATTAATTACAGAAAGATACTAAGATCCAAAGGAAAGTGCAGGAGGAATTTTATGTGAAGGTTAGACTTGGAGCAACCTTAGCCATTTGGAAAAACAGCTACATGGTCCATGAGCTACTGAAATTATTGTCACAAGTCTGATGTGCTTAATTTGGCACACAGTACCAGAAAACATAAATTTTGATCCCTGACAATGTTACTTAACTAGATTGTAATCTCAGATAAGTCACTCAACTGCTGTTAGTCTCACTTCCACATTTATAAACTGGGGATAATGATGCCTACTTCATAGGGTTGTCCAGATAATTAAATGATGTCTTTAAATTTGGGCACTCAATAAATAAATGCCACTTTCTCTTTTCTCACTTTCTGTATAAGCCTTTATGTCATGACTTAAGAGGTTTTTGGCTTTTAGCCAGCATTTAAAAATTATATTTAAATTATTAGTTTCTCAGTGGTAATTTAACAGTCAAATTAGAAGGGGCTTTGTGGGCAAACACATCAAAAGCAGAAGTGACAAATGATAGCAAGGAAGTTGATGGAAAAGTGTCTGTTTTTCCTTTAATAATTGATACTCATTGTTCAGTGACTATTTTGGGGTCATTGAACCCACTCTTTTAGGGTTCAAAAAAGGTGAAGTGTCATTAATAAAAAAGTTTGTAATTACTATAAAGTTGTGTATAAAATGTAGTTTAGAAAGGTTTCCTCTCAGAGTTTAACTTAACTGTAATATTTAGTCATCTTTAGCACCTCTTTCAGAAGCAATAAGATATCTAATATTTGATCTATTTGATGAGTTTATATTATATTGATGGGCAAAAGACCTCTTCCAGAACCTTCAGAGTTTATTAGAAGACTAATTGTTCAATGAAAATTGATAGATGGTCATTATATTAAACTTTCTTAAAGTTTAATGACTTTCACCTTTTTTGAATTCTGAAATAGTGGGTTCAGTGACTCCAAAATTTTGCCCATCAGTATAATATAAATCCTATCATTTTACAAAATGAATAAATAAACTGTTGATTCAGTTGAAATGCAATGTAGGATATTTGTACCCTTTTCCTTGACACAGGTATTAACAATTTTCCAAAGTCTTTTCTAAAATAATTTATATTTGGTTTATAAAACACTTTCCAGTGAGAAACTGAAAGCCTTTATATGGTCCTTAAAAGTATAGGTATTGCCAATGCAATGATTATTCAGAATAATACATTCCCATTTGGGGTTTTATTTTGAATATGATTCATGGTTATTTTTTTAAAAACAAAAAAAGGAAAATAATATGCTGTTTAGGGAATATTTTATGTGTATTATCCAGAAAGTAATTTTCAAATCATAATAGTATTTTGAGATATCAAAATTCTAAAATATTACTAATTAGTGATCTTTAAGAAAACAGTTGATTTCCTATACTAGGCAAAGGGATTTAATATGTAAAATAAACTAGATTCTTCTTGCTTTCACCCTTCACTATAAATGAATACCATTTATGGTTCAGAATTGTTTTACCTGTTCTTAATTTTAGTAAGAACAAAACATTAAATCAAATTTAAGCAATAATAATAAAGCTTGTCTGAATGATTTTTTTAAAATTTAAGTTTGTATTTTTACTTTTTTGTACCAGAACATCCAGAGTAGTATGTAAACTTTAGCAATTTGTCATAATATTTTAGTATTTTAATATTTAATATGACAATTTAAAATTGCCATAATATTTAATACTTTAAACAGTAATTAGAACATAGATGCTTGCTTTGGGGAAATTATTAACATATTTGTGCAAATAGTTGTATAGTTATACTCGTTAATTAAAACTATTACTTCATGAAATATATTTCATTTATTGATGGTGGATTTGTTTCTGCTTAAAATTGGATCAAAATAACTAAAAAGAAAAATAGAAGATAACTAAAGATTATGATTGCTTTATAAATTCTACTGAATGTTGTTGTTTCACCTATGAAGCCACAGAATGATAATGGCTATAAGCATCTGAATCTGTAGTTTATTGTAAAATATTAACCCTCATCTTTTGTAGCAAATTCAGAACTATTACTGTTCCTTCAGTGTAGAATAACAGAGCTTTTCAAATATATTAGACCAGTTTCAGGAGTTTTTCATTAACCTTTTAGCCTTTTACACCATTATCCATATAAGCAGCAGAATTAACTTTGTAGACTATTTTAATTTCGTGATAATATTATGGAATATACTTTGATTCTAGGATTTTAAAATCCTATATTTTTGCTATCTGTATCAATTAAAATTCTTGAAAAGATACTGTCTTTATTCACCAACATAATTCTTTTGTGAAGGCAGGAGGTAAGTTTCTCATATTGGATAATCAAGCTTTGTTCTAATCTAAAGAAAACCAGTCATTTGAAAATGTAATTAAAAACATTTTAGGGTTGACTATGTATTTACAAAGTAGTTCTACATAACCATTTCATTAGATTTTATTTGTAGGTAATTAATAATTACAAAATTAATGTGTATATTTCTTTTGTATTTTGTGTCCTGAGACTCACATTTTCATGTGAACTTTAGAAACATAAATGATTTTTTAAAAATTCAATTGAAAACTTGATTCTGTGTTTTGTGGAACAATAACATTATTCATTTTACAGTGAATTTATTCTGATTCCTATTTTGAAATAACTGGATAAATGGACTTAGCATAGAGCAGTATCTTCCATATTTTTACTTATAGGGACCCCTACATAAAAATAAGTTCCCCTCTACATGATAATGTGTATAGTTTTGTCATAATTTCACAGTACTGTTTATATACTTACCATAAATTTACCACAGACTGATGGATGTAATATACCCAGTGCATGAGGATTTAAAGAACCTTAGTGATAACTTCACAGTTTTATAAGCTGGGACTCATTATTATAGTAGTGGTTTAAATACGTGGAGAGGGTCAGGTGTGGTGGTTCATGCCTGTAATCCTGCTACTTTGGAGGTTGAGGTGGGAGGATTGCTTGAGGCCAGGAGTTCGAGACTAGCCTGAGCAATATAGTGAGACCTTGTGTCTACAAAAAATTAAAAAAATAAAATTAGCCAAGTATGGTGTGCCTGTAGTCCCAGCTACTCCAGAGGCTGAGCCTGGGAGGCAGAGGTTGCAGTGAGCCAAGATCATGCCACTGTATTACAGCCTGGGTGAAACAGCAAGGCTCTGTCTCACAAACAAACGTGCTGAGAGGCTGGGTGTGGTGGCTCCTGCCTATAATCCAGCACTTTGGGAGGATTGCTTGAGTCTAGGAGTTTGAGACCAGCCTGGGCAACATAGAGCTTATCTCTACAAAAAATAAAAAATTAGCTGAACGTGGTGGCCTGTGCCTCTAGTGCCAGCAACTTGGGAGGCTGAGATTGGAGGATCGCTTGAACCTGAGAGGTTGAGGCCACAGTGAGCCATGATCATGCCACTGCGCTCTAGGTTGGGTGAAAGAGTGAGACCCTGTCTCAAAACATAAAATAAAACAAACAAAAAAAACCAGTATATAAAATTGCAGATTCCTAAGTTACTACCTAATGAATCAAGTAGACCTAATGAATCAAGTCTACGGTTGGGTCCAGGTAACTACATTTTATACAGGAATCCTAGCAGTTATGATGCAGATGGTTGAGGCAAAAAGTCTGTTTCTAATTCAGACCTAAATACTTATACTTTTGGTCTTAATTTTCAGGAATGAGGGCCCTTGGATATTGACATGCTGTAGTTATCATTCTGAGTCAGTCTCTTCCATTTGTTCTTTCTCACCCCCTCTTTTCTCTGTCCTCAGTGCTTTATACACTGGAATTTGGGAAATGGAGAAGAGTGGGGGAGTCCAGGTGGATTCTGATACAAGGCATAATTACTGGTTTTACAGTTCCTCCATAAATGCATTCAGGGCCTGAATAAATAGGTAACCACATGTAATCTCTATGACTCAGTGAATCTTAATCCTCACCTTAAGGTTTGATTGTGGCCTCCCACCACAATAAGTTAGGGACCCTTCGTTATATAAATTATTCTTCAACCTTTTGCAGAAAGATGTTATGGGACTAGCTACTCTTTAATGGGTGTTTTGACAACAAAATAATAAAAAGTTTTTAGTAAAATGAGCATTTGTTACTGATTTCCTGCATTAAGTATACAGTTAATATCTTGAAAAATAATACCCAAAATGAATTTTCATTGTTAACCAATGCAGTGTTGGATTTGAAAAGTAGCACTTAAGTTTAGGAAGTTTTGTTTGTTCATAAAACAATTGTCAGATGTATTTAGTAACTCAATATTAGTGCCTCAACAAAATGTTTAATAGTGTTTCAACAAAATTTTAAGTAAAAATTTAAACAATCCAAAGTTTCATGTAGATACTGCAGAGTTCATCTTAGCTGTAAGAGCTGGTAATTGTCCCGTTGTCATAAAGGTTTTGAAAGAATTAGTTGCCCATAGGAGTAATTATATTTAGAATATAATAGACTCTAGGGCCTTGTTTATTCAAGAGTGTACTTCTTGGACAGCAGTGTCAGTATCACTGGGGGGCTAGTTGAAGTGTGGAATGTCAGGATCCTCCCCAAACTCATCCCATCAGAGTCTACATTTTAACAAATCCCCAGGTAACTGAAATGTACATTAAATGTAAAAAGCACTGTTAGAAGAGATGCTGCTTGAACTTGGGGCTTTTTGCTTCACTCCAAAATTAAAAGTCATTTTTAGGGAATTCCAATTCTACTTGGGTTCTGCCTCCCCTACACTGCAGTCCCTTAGAACTCAGTTGAAACCAGTACAGCTTACCATGGAATTCTTGGAATATAGGTCAGTCTAAACATGATTTGGATTTTTTCAAATGGCTGTGGACCAAAGGTCTGCTGGTAGAAATGCTTGAAATATCTGGAAAGGAGGTAGAATGAGTCTCAAATAGAATTTTGATTGCCAAGAATCAGAGGCTAGAGAGACATCCTACAAAAATCAGGAAGTTCTCAACTAGTATGTGTCTACTATGTGGAGAGTTTTTTTGTTGGTTTTAGAGACAGAGTCTCTCTGTCATCCAGGCTGGAATGCAGTGGTACAGTTTTGCCTCACTGTAGCCTCAATTTTTAGTAGTATTTTTGCATTCTTAAAGTAATGTGTTATTGACTGTTATAGAATATTGTGAAGTTAACATTCTGTAAAGATCGGGAGAGATTCAAATTTTATTACATGCTTGGTGAAAAAAGTCATCTCACTGTGTTGCTCAGGCTGGTTTCAAGAAATCCTCCTGCCTTGGTCTCCCAGAGTGCTGGGATTATAGGTGTGAGCCCCCATCCCTGAACTGTATGGAGAGTTTAAGAGCAAGGAAAAGATAATCATTACTAGGGAGTCAGGATATATCAACTCAAAACACACCGGGCCTCTTGCCTTAGAGTCTTCGCTCCAGCTCTTTCTCTACCTGATTGTTCTTTCCTAGATATTTACTCCCTTGCGTCCTTCAAGTCTTTTCTTACCTAGTAACTAATAGAATCACTCTGTTACTAAAACCTCTACCCACTTCCTCAATTCCTGTTTCCCTGCACTACATTTTTCTCTATAGCTTTTAATACACCATATACATTTCTTATTATGCCTATTGCCTATTATTTGTTTTTTCCACACCAGCATATAAACTGCATAAGGGCAGGGGTCTTTGTTTTGTTTGACCTTACATGCCAGTTGCCTAGAATAGTGCCTGGCACATTGGCACATAGTAGATACTAAAATTTACTTGTTGAATGAATCAATAAACTCTGTTTTTGTGTAAGTTTTTGTGAGTGTACGTGGGGGCATGTGTGTTTGTGTGTGTGTGTGCGAGAGAGAGAATGGTTTGATAGTACAAAGTAGTACAAAAAAAGAACAAAAAAGTAAGATATAGTGAATTACTTTTTATTACTATTGAGAAGTAAGATTTACCTACTTTATGGATGAATGACCATTTGCAAGATTTTTTCTAAATTTATTTTTGGAGACTGTCTGTCAAATATGTCTCTGTTTATTTAGCTGGGTTTGAGTTCAGGCCCAAAAGTTGAGGACAAGTAGTATTTAAATGAATCAGACTAAGTTTATTGTTGGGTTAATTGTATTTAGTGAAACCTATCACGGATTATATTGTTAAATTTGCTTTTGCAGCAACAAATATGTATTAAATTCAGGACTACTCCCTAATACTTACAGTGATAGATTCTGAACCTAATGTTTTGCAAAAAGGCTGGTGCTTTAATTTTCACTTTTATTTATATGTATATCACTTTTTAATTTAAAGATCATTTTTATTTCATTTCATTTTTTATTTCGTTTCATCTTATTTTTGCAGATAGGCTCGAGGAGAGAGCATCCTCAGATAAGAATGTAGACTCACTTTCTGCTCCACATAACCATCCTCCAGAAGATCCTTTTGGTTCTGTTCCTTTCATTTCTCATTCAGGCAAGTTACACATGTAACATCATCACTGTCACAAATAAAACACACAAGAACAACAGCAAAATCTTATAAAGTGGAAGTAAGACTCTGATGTTAGTTAGCTACAGAAAGTAGAAAATATTTTAACCTTTAGCCATCCTACTCTTCTTAATGATGTTCTTTGCATTGAGTTATTATTCAGTTGTATCTTTGCCAACATAGAAAAATGCTGATTTACACAATAGAAACATAACTGCTTCTTTTCATCTTTATTATTGGATACTGTTGAAAAAAATATTTAAAGATATTTTTATACTTGGCTTTTGCTTAAAAATTTGATATTTTCCTAGTTTGTACATGCTCTCTTGTAGATGCATTTTAAAAGTATTAATAATTTTGTATTTGTCACAATCACTTTGTTTTACTCTTGTCTTCTTATATCCCTCTTTTGATTTCAATTCAGAATTCAAATATTGATGTTTTTCACTGTTAAAAATTTTCAGTAATAATTTCAAATTACCCAGTTAACACTTGGAAGATACTAGGATGGAATAGGATCGTGCATTGGCATAAATGAATTTTCATGTATGTATGGTTATAGTGGAAAAAAAGAGTTTTAATCTTGGCAAAGGGAAATATGTTAGAAGAAGTTATGCTTTATTAGAAGGTAAAAGTTCGATATATTCATGGTAACTGTCGGCCATGTTCTTCAGTTCTGTTCCTTTTGTTTCTCACTCAGGCAAGTTACATATGTAACACCATTTGAAAACTACAGAATTAACAACAAAAGAAAAACTTACAAATGTAAAGCCAAAAGAAGAATTGAGTGTTTAGGATTTCTGCTGAGTACATTGAACAGCTTTTCAACATTCAGACTTGTTTGGTTATCTGGAATATACAGGATAGTTTTTTCATTGCTTTCATACTCCATATTTTTCTCTTTGACATTTATTAAAAACAGTTCCTATTCTTGCTGTTTTCTGTTTGCTGCTTTCAAGTTTTCTTTTTCATAAATGACATAATTAACTGGGGAACATAGCTTACTGTGTCTGTTTACTTATTCTGCATAAATGTGTTCCCTTATACCCCCAATACCCTGGGTAATGGAATTATTACTGTCTAAAATTATAATAACTCAAAATAGTCATTGTAAGTTCTCAAGAACATAGTATTCAATGACTTGAGATACTGATCTCTGTGTGGTAGAAGGCAGTTTCAGTACTAGCTCTTTTACATCCTCTGTTAGGAATTGCATTATCCTTTTCAGGTTTGCATGGACCTATACAACTACTTCTCTGATGTTTAATAGCATCTGAAAGAACCCTGGGGAAATGAATAGTAGAGTTAGGAGAACTGAAGTAAGCTTCAGTGATTGGTCTTTTCTCTGGACACCCTTATTTGGAGGTTGGCCTAAAGATTTTGTACTTCGCAACATGTTCACAGGTTTGAGCTCGATTGCTGCTATTTTGTTTAACTGTTTACTATGGGTATTTATATTAGATTTTAAGCTAATTGAGGGTGGGAAATATGAATTGTCTATCTTTGAATCCTGCCCAGTATACAACCCAGTAGGTACCTAATACTGTTCATTGAATGTGCAGAAAAAAATCATGACTATCTATAAAAATTCATATTCCTTAGATTTAGGACAGTGGCCTTAAAAAAAATGCCCATTAATGGGCCGGGCGCGGTGGCTTGCGCCTGTAATCCCAGCACTTTGGGAGGCCAAGGCAGGCGGATCATGAGGTCAGGAGATCAAGACCATCCTGGCTAACACGGTGAAACCCCATCTCTACTAAAAATACAAAAAATCAGCCAGGCGTGGTGGTGGGTGCCTGTAATCCCAGCTACTCGGGAGGCTAAGGCAGGAGAATGGCGTGAACCCGGGAGGCGGAGTTTGCAGTGAGCCGAGATCGTGCCAGTGCACTCCAACCTGGGCGATAGAGTGAGACTCTGTCTCAAAAAAAAAAAAAAAAAAAAAAGCCCATTAATATAAATGCTACCTTTTAAAGAAATCTTTTTAAACAGTGTGAACATAAATATTGGACTGGTTTGGTTATGAAAAAAGTATATAGACTGGAATAAAGGAGAGTATGGTCATAGGAGAAATGCGTCTCCTGAGAAAGAAGAAAAAGTGATCACTGTGCAATATTAGCACTGTTAATTTGATATATGTCAGATCTAAAATATTAAGTTAAAAAATCTAAATATATTGCTACTTATTATAAAGCTTTGAAATACTTTGTCATGTATAATTTTTAGGTAAAAATGTATTTGGGGACATTCATTTTTCTTTAATAGCAAAATAATTGAACCTACTGAAACAAGAATTAACCTCCCTATAAGCTTTAGGAAAAAGTTGGACAAAGGAGTTCTATCCAATGAAAATACACTCTACTAGCGTTGTGAGACTGAAAAAGCATCTGGAGATTTCTAGGACTAGGACCCAAGAAAGGCAAAAAACTACTCCCAGGTGTATGTGTGTATATACAATACAGAATGATAAGTATATGCGATAAGCCATCTTATTTGAATTTGAGAGTTGACAATTACTAAACAGAATTTAATTTTTAGTAAACCATATAGAGAATGCTACTTGAGAATAAAATGAATTTATGCAGCAGAATGCTTGTAAGAACTTAGTTAAGTTTTAAGTCTAATGCTAATGTTCATTTAAGAACCACTGTCCTGAATCTAGTGTTCCTTACACTGGTTTTATTAGGAATTGTGCTCTTTTTATTTTGAAAGAAAAAGTTTCTGTGAAAACTTTTAACCTCAACTTTGATACTGTAATAGATTAGTATATACTTTTTTCTGCAGTTTTTCATAATCTTACAAAGTGATTTGTAAATTGAAACTTTATTAAAGTATGTATATAGTTTAAAAAGTCAGATTTAACAAGATTTGAAATGGAAAAAAAAAAATCACTTCCTTTCCTGTTCCCTCCCAGTCCCCTTTTCCTACTTAAACTCCTTAGAGGTAATTTTTCACTTCTGGCATTTTAATATATCATGCTAATTATGCTATTTCTTACCTCTGCACTTTTTAAAACAATAGCTATGGACTTTCTATTATGGAAAATGAGATTTTTTTTTGATTTAGATATTTTACAGTTTGTCCGCCTCACACATACACAATCATGCGCACACACACACACACACACACACGTGTCCTGTCCTTACATCCAGCATGTTTTTGACACAGTTTTTGGTTGATTCAGTGTTCAGTGTCTACATTTTTTTAATATGTAAATATTTGTCACCACTGAGGTTTATTATCTATCCCATGATCACATTTCCTGTCTTTGTTTTTCCTGGAGTTAATTACTGTGTTTATAATCACTATGTTTTTTGTTTGCTTAGTTTTTTATGTACCCTATCATTGATTAATCTTCATTTAGAAGTGTAAATTTCCTCCCAGTTTAAGGTGGCTATCATTTTCATTCTTCATTACATCTCTCATGGAGCTCTGCAATCAGAACTGGTTGCTTTCTGGAGCTGTCACACTTATAATTCTAGTATTTTTCCCACCAATCTTTATGGAAATTCCTGGAGCTCTTCTCATCCTTTTTCTTGGTTTGTTAGTAAAGCAACTCCTCTAGTTGTTGCTTGAGAAAATATGCATGAGAGGAAGTTCTAAGCTTTGCTGCCTAGGCTGGGTGGGGTGGCTCATGCCTGTAATCCCAGCATTTTGGGAGGCTGAGGTGGGAGGATTGCTTGCTTGAGGCCAAGAGTTTAAGACCAGTCTGGGTGACATAGTGAGACCTTGTCTCTACAAAAATAAATACAAAATAAACTTTGCTGCCTAAAAGTTTGTATTTTCCCTAAACTGATACCTGATTGATAATTTGGCAGGGCAAATAATTTTAGGTTAGATATAATTTTCCCTGTGAGTTTTAAGAGGCACTGCTTCATAGTATTTTAGCTTCTCATATTTCTGTTGAGAAATCTGATATTATTCTCTTTTCTGATCCTTTATGTGTGAACTGTGGTAGGTTTCTTCTTCTTCCTCTTTTTCTTATTCCTGCTCCTCTTTCTCTTCCTCCTTACCCCACCATGGACATTTGTAGCATCTGTATTAACTTGTTCTGAATATTCAAGATGTTGTACCTTTTATTCATTGTGCTGGGGACCTAGTGGGCCTTACTTATTTAGCCTGGAAACTTGTATTTTCTTGCTGTATATGCTTTGGTAATTTTTTCTTCCTCTTTCTGGACTTTCTTCTTTTAAAATCATTCCTCTTACTAGGATATTGTGCCGTTTGGATTGAACCTCTAATTTAAATTTTGTTCTCCTCTGTTTTCTAGCTCTTTGTCTTTTATATTTGCATCTTAGAAATTTCCTTGGCTTTATATTACAGACATTATTTCTGATTGCAAATAACATATTATTGGATGCAGTATATTTTAATTTGTCTGAGGATACTTTGGTTTTGCACATTTTGCCACACCTTTTCTTCTCTTTTCTTTATCTTTCACTCTAAGAGTTTCAGCAAATTATTGTAAATTATTTTCTTCCCAGAGAAGGTAGCCTTAAACTGAGACCTGAAGGATGTAAAGAAGTTTGCTTATTAGATACAGTGTTTCCCAGGCTTGAGAAATCCTTTAGTTTGATACAGATTACTGAGTCTAAAATGTGATGGAGAAGTGGGGAAGGATGAGACTAGTGGGAAATGCCAAACCGACACTGAATTTCTTGGAAACAACCTAGTTGACCATGATTTCTTTTATAAAAAATATTGCTGTTTTCAGTCTTTAAAAGGATGTTTTATTCATGAAGGATATTGAACTTTGGTTTTCTTTCCTTGTAATCTGTCAGGCTTTTGTTTCAGAGTTATGTTGGTCTCGTAAAATGAGTTGGGAAATGTTACTTGTACTTTCTGTAAGAGTTAGTGTATGATGTAGATTTTTTTCCTAAATATTTAGAATTCACCTGTGAAGCAAACTGGGCTTCAAGTTACCTTTGTGAAAAGGTTTTTAATTACATATTTAATATCTTTAATAGTTATAGGGCCGTTTAGATGTTCAGTTTTCTTACATTGTAAATTTTGAAATTTATATTTTTAAAGAAATTTGTACATTTCACTTGAGATACTGGGTTTTATTGACGTGAAGTTTTTAATAATGTTCCAGTATCATCATTTGAAAATGTGGAGGATCTATTCTGATATTCCGTTTTTATACCTAATGGTAGTAATTTGTGTTTTCCCCTTTTTATCAAACTTGCTAAGGTATTAATCTCTTTAAAGAACCAACTTTTGACTTTATCTGCTCTTTATTTATTGACATATGCTAAAATTTTTATGTTTTCTTCTACCTATTTCAGGAATAATTTGCTACTCTTTCTCTAGCTTCTTAAGCAAGATTTAAATACAAGCATACTTTGGAGATACTGCAGGTTCCATTCCAGACCACTACAAAAAGTGAATATTTTGCAATAAAGAGAGGGACACACATTTTTTTGTTTCCCAGTGCATACAAAAGTTACATTTACGCTATGCTGTAATCTGTTAAGTATGCAATAATATTATGTCTAAAAAAATGTATATACCATAATTTAAAAATAACTTATTGATAAAAAATGCTAACAATCATCTGAACCTTCAGCTGGTTGTAATCTTTTTGCTGGTGGCAGGTCTTGCCTCAGTATTGAAGGCTGCTGATGGATTAGGGTGTTGGTTGCTGAAAGAAGGGGTGGCTATGGTAATTTCTTAAAATAAGACAATGATTAAGTTTGCAAAATCAGTGGACTCTTCATGAAAGACTTCTCTGTACATGCAATGCTGTTTGATATAATTTTTTAATCCACAGTAGAACTTCTTCCAAAATTGGAGTTAATTCCCTCAAACCATACCATTGCTTTATGAATTATGTTTATGTAATATTCTAAATTCTTGGAGTCATTTCAGCAGTGTTCACAGCATCTTCACCAGGAACAGATTCCATCTCAAGAAACCACTTCTTTGCTCAAGCATAAGCAACTCCTCATCTGTTCCAGTTTGATTACGAGACTGCAACAATTCAGTCACATTTTTAGGTTCTATTTCTAGTTCTCTTGCTCTTTCCATGACATCTGCAGTTACTTCCTTCACTGAAATCTTAAACCCTTCAAAATCATCCATGAGGGTTGGAGTCAACTTCCAGAGTCTTGTTAATGTTGATATTTTGACCTGTTCTTACGAATCACGAATGATTTTAATGAAATCTAGAATGGTGAATTCTTTTCAGGTTTTCAGTTTACTTTGCACAGATTCATGAGAGAATTCACTATCTGTAACAGTTATAACCTTATGAAATGTATTTCTTAAATAATAAGACTTTTAAAAATGGGTCCTGCTTTGTCTTCCAGGCTGGAATGGAGTGGCATGGTCATAACTCACTATGGCCTCGAACTCCTGGGCTCCAGTGATCCTCCCGCCTCAGCATCCCATGTAGCTGGGACTATAGGCATGCACTACAACACCTGCGAAATTCTTTAAAGTTTTCCTTAGAGTTTGGGTCTCACTATGTTGCCCAGGTTCGTCTTGAACTCCTGGCCTCAAGCAGCCCTCTCACCTCAACCTCCAGAGTAGCTGGGATTATAGTGTGAGCCACCAAGCCCAGCTAATAAGACTTGAAAGACACAATTACTGCTTGATCCATGGGCTGCAGATGGGATGTTATTTTAGCAGGCATGAAAACAACAGTAATCTTCTTGTACTTCTCCATCAGAGCTCTTGGGTGACAGGTGCATTGTCAATGAGCAGGAATATTTTGAAAGGAATCTTCTTTTCTGAGCAGTAGATTTCAAGAGTGGGTTTCAAATAATCAGTAAACTATGCTGGAAACAGATGTGATGTCATCCAGGCTTTGTTATTTCATTTATAGAACACAAACAGAGTAGTTTTAGCATAGTTCTTAAGGGCCTCGAAGTTTTGGAATGGCAAGTAAGCATTGGTTTCAACTTAAAGTCACCAATTGCATTAGCTCCTAACAAGAGAGTCAGTCTGTCCTTTGAATCTTTGAAGCCAGACATGGACTTAACTATAGCTCTAAAAGTCCTAGATGGCATCTTCCAATAGAAGGCTGTTTTCTGTATTGAAAATCTGTTGTTTAGTGTAGCCACCTTCATCAGTGATCTTAGTGAAATCTTCCGGATAACTTGTTACACTTCCTGCGTTACCTGTACTTACATGTTCTGGAGATGGCTTCTTTCCTTACAGCTCATGATCCAACCTCTACTAGCTTCAGATTTTTCTTCTGCAGGTTTCTCACTTCACTCAGCCTTCATAGGATTGAAGAGAGTTAGAGCCTTGCTCTGGATTAAGGCTTTGGCTTACGGGAACGCAGTGGTTGGTTTGATCTTCTGTCCAGACCATTAAAATTTTCTCCATATCAGCAGTAAGGTTGTTTTCCTTTCTTACCGTTCATCACTGATCACTGGAGTATCACTTTTAATTTCCTTCAATAATTTTTCCTTTGTGTTCACTTGGCTAACTGGTGCAAGAGGCCTAGCTTTTGACCTATCTCAGCTTTCAGCGTGCTTTCCTCTCTAAGCTTAGTCATTTCTAACTCTTGATTTAAAGTGACAGATGCATCTCGTCCTTTCACCTGAACACTTAGAGGCCATTGTGGGGTTATTAATTGGCCTAATTTCAATATTGTTGTGTCTCAGGGAATAGGGAGACCTAAGGAAAGGGAGAGAGACACGGAACAGCTGGTCGGTAGATCAGTCAGAACACATAAACATTTATCAGTTAAGTTTGCTGTCTTATATGGGCTCAGTTTGTGGAGCCCAAAACAATTACAGTAGTAACATCAAAGATCACTGATCACAGGGTCACCGTAACAGATACAATAATAATGAAAAAGTTTTAAATATTGTAAGAATTACCAGAATGTGACATAGAGACACAAAGTAATCACATGCTTTTAAAAAAATGGCAGTGATAGACTTGTTCAACATAGGCTTGCTACAGAGTTTTAATTTTTTTAGAAAGTCAATCTTGGAAATACAGTGAAGTCTGGCACAATACAAAAACGTACACCTGTATTTAATTTTACACTGATCTTTTTAAAGCATAGGGTTTAAGGTACAGATTTCTCTGCAAACACAGTTTAGCTGCATTTCACACATTTTGATATGCTGAATTTGCCACATAGTTTATAATTTTTCTAATTTCTCACAAATTTCAAAAAGTGTTTTGATTAAAGGTTGAAATCCCAGAGGGTTTAGGATAAATTTTTAAAAAATACTTGACATTGAGGATTCCCTTGAAGTAAATGATACTAGAAGAAATAAAAGAACTGACACCTAAAAAAAAAAGAGGTAATGAAATAAAAGTTGAAAGTGAGACTTGGGAAAAAATAAGAAGATGGATCTATAGATTTATTAATGGAAGTTGGGATGTAGATGGGAATTTAGCTCATATCTATTGTTAAAGAAAAATCATCAAAATTTTATGGAGCAAAAGGACTATAATATCATTGCCAATTGTACTCTAATTTTTATATGAACACAGCTTTTGTTGTTGTTGTTTTTGAAACAGCATTTTGCTTTTTTGCCCAGGCTGGAGTGCAGTGGCATGATCACGGTTCACTGCAACCTTGAACTCCTGAGCTCAAGCAGTCCTCCCACCTTAGCCTCCTAAGAAGCCTGGACTACAAGCAGAAGCTACCTCGCCCAGCTAATTTTTTAATTTTTAGTAGAGACAAGGTCTCGCTGTGTTGAATAGGCTGATCTTGAATTTCTGGGTTCAAGCAATCCTGCCTTGGCCTCCCACAATGCTGGGATTACAGGCGTGAGCCATCCTGCCAAGTCCAAATACAGTGTTTAATTAATTGAAACATAGGGTGCTTTTAATTTTCTTTCCTTACCTTTATGAATCTATAACCTAACTTTTTTGCAGCCAAGATTATAAATGACATTCATTTTTCTCACAACTAATAATCCTACTGTCACTGCCAGAGATGGAATATTGGGCTTGGTGAGCCAGTGATCAAACTATCAAATTTTGGCAGTTTTTTATACAAATGCCTATACTATGATAAAATACTCAAAGCATGTGTATTGAAAAAGTAGGGATCAGAAATAACATTTAATTGTACTTATATTTAAAAATTATATGAGTAAATTCTTGAAGTTAAAATTATCTGGGTTCAGTTTAAAGTCTATTGATAGCATTTGACCCAGGCAAATCACCTACTTGCTGTGTGTATCAGTTTCCTCATCTATAAAATGGGGGTAATAGTCCATAACATGTGACTCAGGGTTTTTAGTGATTAATAAGAAAAATATATGTGAAGCACAAAAAGTGACTGGCACATAGTTTTTCAGGAAACATTAGATTTTGTCATGATTATTATACATGGTGAATGCAGTGCAGTGAGATCTCAACTATGAGACTAATATGTCTACTTGATTTTTACAAATGAATTATCTTTTTAATTTTATGGGAATTTCTAGAAGTTGTTAAATTTCTAATATTTAAACTGTTTTTTATCACAATATTTCTTTGCTGCTGCTTTTGCAAATCCATCAAGAAGAGTTTGCAATATTTTAAATAATTCTTTATTGAATATCCTTACACATGAACATTTGGCACATGACATTATTCCTAGAGGAGGACTAATGGCCAAGAGCATGTACATTTACAGAATGGATTTATTGCTAGATGGGCCTACAGAATGAATACACTGATTTATGCTCCCACTGGAAGTTTTCAAAAAATGCTCATTTACTTGGGAAGCTTAATCTTAGAGTTTTGATAGTTTCCTCTCTTGAAATATATTGCTTGGGGGGAAATGTACAATGGAGCTGGTAAGTAAATACAATTTAGTATGATTTTATATATATATATAATGCTTAAAATATGGAGTAAAATTAGCATAAGATATTGCTGATGGCATAAATTGGTAAAACTTTTTTTTGAGAGCAGCTTAAGAAAATGTTTTTTTGATTTTTTTAAGCCTTATTTCTGGGAACTTACCTTAAGAAAATAACATAACATCTTGGGGAAAAGTGCAGCTATAAAAATGTTCAGTACAACATTAGTTGTAGAAACAAAATTTAAAGTGCCCTAAATATCCAATATTAGGTGAAATATTAAATTATGGCTTATTTAGTAATTAAAATTTAGTGCTGTTTTTAAAATGATGGAAGTGAAGATTATGTAGCAATGTACAAATGTGTCTCTGCTATAATTGAATTAAAAATTTATAATGAAAAATTAACTATATCATAAAACTTTGAATAATATAGGAAAAACACAATCTCATCATTATATTAGCACAGCTATTTGAATTTTGAACCATTTACTTCATTTTCCTTGTAGATCTAATATTTATACCTGTTAAGCATAGTGTATGTAAAACTTTTTGATCCTTTTTCTTGCTACTTCTGTGTTTTCATAGCATTTTTTATAGCGCTAAGTATCCTACCATGTACAGATAATTTGTTTTAATTTATATTTGCATTGGTGCCTCTTATTTCTTCTACCTTCTAATTTCCCAGCCGTGATTAATATGGGCATAGTCTCAGAAGTTAATTCAGGAGCTATTTCTATTACTGGATAGAGTTTTATCTGAAAATCTAAAAGGATTATTATAAAGATTACAGCCCTTGCCTCTCAAGGACTTCGAGATTGGTTAGGTTGAGAGAGTCATGAAAACTACATGCAATTAAGATGCAAATGCTACAATAGATAAATTATTCTGTTGGTGCACAAAGGAGAGAGTTGCTTTATTCTGGTTGAGTTGGGATTGGGAAATGAGGAAAGCTTCATGAGAAAGATGTTACTTATGGTTAAGCCCTGAGAAATGAATGCATGTGAACTTACAGGAATGAAGAGGGCATTCAGAGCAGAGAGAACAGTTGTGAGCAAAGTTCTAAGACAATTCAGTATGTTCAGAGAATTGCAGGTATTTGAGGATGGCAGTATTAGGTTTGGTAAACTTCCTCAACGCTCCCAAAGACCCTAGACCCACCCTGTGGGCTTTATTATCTAATAGGAAGTTAAATTGAGTTTAGGATTGGGAAACATTACATTACATAGAGCAAATATTTGTTGGAACATAACATTTACAGATTGTCAGTCCACTGCTGGGCCATTTTATAAGCTACAATAAGGTGTATTGTTTATTTTAGATTCTAGTGTATGATTCTTGAAGAACTTCAGGATGTTAGCAATAATAGTTATATATTGAATTAAACTGGAGAGGTTGGCAGGGGCTATCATGATATGGAGACAGTGGAGGTAATAGGTAGAAATGGAAGGACTTTAAAACAGGAAAGGAATATGATTAATACAGTCTAGAAAGATTACACTGGAAAGACTGTAATCTTTCTAGACTGTATATCTAATCATATTCCTTTCCTGTTTAAAGTCCTTCCATTGGGCGACAGAGCGAGACTCCATCTCAAAAAAAAAAAAAGACCATTGCTCCTCAAAGTGTGGTCTGCAACAAAATGACTACAGAAATTGAAAGCAAGTGAGAAATAACTTTATATGTATTGAATCACTTGGACAATGTGAATTGGGATATTAACAAAAATAAGAAATAAACCTATTGCTTCACTACTTCAAGTCTGAGAAGTAGTGATTAAAAGATTATTGCAGCTGGTGCAGTGGCATGTGCTTGTAGTCCCAGCTGCTCGGGAGGCTTAGGCGAGAGGACTGCTTGAGCCCAGTAGTTCTGGACTGCAATGCACTATGCTGATCCTGTGTCTGCACTAAGTTGGACCTCAATATGGTGACCTCCAGGAAGCGAGGGGGACCACCAGGTTGCCTAAGGAAGGGTGAACTGGCTCAGGTTGGAAGTAGAGCAGGTCAAAACTCCGGTGCTGATCAGTAGTGGGATCATGCCTATGAATAGCCACTGCACTCCAGCCTGGGCAACATAGTGAGACCCCTTCTCTTAAAGTAAGTCTATTGCAAAAGACTCCATGCTTGAAATAACAGCCTGAGAGAGATTTAGAGGGGCAGAATATATAGGATTTAGTAACCATATGGGAGGGAACAGGGGACCTTGAAGGAAAGAGAGGAATCTAAAATGATTAGCAGATTTTTGTTTCAGCAAAATTGGTGAAGTTCTTTTCTGGAAAGGGAGAATATAGGGTAGGTCAAGAAAAGAGTTCACATTCACATAGGTTGAGTTTGAGTTGTCTGTAGGGGCACTGGAATCTTTTTAGTAGGCATTTAGACACAAAAGAAGACATCCAAGACAGAAATCTTGGCCATTGGGTTTACCATCAAGAAAGTGGTAGTTCATGCCAGTTAGAAGAGACTAGAAGAGGGATGAGAAGAAGAAAATTCAGGTTAATTCTAACAGTGAAGAGGCAAGACAAAGGAGATAAGAAAAGGGATAGAGAAAGAAGGACCATAGAAACAGGAGAAGTACAGGAGGGCTGAAGAAAGAATTTTTTTTTTTTTTCCCAAAGGATTGAGCATATCTTTTGAAATGTCCACAGGGTTACAGGGTTAGGGTGACTGGAAATAGTCCATTAGATTTAGCATTTAGTAATTATTTTATCTTGGCAAAAATAATGCGGTTGGAATCCTGATTGCAGTGGATTTGAGAAGTGAATGAGAGTTGAAGAAGTTGAGATATTAGCAACAGATTATTCTTTCCAAGAGTCCAGCTGTGCTGAGAACAGAGAAAGGTAGGTAGGTAAGGATTAAGGGAAGAATTTAGATTTTATATGGGCAAGACAAGAAAATTATATGATGTGAGAGTGAGTGTTGATATATACAGTCGATCCTTGAACAACACGGGTTTGAACTGTGTGGATTCCTTTATACACTAATTTTCTTTCGCCTCTGCTATCCCTATCTTCTTTTGTGTCTAAATGCCTACAGCAAGAACAACCCCTCTTCTTTGCTCCTCAGCCTACTCAATGTGAAGACGATGAGGATGAGGACCTTTATGATGATCTACTTTCACTTAATTAGTAGTAAATATCTTATTGACATTTTGTTTTCTCTTTAAGAATACAGTGTATAATATAACATTCAAAATATGTTATTAGTTGATTATGTTATCAGCAAGGCTTCTGGTTAACAGTAGGCTATTAGCAGTTAAGTTTTTGAGGAGTTAAAAGTTACACATGGATTTTTGACTGTGTCGGAGGTTGATACCTCTAATCCCCTCATTGTTCAAGGCTCAACTGTATATAGAAAGACTGAAAGTGAAGGAAGGAGAAGGAATAAACAGTATTCTGGAGAGATAAAGTCAGTAGCACAGATGGAAAAATGAGAGTCTAACAAGACATAAAAATTTTTCTCCTTGAGACTGGGAATAGCTGTAAATAGGTTTGTGATAGGGAATTAAGGATAATTCATGTATTCACAGTCTGGTTCAGTCAGCTGGCCTACCTTACTTTGGCCACAAAGAATGATCTTTCTGATTTATTTGTTGCCTTAGTTTATGATATCATTTCCAGACTTTTAGAAAGATTAGCTGAATATAACATTTAGATAGACTATGTCTTAAAATGAATCAAGTCTAGTTTTTTCTCTTCTTAATTTTAAACATTGATTTCTGGGAAAGTTAAATTTATAATGATCCATTTACGCAAAAATCAAATAATTGTATCAATAATCTGTTTGCTATATGCAAATGTTATGTTTTATTCCACAAGTTGATATTTTAATTATCATGAATTATATTTGCCTTTTATGGCAGGTTATAAAACTGATGTTAGTAGTGTGGTTTATCAAAAGACCATTGACTTTGGAATTATAAAACCCTGAGTTAAAAATCTTAGTTCTATCACAGATTAACCATTTGATATTGAGTATTGGCAAACTTGTTTTCCTTTTTTGAGATAAGAGTCTTGCTCTGTTGCCCAGGCTGGAGTGCAGTGGCGTGATCATAGGCTTACTACAGCCCGGACCTCTTGGGCTCAAGCAATCCTACTCTCTCAGCCTCCCAAGTAGCTGGGACTATAGGTGTGCACCACCATTCTCAGCTACTTTTTTATTTTATTTTATTATTTTTTTTTTTGTAGAGACTAGGTCTTACTATGTTGCCTAGGCTTGTCTCTAATTCCTGGTCTCAAGAAAGCCTTTTACCTCAGCCTCCCAAAGTGCTGGGATTACAGGCAAGAGCCATTGTGCCCAGCCCAAACTTCTTGTAAAATTTATCTTAAATTGGAGATAATACTGGCTACTTGATAAGAAAATTGAAAGGATTAAATGAGTTATGCTAGTTTTCTCTTAACTGCTGAATGAAACCTTTAAAATGTAGAACCTGTTTGTGAGGATTTCCACTACCAGTATCTGTTTAAGATGGTGCCATTCCTATTTTCACTAAAGGATTAACTACCAGTGTTGACTACAGTATACTCATAAAAATCATATTTAAAGCATGGTATTCATTCCCTTTCCTGAAACCCACATTCCCTTTCTTCTCCCCAGGGCACTGTTTTACAGTTAGTTTGCATACCAACATAGGATAGGTGGCTCTGTGAATTATATAATGTAGTGTGGACCACCCCATTTTAATAAACACCTACAACTTCTAAAACGTAGTTTTCATGAAATTCTAAAATTGTATTTGAAGAGTTTTAGTGACATGTAGGCCATATTAATTAGGTCACTGAAGTTTTAGATTTCTTATATTGCATTTAATTTTTAATTAGGCTTGGTGAACTTCCTCAATGCTCCCAAAGACCCTAGACCCACCTCGTGGGCTTTATTATCTAATAGGAAGTTAAATTGAGTTTAGGATTGGGAAACATTACCTTACATAGAGCAAATATTTGTTGGAACATAACATTTACAGATTGTCAGTCCAAATGCTGGGCCATTTTATAAGCTACAATGAGGTGTATTGTTTATTTTAGATTCTAGTGTATGATTCTTGAAGAACTTCAGGATGTTAGCAATAATAGTTACGATATACTGAATTCCACTGTATACATAGAGTAGAAAATGAGGCTCAGAAAGGTTCACTGACTTGCTTAAGCTTACATAGTTTATAAGTAGGAATCTGGCTTTGTCTCATTCTAAACCCTATTCTGTAAATAGCAAAACAAAGCATTAACCTATTTTAAAGAAAAATTTATATTAATATGAGAACATAATGGAAATGTCAGTTTTATGGCATTTTTCATCTGGCTGGGAAATACTGTTCACAACTATTAGGATTCTCTTCTTATACTCAAACCCTGTCACTTGGCCTGCCTTCTGAGAAGCAGTACAGATTTGATAAAACCTTCTCCTAATCCACTAATCCTTGTGACTAACATGGTAAATTGCTGGGAGATGATGGCAGGCAGTATGCTGCCAATTCAAAGTGAACTTTGAAGTCTTATAGCCCCTCCCGTACACCCTCAATGATGAGACAACAGAAGGCATGTAATTACAATAGAAGTTTCAAGCCATTTATCTTCTATAATCTGATAGGTAAGAAAAGAACATCAAAACAAAATTTCCCTGACACTGGAAGCTTCTTATATGATTAAAAATGTACCACCTGTTTTATAACTAAAAGAACAACTGCCCTCTAAAAGGAAAAGAGGGAAACCTGATTCTAGAAGAGCGGTAATATGCATAGTATGATGCAAACATGCTTCTCTCTTCATATTGGATATTTTCTAAATATTTTGAATTTTTTGGTATAGTTTATAAAGGTTTATTTAATAATATATTGCAATATTTGTTTAAAATAGTGTGGCATTAACTAGGATCTCATTCTTTTTATGAAGTATTTGTTTAAAAAATGCTATAACAAATATATGAAAATGTAGCCTAAGAAATGTTGTTTTAGGCATTGACTACAAATTTTTAACTTTTGAGTTTAGAATCCTTGTTTGGACTGTGCAAGGCTATGATGTCTGAAATTTTCCCACCAAGGTATTGTATTGTATTGTATGCCATACAATACCTTGCTGAATGAATTCATTATCAAATTTTAACACCTTCATAAAAGGCCTAAACATAGCCTTTTATGAAGACTCATAAGCACAGAATGGGCAAATTCATGTTCTTGTATTTATTTGGTGAATATAAGCTTGTTTTTCAAAATTATCCTATTGTTATTACCTTGGTCACTCATTTTCCAGATCACTAGAGTCAGATTAGCATGTTTCTGAATGCATAAATGTACATAATTATTTCACAACTTTTTAAGTAAGTAAGCTTCTTGAAGTCTGGTATTGTCTTATTCTTCTTTGTATCCCATACAATACCTTGCTGAATGAATTCATTATCAAAATACACATTAGTAATCTAACACACACCCCCACCCAATATTTAGTGAACATTCACTAAATAAAATGAATTATGTTAACATCATCCCTATCAGGTAAGTTCTATTATTGTCTCTATTTTCTAGATGAGAAAACTCAGGCTTATTTGGATGTTTATCTCTCATGGATTTTGTAAAGTTGAGTATTCTTTTGTTTGTTGATAAAGCCTTATAGTGTTTCTAGAACTTAACCCTACAGAATATTAAAAAAAATTTTTAATACAGGGTACTCATCATACAGGTTCAACAAAAGAGTCTTCATCCTGTTCGTGGCTTTTATTTTTTGGGCATGGTTTTTTAGTGATGATACAAAATAAATGCAAGACAGGCCCATGTTTGTATTTTGTAGTGTGTTGGTGATAAACTGTTGAATTTTTGCTGGTGATAATATTCTACTGGTAGTTTAATTGTAGAATTTACAGATGAGAGTTTTAAGCCAGTGTCAGCAGAGAAGTTATTATGGCTTTGATATATAGTCTTAAATTTAGGCAGGTCTCAGATTTCTTACGTATAAAAAGATGTTGGACTAAATCTCTCAGAATCCTTTCTTATGCTTTCAAGATATAATTGGAATTATGAAAGAGTATTAAAGCCATCAAAAGGAAAAAGTGCAAAGAGATAAGAGAAAGCCAAGGACTGAGTTTTGAGTGTTAACAATGCATGTCTTTGAAACGATAGGAAGTCATGACAGTGAACTAACATGGAAAACAAAGTTTCTGAAAATGTGGTTAATAAGATTGAAGAGAAAAAAGTTCTAAGAAAGATCATAGTAAACCTTACAGAGCATTTTTTGCCCTAAAATGTTGTGGGGGCCTAATATAGGGAGATAAGAGGTAATATATGAAAAACCCTTGGCACTGTGCTTCAGGATATTAGTTCCTATTCCCTCTGATTCATTTCTGATTCAAGTACCATTTGTGTCCTCTTGACACTTATTTCAGTGGTACTTCATTGCTCAGACATTTTTTGCAATACTTGTAATTTTCCTGAGAGACTGTTTACAAGCCACACAAGATAATTTAAAACTTTATAACCTATCATTGCTGTTCTTAATAAATTACCCAGATCTGCATTGTCTTAGTCACTCACCTTATTCTCAGAATTTAGCTCTGAATGAATTTTGGCAGTTTCCAGCAATCAGACTCAACCTCAAAAGATGGGGATTTGCTCTCATTTTCAGATAGTAGAATTCAGCAGAAGTAAAGAATTGAAAGAGCACTGCATTTGATGTTGAGACTTGTATTCTGTTCCAAGTTCTTTTGTTAAGTAGACGTATACCTTCATTTAAGTTCTACTTGAAATGGCTTAATTATTAATTATGGCTCAATAAGAGCATAATTATTATATATTGTGAAAGTCTATGATTTTATTATTTTAACTAGGTTCTGAAAATAAGATAGTTATAATTCCATCTACAATAATGAATCTTTGAAAATTTGGTTCTTGGTTTGAAAGTAGGAAAAAACATTCTTAGTAACTCTGTACCAAAGCTACCTAAAGAAAATTTAACTCTATATTTTTGTATAAATATGTGGAATATATGAATGTATTCCTATTTTGATTTTTTTTCACTAAAAATCTACTTAGTATTATGTTTTGACTAATCTATTGGTTCATTCTTAGTTGGGGAACAGCATTTGAAATAATAGCTCTCAATTAATTGATTAACCCTTTCGTTAAGTTTTGTTTACAGATATTGGTTGATCATATAGATTTTTGCACGGCATTTATTTACTAAATCACTGCATAATTAGTAAACTTGCTTAGTGTCAGTAATTAACATGCAACTTCCTAAGATAATAAAAAAGCTAAAATTTTTAGTTCGTAGTTCCAAAGCACAAAAACAGAAATAAAGAATATCTTGACTAGAAACCATCAAAATATCATTCTACCATATTTAGTTAAAGAAAAAGAAGAAATACATTACTTAGAGCCAAAAATAAAAACAGTGGGTGAATATATGAAATTTCACAGTATACTAAAATAATGTAAATGAGTTATGATTCTGTGCACCATCTACACAGTTTTTAATGCTGTAAATACATGTTGTTAGTGCTTATTCTAAATATTATACCCCCATCTCCCACCTACTTGAAGAACAGCTATTTTTATGTTAATAATACAGATCTCAGTAAATATGGGGATTATTAGGATTTAGGGTATATTGAATTATAAAGCAACATATTTAGGCTTATACTTTTGGGAAATTAACTTTAGCAGTGAAATAATCCTGATTAAATTTCATAGTAAATCAAATGTGTATTATTTAATCTAACAACTAGTGGGAATCTGGCCCCAGACACAAATAGTGGGAAGATCTGAAATTTTTTTTTTTAAATTATAGGAATATGTTTAGGCAAAGAAATGGAGTATGAAGGTTTATGGCATTCTTAGCTAGAGGTCACATTCTAAAGTGCTGTGCATTGTATAGTTATAACCAACTTTATAACTTAAAATACTTATTCTGACAGTCTTTTATGTCTATGGAATAGGACTGAAAGCCTTAGAATATACTGAAATACTTTTTATTTTTGTGTAATTCACCTTTCTTTCCCAGCTCTTCTGTAGTTTCATGATGAATAGATGATTAAGTAGATCACTGCTACTGCAGAAACTTACCTTGGATTGTGGTAACTTGCAGCCTGGAACCTAACTTTTCCTCAGCAGGAGGTACTGGAGAGATAAAAGGATTAATAGTTTGTCTTAGTATGCTTTCAGAGAGCCTCATTACTGCTCTTTACTTTTTATAAGTTTATAACAGCAGTAAAAGTGTAGAGTGAAATATTTAAACAATGTCAGTGTGGGTTGCAAGAATATGGGAGAAAACAGGAATTTGGATAAATATTTTTGATTGTTATTTTAGTTTTATGTAGGGGGGCAAAATAAGTAAAACCAGTCTATCTACACCAACAGAAAATTTCCCCAGTTGCCCGTACTATTTGCAGATGTAACCTGAAAGCACAAAGGTGGTATAGATGATTGTGTCTTTTCTTGCTCTTTTTGAAAGTGTGTTTCCATTTCTTATACTGTGTTCTCAAATATAGCTGTCTAAAAATCAAAAATAGAATTTCCAGGATCTAAAATGTACCCTTATGCTGTGTGGATATACATTTGTTGGTCTACTTACTTCTGGTCAGTTCTGAAGTGGATCTCAGCTCCTCTTGAATTAGCCATAGACTTGCTTCTCCCTACACTTCTCCCTCATTTATATTCACCTGCAACCACTGGGCCCAGAAAAGTTACTAGAAGCTTATTGGGTATGATGGATAAAATAATTGAATTTGGCCATTCCCAGGACATGATGATGGTAGAGTGCTTATTATGTGTTCAGGCACCGTTCTAAGTCCTTTCTTCACAATAGCTCTATGATATAAAATGTGTTATCCCATTTTGTGTATAAAGAAAGTGGAATAGTGGTGACCTTGTCAGGATTATTATTGGGTTAGCTTTAGTAGCTGTGTTAATTACCCATGAGGAGGGAATCATAGTATATAAATAAAGTGAAATTGATACTAAAAAAGGAGGGTTTCCTTTTTACTCCTTGAAGGAAAAAGTGCATGAATCATGGTTGTATCTAAAATGCCGAAAAACTAGAAACAACCTAAATATTCTATTGCTAAATAGTGAACAGTTATATATGGAATATTTTATCATATTTCTATCAGAATAAATAATAGACTGTTGATACCTGAAAAGATGCATTAAAAATAGTAAGTTAAAAACCCACAGATTTATACCCACACTGACAATTATAAATGTGTATTTCTATTAATACAACTTTGATAAATGGACAAAGGGCCAACAGAATGAGAAGTATAAAGTGACAGATGTCTTCTGAAAAGTAATGGTAGCCAGTTGAATAATGAAAACAGTAAATTTTAAGAAGACTAGGGAGTACAATGTAATAATTTTAAAAAGAAGGCGAATTTAAATTCACTTCCAAGTGACACTCTCCAAGATGAATTATCTGTCCTACGTTAAATGTTCCAGAAGACCTTCAGGAACACAACTAGAAATGGAAAATTTCAAGATAAGTTGTATAGCAGCATTTCCCCAAAGTACTTTTGCATAGTTGGTTTTAAAGGTTAACAGGCATTACATGTAAATAAAAGGGTAGTGAAGACAATTTGGGAAATCCTAGGGTTCATAAAATTAGATTCTTTTGTGTAGGACTCATTAGCACCTTTAATGAGCATACTCCAGGTGAGTAGGAGTGGAGGCAGAATGCAGAGTGCACCATTTCATAGACTTGTTTGCTTGAGACCACAGAACTGTTTGTCTTGGTTCTTGTTAGGGAAATAGCCTCTGCAGAATACACTTTGGGCAACATTGGAATGTTACTTGGAGGTGTCCGTGAGCAGGCGTGAGGTGTGAATGTTGTGGCTGTGGGTGGGTATGCAGCTCGAGGAGTAATACGTTAAACGTTTCACAGTCAGGGATGATGGGAAATCTTCTGGAACCGTACATATTTTATTTTCATTTTTCCCTTCTTCCCATATTTTGCTTTTGAATAAAAATTCATAAAAATAAATTCACTAAAATTAACTTTGTTTTTAATATCATAAATACGCTGTGTAGGGAAGAAGTCAAACTTGAGAATCTGCATTTGATTTGCTTTTAATCTGGAAGGATAACAAATACAGCATGTAGCTCTTGGCTGGTTTTAAGGAACTGACAGAAGATTATATTTGCAATTAAGTATAACCTGGTGGTATTCTTCACATACTTGTCTCCCACACATTCTTTAGCACCACTACTCATGTCAACATTGCCAACAAACTATACAAGATGACCAGATCCAGTGGCCATTTTATGTCCTTAGTTTACTGGACCTCTTTGCACCATCCAGCTCAGTTGTCTGTTACCTCCCTCAAACATTCTTCTCTCTCCATTTCTGTGACATTGCACTCAGCTGTTTTCTTCCTCCTCTCTGGCTGTTACTTTGTAGTTTGTTTTGTATGTTCATCTTCCTCTGCTGACTTCTGAATGTTTTATACTGAGGGCTCAGTTTTGGATCTTCTTTTCTTCTATGTTTTCTTCCGAGGTATGCCCTTTAGTCTTGTGGCTCTCTCTGCATACCAACTGCATGGTGATAACTCCCAAATCTATTTTCTTCAGCCAAAAACTAACCATTGGTTTCAAATCACAGATACCTAACTGCTGTACACTTAAATGTTGTCTCACACATATGTCAAGCTTAATGTCTCCAAACAAAATTTTTAGTACTCCTCTTCACTTTCCAACTTACTCATTTTTTAAAAAATTATGCTCATTAAAATTTGTGTGTGGGTACATAGTAGGTATATACATTTATGGGGTACATGAGATATGTTGATACAGGTATACAGTGCATAATAATCACATCAGGGTAAATGGGTTTCTATCACGCCACTCATTCTTTTCTTTCTGTTAATGGTGCTGCCATCCACCAAGAGTTTTCAATCTCTATTTTTTCTACTTTGACCCACCCTGCCACCACTGTCATGTCATCTAGGCCACCAAAATCTCTAACTTGCATTACTATAATTTCCTTTTGCCTGAACTCCCCTTCTTACCTTCCCTTAGTCTTTTTTTTTTTTTTTTTTTTTTTTGAGACAGTTCGCTCTTTGGCCCAGACTGGAGTGCAGTGGTGCGATCTTGGCTCACTGCAACCTCTGTCTTCCAGTTTCAAGCGATTCTCCTGGCTCAGCTGGCACCTGCCAACATGCCTGGCTAATTTTTCTATTTTTAGTAGAGATGGGGTTTCACCATGTTGGCCAGGCTGGTCTCAAACTCCTGACCTCGTGATCCACCCGCCTTGGCCTCCCAAAGTGCTGGGATTACAGGGGTGAGCCACCGCACCCAGCCCCCTTAGTGTTTTTCTATAGAGCAGTCATTTTTTTTTATGTAAACCTAATCATGACACCTATTTTAATAATAGCTTTCCATTATACATGGAATTTTGAATTAGATGTATAATGAAATATACGCTGCTTATCATGGCCTTAGAGGACCTTCACAGTCTGGCCTTTTCCAGTCTTCCTTACCTCATGTTGTACCTGATCCTCCCTTGCTCACTATATTCCAGCCACAATAGCCTATTTTCAGCCCCTTAAATATGTCTTTATATATGCCATTGCTTTTATTGGAAGCTGCTTCCAGCTTATCCTTTGCATGGCTGGGCTCCTTCTCATTGTTCAATCCTAACTGTCGTCTCCTTAGGGAGGTCTTCACCACTGTCCAAAGTAGGTTTATGCGCCCATTTCCCTGCTGTCCTTTATTTCAGAGCACTAGTCACAATTTATGTTTACTTACAACCTCTGACTGTAAACCCCTGAAAGCAGAAACCATGTTTCTTTTACTCACCAATGTATAATCAGTGTATAGCAAAGTGCCCTATATTTCTTTCGTTGAATGAACTCAGAAAATGAAGTGACTGAATGGATTCTGAGCTAAAAACATCTCCAGATGGTTTAGATTTGTTTTTAAAGGAATCTC
This sequence comes from Homo sapiens, assembly GCF_000001405.40. NCBI lineage: Eukaryota > Metazoa > Chordata > Mammalia > Primates > Hominidae > Homo > Homo sapiens. The sequence goes on from NC_000004.12 coordinate 78,909,966, forward strand.
GCTTTTTTAATGTAATGTATAGATATTATAATTAAAGGAAGTCATATCATCTAGAGAAGGCAGATGTTTTTGGTACAGTCTCCATTTAGTATCTGGTCCTTAGCTTTGGTGAGGCCATTCATGCTAAGTCAATTCAAAAGATAGTGGTTTATAAAAAATACAATGCTGATTTAAAAAAATAGTGAAACAAATACGTAACTGAGCAGGCAGGCTGTTCATGCTTGTTGATCTCTATGGGAAAACTTTACAAGAGTTGAAATATAAGCAGGAGGTATTTGGTGAATGTGAAATCTGAGCTTTCAGAATTAGCAGAATAATGTTATTTTGGTGGTGGGGTGAAGAAAATTTGCTAGTCTACTACATTCTGTGTGCTATAAATAAAATTTGGCTGTCAGTGAGAGTACGATGAGGCAGGGTGTAGGGTCCAGATATGAATAAGTCTGTCTACATTAAGACTTAACTATCTACCTGAGGTCAAATGCATTCTCTAAGTCTAATGACGAAGAATTGACAACATTATTTTTTCCTCTAAGGGAACTCGTATGAGGGATTTGTAATGCCATGTGTAATACATATTAACATTTAGTGCAAGAGGATTCTGAAATGCATTGGAATGCTGTAATAATATTTATTTGAACTTGCAGGTTCTCCTGAAAAGAAAGCTGAACATTCATCTATAAATCAAGAAAATGGCACTGCAAACCCTATCAAGAACGGTAAAACAAGTCCAGCATCTAAAGATCAGCGGACTGGAAAGAAAACCTCAGTACAGGGTCAAGTGCAAAAGGGGAATGATGAATCTGAAAGTGATTTTGAATCAGATCCCCCTTCTCCTAAGAGCAGTGAAGAGGAAGAGCAAGATGATGAAGAAGTTCTTCAGGGGGAACAAGGAGATTTTAATGATGATGATACTGAACCAGAAAATCTGGGTCATAGGCCTCTCCTCATGGATTCTGAAGATGAGGAAGAAGAGGAGAAACATAGCTCTGATTCTGATTATGAGCAGGCTAAAGCAAAGTACAGTGACATGAGCTCTGTCTACAGAGACAGATCTGGCAGTGGACCAACCCAAGATCTTAATACAATACTCCTCACCTCAGCCCAATTATCCTCTGATGTTGCAGTGGAGACTCCCAAACAGGAGTTTGATGTATTTGGCGCTGTCCCCTTCTTTGCAGTGCGTGCTCAACAGCCCCAGCAAGAAAAGAATGAAAAGAACCTCCCTCAACACAGGTTTCCTGCTGCAGGACTGGAGCAGGAGGAATTTGATGTATTCACAAAGGCGCCTTTTAGCAAGAAGGTGAATGTACAAGAATGCCATGCAGTGGGGCCTGAGGCACATACTATCCCTGGTTATCCCAAAAGTGTAGATGTATTTGGCTCCACTCCATTTCAGCCCTTCCTCACATCAACAAGTAAAAGTGAAAGCAATGAGGACCTTTTTGGGCTTGTGCCCTTTGATGAAATAACGGGGAGCCAGCAGCAAAAAGTCAAACAGCGCAGCTTACAGAAACTGTCCTCTCGCCAAAGGCGCACAAAGCAGGATATGTCCAAAAGTAATGGGAAGCGGCATCATGGCACGCCAACTAGCACAAAGAAGACTTTGAAGCCTACCTATCGCACTCCAGAGAGGGCTCGCAGGCACAAAAAAGTGGGCCGCCGAGACTCTCAAAGTAGCAATGAATTTTTAACCATCTCAGACTCCAAGGAGAACATTAGTGTTGCACTGACTGATGGGAAAGATAGGGGGAATGTCTTACAACCTGAGGAGAGCCTGTTGGACCCCTTCGGTGCCAAGCCCTTCCATTCTCCAGACCTGTCATGGCACCCTCCACATCAGGGCCTGAGCGACATCCGTGCTGATCACAATACTGTCCTGCCAGGGCGGCCAAGACAAAATTCACTACATGGGTCATTCCATAGTGCAGATGTATTGAAAATGGATGATTTTGGTGCCGTGCCCTTTACAGAACTTGTGGTGCAAAGCATCACTCCACATCAGTCCCAACAGTCCCAACCAGTCGAATTAGACCCATTTGGTGCTGCTCCATTTCCTTCTAAACAGTAGATACTTCTGATGGATTCTCGGCATTAACTCCTGTTTCAAAAAAGTGTGAACAGTTTTATGAATTTGAAAGAAAATTTGGTAGCTCTTTATAGCATTCATTCTTAAAGATCAGTCAGAATAGGTGATTTCTAAATAAACCAAATAGAAGAATGAAGTATCTCTACAGGGTAGTAACTTGATTCCTCTTCAGGAGAAAAGGGAGCTAAATTGCAAGCTCTAACTAAGGGTTTCTGCTACTGACATCACAACACAGAAATGCAAGTGTGGTACTTCCAGTGAAAGCACATGGCACCTTTCTAGGTGTGTAGCCACTGAGAAGGGACAGTGAAACTGTTATTTTTGATATCAGAATGTCATTTTTATGTGCATATCCCTAAAATTAGGGTTATTTCTACATACACTAGTTACACTTGTGAATTTTTTTTAAGGTCTCTTTTAATTTCCAGACAGTTAAAAACAATCTAGTTATCTTAAAGCATTAGAAAGTTATTATCTGGAGAGTGCAGAGATTTCAGTCCATACACCTTTCTCCACAAAGCAGAGCCAGAAGTAACTGACTATTGTGCCTAAAACTCTGTTTCATTTTTAAAAACAAGTGCCATTAAAATGGAATATCTAATGATAAGCATATGAAATAATGTGTAATTAGCTCAATTTAACTATTCCACAACTTACATATTCCAAAACAATGTTATACATGATAAATATATATAATTTTTGTCAGTTAAAACAAATTAAAAAAATGGACTATCGTCGCACAGAAGCCTAGAACAAAAATATGAAGAGAAATATCTGACATTTGTAAAGAAATTATAAGAAGAAAAAAAGATACAGAACAGAAAACATTCACTACTTTAGAAACACTTTATGCATGGCTTCTTGCCCCAAACTTTTATTGTGATGGCCCTAATAAAGCAGATTATTGGAAAAATTGGAGGACAAGGGTTGTATAAAAATTTTATTTTATGAAGAAAATATGTAGCGGAAACTGAATTTTCAAGACATTTACAATGTGAAATCATGTTGCATTTAACAATGTACTTTATTAGCAACTTCACCAAATATTCCCCAAGTCATAAGCAACAATTATTTTTATTAGGTTTTGGGGGGTGGAGTAGTTTTAATAAAGTGCACAGAATGGTGACACCCACAAAGCCTTATATAAAGGCAGGATTCATGCATCCTGCTGCAAGTACCTCTGCACTAATATACCAGATCCTAAAATGCATATAAGGTGGACTAGCATCTTAATTCTGCTAGTTGATTGTGTCTTTACTGAAAAGAACCCAGCTACCAATTTGCCTTTTTTTACACCACAAATCCTAATTAGAAACTTGAGGTTTTATAGAAATCATTTAATGATAGAGATTACATATGTGAATTAATGTGAATATAGTATCTGTGCTTCCTGTGTCTATGACTATTTTAAGATATAATTGTGCTGCGCTATCAGATTAACATTTGGAAGTTTCTAGAACAGTTAATGCTATTTACAGAAAGGAGTAGAAACTCATCAACTGGCACTCTCTTTGATTTTTATATTTTAAATTAACTCTCTTCGATCTCAAAGTATATTTTACGAGTAATTTTATTAGGAATCTCTTATAGTGCCCCAATGGGATAAGCTATTTGCCTATTTTCACAGTTCTGAACTTGGAAAGAAGCAAAGTATATGTAACTAAACCACATATTTGTCTTTTTATTGCTTTTTCCCTTCTTTTATATGCTAAATCAAATATAGATTTGTGGATAGGGAAGCAATATGTGAATCACAATGTAGCAGAGGCAGACCAAGCATTACATTATTATTTAGAGCTGGACTGCACCAATTACTTGTCCTCGTGCCAAAGGCAAATATGTTTGCACCTTTTTTTTTTTTTCTGATTCTCAGGTTGATTAATACTGCTAATGCAAATGCTCAAGTAGATGTTTAAAAACTTTACAAAATAGATTCAAGTGATACTTTCTTTTAAAAGTGAAGAGTTGATGATTACACATAGTAAATTCATGAACTACAGTAGGTTTGTATCAAACAATTTTTTTTAATGAAAATCTGTTGAGGTGTACACAATATGCTTCTTGATTGTATTAGTCCTTGGTCTCTGCTAGACCTCATGAGTTTCATCATTTAGAAAAGGGGTAGAGGATGAACTAATGTCTCCTTCAGATGTAAACATGAAATACCTAGAGTTTTACTTGCTTTTCAATACACTGAATAATTTTAAATGATTCTGACACTGATGTAGACCCTTTGACTTATAAATTCTGAGGAAACAACTGACAGCATAAAATATTTACATTCTTATAACACAGCACAGTGACTTTCTTCTTTCAAGATTGTAGCTCAGAGAAAAGATACAGGATTCAATTGGGGGTTCAATAGGATAGAAATGGAGAGATTCCTTTGTGTTGTAGTAGAGGCATTTTCCTAAGGAGTATAGATTTATACTTTGCATTTTCATTCATCATCCCCCAGAATCATGGTCAAGGTGTAGGTCACTCCACACAGCTGATGCTCAGGTTATTCCCTTGTGAGAATTATGAGAATAAAGCTCCCAAGATATGTGAAAGTGCTTAACACAGTACCTGGCACACAGCACTCAATAAAAGTTTGGCTCTATTATGGGATGGTTCAATTCTGGTTTAAGGAAGGAAGAAAGGTTATTATATATGTACCACTAAGCAAATATATATATATATATATATTTGGGGTTTTTTTTCCCTAATATTATTTGGGTGTCCCCTGTGCTTCTTTAGGATGTAGTTATAACTAAACCTGTTATACTTGAACATCACTAAGAGAAGTAAATTATTATGAAGCTAGCAAAAATCTTGAGGCCAAAGTTGTTTCTTAACAGCTTTAATAATGCTTGTTGATTTTGAATAATCCTTTAAAAAGTGGACCATTTGCTTATTTTAATATCACGTCAGTAAAATGTTAGTATTAAAAAGATCAGCTTTTTATGGCATTGAAGAATGTATCTGCTAAGACACAAAAATTGCATGGTAAGTATAATAGGTGGAGGAGGAAAGGTTGTAGGCCGGATGAAAATTTAACTGACTAGAACATTTATTCAGGAGTGTAATTATTTTCCCTTACCCCAATCCCTGTGTACGTGTTGGGTATAGTTACGACATTATCCGGATTTGCAAATAGACACAACTTTCAGTCTTACCCTGTTTATTGTTTAAGAGTGATAGACTGTTGTCCTCTTGCTGGTGGAAAATCTAAGGTGGAGCCCACTCTTCTATGCTGAAGTTCACCAGGCAGAGCAGTTTTCTTACAAGTCAGCTACTCTGCTTGGTTTATTTTAGGTTTTGGTACTTCACGTAAGCACTGTTAGAAGGTACAAGTGTATTAATATCACTAGTTTTGAGGCGCTTGGGTACATTTGTTTTTAATATATTTAGAATGTGCAGTAAACTTTTTTCTCATTTTTTTTTCTTTTTAGCAAACTTGTTATTTTAGGTCCAATTATTGAGTTGACAGTCTACTGTGAGAATGAGATGACATATCTACTGTGAGAATACCATAAATGATGAATAGTTTATTTGAGAACTTTTATACTCAGTGGTGTTTTATATATTAAGATAAAAATATGTACACACATGCATGTCACATCTCTCTACTGTGGAGTTAATGTGAATTTTTAAAAAATGGAATTGCAACCACAATCATATCTAAGAGAACATTCACTCCTAGTGAGGGTTTACAAAAGCTACTAAGAGAATAAGGTAGATGATAATGCAAAGGGTCATGATTTGGGGTTATTTTTGTTTTATTTTAAAATTTATACTGCTACTTTTGAAAGAATTGTTTTTATGACTATGCTCTTTTTGTGATTGAAAAGTCATCTAATAGAAGCTGTATAGAAGCTACTTTTTAATTGCTGGCAAACAGCTTTAAGTGCACTTTCTTTGATTACACTTCCATTTTTTGTTAAACTTGAATTTTCTGAAGCCTTTTATGTACCACTAAGCAAATAACTTTAACCTTTAAATAAAGCAAATTTACATCTTTATTGTATTTCTACTTGTTACAAAACATACTTGCTAAAGTAACTTCAGTCCTCAAATATAGCTGGGAAACAATTATGAGATAGACTCAGTCTCCCCCTCCCACCCCTTTTCCCCTGCCATATCTAATTAAGCACTAACTGATTTTATTACTTTATTGCCTTTACACTGCTTATTCTTTTTGACTGAATTCTGTCCCTGATTCACTGTTTTGTTTGAAATTTAAAGTTATTTTCTTACTGTATTTATCATACCTGTTTTAATCTGTTTTCTTTAAATGCAATAAATCCCAAATGGATTGCATATTCTTTATAATCAGTGACTTTGGAGTTTTTCATTATTTGTCTTATTATGACTTTTGGATGTAAACTTCTATTCAAATTCAGTTATTTCATTCACACCACAAACATTAAGCACCTATTATGTAGCAGCTAGTGGAATAGAAAAGTTGCTAAGATTAGATCCCTATTCTTAAGGAGCTCAGAGTTTACAATTTAGGTAAGAAAACCCATTTGACTTAAGAGTTTTTGCCACAAGAACACTTAATAGCACGACTTTTTCAGTGAGTCATAATTACTGATACTCGAGTGATGACAGTAAGGCAAAAACAATATTGTGTAGTGCCTTCTGAATAACTTATTTTACAGCTTCCACATTATAAATTTTTAAAAATCTTTAAAACTGATAACATCTTTGGCTGAATTAATACTGGTTATTTGCTTAAATAACATTGTAATCCTCAATTATATCAGAAAAGAGGCTATGACACATTAAAGAGAAAACCTATTTATTGGATTGATGGACTAAGCTTGGCATCAAGGTTATAATATGTATTATTCCAAAAACTGGAGTCTTTGGTAGCCTGTGGAAAGGTTCATCCTATTTTTATGAATTAACTTTTTCTGAAGTTGTAACATTTATCTAAAGTTATGTGAAAAAAAGGGGCTTTGTATCTTTTTAATGAAAATGAATGGTACAAAGCAAAATAACACAAATGATTAGAAAAGTTCTATTAACAAAGAATAGTTTGCAGTGTATTACTGTTCAAATTCAGTTATAGTTACTTGAGATGAATATATGCTGCAATTTGAGCTATTTATTTTGGATAACGAATACCTTTTTAAGGAAGCCCAGGTCAAGCATCATATGTAACATGTAGTTAATATTCTCATATTGAAAGCTTGAGCTTGTATTTGTTGTTACATATTAAATGAGATAGTTCAGATGGTTGTCACAATTGAGATTATGTGCAGGTTAGGTAGTATTTTGATCTCAGATTTTATAGAGCAGGACTAGAACCTTGGTGGCTGTTCATTTCAGCCCTCTTAAGGATGGAGGTTAATTTTTCACAAGAAACCCCCTACTGCTATTTACCTCTCCCTTCCAAAAATGTTTTCTTAAGGGTAGTTTCAGTTCTGGATCATTATCTCATTACACTACTTGGGAATTCTGGTACAAAATTTCAGAGGACTGTATTTACACCTCTTTAGTGTAAACACAGTTATTGTGATAATGCACACAGAAGGTATTTCTACCCCTTCTCTAATAGGTGAGCTGATTCTTTACACACTTGGGCAGAAGTAGAATTCCCAGGAATGATGATTTACAGTGGACAGGGACCTAATGCAGCAAAGCAACCAGCAGGAATTCACAGGAATAGGCTTTGCCCCTTGACATTTAATACAGGGCAAAGTATTATCTAGTAGGTACCTGCCAAATGGAGAGTTGTACAGTTTTACGGAAGTCAATCACAATCTTCAAATCGGATATTCTGTCCAGGTGGGATGCCATAAGATGTGACAGACATTCCCTGAATCTTCGTTCCTGATTCTAAAATATGATTTTAAAGCTGTTATGTATTACAAAGAATGACAAGCAGCAGTTAAAAATATTTAGTAAACCCAGTTTATTTACATAATACATATTTTGTCATGCAGCTTACTGAATTGCAGTTAGTGTAATAACAAAAAAAGACAAGCACTGTCTTGCTATTTGAAAATGGCTTAATATAGAAAGATAATTGTTTCTTAAATGAGTTAACCACAACCATATAAATTGCTAGACAATTTAAAACAGCCATAGATAATTTTAAAATGTAAAATCTGTAGGCAAAAAGCTTTTATAGTTCACACATTGGTAAAATTAAAACCAGTCTTTTTTAGTAATAAAACTGGATAGTATATTTTAATCTTACTTTAATCTATAAAAACAAAAATAACTTAAATATACATCATTACAAGGCTCAGATTTGTAGACAACTTTAAAATATTTTTTAATGTTAACAATGTCTTCAAAATTTTACCAGTAGTGCTGTGCACACAGTAGGTGGTCATTAAATGCTGACTGACATACAGAAGTGTTTCTAGTTAACAGCAATCCATATTCATTCATTCATTCCCTATTTTATAATAAATATATCATAGCAGTGAAAAAATGAGAGGATAACTTTCTTACAATATTTAACATTTTCATACAGAGTTGAAATGTTTACATGGAATAATTTTCCCTACAGAAAGACCTGTACACCCTTTAAATTCAAAGAAACACGGATTTAAAAACACAGTATACTCTTTTCATGTTATTAATTCAAATGGCAAGTATGTATTCATATACTAATACAGGGACTGCAAAAATTGAAATGATTCAATGTTTTTTTATTTTGAGAAAGTTTTATAATAAAAATGGCTCCACACCTAAAATAATGATTTTCCCCTCATTTTTAACTTAAGTGTAACTACTCAGTGTCTTTTGTTTGGCCAAAATGACAAAATATCTATTAAAAGGCAATAAAATCATGTAAGCCAATAAGGGATGTTCTAGGAGAAATATATCCTACTACTGTTGCACCAAAATCTTCTATCACTTAACATATGGATCAAAATTTTAACCTTATAAGGTAAAACAGCCATTTTCAAAGCAGCCTTCCATCATAACGATGGGTAAGACACGGTATTCCTTTACTGAGCCTCCTGGGGGGAAATTCTCTTTGCTGAGATACTATACTAGCATGGGGAATTTATATTCCAAAAACACTACACTGGAAAAGAAACACAACATTTTACTGATGTATTAACTGAGGCACATTAGTGACTTTCCAAGTATCATATGCACAAAAGGCATTTTGGGAATAAGCTTCATCATCAATTAACATTTTTTCTGATATTCAGTAATTTTACTGTTCTGAAAATACACCAGTATTTAAAACAGCTCATGTCAACTCATGAAGAAACTTGGGTAATATTTTATACTCCAATAAACAATGTAAGTTTTTATGAATGTCTACTTTAAGGGATTTAACTAATGCATATGAAAGACCAAAGAATAAGAGGGCTACAATGTATGATAGGGCAGTGAGTTCTATTTTTTAAGTATATACAATAAAAAGAAAGTTTAATGCTTCAGGCCCAAATATTAAGTGTTTATCAAGATTCTGAGTTATCAATGCAATGCTAACACATGCAGAAACCGAGGACCAGAGCACAGGTGAATAAGATTATTATCAAATGGGGCATCTGCATGACTTTGTTCTAAGGCTTAAGGTTCATTTCAGGGTCAAGACAGGGCCATCTAGATTCTATGGCCTTGCAAGTAGCACCCACAATGCTGGGAACCCCCACCACTGGGATATTCAGGACTACAAATTCAGAGAGTTGAAAGCTCTGGAATTTTGGGATCAAAAACCTGTAATCCACTCACAAGAATTCAGTTATTATATGGAATTAAATAATATCTGGAATTAAAATGTTTAGGTGGCTAATGACTATATTATTTGACCACATAATTTGTTGTCTAATCTTGTACTTAGTTTCTAATGTGATTCTTATCTGATAGAAAATGAGAAGTTCTTTTCCTCTTCTCAACCCTTCTCTCAACTTACTGCAGAAGTTTAAAGCTTTTGTTCTGGAAAACTAAAATATCTAATGTTCTTAGGGAGAGAAGAACCTATAGCTAAAGGATATAATATCTGAAGTGCCAGTTTCTCACAAATCATTTTAGTGATTATTTAAATCTAGTGATTTTAGTGATTATTTAAAATCACTATCCTAGCTTGCATTAAGCATAGGCTGAAACAACACTTGCCTTGATTAGGCACTTAAACTTGACAATTAACTGAAAATAATTAAGCACATAAGATGACTCCATTTTCTAATGGACATGAGCCCTTCCTAAGGAAATTAAGCTGGTGCTAAGTAAAATGAATCCTATTTCAACACTAGTTTCCCATTCATCGTTGTTATTCAGATGTTTCTTATGATTGCCAACTAATTTTCACTTTCTGTACAAGCAGCAAATTAGTAGTTTTAAGGATTTTGTAAAGCAGTTATTACTACAGATCCTTAAGTATACTTTTTTTCCCATTTTTATAAAGCATTACTCATATTAAAAAGGAAAAAGGGAAAACTAATGGGAATCTTAGAAATAGTGGGGTATACAATTCCCCATTATATATTGCTTAACAACTGAATTCACCAGGTGGCCATACCTAATTCACAAATGTGAAACATAGTCAGGACAAGGCTTGCTATGTCTGTACTGCATGACATACACTGTTGACTGATGCCACCAATATAACATCACTACTGCAAGGATATGCCATATTTGGTGGCTTGATCCGAGGTAGTTTAGTTGTCCTGGAAAGAAGGTAGAAAGAAAATGATAATGATTTCAATATGTTGACATTAAAGGAAAAATATATTTCTTGGAAGTATAGCTTAGCAGAAAAATTTTCATAGTCTCAGAGTGCCTAGAGACTAACTGGAAGCTCCAAACGTTTTTAGAAATGGATCAATTCATATTTGGGTCTAATTTTAAGGTTTTATTTATTAAGTACACAGGTAAACTTTAGAAATGCTATTCCAAGTGTGTTTTCAAAATCTAACTTAATTTCAGGAATTTGACCTTATGCCTCCCACATCTCAACTCACATTTGATGGAATGAACAACAACAAAAAATTATTGAGAGAGGCAAAAGAAACCAGATGTTAAAAATCATGGTGTGATTTAGGTATAAATCCGCGAGAAGGAGATATACTGCTGGGTTTAGATATAAACCTATTAGAAGCACTTTTTATTTCAAGCAGGTGTGCAAAGAAAAAGTGCTGACCTGAATTCTGTGCTCTCTAACTAATGGAATAATCTGCAGGATGTAATTAGTAATGGATTAATTAACTAAGGTTGTTTAGTTCATATACAACTTAAGAGAACAATTTAATCTCTTTGTGGTCAAATGTTAAATTCTGAGAAGATTAAACAATTAACATACGGAAAACTTCTTGATCTCTCTCAGTAAATAAAATACAGAGCTATAATAATTTCAATGTAAATAACATA